>NC_000014.9:93361713-94611713 GCF_000001405.40 Homo sapiens | reverse complement strand
TTTTGGTGTATTTCTAAAGCACTTTTCTTTGGTGTCTCTGTGTGTGTGTGTGTGTGTGGCTGCATGTGTGTCTGTGTGTCTGTGTGATGTGAATGTCCATATACAAACCTAGATATATTTTTAAAATACAGGACTCTATTTTTCTGTGGATCAGTTTGCATTTTTGGCACCCCTTCACCAACCCCAGAGAGTAGGGCACCTAGAGAGGGGTGTGGAGGGGAGCTTTCGGGGAGCACAGGTGTTGTGAGGAACCCCTTGTCCTCAGGCTCTGTTTCTCTGTGGGGGCCTCCTCAGCCTTGGCCTCTGTCCTGCTGAGCCTCTGCGATTGGTTCACCCCAACAAGTGGTTGTCCCTCCTCCCCGGCCTTCAGGTATCCTTGGGCCTCTCTCTTAGCTAGTCTGGGGTCTTTCTTTGGCTCATGAAAAAGGAAAAAAAAAATCCTGGGCGGGACTAGTGGCTCATGCTGGTAATCCCAGCATCTTGGGAGGCTGACGTGGGCAGACCACCTGAGGTCAGGAGTCCATGACCAGCTTGGCCAACATGGCGAAACCCCATCTTTACTAAAAATACAAAAAAAAAAAAAACAAACAAACTAGCAGGGCATCATGGCGCATGCCTGTAACCCAGCTACTTGGGAGGCGAGGCTGAGGCAGGAGAATCGCTTGAACCCAGGAGGCAGAGGTTGCAGTGAGCCAAGATCACGCCACTGCACTCCAGCCTGGGCAACACAGAGAGACTCTGTCTCAAAAAAAAAAAAATCCTTCCTCTTGATTCCTCATGGTCACAGTCCCCATCCGGGGTAGCCCTGACAGGCCTCTCTAGAGGGCATGCTTTGGAGGCCACCAGACCAGTGGCGAGGTTCTAGCTCTGGCATGAGCTGACCTGGCTTGAATCTCTGATGTCTGACTCACCAACTGACTCACTTCAAACAAATCATGGGAAATCTCTACAGCTTAATTTCCTCATGTCTAAGATGCAAGGCAATATTCCCTGACAGAGTGGTAATCAAGATGAAATGAAATGATATTAAATGTACACTCTACGAGGACAGGATTTTTTGTTTGTCTGTTGCGATAGTGCTGCATCTTTAGAGGACTTACATATTTGTTGACTGTAAGGCACTAAGATGACCAATAACTGTCTGGGCCCATCTTTCTTAAATGACTTTCAGGCTCCCAGTTTTGGAATTGAATGTGTGTGTGTGTGTGTGTGTGTGTGTGTGTGTGTGTGTGTGTGTCTTTATATATATATCTCTCTCTATGTGTGTGTGTGTATATATATACATATATACGTATACACATATATAATATATTATATATTTTTATATATATATTATATATATATATATATATATATAGAGAGAGAGAGAGAGAGAGAGAGAGAGAGACTCGCTTTGTCACCCAGGCTGGAATGTAGTGGCGCAATCATTGCTCGTTGCTTACTGAAGACTCTGACTCCTGGACTCAAGATATCCTGCCGCCTCGACTCAAGATATCCTGCCGCCTCAGCCTTCTGAGTAGCTGGAACCATAGGTGCACAACGCCATGCCTGGCTAATTTTTAAATTTTTATTTTTTTGTAGAGGCAGGGTTTCATTGTGTTGTCCAGGCTAGTCTTGAAATCCTGGCCTCAAGGGATCCTCCCACCTCAGCCTCCCAAAGTGCTGGAATTACAGGTGTGAGCCACTGTACCTGGCCAATACATATGTTTAAGTTACACAGAATCCTAAAGAAATAGTTGCTAAAATGAGACTGAAGTTCATTTCCCTCTCCTGCAGGTCCAGCTGGAGGCAGTGGGTTGATATGGTGCCTCCACGTTGTCAGAAACCACGTCCTCCTGTCTGGTTGCTCAGCTGCCCCTCCACGTCTGTTTGTCTAGGCTAAGATGGCTCACTGCTATGTCCACCTTCCAGTCCATAGAAAGGGCCACAGGGGAAGGGAAGGGCACACCCTTTCTTTTGAAAGGAATGCCTTGAACATTGCCTGTCATTCCCACTTGTGTTGTGTTGCCTGGAGTTTTGTCCCATGGCCATACCTAGCTACAAAGGAGGCTGTGCAGTGCAGTCAAGATTCTAGGTAGCCACCTCCCAGCTAAAAATTCAGAGTTCCATTACCATGAGAGAGACAAAGAGAGTGGACATTGGGGATGACTAGTCATCTTGCCTCAGAGCATTATCTGAGTGTTCTCAAGTTCTCCGGCCTCAGAGCATCATTTTCCTTCTTTCTTTCTTTTCTTAAATTATACTTTAAGTTGTGGGGTACATGTGCACAACGTGCAGGTTTTTTACATAGGTATACATGTGCCATATTGGTTTGCTGCACCCATCAACTTGTCATTTACATTAGGTATTTCTCCTAATGCTATCCCTCTGCCAGCCCCCAACCCCCCAACAGGCCCCAATGTGTGATAGTCCCCTCCCTGTGTCCATATGTTTTCGTTGTTCAGCTCCCACTTATGAGTGAGAACATGTGGTGTTTGGTTTCCTGTTCCTGTATTAGTTTGCTGAGAATGATGGTTTCCAGCTTCATCCATGTCCCTGAAAAGGACATGAACTCATCCTTTTTTATGGCTGCATAGTATTCCATGGTGTATATGTGCCATATTTTCTTTATCCAGTCTATTATTGGTGGACATTTGGGTTGGTTCCAAGTCTTTGCTATTGTGAATGGTGCCACAATAAACATATGTGTGCATGTGTCTTTATAGTAGCATGATGTATAATCCTTTGGGTATATATCCAGTAATGGGATTGCTGGGTCAAATTGTATTTCTAGTTCTACATCCTTGAGGAATTGCCACACTGTCTTCCACAAAGGTTGAACTAATTTACAGACCCACCAACAGTGTAAAAGCATTTCTATTTCTCTGCATACTCTCCAGCATCTGTTGTTTCCTGACTTTTTAATGATCCCCATTCTAACTGGTATGAGATGGTATCTCATTGTGGTTTTGATTTGCATTTCTCTAAGGACCAGTGATGATGAGCATTTTTTCATATGTCTGTTGGCTTCATAAATGTCTTCATTTGAGAAGTGTCTGTTCATCTCCTTCGCCCACTTTTTGATGGGATTGTTTGTTTTTTTCTTGTAAATTTGCTTAAGTTCCTTGTAGATTCTGGATATTAGCCCTTTGTCAGATGGATAGATTGCAAAAATTTTCTCCCATTCTGTAGGTTACCTGTTCACTCTGATGATAGTTTCTTTTGCTGTGCAGAAGCTCTTTAGTTTAATTAGATCCCATTTGTCAATTTTGGCTTTTGTTGCCATTGCTTTTGGTGTTTTAGTCATGAAGTCTTTGCCTATGCCTATGTCCTGAATGGTATTGCCTAAGTTTTCTTCTAGGGTTTTTATGGTTTTAGGTCTTACATTTAAGTCTTTAATCCATCTTGAGTTAATTTTTGTATAAGGTGTAAGGAAGGGATCCAGCTTCAGCTTTCTACATATGGCTAGCCAGTTTTCCCAGCACCATTTATTAAATAGGGAATCCTTTTCCCATTTCTTGTTTTTGTCAGGTTTGTCAAAGATCAGATGGTTGTAGATGTGTGGTGTTATTTCTGAGGCCTCTGTTCTGTTCCATTGTTCTATATATCTGTTTTGGTACCAGTACCATACTGTTTTGGTTACTGAAGCCTTGTAATATAGTTTGAAGTCAGGTAGTGTTATACCTCCAGCTTGGTTCTTTTGGCTTAGGATTGTCTTGGCTATGCAGGCTCTTTTTTGGTTCCATATGAAATTTAAAGTAGTTTTTTCCAATTCTGTGAAGAAAGTCAGTGGTAGCTTGATGGAGATAGCATTGCATCTATAAATTACTTTGGGCAGTATGGCCATTTTCATGATATTGATTCTTATTATCCATGAGCATGGAATGTTCTTCCATTTGTTTGTGTCCTCTTTTATTTCGTTGAGTAGTGGTTTGTAGTTCTCCTTGAAGAGGTCCTTCACATCCCTTGTAAGTTGGATTCCTAGGTATTTTATTCTCTTTGTAGCAATTGTGAATGGGAGCTCACTCATGATTTGGCTCTCTGTTTGTCTGTTATTGTTGTATAGGAATGCGTGTGATTTTTGCACATTGATTTTGTATCCTAAGATTTTGATGAAGTTGCTTATTGGCTTAAGGAGATTTTGGGCTGAGACAATGGGGATTTCTAAATATACAATCATGTCATCTGCAAATAGAGACTTGACTTCCTTTTTTCCTAATTGAATACCCTTTATTTCTTTCTCTTGCCTGATTGCCCTGGCCAGAACTTCCCATACTATGTTGAATAGGAGTGGTGAGAGAGGACATCCTTGTCTTGTACCAGTTTTCAAAGGGAAAAGCATCATTTTCTTTACAGTTGAGCTGACTTAGTCTTGACCTCCATCCAACGTGAAAGCAGAAAATTTTTGACCTTCTGCAGGTCCTACTGAGGATGCTTTGGAGGACCTGCAGAGGGTCAAGAATTGTTCTGGGTGCCACTGGTCACCTGGAGCTCCAGGCAGATGCCCCAAGGCCACGTTTACCCCATTCCTGACCTTCTCCCAGCCTCTTTTCTGGGCTCTTACAAGTCTTCATTGGTCTGCTTTTCCCCAGGCATTGGTACAGGCCCTTCCTTCGGTTCTGCAAGCACCATTCATACAAGGATGGCACATGTCATCGTGGACTCCCATGACCAGATGAAACCACAGGGCAATTAAGACAGAAAAGTGAAGCAACACTAAGGCCAAATCATACTCTTCCAGGCCCACTGCTCTTCCTTTTTGGAACAGCCCCCTGTGGGTCATCTCCCCACCAGCCCGTGGGCTGCAGGATCGCTGGAGCCTGTTTGCCTCCCGAGTCAGCAATCCCTTGAGAATGTTCTCTCATCAGAATCCAGGGCACTTCTACTGTTTTTTGGAACCCGACAAAAGGAAGCAAAGAGGAAATGAGGAGGATACTAGGGTCTGAGGAGATGCTCCTGCCTTTGAGGAAGAGAGCTTTGACATCCTTGCTGTACAGCACATGTGATTCAGGGACCAGTAGCTGCAGCAACACAGAAGAGCTTGTTAGAAATGCTAATTCTTGGGGCCCAGCCCAGGCATGCTAATTTAGAATTTGGATACTAATAATAACCCCAAGGTGATCTGTGTGCACCAGAAAGCCTGAGAAGCTCTGCTTCTTAGGCTAAGCAGAAGAGCAACCTCTGTAGGAGGTTCCTGCCTTTAGATTTCCTCTGTCTCCAGCTTCCTGGGTTGGGATCTGCCCTGCCTCTTCATAATGTGGCTTCAAGCCAGGCTCTCCCAGAACACACTGAGGGCCTTGTCCAAGGGCAGAATTCAGCATCCACTCCAGAATAAGAACAGGTGCAGTGGATTTAAAATAGTATGTAGGCTGGGGGCAGTGGCTCATGCCTGTAATCCCAGCACTTTGGGAGGCCAAGGCAGGTGGATCACCTGAGGTCAGGGCTTCAAGACCAGCCCAGCCAACATGGCAAAACCCCATCTCTAATAAAAATACAAAAAAATTAGCCAGGCATGATGGCACATGCCTGTAGTCCCAGCTACTCAGGAGGCTGAGGCAGGAGAATCTCTTGAACCCGAGAGGCAGAGGTGGCAGTGGGCTGAGATCGTACCACTGTACTCCAGGCTGGGCAACAGAGCAAGAGTCCATCTCAAAAAAAAATTAAAATAAATAAATAAAGTATGTATTTTTATTTGTCCTATACTTGGACTTTATAGGTTACCAAGTGCTTTTCTATACATTGTTCATTCATTTATTTTTTCCTTTATTCCACAAATATTTACAGAGTGATTTTATGTGCCAGGCATGATCCTAGGCACTGGGCATCCAGCAACGAGCAAAACAAATAATGCTCCCACTCTCAGGGTGACACTGTCTCTGCAGTTTTGGGGCAGTGGCCTTAATGGAAGGGAGCAGGGACTACATTCCAGGGATCTGCAAACTTTTTTCTGTAATGGGCCAAATAGTAAGTGCTTTAGACTTTGATGGTCGCATATGATCTCTGTCTCCTCTTCTCCCCTGACTCCTCTTTGTCTTTCTCCTTTTCTTCCTTCTTCCTCATAATCTTTTAAAAATGTATGAAGCTTAGCTTGTGAAATATTTAAAAGCTGTCTGTTTTGGGCCTGGGTTTGGCCAGTGGGTCTAGTTAGCCGACCCCTGGACAATCTCCTTAAGCAGCTGTGAAGTGATCAGATACATATGGAGTCCAGAATACTGAATAAACACCCTTACTGTTTTAGCTCAGGCTCACATTATAGCTTCAAGCCTATGCGTTGCCCCCAGAGGTTTGAAATGCAAGTTAATTTCATTGCTTCCATCCCACCTCTCAACTCCATCCTGCCCTACTTGAAATTGCAGGGAGCCCCTTCCTGATTGAAATCTTCTCTTTCTTCTCTCTGGGAAGCAGAGTCCCATGCAATGGTTATCAATCTGGGGGGAGGACTCCCAACATGTCCCCAACACTGTGCACCTGCCTCGCTCCTCAGAGAGGACTCTAAGCATCTTGCTAATTTCTGCTTAATTTCCTGGATGTGGGAGGAGGTTTTACACAAACCCAGTTGCTAGAGTATGAGTTTGATGTGACAGAATACTATGCAAGCCACGCAAACCAACTTCATTACAGATATAGGCAGCAAGAATCAACAGACGCCTAGGATCCATGGTGAACCAGTCCCCCAAGGCTCAGGAAAGCTGCCCCGGCAGATGGGGTCTTGTTTGCATGTGCCTCACTTTGCACCACAGCTAAGGGGCCTCAAAAACACCCCTCCCTGGGTTTTATATCTCAGAAGTCACTTGGATGGCTGAAACAAGTTTTAGGAGGAATGAAGACAAAGCTCAGATTGTTCCTGATATTTTCTCCTTGTCTCAGGGCACTGCATTCTTAGCATATTCTACAGTTATCCTGAGAGCTAAGAGTTGGAGGAAGGAGAGCCAAGGCCAAGGCCATCTGGGGATTGCTGTCCTGTACTCTGCATCCCCCACAACCTCTTGATCCTGCTAAACCCTGTGTCCTTTCCCCATACCTCCCAGTAGGTGCAGAAAATTCCCTAGGCAGAACATGTGCTGGCTAACGAGTATTTTGACATTGCCATGGCTGACTGTCTCCTCTCTTTGTATATCTTGTATAGCTCCCATCTCTGATGATGTTGAAAAAAATCTCTGCCCTCTTTTTTTTTTTGAGATAGGGACTCACTCTGTAGCCCAAGCTGGAGTGCAGTGGTGCAATCTCACCTCATGTGCAGCTTCAACATCCTGGGCTCAAGTGATCCTCCCCCTTCAGCCTCCCGAGTAGTTGGGATTACAGGTGCACACCACCATGCCCAGCTAATTTTTGTAATTTTTTGCAGAGACATGGTTTCACCATGTTGCCCAGGCTGGTCTCAATCACCTGGGCTCAATTGATCCACGCACCTTGGCCACTCAAAGTGCTGGGACTACAGGCATGAGCCACCTTGCCCGGCCTCTGCCCCTTCTTTTATCCTAAGTTTTCTTACCAAGCTTTGGTCTGTGTCAACCTCCAGGAAGGGGAGTAGGAAGGAGGAAAAAGCTTCCTATGTCTAATCATGTGATTTGCCCACATACCCCTAGCTGTTAAATGCAGGAGCTGTTGGAGTTTAGGAAAGACCAATCCAATGCCAAATCCAGACTCTCACCACCATCCCCTGCTCCTTCTTTAAAAATGAAGGAAGGCATTTCCATTCTTGAACACAGGAGAGAAAATCACATTTTCACAGGCTTTAGGGTTGATGCCTTTTTAAGGCTTTGGTTGTCTGTAGATCTGTGTAGGGAAAGATTTTCTTTACTGATTGGGGTCTCAGCTGAATGGGAGCTTTGTCCACATTGGTCACCACCCTCTTCTTTGACTGTGGATGGGTATAGTCCTCTGACTTAAAATGGACACAGGGGGTCAGCCTACGGTGAGATTGAAAGTTCACTCTGGCTTTTGGGAGGTCAGGGCCAGGGGCTCCAGGGGACTATTTCTTTTCTTTTTTTTTTCTTTTTGAGATGGAGTCTCACTCTGTTGCCCAGGCTGGAGTGCAATGGCATGATCTCAGTTCACTCCAATCTCTACTATCTCTACTTCCTGGGTTCAAGCAATTCTCCTGCCTCAGCCTCCTGAGTAGCTGGGATTACAGGTGACTGCCACCACACCTGGCTAATTTTTGTATTTTTGGTAGAGACGGGGTTTCACCATATTGGCCAGGCTGATCTCAAACTTTTGACCTCAGGTAATCCGCCCACCTCAGCCTCTCAAAGAGCTGGAATTACAGGCTTGAGCCAGCAGGCCTGGCCTCCAGGAGACTATTTCTAAAGGTCAGGGAATCTGGTGGAATGCAGGAGTGGAGATGGCAGAGGTAGTGGGTGGCACTGGCCTTTGGGACCTGTGTGAGTGTGGCTGTAGTGCCTGTCTCAAAAGTGAAGAGACTAAAGATTCACATCAAATGTTCAGCCTGGGACCTGGGACAAGCAGATGCTTAGTCCAAGGCCTAGTGACTCTCACTGTCCCTGGATTGCAGTCACCTTGGTACACACAGAGTCCATCAGACAATGGAATTCTGCAAGCTTGATCACTGTGATGCTGCTTGTGGTCTTCACAGCTATTGCCTTTGTGGTGCCACTCTTGATTCCTAAATGCTGACTTGGTGCAGTGGGCTAAGGAACACCCTAGGAAATGGGTTGTGTCCACACATGGGCTGGGACTGCAGATAGGGAAGAGTGTGCTTCTGGGGCATAACCAGCAGGAGCCCAAGCACAAACGTGCCCACCTGCATGGGAAGGTGAGGCGGAGAGAAACCAACGCTGGTGCCTTCCGGAGAGGCAGGGGCCATCCAAAGAGTGTCACCCACCAGGGCTTCTTTTGCAACATGGCTTTGCCACATCTACTTGCTGGGTGACTTTAGGGCCATAACTTTACCTCTCTGAAACTCTTTTGTCAACCGTAGCTCCTTTAAGAATTCTTAGGAGGCTGGGCTCAGTGGCTCATGCCTGTAATTCTAGCACTTTGGGAGGCTGAGGCAGGTGGATCACCTGAGATCAAGAGTTTGAGACCAGCCTGGCCAACATGGTGAAACCTTGTCTCTACTAAAAATACAAAAATTAGCCCTGTGTGGTGGTGGGTGCCTGTAATCCCAGTTACTCGGGAGGTTGAGGCAGGAGAATCCCTTGAACCCGGCAGGCAGAGGTTTCAGTGAGCTGAGATTGTGCCATTGCATTCCAGCCTGGGCAACAGAGCAAAAACTCCATCTCAAAAAAAAAAAAAAGAATTCTTAGGAAGAAGAAATAGATACTGACTGACACCAGCAGATCCAGAGAACCCTGAGAAGGCCCCACCTTCTCTGTGGAAGGCCAGAGGACTCTGGTCTCTGTTAGAAAAGGATGGAGTCAATAGCCTGTTTTTGCCCAACACCTATGCTGCTCTCTGGCTGGGTTCGTGCTGGCCTGGTTTGGAGGCTGCTGGGGGAGATACTGGCTGCAGATTTGAGGCAGGATTTGCAAATTTCCTTCAGCACAGCTAGGCCTTTGGCTGCGTCCCTGTATGGATAAGAGGTGCCTGCAGAGGGTTTGGCAAAAGCAGGGAGAACTCCTGACTCTGTTTTGAGGGCTGCTGAGTCATCCCTTCCTCCTTGGTGTTGGGTCCGTTCTCCCTCCGGGAGGGAGTGGCTGCTGTAGCTTGCCATCCCTGGCTTCCATTTCAGAACTGCTGCACGCTGCATGCTGCATCTCCGAGTTCTGGCAAACCAGGCCAGCCCCCACCCCTTACTGCCTAGAGAACCTCACACATGTCCTAATTCCTCTGAGCCTCAGTGCCTTTTCTGCATGTGAAATGAGACAGAAATATCCTGCTCACTCACTCGTTCATTTATTCCTTCAGCTAGTCCATCCATTTTTTAAAACATTAATAATCTACTATGAGGGCAATTAGTCTGCTGGATTCTGAGGTTCTAACGCTCTGGTCATTTTACAAATGTGTCCACAAATGTCTGATACCACTTCCTTGAAGAGATAGAGCTTAATTACTTTCTCTCACATTGGACTGGACTTAGTGACTTCTTTCTAAGGCAGAAGGGGTGGGGTGTCATTTCCGAGATTGGGTTATAAAAAGACTGATGCTTCTGGCCAGGCGTGGTGGCTCAGACCTGTAATCTCAGCACTTTGGGAGGCCGAGGCGGGCAGATCACGAGGTCAGGAGATCGAGACCATCCTGGCTAACACAGTGAAACCCCGTCTCTACTAAAAATACAAAAAATTAGCTGGGCGTGTTGGCGGGCGCCTGTAGTCCCAGCTACTTGGGAGGCTGAGGCAGGAGAATGGTGTGAACCTGGGAGGCAGAGCTTGCAGTGAGCCGAGATCACGCCACTGCACTCCAGCCTGGGCGACAGAGTGAGACTCTGTCTCAAAAAAAAAAAAAAAAAAAAAAAGACTGCTGCTTCTGCCATGGGTTCTCTCTCTGTGTCCCCCTCTCTCTGTCCCTTACTCTCTCTGTCTTTCTCTTTTCCCCTCTATTTTGTGCTTTCTGTCTTTTGTCTCTCTCTTGGTCCTGGACATTCAACAACTGTCTGTGTCTCTGTCTCTATCTCTCTCTCTGCCTTTCTCTTTTTTTCTCTCTCTCTTTTGTGCTTTCTCTCTATATCCTCTCTCGGTCCTGGACACTAAACAAACAAGCCTCTCTCTCTCTCTCTCTCTCTCTCTCTCTCTCTCTCTCTCTAAGTCACATTTGAGCAGCCCTGTGAGTAGCCCACATAGGGAGGAACTGAGACCTTCTACCAACAGCCCCACAAGTGAGCCTTCTGGGATTGCCCTGGCCAACAGCAATCCTGGATTCCTGACCCTCAGGAACTCCGTGAGATAATCATGGGCTATTTACTCTGCAGCAGTAGATGACTAACACATTCCACAGCTCCCGTCCTCTTGACTCTCAGGAATCATGGGAAGTGGGTAAGGAGGGAAATTTGAGGACGAAGTAAGAAAACCAGTAAATCTCATAATACAATCTGTGCCACATGGCTGACGCCTTACTACCTTCCTCCGCCTTCCTTCTACTTAAGCAAATCTGCCTCTCCTTCCCTCACTTCCGGAGGCCCAGTGACATAGATGATGGTCATCATAGCTGCTCTGTTCTTTATGCTTAAGAGCACATGGAATCCACATGAACACCCACTGAGGCGGGTCCCATTACTCCCTCAATTTTAGATATGAGGAAACGGAAGTACAGGGAGGCGGAGCTCATTCCCAAGGCCTCACCACCACTGCTGGTAAGTGCCAAGCTGAGCCAGGATTCTGAACCAGGCAGGTTGGCTTCGACGTCCACCCTCGTTCCTTCCCTGCAAACACAGCTCCACTCCCAGCTGACCTGTGCCCAGCCTGGCCATGAAGACACAGTGACCCCAGAGATAAGGAGACACCCTCTGAGGTTGCGCAGCTGGGGAAGGTGGAGGCCCCCTGACTCCTCTGGCAGTCCTCTGTGCCAGCCCTGGAGGGAGCCTGGGTTTTGCATCAGAAATAACGGGCTTGCGTCCTGGCGGTGTGGATGATCACTCGTGCTTCTCTCCTTGCCAGGACACAGATAGGCTTCTGATTTTAGGGTCGAGGGGTTGTGCCGCTGCGTTTTACCTGTGGCTCTGTCTTTATCAGAGGTCTCTGGTAACTAACATTTTGACCTGGGATTTTGACACAGGGGCCTCCTTGGCACCTGTCCTTAGCTACCCTCACATGGAGCATTGCCCCCAAATAACCCCCTTGACTTCCTCACTTGCTCTTTTGCTCCTTCTCCTGCTCCTCACAGTCATTCAGCAAGCAGGAAGTGAGTGGGTGGTGCCTCTTCTCCTGGCTCAGCCTCCACCTCCCCTCAGGGCCCCCAGCGTGGGGCTGGGTCTCCCCCTCCACATCCCTACTCTCCACCTCTGCTGCCCACGTGGGTCCCAGCCTGTCTGGCTGCACCCTCAGTGACCTCTGAGCTGGTCCTTACTTCCACCCTCACCCCACCTGACTGTTTTCTACGTGGCCACCAGGATATCCTTAAGAATATGAGTCCTTCAGGTTACTGGCCAGTTTGAAGCACCCCTACTGGCCTCCCAGTACCCTGAGGCCCAACTGCATCATCCCCAGGTCCAGAAGACCCCCCTTTCTGGACAAGCCCCACCAATCTCTGCAGCTAGGATGCCCAGGAGCAAAGTCCCCTAGAGCCGGACCCTCCCTGCAGAGCTCACCTTTGGCCAGGGGAGGGAGGGAGAGGAGCTCTAGGAAAACCTGCAGTAGAAAAGCCTCTTTGTTACTCCCAGGCTGGCTACTCCTGGCACAGGTTGCAACTTCCCAGACAAAACTGTGTGAGTCAGCTCCTCTGCAGTGAACAAGGCCACCTCACAGAATGTTCTGTCTCAGGCTTCAGTTTGATGATGCAATCATGGATAAGGCAATCCTTTGTTATGCTCCCGGCCCTCATATTATGTAGCAGGAAGCCTCCCAGGGTCCTTCCTTGTGGCCCTGACCCTCTTCTGACCCAAGCCCCAATCCCACTGCCAGTGCAGTGCCTGGACTTTCCTGCTGTCCCTGGGACTTCCCGCATCTCTGCAGGGAAGGCTGTTGGCTTCTGGCCATCGGAGCAGCTGCTTCTCAATCATCCCTGTTCCCTACAGGTAGAATTGTCAGATTTAGCAAACAAAAACACCTCACAATTCAAAGGGCATGGGTACTTTGCTAAAAAGTTACTCATTATCTGGAATTCCCACTTCACTGGGTGTATATGGCCAGCACTTCCCCGCCTGTGGGGCACGCCCAGCGCTTGTGTGTGGTAGGGGTCCCAAGCTCAAGGACTTACAGAGTCCTAGGCAGCAGCTGAAGACTTGTAGAGTCTGAGATATCAACGTGGGGACGAGCATGGGGAACTCGCCTGGGTGTGCGTGCTTGTTACCTGGTGAGTGCTCTGCAGTGATTGGAGGAATGAATACTTACATAGCTAAGAGCCTCTGGGCCTGTTCTAGGAGGAGTCTGAGGACCACCCTCAGGCACGAAAGCTAGGTGGGTGGCACCGCAGGGAGCAGGGGGAGTAGGGGAGTTCCGTGGGCCTGAGCGTCCGGGTCACAGTGCACTGAACAGGACAGTCCTGCCCTCTCTTGTACTGTAGGCGGCAAAGCACCAAAAATCTGTGTGCATTTGAATCCCGAGGGGGAGCTTAAAGACTCTGTGTCAAATATTCTGATTTATCTGATCAGGGCCAGGAGTATGTATTTTTAACAAGCTCCTCAAGTAACGTTAATCAGAGTTTGAGAAACACTGCTATAGGGAGGTCTCAGGTCATAGCTTTTTTTTTTTTTTTTTTTTTGGCCTGGTCTCCCCTGAGCCTTCAATAACCCTGTAACATCGGCCTCATTACATTCATTCCCCCTGCATGGCCCAAGAGGTGGTCATGTGTGTGTCTGCTTGCGATCACCCAGCTTAGGATACCGGGCAGCAGAGACTCCACCCACTCTCCATCTCCACAGCCTTGTACCTTAACATTTGTGATGGATCAAGATAAGGATCATTTACCTTGATTATCCTGATCAAATCCACATGCTTCAGAGCAGCCCCTCTGGGAGAGGCCAGGAGAGAAACAGAGACTTCTGCTTAGTGGAGACACCGCTCTGGGGGTCCTGACACAGGTTCTTCCTCTGTGCATCGGGGACAACAGGGACCACATCAGTGGGGCAGAGAGGGTTAAACGGGGTCGCGCAGGGAAAGTGCCTGCCCTCTCCCCACCCCAGCAGGCAATGGGTGCTCAGCTCAGCACAACCAGAGGTGGTAGCTGTGTTAGCCACCCAGAAGCCACAGTGCTCCAGGAGGCTGTGTGTGTGTGTGCACAGATGTGTGAGTAGCAATCCAGATGTGTGCAGGAACAGCTGGTTAACTGCACTCTGCATGTCTACATAAAAAGTCACCATCAGGAAGGGTGTGTGGATGCCCATACTAGGTTCTCCTGGGAGTCAAAAGTGTCTTGTGTCTTGTGTCTGTGGCTCCTGTGTGTGTTGTCACCTTAGAGCCCCTTACTCCCACCAAGGTGGTCTTGGAGAAGGGTGGCAGAGAAGGATCAGTACTGTAGACCTGCTCTAAGGACGCTGGAGAGGACTGGAGATGTCACCTGCTTCCTGTCCCCCAGCCCCTACCCCAGGTGCCTCTCAGTTCACCTCTGCATTAACTCAGCCAATGTGCACAAAGGGCTTAGGCGAGTGCCAGACACACGGGACGCAGCCTCCAAGTGCTGCCTGTTATTATTACTGTTACTCCCATCTCAGCACCCTACTCAGTGTCCTTGTGGCCAAGGAAGGGATGGGCCTCCCACCCCACCTTCTCTTTCCCTCCTCAGCTGCTGCCACAGGCACCGTCTCTCAATTTTGTGCACAGCACTCCCCTTTTCCCACTTCTGAGACTCACAGTGTCTACACCTGATTGTCCCTCAGAACTCCGCTTCAATGGCACCACCTCAGGGAGCCCCTCAGGGCCCTGGCTGCAGCAGGTCCTCCTGATTGTCTCTCTTAGTGCCCCGTTTTCTTCCTTAACTGGTCTCCTGCTTCTGCCTTTGCAATTCCCAACCCCACTCGTGTGCCCTCCCCTACTTGGCTGTTTTTCTTTTTGAAACATTTTCTTAAAAAAAGGGGGTGCAGCAAACCACCATGGTACATGTATACCTATGTAACAAACCTGCATATTCTGCACCTGTACCCCAGAACTTAAAGTATAATTTAAAAAAACTATTTTAAGACAGTTTTGGATTTACAGAAAAGTTATAAAAACAATACAGAGAGGTCCCATATACGCTCTCCCTGCTTCTCCTAATGTAAATGTGGACAGACCACAGCATGTTCCTCAGAACTGGGAAGTGGACATTGGTACAGCCTGGACTTACTTGGGTTTCACCAGCTGTCCTACTAATGTCCTTTTCTGTCCGAGGATTCTACATTGCATTTAGTCGTCATGTCTGCTGAGTTTCCTCCGGCCAAAGACGATTTCCCAGGGTTTCCTTGCCTTTCAAGACCTCGACACTTTTAAGTAGGAGTGGTGGGCTATTTTGCCAAATGTCCCTGAACTTGGGATTGGCTGTCATTTTCTTGTGATTAGACTGAGGTTCTGGGTTTGGGGGAAGATCCCACCAAGAGGAGGCAGCCTGCTCATGACGCCATATCGAAGATAATAAGATGTCAGCACTGCTCACAGCTGGCGATGCCAACCTCGATCCCTTGGCCAAGATGGTGTCTGCCGGGTCTTTTGGCTGAGATGTCGCCATGTTCCACTTTCTGTGCTCCATTTAGATGACGGCCTCATTCCACAGTACTTGTCATCAAGTGACATGCAATCCATTTTACTTTTCTATTTTATTCTTCATTCTTTTTCATTATGTTATCTTGTCACATTATAATGTCTCCTCTATAAGGGCAGGGATTTTTGTTTTCTTCATTTTTCTTCAGCACTTGGAACAGTGCCAGGCACACAGTGGCCATTCAGTGAATATCTGTGGATGGATGAATTCTTGTCATCATAGTTTGTAGTTCTGTTTATTTGTTTACCTGATTATTGCTGGGGTCAGTGTCTGCCAGGCTCACTCTTATCATTGTGCTTGCACTAGCTCCATGCCTGGATTTCCACTAGGCAACCCAGGAATAGCCTTTGGATGGATGAGCTAAGTAAGCCGCACAGTCAAGTGTAGGCTGGGCATGGCTGTTCACTGTGGTGGGAAGTTCTTCCCCCGAAGACCAAGGTCATTTTTTAAAAAAATCTGAGTCTCTGCAGGGAGAGGTGGGAGAAAGAGTCCTGGGCCCTAACCTTGTATTACTTCTCTGCATTCTGATTACAGCTCACAAGAGGAACTTTTAGAATCCATATGGCTAGAAAGGAAAATAATGGTGGGCTTTCTAAGAACAAGAATGATCTTGGCAAGAGCTGCAAAAACTCAAAGGGCAGAGGGGGGCTGAGTGTGGCCTCTGCTGCAAGTCATTGATGCGTTTCATGCATTGAAGCACCGTGCTGGGGGTCATTGCAGCCTGTTTAACTCAGCATTTCTTTCTTCTTTTTCGTTTTTGCAGCCTGTTCAACTCAATTGTCACACGTTCCTGGGTGCACAAAATGATAGAGGAGTTCAGACAAAGATCGACAGAAAGAGAGAAAGAATGAAGTTCTGAGAGGTCAGGACATTTTTTTGTACAAAGGAGGACACTGAGCTGGCTTTGAAGCATGAAAAGGACCTCCCAGACAGTGGATGTGGGAACAGGTGTGGGACTTCCAGGCAGACAGACCGACTGGAGACGAGTGTGATGTGATGAGCTGTGGAGTGTAGGGGATGTCACAGAATATCACTCTGGATGGATGGCTGTTCCTGGGGTGTCCACTGGGAACCAGGCATGGCACTAGTGCAGCTGTAATGATAAGAGTGAGCCTGGCTGAGTTGCATCCTCCCAAAATTCATACACTGAAGTCCTAACCCTCAATATTTCAAAATGTGACTGTATTTGGAGATAGAGACTTTAAAGAGGTTATTAAGTTAGAATGAGGTCATTGGGGGGCCCTAATTCTATAAGACTGGTGGAGATGAGGAGAGGAGAGGAAGTTAGAACTCAGGCACATGCAGAGGAGGACCATGTGAAGACATAGGGAGAGGAGAGCCACCTGCAAACCAAGGGGAGAGGCCTCAGGGAAACCAGCCCTGCACTTGCCTTGATCTTCGATTCAAGCTCCAGAATCAAGCTTGAATCAATTTCAGCAACGCTAGCAAATCAATTTCAGCAAATCTACTGCAGCCTCCCAGATGAGGACACTTTGTTTTGGCAGCCCCAGCAAATTAATACAGTGGCTGTGAATGAGGGTCCTGAGGGGAGTAGTCAGGCTATATGTGACCGTGACCTGATTTTACCCTGTAGGTGAGCTCGTTCCATGGGAGGGCCTGGTGGGTTTTGGAGAAGCATCTGTGGATAGAGGTGAGCGTCCTGGGAGGGCTGCATGGAGGCATCTACTCATGTGCAGACAGGGGGGTGAGGGAGAGAAAGGGCCCAGGGGACACTTGGAATGTGGCGTGGATGACCAAACTACCCTGAAATTGGGATGAAAGAGATCATCCCATTTAGGATTGGCCTCCCATTTAGGATCTCTGTCACTGAACCGCCGGCACGGCCACCTCCCTCCTCCTTGTCTCCTCCACATGCCCTGTGCAGGCCCAGACTGAAGTTCTGTGGGGACCCATACACTCCATGGCTCACCACATCACGCTCGTCTCCAGCCAGTCCCTCTGCCTGGAGGTCTCACTCCTTTCCCACATTTGCTAGGTGAAGTCCTTCTCACGCTCCAAAGCCATCTTAGTGTCCCTTCATCCAAGAAAACCTGACTCCTCAGAGGTTCATGCTGTCTGTCCATCTCTCTCTGAGCTGCTCTACCATTTTGTGCACCCAGGCTCATGTGACAATTGAGTTAAACAGCCTGTGATGACCCCCAGCACAGTGCTTCAATGTGTGACATGCAGCAGAGACCACAGTGAGCCCACCCCTGACCCCCCACACAGGAGCTGCTTTGTGACTGTTTGCTGAGTAAAGTTTGGACAGTGCTGGACGTTGACCTTCTGTGTGAGACACAGACAGGGCTTCCCTGTGACCTTGGACTGGCTGGGTAAACTCCAGAGAAATATTTGCCAAGACAGGCAAGGCATGATGCAAGGGAAAACACACAGGAGTGCATGACCCCATGAAGGGGCCCCTTCATAAAGAGCCACCCTGAGCCCACAGCACAACTGCAGAGAAATGTCTGAGTCTGGTTGCTGCCATCTCCCCTGCCACCAGCCCGCACATGTGCGATCTGGGCTCTCAGACCCTGGGCCCTCACTGTCACCAGCGTGGGACCCTGGGAAAGCACTTATGTTATTGCCTGTAAAATGGGAACAATAATAGAACTTGCTGGGTTGTCAAGGGATGGGTGATATCACAAGTGCAAAGCATCTGGCATGGGCTGGTGCATGGTGGGGGCTCAGTACTTTGGGGGATGGACAAGGTTTGGGGTCCTGACCTTGTTACCTCTAGTAGGCACTCACCTCTGATACAGTCCAGACTCTAGAATCAGAGGGTGGGGCACAGCCTTATGGAAGCATGCTTAGAACATGCAGGGTGGGGTGAGCAGGCGCACAGAAAATCAGACTTGGGTGCAGCGAAGGACTCACTCACCCACTCATTCCATTCTTGAGTATCTAATCCTCTTCATTCGGCACATGAGGAAACACATGGTGCTTGGTGAAGGGAGGGAGGGAACTTAGCTGGCTCATGGGGGAGCTGGTGCCTGAGATGTCCCTGAATGAAGTTTCTGCTCCTGGTCATCTCTCCTCCACAGCACAGAGCACAGGACTGAGTGTAGGGTTCTTGGTCGCACTCCCCCCGCCAAATTCTGGCTGCACCACTTAGAAGATATGTGACTGGGTAAGCCACCTAACCAC
This sequence comes from Homo sapiens, assembly GCF_000001405.40. Lineage (NCBI taxonomy): Eukaryota > Metazoa > Chordata > Mammalia > Primates > Hominidae > Homo > Homo sapiens. The sequence continues at coordinate 94,593,299 of NC_000014.9, read as the reverse complement.
TTCAAGCCTTGCCTTTCCCATCTGTGAATAACAGATGGGATAACAGTGGTGCCTTTCTTCATGGGAGTCTTATGAGGGGCAAATGCGACCATCCAGGTGAAGGGCCAGGCACCCGGCCTGGAGCATGGTAAGCTATCAATGTCACCATTCCCAGAGCTGCCTCCATAAAGACAGTTATAACCAGTGTTTGCAAAATGCTTTATTGTTAATGCCAACATAGAATTCAAAAAGTTAGTCATTGGCACCTGCAACTGATACTCTACTATTTGCAAAAGGCTTCCCTTCTTCCACTCCCAGCCAGGCCCATCAGATTATAACTATATCCACAAAATGATATAATCAATCATTAAATGGGCCATTTCCACCTTGATATCCAGATGTTTTTCTTAAAGGATGAATGGCACTTGAGTGTATTGAAATCAACCACGAATGACAGGGCCCACCCCAGCCTTTCTATATGATTTCAGGAGTTCTTGGGTCACAGCAAGAATCTGATCCTTGTATACAGAGGGAAACTGAGGTCCAGAGAGGGAAAGTGTTGTCCCAATGTCACACAGCACATTAGGACTGAAACAGTAGCCCCATTTCAGACTCCCATTCCAACATTTTTCCCATGCAGGATGAACTGACAGTTGTTGCTGCTGATAAGTGTGGGACCAGCCTTGGACCTGTGCTTCCTGGTGGCCCTCATCCACTGGAACATCCCTCCTATTGAGCTTTGTGGCACTGAGCTGGGCATCAAGGGCCAGGACTCTGGACCTCTCTTTGCCACTACCATGCTGGTGAACTTGAGCAAGTCATCCAGCCTCTCTGGATCTCAGTGTTAATCTTCATTGATGAATAGTGACGGCAAGATTGAATGTTCTCCACATTTCCCCAAGGCACCTGTATGTTGCAGTCGTGTGGGTGGAAGCAATCATCATAGAGTAATATTATTTGTAATGCCTCATTAGTCAACTAAACCTGTGTAAATCACTAGCTACCAGCATACAGATGGGCCATAGCTTAGCCCCCTTCATCTCCCACCCTGAGGCCTGTAGATTTCAGGAGAAGCCCCACCTCAGGGGCGGTTCACTTTGCCAAGGAAGAGGATGTTGTTATCCACAATGAACATCAGAAAGGGCCTGTTGAACACTAGCCTCTGAGAGTTCAGGCGGGCCGACCTGAAAGTGAATATTGTCCCCGTGGCTGCCGCTGCTCTGGTTCCCGACTCGTCCACCTCCACCACAGCTTTGTGCACCATCTGCAGGGGAGACACCAGGCATCACCAGGCCACTAGGGGCAGGTGAAGTCATCATAGCAAATGGCAAAGCTTCTGCCTATGGGCATCAACCTCTAAGTATCTGTTCAACTGAGCCATGGAGCAAGTAGGAAATGGAACAATGGAGCAGCTACTCTGCCCCAGGCACTGTGCTGGGGGGTGACTTCGCATGTGTCTGTCATTGAATTCTCATGGCATCTTTGAGCAAGGTGTAATTCTTCAATTTTATAGAAGAGAGAAAGGAAGCTCAGAGAGTCAAGTATTTTTTGGAGATCACATAGCTAGGAAGTGCCTTCTTAGTTTTGATTGTTTAAAACAGGACTCCTTAACTCAAGGAACAGTGGTGGATATGGCTTCCCATTACATGAAGGATAAGACACAAAGTGAAACTTTCACTACTTGTGGGAAAAGAGAGGGAGAGGGAGAGAATAGAATAGAATAGAATAGAATAGAATAGAATAGAATAGAATAGAATAGAATAGAATAGAACAGAACAGAATAAAGGAGTGGAGTGCAGTGGAGTGGACTGCAATGGAATGGAGTGGAGGGGAGAGGAGTGGAATAGAATAGTAGAGAGTGGAGTGGAGTTGACTGCAATGGAATGGAATAGAATAGAGTAGAATGGAATGGAATAGAATAGAATAGAGTGGAGTGGAGTGGAGGAGTGGAATGGAGTGGAGTGGAAGAGTGGAGTGGAGGAGTGGAATGGAGTGGAATGGAAGAGTGGAGTGGATGAGTGGAGTGGAGTGGAGGAGTGGAGTGGAGGAGTGGAGTGGAGGAGTGGAGTGGATGAGTGGAGTGGAGGAGTGGAGTGGAGGAGTGGAGTGGAGATGTGGAGTGGAGGAGTAGAGTGGAGTGGATGAGAGGAGTGGAGGAGTGGAATGGAGTGGAATGGAATAGAGTGAACTGGAGTGGAGTGGAGTGGAGTGGAACTGAATAGAGTGAACTGGAGTGGAGTGGAGTGGAATTGAATAAAGTGAACTGGAGTGGAGTGGAGTGGAATTGAATAGAGTGAACTGGAGTGGAGTGGAGTGGAGTGGAGTTGAGTGGAATGGAATGGAATGAAATGGGGTAGAGTAGAATAGAAAGAATAGAACAGAATAGACCTTGGGAAGCAGATGCATAGGAGCTTCTGAACCCACCTCAGACACCTGGATATTTGAGTGGTTGCTGATGCCGGACAGATCAGCATGGGAGGTGAAGACGTTACTGATCCCCAGACTGGGGAGGACTTTCTCCAGCTGATAGGAGCCCTCAATGGAGAATTTGGGAAGGTAAAGCTCGAGCTGCCTGGAAAGGGAAAAGGAGCTTTCTTAGACTGTTCTGGGGCATTGGCACACTGAGCCTCACCCCTTGGATTCATAATGCACTGGATTCTTAGTTTTGATGGTTTTAAAAAAGGACTCCTTAACCCAAGGAACAATGGTGGTTATGGCTCCTCTGGCCTCTTTTCTAGGATGAGCCTCCCCTTGCTCTGGACTTGGACGTGGGCTGCCCAGAGGTCTCTGCCCACTCTGGCACCACCCTAAGGAACCCAGTTTCCAGCTCTTGTCCCTCCAACTGGGCTAGGCCCCCAGGACTTGGATGTCACAGGATGCCTCTGGGCCTGGAGGCAGCTCCTTGGCTGGGTGAGTCCTTCCCACCAGTGCTGTGTGGCCCTGGTAGGGCGTGTGTGTCTCCCTGGGGCTGTGTGGGTTTAGGCTGGCCCTGGGGTAGTCTGAAAGTACCTCTTTTTGAACATCTTAAGCCACTTCCTCAGCGTTTTCTCACTCAGTCCATTCTCCACCTGCTGCATCTTTCCCTCACTGGGGAGAATGAACAAAGCCGTGGCATTGCCTTGGTAGGGGACCCCCACCACCCTGCAGGAGAGGTTCCGGTCCAGGAGGTAGTGATACTGATCCTCGCGGCTCATCATGGGTACCCGCACCACAGTCTCCGAGGTCACGTAGAAGTCTTGCTCTTGGGTGCCTTTGTGGTTGAAGCTTGTCTCCCACTTAGCTAAAGATGAAAAAAGGGAAAAATGAAAAAGAATTTTGTGTCAGAATTAGAAATTCTCAGCTGCAAATAAAAGGAGTGAAGACAGTAAAGATAGCCAGCGGAGACCATCTTTATGGCAGCCCCAGAGCAGTGACTGTTGAACCTCTTGAATATGAAGGCAAGTCTCTTTATAACATTGGGCACATTCTTGGACTTTTCGTGGGACTTTTCCTTCCACATTTGCAAAACAAGGAGGTTGGTTTTCACATCTTCAGAGGCCCTGGACCCCTGATGTTCTCTGATTCTCTAACGTTTTACTCAAGACCAAATCTCCAAGTGAAGAGGGTGAAAAATGTGGCTGGCTGTGAATGCTACCTGATATCTGGGTGAACTTCTCTGTTTGCACTTTCATTCCAATATTTTGATTTAAATTTTAGAAAGAAGTTAGTATGGATCCTGGAAATGAATGGTTTTTCCCATTGGGAAGTCTTCAATGACCCTTCTCTGACCTTCCTATGGGAACTTCTGAACAAAACGCTACAAGTGATTGTTTCCAACTTCTTTTTATTTTATTTTATTTCTTTTTTTCTTTTTTTTCTTTTTTTCTTCTTTTTGAGATGGAGTCTCGCTCTGTGACCCATGCTGGAGTGCAGTGGCGCAATTTTGGCTCACTACAGCCCCCACCTCCCAGGTTCAAGTGATTCTCCTGCCTCAGCCTCCCAAGTAGCTGGAATTACAGGCGCCCACCACCATGCCTGGCTAATTTCTGTATTTTTTAGTAGAGACGGGGTTTCACTATGTTGGCCAGGCTGATCTCGAACTCCTGACCTCAGGTGATCTGCCCATCTCGGCCTCCTAAAATGTTGGGATTATAGGCGTGAGCCACCATGCCTGGCCTGTTTCCAACTTCTTAATCGTTATCGAAGGAAGACCCCAGTCAATACCGTCCTTAGCTTATTTCCCAGCTGCCCTCAGCAATCTGGTGTAATGGGGACTGCCCTGCACCAGGGGATAGGAAATCTCAGAGTCCAAGTTCGACACTCACTGCTGTGGTCTCAATGTTTGTGTCCCCACATTGTTCATATGTTGAAACCTAACCCCCAAGGTGGTGGTATTAGGACAGGGGGCCTTTGGGAGTTGATTAGGTCATGGGGGTGGAGCTGTCATGAACAGGATCGGTGTCCTTACAAAAGAGACCACAGAGAGCTGCCTTCCTCCTTCCAGCAAGGATATACTAAGAAGGCACTCTCTATGAACCAAGGAATGGGCACTGCATCTGCCAGTGCCTTGATCCTGGACTTCTCAGCCTCCAGAACTATGAGAAATATATGTTTGTTGTTGCTAAGCCACCCAGTTTATGGTATTTTGTTATAGCCACCCAAATGGCCAAAGATACTCATGATCTGTGACCATAGGAAGGGGAGGTGTTAACAATTTACCTTCCTTCGCAACCCTTCCCACCCTCTCCTCTCCTCTCTTCTCCTCTCTATCCACTCTTGCTTTCCCCAGGGTCAGCAACTGGCAGGAGCTGCAGAGGCGAGCAGGAATGCTTACAAGGAGTGTCGGGGAGATAAGCAGAGGTCAGCTCTTGCTGAGGAGTCAGGAGGAGGCATTTCAGAGGAACAAGCATTTGTCTGAGGGAGTCTTGGCCTCTATGAGGGCAGAGGGGCCAAGATCTGAGGGATACGGGGGACTGGGAAATGCCCTTTAAGCCCTTCTGGGGTCTGTGTCCTGCCCTGAGTGGCTAAGGTGTTGGTGTCTTTGCCATGGTGGCCACAATGGGTTCATACTTCAGAGCCTGTAGAAAGCTGGGGCTTCAGATGTCCCCAGGGGCCCGAAGACAGCAACCAGCTCTTCCTCCGTGGAGGAAACAGCATCTCAGCCTCACTAATCCCATCCACAGCAAGAAGGCATTCATCTTACCTTCTCTGGCTGCTTGTTTACTTAATTTTTCTCAACAGGCACCCAAAAGAACTTAACGTACTCCCCGTCTTTTATGTATGTGAGGGAATTGGGTATTCTTTAGATAAAAGCAGCAGAAAAGCCAAAGAAAGTGCAGGTTTGGGCCCAAGGGCCTTACCTTTAAAGAAGATGTAATTCACCATGATCACGACCGCATTGCTATCGAGGTTCTTAAGCAAGTCCACAATCTTGCCCTTCGTTTGCTTTGCCACATAATCATTGATCTGCTTCATGGCCCCTGCAGAGTCCCTAAAGTTGGTAGGGAAAGTGTCTGCCAGGTACAGCGTCTTCATGGCACTTACGAAGGTGTCCTGCAGGTCTACCACCAGGTCGGTGAAAAGGGCATTGCCGAGGCTCAGCTGGAAGCCATCTCTGGGCTGGTTGAGTTCCTGAAGGAGCTGCTGAAAGCCTCTGTGCAGCTCCTTCTCTGAGCTTTTCTGGAGGTTGAGGCCCAGGCCCTCCAGGATCTGCATCTTTGTGCTGGACCCAGCCCCCAGGGAGAGCATGGCCAGGCTCATGGAGATGCTCACAGGGGAGAAGAAGATGCTCTGGCTGGGGGCAGCGGAAGCCAAGGCCCTGTAGAGGTCAAAGGTAAAGTCCCTTCTGCTGCTGGGGGCCACCGTGGCACCTACATGGAGGTCCTCGACTCTCTTCTTCATCTCCCGGGGGTGGTGGCGGTGAAGGGAGGCCCCCTGAGGGCTGAGAAGCACCAGGCACAAGAGGAGGAAGAGCTGCATGGTGGCTGTTCTTTGTTCTGAAAGGGAAAGAAGGTGTCCTCAGAGAGGGGTGGAGCTGGTCCAGGTGCTGACTTTCCAGAGATGTCCCCACCCAACACTCAATGGGTATGTTTGGTCCATTCAGCTTCAAAGAGAAGGGATGGCACCCGCAAGACTGGGCATGAGGGTTTACACAGGGTGGCAGTGGCTCGAGGACAAGATTTAGGGATGACGGGGAGAGGAAGGAGGGAGAGGAGGTGCAGACCCAAGGCAGGGGTCTGGCTGCCAGGGCAGGAATCCTGTCTACCCATCCACATCAAGGGACACATTTTGGAGGATGGGATATGGAGGGAGAGGGTTCCCTCTGCTCTGCTCTGTCTCATCAGCATCTCGAGGTTACCAGGGAACTAAGCTGCTTCCATGTGAGCTTCTGGCCTTCACTCTGGTGTCCTGGTTTGGCACATGGCAGGGCGCTGTGGTCCTTCTATGAACTCAGACCAGCTACATGCCTGGGACCATCAGCACTGCTGGCCTTGCCCTGTTCATTCAGCAAACGCTGAGTGAGTGTCCACCCTGGGGTAGGCAGAATACCAGTATGCAAACTGTCCCCTTCTCCTTCCCCCAGGGGCTGCTCCATGCCACCCTTGTCCCACAGAGAGACATCTTCCCCTCCTAAAGGAATTCTGCCTGAACCTCTTCATGTGGACATCCCCACCGTCCTCCTGTTCTGGCTGAATTGTGCCCCCAAAATGCATATGCTGAAGTCCTTACCTTCAATACCCCAGAATGTGACTATATCTGGAGATAGGGCTTTTAAAGAGGGGACTGAGTTAGAATGAGGTCACTAGAGTGGGCCCCAACCCAATATGACTACGTCCTTACACAAAAATTAAAAAGAGGAGATCAGGATAGAGACATGCACAGAGGGAAGACCAGGTGAAGACAGGGAGAAGGCAGCCACCTGTGAGCCAAGGAGAGGGGCCTTGGAAGGAACAAATCCTGCTGGTGCCTTAATCTCAGACTTCCAGCTTCCAGAGTTGTAAAGAAAGAAATTTCTGTTGTTGAAGCCCCCTAGCCCCTGGGACTTTGTGACAGCAGCCCATGCAGGCAAAGACATCTTTTCATCTTCCAGATGAGGAGGCACTCATCTTTGTCTCTAGCTCTTCTCAGGGAGGCCTTTGTGGGGTCTCCCATCACTCCTGACGTGGCCTTGGCCTTCAGTCCTCCTCTTCCTCCCTCCACTTCACCCAAGAGCCGTTCCTGTGCCCATGCCTCCCCATCTGGCTACGGGTAGAAGTCTTGCCTCCTCCCTCTGCAGTAGGAAACAGCTCAGGCTCTGAAGCCACTGCCTGGGTTCAAATCTCAGCCCTGCTGTGTCCTTGTAGTGTGATTTTGGGCAAGTCAGTTACACCTTGAGCCACTGCTCCATAACTGTAAGATAGTGATAATAACAGCACCTACACCATGGGGTGCTTGGGGGCACGTGCTATGGAAGTGTGAGCAGTAGGCATGGCAGTTTCTGGCAAAAGCCCCATCTGAGGCCTCCATATTCTCAACTGTACCATAGGGTACATGCTTTACACACACACACACACACACACACACACACACACACACACGTGTGAGCCTGACAGCACCCAGGCTGGCTAATTACCAGGTGCAGAGGGCCTGCCTGGCTTCTGATGTGAGCTTTGCCCTGTGTGTCGCCTTGGAGGGAATCCCTTTCTGCTGGGCTCTCTCCATGGGCACAATGTCATCAGTGACCCCAGATCCCCACCAGGCAGGGGCAGCCTGTCACAGCATCCCGTGACCCAATTAAAACCAAACTCCAAAGGGCCCCAAACAGGTGGGTGGGAAATCCCTTGCAGAGTGGCCGTGGGGCTCAGCAGTGGAGAGAGAATGGTCTCAGGAATTGGGCAGGCTTGGACTGCAGGCCTGTCTTTAAGTGAAGTTGAATAGCTCCAGCAGGTCACCCTTGCCAGCCCAGCCTCCAAATTGTGTCCTGAGCTCCTTCCGAGAAGGAGCCTCATGTAGAAGTTTCTGCCTGCAGAATCGAACCTGGCACCAAACCCAGCAGCCACAGCAGTTGGGCGCATTGCCCGCACCCTCTTTCAGGCACTGTGCCAACTCCTTCAGCCCTGCACCACCCAAAAAGGTACATCTTGCTGCTAGCTCTATTTTACAGATGGGTAATCCGAGGTTCAGAGAGATGGAGTCGCTTGCTAACACTGGCAAAGCTTGGACTCAGACTCGGTTATCACTCTGACTCTGCAGAGTCCTGCCTCCTCTGCAGAGTCCTGCCTCCTCTTTTCCTGGCTGCATCTTCCTGATTTTGAAATCCCTGACTTAGTAGCCACCAACAATAGCCCTAATCTGCAGATAATGAGTGAGCAGAGTCTGGGCTTCCCCCCACTGACACTCCCTACCTGTTCCCACCATGGCACTTGCCTGGAGAGCTTTGAAGGACATAGGTGGGTGCTTTAATCTCCGGCTTCTCTAAATGAGTCTATTTTACAGCACAATATGGTCCCTCCTGCCAAGGGTTGGAACCAGCCATGTATGGAGATGCTTCTAAAGAAACAATGTGGCTCAACCCCCCACAGGGTCACACTGAGCTGATAATTTCGAGAACAGCTTCAGAAGCAGGGGAGTTTCCTTATTGGATACAGCCCAGGGGCAGCTGACCAGAGAGTCTCAGTGAGGCCCTGGCCTCCATTCTCCCATCTATTCAGCTACTAGGTCACCCTGGGCAAGCCTCACCCCCTCTGGGCCTCAGTTTCTTCATCTGCAGTCTGCCATGTGTTGTGGACACCCCCTCAAGACCCCGCCCCCTGCCAAGCACTAGAGATCCGATGGGGAGGAGCTGCTTCTCCGGGTGTGCACTGAGTCTCCCCCAGGATCTGTTTGGAGAGGGCCCCAGGTTCACTTAGGCTCTCCTGGGCTACATGTTTGAGACCCAGAAATCTTGCTCCCTCTGGGCCAACTCTCTCTACTTTTCAGTAAAACCACTAATTATTAAAGACATACTAGACACTCCATAAATATTACTATGTTTAACCTTCACCAAAAGTAAGCTCTCTATTTTACAGAGTTTTCCAAAAGTAAACTCACTCTATTTTACAGATTGAATAGACTGAGGCTAAGTGAAGTGGAATAGCTTGTTTCAGCTACTGAGTGATGGAACCGGAATTAAAATCCAGGTTCCTCTGACTCGTGCACAGCCTGTCTCTGAGTGGCTCTGAGGAGTGATACCTCGTTCCTCCTCGACCTCACCTCCTGGTATCCCCAGGCGGTTCACCTGTATTAGCTCATTTATACTTCTCTACAACAACATGGAGTTAGTATCATTATCCTAACAGTGCAGAAGAAACAGAGGGTCAGAGAGGTCACTCAAGAGGCAGTGGAGTCCTCAGTGCTTGTTTTACGTTTCTTAGTTTCAAATCCAGGGTTTGCCATCGCACTCTTGGGCCTCTGGTGGAAATACATGGCTTTGACAGAGACAGGTGAAGCCCTGGGAGCCTCCCATCCCCCAGACCAGCCTCTACTGAGTGCTTTGAAAGCTTGGTTGGGCTGCCCCTCTCCTGGTCCCTGGCTTTAGTGTTTCTGCAGAGGGAAGAGAGAGGATCAGTCATGTTCACCTGTCATCTCAGGCCAAGGTGAATTGAGGTGGGAGGTGGTGGGGATGTGATGGGTAGGCCCTGGTCAGTCTTCCCGCTGGCCCACCACCATCCCCGAAACCCAAATCTGCTGACTGATATTTCCCGTGTTGGGCAGTGAAGTCCTGCCCAGTTCTACCCTGGACTCAGCTGTGGGAATTGTGTTAGTGAGGACGGTCTGTCCAATATCTTCTAATTACAAAAAGGGATGTGAGGCTTGGAGCCCAGGCAGAGATGAGAGACAAAGTCACAGCTTCCTCTAGATCCTAAAGACCCAGGAACAGAACTTCCCAGAAGAAGTAATCTTGACTTCCTGTTCCACTCCAGCCCATCAGCAAAGCTTGTCCGTTCTATCTCCAAAACAGGTCTTAAAGCTGCCGCCTTTCCCTGGCTTTCTTACTGCCCCCAGTGGAAGCTCCCTTCATCTCCCCCAGGGCTACCCCAGTAGCTTCCTTTCTTTGCCCTGAAAGGCTTTCTATATACAGCATATAAAAGAATCTCCTTCAATCATAAATATGGTCACAGCGCTTCCTCGCCTAAGAAACTCATGGCCAACTCCTGTGTTTCAGATAAATGCTAAACTTTGATTTGTGCTCTAACCCACTAGGGCTGCTGTGACCTGGCTGCACCTGGCCTGGACCTGCTCTGCCCTGGATCACGTGATACCCCCAGGCTCACTCTTCTTTTCCCAGTTTCTCAAACACAGCAAGTTCTGTCCTAACTCTGGGCCTTTGCATACCTTCCCTCTCTACTGGAACCCTCCCCCAACCTTTCTCACTGAGGCCAACTTCTGCATAGGCTGCAGGCTTTTGCTTAAATGTCACTTCTTTGCAATACCTTATCACACTGGACCTTTTCCCCTTCCATGGCTATTCTCTGGAACAGTCCCTTGACTCTTTCTCTCAAAGCTCTTTCAATTACACATGTGCCTTTATATATGCATTTGTCATTGACATTTTTCATTCCGGCCTCTCTCTCCATGGGACCCTCATTTGTGCTGCTCTCACCTTCAAGAGCTTGCAGTCAGGAGAGATGCTCCATAAACCTTTGTAGAATGAATGAATGAATGAACTGACCAGTCTCCTTCTCTGTAATTCAGAGACATTAGACTGCAAGCTGGACACTGAGCAGTGGAAAAAGCCAGGCTGGCCACCCAGAGCTGAGCTCTCCCCGCCCCGGAGCTCACTTGCCAGGTGACCTTGAACAACTCCCTCCCTGTCTCTCAGCTCTGGCTTCCTATTATTTCTTTATTAAAACCACTTGATTGAGACATGACTGCTATTCATAAAGTTGCACATATTTAATGTCTATAACCTGACAAGTTTGGAGATGAGTCTACATCTGTCACTTATCATCACCGTCAGCACCATGAACACGTCCGTTACCTTCAGGCATCTGCCGCCTGTATTCTTCATGCTTCGGTTTCCTGATCTATGAGCAAGGACACTGGCCCAAGGAAGCAGTTTGCTCTTTTATTGCTGCATATCTGGCCAAAAGCCCTACCTTCAGAAAAACTAAAAATTCTGCTTACTTTATTTCTACATTTTGTTCATTTAACAAACTGCCAAATTGTTACTGTCCTTCATGAGCAGCTGCCATGACCGGCCTGGGTGGCAGCCTCCAGGCAAGATGCCCTTATCTCACGGAAGCCGATAATATTGGATCATTGTTCCTGATTTCTAAAGGCCCAAGACTCCAGGCACAGAAAACAACAGAAGCTGCCACTTACTGAGCACCTCCTATCCAGCCGACATTTTGTCCCCATGGCCTTATTTCAGGGTCTCTCAACCTTGATCCTGTTGACCTTTTGAACAGGATGATGCTTTGTGATCTTGTCCTGGGCATTGTGGGATCATCAGCAGCATCGCTGGCCTCTAGATGTCACTAACCCCCACCCCCCTTCCAGTTGTGGCAACCAAATGTGTCTGCAGACATGGCCAGATGTGCTGAGTGAGAGCACCCGCTGTATTTAATCTTCAGTCACACCATCCAGAGGGTGTAATTATTTCCATCTTACCTATGAGGAAACGGAGGCTCTGCCAGAGTTAGTGTGGAGCATAAGGTCACAGAGCTCGGGGGACCCACTCACCTCTGCTGCCTTGGATACCTGAAACTGCAGAGATGAGACTCCTTCAGAGCTTTGCAGACCCCAAACCCCAAAACTCTAGAGTCCATCCTCTCCTCGCCTCACATGCCCTCAAGCCCTGGGGACCTCCCTTTGCGGCATCGGTACTTACTGTGTCCCGTAGCTGAGTGTGCACACAGTGGAGGTGGCAGTCCCTCGGGCTCAGAAAGGGCAGAGGGCTGGCTGGATTGCAGCCAGCATTTGTCACTGACCACAGCCGGCCCTGTCTCCACCCCTCCCTGGCCCCGCCCCGGGACAGCCCCTTCCTTTCCTGGCAGGTTTCCGGCCAGCAGGCCTGCCTGCAGACGCAGCTCCCTGATCCCGAGGCTTTCACCACGATGCCCACTCGCTGCCCCCCAAGCCTTACACCACCAGCTGGGCCATCATTTTCCTGGAATGGCATGGGCACTCCTGAGAGACAAGACCAAAGAGCCTCCCTATTGTTGGCATTCCAGAGACAGGGAAAGGGACAGCTCTAGCAAACCCTCTCTTTTTCCAGGTTCTATTCCTTGGTTTTCTGCAGCTAATTTCTTGTAGATTAGGGGGGGCATATGCTTGAACCTGAGAGCTCCCCACAGGCCTGCTATGCTGACTGGGTCATAGATCCCAACAGTTAGATTCTAGTGGAAATGAGAGGGATTGAGAGACTCACCATGCCTGCAATGAATGGGTCACTGTAGCCAAGCCTGTGATTGCACCAATCACTGAATTGGGGCTCAGAAGAATGAGGGGAATTTTCAAAGTCATGCATTTAATTAGGGGCAGAGTGGGGTTGGTGCATAAGTGGCTGACTCCCAGGCCAGTGCTTGTTGCTGAGAAAGGAGTGGATTCAGGATTTCTATGGGCTTGGGTAGATTCTCCCTTTCTACTTTGAAATCCTGGTTCCCTAACTCAGCCATACACTCTTAAGAGCATTTCCAAGACACCGGTGCAGAGTGCTGTCTCAAGCCTGGTTATGTTTCTAAGGTCCCCTTGCCTGGGGGACATGGTGTGTTGTGCATGGCCGTGATCATGGAAGGTTATGTGGCTGCAGGTGGGGTGTGGAGTTGGTAGAGCAAATCAGAGGTAATACCTGGAAAGTGATTTTGATGTTCAGCAAACACTGTCCATCGACAACCTTTAAGACATTTCCTCTTCCTTCTTCATGGCTTTGGGGCCCAATTATGTGGCTGTTGGATATCCACAGAAATAATAAGAACTAGTATTTATTCACACTTTTAAAAAGACCACCTACTACACCAAGTGCTTTAAACGCATTATCTTTTTTCATCCTTACAATAACCCTTCAAGGGAGACACTGATCTCAGCCCAGTCTAGAGATGAGCACTGGGTATCTAGAGCTAAGTCCAGCTACTACTACATCTCTAGAAGCAAGCACAATACCTACTGGGTATCTAGAGGAAACACAATCACTACTGGGTATCTAGAACCAGGCATGATCACTTCTGGGTATCCAGAAGCAGGCAGGATCACTACTGTAGGATATCCAGAAACAGGCGGGATTGCTACTGTAGGATATCCAGAAACAGGCAGGATCACTACTGTAGGATATCCAGAAACAGGTGGGATTGCTACTGTAGGATATCCAGAAACAGGCGGCAGGATCACTACTGGGTATCCAGAGGCAAGTCCCACTACTACTAGGTATTGAGACCTTAGTTTTTGCTCAGTGCCCTCACAGTTCATTCCCATTGAATTGGAGAGAAGACAGAACACAGCAGGTCAGGGAATCAGCCCCTAATCCCACAGTTAGTAAGAAGAGGCTCTAACAAGGGAACCTGAGTCCCTCTTTTTCTAGGTTTGGCTTTCTTCCCATTATGCCATGTAACATGAGCAAGAGTCCATTATCTCATTGACCTAGAGATCCCTAAACCGTACCTACAGGATGGAAATCAGCACTGCATACCAGTTATGGGTGAGTAATGGAACCCCGAAGTTATCCGTGTCCTAATACCCAGAACCTGTGAATGTTATCGTTCTATGACAAAAGGGACTTTGCAGATGTGATTAAGTTAAGGATCTTGAAGAGATTGTCATGGATTATCCAGCTGGGTCCTAATTACAATCACAAGGATCCTTGCAAGAAAGAGGCAGGAGATTGGAGTCAGAAGAAGGTGATGTGATGGTAGAAGCAGGAAGGGAAAAGTCAATGTGATGTCGGAGCCAGGTGCCAAGGAGTGAGGAAGCTTCTAGAAGCTGGAGAGGGAAAGGAATGGATCCTCCCCTAGAGCCTCCAGAAAGAGTGGAGCCCTGCCAATATCCTCATTCTAGCCCAGTGAGGCCTCTGGCCTCTTCAACCATGAAAGAAGAATTTTGTGTTGTCTGAGCCACTGTTTGTGATAACTTCTTAGAGCAGCCATCAGAAACTAGTGTAACACCGCCCAAATGGGTTCCAGATGAAACTACTTTGGGAAAGGTGGTTAGCCCACCTTTCCTGTGGGCCGTCTCCAGCCTGTGTGTGCTGTCTGTGCTCTGACCACCCACGAGGGAAAGACATCACATGCCGTTTCCCAAGCTTACATCTTAAGGAATGTCTTGAGAATTTGGGGGAAAGTCTGAGGTAACTCATGACTCCCACTGCCATGCAGAAAGAGCTCTGAAGGAATCAGGACTGAGGGTGGTGCGTTTTGAAAGGAGAGATTTGGAAGGAGTCTCGGGGGCATGGCACCCCAGTGTATCAGTCTTCTCTGGCTGCTGTAACAAAATACCTCACACTGGCCTGGCTTAAACACACACTGGATGTCTTAAACAATAGAAATGTATTTTCTTACAGTTCTGGACGCTGGAAATCCAAGGTCAAGGTGCCGTCAGGGTTGGTCTCTGGTGAGGGCTCTCTGGCACTTATAGATGGTTGCCTTCACTCTGTTCGCCCATGACCTCTTCCCTGTGAGCCCACACTGGACACACACACACACACACACACATACACACACACACACCCCCCAAGAGAGGGATTGGGCAGAGGAAGAGAGCGAGCTCTCTGATTACTCTTCCTCTTCTTAAAAGGGCACCAATCTTATCAGATTAGAGTGCCACCCTTATAACCTTATTTAACTTTAATTACCTCCCTAAAAGCCCAATCTCTACAGTCACACTGAGGGCTAAAACTTCAACATAAGAATTTGCGGGAGAAGCAATTCAGTCCATAACACCCAGGGTGACTGCCTAGGGAGGGCCAGTGGCTAGAATATGAGAATTTGGTGTCCTAGAGCCTAGCAGGGCATGGGAAAGGATCAAAGTGGGGAGGTGGTTTCTGGGAGAAGGGCAGGGAAACCAATGTTGGCCCCTGTGATGCCTTGCCCTGCTGAGCACAGGTGCTCCTCTGCTTGGCCCTCAGCCTCCCTGCCCTCTGTTCCATGGTATTGGGCCTCATGGGGATTGAGTGAGACCAGTTCAAGAGCCTACAAGATGTCACTCAGGGCCTGGCTGATGCTTCTGCTCTGAAGTGGGGCACTGGTCTTAATTACTAGTAGGGTGACCAACCATTCCAATTTGCTGGGACTGAGTAATTTCCGATGGTGTGGGATATTCAGTGCTAAAACTGGCAAAGACCTTGGCAAACTGGGATGAGTTGGCTACTCGAGTCATTAGGCTCTTGCCTTGTTCTGGGATCCAGCTTCTAGCTCCTGATCTAGGTCTTGTGTCTTAATAACTTTCCCATTTTTCTTATCTTCTCTTCTCAGTCTTTGTGGGGCTGTCAATCTTGCCTTAAACATCTGCTATGATCCTCCTGTAATCAGCCACCATGCTTCCCTCTGCCCATCATCTGTTTGCCTGCATGAGCTAAAGCATACTGGTACTACCTTTCTTCTACCATCCTTCCTTCCTTCCTTCCTTCCTTCCTTCCTTCCTTCCTTCCTTCCATCCATCCACCCATATATTCATCCATTCATCCATCCATCCATCCATCCATCCATCCATTCATCCATCCACCCATCCATCTATCCATTTTTCCATCCATCCATCTATCCATCCATCCATCCATCCATCCATCCATCCATCCATTTATCCATCCACCCATCCTTATAGCCTTCTATCCATCCTTCCTTCATTTCATCCCTCCAGTATCAATGTTTATTGAGATCTAACCATGTCCCAGAAAATACCCCTGGCCTCAAGAAGAGAGATCAATATCTCAATAGATGAACTAAAGATAGAGAGTCGATGCTCTGACACATGTCTCCACAATAAAGACACACAGGGAGGAATGGTCCATTCTCCCGTGGTTGGAGAGAGGAATGGAATAGGAAAAGCTTTGTGAAGGTGGTGACCTTGGATCTGGGTTTTTGAACCTTGTCTAGGTTTTTATCAGCCCTGGCTGGGTGGAGAGGAGTGAACAGACAGAATAGCTTACAGCACAGCAGTGGGAGGCTGCATTTTGGGCTGAGAGAACCACAGGAGTGATAGCAGTACAGGCTAAGGGGGTGGTGGGGCACCGGGAGCCCATCAGAGAGGAGGAAGGGAGGACAGAGAGAAGCCAGATCAGGGCCAGATGGAGGGCTTGGAAGTCCTGCTGGGTTGGGAACCAGGGTTGAACTTCATTCTGTAAGTAAAGGAGGGATAAATTATCTTGGGCTGTCACGGGTATGGTCACCTGGAGATCAAGACAGGACCAAGTGACACTGCTGTGATAATCCAAGCGAGAGATGATGGTGGTGTGGGCCAAGGAAGCGGGGGTGAGGCTGGAGAGGAGGAGACACATTAAGGAAGGAGAATGGACCTGGTGTGAGCTGAGGGGTAGGTTTTGGAAGCCTGTATGGAGGATGATGAGTTCAGTTTTGGACCTAGTGAGCCTGAAGGGCCTGTGGTGCCTGCTGGCAGAGATGACACAGGTGAATGGGTCTAAAGAGAGATTTGGAGGCAAGAACAGAGACAGGAAATAAAATGAAGGAAGCACATGGGATCAGGGGTGTCCTGGGGCAAGGAGAGGACAAGAGAAGAGGATGAAGCATAGAACGCTGAGACCCTCGGCATAAGCCTGAGCAGAGAGGGAGAGAGCTCACAAAGGTGATGATGGCTGGGAAGGAGGAGGACCAGGGCAGTAAACAAGGGAGGACAAGGGATATCACTGTCAGTGTCAGATGCAGCAGAACATTCAAGTAGATGAGGATGGTCACTGGTCCATGGAATCCACCAGGGTGATCTGGGTGGGAAGGTGGGAGCAGGAGCCCAGGGCCAGCAGGCTGAGAAGTCAAAGAGATGGTCAAGGCAGATTGCTTCTTGATGAGAAGGCTGGGAAGGAGGTGGGGCAGAGGGAGCTGTGGCTTGGAAGGAGGGACTTCCCAGGTTTGGGGGAAGAAGCTGAAAGGGAGGTTAAAGGTGGTTATTAATGGAAGGAGACTCCCCCAGGGAGCAGGAGGCCAAGAGAACACACAGCTGAGTGTCAAGAAGAGCAACACCTGTTCTTATGAAATTGGAGGAAAAGAGGAATGTTAGTTGGCTGCCATAATTAATCACCACAAACTGGGTGGCTTGAAACAATAGGAATTCACTCTCTCACAGTTCTGGAGGCCAGAAGTCTGAATCATGGCAGAGCCACGCTCCCACTGAAGTCAATCACCCCAGGAGAGCTAAACACTTGAGCGGGTGGCTCTGAGGATGTGCGAACTTGGCTGGCCCCATTTGGTCTGTTCTCCAGCCCTGCTCAGCAACTCTGCAGCCAGAGAGCCAGCCAGGGCTGGTGAGGGCTGACCTCCGCTGGCTTGATGGGGCAGCCTCATTAACTCAGTCTTGATAGGCTTAGGCCTTGGCTTAAAGGCAATTGTGTCCTTTCTAGACCACATGGTTGGCTTCACGCCCAGTTCTTGTCAAATCAGCATTCTTCTTTCAGAATAGCTGTTAACCCCACCTAAGGACCAGGTAGGTCATGGTCAATTTTTTCCATTGACATCAAGAGCAACAAGGAGCTCTCGCCTCCATAGGTGAGTTTCATGCCATAGATTATTATGTAACAATGTTGAGCAGAATGCCTTTAAATGGGGGCTCTTACTGTCTCACCTGCCTGGGCCCCATCACTGGCAGCCCACTTCGTCTGTTTGTGTGACCTGCCCAGCTCTGGCAGGCATACCAGTTGTCACCCTTGTTGCACAGCACACAGTTGTTACAAAAGATGAATGAGATAACAGCAGTTAACATTTGTAAGGCACTAATGCTGAACCACTAGCTTAAGTGCTTTACGTACAGGAACTCAGCAAACACCCACGATAGGTTTATGAGTTAGGTATTGTCATCTCCATTCCATAGGTGAGGGAACTGAGGCACAGAGAGACCACCCAAGTCCCTCACCCGGTGTTATGGGTTGAATTGCCCCCAACCCTCCAAATTCACGTGTTGAAGCCCATACCTGGAGCACCCCAGGATATGACCTTATTTAGAAATAGGGTCCTTGCAGACGTAATTAGTTAAAATGAGGTCATAACAGAGTAGAGTGGGCCCCTACTCCGATATTACTAGTGTTCTTTCACAAAGGAGGAATTTGGCCACCAGCAGTCACGCAGAAAGAACACCACAGGAGGAGAAAGGCAGAGATTGAGGTGATGCTCCTACATTTAAGGGACATTCAAGATTGCCAGAAAACCTTCCGAAGCTGGGGGAGAGGTGTGGAATAGATTCTTCCTCACTGATCTTAGATTCCTGGCCTCCAGAACTGAGAGACAATGTATTTCTGTTGGTTAAACCACATCATTTATGGTCCTTCCTTAGAGCAGCACTAGCAAACAAATACACTCAGTAATTGCTGGATTTCAGATTCAGATTTAAGCATCCTGGCTCCAAAGTCCAGGTTCTATACTTGGATGCTTGCGGCCTCTTCATACCTCCTGGCAAGCACTCGGCACCGTGCCTTGCTCATTGCAGGTGCTCAGAGCACAGGAGCTGTTCATATTAGTTCTGCCTCTTCTTCGATAAGGGCCCACTCCCAGGCAGTCAGGGATGAAGCAGACTGGTGTGCCCTTCACCCACTCCATGGAGTCAGAAGCCAGGGGCTCCCAGGTCTGTGTCTTCAGCGGATCCCATGTCCATCCTCCCATTTCCACTGCCACAGCTGCAGTAGGTCTCTGTGCCCAGAGGACACTGCCATGTACAGGTGAGGAAATTAAGACCCAAACAGGTAAAGCGATTGCCCCACAGTGCATTGTTAGTGAAGAAGCTGAGACTGCAGCCTTGTCTGAATCCAAATTTTACACTGGGGAGGTCCCTCTGGCTTCCTGGCTAGCAGCCTGTGAAACTGTGACATATTAATAATAAGAAATATACATTTAGTCTCTGGCTCGAGTACCTGAGACAGTGCCTCTAGGATCCTTGTAGATAGGGGTACTAAGAGAATCGTTTGTTTAATATTTGGTCTTTGACCTGATTCCCGAGAGCTTAGTAATTTCCAGAGTGACAAGAGCATCTGATGAAGAGCTCCTGGATCCCTTGCAGTTTCTTGGGTGACAGGAACATCTTTTTTCTAGCGAGGCAAGTCTTGGTGGGCTCCTGGGTAGGCTCATAAAGAATCTGGTTACCAGGGAAACCAACCATGGAATTAGAGGGTTGGAGCTTTCAGCTCACCCCCCTCCTCATGACCTCCTGAGATGGGAGAGAGGCTGCAGGTTGAGTTGGTCACCAGTGGCCAATGATGTAATCAATCATGCCTGTGTAATGAAACCTCCATAAAAACCCCAAAAAGGACAGGGTTTGGGCACTTTGGGGCAGCTGAAAGACGGAGGCTTCTGGAGGGTGGTACACTGAGGGAGGACATGGAAGCTCTGCGCCCAGTACCCTATACCTGGCCCTCTGACTCTCTTTTATCTGGCTGTTCATCTGTATCCTTTATTAATAAAATAGACCAGTAAGCGTAAGTGTTTCCCTGAGTTCTGTGAGCCCTCCTAGCTAATGAACTGAACCTGAGGAGGGAGTTGTGGGAACCTCACTTTATAGCCAGTTGGTCATAAAGTATAGGTGACAGCCTACTACTTGCAACTGGCATCTGAAGTAGGGGCAGTCTTGTGCGACAGAGCTCTTAACTGATGGGATCCAACATTATCTCCAGGTAGATAGTGTTGGAATTGAATTGAATTGAACTGCAGGACACCCAGTTAGTGTCTGCTGGACAATTTGGTGGTTGGAGAAATCCCACACACATTTTGGTGACCAGAGGTGAACTGTAGTGTTGAGAACTTGAAAAAAAGTTTGTTTTCTCCTATCTCAAACATGGCCAAACCCCACTCTGTAACTAGATGTTGAATGAAAGAATGAAAAACCGAATAAACCCACGCTGCATTTCTCTACACACCAATTTACTAGAGTCGTGCAAACTTGTCACCTTCCACTAGGCTACATCACTGCCACTCACATTGGCTTCCTCTGCCTTTTCCCCTAGTTGCAAAGTACAGAAAGACTTTGTTTTCCTGCTGGAAGATAACTTCTGAACTCACAAACAGGCACGGTTCCTCCGAGCACTCATTGCTGCTGTTGAGAGGCCTACCTCTCTAGCGGTGTAACAAGGGCCACACAAATGAGAGACCCCACAGGGGAGCAGCAACGGGAAAAGTGGACTCAGGCACTGCTCTAAAGAGGCAAGATCTCCTGCATGAAGTCTTTTTAATTTTTTTTTTTTTTAATGCTCCAAAAGGGCATTTTGAAATCTGAGGAGCTGAACTAAATATTTGCCCAATCAATTCCAGGGCCATGTCAAGGGGTGGTGATGCAGAACAAATAGCTCGGTGACCTTGCTTCTGGCTTAACCTTTTCTATTCATTCATTCATTTATTCATTCATTCATGCAACAAATATCAGTTGGGCCTCTCTCATATCCAGCTGGCACTGGGGCCAGGTGAGCTGAAGGAATGCAGGGTCAGCAGGGTCAACAGGTCCCCACCTTTGAAATGTCCTATCTAATAGGGATGGTGGGGGTGGGGGCAAACATTCTTATCGGGTCAACCACGTTTGATGGTGGGATGACAGTCTGCCTTAGGGAGGTGAGTGGTATCTGTGAGATCTTGAGAGAGTGCAGATTCTTAGAGGTAGGACGCTATAGGAAACCTGGGAAAACAAGACTTTCTGTGACTGCAGCCACTGGGTACATGAGAGCAAGAGGAGGAACTGAGGCAGAACAGGCAGGGGGTGACCAGATCAGGGAGGGCCTTGACTATAAATAGAGGCCTTTGAACCTTATTTTGTAGGCAATAGGGAGCCATCAACTATTTTTGAGTAGTGGAGGGTTGAGATTAATCAGAATAAGGAGGCTTCACTCTCAAGGCTGAATTGAGGAAGACCTGCTTCCTTTCTCTCTCCTTCATCACTTCGGGGCCGCGGTCATTCAACATCACCACGCCCTGCCATGCTGTTGCCATAGTAACCCTAGACCTTGGCCTTCTTTCAGGTTTGTCTTCCACCCTGGAATCCACTCACCCATGTACCTCTGTAGGGACAGAAGAGGGGGCGAGTCAGCCTGGGCCTTACTTCATTTCTTGCCTGGTTGTTGAAAAACAGAATCCAACTTCCCAGAAGGCACAGGGGGAAATGAATCACTCTTTGAGCTAGCAGGCTTGCTTTTGGGCCAACAAAATCAAGGGGTACAAAGGAGAGCGTGCATTCCCCTGAATCCCAGAGGCCTTGGGTGCCCTCAGGCATTTACTGGACAGCTTCTCCTGAGTGAAGCCCAGAGCTGGTATAACTAACTCAAAATGGCCTCGCCAGGCAATTTCCTGTATGGAACATTTCTTCGTCAAGTTCTCCTGAGGCTGCACTCATGTCCAGCTCAGGGCTATATTTTAGGGGCAGGAAGGGAGAGGAACGCTTTTGGGCTTTCCCCTTCCATCTTCCTCCCTTCTGCAAGGACTTTTCCACTGTACAAGAGTAGTCTGTCTATTGCTCCAAATATCGGTTTCCTGGTTTCCTGGCAGTGAGCCTATTCCTGTGGTTGCAGCGTTATTTGGGCCAGGGATCCCCATGTCACACAATTACTGGAATATTTTGGCTCTTAAACAGTCATCAACACTGGAGGCCGCTCTCCGGCCTGTTCCCCTGGTCACCTTCTCCTTGGTGAAAATTCTGGGTTTGTGACAGTGAGACATCCTGCTTGCCAGAGCCAAGAGCCTGAGACAGCTGGGTCTTGTTCTGAAGCCCATGGCTGAGTTTTCAGTATCGGCCCTGGGCCTCGTGGACACTGAGCAAGCACCCTGGAGTGGATGTGGCGAGCAGCCATGATTCCCAAAGCCTAGAAGATTCTTTGAGCTGGTCCTAAAGTAACAGCCCCTAATCTTTCAGTCCAGGACAGACTCTGAGGGGAGATTCTGCCCCCACTGGATCTACCAAGAGAGGAGAGCTGAGAGCTGAAGTCTTATTTAGAAACTTCTGGAAGATCAGTTAGGAACTTCAGGCGCCAGTGTGGTGAGAAAGGCCTATAAATCTTCTGCCTTTTTGGAACTTCTCCTTGCGGGGACTCAGTGTCAATTTTCCTGAGTAGCGAAAGTGGCAACGTGAAAAAGGTTTGGGGTCCCCAGATGGCAGTGGGATTTGGTGGAGAGAGACCCCCAGCTCAGAGCCTGTGGTGGCAGCACTGACTGTCAGGGCTGCAGGAATGAGGGCAATAATAATATAGCTAATGTTTGCACAGCACTGTTGTGAGACTTGACATATACAGTCACTGTTTAATCCTCCCAACAGCCCTATGAGGTCAGTAGCGTTATCATCATCCCACTTTATAGATGAATATACTGAGGCTCAGAGACGTGAAATGACTTCCCCAGGATCACACTACTTCTAAGGAGCACAGCTGGGACTTGAACCCAGGAATTCTGGTTTTGAACATGCTGGCAACCTGGACGCCACCGAGTGGGAGTGAAATGGCCTGCCTGGGAGGAGGATGAGCAGCTGATAGGAAAGCGTGTGGGAACTGTTGCCCCGGCCCTGAAAGCACAGGGTGAGCTAGGTCGAGGAAAAGGAAAGGAGATGTCCTTCCTGGCTGGACCGTTCCCAGCTCTAACTGTCCCGGGAACTCCGTGTCCATGGTCAAGGGCTGGAGACAATGCTGGAGCCCAGCTGCCACTGATGTCCTGGCCACCAAGAAAACCACAAGGTCCTACCCAGAGAATTGCATTTGCCAGAAATCACCGAGGCTCAGGGCAAACAGAACCACATCTCATCCACCTGCCTTGCCCTGTGGAGGGGGTGGTTTATTCTCACAGACTCTGGGAGGATCCACCCCACATACTCAACCAGTCTGAGCTGGACCACCTAGGCCAGAAAGGTGGGGAAACTGAGGCCCAAGAGGGTGAGGATTTGCCTGAAGATCCAGAGCACAGAGCCTGGATGTAAAAGCAAGAGTCTCTGGGTCTGCAGTGTGCTCTTTGGCCGCAGCCATTGTCCTGGGAGAGACACGGGTCACATCTCTGTAGCCACAGGAGGGGACAGTGCCTCACTGGGCTCTTCTGACCAGGTCCCCGTGGAAGCCGCCCTGGTGGTGTCTGCCTTTCCGTGGCTTTCTCAGCCCCTGCTCTGGAGCAAGGTACCAGCCCTGCCTGAGGCAGCTGACTGCCCACACCCAGTCCCCTTTCCATAAACCTGGATAACCTACTGGAACGGGACTTGGAGCTCTCATACCTTGTGTCTGGGACCAGGTCTGCCAGGGGAGTCTGGGGCAAACCCAGGAGGGCCAGGCAGAGGACGCATTTACTGAGTGTCTACCACGTGCGAGACACTGAACCAGGGTCTTCATGGCATCGTGTTGTTTACTCGGTACAACCAGCCTGTTGTGAAAAGGGCCCGCCCCCTTTCCAGAGGCAGAAACTTGCTCCAAGAGGTCGGATGCTCTGCCAGAGGCTGCACAGCACCAGGGTGTGGAATGTCCAGGCCCTGCCCATCTCAGTGCCCCTCCCCGCTCCCCACCGGCCAGCACCTGCTGTCCTGGACTCCTGGACCTTCGGTGTCATCCTTGTCCCCAACTCTAAACACAGAGCTACTCACTCCCAGCCCTCCCCTGCCACATCCTCCTGCTTGGAACAGATGAGCAGCCCTGGGAGGGCTATGGTTTCGTGGGGTCGACGACCTTGCCCAGAAAGAGGACACTCTGGGTGCTGGTGGAAAAGATCACCACAAGGAAGGGCCGGTTGAATCGCAGGATGTGGCGATTGGTCTGGGCAGAGAAGAATTTGATCGCGAAGCTGGTGGCTGCTGCAGCCTCGGTGCCAGCCTCATCCACGTCCAAGGTGGCCTTGTGGAAACTCTGGGAGGAAAATCACAAGCATTATCTCCAAGCCAGCAAGAGAGGGGGCCTGGACAAGACTGCGAGAGCCAGAAATTGCTAGGGAATAATATTGCACATAACAGCCTGCAAGGCCATTTCTTGGGGATAACACAGCAAGAATTTCATTTGGGCGGATTTTTGAGCTAGAGACCTCCTGCCACACACAATCATGGTAGCTCTCATTAAATGAGCACTTGCTCTGTGCCCGGGGCTTTGCATGCATCTTATTTGATCTTCATGGCCATCCTAAGAGGTCAGCAGTATGATGTCCATTTTAAAAGTGAGGAAAATAAATTCAGAAACTAGTACTCTTTCAATAACCATAAGAGGAAGAACCGGAATTCAAGCTTGAACCCAAGGCTCTACCCCCTCGTGCACTTTTCTTATCAGAAGTCTTGAGTCTCTTTCTCTTATCTGCAAAGTCTCCCTAATACAGACGCACCCAATGCAGCCTCACCTGTGTCTCTCCTCTCTGTTTCCTCTATTTTTTCTTTTTTTTTTTTTTTGAGATGGAGTCTCACTCACTTTGTCACCCAGGCTGGAGTGCAGTGGCCTGATCTCTGGTCACATTGCAACCTCTGCCTCCCAGGCTCAAGCAATTCTCCTACCTCAGCCTCCTGAATAGCTGGGATTACAGGTGCCCACCACCCGCCACCACACCATTCTAATTTTTGTATTTTTAGTAGAGTTGGAGTTTCACCATTTTGGCCAAGCTGGTCTCAAACTCCTGACCTCAAGTGATCTGCCTGCCTTGGCCTCCCAAAATGCTGAGATTACAGGCATGAGTTACCATGCCCGGCCCCTCCTCCATTTTCTATCATTGCGTTTATCTCTCTATGAAGACGCTGTGTCCCTGACTAGACTGGGAGAGCTCTCTGAGGGCAGGGGCTGGTTCAACACTATATCTCCAGCACCTAGCACCACGTCCA
Source organism: Homo sapiens (assembly GCF_000001405.40). NCBI lineage: Eukaryota > Metazoa > Chordata > Mammalia > Primates > Hominidae > Homo > Homo sapiens. The sequence goes on along the minus strand of NC_000014.9, from coordinate 94,568,444 downwards.
GGGCTGGTTGATTGGTGGATGCTGATGCCTGTAGATGACTGAACACACTCAGGCTCTGAGACTCCATGTGGCAGCTTGGGAGCCCCATCGCCTGGCAGCTCCCATGGGCACTGCCCTACCGAGTTCTCTAGGGATTGCTGACTGTTGACGACTTACTTTGGATGCCTCCAGTTTTTGCTGTTTGGTGATGCCGGATAAGTCAGCCCACTTGGAGAACAGATCCGTGAAGCCCAGCCTGGGCAAAATCTGATCTAATACATAGGAGCCAGAAATGGAGAACTTGGGAAGATGCAACTCTAGCTTCTTGTAAAAATTCCTGAAAGGGGCATTGAGTTAGAACATTAGATTAATGAACAAGCCAGGATCCCTGCTGGGCAGAGCCCTCCTTGGTGGCCCTCTCTAGCTGGCTCTATTCCATCTGAGTTCTGTCCCCACAAACAGCTTCGGCTCAGACCACCTCCCACAAATGGATGTTGAAAGGCCAGGTTCCTTTGTACCCAGGCCCTGCTGTCTGTGGGATCTCCCGTCCTTGGGAACCCCTCTTCAGAGGTTGCTTCCTGTGGGTGTTCAGGTGCCCAGGGAGACAGATGTAAGCCTCGCCAGGTGGCAGTTTTGCCTTTGCCTCTGTTATAGCCCTGTGGGTTTTATTCTTTTTGAACCAGCTAATTTCTTTGGATTGGATTCTCTCCATCATGAAAGTTGTGTGAATTTTCTATCCACATGTGCCCTTGGGCTAGGATCCTTTTCTTATATATGGTTGAAGACTTTTTCCAATCATAACCAGAGTGATGGGAAGCCTTCCTATTAATTCCTTGGGTAGGTGGATGGAGTTTTTTTAAGTCCCACTATGGCAGCTTAGTCAACCTTCTGGGCCAGAAGGGCTACCTCTTCATTGCACAGAGGTAACCCCCCAGAGAGGAAGAGTCACTTGACCCAAGTCTTGTGCAGTGGAAGAGCTATGTCTAGAACCCAGGACTCTGAACTCCTACTGTGGTTCTTTTTTGCCTAAAGAGGGGGAAGTCATATTTTAAATATAACAGGAGAGTTCATCATTTAAAGGAAGCCCATGGAAGTTCTCAGAGCAAGTGAGAATTCTCTCATAATTTGGTGTTCACTCTCTATTTTGGGGCACTGTCTTTCATTAGAAAGTTACATTTGATGGATAGTACTGTAGATTCAGCCCCCATAGCACACTGATTACCTCTTCCGCAACAAGTTGTTCCACCTCATTAGCATCTCTGGAGTCAGAACCTCTTCAATCTCCCTCATTTTGCCTTGGTTAGGGAGAATGAAAAACACGGTTGCGTCTCCTTTGTAATCCATCCGTAGCACCGAGCAGGGCAAGTATCTGTCATGAAGATACCAGTGATGCTCCTGGTCCTGCAGCATCATGGGCACCCGGACTGTTGTGTTCTCATCAACATAGAAGTCTTTGGGAGTGGTCCTTGAGGAAATGAATGGTTTCTCCCACAGGGCTGAAGGGAAGATGAAAAGAAGGTACAGGACATCTGCAGGCCACAGAGCTAGTCCTCCAGCCAGGGAATGCCATCTGGTGTTCTGAGCTACAGAAACAGTCGCTCCAGATCCTGCCCTATGAGCCCATCAAGATGTCCCATTTTGACCATTCAAAACCTGACATGCCTGGGGAATGGATCCTTTAGGCCTCATTTAAATTTTAAAATGAGAGATAGCAGAGGATGTTCGTTTTCTAATATGTGAGTAGGATTGATAGAGAAGAAACAAGGGGTGCTGGAAAGAGAGTTTCATTGTTAGGTGAGCATCCTTGAGAAGGAGAGAGGAGATGGCAGAGTGTGAGCAGAGGGGTCAGCCTTCCATAAGAGGTGGGTCACTACTGCCATGATGAGAGGAGGGCATCTGAGCTTGTGGGTTCAAATGCAGGGAGGCGAGTAGATTTGGAGGTGAGAAGATTTGGAGGTGAGTAGATTTGGAGGTGAGAAGATGAGAGATTTCCTGTTTAACTGATTCTGTTTTCTCAATGAAAAGTGAGACAAGATTGTTAAGTGAAAGTCATGAGTGGGGAGGACATTTGAGAAGGACGAATCTGTTATTATAGTTGTTTTGGAGAGTGGAGATATGTAGGTAGGATTGCTGGACAGTGTAGAGATATCAATGAAAATTTGCATTCACAAATATCAAGTGAGACCATCAGCCCCGTTGGATGTTTTTCTTCAACCACATTCAGCTGCTGGGTGCAGATGTAGACTAGTTAGACCTTTAGGTTTAAGCAGGTTTGCAGCTTTGGAGGGTAAGTATGATAGAGGGAGGGAAAACCAAGGAAGTTAAGAGTTCAGAGTGTTTGCAAGGAAGTGACCACAATGATGGCCATGGAATCGCTGCAGTGTGAGGAGGGAAGCAAATACAGGAGGCGATGTGCAGTGAGGTGGTGGCAGGTAGGGTGAATGGACTAAGGCCTCCATGCCAGGAATTTTAGTCCAGGGAATAGCAAGGGATCTGGGATTCTAACCAATGTCTTCCTGACAGTGAAACCCATACTACTGTTTCTCTTCCTTCCTTAGTTAATTTTTTTTTTAAAGTTTAAAAGTTTTGTTATTTCAAAGCAAAACTTTTTTTTGGAGATAGAGTCTCATTCTGTCACCCAGACCAGAGTGTGGTGGCAAAATCTCAGCAACCTCCACTTCCTGGGTTCAAGCGATTCTCCTGCCTCAGCCTCCCAAGTGGCTGGGATTACAGGCATGTGCCATGAAGCCTGGCTAATTTTTTTTTTTTTTTTTGTATTTTTAGTAGAGACAGGGTTTTGCCATGTTGGCCGGGCTGGTCTTGAACTTCTGATTTCAATATCCACCTGCCTTGGCCTCCCAAAGTGCTGGAATTACAGGTGTGAGCCACTATGCCCAGCCTCAAAACAAAGCTTTTTTAAAAAAACTTTTCAATGGTTCATGAAAATTCCACATGCAAATTACATGGGATGACTAATTTGGCTGAATCATTAGGCTGGGAGTTGCTCCCTAGAATTTTGTTCCCTGTAGATTTTGGGTTCAAGCTGGTTAGAACTGTGAGATTTCGAAGTAGATTGCCCTCTGAAGGCCCTGGTAGTCAGATATGATGATGGTCAGACTCAGCAGTGCTCTGTGTGCTCCAGTTTGCCCTGCTTGTCTCCAAGCTCATTTCCCAAGTCTAACCCCACTAAACAACAGCAGCCCCAGGCTACCACAGAAACTATGCAGTGATGCTCCCCTCCATGGCAGCACTCTGATGGCTGGTTGAGCCTGGCATATAGATTCCCCTCTAAGCTCTGACTTGTCCGCTTACATTGGCAACTTTCTCTCTGTCCTTCCAACTCTTCTTTCCTCTAGACCTTCACTTTCCCAGTCGCAATTGTGTGGGGCCTAATTCCTATAATGATCTCCTTACCATTGACTTGAGGTGGCTCTCCTTCTCTGATGAAACCCTGGCTAATACACACCGTACAAAGTTGTTTGCACACTGCAAAATCAACTGTGTGGACATATATGTGTGTGAATGGAAGGTGAAGAAAAGATGCTAAAACATTAACATTTGTTGCCTCTGAGTGGTAGGACTAGAGATTATGTCTACTTTCTCCTTTATGCTTTTACATATTTTTAAAGCTTCAAAATGAGCATTGTTATCATTAGATGAATTATAGTTGCTATTTATTGAGTACATAAAATGGTCAGGGGTCAACAAACCAAAAGGTTTATAGAGATATTAACTATTTTAGGCATTGCAGATCATTCAATCTCTGCAGTAATGAATCAACCTGCCATTGTAGCATGAAGTCAGCCACAGACAATACATAAATGAATGGGCCTGGCTGTGTGCCAATAAAACTTTATTTACAAAACCAGTGGCTGAACACATTTGGCCCATGGGCTGTAGTTTGCCCATCTCTTTAGACCCTTTTCTAAGGAGTATATACATGGGTTAATCATTTGATCCTCAAAGCCAACCTTTGAATTAGAGACTTGTCTTATCCCTGCTTTGAGCAAACAAGCTGACCTGTTTGCACTGTTGGTAGAGGCTGAGCTCAGATATGAATCCAGCAATTCAACTAATGATCACTGGCTATAATGCATTTTATACATTATTTTTATGAAGAAAATATGTCTAAAGATAGGAAGGAATGGAAACCTCAATACTACAGAGTCTTCAACATACAACATTCTCACATTGCATTCCCTGAGGGTTGCTCAACCCTATCAGACACAACGTTTTTACTTACATTTTTGTAAAAATATATTTAACCAGTCAACAAATTAGTGGGTTGGAGGCGGTGGTGTGGATTTAGCATATACCAATGATCTGACTCTCACCTTTGAAGTAAATGTAATTCACCAGCACCATCAAGACGTCCTTCTTGAGCTCACTGACCAAATCCACAATCTTCCCTCGAGTTTCCTTCTTGACGTGGTCGTTGATAAGCTGGATTGTGCCCACAGTGTCGTAGAAGTTGGTGTGGAAGAGTTTAGCCTCATAGACGGCCATGGTGTCATTCAGGAATTTTGCAAGGAACTTCAGGTTGTGGCTCAGGAACAGAGCACTGCCCACGCGTGTTTCCAGCCCATGGCCGGGGAGGTTGAGAGTGTGCAGGAGGTGCTGGAAGCCCCTATGGACATCGGACTCAGACAGCTCGGTGAGGTTGAAGCCCAGGCCCTCAAGGATCTGGCTGCGGCTGTGTGAGCAGGCCCCCAGGGAAAGCATGGCGTAGGCCGCCGAGATGCTCAGCGGGGAGAAAAAGATGTTCTTCCCCGGGGTCTCCGAAGCGATCAGGTAGTAGAAGCGGAAGGCAAAGTCAGCATTGGCAGGGGCTATCTTGAGGCTGGGGGAGCCCTCACCTGTCTCCAGAATCTGCTGGTGGGAGCTGTTACTGCAACTCTCACCATCATGCTCAACGTGCAGCTGGCCATGAGAAAGGGCCAGTAGTCCAACCAGCAGGAGGAGCAGGTAGTCGATAAGATGCATCCTCTGCACTCTCAGGCCTATGGGAGGGAAGAGAATGCCCAGGAAATTCCCCCAGAAGAACACCTGGCCCTACTGAGAAGGCTGGCAGTGGGCCAGCACCCGGAGATCGTGAGTGACACCCTCAACTCCTGCAGATGGGCTTGTGAAAGGCAATGTAACACCCACCACCTTCCACATGTATGGTGACAGCAACACTATTGGATGGCAATGTTTTAGACTTACAAGGCACACTCCTTGTGTCCATCATGTCATTGTGTTTCCCACCTGTGTGAGCTCTGCACAGCACTAGACTCCATTCTCACCCAACAGAGCAGGAAATGAAGACTCCCAAAGTGACTCACCCAAGTCACCTACCTAGCACATATCCCAGCCAGAACCCACATCCCCAGACTCAGGTGCTGCTTCTCCCACACTTGTCTTTCAGATGAGTTGATTTCATTAGTGCAGTGATTTTGCATGGAGGATGGCTATCCTCAGAGTTTATTTTAGGGTCTGTTCCACAAACATCTGTGGAGTGCTTTATATGGTTTACAAACCACTTTCAGCCATTTAGTTTGACCCTCCCACCCCTGTAGAGGTCAGTAGAACTGGTCTTTGTATTGTTACCCCGTACAGACAAGGACATGGATGTTTAATAAGTGACCTGCCCAAAGTTGTGGGGATAGAATTGGTACCCGTTTCATAATGAACATCTGTCCAAGAAAGGATACTCCAGTTTCTCCCCCAAATCTGCTCCTGCCCCATCAAATGGTCCCACCAGTATCCGGTTGTCAGGCCAAAAAGCTTCTAGGCTTCTATCCACCCAAAATCCATTTAATCCACTTCCATGACCTGCAGGGTTGGGTTTTTTTTGTTTGTTTGGTTGTTTGTTTGTTTGTTTGAGACAGGGTCTCACTCTGTCACCCAAGCTGGAGTGCAGTGGTGTAATCATGGCTCACTGCAGCCTTGACTTCCTGAGCTCAGGTGATCCTCCCACTTCACCCTTCCAAGTAGCTGGAACTACAGGCATGCACCCTTCCAAGTAGCTGGAACTACAGGCATGCACAGCCACACCCAGCTAATTTTTTATAGAGTTGGGGTCTCACCATGCTGCCCAAGCTGGTCTCCAACTCCTAGACTCTCCTGTAGGTTCTTCAGCCTCTCGCCCCCTCTTTTGCTATGATCCTCAACCAGGGCTCAGAAAACTTTTTCTGCAAAGCGCCAGATAGTAATATCTGTGGTTTTGCAGACCACACAGTCTCTGCTGCCACTACCCAACTCTGCTGTGGCAGCTGGAAACAGCCACAGACCGGACATGCATGAAGAGGCGTGGCTGTGTTTCAGTGAAACTTCACTTACGGACACTGAAATGTGAATTTCATATTATTTTCCTGTGTCACAAAATGTTGTTCTTCTATTGATTTTTCATAGCTTTATATATTTATCTTTTATACTTATCACTTATATTTTATATTTATATTTTACATCTTGCATTCTTAGCTCATGGGCGGTGGGCCGGATTTGACCTACAAGCTGTGGTTTGTTGACCCCTGACCTAGACCCTTGCAGAAAGCTTCCTAGTCTTTCTGCTCTCTGTTCTCCACTCAGCAGTTGGAGGGATCATTTAGAAACATACATAGGACCGCATCACTCACAGACACACCTCCCCTCCGGCATGAGCTCCCCAAGATCACCTGGATTGGCAGCCAGAAGACCTTGGCCCTCAGTCAGTGCCGCCCTGTACCAGCTGTGTGTCCCTGGGGGAGGCTTTTCTGGGTCTCCGGGCATAGTCACCCACCAGTGCCCATGGACCCTAAGTCGGGGCCTTTCTAGCCTGAGTATTTCTCACCTCTAGCAAGAGTGACAAAGTGTCCCAGCTTGCCTGGGACTTTCCTGGTTTTAGCACTGAAAATATATCCCAGAAGAATTATCAGTCTTGGGCAAAGTGGAACAGTTGGTCACCCTCCCTCTAGAGTCTCTCGTCTCCATTGTCTCAGGGGGTTACTCACGGCACAGTCTGTCCTGGAGTGGACCCCCTGGGTGGCTGTCTCAGCTCTGTCTTATCAAGCCCAGGAGGACTGGTCAAACCAGGCCTTCTCAGTACCACCCACTCTCTCCCGACCAGGTAATTATTAACAAACAGGCTACGGGTGCAGCATTGCCTCAACAAGGAAAACTCACCAGAAGTTGGTTCACCCCCTCCCAAGAAGACACCCCACTTCCCACCTGGGGAACCCCAAGAGGGTTCACTTCTTCATGTTTGTGCAGTGCATGGAGGTTCGCCTGGCCCTTGCTGCTCCCCGAGGGCCCGGGGAACCACTTGGAAAATCTGGTCTCCAACCAGCCCCTCACTAGCTGTGTGAAGTTGAGCTCATTTACTCCCTCTCTGAGCTTCAGTCGCCCACCTCCCTCCTACAACATGAGGGGCTGGATCAGACAGGGGGCAGCAAGCTCCAGCGCCGCCTTCCTAGATCAGGTAAGGAAGACTCCATGGTGCCACGGTGGGGAATGGTGGGGATGTGTGGAAGTGAGAGAGCCAGCTCTCTACAGGCCAGGCAAGACCCACCTGTGGGCAGGGCCTCACAGCAGGGCCTCCAGTTTGCAATCCTGGACTCTGTGATTTCTGAGGATAGAGTCCACTGAGATCTCATAGGTCAGACCATAAGGAGAGTACATCCCAGGGCAAGGGTGGCATGGGGTGGGACCAGGAACCTCCTTGGGCCAGGTATTCAATTTGCATTTTTCTTCTTTAACCATGGAATTGAACTTGTTCTCTCCCCAGTAATCAGTGAACCCCTGCACCCTTGCACCCTTGCACCCTCCTGGGGCAGCCATTTCTCAAGCTATGTGGGGAAGGACTGCAGGGAGCAATGTGGCCCTGGGTGCCCTGACTGAGATGACCTTGACCATTCAGGCATCCTCTAGCAGACTTTCTGGATGTGTTTCCAAGTCGTTGGGCCTTAAGGTAAGTGAAATATACACCACTGAGCAGCACAGTGGGCTGGGAGCCCTGAGCGATGTAGACATGGGGATGGCAGAGCAGGCACAAGCACAGCCCTGGAGCCAGCTGGCCTGAGGTCCAAAATGGGTCAACACCAGGACAAGAGAGGAAGCTAGCAGGTCAGGCAAAGTGAGAGCTACTGTCTCAGTGGATTCTCGCTTTCCCTCACTCATCTCTCTCTTTCCCTTGCCTATACACTCTAGGTATACTAAGCTTGGCCCATTTTACACATGAGAAAATGTAAGCCCGGAGACATTGTTAGCTCAGATTCCAGAGTCAGGGTCTGCTCCGTGGCCACTGAACATGAAGCCCATATTCCTTCCCAGCATCTGCTGCTTCTCCACTTGGACAGACTTTTCCTGCCACCGGAATAGCAGCTGCTGCTTTGCTTACTGCTGTACCACGCGCTAGAGCAGAATGTGGTGCAGGGGACATGCTCCATGGATGTTGACTGAGTAAGTCAATGAGTGAAAGATGGCCATGGATTTTTGCTCTGATGAATGTGAAAATACATTATTCCCCTTACAATGGTCTACAGTCTGGGGTTTTGCTTTTTTAGTCTTGCTTCTTCAGTGAGTTTGGGGCTGATGCCACAGATTCCAGGGGTTAGCGTATGCTTGGCTGCAGCCCAGGGGATGGACAGCTTGTCCCTGCCATGAGCACACAGTCACTGCCCTTTAGTTTCTGGCGCCTGCCCCTGGTATGTTCTGGACAGAGGCTGGGCTTTGGCGTCAGACAAGCTCCCTCACTGCTGAGATTTGTGACTTTGGGCAAGTCACTCCACCTCTCTGAACCTCAGTTTTTCACGTGTCAAATGAGAAGCAATAATCACTAATCAGAAAACTGATATTAAGGGCAGGGGGGCAGCACTCTTAAATGTTCTGAGCCCTGTATCAGTCTTAATGGGTGCTTCCTTCTTCCCTTCCCATCCCAGCAGTGGTGGACAGCCAGACTGTCTGGGTTGAATCTAGACTCCACCACTACTTAAGTTACTTAACTCTGCCTCAGTGTCTTCATCTGTAAACTGTGGGTAATAATTGCCCCTAAATCTCAGGGTTGTCAACAAGATCAGTAAACTGACATCTGTAAAGTCCTAGAATAGCATCTGGCCATAGTGAGTGCAGTGGAAGCGTGAGTTAGTCTGTCGTATTATTTCAGATGGGTTGTACATTACTCATTTATCCCCAAAGGTGTACACATGGCTGAAACCATGTTGTTAAACTTGTTTTGAGTTGTGGTCCTGATTATCTCAAGAAAGCTTTGAACTCTCCCTGAAATATGCACAGATGTATGTTTTACAATTTAGGGAGATTCTTGAATCCCATGAAGTCCATGCAGTCCCCGTGGGCTACAGCAGTTATTTTTTCCTGCAAAGAGCAGGCCCATATAAAGGAAAGGTGGAAAGAACTCTCAGGCATGTAGTGGGAGCTACTGACTTGGACCCTGCAGGAGAAGGAGGGAATGACGGCAATTGGTGTGGCTGCAGGCTGGGCTCAGTTGCTAACTCCAGCCTCAGTCCTGCCTGCTTCTTGTCTTAAGGTCTCTGGGAGGGCTTCAGGATTGTTGAACCCTTGCCTGTTACAATTTGAAGGCCAAGTGTTTCTTGTTAATCATCTGTAAGGTCCCAGAGGACAATGAATTGTGCCACAGTCATATCTGGGCACATTAGAACAGGCCTGGCCTATAGAAGATGCTTAACAGAAGTCAGTCATTGAATGAATGAATGAATGAATGAATGAATGAATGAAGAGATGCCAAAGGCCCTGCTCAGAGGTGCTGCTCAGATGTTCCAGTGGCAAGCTCCTAAAATCTGCAACACTCTCGGCAAGTACTGATTTAAGGAAGCAGGGATAAGTTGCCTGACCAGGAAGGCCAGGGTGGATGTGGGGAAGCAGAGGGCTTGACTGCCTCTCTGCCCCTAGGAAATACCACTGGGCCAGATGGGGCAGCTGCTGTGACACCACTGATGTCCCCGGCAGGGAGCCGCTTTTTCCAGCATCCCAGAAACTGCCTGAACTGTGCTGTAGGCATGAATCCCACTCCCTGACACCCTCCTCTGCTCCACTGCATCCTAAATTGCAACCCAGCCCTTTCTCAATGGCTGTCTTGGTCTCCCATTCCAGCACAGGCTCCACTTATGCTGCCCTCCTGCTAACTGCTCCCAATCCCCTTCCCATTCCCTGGATTCCAAATGGAGCCAGGAAATTAATCTGCCCTTAAAAAGGCTGTCCTTGTTTTGAATTTGATTGGCAATGCAATAATGGTCATCATGAAAAATATGGGAAAGTAAAAAAAACCTGGAGAAGAAAATAAAATCATTTGCAAACCTGGTGTTCAGCTTATGACTAGATATAATTGGTTTCCTTCCAGTCTTGTAAGAAATGGGTATGTGCTCATACAGAACAGCAACAACAAAGCTCTTCCAGTCTTGGTTTGGATGGAGGTAGGAAGACTATAGATGCTACAGTCCAAAGAGAGCTCCATGCAAAAATTCCAGAGTAGGTGGTCAAGAACAGGTCTCCTGATTCTTAAATGCTTTACTCATGTGAAAGAGGACTGAAAGGTGTTGAGAGGTGGAGACTGAGAAGGAATTACAAAGAGGAAGGAGAGAAGTGCTTCCCCCATGTTATCTTAAGAGTGCAGAGCTTCAACAAAACACTCATGCAACACAATATGTATCCCTGGAGTTAGAGGGGCTCAGGGCTTGATGCTTGCCTGGAAATGCTAAAAGGTGTAGGTGGGCTGTTTAGCCTCTCTAGGAACTCTACGTCTAATTATCTGTCCCTCTCTTAAACTCATCATTTTCTATCTGGCTTTTAGATACATAGTTACACAGGATACACATACATCCTACTTATGTATAGCTGGGAAACAAGCCACCCCAAATTTAGCGGCATAAAACAATGGCAGTTGTTTGTCATTATTATTGCTATCTCTACAGTTCTGGGGGTTGACTGGGCTCAGCTGGGTGGTTTTTGCTCAGGGTCTCTTATGAGGTTGCAGTTGGACAGGAACTGAGACTAGAGTCATCTTCAAAGTGGATATGCTTTCAGACTACCACATATGATGTCCCTGCTGGACTATGGGTTTTTAGGAAGCAAGCACAGTGTTTTATTCCTTTTTCTTCCTGAATTTGTGTCCTTCCCTCTAACTTTCACAGCTTAGCACATTGCTTAGCACAGAACAAGTCCTATGTTAGGGTCAGTTGAATAAAAAACAATAATTAGACTTCATTCAGGATCATCCTGGTGGATGGGAGGCAAGACTAGATTGCAGCTCTGACTTGGATAGACAGAGCAGCATGCGGAGGCTTGCATGGTGAATTTTAGTGTCAGAATGACTTCAAGAACAAACCAGGAATCCTGAGAGGACACACAGACCCTCTGAAGGAAGTGGACTGCTTCTGCAGGACCCAGGAGATCCCCCAAATACTGTGAGTACCCAAACTGCGGAAATGGGAAAGGGAGACCTTCTGCTATGAAACACACACCCCCACTGGGGAAAATGAAGGTGTAGTTTGTGGGAGAAGTTTCTGACCTTACCTGGAGCTGAGTCGATTTAGAGAGCCAAGCGAAATACAGGGGTAGAGGAAGCAGGGGGAAAGGCCCTGGGAGCTTGCTGGATCTCAAGCAGGCCATTCCTGCATGGCACCACAGGAGCCCTTTGGGAGGGTGGCCAGAGGTGTGGGGCAAAATGCCACAGGGAGAAGGAAGTCTCCAGCTGAAATTTGTAACAATTTGAACAGGGCAAGAAGCTTGCTGGCCAGAACTTGGGGAAGGGTGCGAATCCAGTGTGCCGACTCCACAGGTAGGGGAAGAACCAAAGCCCTATTCTTTCGCAGTTGGGAGGTGAGTAACCTGGGGCAAGTTCCCAAGACCTGCTCGCCCACTGCCTGGAAACAGACTCAGGGCTGTTAGCAGGGGCATGGTGGGAATGAGAATGGCCCTTCAGATTGTTTGGGAGCTGGGTGAGGCCTGTGACTGCTGGCTTTCCCCTACTTTCCTGACAACCTGCATGACTCAGTAGAGGCAGCCATAATCCTCCTAGGTACATAACTCCATTGACATGGGAACCTCACTCCCATCCCCCACAGCAGCCATAGCAAGGCCCACCCAAAGAAAGTCAGAGCTCAGACACCCCCAGCCCTGCCCCTCGATGGGCCTTCCCTGTCCACCCTGATAGCGGAAAACTAATAACATATACTCTTGGGAGTTCTGAAACCCCACCACCACCAGTTCCTTTCCATACTACCACAGCTGATGCTCTCTGGGAAGCGCCACCTCCCGGCAGGAGGCCAACCAATACAAAAATAGAACGTTAAACCACCAAAGCTAAAAACCCTCACAGAGTTCATTTCAGTCCCCTGCCGCCTCCACCAAAACGGGTGCTGGTATCCATGGCTGAGAGACCCACAGAGGGTTCACATCACCTGACTCTGTGCAGACAAACCCCCGTACCAGCCTGGAGCCGGGCAGACTTGCTGGGTGGCTAGACTCAGAAGAAAAATAACAATCACTGCAACGTGGCTCACAGGAAGCCACATCCATAGGAAAAGGGGGAGAGTACTACATCAAGGGAACACAGTGTGGGACAAAAGAATCTGAACAACAGCCTTTAGCCCTAGACCTTCCCTCAGAGAGAGCCTACCCAAATGAGAAGGAACCGGAAAACCAACGCTGGTAATATGACAAAACAAGGCTCTTTAACACCACCCCCCCGCCCCCCACCCCCCACCACCAAAATCACACTAGCTCACCAATAATGGATCCAAACCAAGAAGAAATCCCTGATTTATCTGAAAAAGAATTCAGGAGGTTAGTTATTAAGCTAATCAGGGAGGCACCAGAGAAAGGTGAAGCCCAATGCAAGGAAATCCAAAAAACAATACAAGAAGTGAAGGGAGAAATATTCAAGGAAATAGATAGCATTAAAAAAATCAAAACTTCAGGAAACATTGAACACACTGATAGAAATACTGACAGAAATACAAAATGCTCTGGAAAGTCTTACAATAGAATTGAACAAGTAGAAGAAAGAAATTTAGAGTTTGAAGACAAGATCTTCAAATTAACCCAATCCAACAAAAACAAAGAAAATATGAACAAAGCCTCCAAGAAGTTTGGGATTATGTTAAACGACCAAACCTAAGGATAATCGGTGCTCCCGAGGAAGAAGAGAAATCTGAAAGTTTGGAAAGCACCAGGTAACATTTCCAAACTTGCGGGAATAATCAAGGAAATCTTCCCCAGTCTTGCTAGAGACCTAGACATCCAAATACAAGAAGCACAAAGAACACCTGGGAAATTCATTGCAAAAAGATAATGACTTAGGCACATTGTCATCAGGTTATCTAAAGTTAAGACAAAGAAAAGAATTTTAAGAGCTGTGACACAAAACCACCAGGTAACCTATACAGGCAAACTTATTAGATTAACAGCAGATTTCTCAGCAGAGAAATCTACCAGCCAGAAGGGATTGGGGCCCTATCTTCAGCCTTCTCAAACAAAACAATTTTCAGCCAAGAATTTTATATCTAGTGATATTAAGCATCATATATGAAGGAAAGATACAGTCTTTTTCAGATAAACAAATGCTGAGAGAATTCACCACTACCAAGGCAGCACTATAAGAACTGCTAAAAGGAGCTCTAAATCTTGAAACAAATTCTGAAAACACATCAAAACAGAACCTATTTAAAACATAGATCACACAGGACCTGTGATACAAAAATACATTTTAAAAAGCAAAAACAAAAACAAAAAAACCAAAGTACACAGGCAACAAATAGCACAATGAATGCAATGGTACCCCACATCTCAATACTAACATTAAATGTAAATGGCCTAAATACCCCACTTAAAAGATATAGAGCTGCAGAATGCATAAGAACTCAGCAACCAACAATCTTCTGCCTTCAAGAGACTCACCTAACATGTAAGGACTCACATAAACTTAAAGGGGTGGAAAAAGACCTTTAATGCAAATGGACACCAAAAGTGGGCAGGGTTACCTATTCTTATATCAGACAAAGCAAACTTTAAAGCAACAGCAGTTAAAAGAGACAAAGAGAGACATTATACAATGGTAAAAGGCCTTGTTTAACAAGAAAATATCACAATCCTAAACATATATCTACCTAACACTGGAGCTCCCAAATTTGTAAAACAATTACTAATATATCTAAGAAATGAGATAGACAGCAACACAATAATAGTGGGGGACTTTAATACTCCTCTGACAGTACTAGACAGGTCATCAAGACAGAAAGTCAACAAAAGAACAATGGATTTAAACTATACCTTGGAATAAATGGACTTAACAGATATATACAGAACATTTCATCCAACAACTGCAGAATCCACCCTCTATTCAACAGTGCATGGAATTTTCTCCAAGATAGACCACATGATAGGCCATAAAATGAGCCTCAATAAATTTAAGAAAATTGAAATTATATCAAGTACTCTCTGAGATCACAGTGGAATGAAACTGGAAGTCAACTCCAAAAGGAAGCTTTGAAGCCACGCAAATATACAGACATTAAGTAACCTGCTCCCAGATGAGCATTGGGTCAAAAATGAAATCAAGACTGAAATTAAAAAATTCTTCAAACTGAATGACAATAATGACACAACCTATCAAAACCTCTGGGATAAAGCGAAGGCTGTGCTAAGAGGAAAGTTCATAGCCCTAAATGTCTACATCAAAAAGACTGAAAGAGCGCAAACTGACATTCCAAGGTCAAATCTCAAGGAAGTAGAGAAACAAGAATAAACCAAACCCAAACCAAGCAGAAGAAAAGAAATAATCAAGATCAAAGCAGAACTAAATGAAATTGAAACAAACAAACAAAAAAACACAGAAAATACATGAAACAAAAGCTGGTTCTTTGAAAAGATAAATAAAATTGACAGACCATTAGCAAGATTAACCAAGAAAAAAGAGAGAAAATCCAAATAACCTCATTAAAAAATGAAACAGAACATATTACAACTGACACCACTGAAATACAAAAGATTATTTGAGGCTACTATGAACACTTCTATGCACATCAACTAGAAAACCTAGAAGAGATGGATAACTTCCTGGAAAAATACAACCATCTTAGCTTAAATCAGGAGGAATTAGATACTCTGAACAGACCAATAATAAGCAGTAAGATTGAAATAGTAAATAAAAAATAACCAACAAAAAAAGCCCAGGACCAGATGGATTCACAGCAGAATTCTACCACATTCAAAGAAGAATTGGTACCAATCTTTTCGACACTATTCCACAAGACAGAGAGAGAGGCAACCCTCTCTTTCATTCTATGAAGCCAGTATCACCCTAATACCAAAACCAGGAAAGGACATAACCAAAAAAGAAAACTACAGACCAATATCCCTGATGAACATAGACTCTAAAATCTTTAGCAAAATACTAGCTAACCAAATCCAACAACATATCAAAAAGATAATCCACCATGATCAAGTGGGTTTCATACCAGAGATGCAGGGATGGTTTAACATACACAAGTCAATAAATGTGATACACCACATAAACAGAATTAAAAACAAAAATCACATGATTATCTCAATAGCTGTAGAAAAAGCATTCGAAAAAATCCAGCATCTATTTATGATTAAAACTCTCAGCAAAATCGGCATACAAGGGACATACCTCAATGTAATAAAAGTCATCTATGACAAACCCACAGCCAACATAATACTGAATGGGGAAAAGTTGAAAGCATTCCCTCTGAGAACTGGAACAAGACAAGGAGGCCCACTCTTACCACTCCTCTTCAACATAGTCCTGGAAGTCCTAGCCAAAGTAATCAGACAAGAGAAAGAAATAAAGGGCATCCAAATTGGTAAAATGGAAGTCAAACTCTCACTGCTGACGATATGATCGTTTACCTTGAAAACCCTAAAAACTCCTCCAGAAAGCTCCTATAACGGATAAAAGAATTTAACAAAGTTTCCAGATACAAGATTAATGTACACAAATCAGTTGCTCTTCTATACACCAAGAGCGGCCAAGCAGAGAATCAAATAAGAACTCAACTCCTCTTATAATAGCTACAAAAAAGGTAAAATACTTTGGAATGTACCTAACCAAGGAGGCAAAAGACCTCTACTAGGAAAACTACAAAACACTCCTGAAAGAAATCATAGTTGACAAAAACAAATGGGAACACATCTCATGCTTATGGATGGGTAGTATCAATATTGTGAAAATGACCATACTACCAAAAGCATTCTACAAATTCAATGCAATCTCCATCAAAATACCCCCATCATTTTTCACAGAATTAGGAAAAACACTTCTAAAATTCATATGGAACCAAAAAAAGTGCCTGCATAGCCAAAGCAAG
This sequence comes from Homo sapiens, assembly GCF_000001405.40. Classification (NCBI taxonomy): domain Eukaryota; kingdom Metazoa; phylum Chordata; class Mammalia; order Primates; family Hominidae; genus Homo; species Homo sapiens. The sequence continues at coordinate 94,552,143 of NC_000014.9, read as the reverse complement.
ACTAAACAAAAAGTAGGAATCTGGGGGCATCACACTACCTGATTTCAAACTATTCTGTGAGACCATAGTCACCAAAACAGCATGGTACTGGTTTAAAAATAGGCACATAGACCGATGGAACAGAATAGAGAGCCTCGAAATAAACCCAAATACTTACAGCCAACCGATCTTTGACAAAGCAAACAAAAACATAAAGTTGGGGAAAGACACCCTTTTCAACAAATGGTGCTGGGATAATTAGTTAGCCACATGTAGAAGAATGAAACTGGATCCTCGTCTCTCACCTTAATACAAAAATCAACTCAAGATGGATTAAGGACTTGAATCTAAGACCTAAAACTATACAAATCCTAGAAGATAACATTGAAAAAACCCTTCTAGACATTGGCTTAGGCAAGAATTTCATGACCAAGAACCCAAAAGCAAATGCAATAAAAACAAAGATAAATAGTTGGGACCTAATTAAACTAAAGAGCTTTTGCACGGCAAAAGGAACTGTCAGCAGAGTAAACAGACAGCCCACAGAGTGGGAGAAAATTTTCACAATCTATAAATCTGACAGAGAACTAATATCCAGAATCTACAGTGAACTCAAACAAATCTGAGAACAAAACAAACAATCCCATCAAAAAGTGGGCTAAGGATATGAATAGACAATTCTCAAAAGAAGATATACAAATGGCCAACAAACATATGAAAAAATCCTCAATGTCACTAATGATCAGGGAAATGCAAATCAAAACCACAATGTGTTACCACCCTACTCCTGCAAGAATGGCCATAATCATAAAATCAAAAAACAGTAGATGTTGGCATGGATGCGGTGAACAGGGAACACTTCTACACAGCTGGTGGGAATGTAAATGAGTATAGCCACTATGGAAAACAGTGTGGAAATTCCTTAAAGAACTAAAAGTAGAACTACCATTTGATCCAGCAATCCCTCTACTGGGTATCTACCCAGAGGAAAATAAGTCATTATACGAAAAATATACTTGCACAAGCATGTTTATAGTAGCACAATTTGCAATTGCAAAATCATGGAACCAACCCAAATGCCCATCAATCAATGAGTGGATAAAGAAACTGCAGTATGTATACACAATGGAATAGTACTCAGCCATAAAAAGGAATGAATTAACGGCATTTGCAGCGACCTGGATGAGACTGGACACTATTATTCTAAGTGAGGTAATTCAGGAATGGAAAACCAAACATCGAATGTTTTCACTGATAGGTGGGAGCTAAGTTATGGGGATATAAAGGCATAAGAATGATACAGTGGACTTTGGGAACTTGAGGGAAAGGTGGGAGGGGGGCGAGGGATAAAAGACTACAAATATGGTGCAGTGTATACTGTTCAGGTGATGTGTGTACCAAAAGCTCACAAATCACCACTGAAGAACTTACTCGTGTAACCAAATACCACCTGTACCCCAAAAACCTACGGAAAAAAGTAATAAAAATAACTACAATAATAACTACAACAAAACCAGATCCTATCTGTGGAGATTTTGCAATGTGCTGGGTCTTGTCTTTGATAGTGTAATGACATTAAATAATCCTAGGAATCCTAAGAGACATGCTTTACCTTCATTAAAGAGAGGAGGTGATGGAGGCCCAGGGGCGCTAAATATCTTCCTTGAGGTCGCACAGCTCCTATATGGGAAAACTGAGATTTGAACTCAGAAATTTCTGGTCCCAAAGTCCAAGCTCTTCACCTCCGCCTTTGACTAGTACTATTAGAAAGGAGATTTAACCTCAACCAATTGTGCAGCCAGCCGGGGGCAGTCCCAACCCACACTTTCCCCTCAAAGAGGATTAGGCTTTCTTCTTGGGTTATGTGGGTAGACTGAGCCCCCTGTGGGCCTGCGACCCTGCAGGAAGCTGTGCGTCTCCCAGCGAAATTCTGCTACCCTGAGGCCACACCCACAGTCACAGAGGCCACCGCCCCATAACACCACCGAGGCACTAGGATACCAAGGAATTCAGCTGCTTTTTGCCTAAGACCAACATTCCTCAAAATGTGGCCCTGGAGTCCTCCATAAGAGAGGTACTCGTTAATTAATTTATTTTTGAGACAGAGTCTTGCTCTGTCACCCAGACTGGAAGTCAGTGACACGATCTTGGCTCACTGCAGCCTCAACCTCCTGGGCTCAGATGTTCCTCCCACCACAGCCTCCAGAGTAACTGGGACTACAGGCATGCACCACCACTCCCGGCTAATTTTTGTATTTTTTGTAGAGACGGGTGTTTCACCGTATCACCCAGGCTGGTCTGGAACTCCTGGGCTCAAGTCATCCACCCACTTTGGCCTCCCAAAATCCTAGGAGCCACTGTGCCTGGCCTAGAAGTAGTTATTAAAAGCAAAGAATCACAGGCTTTCCCCCAAGTCTCTTGAATCAGAATCACGGGTGTGGGCGTGCAGGGCGGGTCTGGGGGTCCTGCACTTTAATGCTGTCCCCTAGCGGGTCTTAAGAATCACCCACGGCCTCAGGGCAAGCGTTTGGCGGGGCCTGGTCTCTGCAGTTTGAATTTTCACCACCAGAGGGCGCGCCTCCATTTCTTAACTGCACTGGCACATCCACTGCCTTCAGGCGCTCCTAAAACCCGTGCCCTGGGGCTTGGGGTGGGAAAAGGTGGCTTTTGCGTTTGGAAACACAGGCTTAGTCCTCTACTATTCTGAAAGTGTTAATGCTAGCTCATCTAGCCAAACACCCCCTCTTACGTGAGGGTTAGAACTTGACTAAGGCAAGTTAATGGAGGAGCTGGGCTCAGAAAGATTCGCAGCAGCTGGGTTCACATCACACGGGCCCCTTCCTCTCCTGAGCTCAGACTTGTCGAAGGTTGGAGGAGAAAGAGAAACAGCCGCTGGCCCAGTGGGGAGAAGACTTCAGCAGCACCCTGAGTTCATTCCTTCATTGCTTCATGCACTCGTTCTCAGCTACTTACTGAACTCCTGCTGCAGTGAGCAAAATCACCCTATTTTGGTTGGCGGGAGCAGCTCCTGCAGCTACACAGTGTGGGTGGGCTCTGAAGCGTAGAGCAGGAGCTGGGATTGACTGCAATGGGGATTCGCTGGCTGGGGGAGGGGGCCTTCAGGAAGGGTTTCCTGGGGAAGGAGCATTTGAGCTGAGCAGAATGACAAGGAGGTACCAAGCGTGGAACAGTGTTCCAGGTAGGGGAACAGCATAGGCAAATGTCCTGTAGAAGTATGGAGCATGGAATGATGATGGCTGTGCCCGGGGGCCAGGGTACATCCAGGGCACAGACGTGAGCAACCTTGACCTTAGAGAGCAGCAAAGACATGATGAGGCAGCCCTAGGTGAGGCCACAGGCCGCAGAGCAAGGGGAGGGAAGGGGAGATAGGGGCAAGCGTCATGGAGAAGGGGGCGTTGGGTTGATCCCGGTTTGGTTTGATTTGAGGACATTGATTCTGGCCATGCAGAGCGGGTATCACCATAGCCATGAGGATTTTCTAACTGATGCTGAGCTGATGATTTCAGAAGGTGAAGATATTTCTGAACTGAGGAGAGAGGGAGGGGATGGGGATTTCTGTTCTTCGAGGTCCTGCTTCATCCTCCAAACCCTGTCCCTCTGCCCACCATGGCTCCAGCCCAGCCTTGCCGCCCTTCCCACCCCAGGCTTCCTGCCTACGCTGCCGTCTCTGTGCAGTGCTGACCGAAGTCCAGGTTCAGAGCAAACACCTGACCTTCTGCCCTGTCCTTCTCTAGCCCTCAGCTCAGGGTCTCCTAGGTCTCAGTGCTTTGGAGCTGTTGTGGATTGTAGGGTAAAGGGAGGAGCAGGTTCTCTAAACTGCTGTGTGGCTATGAAGGACTTGGCAGCAGGTCCTTGGAATGCAGTCTGACTCCGTTTCTTGATGCTTGGCTGCTGACAGCTTTTAGGCTTGGTTCCTCCCTCTCCCCTTTCTACCCCACATCTGGGCCCACTGATGGGATAGCCCAGTGCCTCTCAAACTGTGCTTGGGAATTCTCACCCCAGCCCCACCCACTAACCACCATAAAACACCAAGACAGTCAGTCTTCTTTCCTTGATTTCTCAAGCCATGTTCAGAGCACCTTAGGCAACCTGCCCTGCTATCCTGAGAAGCCTCATAGTGTGAGCATTAGATCTTGCTATATCCTCGGGTGCACGTGTGTTGTTGTTGGTCTCAACATCCAGATCAAATTTGAGTGGGAGGTGTCCATCCTGCCCCTGGGTTGCAATCACCTCCCCTCTTCAGGATCTGCCCCTGATACCTTGCACAGTCCCTAAGGCCATGGCCGGGCCTGGGCGTCTTTCCATGTATTAGTCCATTCTCATGCTGCTAACAAAGACATACCTGAGACTGGGTAATTTATAAAGGAAAGAGGTTTAATGGACTCACACTTTCACATGGCTGGGGAGGCCTCACCATCATGGCAGAAGGTGAAGGAAGAGCAAAGTCACGTCTTACACGACAGCAGACAAGAGAGCATGTGCAGAGGAAGTGCTCTTTATAAAACCATCAGATCTCCCTGAGACTTACTCACTATCACGAGAACAGCACAGGAAAAACCCACCCCCATGATTCAGTTACCTCCCACCGGGTCCCTCCCATGACACGTGTGGATTATGGGCACTACAATTCAAGATGAGATTTGGGTAGGGACACAGCCAGACCATATCAGTCCCCCAGGCTGGAGCTAGCAGCACACCTGAATGATGGGCCACTGAGTCCCTGTCCTGGAAAGTGAGATTTGGAAGTGAGGAAAACAGTGAGCAAGAGTCTTGAATGCTGAGTTGCGGTTGCAGCAGAGCCTCAAAAGACAACCCGTAGCCCCCTGCGGCTGAGTCCCCAGAGCTGGTTTCTCTGTGATCCAGTTGTTCCATGCTCCGTGAGACTCGCCCACAACCTGGTAGTCCTTCCAATATTTTGTTTGTTTATTTGTTTAAGCAATCCAAAGGGTCTCTAAGATTATGTTTTTGTAACCAAAAGAAGTATAACTAGCACAGGTATTAGCCATATTTCACAAGTTGGGCTGACACTCTCCCTCAATTTTGTCCTTAGTATTACTTTCCGCAGCAAACTCATCCTTTATCTTAGTCCGTCATTATGCTTAGCCTTTTTGTGGACAATTATAATCCTCCAATTAGTGGCACTGAGTGAGGCCTGATCCTATGGAGTATATATTTATCCAAGTTTTTTGGTGGGATCTGGTAAGGGATTTGTCCCTATGGTAGATGAAATATGGCTTCAAGGCCTTTGCTGCTCTTCCCATAAAAGGTGGAGTCTATTTCCCCTTCCTCTGAGTTTAGACATCAGTTGTGGCTTGTCTTAATAACATGGGACAGAAGTGATGCAACGTGAGGCTAAGCCTTAGGTTCTGCAGCTTCTGCTTTTACATGCTGGAATGCTCCTTTTGAGAAGCCAGCTGCCATATATGAAGTCTGAGTGATCTGGGACTGCCATGCTATGAGGAAGCCCAAGCTAACCAAATAGAGAGAGAGAAAGAGGACTCATGGAGGAACAATCAGGCACCAGACATGTGAGCAAAGCCTCTGTGGCCTTCCAGACCAGCCCAGCGAGTCATGGTCTGAATGCAGCTGAGTGAATGACTCTGGCTGGCACCACATGGAGCCAAAGAACCACTTGGCTAAGTCCTGAATTCCTGACCCACCGAATCTTAAGCAAATAAAGCCATTGTTGTTTTCAGCCGCTGAGGTTTGGGGTCATCTGTTACATTGCAACGGATTCTCCAAACAGTCCCAGATTTAAAAGGCTTTTCAAGTCATTGTTCCTTTTCCTTTTTCTTTTTGAAGAACTCCAACGCATAGCTCGTAGACACGACATAGCCCAACATCACACCTGGATAAATGATGTTCCATGGACTAGAAGGCTGAGATCTGGAAAGGAGACATGGGGCCAGTTACTTAATCATTGGTTATTCATTGAGTACCTACTATGTGGCAGTCACTGTGCAAGGTTCTGGAAACTGGGCATTGAGCAGGACAAAGTTTCTACCCTTGTGGAATGTATATTCTAGACAGAGTGGTGGGCAGTAAACAAATAAACAAATAATAGAATTTCAGCGTGTACTAAGTGCCAGAAGAAGTTCAGCGGGGAGCAGGGGATAAAGAGTAATTAGGGGCAAAAGGTCAGTGATGTCCACTTTGAGGAAGTGGCATCTGAACCAAGTGCTGCATCGAGGGAGAGGACAAACTATATGAACAAGTATGGCTGAGCATTTCCGGCTGAGGGAAGAGCACAAGTTGCCCAGGCCACACAAGAAGTCAAGAGCGGAAGGAGGCAGCCAGGGCACCTAGGCCACACCAGGAAGTCTCTGGAGAAGAGGTAGCCTCTGCTTCACTCGGATGCCACAGCACCCGTTGCCATGGAAACCATCTTGCAAAGAAAGTGATGGTCCCTGGCTCAGCAGCACCATAGAAACTGCAAGGACGGAGACGGTGAGGGGGTGGATGCAGGGGGAGGAGAACTGGGCAGTTGCCAACCTCCAAAAGGTGTGTGGGTGGGAAGACGAAAGGCTTCGGAGACAACTAGCTGAGCATCACGCACAGCTGAAATGACGGGTTTCACTGCAGGGATGACTGGGTTGGATGAGCCTGCTGAGAGCTTGATCATAGTAAGTTAAAAAAAAATTAAAAAACCAAAGGCAAACAACCTAAGGAACAGCAAGGCTACTCACATGGTGGGCTTGTGGGCTCTGATTAGTCAGACGCCAGGCTGGCTGGACAGCGGGAAGGGGATGGACCTGCCAATGACGTGTATTCCTGGTGGAAGTCATTGCCTGCCCTCAGCTGGAGGCTGGAGAGGGGCCCCTCCCCACAGGGGTCAGATCAGCCCAGCACAGGACACATATTTACTAAAACACCGGGGTCCTGGCAGCACTGAGGGAGCCCCTCCCTAGGGGCGGTCCCTGATGGAGGGACCTGGAGGGAAAGCTGAACCGGATCATGGGGGCAGGGGAGTAGCTGCCTGAAGCCAGCCAGCCCAGCTCAGACGAATGTCCTGGGAACTGGAGTCAGGAGGCCTGGGTTCTAGTTCTACGTCTGCCATTGGTCACTAAGTGGTCTTCAGCAAGTCACATTCTCTCTCTGGGCCTCAGTTTCCTCATCTGTAAATCAAGGTGGCTGGACCAGGAAAGGGTTATAAACTGGACCATCTGGGGCTAGGTCATTAACATGACAAGGAGACAGGTCACGGGAGCTCAGAGGAGAGCCTGCTGTCGGCTCCAGGAGGACGGGGATCCCTGACCGTGCCACTGCCATGTATATCATCCGTGCCTGGGGCTGTGTCCACATGGTGCAGATGCTCCTTGAATCCTTGTTGGAGGTATAGATGAAACTGTGTGTCCAGTCTAACGACCATATCAACAGATCTCCTGATTACTCCAAAGAAGTTGGAAATTTGGACATTTTAAATTGTAAACTATCCCAATTTTTAACTGTGGGCCTCTAATTTCAGTAAGTTAGAGACATTTGTACATACCAAACAGTACAGGTTTGTGTACGTTCGGCTTAAAGATCTTCAAGGACTTTTCCAGCTCTGCATTCTTAGAGGGATGAAAATGTTTATGTCACACTTGATCCCATAAAGGATTTGAGGCAGCTTTGAAGACCTCCCCAATTTAAATTAAAAAAATTTAAAATTAAGCCGGGCATGGTGGCTCATGCCTGTAATCCCAGCACTTTGGGAGGCCGAGGCAGGTGGGTCACCTGAGGTCAGAAGTTCGAGACCAGCCTAGCCAACATGGCAAAACTCTGTCTCTACTTAAAAAAATACAATAATTAGCCGGACGTGGTGGCACACACCTGTAATCCCAGCTACCTGGAAGGCTGAGGCAGGAGAATTGCTTGAACCCAGGAGGCGGAAGTTGCAGTGAGCTGAGATCGTGCCACTGCACTCCATCTCAAAAAAAAATTGAAATTAAAAAGGCACACCTAAACAATCAGGAGAGATATAAATCAAAACAGAATGCTGATCAAAGCAATTATAAAAAAGAGAACAAAAGTAGAGGACTTACCCTACCTGACTGCAGGACTGACTACAAAGGCACGGTCAAGGAATCAGAACAGAATGTGGCAGCCAGGAGGCTGTGTGGACTCAGTGTGTAGAGAGTGCATGTTTACAGCTCGAAGGCGTCATGCAGCTATTTGCCTCCAAGTTTCCAAGAGACCAAGGTCAAAAGCGTCGTTCTTGCTGTTATGATGAGAAAGGGATACTGGTTCTTCGTGTCCCAGCCCCTAACTTGGAAGGAAAATTCTGACTTCAGAATGTCTGTGCCTCCTGCTGGCCACACACCCACCTTCTCCTGCTTCAGGGCTGGACATGCCTGGGAAGGGCAGAGCCGGGGACCTGGGACTTATTCTTGGCAGCTCTGCCATTAAATGAGAAGCGAGGGCTCCTTCCAATCCATGCCAGGCTAGCCTCACCATTCAGGATCACCCAGACAGCCCCACCTGGCCCTGCCAGGATTACCCGTAGATTGCAGACCCCACCCTGCAGGAGCTGACTCAGCAGGCCAGGACGGGGCCCAGGGATGTTTGACTCGGTCTCCACGGTGACGGGATGCCCACAGGGTTTGGGGATTTCTGGAGCAGCCGAGAGCAGGCCAGTCCAGCTGTGCCATCGGGGAGCTGAGTGCATGTCTCAGGGATGCCAGGACACCCCTCAGGTCTCTCATCAACCTCACCACCAGCAATCAAAGTGGTAGACGTGGCAAAGAGAAGCCCAATGCTGTGGTTGCCAAGAATGCCCTGGATTTAAGATTTTGACCTGCACAGCTCTGCTTTTCTGTCTCCACCCCATGTCTCTGTAGGTGTTCACACCCATGTGTAGCTGGTTATGACAGGCCCGCACACACTTCTATCTGCAGTTATCTCTGTCTCTTTCTATGGACATGGGTGACTTATGTTACACAGAGAGCCATGCTTGCATAGAGTACTATATGACACCTGTGAACACACACACTCAGAGGAGGAGATAGGAGATAGTAACTTATGACTTCATAAAAACAGGGCCCCCATGTGCTAACATGGCTGGGTTTTCTTCCCGCAGGAGGCCAGCTGGTGAATGGGCCTCAGGAAGTGGCAGTCAGACCTCTGTAGGAGGCATTTGATGAAGGCCTGCTGGTGTCGTGGTCATGTCACGTTTGGAGAGCTTCCCAGGTGCACACAGCTGGTCACCGGCACCCACAGATACAGAGGCACAGGCAGTGATGGCAGATAGAGGCTTGGGGTGCCCCTGGCATTCAAGGCAACACGTTCTGCAGGTGGCATCACACCATCACACGGGAGTCTTCTTAGACATGAGTCCTGTCCTTGTAGACGGGCTGGAGGTCCTCCACGGGGGGACAGGGCCATGTGCAGGCCACCTTCTTCAGGAAGCACTTTCTGGAAGCTAATGCTCTTTCTCTCTTGGTAGTCCCTGACCTTCAGGGCTCTCAGCAGACACCCCTGAACCTGGGGTCCTCACATCCTCTGTTGGTGGAAGAGCAGACATGGGGAGGAAGCAGGACTTTCGCAGGCTCTGGTGTTTAATCTGATTTGGGGGTTTCCCTGTCCACGTCCCCAGAAGCTTGTGGCAAGAAGTGCTTCCCTCCGTGTCGCACCACCACGCCGGTGCTCTCAATGCAGAGGCCACTGGGAGAGGGTGACACGTCAGCCCCTGATTCCTAGGCTGCAGTCAAAACTCTGCTTCTTCCTTCCGGTTGGAAATGCTTGTCTCAGTGAGTCATGGCACACGCTCTCTGCCTATTTACCAGTACAGGATCAATTCCAGGCCTTGGGGAGGACACCTCTGTCTCTCCTCCCATGCACCCTCTGGCTCCAGGCAGCTGTACTGTGCAAAACTTGCAGTTGGACAGAACTCCCGTTAAGTCAGGCCCTGCCACTGCTGTTTGCATGCCCAGGGGCAAATGATTTCTCCAGCTGGGATGCAGTTTTCACATCTGGAAAATGGGAACCACCCTTCCTACCACAGAGGGTTGCTCTGAGGTTTTGCTGGAAGAAGTAACCTAAAAAAGCGTTGTGAATCTTCAAGTTTTGCCCAAATGTAGGGCCCGTGGGTGCTTTATCTCCGACAGTTGTCGCCCAAAGCACTGTGGTTGAAAGACGGCAAAAGTCAGTGCCCATGGTCCCAGGGTACCTTCCTTCTTTTCCGGGAGCTGCTACTCTGCCGTTCACCAGGTCTCCTTTCACTGACTGCATCATTGGGTCCTTGCCATGCCCTCAACCCCACCAAGGGGAACCCTCCTGTATGTCCTGAGTTCCCTCCATGGATTCGGCAGCAGCTGGCCCAATTCTTCCAGGGCAGTTCTGGCTCTGCGTGTGAGCTGGTGGTGCTCCTGCTGAGCCCCTTCCAGTCCCTTCCTTTCTCAGGTCCCTGTGCAGTCAGCTTCTGTATCTGTAGCATCCTGAGTGTCTTTCTTTATTCCTTGCCAGTCACATACGATGAGAATCACAGGATGCCAGCCCCAGAACCTCCACTTTATAGCAACGTAGTGATAATCAAGTGAGGTGATAAAGGAGAAGGGCTTCCTGCAAGACAAACACAGGGCACAGGCAATGCCGATAGTGGATATCTACTGAGCACTTTCCACGTGCAAACATAAAATTGCTCGGCTGAATCAGTCCAACATCCCTATAAGCTTAGGGCAACTAGTATTAAGCCCATTTTATAGATGAGGAAACTGAGAGTTGTGGAAGCCAATGTGGTCTTTCTAACCTCAAATTCAAGACTCTGTGTGACTCTCAACAACTCTGGCCTGAGTGACCAACTGTCTTTTGCACTCAGCACAGGGCTGCGTCTACAGAAATCATGAAGGAAATGCAAGCCTCTGTCAGATTGCCTATTTCACAAGAAGGGCAGCTGAGCTCCCTTCTGGCAGGCTTATAATCTTCACTCTCATCTGATCCTGTGACTACAAACTGTTCCAGAATCATTTCTCCTAAGGTGTGGGGCATTTCTGTTCCTTCGGTGTGTGTTCAAGTGTATGTAAGTGCATCAAGACCGAGGGACTGCCCTCAAGAGGCTAGGAGCTCTCTGGGAAGCTCAGCACTTAGCTTAGAGTGGGGCTTCTCAGCCTGGTGCTGCTGACACTCTGGGCTGAATGATTCTATGTTAAGGATGGAGGAGACTGTCCTGTGCCTGGTAGCGCGTTTAGCAGTATCCCTGGCCTCTACCGGCTAGATGTTATTAGCACTCCGCTGTTAGGTTTTTTAAGGGGAAAGTGAGAGTTGAGGAAAGACACACACAGGGACAGAGAGAGAGAGAGAGAGAGAGAGAGAGAGAGAGAGAGAAGCTCTATAGCAACTGCTGGCATTTATGTCCAGCATAAAACCTGCAGAGGTGGAGGACCAGCTTAATGGCAGTGCCTGTCTCTGCTTACAGGCTGGGACAATTGTAGGCCTGGGTGGGAGGAGTCTAGGGGTGGGGCCAGGCCTGCCACCTGGGAAAATGTTGATAACATGTTCCCACGATGAGATAGTTTGGCCCTTTTACCCACAGAATGTGATAGGATGTTCCTCGGACCCTTGCCCGGCAGGGTATGGCAGGGATGTTCCTTCAGTGGGGCCTTTGCCCAGCAGGGTGTGATAAGGACGTTCCTGTGCCTTGTGGTGAGGTGTTTAGACAGGGTGTTTCTCACGGCTCGAATCCCGTGGAATGTTTCATTTTGACCAAGCTCTGCGAAATGGCGGGAGGGCTTACAAACTGGTGCAGTTTGAACACCCCCAACACAAGTTGTGAAACCCAACACCCCCAACATTGCTGTGTCCCTGGAGGGGGTTGCCCCCAGTTACACTAGGAACTGCTAGTGTAAAGAAGCCTGCAGCTCTTCTGACCAGAACCATATTAGCCCAAATGACCCAATGTCTGCTCTAACGTCTACAAAACCCACACACGAGTCTTGCATTCTTGGTTTTCTTTTCCAGCTGTTTCCGAAGGTCAGAGCCTCTGGACTTCCTCCAGGCTGAATGACAGGCAGGGGGTTGAGCTGAGGGAGGACAAGGCTTTGGATTGCCAGCAGATGGCACAGAAATTCTTCTAAGGCTTCTGCAGACGCTGACTTCCCTGTGTTTCCTGATTTACTCTCAGAACTGGATAATGCTGGGATAATGCTGAGAGGGACCTTAGAGCCATGGTTCTCAGCAGGGGGTAATTTTCGCTCCCTTTGGGGACACTTCTGGTTTTCACAACTGGAGGGGGGTGCTAGTGGCGTTTAGGAGATGCCAGGAATGCTGCTGAACATCCTAGTATGTACAGGATGGCCCTCCATGACAACGGATTATCCAGTCCAAAATGTCAATCATGCTGAGCCTGGAAAACTCCAGTTTACAGATGGATGAACTGAGGACACAGAGGGGTAGCTTAGCAATGTGTTGGCTTCCCACCATGGTTTCACGATGTGGTTATAGGATGGGAAGAAACCTCTTAGTGGCTGAGGTTTGAAGCTCTGTGCACCATATTTTAATAGCGTGATTGTTAAGGAGTTGCATCCCATCACACACTGTCTTGCACTCACCTTTGTGATGGTCAGAGCTGGGGGAGGCAAGGCCATTTGGACATCATGAAATTAACTGGTTAATCAACAGACCTTCCGGTCCCTCCCTGAATGTTCAGGGCACCCTGCACCTCTGTGCTTTGCACAGTCTGTTCACCCTGCAGCACAATCCCAGCTCTGCTTACTTCACTCGACCCATGCATCTCCTTGAAGACCCTGCTCAGACATCGTCCTTCTGGAAAAACTTTCCTGATTATTGGCTCTGCCCTGACCTGGGCTCCTCTCCCATGACACACTGCCCTTTATTGCCCTACTGTGTGGAAGCCACGGACTCTGAAAAGAGGAGGACAGGAGAATGGGGCTGGGTTTCGAAGAGAAGCAAAGGTACAGATCGAGAGGTGGGGCAAAGCAGGGCAGATTCCCGGGAGCTTGTTCCCCAGGACCTCAGCTTCTCTCTCCATCCCATGCACGCACCTCTCACTCCACAAAACGGAGAGTTCTGGAAAAGTCTCGGAAGTTCCATCAACACACAACGTCTGTGGGTTTGGCTTTATGTCCTTGGAGGTTCTCATACACCTGAAATATCTAGATGTATTTAACCAGGCTGTCTTAGAACTGATCACACTACAGTGACCTAAGCACATTATATCTTTTAAAACAACATTTTGGGCATCTCTAATTTCAACAAATGGGGGGTCTCAAACACAGTGCCTAGTATTCTACTGGGCATTGTCCATACCTTTTCCTGTCAAGCTACATAATTGCCTTCAAAGGTTAAAGCAGGGGATTCATTTTGTAGGTGAAAAAACTGAGACTTGGGTGAGGTAAGGTGGCCCAGGACACACAGCTGACAGGTGACATGGGAGTGGAATCTGAGCTGGTTTCCACTCTTTCCAAGTCCTCTGGGTCCTAGCACCCACTTCCCAAGGGAAGGAAAGGGAAGTGACTATAGCAGCGATTGAATGAAATAAAGCCCAGTGCATGACAGTATCACTCTCTTCTCCACAACTCTTCCCCACTACCACCAGCTCCACGATTGGCGACTCATGCTCCCTTGTATTTCCCAGGGGTGGTGTCTCCGGTACTGCTTTGGGGAAAAAAATAAACAAATGAACTGAAAGAAATGCATTTGCCCAGGCCTGCCACCTTCCACTGGGATATTTCTGGTTCCTTTCCTCTTCACTTTGCCTCTGCCCTCATGGTCCTACCCCAGGCTGACCCTCCTCTGAGGGTTCACTTTCATAGCTTACTGACACATTTCTTGCCTTCCAGACTCTCACTGGCTCTGGGCTTCAGGCTGCTTGACAGCGGAGGGCCTGGTTTCAGTGTCTCTCCCCAGTGCATTCCCCAGTAGTGCTCAGGAAGTCAGCTCAATCGACTCCTCCACACTGCAGGTGGATGATGGCTGCAGGTGCATCTCAGCACCACCTCCTGAAAAGCTCTTCTAATGGTTGCCTGGAGCACTGAGCTCAGTAGCACAGAATTCTAGGATTGACTAGTAATGTCTGCTACTGGTGCAGAATAAGAGGATGGGAAATTCAGCCTGTTTGCTGGTCCTAGAATAGAGGATCAGAATACTGGGAGAAAAAGATTGGGTTAGAGAGGATTTTCCTTATAAATCATAAGTCCTCTGAACTGATTCACTGTAAAACAACTAAACATAAAGATGCATTTAGAGGGTCATGAGAAACAGTGGAAAATGAGTCATGAAGATTGTTATAGAGATGTTTCAGGGTTTAATCTTTTGGGGCAGTGATATGGTCTGGCTATGTGACCCCACCCAAATTTCATCTTGAATTGCAATTCAAATTGTAATCCCCATGTGCTGGGGAAGGGAATTCATGGGAGGTGATTAGATCATGGTGGCGGTCCCCCCATGCTGTCCTCATGATAGTGAGTGAGTTCTCATGAGATCTGATGGTTTTCTAAGAGGTTTTTCCCCGCTTCACTCAACACTTCTCTCTCCTGCTGCCCTGTGAAGAGGTGCCCTTCGCCATGATTGTAAGCTTCCTGAGGCCTCCCCAGCCATGTGGATCTGTTAGTCAATTAAGCCTCCTTCCTTTATAAATTACCCAGTCTTGGGTATTTATTCATAGAAGCATGAAAGGGATGCTTACATTGTAACAAGACGGAGGCCCCTTGGAGGGCTAGAATTGCTTTTCCAATGAACTCTGCCTTTGAGGAGGTGCTGATAGTTGCTTGGTTTGGTGCATCCAGTTACACTGTTGCTTACCACTCAATCTGTGGCATTGGAAGCCTCACACCCCCTTATATTCTGACTTCAATCTCTGCTACTGCTCAGCTTGACGAAGTCCCAGCCTAGCCTCAGGTTGCTCATCTGTGAAATGGGAGTAATAATTCTCTACTTGCAGCACTGTTGGCCAGATTTTCTGAGGTAAGGAAGCAGACATGTTTCATGAGCTTCAAAGAGCCACATACCTGTCAAGACCCATTTATGAACTGGGCAGCAACTGGATGATGTCATTATGAGGTTGGAGCCCTGCAGGACTTATTATTAAAACTGCAACTACTTTTGCACCAACCTGATAATATTTCCCAGTCTCCAATGGATGAAGTGAAAAAATCAGCAGGAACCAGCAGATGGTGCTGAAGGCAACCTCTAGTTGCCCTCACTGCTCATCAGCATAAGATACACCCACCAGTGCCATGACGGGTTACAAATGACATGGCAATAACCCGGAAGTTACCACCCCTTTCCATGGCAACAACCTGGAAATTACTGCCTCTTTGCTAGAAAGTTCTAAATAACCCACCCCTCAATTTGCACTAAACTGCCCTTAATTTGCGTGTAATTGAAGTTGGTATACCTGACTATAAATAGAATTGCCAACAGCCCATGGGTTGCTGACTCTGGGCACACTGCAATGAGTTAGCCCTGCTCACAAGGAGGAGTCCCACTCAATAAACTATTGCTAACACCACTGGCTCACCCTTGAATTATTTCCTGGATGCAGTCAAGAACCTTCCTGGGCTAAGCCCTAATTTGGGGGCTGCCTGCCCCTGCATCAATCACATCTCCCTATGAGAAGCGTAATTGTGAGTGTTTTGTTGTTGGTTTGTTTTTGTCTTTGTTTCTTCAACCCTCAGAGACTGTGAGGTTGATAAACCTTTGGAACTTTTAGCTGTAGCCCCACGTTTCTCTCATTTTATTGTCGCACATTTTTACTAGGTAATGATGGCCTTGGTTGGGTTGACTTTTCTAGAAACGATATTGCAACAAGAGTTGATGTGGGTTTTTGGAGTTTTCCTCTGTGCTCCCCTGTCTGGTCTGTGCCCCTGTCTCCTGCTCCTGGAGCCAGAGGAAGCTCCAACAGCAGCTGCCCCACCTGGGATTCCTTTCATTGTGTCTTGATCTGAAGAGAGGACCCTTAGCTCTCACTACTTTCCCCAAGGGGTTGCTCACCCCAAAATGGAGAATAACTGGCCAATTCCAAATCTTCAGGGGAACTGAGGACCAGCAAGATCTGCAGTGGTGTAACACTAAGTAAGGCAGGATGGGATCACAGTTGAGTGAGGCTGAGATGGCTTACTCCCCCCTGCTCTCTCCACCTACACGTCATGGGGCCAGGTTGCTGCCATTTGCTGGGGTAATGGCAGGTGGGAAAACAGAAGCAGGAGGTGAAAAAGGGAGTAACAGGAGGTCGCCAAAGAGAGCCAGAGAGTGGCTGCCCAGAGAAGGGAGCAGAGCATGGCAGGTCCCCTCTGGGAAGGAGGCATTTGAACAGAGACCTCTGAAGCCAACCAGTATCTCTAGAAAGGGTGTGATCTTCAGAGGCTACAGAACAAGGTCAGAATCTCAGCTCTGTTTCCAAACAGCAAGTGACGTTTCAAGTCACTCAGATCTCTGAGCCTCAGATTTCTCACTTATATGTGGAAACACCTACCCCACAGGGCTGTGGTGAATGCAATAATCTACATAATCTGCAATAATCTACATAATACACAATAACCTGCCTGGCCCATAGTAGGCGCTCAATTGATGCTAATCTGCTTGTGTCATACCTATAAGTTGCATTGAAAGCAAACAGAATCTAGAATAAGGGTGATGGAAGTCCTCTATCCTCTACCTGTTTCTGACCCTGCCTGAAGCAGAGTCCCAAAATAGGTACCCGCTCCTGCAGGCAGAGACAATGGGAATATGGCTGGAGAATACAGACAGGGATGATAAGGGCTCTCTGGGATTGTGTCCTGAAACCCAGCTAAGGAAAAGGTGGCAGATACATAGACAAAAGATAGTACAGGGACAAGCTTAGGTGCTTTGTGAGATAGCTGAAGGCTGGTCAGCCATGCATCCACCCAGCCCTTGTTAAGTGCTTCTGTGTGCCAGCCACATGCAGTGCTCTGGGAACACCATGCCAGATATAGTCCTCACTCCAAAGGAACTCACAGACTTTCTGGCCAACATTTGGGAAGGAGTAGGCTCTGCCACTCTATCCACTCCAATGTCTAATGGCCTCCTGTTCCAATTAAGGTGATGTCCAGAGCTCTTAATATTGTCCAGGAGCCATTGGCCAGCCTCTAAATACTTTCCTGCTTCACTTTCTACCACCCTCCCCTTCACTTGCTCCACTCTAGCCCCCACCCCAGAAACCCCACTTTCTTTCTGTTCCAGCATGCAAAACTCAGTCTACCCCATGGCCTTTGCACATCCTATTTCTCCTTCAAGGGGAACTCTTCCAGGCTGGTCCTCCTTGTCACACAAGTCTCTGCTTAAGTGTGACCTCCTCAGGGACCCTCCATGACACCCTATGGAAGGAGCTTTGCCCATTCTCTGCCCAGAGTCACCCCATATCACATTGTCCCATTTAGTTCCCTCAAAGCAATGATCTTCACATTTCTCTCATTTTATTGTTTCACATTTTTACTAGGTAATGATGGCCTTGGTTGGGTTGACTTTTCTAGAAACGATATTGCAACAAGAGTTGATGTGGGTTTTTGGAGTTTTCCTCTGTGCTCCCCTGTCTGGTCTGTGCCCCTGCCTCCTTCCCAGAGGGGACCTGCCACACTCTGCTCCCCTCTCTGGGCAGCCACTCTCTGGCTCTCTTTGGCGACCTCCCGTTACTCCCTTTGCTGTCTTCCCCACTAGCATGTAACCTTCATGAGGGCAGGGACCTGCCTATGCAGGAGTCTCAGGGTCTCTAAAGCAAAGCATGCAAGATGATCCTTTGCAGGGTAGGAAGAAAATATCCAAACTTTGTTTAACTTTTACTATTCTAATAAAAAAGAAAGACATTAATCTTTACTAATATGTAATAAATGGGTTGAGTCTGGGTCCCTCCCTTGGTTCACAGGTCACTCAGGCACCATACGCAGGATCTGAGGTATGCTGATGGGAGAGTGAGAGCCTTGTGGTCGGCAGTGAGGGTGGGAAGCAGTGTTGTCCTCAGTCCTTAGTTCAAGTTCCAACTATTGTCTCTCATTGCAGTTTCTATGTGCCTGGGTAAGTGCATTTACCAACTATATAGAATCTATTACCAGGAGTTAACTAAACTAACCCTCACAATGGACAACCCATGTAAAGAGATTCCTCCATCACCTGGGTGGATGTCTTCTGCTGTCTGTACAAAGGCTAGCATGAGCTTCCTGTGTGGGCTCCCACCCCTAGTTCTGGCCCCTCATCAGCCACATCAGTTCTGATGGCCGAGCCACATCTGACAAGGAGTCAGCTAAAGCACACTAGAGGCCACAAAGACCACTGAGAAATCAGATTTATAGCTATGATCAGCAACTCTGCCAGATTCTGACTGGGAGGCACTGCTTGCTGCCTCTCCAATGGCCAACCCCGCCTTTTTTTTTTTTTTTTTTTAACAGAACTCTGGTTTTATGTAAGGTATGTAACCCAGTAAAACAGCTACATTTCCCAATTTCCCTTACTACTAAGGGTGATCATGTAACAAATATGGCTAAAGAGAAATAATAGGACATCTCTTAAGGATTTTTGAAAAAGCTTCTGCTTCTTCTTTTTTTTTTTTAACATAGGCAATACCCTTCCTCCTCATGGCTTCCTCCTTCTCCCCTTCTGGAATGTAGATGTGATGACTGGAGGTGTGGCAGCTGTCTTGTGCTCCTGAGAGAAAGGACAAGACAGTGATAAAGACTCATCTGTGACATCTTCAAGCTGCTGGAACAATACTGGAACTGTCGTCTTTCTGTTATGTGAAAAAGCAGAACCCTCTAATTTGTTTAAGCGATTGTTTGATCAGGTTTTGTGTCACATGCAGCTGAACACAATTCTAAAAGATTCACTCCTCTTTAGCAAATGTTGTTGTATGAAATATTAGTTATAGTAGTGTGGAACTATCACAATTAGCCAGTTATTTAAGAACTAAGCTTGGCTGGGCATGGTGGCTCAAGCCTGTAATCACAGCACATTGGGAGGCCAAGGCAGGCAGATCACTGGAGGTCAGGTGTTCGAGACCAGCCTGGCCAATATGGTAAAACCCTGTCTCTACTAAACATACAAAAATTAGCTGGGCATGGTGGCGGGCACCTGTAAGCCCAGCTACTTGGGAGGCTGAGACAGAAGAATTGCTTGAACCTGAGAGGCGGAGGTTGCAGTGAGCTGAGATCATATCACGGCACTCTAGACTGGGCAACAGAGCTAGACTCCGTCTCAAAAAAACAAAAAAAAATTAGAACTAAGCTCAACATCTGTAAGTTTTTTTCAGTAATGTCTAAAATCATGTGTTATTCAATTTGGTATGTTAGAAAATAGTATCAATTTTAATAACACATTCAATATCTCTTTAAGCATTTTTATTAAAGTGTAATACACATATGGAAACAAGCACATAAGTATACACCTCCTTAATTATTCATAAACCAAATGCATCCAAGCAGACAAGACCCAGATCAAGAAAGAGAATGTGACCAGCTTCCTGGGAGAAACCTCTTTTGAGATTTGATTCTTCATTACGAAAACAAAAAGGCCACATCCTGTTGGTCATAGAAAAATGACTTAAATAGTCTGTGAAAAATAATAGCATGCTAAAATAAACTCATCTGTCAGCAAATACTGTTTAATGAGGCAGAGAAAACATTGTTAAAGAATCACAGCAAATATTGCTGGAACGAATTTCTCATGTGGGCTGTTTGCTGTATAGTTGGGTAGCAGCACTGATGAATCTAATATGTCTCAATTAGAATGCTTGCTAGAGGCTTAGATTCTGTTTCAGCTTTGAATTATATTTAACTGGTATTTTTCTATGAAACAGTAAAAGAAAATTGTACCGGAGAGTATGTATTTTTTCAACACTGTATTATTTCTAAAGTCAAAACAATATTTTTTTGGAAAAACGTGCAGGTACAGACACAGTATTTGTTTAGACTAGAATATACAAAGAATTCTGGGGTGTGTTTCTAGAAATAAAACCATATATGAAACTCCTTCTTTATATTTCCTGTAAGCAAGCTACAAGATATTATCAATGTGTTAAATTTTATAAAAAGAGGTCTTTAAAATTAAATCTTTAGAATTCTTTATAAAAAGATGAAGAGTCATTTTAAAAGTCCTGATTTTATGAAAAGAATATCATAAAATGGAATCCTTACAAGATGAGGAATTATGTGGAAAGCCCTGATACCACACAGAAATTTTCTGCTTATCTTGTGCAAGATACTCGCAAGTGTGATCCTTAAAAATGAGTTGCATATTTTTTCTTTCACATAACAAACATTTTAAATTTGTTAAATTTTTTTTCAATTTGAAATGGACCCCATTTCAAAGTGGATTTATTCCCCCCCCAAAAGTTGCCTATCCCTCTGATATAAGAGATAGGCTTTTATTATGAATGAGAAAGTAAAATTTTTCAAAAGACATACAAAAACAAACAAACAAATGAAAAAACCAGCCTCGGGTTTGGGAGAATCTTTTAAAAGCAAAAAAAAAGATTTAAAAATTTTTAATCTATTAAAAAATTTTGCAAACAAAGTGTTTCCGTGAATTTGAACCTGGGGTAGACTGTTGTGTTTGCTGCTCCTCCTTGGGAAAAGATTATACGTTGACCTTGCACAGTCAAATAAGTGCAGAAGTGATGTGATCACTTCTGGAAGTAGCCTTCACAAGCCATGCATGGCTCACCATGCTTTTCTCACCACTGCCACTAGCCACTACAGCTGGTGATATTTGGGAAAGATTTTGGCTCCCAGAGGGAAGATTATGTGGACCAGCAGCCAATCTGTGACTGACCTGTGGCATGAGCAAGAATCAACTGTTGTTGCTTTAAGACCCTGAAATGTTGGGGCCATTTGTTATTGCAGCATAGTCTTATCTGTCCTGACTGATACATGACTTGTTGGTTAAAAATATGAAAATACACCAGTTGCCAATTTGTTGATGAATGCAAGCTGATTAAGATCCAAAAAGCTTAAAAAATAGAATCTACAAATTAACAACAAAATCCTTTGCCTAGTCAGTGGGTCTCTTATCTTATTATTGGCAGTTGTTTCCTAGTCTGCCTGTCGTACTAGCCTGGGAGATCCTTGAAGGCATAGAGATGTCTCTTTAATCTTTGCAGTTCCAGAGTTTACCCCAGATATGGCACAAGTAGTTACTAAATTAAATGTTTGCTGAGTAAATGCGTATGTGTAGAGCCTACTTCATCTTAGATCAGCTGTCTTCATTCTTCATAACTCAGTTTATCATATCTGGTATTTGCAAAGCCTTCATACCAGGAAGTGGTGGGAAAATGGGAGTGGGTACGTAGAGTCAGGGAATCTGGATTAGTGGCTGGCTACAGCATTTATTCACTGTGGCTGTGTGATTTTAAATGCGTGGTCTAACCTATCTTATTCTCCTCAACTGTGAAACGGGTGAATGTTCATCTCACAGGGTTATTGAGGGGGATTGAATTAGATATCATTATCAGAGGACTTTGTGACTTCCTATATACCCCAGGAAGATAACCCCATGTTTTTCAATCTACCGTTGCCAAGATAAGAATGAGAGCAGCTAATATCCTCAGCAGGATTATTCTGAGGCAAGCAATGGACTAAGGGTTATAATAAGGTTATCTCATCTTGCAGGTGGATAGTACCTGACAGTAAACATGACCATGCAAGCTGACATCCTGCACCATGATCTTAACATTTGATGGGAAAAAAATCACAATTGTTCTTTAATTTTGTCAAATGCCAACATTCTCTTACTGTTGGCTATAAATGGATAGAAAACGAAAAAAAAATAGTAAAATTAATATTTATTTAATACACTGTAATTTAAAACATAGAAACATAGAGCATTAAAGTGTTTTATTTATTTCTTAAAAAATACCTTATCAACAACAGTTAGAGCAATGCTTGTCTTCTTATTGTATTCTTCATGATCCAGAGCAAGGATCTTTAACTTACTCCTTTCTAAATTTAGATGGGCTTCTAAGATTTTATCTTTTGTTCTTTCGATGTCATGAAATATCTCTGAGAGTCTGGTCTTCACCAAGTTCCTCTGGCTGCATTATCTGTAAAGCCTTTCTAATGGTGGATGTCAACATTTTCATCACCAGCTCTCTTTTTCATAACTCCATTTTTGTTCTATTCAGATTTCAGTTTAGTATTATCACATTTTTCTGCTTTGCTGCATTTCTGTCTTTGCTGGCCAATTCCTTCCCTCAACTGTCCATTTTTGTGAAATCTCACATGGGTTTGTAATTGGGAGACAGGGAGGCAGCATACCTACACGCTTTGCTGTCTGTGCCTGACCTGAACAACAGATGCAAATGAACCAGTGGTTGACAGACATTGAAAGAAGTGACATGACTGACCACTGATCGTGATGAACTTCTAGTATTTACTGAATAGCTAGTGGAGAAGTTTGTACTTTGGGAAGTTATTCACAGGTAGTACACTGTGGCAATTGAAATCTGAATCGTGTTGTTGGAAGACTGATGTTACTTAGCAAAATCATGTAAGTGAAATTCATGCACATTGGAACTGTGCAAAAGGGGAACTGTCTGTATTTGCTGAATTTCCAGTGAGAAGTCTGAGCTTTGATTGATCGAGGATGTTACATCTAGGATCTCTTTTGATATGGTATGAATCCGTGACCCTGCCAAATTTATGTTGAAATGTAATCCCTGGTGTTGGAGGGAAGGCCTGGTGGGAGGTGTTTGGATCATGGGGGCAGATCCCTCATGAATGGCTTAGCACCATTCCCTTTGTGATGAGCGAGTTCTCATGAGATCTGGTTGTTTAAAAGTGTGAGAACTTCCCACTCTCTCTCTCTCACTCCCACTCTCACCATATGATATGCCAGCTCCCCATTTGCCTTCCACCATGACTGTAAGTTCCCTGAGGCCTCCCCAGAAGTCCAGAAGATGCTGGTGCCATGCTTGTACAGCCTTCAGAACTGTGAGCCAATTAAATATCTTCTCTTTATAAATTACCCAGTCTCAGGTATTTCTTTATAGTAATGCAAGAACAGCCTGACACACCTTTCCTGGCAGCTGTGGGTCCCTGAGACCCTGGGATAGGAGAATAGGAGAGGAAAGACAAATATAGCTCTCAACAACTTGGCCAATACTATTATCCTCATGAAGTCAAGAAGTTTTATGGCAGAGGTTCACATCATACCCTAGTCTTGATACTATCAGTCTTACCTAGATTTAGGTGGATCTTGGAAAGACCTTCTCCCTGAGGTGCCTCAGTGGGGGTGGGAAAGTTTCTTCTTTTTTAAAATAGCTTTATTGTGGTGTAATTGCTTTACAAAACACTGCTGCACTTGTTTGATATATATAATTTGATGAGTTGGACGTATGCATCTTGTGACACTGTCACCACAGTCAAGGTAATAAACATGTCCATCATGTCCAAAAGTTTATTTGTGTCCCTTTATGATTTTTTTAAAAGAACACTTAATATGACATCTATACTCTTTACAAATGTTTAAGTGAACGATATCATATTGTTAACTATAGTCAGGGAGAGTAGATTTGGATGCAAAGATAGTCACTGATTGATGCTGAATTAGATTCTCTTCATCACTAAATTTTCTAAGTTTTTTTAAGGTTAAGAATCACTAGCATTTTTCTTTTTAAAATATTTTTAATTTTTATTTTAGGTTCAGGAGTACATGTGAAGGTTTGTTATATATGTAAGTTGTGTGTCACAGAGGTTTGTTGTACAGATGATTTCATCACCCAGGTAATAAGCATAGTACCTGATAGGTATTCTTTCTGATCTTCTCCCTCCTTCCACCCTTCATCCTCAAGTTGGCCCCAGGGTCTGTTGTTCCTTTCCTAGCATCCCTGTGTTCTCATTTTTTAGCTCCCACTTATAAGTGAGAACAAGCAGTGTTTGGTTTTCTGTTCCTGACTTAGTTTGCTTAAGATAATGGCCTCCAGCTCCAAATTGCTGCAAAAGACATGATGTTGTTCTTTTTATAGTTGCATAGTATTCCAGTATTCCATGGTGTATATGTACCACATTTTATTTATCCTATCTACCACTGATGGGCATTTAGGTTGATTCCATGTCTTTGCTATTGTGAATAGTGTTGCAGTGAACATTCACGTGCATGTGTCTTTATGGTAGAATGATTTATATTCCTTTGGGTATATATTCAATAATGGGATTGCTGGGTCAAATGTTAATTTTGTTTTATGTTCTTTGAGGAATCACCACACTGCTTTCCACAGTAACTGAACTAATTTACACTCCCACCAGCAGTGTACAAGCATTCCCTTTTCTCCACAATTTCACCAGCATCTATTATTTTTTGACTTTTCAATAATGGCCATTCTGACTTACGTGATATGGTATCTCATTATGATTTTGAGTTGCATTTTTCTAATGATCAGCGATATTCAGTATTTTTTCATATGCTTTTTGGCCACATGTATGTGTATGTCTTCTTTTGAAAAGTGTCTGTTCACATCGTTTGCCCACTTTTTAATGGGGTTGTTTGTTTTTTGCTTGTAAATTTGTTTAAGTTCCTTATAGATGCTGGGTATTAGACCATTGTAGGATGCATAGTTTGCAAATAGTTTTTCCCATCCTGTAGGTTGTCTGTTTACTTTGTTGTTAATCTATTTTGCTGTGTAGAAGCTCTTTAGTTTAATTTGATCCTATTTGTCCAGGTTTGTTTTTGTTGCAATTGCTTTTGGAGTCTTTCTTATGAAATCTTTGCCAAGTCCTATGTCCAGAATTGTATTTCCTAGATTGTCTTCCAGTCTTTTCATAGTTTTACATTTTACATTTAAGTCTTTAATCCATCTTACGTTGATTTTTATATGTGGTGTAAGGTAGGGGTCCAGTTTCAATCTTCTGCTTATAGCTAGTCAATTATCCCAGCACCATTTATTGAATGGCAAGTCCTTCCCCTGTTGCTTGTTTTTTCAGCTTTGTCAAAGATCAGATAGTTGTAGGTGTGTGGCATTATTTCTGGTCTCTATACTTTGTTCCGTTGGTCTATGTGTCTGTTTTTGTACCAGCATCATGCTGTTTTGGTGCCACTACTGTATTAGTCCATTTTCATGCTGCTGATAAAAACACACCTGAGACTTGGTAAGTTATAAAGGAAAAGAGGTTTTATGGACTCACAGTTCCACGTGCCTGGGGAGGCCTCACAATCATGGTGGAAGGCAAAAGATATGTCTTACATGGCCAGAGGGAGAATGACAGAGTGAGAGCCAAGTGAAAGAGGAAAGCACTTATAAAACCATCAGATCTCATGAGACTTATTGACTACCAGGAGAACAATAAGGGGGGAACCACCCCCGTGATTCAATTATCTCCCACCAGGTCCATCCCACAACATGTGGGAATTATCAGAGCTATAATTCAAGGTGAGATTTGGGTGAGGAAACAGCCAAACCATGTCAAATACCATGCTGTTTTGGTTACTGTAGCACTGTAGCATAGTTTAAAGTCAGATAACGTGATACCTCCAGCTTTGTTCTTTTTGCTTAGAATTGCTTTGGCTCTTTGAGCCCCTTTTGGTTCCATATGAATTTTAATTTTTTTTTCTAATTCTGTGAAGAATTTCATTTGTAACTTGATAGGAAGAACATTGAATCTGTAAATTGCTTTGGGCAGTATGACCATTTTAATGATATCAATTCTTCCTATCCATGAGCATGAAATGTTTTCTCATTTGTTTGAGACATCTCTGATTGCTTTGAGCAGTTTTTGTAATTCTTGTTGTAGAGATCTCTTACCTGCCTAGTTAGCAATATTCCTAGGTATTTTACTCTTTTTGTGGCAATTGTGAATAGGACTGAATTACTGATTTGGCTCTCAGCTTGGATGTTGTTGGTTTATAGGAATGCTACTGATTTTTGTATGTTGACTTTGTATCCTGAAACTTTGCTTAAGTAATTTATTTAGATCAAGGAGCTTTTGGGCAGAGACTATGAGGTTTTTAGATATAGAATCATCAAAACAGGGATAGTGTGACGTCCTGTCTTCCTATTTGAATGTCTATTCCTATTTCTTTCTCTTGCCTGATTGCTCTGGCAAGGACTTCCAATACTCTATTGAATAGGAGTGGTGAAAGAGGACATCCTTGTCTTGTGCAGGTTTTCAAGGGGAATGCTTCCAGCTTTTGTCAGTTCAGTATGATGTTCTTTTCTAAGTTTTCACAAAGTCCCCATACTTCCCAGGGGAGCTCCCATAAGGAAAAGAGAGGACCCACCTCAAGGCAGCAGAGACTATTCTGAAAAGAGAGATTCTAGTAAGGTGAAGGGAGGGAGAGTGTCATGGCCTAAGTTTGGTCATGTCCACGTCAGGGCTCAGAGACCCTGGGGCTCTGCTACCACCAGGCAGCCTGAAACAATATTTCCCTGGAGGATTTATGTTTCAGCTGGAGGTAGAAACTCAGGATGGAGAGATGCAGCAGAAACAGAGTGGCTTTGGCTAAGCTAAGTCTTGCCTTGTGGGCCATAGTGGCTTGGAGTGGGAGTGTCTGGGTAAAGAAGACCTTTCCCAAAGGCCCTTCCCTTTGCAACCTGAGATAGAGACTTGGAGAGATCACAGGAAACAGGGAATAATTTAGAGGGGAGAAAAAAGCTTCCAGGAAACTTCATGATGCAAATGATCCTCTTCGCTATTGTCAAATTTAATCACGTATATTTCATTTGTTTGATGCTTTCCTTAAGTAAGTTTCTTTGGATGATAAGAAGCCAACTGTGGCCCAAGGACTGTCTCCTAGAACAAATGGGTAGTGATGCAATCCAGCCCCTTCCTTCCTCTTCTCCTTTTCACAACCTTTTATACTTTTTTCTTTGTTTTGTTTTTCTCTATTACTGCCAACTGATTTTTATCCCCTCCTTAGTCCGCTTGGCAGGACGAAGCCACCAAGGGCTCCAAATTTTTATCTCTTTCATTTCAGAGAGCAGTCACACTAAGCATCCCTTAGCTTAGAATCCAAATTCCTCAAGAAGGAGGCTAATTGACCCATCTCAGGTCAATCACCTAGACCAATCATGTGCAGAGGTTGGGGACACATTGTACTACGATAGCAGCTGCCATAGTAAAGATCCAATAGATGGAAAATTGAAAGTTTTCAGTTAAGGAGGTCATCAGCCAACAAAAACAACAGGTATCAACCATCACTGTTTAATTTTTAAACTTTAATGAACTTGCAGTATTTTATGACACAACAACTTTAAATATCTACTCATAAGGGGCAGTATATATACATTCCTAAGCTTCTTAGTGTAATACCTATATTTTCTCATAAAATAAAAGCAGAAAAATAATATCTACAGAAACTCCATGTCCATGTGTGTCTCCTCATTTAAACCTCTGATTTTCTCTTTTCCATGAATGAGTATGTGTAATAAACTGTTCTGCTGGCAACAACAATATTCTTTTGCCTGGTGTCATCTACAGAAAGAGACCAGGACAATGATTTGTTGTGTTTCACAAACCTTTATGAATATGCTAAATTGTGTATCTACAGACACACAGAATCGTGCCCTATCGTGGTTTAGAATGTGAATTATTCCTCAATAAAACTGTTGAAGAAAAAGTCTGGGTAACCATCCTCCCAACAAATATTTCTTGATCATCCACCTCAAGCCAAGCACTGTTCTAAGCCCTGGAAGAACAGCAAGGAAGCATTTTTCCCTGCTGAGGTTACATTCTAGTACACGGAGAAGACAGACAATAAGCAAATAAACAAATACAGTGATAAGTGCTAGAGGGAAAAATAAGGCAGGAACAGGGGGTAGAGGCAGGGGATTATGTACTGTTTGTTACATACAATAGGTCATCAAGGGAGACATCTCTGAAGCTAGCATTGAGGCAGAGGCCCGAGAAAGTGAGGGGGTGGTCTGGAATCCCAAGGTTCCAGGTCCAGGAGCAGTTCCAGGGGACTCACACTCCAGCCAGGGCTTCTACACTGTGACCCACAGCTTCCTCGGAGGCCAGCCAGTCAGGTGCCATGGCAGGATGAGTGGGGTGTTCCCTCCAACCCTTCACAGCCTGCCCTGCAATCAGAGAGCGCCTCTAGTTTGTTTGTGCTTGTATTATTGGGGCTCCATGTAAAATTATTTTTGAAAAAATGGTTGTGCTGCAAAACCAAACACTGAAAAGAACAGAACTGGGTTTTGGGATGGGGGTAAGAAAGGGGAGGTGGCCTTAGTAGAAAATATTATGCTAACATGTGAGTGAGGATAGGATGAAGGCATAACAGGTGTTAGGAACTGAGTTATGTCTACTCCAGATAAAAGTGGCTTGAGTTCCTAATCCCAAGCACCTCAGAATGTGATCATATTTGGAAACAGATTCTTTACAGAGGTAAAGTTAAAATGAAGTCATTAAGACTACTGTCTTTCCAAAGAGGGGAAATTTGAACACACAGACAGAGGTGCACAGAGGGAGATGACATGAATACGGCCACGTGACGACAGAGGCAGAGATTGGACGGATGCAGCTGCTGTTTGAGGAGCACCAAGCATTGTTGCCACCACCATAGGCTGGAAAGAGGCAAGGAAGGGTTCTACCCAGAGTCTCAGAAGGAGCGTGGTACTGCCCACACCTTGCTCTCTGACTTCCAGCCACCAGAACTGAGAGACAAGTATCCGTCGTGTTAGCCTACCAGCCTGTGCTACTCGCAGCACACTGATGCTGCAGGTGACACACGATCCCAGAGCTCGGAGTGCTTAGTTCTGTGAGTAGGTGAGGGTGGAGTATGGTACAGGACAGTGGACCTACTGAAGAAGGGCCACCTGTTAGGCAAGTATTGCAACTGCTGGTGACAGTGCTGAGGGCCTACCCAAACCAAGCCCTCGCAATCAGCTTGGGAGGTGCGGCCACCTCAAGGACAGGTGGCATCAGGACCTAGTGCTGAGGGAGAGGGAGGGGTTAGGGTGATGACCAAGGATCTGGGTGGCATCCACTAAGATCATAAACACAGGCAGAGGAGTGGTAGTAAGGACTGGGGACAGGGGAGCCTACCTGGGGCTACTCGGGGCTGAGGGCATTTGGGGAGGTGTCCAGGTGGCAGTTGGGCATACAGGGCCAGGAGAAGAGTTCTTCCCATGTCTGGCTCCTCAACCTTCAGGACTCAGAACAAACATCTCCTCCTCAGAGAAGCTTTTCTGCAACACGGGAAGTTGCCTCCAAGTTACTCTCTGTCCCATCACCCTGTCTGTTCCCGTAACATTTGCCATCATCATTCATTACTCACTTCTAGTCTGTGAGTATTACTTCTTCTAGCCTGTCTCACCATTCTAGTCTGTCCATCCCACATTGTTTGCTGCTGGGTCTCCACTGCCCAGTGCAATGCAGCACACAGTCAGTGCTTAATTGGTATTCGTTGAATGGAAGAATAAATAGAGAAAGCCCAAATAGCCAGCTGGGTTCTCTGGAAGCAGAAGCTGGGATGGCGTTTGGGGTACAAGATTCTTGTCAGGGATCCCCACCTAAGGGTGGAGCAGATGGAGAAGTTGAGCTGCAAGGCCAGCCTGCAAAGCTTTGGCCTACTCACTCCTCAGCATGAGAGAGAGTGCTGCTCAGTTGAGTTCCCTGTTGGGCTCAAATGGCTGGACTTTGAATCTCATCTTGCTCAGCCCCTGGGTGATGCCTGCCCCAAGAAGGAGCGGGCAGACCCTGAAGGAGCGGGCAGCCCTGACCACACTCGCCATGGCTGAAGGCAGTCCATCTCCACGCCTTCCAAACCCAAGCTGGACAGTAGATTCATAGGGTCATGGGATGAAACCAGGACAGAGAACAAATATTGAGTCCACAAACAGCCTGTGGTCCTTATCTCAGGAAGGGCACAGGTCAGGCACTGTGGGGAAGAGAGAAGGGTGTGGCCTCTTCTAACTCTGAAAAAAATCCAAGGACGCTTTTGTGGGGTGGTGGAGTTTGAGTTGAAGAGTTTGTTTTGTGTAGATATAGGAAGCTGGAATGGAGGCAGCCCTGGGGTGGAGAGCCGCCTCTTCGTATTTATGAGAAGGGATGTGCAAAGCTTAGCTACAGTGTGGACATTCCTGGAAGGGTAGGTGGAGGCCCACAGATCCACAGAGAATGGGTCCTGGATGATGGGCCACAGACAGCCTATCCGAGGACAGGCTCTGTGAGAAAACAAGCTCTTTCCCAGCAAGGCCATTGCATTCTCTTTTAAGACACAGCAGGGAAGCAGAGTAATACAGGGTCTGCTTAGGAAACTGGAACGGGGCAGCCCAAGGGAGGGCATGCAGGTGGGAGGCTGGGCTTCTGCAGAACATCACGTTATGCAACTGTTCTAGAATCAAAGTCCCATTTAAAGAAAAGAAGCAGAGTTGAAGAGAATGTTGGCATAGGGCATCTCTTTAGAAACCACTGGGAAGGACATTAAGGAAACAGGAACACAAATCACCCACAGGGTGACAGAAAAATCTGTCTTCTACCACAATTGCCCAGAGACAAACCAGAGCTTTCATCTTCTAAGAAAACCCCTGATGGTCATTGCTGTCACCCTCCAGGGTGGCAGATAGAGCTGCTGGCACATTTTATCCTTCTGATTAGAGATGGAACAACGGGGAAGGCCATCGGAGGTGGCACCACCAACCTGGAGATGATGTGGCCAGGCTCAATGCCACCTGTCCCCAGTGGGTCTTCCTGGGCGGGAGCAGTGGGGTTGGATCTCCCCCTGGTGGCATTTCAGGTCCCAGAGGGGCTTCTGCCTGCTGGTACTCCCCCCAGCTACACCTGCCTACTTCTCCCTACTGTCTCACCTCCTCCCATGCCTAAGCCTGACACATCAAAGATACTGGAGACTGTGGGCCCTGTGGACTGTCACTTAATCTTTTACTAGATTAAGAGTTCCATTGAGGAATTATGTGCATGGTTTGATTTTTTTCTTTTATTAAATTTCTGGGTTTGGGGACTTAGTCCATTTTCTGCTGCTATTCAGGATACCTGAGATGTAATTTAAAAATAAAAAAGGTTTCTTTCTTACAGCCTGAGGCTGGGAAGTCCAAGATCAGGTAGCCGCATCCGATCAGCCTCATGCTGCGTCACAACTTGGCAGAAGACATCACAGGGCGAGAGGGTTGCACTGAAAACCAAACTGCTTCTATAAAAAAGCCCACTCCTGTAATAACTCATGAATTCATTAATCCATGAATGGACTAATCCACTCATGAGGGCAGAGCCCTCATAACCCAATCACCTCTTAAAGGCCCAACTCTTAATACTGTTACATTAGGGATTGTTTTAACATGAGTTTCAGAGGGAATGAACATTTAAACCATAGCAGGGACCTAATTATATAGATCAGCCAACCGGCACAGTGAAGCCATAGATGAATTACAGACATTTCTCCCACTGGATTCCAGGTACAAGGTTGAGGCCATTGCACTTCCCCCAGGAGAGGCCTGCACGTGTGGCAGCTTGGGGGAACTTGGGTTAGCCTTGTGTCCTCAGCGCCTGCCACAGTGCCAGGTGCAGAGAGGGCAGTCAGTAAGAACCTGTACATGGAGGAATGAATTAATGAATGGCAGTGGCAGGCCAAGAGAGGAGATTCCATCTAGAGCAGCCATCTAGAGCAATTTTCTATTCCCTGTCTCACTGTCGGAATGACCTGTTATCTCCTCCTGCTGTATCTTTCTCTATCAAAGGCGACCTTCAAAGCCTTTTTTCTCACTCAGGAATAGAATAGACGACCAAGAAGAGTTCAAAACTGGAAGTCCTGAAGGTTAAAATGTGTTTGAATTTTCAGAAGATGAAAGAGAATACAATAAAGAACTTTCTCTTTGGGGCCACATGAAAACTATGGTTCAAAAAAGAAATAATTTAATAATTACTTAATTATTAATTATGAATAATTATTTAATATTATTAGGGTAAAGATTTGTTCAGTGACTGCACCATCATCACAACCACCACCACCATCAACTCCATCACCACCACAACTATTATCACCACTGTCACCACCACTGCCTCCATCATCACCATCACCAGCACCACCATCACCAGCCTCTCCATCACCACCACTGTCATCACCATAACTATAATTACCACCATCACTACCACTGCCCCAGTTATTATTAACACCATCACCACCACCACCATCACCACCACCTCCATAACCACTACCTCCATCACCACCACAACTATTATCACCACTGTCACCACCACCAGCTCTGTCATCACCATCACCAGCACCACCATCACCAGCCTCTCCATCGCCACCACTGTCATCACCATAACTATAATCACCACCATGACTACCACCGCCCCAGTTATTATCAATACCATCACCACCACCACCATCACCACCACCTCCGTCACCACCATCACCACCTCCATCACCACAACTATTATCATCACCATCACCACCACCATCTCCATCACCACCATCACCACCACCTCCATCACCACCTCCATCACCACAACTATTATCATCACCATCACCACCACCACCTCCATCACTACCATCACCACCACCATCACAACTATTATCATCACCATCACCACCACCATCTCCATCACCACCATCATCTCCATCATCCCCACCTCCAGCTCCATCAACACCATCACCAGCACCACCACCATCACCACCACCTCCATCACCACCACAAATATTATCACCACTGTCACCACCACTACCTCCATCACCACCACCACCATCCTCTCCATCACCCACTGTAACCACCATAACTATAATCACCACCGTCACCACTACTACCACCACCATCACCTCCCCAATTATTATCACCACCGTTACCACCACCACTACCATCACCACCACCTCCATCAACACCACCATCACTATGGCAACTATCACCACCAGCCTCAACTATCATCACCTGCATCACCACCTCCAGCTCCATCATCACCATAACCACCACCACCTCCATTATTACCAGCACCACCACCCCCGCCAACACCATCACCACCACCACCACCTCCACCAACATCACCATCACCACAACTACTACTTCCATCACCACCACCACCTTCATCACCACCACAGTGCCATCATCACCATCATCACCACCTCCACCACCACTCTCACCACCACCATCACCATCACAACTATTATTTCCACCATCACCACCACGAGCAGCACCATCACCACCACCTTCATTACCACCACCAACACCAGCACCACCATCACCACCAGAACTATTATCATCATTGCAACTATCACCACTCTCACCACTACCACCACCACCATCACCACCAGAACTAATATCACCATTACAACCACCACCACTCTCACCACCACCACCACCTTCACCACCAGAACTAATATTACCACCACTGCTGGCACCATCACCCTCTCCTCATGGAGAAAGTGACTTGTAAACTAAACTTTGAAGCTGGGTCAGAATTTCCCAGATGGACAAGAAGCAGGTATTACAAACCCAAGGTCCACAGTGTGTAAAGACAAGAAGGGCTTGTTTGGGGTGGAAAAGGCTAAGAATGAGCCCTTCCCTAATGCAAAGGTAAGAGAGGCTGAACAGGTGAGTGGTAGACGTTCCATTACAATCCCAACATTTTTTCACTGTTGCTATTTAACAAACTTGAATTTTCTGTCACAGGCAAAGGAGTTTAGAGAGGGAAATAACACCTCTTCATTCATATGTTTATTTGTTAATTTATTCAACAGGTATTTATTGAGTGCCTTTTATGTGCAAGGTTCAAGGTTCAAGGGATATAGTTAAGAACAAAACCACAAAAATCTGTTTAAATAATCTCATTAACCCTCACTATAAACCTAGAATGTCCATTTTGGTATTATTAGCAAATAAGGCTTCTAAGCCCTAACTCGATGTTCACATTCTTCATGGTGGTCTCCTGTGGGGTGTGCGAAGTCCATTTCACAGAAAAAACTGAAGTGTGAAGAGGTTAAACATACTATCCAGACACATCCAGCTAATCAGGAATATAGCCAGGATTCAAAGCCAAGCTGCTCTGACATCAAAACTTGTGACTTTTCCCTTTCAAAGTGCTGTCTGTGATAAATGCCTGAAGCTGTAACTTCAGACATCGGCCGCTGGTGAATTATGAGCATTGGGATATTTTTGACATTTAATTTGATGTGCTTGCCAGGGACATGCTTTCATGTTCTTTTCTTTTCCCTCCTGCTTAAATGCAGGGAACAATGACAAAGTTCTCTCTTGCCAGTATTTTCCCATTTCCCCGTGAGAAAACCACAGGCTCCCCAGGAAGTTTGCTGAGCACAACTGCCCTTGGCTTTCCCCAGCCAGGGGCCACGGAGGCTTTGAACACATTCAAAGGGCCATTTCTTCCCCACACATTCCAATGCAGCCTTTCAGCCTGAACTATCTCTGGGAGACTGGAGGTGTCACAAGCTGGGAGGATCACTGGATAATTAGGGAGACTCCCAGGTGCCTGGCAGAGAGTCCTCACCAGCCCCCTGCCGGATGTCTGGCTGGCATCTGAGGGGACTGAACATGGCAAGAAGCAAAACAGCAGCACAAGAAACCAGTTTCTTCATCTGAAACCGAGCAGGCTCTACTCCAGAACAGAACCCACAGTCCCAGGCGCTGGGCCTTCTTCTTAAGTTGGGAAATCACTCATCCCCAGGAGAAAAAAAGAGCAAAAGCTTCCAGTACTGGGGATGTGGGGAGAGGTTTTTTAAAAATATCAGCCCAACATATGGGAAAATATGGGATGCAGGCATCCCCAGGTGTCAAGCGTCCAGATCCGTAGACACACTGGGACGATGGTGATCAGTATCACTCCCTCTGACTCATCGGCCCTACAGGGAAGACACCATGCTGGTGCACAGTCGGTGCCAAACCCGCGTTTGTAAATGAATAAGGTGAGTGAAGTTATAGAGGGAGCTAACCAGAAATCTAGGAGGTACCTCTTGTAGGGAAGAACCCAGGAAAGCCGCCATGCTTGCTTTGGGAGACAGAGGTGAGTAGCGAGAAGACGCTGCTGGCAAAAAGCCCCCAAAACACACATTTGAAACCCTCCACTGTGCTCCCTGCTGCGACAGGCACTGCCTGGGTGCAAGGCTGTGCTACACATGGTCCCACTGTCTGATGCCTGTGATAGAGTGAGGAAGTGACACTCACACACATTTATGCTGAGAGCTGTGGAACTACGTGTGGTCCTTGGCTGCTGGGACGCAGAGAGCCATGTGCTGTGCCCCCAAAGGGCAGTTTCGTTCACATTTATGGTCAGCAAGTTCACTGCTTTTCCCCCGAGGCTTTTTCCTCCCCCTTGGTATCCCTATTTTACTATTTTAATGTGTGTGTGTGTGCAATAGCTGCGGTGACACATGCAGTTTTTCCTTCCTGCCCTTCCTATAGAAACTGCCCCTCCCTAGGTGCCTGCCTGTGGGAGCTGTCATTTCATCACCTGTTCTACCCTGACCCCTGTGTTCAGAAGTGTTTGACCCAAACAGGGGCACCTGAACCAGGTTTGGATGGTCTGAGCCTTGGAATTAGGACCTGGGGTCAGAGAGTGCAAAGGCAATAGGTCTTGGGGACAGAAACTGTAAGGTATAAGCTTTGGAAGATGTTGGGGGTGATAGTTCCAGCCAGGTGTGTCAGTGTAGTGACGAATTCTCACCCTCTGTGGTTCCAGGTAAGAGTTGGCTACGAGAGAAAGGTATTTCTGGTTTGGAAGGCAGAAGTTAAGCAGGAACACTCTGAGGTTGGTGTGGGGTGCTAGGCGCTGCCCCCCTTCACCTGCTGGTGCACCTGGTGTTTGTGAACAGCATCTGTGCCAAGGGCTCTTCCAGCCCTCACCAGGCCTCCTCCTTCAGTTCTCCAGGTCTCAGGTCAGGTGAGGAACACCGGCCCCTTCCTCGAGTCACTGTGTCAGCCAGGCTGGAGTGACAGATGTGGGTTCTGGTCTGTCCTTTAAGCTTTGACCAGGCCTCATTCTGCCCCAACTCATACCCAGGTTTTCTTCTCCCTCCCCACCTGGCTGACCTGCAGAGGTTCTGGGCTGACCACCAGACCCAGGATGACAGCCTTCCACAGACTTCTCCCCAGCTCCCACCACTGGGAGACCTAATCCCTGCAGTAACCTCTATCTCATATCACTCTTTGCAGTGTTGCTGCCCTGGTGGAAGCCCAGCTCATGTGGAGGAAGCCAGCTTGCAGAGAGAGCAAGAACAGAGCCAGCACACACATTGGAGCAAAGGCAAGGGCAGATGGAAAGTTCTGGCGGCATCATGCCAAGGCTCCCATCCGAGGCCTCCCTGAACCCCACTCTCTCGGCGCCACCTTGGATGCTGCGGGCTGGTACATTCCCCACTTGCAAAACTCTGTGGGGCTGGGTTCCTCTCTTTTCTTTCCAAATATCCCAGGAAGTGGATGGTTTTATCCAAATTCAGCAGACGAGTAAAAAGAGTCTTCGGGAGGTGCAATAGCTTTCTAGGAATGAGGTAACTGGGAGCAGAGCTGGTGTTCAAACCCGGTCTGCTCAACTCAAAATCCACAGCATTTCCCTGCCCTGAAATGACCCACATCTGCACTGCTTGCCCGCATCTGCACTGTTTGCCCGCATCTGCACTGTTTGCCCGCATCTGCACTGCTTGCCTGCATCTGCACTGCTGGATTTTGGCCGTTTGAGTATCAGCTCCTTGAGCACAGAACCTGGCTGTCCCTGCCGTCCCCAGCTCCTGGAGCAGGGCCCAAGTGGAGCAGCATTTGCTGTCTGTGCAGGCACAGACCCTGGGATATGGGAACATGAGCGAGGCTCTGTAGGGCAGGCCTCCCCGTCCACGGAGATGCTGAGTGGGTGGCTCCCTGCTCCTTCACTGCCTCTAGATATGGGGGTTGGGGGAGGGGATGACACAGGTGAATTTGATTGCCTCTTGCAGGGGAGGGTGATGTAGAAACTCCGGGTTCCTCCCGTTTTATGGCCACCTTCTCCAGGAAGCCTTCCCGGACCACCCAGACAGCCCTAGGTCTTCCTGACACTCTGACTCTTAAATTCTCACCAAGCAGCAACCCCTTGTGATTCTGCTTCTCTTTCAGTCTATGGCTTGTCACTCCCAATCATCAGCCTCTCCCACAGAAACACGTCGCATAGTTTCAGGATCCCCCAGGCATGTCACCTTCAGGCCAACATTGGTAACCGTGGCCGTGCTGGCCCTTGGGGACCATCACTCCAGGCCTAGCACACCCTGACCCAGGTGTCCAACTCAGCCACTGAGTCAGGCCCAGCAGCAGGTGTGTGGCTGGTGGCTTTGGCCTTCTTTTCTGGCCAGACAGCACCATTTCTCCGGCCACCGTGGGTTTCCTCAGTCCGTGGAAGTTGGCCTCTGCCTCGGGGCCCTGATTCATTGCCTGTTCTCCCACTGGGCTGCAATCCTGTCTTGACATCCAGCCTAATCCTTGCCCACCTCCACACTCTCCCCTGCTGAACTGCACTCCGACCAGTGGCTGCAGAAGCCCTGAGTCAAATAACTACAGACTCAAAGCCCCACCACCTGCCTACCTCTGGCCACCAACTGCCACCACCTCAGAATTCCCTGGCCCTGCACTTCCTCTGAGTCCTTAGATCTGGGACATGGCCCAGACCAAGTCCCTGGAATAGACCCACTGGCTCAGAGAGCATCCGGCCCCAACTGCCGGACACCTACATGGACCCAATTGCACCCCACCCCCAATGCCCAAAGCAAGCCCTTTAGAGCCACCTCGAAGGGCCCACCCAGGTCCCCACCCGACCCCAGCCCTGCTCAGTTTGCCCACTTCTTGCATTGAGTTCTAAGGTTGTTCTCCCACCTCCACCAGCCATAACTAGGTGAGTCACAGCCACCAGGGGCTGGCAGAGAGTGCCCACCAGTAGCTGTGGCGTCCAGCTCTGTCACGTGCCTGCAGCACACGAGTCCCATCTGGCCTGGCATGCCCAAGGCTGTCAGCATGTGCCAGGTGGGAGATAGCTGTGGCTGGGAGGGGGTGGGTGTGGACACACTGGTGGCCCTTTGGGTTGCTGCCAAAAACAACCGTCTCTGTCATCAGTGCCATCACAAAATAATAATTAAAGTTATATGAGGATAAGAATAATAGTGATTGATAATAATAAAACAACAAGTCAGCCGCCATGGAGTACCTAAGCGGCACAGTCCAGGCACTGTCCCAGGGCTTTGCACGAATTATCTCAGCCTCTCGACAGTGGGGAGGTATGATTGCCCTAATTTCACAGGTGAGTAGGTTAAGACATAGATGTGCTGAGATGTGGGGTGGCCTTGGGAGTCTAGGCCCGCACCATGCTGCCCTTCTCAAACCCATACCCCTTCTCGGACTGTGAGGTCCCCAGGGAGCCACTGGAGCAACCTCCAGGCTGTTCATCCAAGGAGGGAAAGCATTTTTGGTCTTGGGAAGTGATGCAGAGGGGCTGATTGGCTGAAGTCCCACTGGTCAGGTTATTCTGGCATTTGGAAACACCACTGGAAGACAATAGCAGTTGTATGGTGTTTAGGTTTTCATCCCAACACCGCAGATTTCAAGCTGAGCACCCAGTAATTTTTTAAAAATTCATCCCAGAGTGGAGGAAAATGAAAGCCATTGGTCCAGCCCTTGGGGACCCCTGCAAAATTCCGAAGTCACAGAGCAGCCTGTGCATGGGCGGTTATGGTTTACACCACACCTTTTACAGTCACTACTTTAATTTATCCTCCCAATGGATTTCTCAAACATTTCCTCAGTTTTATGGGTGAGGAAATCAAGATCCTGAAAGATGAAGTAACTTGAGGAGGGTTGCACGGCTGGGAAACAGCAGCCATGGAGCCTGAATCCAGATTTTCTGTCTCTACATAGAATTCTCTATAGTCTTTTCCCGCTCTCAGGTCCTCCCGCTCTGCTTCAGATTCTTGAGTCTCTACTGTTTCTTGGTTTGTACTGCTTAGAGATATCTGATATCAGCCATTTGCATCTTTGTATTCTCTCTCTGAAAGTAATTGTCCTTCATTTTGTCTTGGATTATAAAGGCAGTTCTCTGTAAGAGGACTGTCTGGTATCAGCAAACAAGCCGTGGCAACTCAGAGTATGCCCTTGCAGATAAGGGTGACCTGCTTACCAGCCCACACTTGGTTTCTATCAGCCTGCTTTCGCTTATCCTGGAAGGAAAACTGAAAACCTGGATGACTGAAGGGAAACTTCCCTTCTTCCACCTGCATGGTGAGCCGTGGGATGGCTGCTTCCAGAGCTACCCTCGGTATCACTCCTCATTCTTATGCTAGTGGCTTGAGCTGGTAATAGAACCCACTGGGGAATGTGTGGAACATTCTTGGAGAATAGATGTGTGGGCTTGCGTATTTCTTCACTACGTCTTCTCTGTGACTTGGCCCTTTCCTTGGTCTTAAGTAGACAACCACTCTGTTTTCCCAAATTTCTGAAAGCTCAGAAATGAGCTTTTCCCATCCTTAACTATATAATAGCACACAAAATAGTCAGTAGTTAGATGTGAACAGATAACCCTATTTGGGTAACTACTGACTACCCATCCAAATTCCTCCTGAATTTCAAGGATCTCAGCCATCCTTAACATTTGATTTTTGCTGTCTGATCCATTCTTGATAACACATGTTTCATTTGAGAGGCAAGAATTGTCCTCCTGGGCTCCAGCAGTGTTAGGCACACAACACCCTCACTCTTGATGCTGGAGGATGAGAATGGTGAGCAGAGTGTGACTTGGATGAACAGAATCAGCTCCCTGTCATCATGTTTATCATTAGTAATGCCCATTAATAGTAATTAATTACTATTTTATTAACAACTATTATAACTATTGCTATGATTACTACTAATTAGTTTTAATTGATCCTCTCCACATGGGCCTTTGCATTTGATAGCACTGCTAACAATCTGATGAAATGAACAAAGCAGGTACTTCAGTAGTCCCATTGGGCAGATGGAAATACTGAGGCACAGAGAAGTGAGGTGACCTGGGTGAGGTGGCCCAGCTTGCTGTGGCTGTAGGACCTGTGCTCCGCCTCAATGTCACAATGCCCCCTGAGAGGGGACACGTGAGTGGGTGGGGGATGGAGCTGCGGCTTTTTTTGTTTGGAGGCCTTGATTTGATTCAATATCTGCCTCTCGTGGGTGCAAGTGGTGTTGAACTCACCCCTCCACAGAACTCTTGTTTTGTTTTGTTTTGTTTTTGAGATGGAGTATCACTGTCACCCAGGCTGAAGTGCAGTGGTGCAATCTCAGCTCACTGCAACCTCTGCCTCCTGGGCTCAAGCAATTCTCATGCCTCAGCCTCCCGAGTAGCTGGGACCACTGGTGCGAGACACCACTCCCAGCTAATTTTTGTATTTTTAATAGAGATGGGGTTTTACCATATTGGCCAGGCTGGTCTCAAACTCCTGACCTCAAGCAATCCACCTGCCTTGGCCTCCCAAAGTGCTAGGAGTACAGGCGTGACCCCCCAGTGTCTGTCCCTTCCCTGGTCTGTGAGCTTATGAGGACTTGTGTTATTTCTCTCTCCCCCACACCTGGCTTGCTGCCTGGTACATTATAGACATTCAATCTGCTTTTCAACTCAAGTTCTGCCTCTTTGGAAGGAAGCAGGAAAGGAGGATGAGGGAAAGGCAGGTGAGAGAGGTGGGTGGGACACCTTCCAAAGGAGAAGTCGAATGGCTCAGAGATGGAAAACTGAAGGTGGTGTCGGTTCCTGTTCTGGGCTGCACGAACCAACCCGACAAATACTAGAGTGAGCCATCCCAGGAGCCAGCATTTAACAGCCGCAGCCTTATGTGAGGCATGCAGACAGTTCCAGAATTTCCTTGATTTCTCCCAAAGTTTCTGCACTAGTTGTATCCACATATTTTTTTTCTGCTTTTATATTAAGAAATTCTTATGAAGCTGCACATCCATTAAATAACCGTGTGACATTTGACAGATGACTCACTATCCCAAACCTCAGCTTTCTCATCTGTATAGTGTGACAATGGTCCCTCACAGACTTGTAAGAATTAAATGTGTGTGTGTATATATATATGTGTGTGTGTGTGTGTGTACATGAGGTGTGCACAGAAGTACACATGCTGCTGAAATCAAATTGGTGGGCTACCTGAAAATGCAGAAAAACATTAAATTATGGGCTTTTTTGCAGTTTGCGATTTTCCTTCCATAAATATTTTTCTGAAATGCTCTTTTTAAATTTCAAGAGTTTTTGGGGTACAGGTGGTTTTTGGTTACTTGGATTAAGTTATTTAGCGGTGATTTCTGAGTTTTAGTGCACCCATCACCTGAACAGTGTACACTGTACCCAATATGTAGTTTTTTATACCTCACCACCCCCTCCCAACCTTCTTCCCTGAGTCCCCAAAGTCCATTATATCATTCTTATACCTGTGCTCACAGCTTAGCTCCCACTTATGGGCAAGAACATGCAATATTTGGTTTTCCATTCCCGAGTTACTTTAGTTAGAATAATGGCCTCCACCTCCATCCAAATTGCTGTAAAGGACATTATTTCATTCCTTTTTATGGCTGAGTGGTATTCCATGGTGTGTATATACCACATTTTCTTTATGGATTTATTGTTTGATGGGCACTTAGGTTGGTTCCATATCTTTGAAATTACGCAACATGTGTGTGCATGTGTCTTTTTCATATAATGATTTCTTTTCCTCTGGGTAGATACCCAGTAGTGGGATTGCTGGATGAAATGGTAGCTCTCCTTTTAGTTCCTTAAGGAATCTCCATACTGTTTTCCATAGGGGTTGTAGTAATTTACATTCCCACCAGCAGTGTAAAAGTGTTCCCTTTCACCACATTCATGCCAACATCTATTTTTTTTATTTTTATTTTTTACTTTTTAATTATGGCCATCTTGTAAGAGTAAGGTGGTATCTCATTGTGGTTTTCATTTACATTTCCCTGATGGTTAGTAATGTTGAGCAAATGCTCTTTTTTTATATCCTCTGTTGTTCTGCTCTTCTACCAGCATCTAGATCTGGCTTGAATGACATTTAGCACGGACTTGGGTCTATATTATTTTAAGTGAAATTGATTGACAGCATGACTTCCAATAGTTTGGCTCTCTCAGGCAACCACAGATCCAATGCAGTCTCCTATTGCCCATTGTACAGGTGAGTACACTGAGAACCAGAGGAAGGGATGGCTTCTCCAGCCACCAGGTGCATTATGAGTCACCTATGTCTGGTACCCAGACCACAGGCCCAGGCCCTGAGACGTCCCAGAGCTCGGGAGTGGGGTGGGGTTGGATGGATGGGCTGCCTGCTCCCAGGCTGCACCTGGGAGGTGAGAGAGGGCCATGTGAACATCTGTGCCAGGCGGCTGGTATTCTATAGCAGTGCCAGGGTGCCCACACCCATTCCTGTCCTGTCCCAGGGAAGGAATCTGGGGTGGACGATTCTGCTCAAAGATGATCACAGGGATCAGGGCTGTGGAGCTGGGAGGGGATGGCGTGTGTCACTCTGGTTTCTGGTGCACTCACTTTTATGAGGTTTACTGGGTGCCAAACACTCAGGTCCTAGCAAGCCAGGCCCTCATCAGTGAATCTACAGAGCACCTTGGGTGTACCTAGCACAGTGCCCCTTGCTATTTGGGATGGGAGAGAAAAAGTAGGCCTGATCTTTCCCAAGGGGTGAGGAAGGGAACTCCCAGACGCATTGCTCTCTGAGTGAGACACTTGGCAGGGCCAGTTGGCCAGGCTGATCCTGGGAAAGGGGTGGAGGTGGCAGAGGCAGGCTTAGTAGGTCGTTGGGCAGAAGTCCACCCAGTTTGTAGATAAGGCTTGTGGGGCTGGGAGCCTAGAGGAACATACCTGGAACCTGAAGGCTGCAGGACCAGGACCGAAAAAGGACTAGGAGGCTGGGATCAGCAACAACTGGGGAAGGCCAAGGAAGACTGACCTGAGGGGAAAGGAGAAACTGGGGAGGTGAGGTTAGTCCAAGGGGCAGTGTGTGTGTGTGTGTGTGTGTGTGTGTGTGTGTGTGTGTGTGTGTTGTCTGTTTCTCTGTCTTAGAGAAGACAACCAAGGGCCAAGGTGATCACTCAAATAGACAGACATTCTGCGTCCTTCTCATGCCTAGCCCTAGGGCTGGATCACCAGTCTGGCCAAGAGTTCCATGGGTCTGTGCTGGCTGCCAAGATGCTGTGGCCATGCTTTCATTTATGGTCTACCAGAAAGCTATCCATGGAAAAAGGGATTCAGAACCAGAAGACCTGATTTTTGAGTCCTGAATCTGCTAACTGTGCAGCTATAGGAAACTCAGATTTCTCATGTGTAAAAATGGGTCTAGCAGCACCCAAACTTGCAAAGTTGGTATGAAAAATACATAATGTCTATGAATAACCGTATCTACTAATATGTGCATGGAAGTACCCTGTTCTGCAGAGACAAAGACAAAGAAGAAAATAAGATGAGGAAAATCAAAGCTGGCCCCCACCCACAATGTTTCAATGCATATTTACCCAAATTTTTTACTTTTTGCTGATTGAGAAACACATGTGGTTACTTATTGATATATATAAGAACTCTTAATTGTTAAGAACATTAGCTCTCTATCTTGTACACATGTTCCAATTTGTGATTCCAAATTTTACATATTCTGTAGAGTTTTAACACGTTGCAAAAAGATGGTATATCCATATATGCCATCTTTTCCTACATGGTTTCTGGCTTGTGTATCACACTTAGGAAGTTCTTTTTCACTCTAACATTATGAAAAGGTTTTATTCCAACACTTGTAATTTTATTTTTGAAATGATTTGTTTGTTTCCTAATAGCATTTATGGAATTGTTCACCTTTTCTCGAATGTTCTGAAATGCCATCTTGAATTTTTTACTATTTACAGAATGCTTCCCATTAAAAAAAAATTTTCTAAATTTTCTATTTCTCTCCTTTTATTTCTTACTTGTTTAGATTTTTGTGTGGAAAGATTTTCAACATTTTGTACTAGAAGCTTTTTAGGGTAACCTAGGATCTTACCGGAGATTGCTTAAAAATATTTTCTTTCAAAATCAATTATTATTAATTTTAAATCATTTATTGATTAAGCTCCCCAATTGGAGTTGAATTCAATGACTGAAAATACATTGCATTTACTCAGTCTTTGCCTTATTGCTTGGAGGTACAGTATAATTTGTTCTAGTGGGATTTGGGCTTTGCAGTGTTTCACACTCTTGGTCACTGGCTCCCATAGCTGTCTGTCACAAGCATCAACTGGGGATCCTGTGGAAACCAAAGAAGAGTGGGGACACCCAGGGAAATGCAAAGTATGATCTGGGATGGTGGCCAGGAATCTCTTTCTCTCTCTCCCTTCTCTACTATAAATGGACATCTGGGTTGTTTCCACTTTAGGTCTATCACATAAAGCTGCTATGGACATTGCAGTACATGTCTTGGTAAACCCACAAGCACTCATTTCCTGTTGGGCATATACCCTGAGGTACAATGAATGGGTCAAAGGGTAAGCATATGTTTACCTTTTATAGATCCTGCCAAGCAATTTTCCAATCAACACGTTGGTGTCGGTTTGCACACCCACCCGCAATATAAGAGAGTTCCACTTGCTCCACGTCCTCGT
This sequence comes from Homo sapiens, assembly GCF_000001405.40. Classification (NCBI taxonomy): domain Eukaryota; kingdom Metazoa; phylum Chordata; class Mammalia; order Primates; family Hominidae; genus Homo; species Homo sapiens. Next base: position 94,507,694 of record NC_000014.9, on the reverse strand, counting down.
GTGGCTGGTCCTTTTAATCTGAGCTATTCTAGTGGGTGTGTAGTGAGTTCTTCTTGTAGTTTTGTTTTGCATGTTTCTGATGATTAATGATGTCGAGCACCTTTTCAGCTGCTTATTGGCCATTTGGATATCTTCTTTTGTGAAGTATTTGTTCATGTCTTTGCTTAGTTTTTAAGTTGTTGTCTTTTTTCAGTCGATTTGTAGAAGTGCTTAAAAACAGGCATGAGCCTTTTATCAGACACAGACATTACACGTACCACTCCCAGCTTGTGACTTGCCTTTGTACTGTCCTAGGTAATTTTAGAGGAACAAGGCTCTTAATGTTAATGAAGTTCCATTTATCATTTTGTAAAAATGGTTAATACTTTCTGCCTATCTCATGGTCACAAAGATTGTCTACTATTAATATATTTTCTTCTAGAAGCTTTATCATTTTGATTCTTGTGGGTTTTGAGGTTAAAAAATATTAAAGACCAATAGTTTCATATAGTCCAATCTAATACCTTTCACATTTAGGTCTGTGACTTCTCAAATTAATTTTTGTATGTTGAGTAAAATAGTCACTATTTATATTTTTCCTGTATGGACATCCACTGGTGTTTTGTTGTTGTTGTTGTTGTTTTCATCATTCATTGAAAGGATCATCCTTTCCTTTGAACTGTAGCGATGCCCTTGTCACATATCAGGTGACTTCCTGTGTGGCTCTGTTGGATTCTCTAGTCTGTTCCATTGGTCAGCTTGTCTGTCTCTGTTCCAATACCTTAATACTGTGGCTTTACAGCCATCTTGATACCTGGTGGCTGAATGCTTTAAAAGACCTGGGAATCATCAGGTGGGAATCACTTGCTTTGGAGTGGGATTCTCAACCTTGAGTACTCATTAAATCCCCTGGAGAGAAGTTCTTAAAGGCACCCTCACCCAGGATTTATCCTGCATCAACTAACTCAAAATCTCTAGAGGAATGTTCTGAAAATAGGTATTTCTAAAGCTCCTGGATGATTGTAATGCACTCCCAGGATGGAAACAACTGCTTTAGAAATAGGTTATTCCCATTTTGCAATTAAAGAACCAGAAGCCCAAAGTCACATATACAATTTCTGGAGGCATTAGATTGTTCACTCACTTTCTCCAGGATGCAAAATCCTTGATATACTTCTCTTGCTCTCAGTTTTCTCCTAGAGAACACCTACTTATCCTTCAAAACCCAGCTTAAGAGTGCCCCATCTATGACACAGTCCAGAGCACCCCAGCTAGGATCAGGTGCCTCTTGTGTGTTCTCACCTCCCAGAGTTACCTCTACCTTGGCCCTTACCTAGTGTGACTTGTATCTCTGTGTTCTGTGTTCCCATCAGACCAGAGCTCTTGGAGTTAGGGTGTGGCATGGTCACTAACATGTTTCTTCCATCTGGGAGATCCAAAGAGTGAGGATGAGGACCAGAAATTCCTAGCTCCCCTCTCACCCCTACACATGGCAATAATGTAAAAAATATTCAGGCCACCCCTCAGCCTCCGACCAGTGCCTTAGGCCCATTAACTTATAACAATAATCTTCCCAGGCTGGACAATCTCCTTCATCCTTCTAGCCCCTGATGAACACCAGGCACAAATCCATGGGACCTGAATCTTAACTACAGGCAGTCGGGGCAGCCTCAAGTCTAGGCTGAGGTCCCTTAATGGGCACGTGAAGGGGGCTGCTCCCTCCCATGCCTATATCCTTCACTGCTCTCCACAGACGTGCACCTCCTCCGGGGCTCTTTTCCCCAGGCAGGACAGGCAACTCCCAACCCAGGTGTAGCGCCTGGCTGGCCGGCAGCCCACCTGTGGCTACCCTCTGCCCATGGCCTACTGGCCTCTGGCACTGTCTGAACTCAGGCATCCCCAGTGCTGCCCGTGTCGCTCAGTGGGCATCCCTACCCTGGCCTCTTCCTGCATGTCTCCCGTGGAAATTTACCCTGGAGCAGAGAGTGTCTGGGGCAGGCAGGGAGGCATGGCCCTCAGACTCACACAGGCCTCACCCTGTCATTAGAGGGCAGGTTTTCCCTCCCAAACCAGATGTACAGACCTGGATTCTGGGTCAGTGTCCACCTCACTGGCTCTGATCTTCCACCACTATAGCCTCTACAGTCACAATAGGACCACCTGTACTCCTTGGTCTCAGCCTGTCCTTCTGTCTCCTCTGCAACCCCTTGGTGACCAGAGCCGGCCAGTGTGAAGTCTCTCATCTCGCCGTTCACATGGTGTCTTTGACCCATGCATCCCAGCAGGCAGGCCTTGCTGCCTGGGCGAGGGAAGGTGGTGGCTCAGGGGCATCTTCAGGGGTGGTTTCTGATCTGGGCAGCTCTGGAACCCATATCCCCATGTCCTTGTTCATCTAGGCCCTGAGTGCATAGAGTCTGTGGCTGAACCAGGCCTGGGAATGAACTAGTGTCTCCTCTTTCCAAGAAGGTTTGTCTGGGTCACCTGCTCTGAATAGCTCTGGGAATGAGAGTCATGTCTTTGCTAAAAGCAGCAACCCAAAGGAAGGGAAAACAACACCCATGGCTCTTCCGAGGCCTCCGAGGTGTTTCGATCAGATACGACCTACTGTGAAACACCACTCAATGGGGAAGAAATATGTGAATGTTTTTTCTGCTCACTGGAGCTCATTAGATTAAGCAGAATTGAAGATAGGCATGTTGAGCTTATTGCTCTTCCATCCCAGCATCAGTGGGTTTGGAATGTTCCCAGACATCTTCAATGCTTCTCTCTCCAAGTGGTAAAACTGAAGATAAGAATTTTATTTTATTTTATTTTAAGCCTTTGAAAAATTAATCCTAAAGTAATATCTGTTTTTTAAAGACAATTTGGAAAATATAGAAAAGTAAGGGGGAGGCAGAGACAACAGAGTTCAGCCATAGTCTCATCACCCCAGCACAAGAGAACCCAACCATAGTCTCACCACTCCAGCACAACAAATGTGCAATAGGAAAACAATTTGTAATTTCCATGATCATGAACTTTGAGGTGAATTTTTAATTCCTGTTCTTCCTAACGGAATCTACGCATTTAGTTGTCTATTTGTCTGTCCTCGAACTTTTTCCCCAAAGGACTCCATGTGAGCTAAGCTAATTTGGAACACATGAAAAAATAGCAAAAGAAAATGGTGAGGGATACATGGGAATGACCCCAAGAAGCCCAGTTATCAACCTGTTCCCATGGGCAGCAATGATGATACTTGGGTTGAATATTCAGTATTAGGACTCTAGGCTCATCTACTTGTAGACTATTCTGGCTTCCATACCCAGAGAGCAACTGGGAAATAGAGTCGTTGCAAAAGGTGTCTAGTGGACTTCATTAGGGAAGCCACAGCCCAGTGGGTGTGGCCGGTACGATATCATGCCGCTGCCTCCACAGGGAGAGCTCCCAGGGAGGTGGTGTGGCCATTGCTTCCAAAGCCTCCATCACCTGCCCATACACGCCAGCTCATTGTATTGGCCTTACTCTTCCAAGAGGCCATGGAAGTATAAATAATAAAGCAAGAAAGGCAGATGCATTTGGCTGGCTCAGTGGACTTCTGAATGTACTGTGAGTATGAGACCTTCCCTTCCAAAAGATCCGGTGCTTCTTGTCTATTCCACACGAAGCTTGCTTCAGATCGAGGGAGGATGTAGCACTGTCCACAGGTGGGTGTATGAAAGGAAAATTCTAGAGGATCTCCAAAATCCAGGTAAACCCCTCTTGAAGAATTTGTTGAACATCTTTGGCAGAGTGTTATGGATGTCTACTGCCCAGTGCTTTTCTAGAGAGAGAAGCTTCATGAATGTGGGGATGGGAGAAGTCTTGGGACATAAGTGGTGCCTCCAATTTGGGTCCACCCCTGCTGCATGATGCTGGCCACAGTCATCCTTGTGTGTGAGCTGTTTGTGAATCTTTATCTCTCTCTGAGGATAGAGGCTGGATCCATCAACTCACTGGTTCATGGAGAAAGTGAGGCGAAGCAGCCTGTTCAATGCATTTCTGCAGAATTGCCTTCACCACTGATGCACACTGCAACCACAATCTCTTCCTTTGTCCACTCTGGGCCTCATTTCCCTCTTTATGGCACAGATAGTCCTGAAGTCAATGATCTCTCAGCCTTTCCAACCCACATACCCCTCCTCCTAGAATGCAGTCACGGAAGGGGAGGAGGACCAGGTCAGGCAAACAGCTGGAAGGTTCTTGAGGGTTTGGAGAAGGCTGTGGGGCTTGTTGGGCTGAGAGTCAGTCTGCAGCATCAATATGGACCATTTCCTGGGCATTGCTCTAGTGCCCCAGTGCCTGACACAGAGTGAGGACTCAAACATATTTCTTAAGGAATGAAGGCAGAAATCTACAGGGCAAATTAACAAGTGGAATGGGGACATGTTCTCCACTCTTTGTTTTCCAGAAAGGAGGAGAAAGTATATTGCTGTGGTCATCAGAGTTTGTTTATGGGGCTTCTCTTACTTCTAACAGGGGAGAGAAGATATGTCTTACCACCACTTAGTTCTAAATGTGCTTTTAAAAATAATAATTTAATTTCTGATGTATATAGAGTGATTTCTTCTTAAAGCAATATCAGTCCTTTAAAACAGGTGAGCCACAGAGCAGGCCTGAAGTGGCTCTTCAAGTGCAGGGCTCTTGTGAGGGTCTTCTGTTGGGAGGCCAAGGCACACCTTTAGCAAGGATTCCTCAGATTTCTCAGCCCAAAGAAGGGCACCGGGTTTACCCAAGTGCTGCACATTCCAAGAGGCGCTCAGAAAAGGTTCTGAGGAAAGGTGGCATCTCAGAGGGCCTGGGGTTCCTGGGGCAGGAAGGGGTTTCTGGGGCAGGAAGGGGTGTCTGGTGCATGCAGCCAAGTGTAGGAAGCATCTCCCCGATGAGGAGGCAACACACTGGTTGCCTGAAGCTCGCTCTGTTGGTTCTCAAGACATGGGAACTTGTCCAAAGCATTCTAAACTTTTTGGTCTCATTGGCTTGAGGAAGGATATTACATCAACTCTTTCTAGCCAGTCAGTTTCATCCCAGGGAAGAGAGGTAGGGTGGTCAACTATCAGGAGAGGAGTGACCTGCCTGGGGGCAGGGGGAGTTCTCTCTAAAGAAAACTGTGGTTCCAAACCACTGTGCACTGAGTAGACCTTCTGTAGCCTGTGTGTGTTATCCCTGTTTAGGTATCATTTCTTCAAACTGTGGTGATAACGGGGGAAGCGCTTTGTAAAATTAGAAATATTATTATTGTTGAGTCTGCTGTCACAGCTCACTGTTGCTTCAGTTGGCTGATCGGGACGGTGTGGGAGGTGGAAGCAGTGCCCTCCCACAGGGAAACCCCTTCTCGTGTAGACTTAAGCCGCCTATGCTACCTGTGCGGACGCTTCCCATCTGGTTTGGATCTGTCTTTAGGATGAATGACTTCCGGGTCAGTGAGGCACTATTTTATCTAGTCATAAGAGGAGGAAATTATTTTTCCAAATTAATAGGGAACATGGGAGCAGGATGATCAGAGAATTGAAATACTGACTATAGCTTCATGTGTCCCATGTGTACCCCATGGGGTTCGGTTTCTATCTTGTTCTTTTTTTTTTCTTGGTTTTGTTTTAGTTTTATCTCTTTATTTATTTTGAGTCACAGCCAAACACACACAGATACACACACACACACACACACACACACACATTCCAAACTAAAAGCCAACAAACAATTGCTCAACTCAGGAGAGCAACCTATCAATTGATTGGGAAATAACCAGTTGCTCAGCTATTTTAATTGATGGAATTAAAAAATTAGCCTACTCAGGCATCTAACCCAACTGACAAATTTGGGTCAGTTTAAAGCCCGTGATGACAGATGGAAAGGCCCGGAATGGGGCTGGTGTTGGCTGTTTGGGGGAGAAAGGCCAGATGTTCGCACTCAGGGAGCCAGGGCAGGAGGCCCGGTGGAGACTGCTGTGACACAGGCATGCTGAGGTGGGAGGGTGCTGAGACCCCACCAGGCCAGGGTGTGGGCTGTGTCCCTTGGGGCGGGGGTGGGGGGGCGGGGAGGTGGTGGCAGTGCCACCTGATCAGCAGTATCTCATGGGGGAAGAAACCAAATTATCACCACCTCCCCCTCATTTAATAGATGAAGATACTGAAAGCCTGAAGGGTGAAGAGACTTGCATCAAAACACCTAACAAACACACAAGTTGGGGAGGACCGCTATCCAGACCTGGAATTCCATAATCCGTTCTTGTTTCTGAAACTTGACAATGTTTAGGGATCAGTGACTGAACATCACTGTAAAGCTGTGCGTGCCACAGAGTGTTCCCAGGATGGTGCTTTCTGTGGGTTCCTTCCCTGCTCCAGCCCTGCCCTGCCCGGCCTCCTCCAAGGCTCCTGCCAGGCTGCTGGTTTCACCGCTGCTGAGAATGTTTTCTCAGCTCAAGGGACATGTCTTAACTTCTCCACTCCTAGGCACTGGGAACTTGCGCCCACTCTGAATAGCAGAAGCTTCTATTTTTAATCCAGGCAGCCTTTGTAAACAGTGCAGCCCCCTAAACCCTGAAATGGACTCCTTCCTATTTTCTTTTGTTTATCTGAAGCATTCTTGGGAATTTTACTAATTTCTCTTCTACAATCTGTTTTCAGCAGCCCATAGAGCCCTTGTTCATCACCAGCTGTTATTAAGTTTTACCAAGAAGTGGTTTTTGGGGGTAGAAGGTGCTTAGAGAGCACCCAGGTTCAGAGAGGGAAGTGCTTTCTGGAATGTCACACAGCTACGAAGGCATGAGAGCAGAGCACAGAACTCCTGCCTACTTAGTAGTCCTGGCGTTTTAAAAAATATGTATCTGCCCGTATTTGTGAGGATGTTTTTGGCTTCAAGGAAGTGACCATGTAACTCAACGTCACTGGGGGTCCAGAGGCAAGGTGGGCTCTGGGTTCAGCTTTTTCCATGGACCCAGCCCCGGTTTCTCTTAAGAGCCCTTGGATGCATCCTCTTTGTGCTATGGCTTTGTCTTAGAGTCACTTCCCTCACGGGGCAAAGTTGCTGTTAGTCCCTGCCTGCCGTGCCTTCCTGCCCAGGACATCCCAGGAAAGAGACAGGCCAGCACCCCAACATTCCAACAAACAGTCTTGAAATCCTCCCTCATTGCACCCCTTAAGCCACATGCCCCTCCCTAAACAAGGATCAGGGCAGAAATTCCCGCCTGCACTGATTGGATTAGGTCTGGCTCCTGAACCAACCAGTAGCAGGAGAGTTGAGATGCCCCTGCACCAATCAGGCCCTCCCTTGGAGCTGGGAGGGGCTTGTGTCCCTGAGGCACATGGGCTGCCTGAGAGAAGAGTATATTATTGAAAAGAAGAAAAAGAAAGAGAAGATGAGGAGAAGAGGATAAGAGGAGAAGAAGGCGAGGAGGGGAAGAGGAGAAGAAAGAAGAAGAGGATCTATTGGGAAGCTGGGAGAATGGATGCTGAAGGAGCAATGAGCAGTATTCACTAGAATTTTCCAATACTATACTACAAACTCCTTGAAGACCTTTGTTGTGATCAAGGCTCTATCCACAGTGCTTGGCGTAGAAGGATTTGGACATGAAGAACCTGGGAACTGGGGACACTCCTAGGTACAGGCCCTGCCTGGTGTTCATTCATCTGCTTATTCAGCCAACCAGAAAGAGCCAGGCATGGGAGTTTAGCTGTGCAGACCCCGTTGGTGGCTGACCCAGTTCCCTTTTGCTGGTGCTGCTGTGAGGGTTGCCTGCTGACAGCTCACAACTGCCCTCCCCTCTCCAGAAAATTGTCCTTGGCTGATAAGACCTAACTGACCCAGTTATGCACCATGACCTGCATCCAGAGGACAGATCACAGCCACCAACTGACCGATTCTATCCAAAAGGCCAGCCTGGAGAGCCCTCCCACTGTGGACCAGGCCAAGGCTAGATGTCACCTTGGCTCCTTCCCTTTTCCATCCCACTTCCCTCACTTCCCTACAGGGAAGACAACTGCCTCAATACATAACATGCACCTAAATCCCCATCTCAGGTTCTGCTTCTAGGGAACCCAATCTAAGACAACCATGAAAAACCTTTACTGTGGACAGGCTGACTATTACCCACAGATTACAGACATGTAAGATATAAATTACAGGAAGAAAGCAGACTAAATGATATAACAGATGACCAAGCAAAGAAATCTGCCTTCGTTTTACATATAAATGGGTGTGACCATCACTGACAGTAGTATGTCCAACCAGAGAAATCAATAAGCTTTTTAGGCCAACATGCTTTTAGCATCTCTCTGCAGAATTAGGGCTGGAGATTAAGGGAAAACGTAGCTAAAAGTCTTGTCTCCCAGAAGCTCACAGTGGCCGTTGGAAGATGTCAAAGCTGAGAGGTGGATGAAAGGAGCAGCAGTCCAGAGCCAGGCAGACCTGGCTGTTCCTCTCCCATGGTGCCATCCTCTTCCCTCCCTGGGAAGGGTGTAGGGAAGAAGGTTTCCTGGAGATCTAAGTCCTCCTGGAATGAGTATCCACCACCTAGAGAACATATGAGCTTAAACAAAGAGCTTGATCTCTGTAAATTAGTCATAATTCTTTTGGCTGAAGGGGAAAAATTTACCTCAAACCAGCCAACTCTAAAAGGGAAATTTATTGGCTTTCATAACTTGGAAACATGGAAGTGGGTAGCAAACTGAGTTAAAGGTTAGTCCAGGGTCTCCAAAGATGTCATCAGATGTGTCAGTCCATTTCTGTCTTTCCACCTCCCTCTATCACTCTCCTCTCCTTCTACATGTGGAAACCATGGCCACATTCAGCTCCAGGGCTACTTCACAAAGCTAGCTGCCCCAAAGCTTAGGGGGTTTTGCATTCCCTTAGAAAGACACTGAGAGGTCTGATTTTGGTCCACACTCTCATCTTTAACCAGCCAGTGTGGCAAAGGAATGAAGTATTATGATGGTAGGTCTGGGCCATATGCCTACACTACGGGGTATCCTCACTGTGGTCCAATGGAGGGAAGGAGAGCTGTTCCTCAAAGGAATTGAGACACTGTTTCCATAAAGAGGGTACAAAAACAAGAGTTGTCTTCTACATTCAGTCCTCCTATTTACAAAGTGTAGAAGTCATTTCTAGTCCCCAGGGTGATTATAAAGTTTAAATGCTATAAAGGGGTCAAAGCACTCATAAACTGCTATGTACAACACATAATAGTCACTGTATTTCTTCTTTCATCTGGTCTTCCTCTGGGTAACATGTAGGCAATGGGGTTATCATGTTCTTTTTTTCTGCTGACCTCAGGTCTACTACTCAACAGGATATTCTTCAAGGAAAATGAACCCCACACTAGGCCTGGCCATTTTTCTGGCTGTTCTCCTCACGGTGAAAGGTCTTCTAAAGCCGAGCTTCTCACCAAGGAATTATAAAGCTTTGAGCGAGGTCCAAGGATGGAAGCAAAGGATGGCAGCCAAGGAGCTTGCAAGGCAGAACATGGACTTAGGCTTTAAGCTGCTCAAGAAGCTGGCCTTTTACAACCCTGGCAGGAACATCTTCCTATCCCCCTTGAGCATCTCTACAGCTTTCTCCATGCTGTGCCTGGGTGCCCAGGACAGCACCCTGGACGAGATCAAGCAGGGGTTCAACTTCAGAAAGATGCCAGAAAAAGATCTTCATGAGGGCTTCCATTACATCATCCACGAGCTGACCCAGAAGACCCAGGACCTCAAACTGAGCATTGGGAACACGCTGTTCATTGACCAGAGGCTGCAGCCACAGCGTAAGTTTTTGGAAGATGCCAAGAACTTTTACAGTGCCGAAACCATCCTTACCAACTTTCAGAATTTGGAAATGGCTCAGAAGCAGATCAATGACTTTATCAGTCAAAAAACCCATGGGAAAATTAACAACCTGATCGAGAATATAGACCCCGGCACTGTGATGCTTCTTGCAAATTATATTTTCTTTCGAGGTAAGGCTTTTGGCATGTTGGTGTGGAAAGAATAGGATGACCACTAGACTTGGGTTAAAAACCTGGGTTGGCCACTTGTTTACTCTGTGACCTTGAATTCATATGTGATTTATCTCTCAAAACCTCACTTTTCCTATCTGTAAAATGGTTACCATGATACATAACTCATACAGTTATTGAGATTTAAAGTGAAAATGTATGTGAAATGAGCTTTATGAAGTCTATCATTTTCATTATTGGTGATTATCCTAACACAACATTGGTTATAGAGGTTGGAATGACATTTTGTTCCCATCACTTAGATGAGAAAAAAAAATCAGAGTGAGATTAACTGACTTACTCCAAGTTACAAAGCCCATCATTGACAGTCAGGACTGGAACACATTTCTCCTGGCCCTAGCACTGTGTGCTTTCCAGCACTTTAAGCAGACACCTGAGATGGTGATTGTGTTGATTATGGTGATGGTGATCACTTGGTGGGTCTCCTTATGTATGTATTATATAAATTCTCCTTATCAGACTTTATATATTTCCCAGATCTGATGGAGAGAGACAGAAAAAAAAGATGGAAGAATGTTTCCAATTTCAACTTTATCCCCCAACACCACACAGAACACATGTACACAAACAGGTTGGCCAAAATAGGTGAGAATCAGAGGCCAACACCCATCAGTCCAGACAAAATCACTGCTGGAGTGTCAGGAACATGGTACTAAATATAAAAAATTGAGGGTTCTCAAAATCCACAGGCAGATTGATGGCTAAAGAAGAGTCTACTCACATCAGACTCAATTAGCCCTCATTAATTGTAATGCAGTCCCCTCTGTTAGGACATAATCAGTGGGCTTTCTCAGGCTTAGGGGAACCTGAGCTTATGGTAGTCTTCTTTTCCCCTCTTAATTTGGCAGTCTAGTCCTGGCTTCTTTGGGAACTAATAATTGCACCTGAGCCCATATCATCAGAAATCTCCAGGACATGGCATGAGGGCAAGGACTTCCCTGATATCCCGGAATATCCCCTTTCACCCTGAATCTGTGTGGAGAGAGACTACTGGTTAGTTGGATTTAGTCACCTTTTTTCCCTTGGGATAACATGTCTGTTTGTCTTTCTTCAATCTAAGCCAGGTGGAAACATGAGTTTGATCCAAATGTAACTAAAGAGGAAGATTTCTTTCTGGAGAAAAACAGTTCAGTCAAGGTGCCCATGATGTTCCGTAGTGGCATATACCAAGTTGGCTATGACGATAAGCTCTCTTGCACCATCCTGGAAATACCCTACCAGAAAAATATCACAGCCATCTTCATCCTTCCTGATGAGGGCAAGCTGAAGCACTTGGAGAAGGGATTGCAGGTGGACACTTTCTCCAGATGGAAAACATTACTGTCACGCAGGTAAAGTGGGTGCCTAGCCCTCGCAGCTTTTTCCTTCTCTTGTCTTCCCTCTTATTTCTGCTGTCTGAGCTCTTACCTCATGGCCAAGTCCTCTTCTGGGCTCTATAATAAACTTATATCATGGTGAGAATTAGACTGGGGAACAAATCATAGGAATAGAGTGAAGTGCCTGGCTCTTTGAGGGAGATTCATCAAGACTGTGAGGGCGCAGTAGATGGAGTCTTACTGGAGGGCGGTGGTCAGGGAGGACTTCATAGAGGAGATAGCATTTGAGCCAAGTCTTCAAGGGTGAGTGGCAGTCTGTATGAAAGGGTGAGGAGCAAAGGAAACTGCAAGGACAAACACGGGCTGTAAAAGAGAGCTGTGAGTTGTGAGTAGAATGATGTTGTCAACTGTGGTGTCACAACAAAACCCATGAAGTATCCAAAGTAAGTTATACAAATAATAGTTGAAGAATAAAAGAGAGTAAATATTTTTCTTTTTAAAACATAAACTGATATTAGATTAATGCTAAGCCTACAGAATTCCTCCCAGGCACTTGCTTACTGATAGATTTTGGGGGAAAAGGTAAGAGTTGGTGTTGGGTTTAAGTCTTGGGGACTTAGTGTCAGCGTGGACATACATAGTGCCTTGAAAGTGGCTGGGCTAGTGGCCTCTAGTAGCCAGAGCAGTGAAGGGGATGTAGCAGAGTGGGCAGTTTCCACTTGGACAGGTGTCAGATGTCCTCTTCTCTGTTCTCTTTCCCTCTTCCACCTTGTCCCTGTCATCATTCCCCATGCATCTCCATAAAGGTATTTACTAAGAACCTCTGCCACACCTAACGTCCTGTCAGGCACCAAGGACGGTACCAAGAGAGGTACAGATGATGCTAGGACTGAGCTTAGTAACCCATGGGTGGTAACTGAACTGATGCAACTCTTTTCATGCAGAACACTGTCTTGGAGGCATTCCAGAATGCATCTCTTATATCTAGAGTGAGCTGCAGACTTAAGAAAGGGAAATTCTGGCCGGGCGCGGTGGCTCACGCCTGTAATCCCAGCACTTTGGGAGGCCGAGGCGGGCGGATCACGAGGTCAGGAGATCGAGACCATCCCGGCTAAAACGGTGAAACCCTGTCTCTACTAAAAATACAAAAAATTAGCCGGGCGTAGTGGCGGGCGCCTGTAGTCCCAGCTACTTGGGAGGCTGAGGCAGGAGAATGGCATGAACCCGGGAGGCGGAGCTTGCAGTGAGCCGAGATCCCGCCACTGCACTCCAGCCTGGGCGACAGAGCGAGACTCCATCTCAAAAAAAAAAAAAAAAAAAAAAGAAAGGGAAATTCTGATTCCGAATGCTTCCAATTAAGTCATGGTACTGGGATGGAGGAGCCAAGTAGCAGAGCATCCCAAGAGCGTTGCCATCCCTTGAGATCTGCATAGTCTCACCTGCCCTTCCCACTGGGAACCAGGGAGGTGGAAGGGTTGGCAGAGTCTGGCCACTGAAACAAAAGGAGGGGTCCAGGTTACAACCTTTAGCTGAGACCTGGTCTTCTCATCTATGGTGTGTGGCCATAATATCGCCAACACCACAGTACTCTTGAGAGAATTAAATGTGCCTTAGCACAGCATTGCCCCACAGAAAACATATCCAAATGCAAATTCCTCTTTCCTTCCCATTGTCTAAAGAGGCAGAGCTCCAAGGTTCTCAGCAGAACTTTTGAACTTCTGGTTTATTGAATGACAGGTGTCCTGCAAATCTGACCCTCTTACCCTCAGGTTGAAGCCCTAGGGTGGCTGCTCTTCCACTGCAGAAGATGTTCCCAGTGGGAGGGGCGGGTGAGGCTGTGCAGATCTCGAGGGATGGCAGCGCTCTTGGAATGCCCTGTCACTTAGCTCCCCCCTTCCATAAATGTGACTTTATTGAAAGCATTCAGAACCAGAATTTTCCTTTCTCAAGCCTGCAGCTCACTCTAGATATCAGAGATGCATTCTGCAATGCCTCCAAGCCATGTTCCGTGTGAAAGGAGTCACATCAGTTCAGTTCAGTTACCACCCACGGGTTCCCCCATGTTGTCTCAACATGGGGACATCCCCAAAGGGACTGACGTGTTTCAGCCTGCACTCTACAGATTTTTAGAGTTCACAGAGATGTCTTGAGAGATCTCCCTAGGGAACTGGGGGGTGTAGAACATGAAGAGAAGGTAAGAAATGGGAGGGATGCCAGGTCTTCCACCCCACTTCATCCAGAAGTCTGGCTTTGTGAGACATGGACTCCAGAATATGACATTTCCCGTAGGACTCAAATTACAGTGGCTTGAGACTCTGCAGTTGATTTGCTGGAACTCACTGTCCTGAGTGCACTCCACCCCTATCTCCAAGCCATGTCTGACAATTTCTCCATGGGGCTACAGCTCAGGTGCTACACTGGGGGCTTCACATTCCCCTCACTGAGGCCCTCTGCAGCCCCTGGTGCTGTGACCACCATCAGGCCACCACCAACCACACAGATGTTCCCTGGGCACTGCCACCATCTCTCTGGCTTCAGGCTTCATCTCCTTTTGCACCTTTACACAAGAGTGAAATAGAACCTTTGAGATTTTCTGTAGGCTAGTGCCAGACTTCCTGGAGGTTTGGGAATAACAGAACCAAAGCTCCTCACAGGGACCCAGGATAACTTACAGCGCACAGAAGCGGCGTCTTGTGAAGTCCAAGTGTAAGCTGCTCTCAGTGGCGTCTCGTGAAGTCCAAGTGTAGAGTGTAGGCTGCTCTCAGTGGTGTCTTGTGGAGTCCAGGTGTAAAGTGCAGGCTGCTCTCAGTGGCGTCTTGTGAAGTCCAAGTGTAGGCTGCTCTCAGCATCTCTTCCAGGGCACCTCCTTCCATTTTTCTAGTGCCTGGTCTGCCTCCCCCATCCCTCTGGGACTGCTTTCCGCATCTCCTTGACTTGAGGCCAGGCCTCCCCACCAGGAGGGCCATAGAAAGGAAGGTTCCTCTCACCCCAGGGATGTCTTGCCTACCCAGTCACTTCTGGCCTTGGAATGACAGACAGGGTATTGTCCACCTTCCCGAGAAGAAACTCCAAATCCTCTTGCAGGACAGGGGGCTTGCTCACCGTCCCCAGGGAATTACATTTCATTAGAACATGATAGGAACAAACATTCCTACCTTCTGAGCTCATTATTTCTGGGAGATAAGTGGTCAAGTTGCTTTGATCTACAGGTGGGAAGCCTAGTCCAGAGAGCTCAGTGGCCCGCTATGGGAGAGCAGAGGTGGACGGGCTATCCCTATGCATTCTTTCTGCAGTCCTCTCCAGACTGGAGGGCCTAGAAGACACTGAGCAGAAAAATCACCTTTTCCCTAAAAGAAGTAACCAAGTCAACAGACACACACCAACTTACATGTGTGTAGAACATGTCAGAATTTAGGCTTCGGATGACTTCCACCTGGCCTCTGTGCAGGAGGCAGACACCTGCTTTGGATTTGCATAATTTGAGGCCAGGTGCTGCTCTGATTTCCCCAGAGGAAAAGCTCTGTTTCCCAGGGTCCACCTTTAGGAGCAGAAAACTGCTGGTGGCTTTGAAATAGCCATTGTCCTGTTCAGAAGTGTCGAGGGTCCACTCCCAGCCTGGGTGCCCCCCACACATTTCCGTACATATTGGTATATGCACTCACCTGTCAGCACAGCTGCACTTAGTGCCTTCCCACGTTGGCACAAACTAAAGCCGATCTCCTCATTTACGCACTGGACCTACGGCCCCCTGCTACTCAGGAACATCACCCTAGAAATCCTCTCCTCACTTTCCTACATCAGCATATGTTTTTCTCTCTTCTGAATCATTTCCATCAGATACAAAGATGCCCTTATCTTTCCTATCATGAAACCTCGCAGGGGGCCAGGGAAAACTTACAGCTCATAGAAGTGGCTTCTATGCAAGAAGACAAAGCAGGTGTCTGCCTTCTGTGCAGGCAGGCCTGTATGGCTTGTGCTGGCCTGCAGGAAATCTCAATGCTATTATTTTTCCCAACATAAAAGCTTCTCTTGACCTCTGCTTTCCCCCAGTTATTCCTCCATTTCGTCACTCCCCCTTTGCAGGTGAATACCATGAAGCAGTTGCCTCTGTTCACAGCCCCTAGTTCCTCTCATCCTCTCCTAAATCCACTCCAGTCCAGCTTCTGCACCCACTTCTCACAGAAAGCTCCCTTCCCAGGGTCCCAAGGGTGTCTGTGTTGCAGAGTGCAGTCAGTCTCAGGCCTCGCTCTTCGGCTGGTTTCTGTCCCCACCTCCTTAAGGCACTCTTCATTTGGCTTCCAGCTCTCCACTCTCACATCACCTCCCACCTCTCCCCTCCTCAATCTCCTTTGCTGGAGACCCCTCTCCTCCTCCAGGTCTCAGAGGTGAGTGTCTCAGGGCTCAGTTCCCAGCCTTCTTTTCTGTCTATACTTACCCCTGAGTGAGCTCACAGGCTAAGAGCTTTAAACACCATCTCTATTACCACGACTGCCATGCTTCCATCCCCAGCCCCTGTTCTCCCCCAAATTCCAGAGTCGTGGATCTTTCTGTTTACCCAGAATGTCCCCAGGATGTGTAATTGGAGCTTAGTGTCAACACATCCAGAATGACTTCCTGATCTGTCCCCAGAGAACCTCCCCAAGCCTGCCCATCTCAATCAGTGGTGACTCCATCTTTTTAGTTGCTCAAGCCAAAAACCTTGGAGTCACCCTGACCACCCTCAAATGCCTCATTCAGTCTGTCAGGAAACTCCTTTAGCCTACAGCAAACCACATCTGGAATTTGGTATCTTTCCGCCGTCTCTGTGGCTCCCAACATGTGACTACCACACTAGCTTCCAAATGGTCTCCCAGCATCAATTTTTGCCCATCCCCACTACACACACCACCACCACCAAGAGTATATTCTTAACAGAGGCAACAGAATGATCCTTTTAAATCCTAAGCAAGACTATGTCACTCCTCTGTTCAAAACCCGACAGTGACTCCCCATTTTATTCAGGAAAAAAAACCCCAATTTGTCTAACTCTCTTGCCTGCCTCAAGGTTTGCTCAAACTTTGGACCAATCCTCGATTCCTGCAAGTCAATCTATTTATTTTTTTCCATAGCACTTACTGCCTTCTGCATACCGCTAGTACATGTATGTAGGCTTAAGTGGTACTTTTTGTTGTGTTGATTCTATCACCTGTCTTCCCTGCTAGAACACACAGTCAGGGGCAGGGATCTTTGCCTGCTCTGTTCATAGATGCATCTCCAGCACCTAGAACAGCACCTGGTATACAGTAGAGATTTAATAAATGTTTGTTGAGTGAATGAATGAGTGGAAAGGTAAATTTGGGAGTCGTTGGGCCTGTTGATGATATTCAAAGCTGTGAGACTGAATGACATGTATGGGGATGGAGTGAAGGTGGAAAAGAGAAGGGGACCAAGGTCTGAGCCTGGAAGCAGCAGTGTCACCGGTAGAGATGGGAGGGGTGGAGCCCGACAGGGGCAGGAGTGGTGGGGAAGGAGGAGAAGCCTCAAGGGGTGGACCTGGAATGCTTCACCTTGGAGAAAGGGATTACCATCACGTGCGGCTCACTGAGAGCTGGCTCTGGGACGTGGGGCTGGTTGTCAACGGTGACTCTGGAAAGAGTTGCTTCCATAAAAAGTTGAGGTCAAAGAGCCGACTGGAGTGGACTGAGGCAATTGTGGGAGGGAGTGGAGATAGCTGCTATAAAAGGAAGAAAAGAAATGAGCTGGAAGCTGGAGAGGCTATTCAGGGCCAAGAGAGATCTCTTGGTGTTAGTTTTTGAGGATAGGGTCACTCTAGCATGAGGCCTCCTCCAGAGGAGGATCAAAGGGGCACTGTTTAAGGATGATGCAGGAGAGAGAGGACACATAGGCAGGAATGAGATCCTTGGGTAGGTGGGAAAATAGGGTGCAAGGCCAGGTGAACGGGAATCCAGGGTCTGCAGGTACCTCAGGAGAGCCTGGGCCCCAGGCTCCGGGCAGGAGGCTGATCGCGGTTCAGCCACAGAGGATGTGAAGCTGCTAGTTGGAGGGCAGGAGGATGGGCACCTGCTACGCACCAACTGTCTGCTGAGTGCCTTGTCTGCATTTGCCTTAGCACCCCTAGTGTCCCGCAGGAGCGACGGTGATCATTTTCCTTCTCACACAAGTGACTTAGAGAGGGAAGGTCACAGAGCTCATGAGAGGCAGAGTGGATTTGAACTCAGTTCTGTCTACCTCCAGATTCTGGGTGCCTTGTTCCCTCCAGTGTCAGGTCTTCTGGGGTCAGGATGGGCTCAGGGCTCAGGCATGGCAGCGACTACAGTGTGGACATCATCAGTGACTGTGGCTGAAGGGGCTCTGAGACGGGGGAACTTGAGACTTGAGAACACTCCCTGTAGAGGGCTCTGGGGCAGGTGTGCTGGGAGGCAGGGACACGGTTCAGAGAGCTTATGGTGTTTTGAAACCAGGGTCCCAGGGTTAAGGAGCCCCTCCTCATTCTGTGGATGGAGAGAGATTGGAGACCTTTGGGGCTGGGAGGACACATGTTTCATTGGTCATGTATCCTGAGGCTTGCCCTGCAACACAACAGGACTTGACCACTCACCCTTGTCGTGTCAATTCCCCAGGGTCGTAGACGTGTCTGTACCCAGACTCCACATGACGGGCACCTTCGACCTGAAGAAGACTCTCTCCTACATAGGTGTCTCCAAAATCTTTGAGGAACATGGTGATCTCACCAAGATCGCCCCTCATCGCAGCCTGAAAGTGGGCGAGGTAAGCCTGCCTAGCCTGGACTCCACTCCCTGCAGCACAGGGGCCTTCCCCCAGCCGGGGCCAGAGCCAGGGTCACAGTGGCTGTCAGAGCCGAGACTCCACCCACCAGTCGGGGCGGGCATGAATGCAGCTGTGCCCCTTACCAACCCCGTGATCCTGGGCAAACCACATAACCTCCCCCAGCCTCATGCTTCCAGTCTTTAAAACTGCTGCTATTTTGGAAATCAATTCAATGTAGCAAACGTTGATCAAGGCCTGGAACAGTTATCAGGCCTAGAACTGGTCTAGGTCTAACCCAGACCCTCTCTCAAAGGCCACATCCGTCTTTCTTTCTTTCTTTTCTTTCTTTCTTTCTCTTTCTTTCTCTCTTTCTCTCTCTCTTTCTTTCCTCTTTCTCTCTCTCTTTCTCTCTTTCTTTCTTTTTCTTTCTCTGTCTCTCTCTCTCTTTTTTTCTTTCTTTCTTTCTTTCTCTCTCTCTCTCTCTCTTCCTTCCTTCCTTCCTTTCTTTCTTTTATTTTGTTTTTTGAAGGAGTCTTGCACTGTCACCCAGGCTGGAGTACAGTGGTGCGATCTCAGCTCACTGCAACCTCCACCTCCCAGGTTCAAGCAATTCTCCTGCCTCAGCCTCCCGAGTAGCTGGGATTACAGGCGCCCGCCACCATGCCCGGCTAATTTTTTTGTATTTTTAGTAGAGACAGGGTTTCACCATGTTGGCCAGGCTGGTCTCAAACTCCTGACCTCAGGTCATCCACCCACCTTGGCCTCCCAAAGTGCTGGGATTACAGGCGTGAGCCACCGCGCCCAAGGCCACATGTTTCATATGAGTTGGCATAAGCATATGCTGCATAGGAAGAGATGACCAAGCAAAGGGGCCTGTGGCCCCTGGCAAAGGTGAGCACCTGACTGTCTGGGGCAAGAAGAGAGCACCATATAGGTAGAGTCACCGGATTTAGCAGATTTCATACAGGATACCCAATTAAATTTGAATTTTAGATAAATGATGAATAATATTTTTAGTGCCAGTATGTTCAGAATATTTCACGGGACACACTTACACTAAAACATATTCATTGTTTATCTTGAATTCAAATTTCAGTGGATGTCCTGTATTTCACCTGGCAACCCTACTTTGGGGTTAAAAAGGCATTGAAGGAGGGGAAAGATTTCAACAAGCAGAGATGGGTGCGGGGATGGGTGCAGCAGTGTGGCCAAGGCTGGGGGTTTTTGGATATCATGGAGTAGTGGGTGGTGGGGATTGGGTGCTTAGTGGAGATAAAGTGGGAGGTTCAAGCCAGTCTGGGAAGGATCCAGCTTGCCAAGCTGAGCCCGCTGCTCTGAATCAGATGGCACAGATTCCACTGTATTTTTCACGTTGACATAAGAAACATAGTTACTAGAATTTTCTCACTTTTGAGCTTTCCTGCCACAGACTTCCCACAAACATTTAACACCAGCTCTGAAGGTCTTGTTGAGTTTAATGGCTCATTTCTTTCTGTAGTTACGTTTGCTGATAGCTGTGATTGTAACACAGGATACTGTCCTGTTTTCTGCAAGTAAAATTGTGAGAATTTTGTAGGCTAGCAAGAAATGTGCCAGGATTTCACACATGCCCGTTAGTTTCCCAGTACTGATCACCTGTTTACAGACGTTGATGCCTTTGGAGTGGATTTGGGATGCAAGTCATCTCAAAGAGCTAATCCAGAATCCTTCTCCCTCTTAACCATCCACCAGGTGGATGAAAGGAGGTGCTGGAGGCTTCAGGGTGGGGGTACCACCACCTCACTTTCACCCAGCTACAGCCCAGTAGACCTTTCTGCCACGGCTATGGTTGATGCTTCCCTGTAACCCATGAGAAAGAGAAGCAAACCCCACTCCATCTCTCCCCCCACCGACTCCCGTAACTGATGCTCCCCCTGCACCATCTTTTCCTTCACACGGCATCTGCTTGTCGAATATTCTCCAGCATTAATGGCGAAAGAGCCAGGAACCCTGGAGTAAACCAAGTTACTGCTGTGCTGGATGGCTTGGGCCAAGTGGTCTTCCTCTCTGATCCTCTCTGGGCCTCCGGCCCACTGTGGTCGCCAAGGAGCTTGGCAGACCTTGACTTTGCCCTTGGCTTCCGTAGGCTGTGCACAAGGCTGAGCTGAAGATGGATGAGAGGGGTACGGAAGGGGCCGCTGGCACCGGAGCACAGACTCTGCCCATGGAGACACCACTCGTCGTCAAGATAGACAAACCCTATCTGCTGCTGATTTACAGCGAGAAAATACCTTCCGTGCTCTTCCTGGGAAAGATTGTTAACCCTATTGGAAAATAAAGGAGAATTCCTGCTTGCCACAGACCCCGAACATGGCTTGGGGTTGAACATGTTCCATCTTCCTGAGATGGAAGTCACAGGCACATTTCAGTTTAGTCTCTCCCTGTCACCACCTCCCTAGACAGCCCGAATGAGCAAAACTGCAAGTTCTAGAAGTCCTGTGCCCCATTTCCTCCCTGCCCATTCAAATGCTGGGATGCAATGCCCCACCCCCGCCCACTTGGTGGCATTCTCCTCTCCCCTCCAGCGGGCAGAGGGACTCTGTGATTTAGTAAACAAATGTTTCTCCCCCACAGCCCTGCCCCAGGTTGACTGGCTGTTGGTGGATAATTTGGGGAAGGTATGGGCCACAGCAAGTACCTGGGGTCTCGAGTGAGAGACTGGGGTTCAAATCCTGGAATGAGGTATCTTTGGGAAAGCCACAAACCCTCTCTGAGTCTGTCTTCTTATTTCTGAAGTGAAGGTCCCGCCCCTCCCTTTGGGGCTCCAAGGAAGCTAGTTCAGTGCTTTAACAAAGTCGGTCCCAACTCTGTGAGTCCTTGGCCAATGATCCGCCCCAGAGTGTCCACGTGGGAGCTCTGGGCTCAGCCAGGAATCCAGGCGGATGGGGAAACAGGGACGGGGCCAGTCCAGCCCCTCGGGCAGCATTAGAAGGACGAAGTCTATTAGTAGCCGCCAGCTTTGTCCATTTCTGGCACAAAAAGAACATCCTGGCACCCTCCCTCCCCTGTCCCCTCCTTATCTTGTTGTCAAAGGCAGATCCTGCAGTTTAAACCTGTTAGCAAGTTCAATTGAAGAGTGAGTGGGGTCTCTGCGCCCTCCCCAGAAAATGTGGCCCTGCAGGGCCGCCTGTGGCCACTAGAGGGCACCAGGTGCTCGCAGGGCCGCGCACAGCTTCCCGGCCTGGGGCAAGCTCATTTCAGGCATCTGGTTCCTTCCTCTCCTCCAGGGAATTCCCAGGGCTTTCGGTGTTTGGAGAGGAGAGGATACTGGCTGGCTTGGCACTGAGGAGCCTCGACTGGCACTACTTATCATTTCCCGGGCGTGTTTAGCAGTTTGCAGCTCATGGTGTCCTTTGTGTTCTGGTCACAGGTGCTCTCAGAGCAGCCAGAGTGGGCGTCCCTATAACAGACATGGAAACTGAGGCTCAGAGAGGTGACGTGGCTTTCTCGTGGCCTCAGGGTTAGCCACATGCAGCAAGTGCCCCATCTTCTGGTTTGGGGCAGGAAGGCAAGAGTCCCCAAAGGCTGGTGGAGAAGGCTGCCTGCGGGTGATGGGGGAGGGGCAGGGCAAGTGGACGGTGGTGAGGGCTGAGCCCAGGAGCCCAGGGTGCGCAGCCCCTTTTCGAGAGGGTGGGGGTGAGGGAGAAGGTTGAGACCCCGCACAGGGACACAGACGTGGGAAAAAGGCTGGGAATCCCGGCCGAGCCCTTTGCCGACATCATTTCCCCTGCCCCAGCCTGAGGGGTGGGTATAGAAAGACACAGAAACCCTTAGCTACGGTCTCAGGTGCGCAACATATGACACTGGGGAAGTGACACTGCCAGGAAAGCCACCGAGTGGCCAGGTGACCTGGGCATATCACTAAACCTTTCTGAGCCTTAGCCGCTTCATTTATTGAGAGAGGATCATAATATCTACCTCCAGCGGCTAAGCTAGAGACTAATACCCTCTATCTACCTATCTACCTCTGAGGATCACGTGAGCTTGCATGGCCATTGTGCCTGGCACGTGGGCATGCAGTAGAGAGCCCCTGCTGCGGTCCTCCACCAGCCCCCTCCAGTGCTTCTACCATCTCCTCTAATGGGAATTCCCTCCTCCAGCCTAACAAACTCTTCCTCACCCTTTAATACCCAGGCCACTAGGACCTCTTTATGAACTCTTCTCTACCTTTCCAACATCTCCCAAGCAGCCTCTTCCAAGCAGCCTTCCAAAACCCTTACATCCATGCATGGCGATGGCAGGTGGGTCTGAATGTTCCCTCCAGCCCCCTGTGGGCTGCAGTCAGTCCTCCATTAAATGATGACTTCTGGGCTGCAATCTCTGAGCTCATTGTTGATATATGTAGACCGGTTTCTGCCTTCCTGGGGTTAATAATCAGTGAGGGAAGCCACCATGAATCCAATAAACACATGTTTGTCATGAGCTGCAGTGGGCACAGTGAAGGAGACATCGCAGAGCTTGCAAAGGGTGTCACAGAAGGGTCGTGTCCAGTCCGGGGGTCGCATGTCACAGGTCGCGTCCAGTCCGGGGGCCCAAGAAAGGCTTCCCCAGGATGTAATATTTAGGAGGAGCTCCAAATGCTGGGAACTCATCTGTTTTTAAACTGTAGTTAGGAATTAAAACTGCATATAGAGGTGTTTTTTCCAGCATAGTTAATAATATGTTAAATACTGATTGGTATTTCTAAGTATACCAATAGAAATCAGGCATAAGCTCGAGTTCTTTATTCATCTTCCTTTTAACTAATTCTGTTTTTAAAATGACTGTTGCATACCTTAAATATTTTTAAATATCATGTTCTGCTTTCATAGCCACATTTGTATTATTCACTGCACAAATAAATTCTATTTTGAAAAAGAAAAAAAAAAGAGGAAGAAATGAGGGTGGGAGCCCAGGGAGGCCCCACCAAGCAGCGAGAACAGCATGTGCAAAGGTCCTGAGGTCAGGAGTGGCACGGGTGAGGAGCTGAAATGAGATCAGTAAGCAAGAAGGGGTGGGAGCGGGGCCAAGAGGTAGGTGGGAACTCATGGGCCACAGAGGGATGCTGGTCTTTAATTGAAGAACTCTGGCGGGCTTCAGCAGGTGTGCAGTTTGAGAGTGACTCAGGAAAGCCCATGTGTTTTATGTCCCTCTGCCTGCAGACTTGTGTCCTTGTATCCCCCATACCCAGGCCGGTACCTGCCACAGAGCACACACCCAACACGTATTTGCTGGAAAGAAAAACTGCCCTGCTAATCATCCTTGTCCAGACACGGTCAGCCCCCTCCAAAGCTCCCCTCTCCTCTGGGAGGGGAGTCACATGCCTTAGTCCCGCAGGCCTGCCCACTAGGATGTGACCATGCCTGCTCCTTCTTGTAGGTCTGTGTGCCACCTCCCTACATCTTCCCACCCTGCCTGGATGCTCTCCTTGCTCCTCATCCTCTCCCACTCCCACGACTTCCTTCCAGCATGTTACTCAGTCTTTCAGAGAGGGTTCACCCCTTCTCCTTCTCAGAAGCCTTCCCAGGTCACATATTTGTGGGCTGACCAACCTTGTGAATAAATGAGTGTATGAATGACTGGATTTTGATTTTGACATAACCGACACTTCCTAGATGCCTATCAAAGCCTGACACGACACAAGTGCTTTCCCCATCTCACTGGCCCACAACCCTTCCGGTTGGTGTGACCATCCCATTTTACTGATGAGAAAACGGAGGCTTAGGAAGATCACATCAATTGCACAAGGTCCCACAGCTAGACTGCCACAGAGGTAGGAGCAAATACAAATCCCCCGAACACTTGTGGCTTTTATTTATCCCATCAGTTCATCCATCCATTCAACAAATATTCACTGAGTGTCCTCTCCATGCGGGGACAAAGAGGGGTTTTAGGGTTTTGTGAATAAAATATAGAAAGATCCTTGCCCTTGCAGAGGTCTCGTGTTACTCGGGAGAGGCAGGAAATTAACAATAGGTGTGATCAAGAAATAAGGACATACCAGCCTGGCCAATATGGGGAAACCCCGTCTTTACTAAAAATACAGAAATTAGCCAGGCATGGTGGCATGCACCTGTAATCCCAGCTAATTGGGAGGCTGAGGCAGGAGAATCACTTGAACCTAGGAGGCAGAGGTTGCAGTGAGCCAAGATGGCACCACTGCGCTCCAGCCTGGGTGACAGAACAAGACTCCGTTAAAAAAGAAAGGAGAGGAGAGAAGAGAAGAGACATTAAGTGGAGTGGGTAAGGGTGACTAGCGGTGCCAGTGGCGCTGGCAGGGGTCACAGCCAGCCTCCCGGGAGGCTGAGACAGTGGGTTTTATGGTTCGCCTCTCTGAGATCTCTGCTGCACAGTCCTCTGGAGGCTTTAGCCTGGGAAATGCCCATGCAAATGAAGAGGGCCAGCCCCTCCACACTTGTGGGTAATTCTCGTCAGGTGGCATGAGAGACTGAGAAAAGAAATAAGACACAGAGAGAAAATATAGAGAAAGAAAAGTGGGCCCAGGGGACCGGCGCTCAGCATACGGAGGACCTGCACCGACACTGGTCTCTGAGTTCCCTCAGTATTTATTGATTACTATTTTCACTATGTCAGCAAGAGGAATGCAGTAGGAGAGCAGGGCGATAGTGGGGAGAAGGTCAGCAAGAGAACATGTGAGCAAAGGAATCTGTGTCACAAATAAGTTCAAGGGAAGGTACTATGCCTGGATGTGCACGTAGGCCAGATTTATGTTTCTGTCCACCAAACATCTCAGTGGAGTAAAGAATAATAAAGCAGCATTGCTGCCAACATGTCTCGCCTCCTACCGCAGGGCAGTTTTTCTCTTATCTTAGAATTGAACAAATGTACAATTGAGTTTTATACCGAGTTTTATACCGAGTTTCTCCTGCCAGGAGCGGGCAGGAGAAACAGGCCTTCCTCTATCTCAACTGCAAGAGGCCTTCCTCTTTTACTAATCCTCCTCAGCACAGACCCTTCATGGGTGTTGGGCTGGGGGACAGTCAGGTCTTTCCCATCCCATGAGGCCATATCTCAGGCTATCACATGGGGAGAAACCTTGGACAATACCTGGCTTTCCAGAGCAGAGGTCCCTGCAGCTTTCTGCAGTGCATTGTGCCCCTGGTTTATCGAGACTGGAGAATGGCGATGACTTTTACCAAGCACACTGCCTGTAAACATTTTGTTAACAAGGCACATCCTGCACAGCCCTAGATCCCTTAAACCTTGATTCCATACAACACATGTTTTTGTGAGCTCAAGGCTGGGGCAAAGTTACAGATTAACAGCATCTCAGGGCAAAGCAATTGTTCAGGGTACAGGTCAAAATGGAGTTTCTTATGTCTTCCCTTTCTACATAGACACAGCAACAGTCTGATCTCTCTTTCTTTTCCCTACAGCAAAGGTGGACTTGATGCATAAAGGAAGGATTCACCCTAACCAAGAATGAGGGTGCCCAGTGTCAGAGGCCCAGGAGAGACAGGCTGCCTTGGTGTGGTCCAGTTTGACCTACACGATACAGAAAACCTCTGTGCAGCCTCCGAGCAGGGGACTTTCTACCTCTTCCAGCATAGGCTGGGTGCCAGGAGTCTGGTTTGCTGTCTGCCCCCACTCTGCCTGCAGCACTGCCTGCCTGGGCTGAGGTCATTCATGTGGGCGCATAACAGAAGTGACAGACTGGTGTGTTGGCAAGAATGATCACAGAAGGGAAGTCCTAGTTCTTGGCCCTGCTTTTCCCAGACACTGACTGTGTGGCTGGAGCAAATACCTTCTTCCTGTTGGGCTTCCACTGCCCATTTGTGCAATGATGAGGTTGCCCTGGATGCCCCCAGAAGACCCTTCTATTTTGGGCAATACTTTGATGTTCATATTGGAAATGATAGAACTGGCTCGAAAGTTTTATGTATAGTCATTCTCCCTTGCATTTGTTTAGTCAATAAATACTTACTGGGAATCTTCTGTGTGCCAGGCTGTGTTCCAGGGATGGAGAAGCCAGGATGGACAGGAGAGACAGGAACCTTGTTCAAGCAGAGCTGAGGTCACATGGTCTGCTTCCTCCCCATTTTCTAGTCTCCCCTTCAGAACCAGCCAGGAACACGTATCCTACCCCACTGAGTCACCACATCAGTGCTCAGGTGTTCCCACAGGGGTGCAAAGCCAAGGTGCCCTTTCTCTTTGGGAAACCAGCTCTCCATTAGCGCTCAGTTTCTCAAATTTTATTTACTCCCAAACCATTTTCATGATTAGGACTAAATTCCCCTCTCTTTTGTACGTTATTTGCTCAAGGCCTATCCTTAAATCAATTCATGTTAGGAAAAGAAAATTTGCTTAAATAGAAAAATTAATATTGCAGTCATACATAGAAACTAGCACAACTTGCCACAAGTAGAAAGTAAAAATGCACACAACAAAACTAATTCAGTGATTAAATTCAACCAAGACTGTCACAGATTGCAGGCTCCCAGCCTGTGGTTTACTCACCCTTGTTAGAAAGGAAAGTCAGCAAGTCTGAGATGGTGGTAAAGATGGGCTGGCATCAAGCTGAGACTCACTCCTGGGGGAACTCAGAATGATCAAAAGAGAGCTGGAAGAGGGAGGACTTTGACACTGAGTGATTCCACATCGTGGGCAGAAACCACTGAGATTGTTTACCTTGTGAACAGAGCAGTCATCTCCCTGATCCCTGGAGACCTCGGCCAAGGTTGGAATGTTTTCTTGATTTATGTCCTTGACTGATTGGCTTTACTTTCTTCTTTTTAAATTTTGGAATAATTGTAGCTTCACAGAAAAGATGTGAAGAGAGTCCACTGAGTTTCCATGCACCCTTCAACAGCTTCACCTAATGCTAACATCTTCCATGACTGTGAGACGTCGGTCACAGCTGAGGAACCAATGTTGCTAGCTTACTATTCACTAAACTACAGAATTTATTTGAATTTCGCCATCTTTTTAAATGAATATTTTTTTTTTCTGTTCCAGGATCCAATCCAGGATACACGTCACATATAGTGGTCTTTTATTTTAAAGACTTTGAAAAATGCGTCAGGTGGCTGGAGATTGGTAGGAAGCCCTGGAGTTAGACAGGCTGAGGTCAAATTCACAGCTGTGCCATTTATTTGGTTTGTGACATTAGGCACATCCCTTGGTGGACCAGTCCTTAGTTTTGCATCTGTATGATGTGGGGATAGTAATACTGATCTTTCAGGGTCTTGGGAGAATTCAATGCTATAGGTTACACGAACCCACTTGGCATCTGCTGGGCATGCATCCATAGAGTATTGGCTTTTAGAGGCCTCCAGAGCAGGAAGGGTAGTCCACTGGGTGGGCTTCCATGAAGATTGAATGTCCTTCCAGCACAGACAGCTTTTCCGTAGCTGTTTTCTTCACCATGATGTGAACAGAGGAATCACAGATTCCTGGGCAAGGCAGAAAAAGGGGCTCTCCAGGATGAAGATCCCTGCTGGGGCAGGAATCTCATGTGTCCCATGATGTTGAAATAATGACCCCTTGCCAAAAAACAAAAAAAAAACAAAACCCTAGACTAATTAACAGACAGACAAAATTCCTCAAGGCTTGGGGTCCTGTCTGGTTCTATCTCCCTTCCCTATCTCTACCCTCAGCTTGGTTCAGATTCCTAGAAGTCAGGGGATCACACTGGGCAGGCTAGGAAATGAACAATGTTGCAGCAGAAAGGGTGGCAGGGAGCTGCACTTCCTGAAACAGATCCATGGTGAGGACTGTGGAACTCAGCTGGGGAGGCTTCTTGACAATCCGAAGGGTACCCTCTAGCTAAGATGGCACTCCAAGAGTAGCCTTGAGGTACCCAATCTGCTCCACTGTTAGGAGAAACAATGGGTGAAATATTAAAACAAGTATTGAAATAGAAAAGTATAAAGATGTAGCCAGATTTTTTAAATAGTATGAGTATCTCCAATAAACCAGAAGTGGAGCAGAAGCATAAGAATGTGTGAGGCAGGCAAGAGATCCTGTAGCCAGAGTCCTAAGAGGATCCCAGAAAGGCCTGGACATAGCAGGAGAGGCTCCATGGAGGAGTATGGACTTGGGAGAAGGCTCCATCTTGATGGGCCCATGGGGATCTACTCCTGGCTGGTTGCTACTCCAGCAGGCTTGGTTTTATGAATTTGGGGAGAAATGGGTCTTTACTTTCAAGGTGGCCCTGAGGCCCCAGGAACTGAGGACCTCAGAGCTAGAGGAAACCCTGAAGAGCTTCTCTCTGGGGCAAGGACAGAAGGTGGGGTGAAGGGTAGGAAGAGGAAGCACACAGCCCTCCCCACTCTCAAGTCTTCTCATCTTTCCCTGGAAAATCTGATTAGGTAGTTCTGCATGGGACCTGGAAATTTGCATTTTAATGAGAGCCCAATTACGCTTGGTAAGTTCCATACTTCTTTAGGCTGCCTCTCTGTGTTTTACCAACTATGAGTCTCTACAAAAGTCCCTGGGTGTGGATGAGCCAATAGTGCCTGGTCCTCAGGATTCCCAACATCCCTCCCACTTTCTCCTTCCCATGCAATCTGCTACCTCTCTATTACTTACTGATCATAGTCCCGACTCTGGAGGATGCCTCACAAAGTCCAGACTGTCTAATCAGGGAGACCGACATATAAGAAGATAAACTGCCCTGGTTTGCTCCAGGTGTTTGTAAAGGGAGGGGCAGACTTTCTGTGGGATCTAGAGAAGACTTTGTGCAGTGGGTGATTTTGAGCTGGAGCTGGCAGGATGGGAAGGAGTGTGTCAGGCAAAGAGAATGAGATAGGTAGTCCAAGCCAACTGAGATATGTGTGTAATCATAGAGAGTAGAGGAAGAAACAGCAGGGTGGCATTCATTTCAACTTATTGTATTTTGATTTTTATTTAGGTATAGTTCACATAAAGTACACAAATATTTCTGCCCACTATTTCTTCAAATTTTTCTGTTCTCCACTGTCCCTCACTTTTTTTTGCCTAGGACTCCAATTACACATATGTTAGACCATTGATGTTGTCCCACAAGTCACTGGGACTTGTTTTTTATTATTATTATTTTCCAGCTTGCTGTCTTCAGTTTGAATAGTTCCTATTGATATGTTTTCAAGATCACAGATCTTTTCTTCTATAGTACTAAATTTGCTGTTAAACCCAGCCAGTGAATTTTTCATTTCAGATATTAAGTTTTTCATCTCTAGAAGTTTGATTTTTCCCACATTACAGTAACATTTTTATTATTTAAGCATATTTTAAGTAACTGTTTTAAAGTCCTTGTCTACAAATTCCTTAATCTCTATTATGTCTGAGCCTGTTTATATTGCTTAATTTTTCTTCTGGTCATGGGTCACATTTTCCTAGTCCTAGAAGGTCTAGCAATTTTTAATTGGATGCTGGACATCATAATATTACAATTTTGTTGTCTTCCTTTACAGTGTTTGACATTTGTTTTAACAGGCAATACGTTACTTACAGATCTGTTTGAGCTTGTCAAGGCATGTTTTTAAACTTTGTTAGGGTGGGTCTAGTGCAGCTTTAATTCAAAGTTAGTTTAGCCCTAATGCCAAGATGTGACACTTCTGGGTCTCTACTGAATGTTCCAGGTCTCTCCACTTTGGGTGCATAACCTTAATATATCCTATGCTTTGTGAACTCTGGAAATTATTTTGCTTATACCTTCACAGTAGGTTTATTTTTTCGTGTGTGTGTGTGTGTGTGTGTGTGTGTGTGTGTGTGTGTGTGTGTGTGGACCAGCCATGTGGAATTTCACTTTATGCATGCAGAGCTTAGTACTTAGCTTTGGACTTAAAGAGACCCCTATGAACATTTCTAAAGCTCTCCTCTAGTACTTCACTGCACAAATTATAGCTTCCTCAGTTTTCTCAAACTCTAATGTCTGTCTCCTAAGCTCAGCAAGCCTCCCATGCCCTCCTTGGGTTTTCTTCCACACGTCCAGAAAGTATCCTTAGGCAGAAAATTGGGACAATTGTAGAGCTTATCTCATTTTTTACCTTCCCTGCCTGTTCTCTAATGTCTGAATTGTTATATGTATTTTTCGAGTATCTCAATAGTGTCATAAATTTTGTCTAGTTTTCTGTTTACAACAGTTTGCAACCAATATCAGTTACTTTGTTTTGGCCAAAAGTGTAAGTCAACTCAAACTTTACATATATACCTGTGTAACTTTACCTTAAGTAGCTACAGGACTTTCCATCACCCTGAGTTCCCCTTGCTTATTACCAGTCAGGATTACTCTTCAAAGATAAATGGATTATTTCATTTTATTTCAATTCATTTATTCTTTTAGCAACCACTTACTGAACCGTGAGTATTGGCCAAAGAGTGGGTGCACAAGTAGACAAAATTAAGGTAGACAGGATCCCTGATTCATGAATTGTTCAGTCACACAAATAAATGTGAAACTATGACAGTGATAAGTGTTTCACTGAGAAGTTGATGGTACTATAAAAATAGCTGCTGGGAGAAAGTTTTCTTATTTCAGTGGTCAAAGAGAGTTTCCTTGAGGAAATCACACAAACTAGGGCCTAAATAATGAATAAAAATTAATTAGGGGAAAAGTCAGATGAAGAGAGTTGGAAGGATATTCCAGGAGTAGGAAACAACAAATATCACATGTGAGCATAAAAAAAAAAATCAGCAGAATGGGCTAACATGGATGTCAAGGGCAAGGGGCTTCATGATCTGTGATGAACTTAGAGGAGCCCGCAGAGGCCAGGCAATGCAAGTTAAGACTTCAGTGTTTACTTTGGGAAACGGGAGGCAATTGAGACATTTTAAATACTAAGTGACACAGTCAGGTTTGAGTTTTAAAAGACTATTCTAGCTGTCATGTGCAGAGTGAATTGGAGGAGCAGGACAGGGTATGCAGAGAGAGCTGTTAGGAAGCTCTGTGGTAGCCCAGGCAAGACACAATGACAGCCCAACTGGCCTGCTAGAGTGGAGGCAGAGAAAAGTGGATGGACTTGAGCAACATTCAGGAGGTAAAGTTGACAAAACTGGGCATAAGTTGACATGAAGAAGAAGGAAGTGCAAGGATGCCCCTCCTAGGCTCAACTAACCAGGTGAATGGTGGACCCAGTGACAGAAATGTTGAAAAGAGGTTTCGGTTGTGGCTGTTGCTGGGAGATGGTTCTTGGGAAGGAGTCTGAGTTCACTGTGGTTCATATTGCATGTAAGGTTTATTTGCAACATCAGGAGGAGATATCAAGTAGGAAGTTAGACATGTAGAGATCAGAGGAAAGGATTGAGCTGGAGAATAAAAATAATATATCATTTGCATGTCTAGCTGGAGAATAAAAATAATATATCATTTGCATGTCTTAGTAATGAAGTCATGGGTGTCGTGGCATGAGATCAGCTGGAGGGAGAGGAGAGATTAAAGTGAGGAGAGAGCTACAACCAAGTAAGCAAGTGTCAGGGCTCACCAACCATGCAAGGACAGGGCAGGAGAAGAGGAACCTGCAAAGGTGGGTAAGGAGGAGGTGCAGAGAGATCGGGAATGTGGTGTCACTGAGCCAGAGGGAAGGACTGGATCAGAGCATGGTCTTCAGTGTCAAATGCAGCTGGGAAGTCAAATAAGATGAGAACCTAGACACATTAGTTGGCTTTTAGTAGCATCTGGGTCACATTTTTGTGGATACAGAAGCCAGGCTGGAGTGGACCAGTGAGTGAGTTGGAGGTAAGGCCACAGAGACCATGAATACACAGCTCTTGAAAATTTGGGCCACAAGGGGAGGAGTATTGAAATAGGGCAGCTGCTAGAAGCAAATGAGAGGGTGAAAGGAGTGTTTTTGTTGTTGTGTCGTTGTTGGTTTCTTTGTCTTAACGAGCAAGACTTGAACAGTTTCCAAACTAACAGCAAGGATCAGCTTGAGAGGGAGTGTTTAAGTGCAGAAAAGAGAGGTGGAAGGGTCCTGAGATGGAGAGAAGAGATACTTTCTAAGGCCCAGGAAGGGGGACTGGACCTCAAAGGAGGGCCGATCCTCTGCTTTATTGGTGGAGTGGAGGTGTAGGGGAGAGAGAGGGGCGACTGGGAAAGTAGGGATAGGCAGAGAGGATGCCCTTTGAGGGAAGTTGAGACAATTCCTTTTCATAGGATCTCTCTTTTATGTGAGATAGGAGGCAAGGTTGTCTGCTCAGTGTGTGTGTGTGTGTGTGTGTGTGTATGTGTGTGTGTGTGTGCACATGTAGGCACACATGCATATGTAGCACACATGTAGCAGGGTGGGCATCCATTCCACCCTGGAATAAAAAGGTTAAGGACATGGAAAAGGTGAAGCTTTTCCCTGAAAATGGGAGAGTGAGCTGATGAGTTACATGTTGCCGGGTGGATAAAGGCTGGTGGTTGGGAACCCACAGTGGACGAGGCTGCCTTGCAGAACCCCTCTTCCAGCAGCACTTGGCAGGGAAGGAGCAGACAGGTAGGTTCTACCACACATGGAGCCTTGCCACAGGGCTGGGACATGAAGACACAGGCCTGGGGGTGAAGCACAGTAGATTAAAATGAAGCCCTTGACACCCAAGCTGGATAAAGAGGCAAACGAAGATAGGGGATGGGGTGGAATTGAGGAATGCAAACAGCTGGGTCCTCAAAGATGCAGCTGGGGAGGTGAGTCAGGGCCCAATAAATAAAGCTCTTGAATGTCAGGGGCTTGAGCATTTTTTCTGAGCTCAATGGGGAGCCATTGAGGAATTCGAGGTGAGGTGAGTGATACACCAGATCAGCATCTGGAAAGGTCACCCTGTCTGCAGGGTGGAGGAGCGCTTGGAGATGGGAGTGAGTGAGAGACAATGGAAGGTGGAATGCAGGCTGTGGTAGCTGGGAGGGAGAGGTCCAGAAGAGGCAAGCCCTGGGGACGGCAGAGTGTCCCTGTCACCCCAACGAGCAGTGCCCCCTGGCCGAACGCTCACATAAACCCGGGCCACAGCCAAAAGAGGGGCAAGGGCCTTGGCAGGGCTGGGAGAGAGAAGGGGTGGCCACAGGAGGACAGGAGTTCAGGGTGGGGAGAAGCAAAGTGGGGAGTGTGGTGGATTTTAAGAGCTGACTGAATGAGCTTTGGCCACGGTTTTCCCCCAAGAGAGCAATGACCTGGGGGCCCTCAGACATAGATCCCAGACTCAGAAGAGAGGGCCTTTTGAGACCACCTCTTCCTGAAGTCTTGTGAAAAGCAGAGACTTACCTGAAGTCACATGGAGGCCAGTACCATCGATGACTCAGGACATTTACTAGCCAACTCCCCGACTTCAGGTGGGTCTCCCCTACTCAACCCAAGCCCAAAAGAAACAAGACTTGGGGCGTGGAGGCCGCGTCTAATAGGCCACCTCTGCTGATGGGAATGCGGATTCTTTAGGAGGCACAACCCAGCGTCAGTGGGGGCCCCCTGAGAGCCACCTGCCCCACTGCCAGCCTCCACAGAAAGGGGCACAGACCCCTGGTGCTTGTGGCATCCTGGCGCCTGGCAGCACCCGCTTCCCCTCCATGTGGCTGATGTCCTCTTCCTTCAACCTGGTCTCCTCTCCCATGGTCATGAATAGCCAGGGACAATCCTATTCCTTCACCCTGATTCCAAGGGAGGGACACAAAATCATAAGAGCCACAAGAGAGATGCAGCTTTGGTCTCCTGCCCACCATGGGCTGGATGCCGCACTGGGCGTTCTGCAGACGTTGTCTCGCCCTTCCTCAGAACTGCCCTCCTTACAGATCAGGGTTGACGCAATTCAGAAGATGAAGCAATTCGAGGACAATGCTGTTCTCTAAACAGAAAGTACTGCTCTGAGGTTAGGAGGGGAACCATGATCTTGCTTAGGCTCTGACTTCTGAGTGGCCGTCAAGATCAAGTGCTGCCACTTCACCATTGAGGCTAGAGGGCCTGCAGACCCCAAGTTAACACAGTAGACCCCAGCTTGTCACAGGGAAGCCTGCAGATGCCACACTCTTACACGGCGTCCTGAAGAGCCCCAGTCTGTCACAGAGCTCATCAAATAAGAGAAACTCAGGGTTTCAGTCTTATATTCCAGGAGGCCTCCTTCATTTCACCTCCCTGGTTTTTTGTTGTTGTTGCTTTTTTTTTTTTTTTTTTTTTGAGACAGAGTTTCACTCTTGTTGCCCAGGCTGGAGTGCAATGGCCTGATCTCGACTCACTGCAACTTCCGCCTCCCGGGTTCAAGTGATTCTCCTGTCTCAGCCTCCGGAGTAGCTGGGACTAGAGGTGCCCGCCACCAAGCCTGGCTAACTTTTGCATTTTTAGTAGAGATGGGGTTTTGCCACGTTGGCCAGGCTGGTCTGGAACTCCTGATCTCAGGTGATCCACCTGCCTCGAAAGTGCTAGGATTACAGGCGTGAGCCACCGCGCCCAGCCACCACCCCAGTTCTGAGGCTGGTGTAAATGCTTCTCCATCTCAGGGCAGCACACCAAGTGTCTACTGAGCCCATACATTGGGCACTTTTCCGTGCTGGTGGGGGAAGGGGGAAGGAGGACAGGAAGCAGGTGTGTAGAGCAATGAGGAACACAGACAGGTGCAGGGATAGTCTTGAGAATTCTCTGCTGCTGAGGTTCTCTGCAGCCATCCCCCAGTGGGTTCCAGGGCACAGAACCAAGTCCGCACATCCCTGCATGGGGCCCCCTCTCTCGGCAGCTGGTCTCTCCTGCTCCCCAGCCCTTCCTGCCGGCTTCTGTGGTGCTGAAATCTGTGTCAGAACCTTTTCTGTTCCTCAAAGCTGCCTGGCTCTGGTTCCCTCTGGGCCCTTGCACAGGTGGTCCTCCCAGCCTGAATCTCTCTCTTCTCTGCTTTTCCCTTTTACCTTGCTAACATTTTTCAAGTTTCAATCAGCTGCCACTTCCACTGGAAGCCTTTCTTGTTATGGAATAGGTGTTCCCAATGCCTGTACTTACTCATCACACACACACACTTCTTGTGTCTAGTGGTGTTTGCTAATTGTCTGTCTTCCCAGTGGGCTCCTTAAGAACAAGGACCCTGTCTCTCTGTCCCTCATTGTAGCCCCAACACCTCCTATAGTACCTGCATAATAAGCGTACATGTTCAACCCAATGGACCAAATGCATAAATTACACATTCAAAGAACCTAGAGATTATCTAAAGGCACGCGTGTGGTCAGTGATAATCCATTTGGTAATAGAAGTCGAGTAAATTTCAGAAGTGCCAGAAGAGAGAAGGGAGAGAGTGATGAAGTCACAACAGGAGAGGGGAGCCAGGGAGGGCCTCTCAAGCCGGTAATAGCTAAGTAGAGTCTTCCAGAGTGAGAAACAAGGGCTTTTCCATTAGCAAAGGAAGGTGGCATCCAGGAGGGGCATTTGTAGCAGAGTATGCTATGCCTGAGCAAGGGGTAGGTGAGTGGGAAGAGAAGGGAGGGAGGTGGACCCTGGGCTGTTGCTATTGGTGTTGACTGCAGAGGCTGCAGATAAATTCACTGGCCAGCAGTGGGGCCGAAGAGAGGGGAAGCAGTCAACTCTCAAGGCCACATGTCATAGGGTTCCCAGAGAACTCTTTAAGAGCCAGGACCCTGGCTATCTGTCCCCCATTGTAGCCCCAACACTTCTATCTCCCAGTAGATCGTCTCTGTGCAGAGTCAAATTGGTGAAGTTTCTTAAGAAAAACGTTTTGAGGAAGCATGACCAGAGGAGGGAGATGAGTCCAGAAGCCTTCAGGATTGTCCAGGGGAGAGATAAGGAGGGTTTGGACCAAGGGAAAAGCAAAGAGATGGAGAGAAGCTGGGGCTTGCGATGTCTCGGGGAGGAAGAACGATGTGGGGAAGGAGGGTGGCCGAAGAGTGCAGAGTGGCCATCAGTCTCCTGACTTGGAAGATGGCAGCATGGGTAAAATGGCCTTCTTGGAGAAAGGGAGAGATGGGGCACTCAGGGTGGGGGCAGCTCTGGAGGTCAGTTCAGAACAGGTTGGCAAAGAGTCCAGTAGGTGGATGGATGGATGCGAATGTAACTTAGAAAGAAAATTCCACTTTAGTCAAACAGGCAAATACAAAACTACACAACAGAAATCGCCAATCACATAAGTGGAAATGGAGAGAAATGAACAGGTTTGCAAAAGAATTACTCATTCAGTAAAAGGGTTCTTTATAAAGTTCCATCTAAGTTAAATTATATCTGGTATAATAAAATGTGATTCATTTACATATTTCATTTCCACAGAGAAATTGTTGGGAATGTGGCTGTCACATTATGCTTGGTCTGACATAGACAAGTGACTATGTGTGGCAATATTTTTGTCGCTTTTGGCAAAGGTTCTCTTATCTTTTCCTTCTCCATTTCTGGCAAAATAATTGTTCACTTATTGACTGAATTCTTGTTCCAGTGGGTAAAGTCTTTCCTTCACAATCAGGAGTAACACTTCATGCCGGTGCTCCTAGGAGAAGAGTTGGTGGCAGCCATTCACACTGTAGTATAAATGACTAAAGAGCAAAGTCTGATGAAGGGCAAGGGGGATTATGAAGGCACTGTGCTTGTGAAAAGGATGATGGGGGGAAGGACATCCAGGTCATGGGGGGGAAATTATAAAATTTGTGAGAAGAGAAAAGCCTTCAGACGGATGTGACCTATTGGAGCACACACCTGCTTTGCTTTCCCCTCTGGCTGAGCACAGACCTCCCCTGGCCTTGCATTGGATTCATACACCTTCCTTCTCTAAAATGACCACTTACTGTTGTATCTCAGGGTCAACGCACAGGGTTGGAGCTCCTCTGTAAAGTTGTGTTAAAGGAAATGAAATCTTTCTGATGAAACTGAACAGGTGAGGGTGCTGTAGGCAGGGCTGGGGAGACCTGTGAGCAGTACTTGATAGAGTTGCTCCAATCAAATTCTCTCTGACTTCAACAAAACAACAGTAAAAGTAATGTATTCAGCGCTCACCATGTGCTGGGTCCCGTGCTGCACAATTTGTGCCTTATCACACTCAGTCCTCTGAACAACTCTGTAAGGTAACTATCTCTGTTTTACAAAGGCAAAACAGAGAAGTCCAGAGAGGTTACTTGTCCACCACGAATGTCAGGGTTAGATTCAAGCCCAGCCCTGTTGGGGTTTGAAATTGCTATCAGGTCATTTAGTCTGAAGTCTCCTTGGGGCCAAAGCCATGTCAGCTGAGGCTTGAAGGGGAAGCAGACAGATGTGACTAGAACTGCAGCTCATCAGCAACTGACTGCCAGTGCTCAGGGCACCTGAAGGAGCACAGCAAAAAGGACAGCCTTTTGCTCCAGGTTTCCACTTTTTGAGAGATATGAACACATTAGTAAAATGCCTGTGTCTGGGAACAGGCAGCCAGGGTGAGAAAATAATCAGATCTACACAAAATGGATAAAGAATGTGTGGAGGGACCTCCAAAGGGTGAGAAACCACTTCTGGCTGCTAATGCAATCTGGGTTCACATACTCAATTCTTAAAAAATAAGTCCATGAAGCAGAAACATCAAAAAGCATGGGATTTGGAATTTGAGACCTGACTTTGAAGCCCACACAGAACACAGACAAGTCAACCATGCTATTTGGGGTAAGTTGCACAGACTCTCTGTGGCCTGTTTACTCATTTGCAAGTAAAACAGCAATAATAAGATCTACATCATGGGAATATTGTGAGGCTCAGAGATTATGTGAGAGAGCTCTGCTAACTGGCCTATCTGTCCTCATTCTGCTGCTGATGGCGTGGGGGTGTTAAAGGGTCTCTGATTCAGGGCCTGGACCCTCAGTTTACCCCCTCAATGGTTCTTACTTCTCTTGCAGACATATTTTGTTCCAAAATGGCATCTTACCTTTATGGAGTACTCTTTGCTGTTGGCCTCTGTGCTCCAATCTACTGTGTGTCCCCGGCCAATGCCCCCAGTGCATACCCCCGCCCTTCCTCCACAAAGAGCACCCCTGCCTCACAGGTGTATTCCCTCAACACCGACTTTGCCTTCCGCCTATACCGCAGGCTGGTTTTGGAGACCCCGAGTCAGAACATCTTCTTCTCCCCTGTGAGTGTCTCCACTTCCCTGGCCATGCTCTCCCTTGGGGCCCACTCAGTCACCAAGACCCAGATTCTCCAGGGCCTGGGCTTCAACCTCACACACACACCAGAGTCTGCCATCCACCAGGGCTTCCAGCACCTGGTTCACTCACTGACTGTTCCCAGCAAAGACCTGACCTTGAAGATGGGAAGTGCCCTCTTCGTCAAGAAGGAGCTGCAGCTGCAGGCAAATTTCTTGGGCAATGTCAAGAGGCTGTATGAAGCAGAAGTCTTTTCTACAGATTTCTCCAACCCCTCCATTGCCCAGGCGAGGATCAACAGCCATGTGAAAAAGAAGACCCAAGGGAAGGTTGTAGACATAATCCAAGGCCTTGACCTTCTGACGGCCATGGTTCTGGTGAACCACATTTTCTTTAAAGGTAAGGATTTGAGAAGTTGATTTTTATTTATTTATTTTATGATGATGATGATGATTTTTGCTTAGTGAAATACACAAGCCAGACAAACCCTAGACTGCAGGGTGGAGAAATGGGAGGGCCTGAGCTCTAATTAGCTTTGCAATTAGCTGGCTGCAGGACCTAGGATAGCTCATGTTTACCAGTTACAGTAGGGACTCATTTAGTTCTCTTTGGGTAGACAGATTAAGTGTCTTGAGGTGTGTTTACATTTGACTCAGTGGGAAACCCACAGGAAAAATCTGGAGACTACTTGAGAGAAAAGATCTCTTGCCACCAGCAGCTGTCCCACTGCCCCTTGAAAGTTTTAGAAAGAAACATGGAACTCTCTGACAACCCAGTTTAAGAAGCAAATCCAAGAGTGTGAACACTTTCATAGGTGTAGAAATGTAGACAAGCTGATGTGCCTGTCATTCGTATCCCTTATATATATGAAGTCTCCTTCATATATAACTGCATATAGATATAGATATAGATGTAGATATATGTTAGAGCTTTACAGTTTCACTGTATTGCAGGGAATGCACATCAGCTTTAAAGTCAAACAACTTGAATTTGAATTTCACCTCTACCCCATACTTGCTCTATGATCCTCAGCATGTGTCTCTAAAAGATTTACCATGTGTTGAGTGCCTGACCTGTGCCAGTCTCTGTGCTGACTGGATACTCTGATGATAAAGCCAACTTTATAGGTTGTGCTTGAGATAGAAGTGCCTGGCATCTCCAGGCAGAGTTTTCATGGATGCCACCGTATCATCCCTCCCTTCCTCTGTCCCTCTCCTTCCCTTCCTTCCTCCCTCCCTTCATCCACATGTTCACTCATTTATCCATGCACTAGTTTATCTGTCCATCCATCCAGG
Source organism: Homo sapiens (assembly GCF_000001405.40). Lineage (NCBI taxonomy): Eukaryota > Metazoa > Chordata > Mammalia > Primates > Hominidae > Homo > Homo sapiens. Next base: position 94,468,316 of record NC_000014.9, on the reverse strand, counting down.
CATGCGCCTAACCAACCAGCCAGCCATCTATCCATTAACGTATTCATCTATCCATCTACCCATTCACCAAGCTATCCATCCATTTGTCCATCCATCAGTTCATCCATCCATCCATGCATCCATTCATCCACCTAGCTAGCCAACCACCTGTCCATTAATCTATTCATGTATCTATCCACCCTATATCTGCCCATTCACCAAACTATCCACCCATTTATCCATCTGTCATTCATCCATGAATCCATGCATACATCCATCTATCCACCCAGACAGCCAACCATTTATCCATTAACCTGTTCATCCCTCCACCCTTCATCTACCCATCCAGCAAACTATCCACCCATTTATCCATCCATCAGTTCATCCATCTATCCATCCATCCATCCATCCATCCATCCATCCATGCATCCATTCATCCACCTAGCTAGCCATCTAGCTAGCCAACCACCTATCCACTAATCTATTCATCTATCTATCCCTCTATCGGTTCATCCATCCATCCATTCATCCATTAATCCATCTATCCACCCAGCCAGCCAACCATTTATCCATTAGCTATTCATCTATCCATCCACCCTCCATCTGCCAGGCTATCCACCCATTTATCCATCCATCCTGCAAAGAGGAAAGAGAAGGAAAGAAAACTGGTATGGTTTGAGCCCTTACTAAGTTACCTTCAGTTTATGTTGTTCTATTTAACTAATTCTATTTTTAATTGAAATACAATTCACATGTCATAAAATTCACCATTTTATTGCTTTTTAGTATATTCACAAGTTTGGGCAACTACTCCGCTGTGTAATATCAGAGCATTTTTTTGTCACCTCAAAAAGAAACCTCATACCCACTAGAAGTAATTCCCCATTTCAGTTTGCTGTCTTTGCCTCACTAATTGTACTTTGACATAAAGACTTCTTTTCTCTCTTTGTGCTAGCCAAGTGGGAGAAGCCCTTTCACCCTGAATATACAAGAAAGAACTTCCCATTCCTGGTGGGCGAGCAGGTCACTGTGCATGTCCCCATGATGCACCAGAAAGAGCAGTTCGCTTTTGGGGTGGATACAGAGCTGAACTGCTTTGTGCTGCAGATGGATTACAAGGGAGATGCCGTGGCCTTCTTTGTCCTCCCTAGCAAGGGCAAGATGAGGCAACTGGAACAGGCCTTGTCAGCCAGAACACTGAGAAAGTGGAGCCACTCACTCCAGAAAAGGTGGGCATCTGTGTCAATCTCCTGGGCCCTGAGGCAGGGGATGCACACATTCAAAGATGAGGGAGAGATTGTGCTAACAGCTGTTGGATAATCACTTCTGCACAGTGAGCACCAACTGCATGCAGGACAGAGAGCCTGGGGCTGTCTATACATGTTCACACTTGAAGTTCACTATCACCTGATGAGGAGTCTTAGTACCACTCATTACACAGATGAGGAAATGGAGGCTCCAAGGGGTAAGTGAATTGCCCAAGGTCATGTAGCTGTTATATGCTTGCAGAGCTGGCTCTAGAAGCCTATCTGATATTGAAATCTATGGAATGATCCCATAAAAGCTAGCAAACAAAAGCATTGGTGGTCACATATAAGAAAGAGGATAACAATATTACCAAATCCAAAGGTTGGTGAAAAGGTAAAGTAACCTGCTACTTACAAAGTGCTTAGAAGAATTCCTAGAAGATAGTAAGTGTTCAGTAAATGCTAGCTAATAATGTTATTATTAGTTCTGTAATTAGTATGGTGAGTACAAAAAATATGGAGAATAGCAAAAAGATTAATCATGAGATAAAAAAGGAATGTCCACGTTTTATGTTCTGTCTCTTAGCAATATATTTTTGGCATCTTAGAATGATTTTAGCAGCGTTCCCTGGTGCTCATAGTCTGGGAAGAGAGAAGGAAGGCTGCAGTGTAACTGGAATTCAAGAAAGAGATTGGGCAATGCCCCACGGGAGGGCAGGAAAGGTGCTGAGGAGTTTCTGAGCAGAGAGAGATCACTTTCAGCTGGGACTGAGGGACAGCTTCAAGGAGGCGGTGGGGTTTAGCTGCACATGTGGGTAGCATATGAGCACACAGAGGCTTGGCAAGGGCAGCTTTGGTAGAGGACACAGCACTGGCAAAAACTCAAAGTTAAGGATGAAGAGATGCTGCAGGGTGTGTCAGCGATTTCTTCTCTTCTCAGGCTGCATCTGGGGCTGGGGATAGGAAGAGGAGGTGGCACAGAATTTCAGGGAGGGAGGGACAGAGTACAGAGCAGCAGATGGAGCACAGAGAAAACAGGGAAAGAGGACAGTGGCAGGGAAAAGAGAGCTGTCCCTGGCATGAGGGGTCACAAGACACCTGTCAGATGAGGACTGAAATGTGTCCATCCAATATTTTTGTGCTTTCGTTGCTGTGAGTCACTAAGTACATAACCTTGGGCAAAGCACTAAAAGTAAGCTTTACCGTCTTTAAAAGGGGGAAGTGTTGTTGAATGTGCCTGGGACAATGTCTGGCATATAATAAATGTTCAGGCTGGACTCACGCCTGTAATCCTAGCACTTTGGGAAGCCGAGGCGGGTGGATTGCCTGAGCTCAGGAGTTCAAGACCAGCCTGGGCAACACGGTGAAACCCTGTCTCTACTAAAATACAAAAAAATTAGCCGGGCATGGCCACGTACACCTGTAATCCCAGCTACTTGGGAGGCTGAGGCAGGAGAAACACTTGAACCCACGGGGTGGAGGTTGCAGTGAGCAGAGACTGTGCCATTGCACTCCAGCCTGAGCGACAGAGTGAGACTCCATCTTAAAAAAAAGAAGTTCAACACATGTGGGCTGTTTACTCTTGGTTCAGGGAAACCATTGCAGAGGAAAAAAAATATTGTGCTAAATTATCAGGTGGTGCTGTTCAATATAGTAGCCGCTAAGCCACCTGCAGTAATTTACACTTAAGTTAACTGAAATGTAGTAAAATTAACATTTTAGTTTCTCATTTGCACAAGCCACTGTTTAAGTTGCTCAGTAGCCACACATGGCTAATGGCTACCGTACTGGAGAGTGCAGGTCTAGGATCTTCCCAGCATCACAGGAAGTTCTGCTGGACTTTGCTGCTCTAGGGCATTATTAGCAGGGCTTGCATCAGGAAGTGCTGCTGAGGAGGTATTCCGGACAGTGAGTGGGTGGTTGATGAGCTTCCATTGCTACTGGACGTCTCCTGTTGGTTTCTGCCATAGACTCCCTTGCTGACTGCTTTTTCACCTCTGCACCCACTTCACTGGGGGCTCGTCTATCTCCTTGCATGTTTTTAGTGCTGGACCTGCTCAGCTGGGAGGCTTATTTCAAGAGCAACCTGGGTTTCTTGGCTAGGATGTGTTGACCTTTTTAGCAGAAATTAGCAGTGGTTGGAGGAAGAACGGAGTCTCCCAAAATGGCATCTAGGAGCAGAGATGCAGACACCATGGGCTTGTGACCTCATTGTTTCCTTTTCCCTACTCCACAGGTGGATAGAGGTGTTCATCCCCAGATTTTCCATTTCTGCCTCCTACAATCTGGAAACCATCCTCCCGAAGATGGGCATCCAAAATGTCTTTGACAAAAATGCTGATTTTTCTGGAATTGCAAAGAGAGACTCCCTGCAGGTTTCTAAAGTGAGTTGAATGAAAATATTTGCAAAAAAGTCCAAGCTGGAAGCACCTGCAGAATTAATCACATGCTCTTATTTCGTTGATAAGGAAACAGAGGCCTGAAAGGTGAAGTCAGGGTCTTCTGCGGCCAGAAGAACCGAATCTTGCGGCCTATGGCCACCATCCCTCTGGCATGCAGCATCTGTTATCCCTCTTCACACAAATGTTCCGAAGCCATCCTCAGCAGTCAGGTGCTCCCCCATGCCTGCTGCAGGAGAGCAAGTGCTCCCTCAGGATCTGACCTCACTTTCTTCCTCCCTGAAGTTTAGGCCCTCACACAGGCATCACAGTGTGGCTGCCCATAGGTCATCTGCACCCTGTAGATGTGTTGTCTGGCCTTCAGTGTGTAAGGAGAGAGAGAGAGAGAGAGAGAGAGAGAGAGAGAGAGAGAGAGAGAGAGGAGTTTTAAAGCATAGTATATTAGATCTAAAAGTCTAGATTTCTGATCCTCTTGAAATAAATCACTAACTCTAATTCCCACATGGCAACAGTGAGCCTATGTGTCCACATGGCAGCCATCACAGGAGCTGAGCTATGAGTGCCCCTTTTAACCAGACAGTATCCTCCAGGTAATGTGGGCACCCCATGCTCTTACAAGAAGTCTCCGTCAGTTAATTGGGGTTACCTGCCTAGCCCCTGCACACATATGGGTTACTGATCCCTGACCTAAAATTTTATTTTGATAGTGGATTATAATAGAAGTGATCCTGGGGCCACTGAAGGGGACCTTTGTCATTGGTTTTCAGAAAATGTTGAGAGGCCCCACTGGAATATGATGAACATAATGGACATTTTCTCGAGGAAAGTGTATCTGTGAGCCTATGAAAAATAATGCCTGTAGTCACAGGAGCTCAAGCCTCCCTGAAGCTTAGAAATCCAGGAACTCCAGGTTAAGAATCTCTTCCCTAGAAGACAAAGAAGGGATCTAACCTTAGTCATATCAAACCCATGTCTGCCATGCAAGAACTGCAGCAATTACTACTGCTGGCAAGTCCACAAGCACTTGCTTTGTATGATCTCTCTTAATTTACACAATAACCTTACGGGGCATATGCAGTTATTATTACCTTTTATAGATCGGGAACCTGAAGCACGCAGCATCTTAATAATTTTGCAACCATAAGTGGCAGAACTGAGACTCACTCCGGTCTTCCTGCTCTGTGTTTGTAACCATCTCAATCCCGGTGTAAGGACCAATGGGCCATAGTCAACACCCACTGCAATGTATTGAGTAAACCCAATGCCAGGCATTTGAACCTTGAATCCTTTCAAGGTAGACATCACCATTCCAGGGCAAAAGCACTCAGTTTAGTTTACTCAGTTAAGTAAAAGTGTCTCCACTAGGGCCACTGATGTTTGTTTTTCCCTTGGCAGGCAACCCACAAGGCTGTGCTGGATGTCAGTGAAGAGGGCACTGAGGCCACAGCAGCTACCACCACCAAGTTCATAGTCCGATCGAAGGATGGCCCCTCTTACTTCACTGTCTCCTTCAATAGGACCTTCCTGATGATGATTACAAATAAAGCCACAGACGGTATTCTCTTTCTAGGGAAAGTGGAAAATCCCACTAAATCCTAGGTGGGAAATGGCCTGTTAACTGATGGCACATTGCTAATGCACAAGAAATAACAAACCACATCCCTCTTTCTGTTCTGAGGGTGCATTTGACCCCAGTGGAGCTGGATTCGCTGGCAGGGATGCCACTTCCAAGGCTCAATCACCAAACCATCAACAGGGACCCCAGTCACAAGCCAACACCCATTAACCCCAGTCAGTGCCCTTTTCCACAAATTCTCCCAGGTAACTAGCTTCATGGGATGTTGCTGGGTTACCATATTTCCATTCCTTGGGGCTCCCAGGAATGGAAATACGCCAACCCAGGTTAGGCACCTCTATTGCAGAATTACAATAACACATTCAATAAAACTAAAATATGAATTCATCTGTCAACAGAGTCCTAATCTGAAAATGATTTACTAGCGAACTCGCGATGGCTGGGCTGTCATCCCATGACATCTCAGAGGCTGCATGATTTTTTTCCTTCATTTATTCAGCAAAAATTTATTGAACACTTAACATATGTTAGGAGTAAATCAGACAGACAAGATTCCTGGCCTGTTAGGCCTAAATGGGGGAGACAGACCCCCCTACAGCAACAATGAAACCAGACCTATAAACATGATCGTAAGAGCTTATGATAAGTGCCATGAAGGCATTGAACAGGATGACTGAGAGTGAGGATAGGACAAGGGAGGGGTGTGAGCATGAAGGCTGTGAGTCAGGAATGAGTGGCATGTTGGAGAGACAGAGCAGGGACCTTGTGGCATCATGTGTGGCAGATGGAAGAAATGAGAACACAGAGGCTCAAAGAGGTCGGCTGGTGGAGGCCATTGTTAGCCAAGGAGAGAGTCTGGGTTTGTGGGGAGCGCCGGGACACCGGCTGACGAGGGCTAATGCGTGGGCTGTGAAGGTCTCCCCGGGTGCCGTGGACCAGTTTCCCATCTCCTCGCGGCTGGCTGCCTTCCTGACTCCGATAACGTCATGTGTGCACACACAGCCCTCCGGGTGCTCAGCCCCTTCCCTGCGGGTTTGTAACGGCAATGGTCCCGCTTCCATACTCTGAGTCCTGAGAGCAGCACAATGAGCAATGGGCCACGGTTGCACTACAGCAAAGGCAGCTCGTGTCCTTTGAGTCAGACCCACCGTCCCTCCTTCCCTCGTTGCCTGACAGGCTGTGCTGGCACCTCTATGTCACCCCCATTACCGAGGGCATCTCTGGCAGCCTCAGTAGAGCCCTTGCTCCCATCAGATCCAAAGGCTCCTCTTCTGGGGGCCCCGGTGCCCCACACACCTCGGATGTGCCAGGGGCCTCATGTAGGCTTTCTCATGCTATTTTATAAGGAAAGAAACAAAACAGAAAGGAGTTATGCTGGAGAGCTGGCAGAAGTCCCAGGGGAACCTAACCCCCTGGCCCTCACGCTCCCACTTTATTTCACAAACAGAACAAGCTGCCACTGCACTCCAGCTTGGGCAACAGAGCAAGGCCCTGTCTCAAAACAACAAAAACAAACAAACAAACAAAAAACAAAAACAGAAGAGCTGACACTCAAAGAGTAAAAACAACTAACCTAAGCCACAGGGCCTTCCTGTGCTGGCTTAGAACAAGGACCAATGGCCAGTTATGAAGGGCTCCCGCAACGCTGCCTGAAGCAAGGTTTGTTTTATACACAATGCTCTTCCCTCAGGCTCTCCATTATAAAGGCCACAGTGGAGAAGCCAGGCATCCTTCCCAGGAAGGAACATACCTGCTCAGACATGGCTCCAGCCTCCTGCAGAGTAGGCAAGAAGATGTCCTACAGTAGCACAAAGGAGATAGTAGGTGTGAAGAAGTGACTAATGACACTTGCTGTTCACAACTAGTTTTTTCCAGAAACTATGAGGAACCCCAAGTAGTCAGCAGTGGGTGACGGCTGTCAGCATCCCTCCGACAGCCTTGCTTCCAGTGGCACTTTACAGTGAAAGCAAGCTTAGGTGGCAACCTGGTGCCCACTCAGACTTGCATTGGCAAGCAGATACAAAAACAGCCGTGGGACATTTTCTATCAACTTGCTGAGGTCCCAGCTCTGTTTTTTGAAATGCCAATCCTTCGCATTTGTTTTTAAATGTACCTCACATTTTGTTTTGAAATCATTTCCACTGGGTATGGTAAGGTGACAGACAGAGACATCTGCCTTTGAAAGAAGAGTTTATTACTTTGAGCACCCAAGAGGAAGGGGCCTGCCCCACCACACAGGGCCACACGGGGAAGCACCGGGGCTGGTCCAGAGGCACAGGAGCGAGAGGAACATGTGGCCAGAGACTTTAGTACTGCAGTGTGGGGAGTGGTTAGGTGGGACATCCCTATTGGGCAGGAAGTGAAGTATAGAGGTTGAGGCTTGTGGTTGGAGAATTTGTAAAATGATTCTTGCATGCCCATGAAAACACAGAGAGGGCATGAACATAATCAACTGTGGCCGTTAGTTTGGGCCATCATTTCAAGATGCAAAATCATCAGTCACAGAATATCAAGCATGAGTATTACAGCATCGCATGAAAGTTTCACTCAAGGCAAGAGTGGCAAATGCAGACCCATGGGCACCTGCACCTCCACCCCATTTAGGGAATCAGGTTCGACCTCCTAGGAGACTTTATGTTTTACAAGTGCCTTGATTGGAACCACTGTGCCAACCTCAATGACCTTTTATTTTAGGATGAGATTTACTTGTACTATTAAATCATTCTACTTTCCAACAATAATGTTTTATTGTTTTTAATTATGAATAAGATGCATGCTCTTTGTAAGAAATTTGGAGAATACAAAAATCTGCAAAGAAGAACTTAAAAGTCACTTCAATTTTGTCATGAAGAGATTCTCTCATAAATAAATACTCATTTAATTCTAAGCTTGTTCTACTTACTTGGGAGACATGGGTGATCATGAGCCAATGATTTCACTTCACAGGTTTCTCAAAGTAGTAAGAAGAAAGGTCTTTCTCTGTTTGTGAAATTTCCTTCCAATTTTCTTTTCGTCACCTAAGCTGGAGTGCAGTGGCACAATCTTGGCTCACTGCAACCTCTTCTGCTTCCCAGGTTCAAGGGATTATCCAGCCTCAGCATCCCAAGTAGCTGAAATTACAGGCACCCGCCACCCTGTCAGGCTAATTTTTATATTTTTAGTAGAGACGGGGTTTCAACATGTTGTCCAGGCTGGTCTAGAACTCCTGGCCTCAAGTGATCCACCTGCCTTGGCCTCCCAAAGTGCTGGGATTACAGGCATGAGCCACCGCACCCAGCCCCTTCCAATCTTTTTATTCATACACAGATCATATTTTATTTGAAGCATCAACAAAATACTGGAATGGTTTGGTGTGGTAGTGAAGGCTTGGACTGGGGGATAGGATCCCAGTTCTGAGTGTGGCCCCATCCGTCCACTTAATGAGCAAGTGACTTAACCTCACAGAGCCTCAGTTTCCCATCTACAAAGTAGGGATGACTGTGCCTCTCTCACATTCTTGCGGTGAGGGTGACCAATAAAGAACGTAGCCTAAAAGAAAAAAAAAAGAGGGGGAAAAGTGGCAGACGGAAGGCAAGACTAGATTGCAGCTCGCACTTGGACAGAGCACTGTGTGGACCTTTGAAAAAAATTTCAAAGGTTCAACACTCGCATCTTCACCCTTTGCTTCAGAACTAATGCAGGAATAAACCAGGAAAGCCGAGAGAACCCACAAACCCTCTGAAGGAAGGAGGTTGCTCCTGCAGAACCCAAGAGACAGTCCAAATATTGTGAGTGCCCAAGCTGTGAAAGTGGGAAAGGTGGATTGTCTGTCACTGAACACACACCCTCACTGGGGCACCTGAAGGTCTAGATCATGGGAGAAGGATCTGACCTTATCTGGAGCTGAGTCAATTTAGAGAGCCAAGCAAAATATAGGGGTAGAGGAAGCAGCAGGAAAAGCCTGTGGGTTTTCCACCCTCAGAAAGCTATTTCAGAGTTGTCTCATGGGTGTTCTTGGGGAGGGCTGCCAGAAATACTGGGAAAAGACCACAGGGAGAAGGAAACCCCCAGCTGAACCTTGTAACAATTCCAACTGAACAGGAAGTCTCCTGGCCAGAACTCAAGGGAGGGCCTGAATCTGGTGTGCAGACTCCACAGGCCGATAGGCGTGAAAGCCCTACTTGTTCTCATAAGTGGGAGTCTGGTAGCCTGGGGCAAGTTCTCAGCCCTTCCTGCCCACTGCCTATAAACAAACTTGGTGCTGTTTGGGGGGACATGGTGGGAGTGAGACTGGTCTTTTGGGTTGTGTGGGAGCTGGGTGAGGCCTGTAACTGCTGGCTTTCCCCCACTTCCCTGACAACTTGCATGACACAGCAGAGGCAGCCATAATTCTCCTGGGAACAGCTCCATTGACCTGGGAACCACACCCCCATTCCCCACAGCAGACATAGCAAGCCCTGCCCAAAGAGAGTCTGAGCTCAGACACACACAGCCCTGCCCCCCTCCCCCCATGGTCCTTCCCTACCCATTCTGGTAGCTGAAGACAAAGGGCATATACTCTTGAGAGTTCTAAGGCCCTACCCACAGCCTGGTTCTTCCTATACTACCACAACTGATGCTCTCTCAAAAAGTGTCACCTTCTGGCAGGAGGCCAACCAGCACAAAAATAGTGCATTAACAACAAAAACTAAGGATCTTCACAGAATCCATTTCACCCCCCTGCCATCTCCACCAGAACAGGTGCTGGTATCCATGGCTGAGAGACCTGCAGATGGTTCACACCACAGGACTCTATGCAGACAATCCCCAGTACCAGCCCAGAGCCTGGTAGACCTGCTGGGTGACTAGATCCAGATAACAATCACCACAGTTTGGCTCTCAGGAAGCCACATCCCTAGGAAAGGGGTGAGAGTACTACATCAAGGGAGCACCCCATGGGACAAACGAATCTGAACAGCAGCCCTGAGCCCTAGATCTTCCCTCTGACATAGGCTATCCAAATGAGAAGGAAGCAGAAAAACAGTGCTGGTAACATGACAAAACAAGGTTCTTTAACACCCTCAAAAAATCACACTAGCTCACCACCAAACAAAAAAGAAATCCCTGATTTACCTGAAAAAGAATTCAGAAGGTCAGTTATTAAGCTAATCAAGGAGCCACCAGAGAAAGGTGAAGTCCAATTTAAGGAAATAAAAAAAATACATAAGAAATGAGGGGAGAAATCTTTAGTGAAGGAATAGCATAAATAAAAATCAACCCTTTAGGAAATAAAGGAGAGCACTGAGAGAAATGCAAAATGTTCTGGAAAGTTTCAGGAATAGAATCAAAGAAGCAGAAGAAAGAACTTCAGAGCTCAAAGACAAAGTTTTCAAAGGAACCCAATCCAACAAAGACAAAGAAAAAAGAATAAGAAAAAAAGAACAAAGCCTCCGAGAAGTTTGAGATTATGTTAAGTGACAAAACCTAAGAATAATTGGCATTCCTGAGGAAGAAGAGAAATCTAAAAGTTTGGAAAACATATTTGGGGGAATAATTGTGGAAAAGTTCCCTGGTCTTGCTAGAGACCTAGACATCCAAATACAAGATGCTCAAAGAACACCTGGGAAATTCATCACAAAAAGATCATCATCTGGGCACACTGTCTTCAGGTTATCTAAAGCCAAGATGAAGGAAAGAATCTTAAGAGCTGTGAGGCAAAATAGTCAGGTAAGATATACAGGAAAACCTGTCAGATTAACAGCAGATTTCTCAGTAGAAACCCTACAGAACAGACTAGAAGGGATTGGGGCTCTGTCTTCAACCTCCTTAAACAAAACAATTATCGGCTAAGAATTTTGTATCCAGTGAAACTAAGCTTCATACATGAAGGAAAGATACAGTCTTTTTCAGACAAACAAATGCTGAAAGAATTCACCACTACCAAGCCAGCACTACAAGAACTGCTAAAAGGAGCTCTAAATCTTGAAACAAATCCTGGAAACACATAAAAACAGACCCTCTTTAAAACATAAATCCTACAGGACCTATAAAACAAAAATACAATTAAAAAAGCAAGGTATACAGGCAGCAAATAGCATGATGAATGGAATACTACCTCACATCTCAATACTAATGTTGAATGGAAATGGCCTAAATGCTCAGCTTAAAAGATGCAGAATGGCAGAATGGATAAGAATTCACCAACCAAGTATCTGCTGCCTTCAAGAGACTCACCTAGCACACAAGGACTCACATAAATGTAAGGTAAAGGGGTGGAAATAGACATTCTATGCAAATAGACACTAAAAGCAAACAGAAGTGGCTATACTTATATCAGACAAAACAAACCTTAAAGCAACAGCAGTTAAAAAAGATAAAGAGGGACATTATATAATGATAAAAGGCCTTGTCCAACACAAAAATATTACAGTCTTAAATATATATGCACCCAACACTGGAGCTCCCAAATTTATAAAACAATTACTACTAGATCTAAGAAATGAGGTAGACAGCAACACAATAATAGTGAGGGACTTCAATATTCCACTGACAGCACTACACAGGTCAACAAGACAGAAAGTCAACACAGAAACAATGAGTTTAAAATATATCCTGGAACAAATGGACTTAACAGATGTTTACAGAACATTCTACCCAATAACCACAGAATATACATTCTATGCATCAGCACATGGAACATTGTCCAAGATAAACCATATGATAGGCCACAAAACAAGTATCAATGAATTTAAGAAAATTGAAATTATATCAATTACTTTCTCAAACCACAGTGGAATAGAACTGGAAATCAACTCTAAAAGGAACCTTCAAAATCATGCAAATACATGAAAACAAAATGACCTGCTCCTGAAGGATCACTGGGTCAACAATGAAATCAAGATGGAAATTTAAACATTATTTGAACTGAACTGTAATAGTAACACAACTTATCAAAACCTCTGGGATACAGCAAAGGCAGTGCTAAGAGGAAAGTTCATGACCCTAAATGCCTACATCAAAAACTCTGAAAGAGCACAAATAATCTAAGGTCACACCTCAAGGAACTAGGGAAACAAGGACAAACCAAACAAAAACCCAGTAGAAAAAAAAGGAAATAACCAAGATCAGAGCAGAACTGAATGAAATTGAAACAACAACAACAAAATAGCAAAAGATAAATGAAACAAAAAGCTGGTTCTTGGAAAAAATAAAAAAAGAAGACCACGAGCAAGATTAACCAAGAAGAGAGAAAATCCAAATAAGCTCAATTAGAAATGAAATGAAAGATTTTAAAACCGACACCACAGAAATACAAAAGATCATTCAAGGCTACTATTAACACCTTTATGTGCATAAACTAGAAAAGCTAGAGGAGATGGATAATTTCCTGGAAAGATCCAATCCTCCTAGTTTAAATCAGGAAGGATTAGATACCCTGAACAGACCAATAACAAGCAGTGAGATTGAAATGGTAATTTAAAAAATTACCAAAAAAAAAAAAAAGTCCAGGACCAGATGGATTCACAGCTGAATTCTACCAGACATTTAAGGAAAAATTGGTACCAATCCTGTTGATACTATTCAACAAGATAGAGAAAGAGGGAATCCTCACTAAATCATTCTATTAAGCCAGTATCACCCTAATACCAAAACCAGGAAAGGACATAACAACAACAACAACAAACTACAGACCAATATCCCTGGTGAACATAGATGCAAAAAATCCTTAACAAAATGCTAGCTAACAGAATCCAACAACATATTAAAAAGATAATCCAATGATCAAGTGGGTTTCATACCAGGCATGCAGGGATGGTTGTCAATAAATGTAATACACCACATAAAGAGAGTTAAAAACAAAAATCACATGATCATCTCAATAGATGCAGAAAAAGCATTTGACAAAATCCAGCATCGCTTTATGATTAAAACCCTCAGCAAAATCGGCATATAAGGGACACACCTTAATGCAATAAAAACCATCTATGACAAACCCACAGCTAACATAATACTGAATGGGTAAAAGTTGAAAGCATTCCCTCTGAGAACTGGAACAAGACAAGAATGCCCACTCTCACCACTTCTATTCAACATAGTACTGGAAGTCCTCGCAGGAGCAATCAGACAAGAGAAAGAAATAAAGGGCATCCAAATCAGTAAAGAGCAAGTCAAACTGTCACTGTTTGTTGATGAAATGATCATATACCTAGAAAACCCTAAAGACTCCTCCAAAAATCTCCTGGAACTGATAAATTAATTCAGCAAAGTTTCAGGATACAAAATTAATGTACACAAATCAATAAGTCTGCTATACACCAACAGTGACCAAGCTGGGGATCAAATCAAGAAATCAACCTCTTTTACAATAGATGCAAAAAAATAAAATATTTAGGAATATACCTAACCAAGGAGGTTAAAGATCTCTACAAAGAAAACTACAAAACATTGCTGAAAAACTCATAGATGACACAAATAAATAGAAACACATCCCGTGCTCATAGATGGGTAGGATCAATATTGTGAAAATGACCATACCACAAAAAGCAATCTACAAATTCAGAGCCAATTCCCATCAAAATCCCACCATCATTCTTCACAGAACTGGAAAAAAAATGCTAAAATTCATACGGAACCAAAAAGGAGCCTGCATAGCCAAAGCCAGACTAAAATGAGGCATCACATTACCTAATTTCAAACTATACTATAAGGCCATAATCACCAAAACAGCATGGTACTGGTATAAAAATAGGCACATAGACCAATGGAACAGAATAGAGAACCCAGAAATAAACCCAAATACTTACAGCCCAGTTATCGTAGACAAAGCAAACAAAAACACAAAGTGAGGAAAAGACACCCCATTCAACAAATGGTGCTGAGATAATTGGGAAGCCACATGTAGGAGAATGAAACTGGATTCTCATCTCTCACCTTATACAAAAATCAACTCAAGATGGATCAAGGACTTAAATCTAAGACTGGAAACTATAAAAATTCTAGAAGATAACATTGGAAAAATCCTTCTAGACGTTGGCTTAGGCAAGGATTTCATGATCAAGAACTCAAAAGCAAATGGAATAAAAACAAAGGTAAACAGGTGGGACTTAATTAAGCTCTTTAGAGCTTTTGCACAGCATAAGGAACAGTCAGCAGAGTAATCAGACAACCCACATAGTGGGAGAAAATCTTCACAATCTATACATCTGACAAAGGACTAATATCCAGAGATATTCCAACAAATTAGCAAGAAAAAACAAACAATCCCATCAAAAAGTGGGCTAAAGATATGAATAGACAGTTCTCAAAAGAAAACATACAAATGGCCAACAAATATAAGAAAAAATGCTCAACATTACTAATGATCAGGGAAATGCAAATCAAAACCACAGTGTGATATCACCTTACTCCTGCAAGAATGGCCATAATCAAAAAATAATAGACGTTGGCGTGGATGTGGTGAAAAGGGAACATTTCTGCACTGCTGGTGGGAATGTAAACTAGTACAACCCCTATGGAAAACGGTGTGCAGATTCCTTAAAGAACTAAAAGTAGAACTACCATTTCATCCAGCAATCCCAGTACTGGGTATCTACCCAGAGGAAAGAAGTCATTGTATGAAAAAGATACTTGCACACACATGTTTACAGCAGCACAATTTGCAGTTGCAAGATTGTGGAACCAACCCAAATACCCATCAATCAATGAGTGGATAAAAAAACTGTGGTGTATATATATATATGATGGAATACTACTCAGCCATAAAAAGGAACGAATTAATTGCATTCACATCAGCCTGGGTGGACCTTGAGACTATTATTCTAAGTGAAGTAACTCAGGAATGGAAAACCAAACATCGTATGTTCTCACTCATAAGTGGAGCTAAGCTATGAGGATGGGAAGACATGAGAATGATACAATGGACTTCGGGGACTCGAGAGAAAGAGTGGGAGCGGGGTAAGGGATGAAAGACTACATATTGGGTTCAGTGTATACTGCTTGGGTGATGAGTGCATCAAAATCTTGCAAATTACCACTAAGGAACTTACTCATGTAACCAAATACCACCTGTTCCCCCAAAACCTATGGAAATAAAAAAGTTAGAAAAAAAAAGAATACAGCCTGGATCATACAACCACAGACACAGGCAACAGCCACAACCACACCACCACCTGCTGCCAGCATCAGAATATTCTCAAAGCGAGCCTGGGCTTAAGTCACAATCCACCATTTGTTTGTGGGACAGGCAGTCAGGGCAGATACTTTGAAAAAAAAGAGCCCTTCCTGTTTGCTGTGCATTGTCTTCATACCAGTTCCCAGAATTGACCTGACAAATATTGACCAGGTTGCTGTCATCTTCAAACACCATTTTCCTGTGGGTAGAGGTGATGCAGTGCTGAAGACCTGGGCCCCTGCTCAGTGCCTTTGCTCTGTAAGTACTTTGCCTGTGCCCAAAATGAGGGCAGGGGCAGAAACTGCCTCACTCCCTTCTCTCTCTCTCTCTCTGTCTCTGTGTGTGTGTGTGTGTGTGTGTGTGTGTGTGTGTGTGTGTGTGTGTGTGTTCCTGGCTTTGATGGTAAGGATGGGAGAAGTAAGTCCCTGAAGAAGAAATGCAACCATGTACTCCCTCTGAGTCTTAAAGGAGAGACTTCAGGTTTTCAATCTCCTTTTATGGAAAACTTCAAGAATTTTGAGAGAAGAATCCCAAATATTCCTGCCAGTTAGACAAGAAAATGAAACAATACAACCCAAAGCACAATGACAATGATGCTGCAGCAAATTTACTAGAAGCTGTCCTGTGAAAAGGGTGCTTAGGAGCTCTGGTCTGGAATCTGAGTCTTGCTCCTGCTCTCACCAGGCGGCTTGTCCTAACCCTGCATCAGTCATTCCCTGTGTACAGTAGGGCTAATAATCCCTGTGCTTTGAGGTTCTCATAAGGATTAAATTAAATAAGACAAAGCAAGTGTTTCTCAACAAGGGCACTACCGGTATTTGGGCAGGACCACTCTTCATTGAATGTGACTATTCTGGGTGCTTCAAGAGCTTTCGGGAGCCCAGCTGTTCCCCAACTAAACTCCAGCAGCATCCCTCCACCAGGCATTGAGCTGATCCAAAATGTCACCTCTATCTCCTTTACACACAGCCCTCCCCCTGCCTTTGTCAGGAGCCAGTGTTACAATGCATGTAATATCCTATCACTTCATAAACCCTTAATAAGTGAGAATATTATACTTCACGAATATAGTTCTTAATTTTCCTCTGGGATCTTTCTGGAAGAGGAATTAAGAAATGAATTGGGCATCATTACCCCAGGCTTGATAGAAAGGGAAAAAAACTGCCATTGAGTACTTTCGGCATGCCTGGAGCTTTGTACTTTGACTGTCATATAATCCCGAAATGGCCCCACACCCAGGAGGTGGGCAATATCATTTGCATTTTGCAAAGGGAGACACTGAGTTTCAGACAGCTGCTTTTGCACAGTATGAGGCAGTGAGTTACTGCACAGCCTTGATTCCAAGGTCCCCTCATTTACAATTGAATCCCCTTTGGGAAATAGGTCATTTGCAAGTCAGGGAGTCCCTGGGGTGCAGTGGAGTAGAAAATGGTGCTGAGTTCAATGGGATAAAAAGAATAAACCAGAAATAGTTTCATTACAGGCACTTCATTTTACCCAGGGGTAGAACAATTTTTAAATTGATTTGCATCTTCCAAATTTTCGATCAAAAGAAAATCTGAAGTGTATGGAAGCTGTCATTAAGTGAACCCACATTGGGAGTTCACTGGGGCTGTCATTAAGTGAACCCACACTGTGCTGGAGAAAGGGAGGACGTAGCCTTGGGGGCGTGCCCACAGTACTTTGACCAGCAAACGCATTTCAACATAGCAGATAATGAGACCACATTCGTCCCTCCTGACACCTGGCCTTTGTCGTTTGGCAGGCTACTTAGGGCACCAGGGGCTACAAACCCATTTGCAAAAATATAATCTCTCTTTCACTGTCGCAGCATTTGCAATTGATCCAGAAGTCATTGGTTTAGGCAAAAAATTATTAAAGGTGCCAGTTAAGACACAAATGTTATCAGGACAAACTGATGAGGAGTGATAGAGGTGGTCAGCAGTGCACAGCTGCTGCGCAATGAATGGAACGGTGGAAGAGTTGGATTTGAAGGGAGAAGAGAAGGCTGCCTTCCTTACTGAGAAAATCAAGATTTGGGAGGGTCCCAGTAGCAATGTGGTCATGAGTCTTCTGCAAGAACCTGAAGATGGGTGTAGGGTCGGGGGATGGGACTGAAAGGGAAAGGAGAGCATGGAACATTGGGCAGGGTGAGTAGAGACAACCCTGTTTGCACTGCAGTTCCCCCTCCAGCTCAGGCTGCATTCCCAGCCCTAAAACAAGGGGTCTTCCTGCTCCTGTACCACTTTGATCCCTGGAAGTGGAATAAAGGCTCTTCTGGCACATTTTGTAACTTAAAATAAAGCACAAGAGATATCACATTAGTTTGCAAGGGCTATCTTAATAAATACTACATGCCAGGCAGCTTAAACAACAGAAATTTTTGACTCACAGTTCTGGAGGTTAGAAGTCCAAGATCAAGGGGTTGACAGGGTTGGTGCCTTCTGAGGCTGTGAAGGAGAATCTGCTCCAGGCTCCTTTCCTAGCTTTGCCTCTCTCCTAGTTTGCTGGCCATCTTTCGCTTTCCTCGGCTTGTAGAAGCATCACCCTGATCTCTGCCTTCATCTTCACATGGCATTCTCCCTGTGTGTTGTCTGTGTCCAAATTGCTCCTTCTTGTAAGGACATCAGTCATATTGGATTAGGAGCCTGCTCTAATGACCTCATCTTAACTGATTACATCTCCAATGACCCTATTTCCAAACAAGATCATATCTGGAGATACTAGGTGTCTAGACTTCAGCATATGAATTTCGGGCAGGTACAATTCAGCACGTAACAGACATCATCCCCACAGCCCTGAGGCAATAAAAAAAATAGAGAGGTTTCAGCCTCTGCTTGTGACAAGAGGCATCCCAGATATCAGAGGCTGGACAGAGACATGGAGACAGAGTTGCTCTCTCTCATCGCTCCTCTAGGCTCCATCAGTCCTGCTACTTTGCTCCCCACTCCTGGGCTGTCTTCATCCACACATCCAGATGGCCGATCCTCACATCGCCACTCCAGCTAATGAACGACTGGAAAGGGGGAGGGCACTCTTCTTTCTCTTGGGGCCTGACCGAGGCTTTGCACATCATCCTTTCCTTTCCAATGGGCAGGATCATAGTCAATAGCCATGCTGGATGTGAGGGAGGCCTAATATCACTGGCAGTGTGGCCAGGACATTTGCTCCAAGCATGTTCTTCTCAATTTGTCATCACATATATAGCTATTGAGTGTCACCTAAGCTAGTGTCAATTAAACCCTTAACTCTAGGAAATCTGAAATTTTGTTTACTTCTTTCCCCACTAAATACTGAGGACCTAGCTACCTCTTGGACCAGGCAGATACTTGAAAGTTAATGAATGATTGAAAGAATGACTGGAGAGAAGAAAGAAAAGGGAAGGAAGGAAGAAGGAGGGAAGGAAGGAAGGAAGGAAGGAAAGAAAGAAAGAAAGAGAAAGAGAAAGAAAGAAAGAAAAAGAAAGAAAGAAAGAAAAAGAAAGAGAAAGAAAGACAGACAGACAGAAAGAAAGAAAGAAAGAAAGAAAGAAAGAAAGAAAGAAAGAAAGAAAGAAAGAAAGAAAGAAAGAAAGAAAGAATAGAAAGAAAGAAAGAGGGAGGGAGGCTAGACTATGGAAGTTGTTTTGCTGTTGTGGTGGTGGTTGTTTTTAAAACAGGTTCTCACTCTGTCATCCAGGCTGGAGTGCAGTGGTACAATCACAGCTCACTGCAGCCTAGACCCCCCAGGCCCAAGCGATTCTCCCACCTCAGCGACTACAGGAACATGCCACCACACCCAGCTAATTTTTAAAAACATTTTGTAGAGGGGGTCTCCCTATGTTGCCCAGCCTGGTCTCAAACTCCTGGGCTCAAGCGATCCTCCCACCTCAGCCTCCCAAACTGCTGAGATTATAGGTGTGAGCCAACATGCCTGGCCAGGAGTTGCCATTGTTGTTGTTGTTATTGCTATTGTTTTATAGTCCAGAGACTTTTACTCAACAAAATGTTAGAAACCTACTATATGTAAAGCAGATAAAGGGTTGCTACCTTCACTGAAGCCTCGGAGGAAAGTGTCCAGAATCCTAATCATCCACAGCCTTGTCTTCTTCAGTGCCCCTCATGGCAGCCCTGTGGGGCACATTGTGAAGGTGGGATTTGTGGTATGAGCAATAGAGAATCATGACATTATTTATGGAGAAAAGTGACATGTTCACCCTCTTGTTTTCAGAGAATGGGTCCAGCTTGGCTTTGGCTACTGGGAACAGGGATCCTGGCCTCTGTCCACTGTCAGCCCCTTCTTGCCCATGGAGATAAAAGTCTGCAGGGGCCTCAACCCCCCAGGCATCAGCTCTCAGAGCCAGCCCCCGCCTACCACAGAATCACACCCACCATTACCAATTTTGCTTTGCGTTTGTATAAAGAGCTGGCAGCAGACGCCCCCGGAAACATCTTCTTCTCGCCAGTGAGCATCTCCACCACCCTGGCCCTGCTCTCTCTTGGGGCCCAAGCTAACACCTCAGCTCTGATCCTGGAGGGCCTGGGATTCAACCTCACAGAAACCCCTGAAGCCGACATCCACCAGGGCTTCCGGAGCCTCCTCCACACCCTTGCCCTGCCCAGCCCCAAACTCGAACTAAAAGTAGGAAACTCCCTGTTCCTAGACAAGCGACTAAAGCCTCGGCAGCACTATTTGGACAGCATCAAGGAGCTTTATGGAGCTTTTGCTTTTTCTGCCAACTTCACAGATTCTGTTACAACTGGGAGGCAGATTAATGACTATTTGAGAAGGCAAACATACGGGCAAGTCGTGGACTGCCTCCCGGAGTTCAGCCAGGACACGTTCATGGTTCTTGCCAATTACATCTTCTTCAAAGGTGAGGCTTGCTCTGACAGAATTATTGCCACTGCCTCTGCAAGTAAATGCTCTTACAGCAGAGAGCCAGCTAATAGGTTCTTTGCTAACCACTTGGGGAAATCTATGAATAAGATAGAGCTTTCCCACCCTTGCGTAGCCACAGTCCATGTGGGTTGGAAATAAGTGCAGAAAATAACTCAGTGGGATGGTGATGCTGTCCTTGCATAGGCATTGGGTGCCACAGAGTTCCCAAAAGAGACACCCATCCAGACTTGAGAAGCTTCCTGGTAAAACAGCCACCCAAGCTAAGACATGAGAGTGAGTAGTATCCACTCAGGTGAAGAAGCTTGGGAGAGGTGGGGCAAAGAGGGTTCAGGTTGAAAAAAACTAGCATATCTAAAGGTCCAGGGAAAAGAGATATCATTGCATTTTCAAAGAACTGAAACAAATTTAGTTGGGATAGAACATCAAACACAATAGCAGAATAATAGGAAGAAACCAAGAGTTGCAATGCAGAGGGAAACAAGGCCAGGTTGAGGGCTCCCAGCTTTATTCAGGGAACCTTAGAATTGCCGAAGACTTTTAAATGTGAAGTGACAGGATTACATATGTTTTAGGAAGCTCAAACTGGCTACAATTTGGAAGGTGGTTTGGAAGGGAGAAAGGGTGAGAGAGGAGAGACAAGTTGGGAGGTTTTCATAGTGGTCCAAAGTAAGTAGCACGGTGGCCTTGAATAAAGTTGTGGTTTTGGAGGTAGAATCAGCAATACTTGGTCATTGATTGGGTGTGGGTATGTAGGACAGGATGACCCAGTTCTCCTGTTATCAAGACCAGAGTGCTTGCAAGAGGTGTTTGTGGGGACAGATTTATAAGAAGTAAGAGAGAAGATACTACATGTGTGAATGTAACCATGACCCCAAAATTCTGCGTTTCTAACTACATCTTAATGGGCTTTTGCCTAATGCATGACATTTTATTAATTGAATTCTTTTTCCTTTTTCAGTTTGAAGATTAGGGAGTTGGAGTGGGTGAGTGAAGGAAGGAGCTCTTGAGCGTCTCTGTAGAAGGTTGTTGTCTAGAGGCAGTTTGGTTGAGAAGGATTAATTCAGTGTTTGCAAGCAATCTGAGCTGCTCAGTCAGTCATCCCAGCTCTGCAAATTAGTATGTTTAAATAAATTCACAAAGACTCAGTTTGATCATCCCTGATATGGGAATAATACTTATTTCTTATTAATTTTTATGACAATTTAAAGAGATAATGTCTAACACATGGAAGGTGCTTAGTAGATGGAAAAATACCTTTTGGCTTGTTAGAAGCTAAGTTCCTCTGAAATGGAACAAAATCGTAGGCTGTTAGTGCTCAAACACTGGTGACTTGTCCTAGAGACTGAGCCAGGCCTAAATTCTGGTCTCCTGGCTCTGTAACCATTCCACATTTTTTGCCACATACTTGCATAGCCAAGAGGAACTGTGGTTTTGTGTGTGTCTACCCAGAGTTGCTCTCTTGAAAAGAGTTCTCATGGCCTTATGGGTTTTGTGTCCTAAGCCAAGTGGAAGCACCCTTTCAGTCGCTACCAGACCCAGAAGCAGGAAAGTTTCTTTGTGGATGAGAGGACTTCTCTCCAGGTCCCCATGATGCACCAAAAGGAAATGCACAGATTCCTCTATGACCAGGATTTGGCTTGCACCGTCCTCCAGATAGAATACAGAGGAAATGCCTTGGCGCTGCTGGTCCTCCCTGACCCGGGGAAAATGAAGCAGGTGGAGGCTGCTCTGCAGCCACAGACCCTGAGAAAATGGGGCCAATTGCTCCTGCCCAGGTAAGTGTCACAGCAGAAGGATGCTGGCTGACCTTGCTCAAGAACCCCAGCAGGTCTTGATCAACTCCAGCTGCAAAAGCCCAACATCCATCTCGATTAGGCTCACCATCTTGTCCTTTACTAACTGTGTGATCTTGGCAATTTTCTCACCTTTTTTGGGCCTCTACTGTAAAACTAAGAACATGATACCTGCCTCATTGGGTTGCTCAGTAGATTCATTGAGTTTCTACCCATAGAGAATGTAGAACTTAGACTGGTACGTGGAGCATAAGAAGTGCTCACCAGGCATTGACTGTTATTATACTTTCCTGGTGTCTGTCTGATCCCCATCTCCTTTCCTCTTGCTTTCCTCTCTCCCCACCACACCCTCCCATAACAATTCACTAACAGAAGGAACAGAAGGTGGTTAAGTACAGCAAAAAAAATCAGATCAGAGACAGTGAAAAATAATCATGGCTGGGTGCAGCAGCTCAGACCTACAATCCCAGTGCTTTGGGAGGCCAAGGTGAGAGGATTACTTGAGGCCAGGAGTTTGAGACTAGCTTGGGCAACATAGCAAGACCCTGCCTCTATGCAAAATGAAAAAAAAACATATATAGCTGGACATGTTGATGCATGCCTATAGTCCCAACTACATGGGAGGATGAGGAAAGAGGATCACCTGAGCCCAGGAATTTGAGGTTACAGTGAGCTATGATTGTGCCACTGCACTCCAGTCTGGGCAACAAAGCTAGATCCTATCTCTAATAAAAAATTATTATTATCATTATATTGTTAAAGGGTGCTTCTATTTTAATTAAAACATGTTTAAAAAATTAAATATTAAGAACATTGTAAACATTAAAGTTCCTGTTTTATGTGATCTCTAAACTATTTCCCATCTCACTTGCTTTATGGTTTGTAGTTTTATCACAGCAACTTCAGCTTTTTCTAGTTTCCCTAGACCCCCTTCACCAGCTAATACCTTCTTGGGGGTGCATCTTCTTTTATGGGGTACTCTGAGATGAAATCTGGTACTTAGTTCTACTTACTGCTTGCTGCATAACAAGCCACCCCAAAACCGAATGACTTAAGACAATCACTTCCTTGGTTCTATGGGTTAACTGGGCTCAGCTGGGCAGTTTTCATGTGTTGGAGTAGGTGGCAGCTGGAGCTGAAGCCACTGAACTCTCTTCACTTATGTGTCTGGTGCCTGTGCTGGGCTGGCTGGAAGAGATTAAGGCTGGCAGGCATCTCTCTCTGCATGTAGTGTCTCCATGAGGCTAGCTCAGGTTCAGCAGATCAGCATAGTTAATACTGGTATATGGCAGCTAGGGTCTCCAAGACAGAATATTTCAAAGGCAGGAAATGAAAGCTACCAGTCTGGTAAGGCCTAGGCCCGGAAATCAGCACAGTGGCACTTCTGCCACATTGTATTGGTGGCAGAGCCAATGGGTGGTTGGAGAGCCAATGGCTGGGTGGTGCAGAGCCCACCCAGATTCAAGGGGAGGGTGCATAGATGCCACCTTTTGACGGTCATCTTGAATCCACCACAACCTGGGAGGCACTAGCCACCCCACATATCCAAAAGTGACTTCTCTCAGCACCCCATTCACACTGAGGTACCAGGGATAGAGAAGGCATTTTGTGTTTGGGCAGAGATTAAAACACCAAATAAGAGGCACGGGCCAAGGGGAGAGGCCAGGATTTAAGAGATTATTCCTGTTGTCCATGAAGCTCCACGGCTCTAGTCAGTTGCTAATTTCAGCCCCATAGTCCCTGGCTCCTTTGGGGTGAGTCTTCTCCTTGCCCCCATCACAGAAGGGAGTGCCATAGACTCTTCTAGACCAGTAGATTTTCCCTCAGGGAGGGTTTGGTTTGACTTCTTCCCACTTTGACATTCTAAAAGCAAAACTGACCCAAGTTACTCCTCTAAATCTCAGATATTCCTTGTGCCAGAGAGTTACAATATCTTAGTATCCATTTTTAGGGGCTTTTAGATATAAGAACTTCAGACTCTGCCATGTTTCACTCCATTCAGATGTGAGGCAGGTTAGCTTGCCAAGGGGAACTGCACTTCCTGGCACACCATTCGTGTATGTATTCATTCACAGTTGTTAAACATCCACTGTGTTTTGGGCTCTCTGTCAGACCCCTGCCCCACTAGACTCTATTCCACCCCCCAGCCAACTGGCGCGGGTCTTGCTTCCCACCCAAGTGCTGCCTATGGGAAACTTGTCAAATAGCCCTAGATGTCCTCCTACTTCAATTAGGCATCCAGACCCTCATATTGCCCAGGAGTCAAACCAGCCACGATTCTCTAACCTGAATTCGATTTTCTGAGGCAGAAGTGTTCAAGTTGGTTATGAACTAGTCATGCTTTCAGGTGCCTGGGTAGCTGTCAAACCATAATTATAAAGAAGAATAACCCCAGAGAGAAAGGGCAGATTTGCTGTGGATCCAAAGAAATTTCTGAACTTAACCCAGGGAAATGTGGCAATCAGATGGTAAAGATGCTCCAAACGCAGAAGCAGGAGTTCATTTGTGCCCTATGCCCAACACACATGATCTCCCATCAGATCCTCACAACAGCCCCAAGGAGGGGGCATCACCATGCCATTTAACACTAGAGGAACCTGAAGTGGAGATGGGTGAGAGACAATGGCTGCTTGTATTAGGGGATGCCAGGAGGTGGATTTAGGACCTAGTTCAGAAGCTGAGCCAACAGAACTTGCTGATGCATCAGATACGGAAGTGGGAAGATGTTGACAGTATTTACCTTATGTGGTCATGATTTGGATTCCATCAGTTCAGCCTTGAAAAAACATAGCCAATATCTGACACCTAGAAAGCCCTCTATAAATGTGATGAAGATGACAAAGACAGGTAGCTGTGCCTGGAGTCCTCTCAGATCCAGCCACAAGATATTCCAGGAGGTCCAAAGAGAAGGGAGCTGTGGGTATGGGTAGTGGCATGGTCCGCCATAGTGAACAGTGTCATGGGAAGACTGGTTGCTTCTCACGCTGGGAAATGCCTCTCTCCCATGGCTCAGGCTGCCGACAGACAGAGCAGGAGTGGCACATATTAACAAGAGAGCACCATTTCTCTGTCTGTTTCTCTCTCCAGTCTGTTGGATTTGCACTTGCCAAGGTTTTCAATTTCTGGAACATATAACCTGGAAGACATACTTCCCCAAATTGGTCTCACCAACATACTCAACTTAGAAGCTGACTTCTCAGGAGTCACTGGGCAGCTCAACAAAACCATCTCCAAGGTAAAGTGGTGAACATGGATGTTTGTGGGCAGGTGGGGGTAGGTAGGAGGTTTCTCCTTTGGCATGTGGGACATTTAAAAGTCAAGTTCCTTGTTCTTTGTCCTGTGCAGACTATTTAATACCACAGTCTTTAAGGCATCTCTTCATGGGCTTTTCCTTCTCTACCTCCCCTTCCTTAGGTCCCTTCTATTCTTCATGGCAGGAATACAGTGTCTTCCCCTTGAAGGCCCCCAAACTGATGCTGTCTTCATCTCCTCTTGTCCTCTAGGTGTCACACAAGGCGATGGTGGACATGAGTGAGAAGGGGACCGAGGCCGGGGCTGCTTCAGGCCTCCTCTCCCAGCCCCCATCTCTGAACACCATGTCAGACCCACATGCCCACTTCAACAGGCCTTTCCTCTTGCTCCTTTGGGAGGTCACCACCCAGAGCTTACTCTTCCTGGGAAAAGTTGTCAACCCAGTTGCAGGGTAACCATGGTGGGAGGCCAGGAGTTATCTTATCTCATCCTGGACCAAACAGATAGGCCAGAACCAGCCTGCATCCTGGGGCTGCTATGTGGTTCAGTTAATCAGTGTGCCAAGATTCTAATAAAGTTGACCTTGGGTTCTGTGAACACTAAGGAGCAATCCTTACAAGGGAGGAACAGCTTCTAGCCACTCATTCACAATTGTCCCATATCTGGTGTTAGTTGTGCTTAGAAAGTTGAAGATGAGAACGACCCTCATGTTACAGCCTCCCAGGAGATGTCCACCGCTGCTGCCACCATTGTAGATATTTGTTGAGCATCCTTTGGGTAAGGGTCATAGTGAAAAACACAGGGGGCATCAGCAGGAGTAAGCCAGTCTTTCCCTTCACAGTGGCCAATATGGGCTGTACAGACAAGAGAGGTTGTCCTAAAATGTCATTGCCCAGACATCAGGGGCTAGATCCCCTCAAGAGGAGGTTGGACCTGTGTCAGGGCTCCAAATTACAGCCCATGTAGAAAAGCAGGTGTGCAGATGGGCCGGCGTAATCACGGGTCAACCTGGAGGGAGGTCAAGTTCAAGCAGCAAGAACAGCGTGTCAAAGCCCAGGGCAACACGAAGACCAAAGAAAGCAGGAAGGCAAACATGGCCGGGAGGGATGATGGACATAGGGCAGGGTCAGTGGGGTGAATTGAGGGCCATATTGAATTGCGATGCAGCCTCCATTAGAGATCGAAAGGCTACTCTTCCATGTGTGCCTCTCCAAGAGGCATTCATTTGAAAGTAGTGGGGAAGCAGAAAGAGATGCCCAGCTGCATGTGTGTACCACTTGGATGACAATACCCATCACTACAATGAACTCCGTGCCCAGACACGCAGCAGGGTAGGATATAGGTGGTGCATGTCTAGGAAGGAGCCATCCCAGAAAGTGCTACAGTGGTGGAAACCCCTGACCCTACTCCAAGGAGGTGAGGCTCAGATCCTGAAGACCAGGTAAGCTTTAAATAAAGAGAAAAGGGTAGGATAGTCTGGGAGAGGGCAGGGGAGAGATGCGATCGGCAAAAGCAATGGGTAAAGAGAGGAAAAGGTATGCCCCAATAAAATGAGAGAAAACCAGCTTTGCAGCCATGGAAAGTTCAGGTAGGGTCATGGTGGAAGGTAGTGCTAGAGAGGTGTTCAGAGATAAAAGGCTGGAGGCTTTGGGTCCCCGTGGAGTGAGTGTGAGCATGGCCTTGTAGACAGTGGAGAGTAGCTGTAGGCCTGTGGGCAGATGTGGATGTGGACAAAGTAGTGATGGGGAAGTCATCTGTCAATTGGGCAGAGATAAGAAGGAGTAGGGTGCGGCCAGGGTAAGGCCCAGCCGGGATGGCACCATGAGGTCCATTTGACCACTGACCATGCTGCATGCAGGGCTATCGGAGCACATGCATCCACTGCTTCAACACAGACTTATTAAACACCTCCTATGCCAAGCATTGGGAATGCAGCAGTGAACAAAACAGATAATAGGTCCTGCCTACATGGGGCTTACATTATAGCAGACAAAACCCGGCAGTAAACAAAACAAGTAAGTAAAATATGTGCTGTTTGACAATAGCAAGGACAAGGTCTTTGTGGTCAAGAATATGCCCAGGAAAGTCCCTACAGTGTACATGAAGGGGCAGCTGGCCCCTGATGGTGACAAAGTGGATTGCTCAGTGGCAAAGCTGGATTTAAGCCCAAGGCTGCAATGTATCCACATTCATCCTTCTTGATAAAAGAAAACTGCAACTGAAAGATCCCTCCCTGTCATGTCTTCTAAGAAAGTGGCACTTGATTGAGACCAAAGTAGTCAGTGGTCTGAAGATATTCATTAACTGTCATGGAGGTATGGACCAACCCTTCAAGGCTTCTGTCTTCTGCACCCAGTGCTGCATAGGGAATACACTGTTGAGACAAGTCTTGTGTTCACTCCATGTTAGACACCATTATAAGCAGTTGACAGATGTCAATAAACTTTCTATTTCCAACAGTCATGAGAGGGAGGCACTGCTACATCTTTATCTTACAGGTGGGGAAACTGAAGCAAAATGTGCTAGCATGTGCAGAGCCTGGATTTGAACCCAGGCTGTTCATCTCCACAGCCCACATGTTTCATCTCTATGCCACACTTCTTTTGTGAGCACAACTCAAAAGCCCTTCAGCCACGCCTCATTGGCTGCCATACCACAAGGATCCAACTCCCAGGGTCATAGGAAGTGGGAGAGGGAAGAAGCCACATGAGCAGTAGCATCTGGGGAAGACTTTCTAGGGAAAGACCCAGAAGCATGGATGGAAAGTTGGTGGTTTAAGAAGCACTGATTGAGGACAGGGATGTGCCCTTTGTTGTTTATTTCTGTATTCTAGTACAGAGACTGGCATAGGATAAGTAAAAAAACCTTTTCTACCTTAATGCTGTGAGGGGAAGTTGTGTCACATGGCAGAATTCCATGACAAAGACTCAGAGGCAGGAAAGAAAGCACCCTGGTGAAGGACATGATATAAAGGTGCACTAAGTTTTGGGAGAAAACTTAGTGGGAGAGGCCCCGCTCTACTCCAAGCTGTGTAGACAGCACTCTCTCTCTCTTTGGCCTCTTCCCTTCCTTTCTCCTTGGGAAGCCAGTTGAGGCAGGCTCCCTGGACTCTAGTAACATCTTACACCCTTCAGCTGGCTGGACAACCTTGGACACATTGCTCAACCCCTCTGTGCCTCAAGTTCTTCTGCAAAATGGAACATGCAAACCTTGCTTTAAAGAATTGTGGAAATCAAATGAATACATAAATGTGAAACATTAAGCACTTGAAATCCACTAGGTGCTCAATGAAGCTTCCTTCTGGCCCCATCTTTTGGCTCCTCCAACCGTCAAGGGTGCTCTTCAAGGGTGCTCTTTCCTCCCACAGAGCAGAGTTCCGTACCAGGTAATGCCAAAATCCCCCCAGTGGTCACTGGCCACATAACTACCTCCCAGCGAAACCATGAAGGCTGCACATCAAAACACAAATGTGTTGATGGAGAGGCCTCAGGGGCCTTATCTGGGCACTAAAAGTGACATCTGCAAAACAGAACCATTCTTGCTGCAGGAACATTAGCTATGACACTGTGGCACTAAGTGGGGGAACGCTGGCCCAGGGATCAGGGCTGAAATTGCAGAGGCTCACGTGAAGGAGAGCCACATGATTTTCTCTAGAAAAGCATCATTGTTAGATTGTTCACTGGGTTTCTTCTCCTTTTTCTCCCTAAGATAACTCCTTCAGTCATCTGTGAATTAGGTAAGAGTCTCCCTAAGCGTACATTTCAGATGTATTTACACTCCAAACCAACCTTTTAACCACCTAGAAGAATGGACCATTTTCAAGATAAGTCAACAGCCATCTAAAATTTATATTTTCAGAGATCTTGCGATGCTCTCTGTGGTGGAATTGAACCATCTTTGTAACGCCATAGAGTCCCAGGTATATTTATTTTGACCCTGGAATGGAGGTAAATGGCTTTCAATGTTGGGACTAATGCCCTGGCCAGTTACAGCCAATATGAACACACAGGTCCAAGTAATGAAAATATCACTAGGGACACTGGTGTCTGTCACTCCACCTCAAGGTTCCATGTGTATCATAGAGACCATGAAAATATTCATAAAATTTCTATTCCCTTTATTCTGGCCATGAACAGAGCTGAGACCTTTAAAGTTTTCTATGTATGGGTGGGTCTGTTTCTAGACTGTCATTTACAATTCTATTGAATGATTTGTCTTTCCTTGTGTCAATACTACGCTGTCTTATTTAACCTAGCTTTATAAGTCTTGATATTATGTCAAGTCCTCCAGCTTTGTTTATAGAAGTATTTTATTTGCTTATGTTGTTTTGTTTTGCTTTCAATGTTTGTTTTTTATCCTGCCCACTCCACCAATTCTGGTTACAGTGGCTGGTGACTCTGTTTCTCCAGCTGCCCCACCCCTTCTCTTCCCACACTTATATAAGCCTCAAGTCCTATGTTAAAACTTTTTATTTCACGAAGTATTTGGAGTGTCTCTGTTTTCCTAACCCATATGAAAACATCTTTGTTCTGCCTTCATGCTTGAAGGATATTTTCACTGGGCACACAATTTTAGATAGCCAGATGTTCTCTTTCAGTGTTATAAAGATGTCACCCATTTTGACTTTCATTATCTGAGTTAAAAAGTTATCTATAATTACTATTATTATCCTTTGCAAGTAATCCACTTTTCCTTTTGGCTGCTTTAACATTTTTCTCTTTGTTTTTGTCTTTCAATTGTTTTCAAATGATATTCCTAGGTATAGTTTTCCATGTATGAATCCTAATTAATCTTAATCTTAATTAATCCTAATTAATATTAGGGTTCATACACCTTCCTGAATATGTGACTTGATGTCTGTTTTGGAAAATAGATACTATCTCTTTAAAAATTGCTTCTATTCCATTTTCTCTTCTTTCTCTGGGACAATCAAACATATATCAGACGTCTTCATCATGTGTCATGTCTCCTTCACACTTTTCTGCATTTTCTATTCTTTTTTCTTTCCGTGTGTAATCTGGATGCTTTCTGCATGCCTATCTTAAACTTCTAGTCTTTTCTGCTATGTTTGATCTGCTTTTAAATAAATCTATCAAATTCTTAATTTCAGTTCTTTTGATTTTTAGTGCTCGGGTTTTTATTTTACTCTTTTTATGCATTTTTGTTCTCTATGAAATTCTTTATATTTTGTTCCATCTTATTACACAGAATGATCAAGGTTGTTTTAAACCCTGTGTTTGATAACTCCAATATCTGGATCACCTGTGAATCTGTACATTCTATTCTATGTTTTTCTCTTGGTGTTTAATCAGTTTTTCTGTTACCTGGAATGCCTGGTCATTTTCACTGAATGCCACAAAGTGTGTATCAAAAATTATGTGGCTTTGGGTAATACTATCTTCCTCAAGAGGAGAATTTATTTTCTTCTCAGGCAGATAGAGTATAAAAAGACTACTTTGATTCAGCCAAGGATGGATTTCAGTCCTTTGGGGGTCTGGTTTATTTCTTTTGGGCCTTACCCCTATAATGTTGTCTTTGGGAGATGTCAACTAAGAGCCTGGGCTATTTGTGAGGGCTCCTCCCCGTTAACATGTTTATATACCAATTTTTGTCTCTTCCCTTCTGTGAGGCTGCTAAAATCTCTGCTCTTCTAGCAGGTGGCTTTTGCATGATTATTTGCTGTCTCATTCCGCACACGCATCACTTATGAGGCAGAAAATTACCTTGAAGGGAAATTTCATGCGGGACATTGTATCAGCTTCATCATGATTATCTTTTATCTAGAAACTTGATCCCTTGAATCCTAACTACGTGTTGACTCTGAATTCCAATTTTTGTTTCTCCAGCCCATTGACACTATTAAAGGCTCTAAGCCAGCAACCCCCGATCTTTTTGACACCAGGGACTGGTTTCATGAAAGACAATCTTTCCACAGACTGGTGCTGCAGGGAATAGTTTCAGGATGATTCAAGTACATTACATTAATTGTGTACTTTATTTCTCTTATTACATTGTAATATATAATGAAATCCTTAAACAACTCACCATAATGTAGTAGTACTAGTGGGAGCCCTGAGCTTAATTTCCTGTAAGTAGACGGTCCCATCCAGGGGTGATGGGAGACAGTGGCAGATCATCAGGCATTAGATTCTCATAAGGAGCACATAACCTAGATCCCTCACATGTGCAGTTCACAATAGGGTTCACGGTCCCATGAGAATCTAATGCCACTGCTGATATAACAGGAGGTGGAGCTCAGGCAGTAATGCGAGCAGTGGGGAGCTGCTGTAAATACAGATGAAGCTTTGCTTGCTAGCCCGCCGCTCATCTCCTGTTGTGAGGACCAGTTCCTAACAGGCCACGGACTGGTACCAGTCCATGGCCTGGGGAACTGGGGACTCCTGCTCTAAGCGACTGTATTCTGTTCACCTTTATGCCTCAGACTTAAAACCAGCAAAAGTCCTAGAGTAAAAAGGCAGCAGCAAATGTAAGCCTCACCTCAGTGCTGTTCTCCTCTCTCTGGAATCTCCTCCCAATTCTTAACTTATCGCATTCCTCATTGTGCTCCAGTACCTTCAGCCATCTAAATTTTATATTGTATTTGTCTTTTATGATTTTCTTAAGGAAGGGTTAATCTGACACTAGCTTCTCTGTCATAGTTAGAAACCAGATATTTTCTTAATAGAGCAAAGAAATCCCAATCTATAATGCTGTGCTGGCTGTACTAACCCCATGTGACAGTAATTTCATGTGTCACCTGACTGAACCATGGAGTGCCCAGATCTTTGGTTAAACACTATTTTAGGTGTTTCTGTGAGGGTGTTTTTGGATGACATCAATCTTTAAATTAGTGGACTTTGCAAAGCGGGTTACCCTTGTAATACAGGCCAGCCTCATCCAACCAGTTGGAGACCTGAATAGAACAAAAGGCTGATCTTCCCCCACGTGAGAGATAATTTTCCTGCCTAATAGCCTTCAGACTGGAGCAATGGCTCTTCCTAGTTCTATAGCCTCTGGTTGTCAGACTCAAATTGAGATATTAGCTCTGCAGATTTTGAACTTGTCAGCCTCCAAAATTGTGAGCTAATTCTATATACATATAATATATGTAATATATATGTTAAATATATATATATTATTGTGTGAGATGATCTTTGGTAGTAAGATAGGTTGTTTTCTCTTTTCTGGATCTTTCAACATTGTAGAATAGGGTTTATATTTTGTCTTTATTCATGGATGTGTTAAAAACCAGTGTGCCACTAAGACTGTAATATGGCAGGGATCTGGAAGCACTCATGTCCTACTCCAAATCACAGCACCACCTCTCCAGGAGATTCCCAATGGAGGAGATGTGTGAACCAAGTGAAAAAGGCAAATGGGAGTCCAAGGTTTGTTGTTGTATTCATCCATTTTCATGCTGCTGATAAAGACATACCAGAGACTGGGCAATTTACAAAAAAAAAAAAAAAAAAAAAAAGAAGTTTCATGGACTTACAGTTCACGTGGCTGGGGAAGCCTGACAATCATGGCAGAAGGCAAGGAGGAGCAAGTCACACCTTACATGGATGTCAGCAGGCAAAGAGAGAGAACTTGTGCAGGGGAACTCCTCTTTATAAAACTATCAGATCTTGTGAGACTTATTCACTATCACGAGAACAGCATGGGAAAGACCTGCTCTATGATTCAATTACCTCCCAAGGGGTCTCTTCCACAACACACGGGAATTCAAGATGAGATTTGGGTGGGGACATAGCCAAACCACATCAGTCATGTTGCTGGCTATGGCTTTGAACCAAGATCATTCACAAAACCTTGGCCAGCTGAGCTGAATCCCCTGACATATACCTGAGACCCAAGGAGACTATTCTCCACAAAACCCAAACCCAAATCTTGGATCCTCCTATTAAGATGGTCTAAAATAGAAAGCCAGTGTCAGGTGGAGGAATGAAGGAGTGTGAGATAAAAATGTAACCAGAAAACAGAGTTAGAAAGAATACGTTTGCCCCAGTGCTTTGTGCTGACTGTGCGGTGTGATGGTTGTCCTGTCCTGGCTGCTTGTGTAAATCAGAAAGTCCTTCCCACAGTCAGAGGAAGGAATGACTGAGCATGCTTGAAGGGCTCTGGCCAGGGCTGACTTACTACTGTATTAACAGTTATATGGGGATGTTAGAAAGTGATGAGGTGGTTGAACTTTCTTCTGTGTGGAAAGAGAGCCAGACATGAGAGCACATCTTTGCACTGACATTTCAACCCATGGGATTTACACCCATGGGCAAAATTCCAAAATCTAAGTCCTGAAAGCAGTTTGTAGGCTACCAATTTAAAATACATTTAAAAGTTCAGACTACTAAATGTTTAAATGATATAAAGATAGCCTGGGCTAAGAAGTCCATTGACTTCAGCATCAAATAGAGTAAGATAAATAAGGTGATGGGCGTGGTGGCTCACACCTGTAATCCCAGCACTTGGGGAGGCAGAGGCAGATGGATCACTTGATGTCAGGAGTTCGAGACCAGCCTGGCCAACATGGTGAAACCCCATCTCTACTAAAATACAAAAGGTGGCACATGCCTGTAGTCCCAACTACTTGGGAGGCTGAGGCAGGAGAATGGCTTGAACCCGGGAGATGGAGGTTGCAGTGAGCTGAGATTGCACCATTGTGCTCCAGCCTGGGTGACAGTGCAAGACTCCATCTCAAAAAAAAAAATACACACACACACACACACACACACACACACACACACACACACACAGTATCCCTGAATCACGTGCATTTAGGGTAATGCCTTGATTAGCTTCCTGTTTGAGGGAAAAAATGTTTCTCAGAGTAAGTAGGATTCTGCAGATAATGAGAACTCTCAACCTAAGCTTCATCACATACCATTTACATGGAAAGTGGCAATGAGAGAGAAAGATGTTGAGCTCACATCTATTGCCCCAACATCAAAGGCCAGCCCTGCCCCCTGCTGGTTACCGAGGCTCATTGCTGCATCCTAGAAGCAGGTCAGTGCCCCTCTCCTCCCATGAGGCTGGGCTGAGGAGGAGTTGTGGGAGGGTAGGTGTCTTAGTCCATTTTTGCTGCTGTAACAGAATGCCAAAGACTGGGTAATTTATAACAAACAGATATTTGTTTTCTCACAGTTCTGGAGACTGAGAAGTTCAAAATCAAGGAGCCACATCTGCCAAGGGCCTTCTTGCTGCAAAACAACACCCATTCATAATAAAAAGTCTTAGTAAACTAGGAATAGAGGAGAATTTCCTCAGCTTGATAAAGCATCTCTATGCCCAACATTTGCAAAATGAAAACCAAGCAGATTCTCCAAAGATAAGTTTATTGGGGAATGAGTATTGCCATGGGGATTTCTGTGGGCATATTCAGTGAAGCAAAGGAAGACAAGGGCTTCTAAAGATAAAATGAAGAAAGTCATATAAGCTATTCTCAAATAATTATCTATGGCTACAAGGATCAATAACAAGGCTAGTGTCAGTCCAAGTTTAAACATGCAGTTGCTGAGCAGATGTTGTCACAGAAGTACTTTTTTATAAGATCGTACTGGTCTTTGTGCAAGGTTGTGATTTTGACAGAGTCTTTTGTGATAGTTCTTGTCATCATATATAAGACTCTCTCTTCATGGCCTTCCCAAGCTCCATTTTGTTGGGGTTTGACACAAGTGACTCTATTTGATTCTGACAATTTTCACACATTATACTCAATGGTAAAAAAAACTGGAAGGCTTCCTATTAAGATTAGGAACAAGACAAGAATATCATCGTCTCACCACTTCTTTTCAATATCATACTGGAAGTCCCAGTTAATTCAGTAAAACAAGAAAAGGAAATAAAAGCTATACAGATTGGGAAGAAAGAAATAAAGCTGTCTTCATTTGCAGATTACATGATTGTGTATATAAAAAATCTGAAAGAATCAACAAAATAACTTCTGGAACTAATGAGAGATTTTAGCAAGGTTGCAAGACACATGGTTAGTATACAAAAGTCAATTGCTTTCCTATATACCAGCAACAAACAAGTGGAATTTGAAATTAAAAACACAATACTATTTGCATTAGCAGTCAAAAAAATGAAATACTTAGGTGTAAATCTAACAAAATACATGCAAGGGCTGTATGAGGAAAATTTAAAAACTATAATGAAAGAAATCAAAGGAGAACTAAATCAATGGGGAAATATTCCATGTTTATGAATAGAAAGACTCAATATTGTCACGATGTCAGTTCAACATGATCTATGAGTTTATTGCAATCTCATACTAAATCCCAGCAAGTTATTTTGTGGATATTGACAAACTAATTCTCAAGTTTATATGGAGAGGCAAAAGTCTCAGAATAGCCAATACAGTATTGGAGGAAAAGAACAAAATTGGAGGACTGACACTAGCTGACTTCAAGACTTACTGTAAAGCTACAGTAATCAAGACAATGTGAAATGGGAGAAAGACTATACAAATAGATCATTGAAACAGAATTGACCAACCTGGAAATAGGCTCATATAAATACAGTCAACTGATCTTTGACAAAGGAGCAAGGGCAACATAATGGAGAAAAGACAGTCTTTTCAATAAGTGGTGCTGAAACAACTGAACACCCACATGCCAAAAAAAAAAAAATGGACCTAGACACATAACTTACACCCTTCACAAAAATTAGCTCCGAATGGCTCACAGGCCTAAATGTAAAACATGAAGTTATAAAACTCATAGACGATAACAGGAAAAAACCTATGATTTGGGGGCATAGCAATGACTTTTTAGACACAACACCAAAGGCACGATCCAGGGAAAAAATATGGATAAACTGGACTATACTAAAATTAAACTTCTGCCTTTCAAAAGACATGGGAAGAGAATGAGAAGGTAACCCACTGACAGGAAGGAAATATTTTCATAAGACACATCTGATAAAGGACTGTTGTCCAAAATACACAAAGAACTCTTAAAATTCAACACTAGGAACACAAACAACCTGATTACAAAATGGGCCAAAGACCTTAACAGACATCTTACTGAAGAAGATACAGAGATGACAAATAAGCAAATGAAAGGATGCTCTATATCATATCTCATCAGGGAAATGCAAGTTAAACAACAATGAGATACCACTATATATCTATTAGAATGACCAAAATCCAGACCACCAATAACAAAATGCTGGCAAGGACATAGAGCAACAGGAACTCTCATTCATTGCTGGTGGGAATGCAAAATGGTACAGGCACTATAGAAGGCAGTTTGGCCATTTCTTACAAAACTAAACATACTCATACCATATGATCCATCAATCACATTCCTTGGTACTTACCAGCAGGAGTGGAAAACGTACGTCCACAGAAAACCTGCATACATCTATAGCAGATTTTTCATAATTGCCAAAATCTGGGACCAACCAAGATGTCCTTCAGTAGACGTATTAGTCCATTCTTGCATTGCTATAAAGAAATACATGAAACTGGATAATTTATAAAGGAAATAGGTTTCATTGGCTTGCAGTTCCGCAGGCTGCAGAGGAAGCATAATGCTGGCATCTGCTTGACTTCTGGGGAGGCCTCAGGAAACTTACAATCATGGCAGAAGGCAAAGGGGGAGCAAGGCATCTTACATGGTGGAGTAGAAGCAATAGAGAGAGGGGGGAGGTGCCACATACTTTTAATCAGATTGCATGAGAACTCTATCATGAGAACAGTACCAAAGGGAGAAATTTGTCCCCATGATCCAATCGCCTCCCACCAGGCCCCACCTCCAACACCGGGGATTACAATTCGACATGAGATTTGGGTGGGGACACAGATCCAAACCACATCAATAGGTGAATGGCTAAATGAACTGTAGGGCCGGGCATGGTGACTCACACCTGTAATCCTAGCGCTTTGGGAGGCCAAGAAGGGCAGATCACAAGGTCAAGAGTTCAAGACCAGCCTGACCAACATGGTAAAAACCCTGTCTTTACTGAAAATACAAAAATTAGCCGGGTGTGGTGGTGCGTGCCTGTAATGCCAGCTACTCAGGAGGCTGAGGCAGGAGAATCTCTTGAGCCCAGGAGGCGGAGGTTGCAGTGAGCCGAGATCGCGCCGTTGCACTCCAGCCTGGGTGACAGAGCAAGACTCCATCTCAAAAACAAAAAAAAATGAACTATAGTACACACAGACAATGGAATTATTCAGCACTAAAAAGAAACTAGGTATTAAGCCATGAAAAGACACGGAGGAAACTTAGTTGCATATTACTAAGTGAAAGAAGCCAATCTGAAAAGTCTACATACTGTGTGATTCCAACTGAAACTAGCCCAATTGTCTCATAGAACTAATATTTACAATTTTTCAAATAAATCTAGAAATTGACCCTTC
Source organism: Homo sapiens (assembly GCF_000001405.40). Lineage (NCBI taxonomy): Eukaryota > Metazoa > Chordata > Mammalia > Primates > Hominidae > Homo > Homo sapiens. The sequence goes on along the minus strand of NC_000014.9, from coordinate 94,430,699 downwards.
CAATCTTAAAACTTGAAACTTACCTTTGAGTTCCTTCCTCAGGAAACTGACCCTCAATCCAAGAACTGAAACTCACCAGATCACCACATCAAGACAATGAGACGCAGACCCCTCATTCATCATGATTGCTTCCTTACCCCTCCCTAATTCCTGTTTTCCTGCACATAGCTACATTCCCCATTATATAAACCCCAGATGTTAGTTAGTTAAGGGAAATGGATTTGAGGGTTGGCACCCATCTCTCTGACTGATGTCACCCAAATAAAAAGCCTTCCTCCCTGGCAATACTCATTGCCTCAGTGATTGGCTTTCTGCGTAGCCAGCAACAAGGACCTAGATCAAACCTGTGGTCTTTCGATAACACAATTATATGACATTCTGGAAAAGGCAATACTGTGGACACGGAAAAAAAAAAAACAACCTCAGTAGTTGCTAGTATTGAAGTGGGGGTAAATAGGCAGAGCACAGGGGATGTTTATGGCAGTGTAAGTATTCTGTATGATACTATAATGATGGAGACATGTCATTATATGTTTGTCCAACAAGTATAATATACAACTTTATATATTGCACATGTATGTGTGCCCATAGAATGTGCAACACCAAGAGTCAACCCTAATGTACATTATGGACTTTGAGTGACTATGATGTGTCAATGCAGTTTCATCTGTTATAACGAATGCACCGCTCTGGTGGTGATGTTGACAATGTGGGAGGCTATGCATTGGTGGGGCCAGTGAGTATATGGGAAATCTTGGTACCTTCCTCTCAATTTTGCTATAAACCTAAAACTGCCCTAAAAAAAAAAAAAAAGTCTTGGAATAAAAAAAAACCCAAGATGCATATCCTTGGAATGTAATCATAAAGTTAAAATTGATCACTCAAAAGATACATAATTTACAGGATATTGAATCATGGCTTCCAGATTATTTTCCAAATGAGTTGTATCAAATCAGCTGGGTAGCCATAGTTGATTTGAATTGTAATCATTTGTAAATCAAATTTTTATATACACTTGAATCTATTTCAAGTGTATCTATTGAATCTATTTCAAAGTGATTCTTTGTTGGCTAGGGTGTCTGTGGTCCTGTACCTTGGTACCTCATGTGTTAATAACTGTAAATGTATTAAAAGAAGTCCCTCATATTGTTCTTATTTTAAAAACATTTTCCACAGTTTCTTAATGAAATAATTCTGTTATAGGTAGTTAGGCATGAGTGGGGCCCAGAGAGGGGTCTCCCACCGACCCACTAGACATGTCGGGTGATGGTTTGGCAATTATCGCACTGCCTCTCTAAAAGTGGTAAATTGGCAGCCGGCACCAGGAAGAGGCCATTTCCTGACAGTCCACACCTGTTAACATCAAAATGTTAATTGAATGTAGATCCCAGGGAGAAGCAACTTCCTGGACATGCACATGGCTAAGTATGATCTCCCAGGTACACACCGCGGGAAAAGAGAAGAAACTCTCAGATGGGCGTGCATTTATCTCCCTAAACACAATTGCAGGTGCTCAGTTCCAAAGGGTAAGGAAAGTACTGCGCATGCGGGAAGCCCACTCTAAGGGAAGTATCATGGGACAGAGACAAGACTGTAAAGTTCTAGGGTCAAGGTTAAAGGCAGCTCCTTTTTCTTTCTTTGACCTTAAGGTGCCCACTTGGATCTCTTCCAAGGGCTCTTTCCTTTCTTTCCTGTTCTAAAGCCTTTTTAACAGACTTCCACTCCTGCTCTGGAGCTCTCCTCACTCTCTTTTTCTGCTTCATGCCCCCTGGCAAATTCTTTCTGAGGAGGTAAGAATTGAAGTTCCTGCAGACAAGTACGGATTCACTGCTGGTAACTCAGGGTAACTCCGATCTCTTCCACTGTAACACTTCCAAATGAATTTTAGACTCCCTTTGTCCAGAGTCCAAAAAAAAAAAATCCTGCCAAGTTGTTGATAGGATTGACACTGAATATAAAAATCAGTTCAGAGAAATGTACATTATATGCACTGTAGAGTCTTCCAATCTAAGAACACAGTGAATCTCTTCTCTTACTCTCATCTTTATGTGGCCCAAGTTTTCTTTTTTATTCTTCTAAAGCTCCTGCATATTTCTTGCTAATATCATTCTTAGATGTTTTCTATATTTTGTTCCTTTTGTGCATAAGGTCTTTTCTTCCATTTTCTGGCTGCCTTTTAAACTATATGTAGGAAAACTATTGACTAACTTCATAACTGACCACTTTAAAATTTTGAGCATGTTAATTGTGTCTAATAACTTTTTTTGTTTTTTTTTTTTTGCTTGGATTTTCCAGCTCTATAATGCAAGCCATTTATATACAATTACTTTCTTTCCACAAAATAATTTATTTCTCTCAGGGCCAGAAATGGAGGGAAGGGAGCTTCTTGAAGTTTGGATTTGCAAGCAGGGTGAGGGCATAGCAGTAAAAGGAAGTGTTCTCAGCAAAAGTTAGCCTTGGATGAAAAGTTCGAAGATTGGATTTTTACTCTCCTGGTCCAAAGACTCCAATCGGTAGAGGCACAATTCATGTGCATCCATAGAGAGGGGTGACTTTGTGTACAAAACAACTCCTGGTTAGAAGTTCCTTTTTATCCTCTGCCATATCAATGCTGGTGGCGTCTGAGTGCCCCCTGACTCAGCCTGGGAGAACAACCTTCTCTTCCAGGTGGAAGATGCCCGTCTGCACTCCACGGTGCTGCCCAGCCTCTCCTATCCCCAGTATGGGATTCAGAGCAGCTAATTATGTTTGTGCCAATGTACTTGGTCAATGTGAAATGCAAGGCTACTTTCTTGAAGTGACCTGCAGAGTCTCTAACAGAACAAGTGGAGAGAAGAGACCAAGAAGATTTCATTTATTTCCTCTTGATTCTTATCCTGCCCAGAGACCAACGGTGAGATTTCAGCCCACAGTGTCTTGGTAATAATAACGCCCAGCAGTGTGGCTACTGAGGGCTGGAACCACCCTTTCTGGCTAACTGATATTTTAAATTTTTTAAAAACTTTGTTGTTTCCTGCGGGTTTTCAATTCTACAGAAAGGGTTTCTTATTCATTTTACTTTTCATCTTATGTTCCTCCTACTCTCAACCAAAGGTGCTCAGGAGAGTTATTTACAAATGGAATGATTACTTCCATTATCCTGCAGTGGAAAAAGAAAAAGATAAACTGCCAGTGGGGTTGTGCAAATTGTGTAAAGAACAAAAATTCTAATGGCTTTTTTGTCTAGTTCTAACGATTTGGCAAGTAGTTAAAAATAACCCTGAAAACCATTAAAATTTCTGGGAAGTACATTGGTTCAACTTTAATTTTCTGCACCGTCGGGCAGACTCAAACACTGGCTTTTGGTGGCGGGGGGGCTTGTTTAACTGCAGTGCTTTATCACTCTTTAGTTGGATTCCCATAGAAGGCTTTATCACAGATCTATTGTACATGTGGGTCTTCTTTCTACTTGCTTTGAAGCTGATTCCCACACATTTTTCACAAACCTCAAAGACAAGCTTCTACATGCCCTTCCCAGCTTCCTCTGGAAACTTTCGATTCTAATCAAAACTTCTACCAAGTAGCTTAAAAGAACAAGAGGCCGTATAAAGTGGCAGCGGGAAAAAATATATATCTACATACAGGCTTAAATCCCAGCCCCACGACTTAATACGTGATGTTGGCAAGTTACTTAAACTCTCTGAGCCTCAGTTGCCTTGTCTGTAAAATGGGAATAAAGATGCTTCCATTTTATTAATGATCTTAATAATGAACCCCTTTGAGTGTTAAATATGTGTGTCAGGTACTTAGCCAAACACTTTGTATGTGTTATCTCCTTTACTCCTACAATAATTTTTGACTTGGTTGCAATGATCATCTTCCTTTTACAGGTAAAAGAACAGAAGCTCGGAGCCTTTCAGTAGCTTGTAGTTCAGGTTCCTGGAAAACGCAGATTTGCATGCAAGAAGTTTATCAGGGAACACTCTCAGGAACAACCTCTGTGAAGGAGCAAGAAAAACAGGTTTGCACCAAAGGAAAACTTCAACGCAATTGCAACAGCAATGTCAGATTGCACAGGATGCTCTGTAATGGAGATATGCCAAATGAAATTGAAGAGGAGCGAGCCTTTGTACCCCCACATCAACCCATCACTGGTGCAGATTTATCCCCAGAGGGGTTGTCACTTTGGGCATGGCAGCTTCCTACAGTAGAAAACCATTTTCAGAGAGAAACAAAACCATGAGCTGTCAGCAGCTAATACTGTTGGCAGATAAATTAATGAGAAATTTAGTCCTAAAGGGGCATCTGAGTGTAGAACCACAGCATCCTGTACCCAAACATCACAGAGATGGGAAGAGTTGGAGCCAGAATGGAAGTACTGATCTGCCTGGTTCCAAAGCTTGTGCTTTGATCCACTCTCCTGCACCACGTTGTTGCCTTCAGTGAAATAGAGTACATGAACTTCCTGAAACATAGTAAGGGCTAATTAAATGTGAATTTCTGTATTAATTTAGGAATAATCAGGAGACAGAAACCATATTGCGATTTAAACAAGGGGAGTTCTATATAAAGAATTATTAAGTTATGGTAAAAGAGTAACTATAATACGTAAGAGAACTCTACAGAATATTCTAGGGCTGATGGAGAATATCCAAAGGACAAACTTGGTAAGGAGGTTCCACTTTCCAAGGGGATCAAACCTCATTGGAGAAAGGGCTATTGCAACACACTGGGTGTCAGAGACATTTGCTGGTTTTAGTAGGCCGGAACTGGTCCACAGTCCCTGGGCAAGCAGGAAGCAACCCTCTAAGGCACACATAGGCCACAGTCAGTGGCTGTTTATTCAGGCATATGGAGGGAGTAGGGGCTCTGGTGCAGACAGGAGGATATGTGGTGTCTGTGTTAGGAGGGCCACAGCATCAGACGGGCCATGGAAGACCAAATGCTGTAGGAGAAAGCTAGCAGAGGGACACGGGGCACCAGTGCTTAACATCTTGCTCACTGTGAAGAAGAAATGCTTGAAGGAGGCCCTTCCATTATCATTGAGCACATATCAAAGGGTGAATTTGGAGGTGAGAGGGAGTAAAATGATAACTGACACACAGAAACATTATCGCAGATTAGTTCTTCAACAAGTCAGAATTATAAAGAGACCCAATTATTTTAATAAAAAACTAATTCAGAGACAAAAACCTGCAAACCAGCTAAAACCATGTCCCTTTCCATGGCTGACCCTTCACCCTCCATCTACTGATAACCTACTAGCAGTATCTGTTTGCCTTCTGAATATAATCTAAGATGGCATTTGAAAGAGCCTAAAAACCTGTCGGACTTCTCTTTCCTGTGCCCAGATTCAAAAACAGGGACAGAAAGTAAGTTTCCTGGGTGCAAGAGAGTCAGAAAAGGTCAATAGAACCAAGTCCCTCTTTGGAACATTGATGGGAATGGCCAGTAGAATCACCAGTTTGTTTCTTGGAACCACATACTTCTAGGTGATATGGCCCCTGCTGCTTTTTCTCTTAATATTTCACCCTTCTTTATCCCCACCGTAAAATTGGTTGACCTCATATCAGACTCCAGAGAAAAGAAGAAAGTTATACACTGAGTTAAAACTCTCAGATAAAATTAGTGACTTGCAATTTAGAAAGAGTCTAGCACTGTGTATAAATTAAGATGTTTTCTTGTATTTGAATATTCTATTTTATTCCCAGGTTCTAGGTCTTACATTAAGTCAGTTTCAGAAAAAGTATAAAAAATGATATGCCAGAATGCTATTTTAGCTCACAGAATTCTGAAAAAGATGTTCTGAAATAATATTCCCTGCACTTATACCCCCAAATTGCTTTGCTCCTGCAGACCTAAGTTTGAAACTGGTTTATCCTGGAGGGAGTTCACCTCCCACCCAGCCCTCTTTGATTTCCTGTCAGCCTGGCCCCTTGGCTGGCTCTAACTCAGATCTCTGAGCTAGATATCCATGCCCTTCTTGGTACCAAAAGCCCGTTCCTAAGACCTTGCTCGGAATTCTGACACACTGACTTGATCTGGCTTTTGTAACCGTGTCCCATCCACATCATGATAGTTCCTAAGTTAGTGGCATGCAGTCACTGGAGCCACCAGTCACATGGCCTGCTCTCCCAGCCTTGATCCCTGAGTCAGCATCTTGATCTGCAAAGCATCTGCCACCTGCTCCATTTTGCTTTCAGTCAGAGGAGACAATTGTGCTCTGGACATTTCTTTGAAATACATCTACCATGTGCTGCCTCCCTAGTGAGGAAATAATGGAGTTAAAGTATTAAACATCTAGAGCAGTGCCTGGTGCACAGTAGGTCCTATGCAAGTGTTAGTTAAATGAAAGTAAATCCCTGATGTGCTTGAGAGAGGACATTTCCTGGAGGTTCCTGCATCCTCAGAGAAGTGAACATCCACCAAATATGCCCAGAAATGTGCCCCTACCTTGGCAAAGGGCATCACAGAAGTATTCCTTTATCTGTGATTTATATCTTTCCTGCCCAGAAATGTGCCCTACCTTGGTAAAGGGCATCACAGAAGTATTCCTTTATCTGTGATTTATATCTTTCCTCCTGGCTTCCAAACTTCTGAAACAAATACCAAATAGAATGAAACTTGATATTAAATGGAAAAGCGAGTCGAAAAACGTAAATGTTGCAAGATTCACCAAAGGAGAACACAGGCAGGTCCTATAGGGTGCACTGGAAGGAAGTTGCATTAGAAACCACAGGGAAGGCTGGTATAATCTTCAGTATACTTTCCAGGGACTGTCAGAGGACTTGTGCTTAGAAGTTTATTTCTGAGAGTCTTTCTGGAGTAAATGCTTTCCAATGTTTCAAGTCTTGCCACTGTCACTGTTACGCAGAGATCACAAACTAAAGTGGTGTTTGGTAAACACACCCCAGAAGAGCGTGGCAAAGACTCAATACAATCAGCCTTTGGGGTGATGAATTTCGGGTTTAGTTAGCTCCATGACTGCTAGGCTGCCCAAGTGTTGAGTCCCAGCAGAGCTTTGGGACTTCTTCTAAAACGAGGTGATTAGCGCGCCCCCGTGTGTTCAGACACTGCCGTGTCATTTCAGGTCTTTCAAGGGACATATAAATTCCTGTGGCCCATTGTGAGGGTAAGGTCCGAGCCGCTCTTGAAGACCGGGGCTGTAAAGTGAGGAAAGAGAGCGGGAGTGAGGCTGCTGTGACAGAGAAGGGTTCACGGCCCCAAGGGAGCAAGACCTCAAAAGACAGAAGTCCTGGTGGTGATCTGGGAGAGGGTGAATGAAAAGAAAAGGAAACCGGCAAATGGAAAGATAATATTTCGAGCAGTGGTTATATGGCCAACATCATGCTAATCCTTTGCATATATTTTGTCTTTAAATTTTGGAATTACGATTTTTTATAATTATAAAAGTAATACACAAGTGGTAAATAAAACAAGAAGCAAAACTCTCACTCTGTAAGTTCACCTTCTTGGAACAACCAGAGTTAACAGTGCAGTTAAAAATAAATGAACAAGCAAAATAAACCTTCTTTAATTTGTGATAATGATAGAACACATCATTTGAACCAACCCTCCAACTAAAACAATGAAAAGATCTAGATTAAATACTTTTCAAAGATCTTTAAAGCATTGAAAAGCTAACAGGATATTGAGGTTTATCGAGCTAAGTTTCAGGAAAGAATAGAAATCCAGAAAGACAACTTGGGCCACCATTACTAAGTGAATGTTTGCTGATGTAGGAAAGATTGCTATTTTAGAAGATGCTGCTGAGTGCGTCTGAGCAGCATTTTTGATAACCTGGATGGACAAGCTCAATGGACATAAGTTGCAGTCCAGACTCTGCAATGGCAGGGGGCCTGGTAAGCCAGGGGGCCTGATGTGGGATCACAAAGGACTTTACCGTGAGATTTCGGGTGAGCCAAGTATAATTTCAAGACCTATTGCATCCTAAATAATACTCCCAAACACCTAATAGAAATGAACAACAACAACAAAATACTATCTGGAGGAACATATCACTGTCATAGACCTCAAATTATTCCTTCAAATATTTTAAAAATTTTTAATACTTAAAACAGAGACAATGATTATGCTGTAGAACAACTTCCAATGTGTCAAGAAGACTTGATGACAGTGGGGAGAGCCAGGAGTCCAGGATGACTCTCAGATTTCTGTCTGACTTGTACAAAAGGCTGGATGCAGAGGTGTTCATGAAGATTTCAAACACAGGAAAAGGGTGAGGTTTAGAAGATAGCGAATATTTCCTGAATATTCTGAGCCTGGGAATTGAGGAATACATGTATAGGAGGCTTAGAAACTCCTTATATCCCATCACACACTCTAAATACAATTTCTATATAATAAAGAAGTGAGATGCAGCTGGCTGGTTAACTCCATATTATTTTTATTAATCAATCTATCTATTTGTAACCTTTCCAATCTTCGTATCTATATATTTCCAATTTTAAATATATAAACTACTGAAAGATGGAGCTAGGTCCACGATGTTTAATAGGATTAGCAGGTCTTCAGCATACATGTTCACACAGCTTGAGAGATAAAAGGAAATTATATGAAAATGGCTTACTGTCTTAAAATTCATTTTTAATGAGTGACTTCCCCCTTGTATATTATATAATGTTTCATATTAAATTTTAGGTTTCCAATTTGCCTACATAAATTCATTTTATTAAAAAGAATCCCTTTGGTGAGCCAAAACAGTCTAAATTGCATCCTATTAAACTCTCAAAAGACTTATCTGTTCTTTCATAGTACTCATCATAGCAATTTTCAATTATGTGTATATTTTGTGATTTTTTTCTAATTTGTCTCTCCTGTAACCCTCTAAGCTCCAATCCGATAATAAGGACATCTGTATGGTTGATTTCTGTAGCTCCATCACCTAGGATATAGTAGGCACTCAAGAGTTGTTGAAAAATGAAAGAGATAAATTAAAGTTATTGGTAAAGTTTTCACAACGGTGGATGACAGAGGTAATGCCTTTGTGTTGTGTGACAGAGTCCCTTATTAGGCTTTGCATCAGGGCTCTCGCTGTTCATTCTGCAGCTCCAGGCAGGTGTTGCTGTAATAATGGGATCAAGTACAAATGAAAAACTGAAACAAACAGGGAGACAGGAAATCTGGAGGAACAAGGTCTGGGGGAGGTTGCATTAACAGTTCTAGAGGATGAAGTCACCTTAAAGGGACAATACATGTCCCAAACTGGAGAGAAGCTGGGAGGATGAAAACAGAGAAGTTAGGAAGAGTAAGATGTGAAAATGAGATTGCCCCTGCCTGACCAACTCGAATGTTTCAGGAGAGTAGCAGGTGCCATTGGCTGCTAAGACCAAGCAGGCAGGATGAGATTGGGCTCCAGAAGAACACAAAGTTTTAAGAAGCTGCCTTGGAGCACAGGAGAGCAAAGTCAGCTGAAAGGTTGGAGATGGGACATTTGTATTGGCACCAGGTATGCAGTAGTTGTACCGGGATTTTAATGGAGGGTAAGGTTGCACAGTTAAGCATCTCTTTGGGAAAAAACTCTTCAAATTCAGCAATTCAGGAAGCCTACCCCTAATCCCCTGTTAGGAACTGAATATTTGTGTCCCCACAAAATTTAAATGTTGAAATCCCAATCCCCAATATGATAATATTAGAAGGTGGGACCTTTGGAAAGTAATCAGGTCATAAGGATGGAATCTGTTGAATGGGATGAGAGCCCTTATAAGAAGAAACAACAGAGTTTGTTCTGTCTCTGCTCTTGCCACGTGAGGATACCAGGAAAAGATGACCATCTGAACAACGGGAAGTAGCCCTCACCAGATACCAGGTCTGCAGGGAACTTGGTCTTGAACTTTCCGGTCTTTAGAGCTGTGAAAAATAGATGTTTTTGTTTAAGCCACTTAGTCTATGGTAATTTGTTAAAGCAGCCTGTCTCAGTATGTTTTGGCTGCTATGACAAAATACCTGAGACTGGGTAATTTATAAATATCAGAAATTTATTGCTTACAATTCTGGAGTCTGAGAAGTCCAAGATAAAAGTGCCAGCAGATTTGGTGTCTGGTGAGGGCTTGCTCCTCATAGATGGAGCCTTCTATTTGTCCTCAAACGCCAGAGGAGTCTAACAAACTCCCTCAGGCCTCTTTAAAAAGGGCACAGTCCCATTCATGTGGGCTCCAGCTTCATGACCTAATCACCTCCCAAAGGCACCACCTCTTAACATCATTTCACTGGGGGTTAGGTATCAACATATAAATTTGGGGGGGGACACAGCATTCAGATCATGGCACAACCTAGCTAATTCATCTCTTCTTTTATTAATTATCTGTGGAACTAAATAAGGGTTCTCTGGAAAGAGAGACAGGCAGACAGAGAGACAGACAGAGAGACAGATGGAGATTACATCCCAGCAGAAAATCAACATGCTTGGCTTGTGGCCCACAGTGTGTGCCAGGACCTAAACTATTAGTCTGTTCTCACACTGCTAATAAAGACATACCTGAGATTGGGTAATTTATACAGGAAAGAGGTTTAATGGACTCACAGTTCCACAAGGCTGGGGAGGCCTCCCAATCATGGTGGATGGAGAATGAGGAGCAAAGTCACATCTTACATGGTGGCAAGCAAGAGAGCTTGTGCAAGGGGACTCCAATTTATAAAACCATCAGCTCTCATGAGACTTATTCACTACCACAAGAACAGCATGGGGGAAACCACCCTCATGATTCCATTAACTCTGCCTGACCCTGCCCTGGACATGTGGGGATTATTACAATTCAAAGTGAGATTTGGGTGGAGACACAGGGCCAAACCATATATTTCTGCCCCTGGCCCCTTCCAAATTTCACGTCGTCACATTTCAAAACACGATCATGCTCTTCCAACAGTCCCCCAAAGTCTTAACTCATTCCAGCATTAATCCAAAAGTCCAAGTCCAATGTTTCATCTGAGACAAGGCAAGTCCCTTCCACCTATGAGCCTGTAAAATCAAAAGCAAGTTAGTTACTTCCTATATACAATGGGGGTATAGGCATTAGGTAAATACACCCATTCCAAATGGGAAAAATTGGCCAAAATGAAAGGGCTACAGGCCCCATGCAAGTCCAAAATCCAGGGGGGCCTCTAGCCCCTTTGTTTTGGCCAATTTCTTAAAGCTCCAAAATGATCTCCTTTGACTCCATGTCTCACATCCAGGTCATGCTAATGCAAGAGGTAGGTTCCCATGGTCTTTGGCAGCTCTGCCCCTGTGGCTTTGCAAGGAACATCCCTCTTTCTGGCTGCTTTCACAGGCTGGTATTAAGTGTCTGCATCTTTTTCAGGTGCACAGTGCAAGCTGTCAGTGGATCTACCATTCTGGGGTCTGGAGGATGGTTACCCTCTTCTCACAGCTCCATTAGGCAGTGCCCCAGTGGGGACTTTGTGTGGGGACTCCCACCCCACATTTCCCTTCTGCACTGTTCTACCAGAGGTTCTCCATGAAGGCCCCACCCCTGCAGCACACCTCTGCCTGGACATCCAGGTGTTTCCATACATGCTTTGAATCTAGGCGGAGGTTCCCAAACCTCAATGCTTGACTTCTGTGCTCCTGCGGGCCCAACACCATGTGTAAATCACCAAGACTTGGGGTTTGCACCCTCTGAAGCAATGGCCTGAGCTGTATGTTGGCCCTTTTTGGCCACAGTTGGGATGCAAAGCACCAAGTCCTGAGCCTGCACAAAGCAGCAAGGCTCTGGGTCCAGCCCCCAAAACCATTTTTTCCTTCTAGGCCTCCAGGCTTGTGATGGGAGGGACTGCTATGAAAACCTCTGACATGCCCTGAAGACATTTTCTCCATTGTCTTGGTGATTGACATTTGGTTCCTCGTTACTTATTCAAATTTCTGCAGCTGGTTTGAATTTCTCCTCAGAACATGGGTTTTTCTTTTCTATCATATTGTCAGGCTGCAAATTTTCCAAATTTTCATGCTCTGCTTCCCCTTTAAATGTAAGTTCCAATTCCAAACCATATTTTTGTGAATACATAAAACTGAATGCTTTTAACAGCACTCAAATGACATCTTCAGTGCCTTGCTGCTTAGAAATTTCTTCCATCAGATACCCTAAATTATCTGAAGTTCAAAGTTCCACAGATCTCTAGCTCAGGGGCAAAATGCCCTAGTCTCCTTGCTAAAACGTAGTAAGAGTCACCTTCATTCTGGTTCCAACAGGTTTCTCATCTCCATCTGAGAGTACCTCAGCCTGGACTTTATTGTCCATATCACTATCAGCATTTTGGTCAAAAGCATTCAACAAGTCCCTAGGAAGTTCAAAAATTTCCCACACTTTCCTGTCTTCTTCTGAGTCCTCCAAACTGTTCCAATCTCTACCTGTTACCCCATTCCAAAGTTGCTTCCACATTTTTGGGTATCTCTACAGGTACCAGTTTACTATATTAGCCTGTTCTCACGCTGCTAATAAAGACATACCTGAGGCTGGGTATTTATAAAGGAAAGCAGTTTAATTGAATCACAGTTTCACATGGCTGGGGAGGCCTCACAATCATGGTGGAAGGTGAATGAGGAGCAAAGTCACATCTTACATGGCAGCAGGCAAGAGAGCTTGTGCAGGGGAATTCCCATTTATAAAACCATCAGATCTTGTGAGATTTATTCACCATCATGAGAACAGTATGGGGGAAACCACCACCATGATTCAATTATCTCCACCTGGCCCAGCCCTTGACACATGGGGATTATTATAAGTCAAAGTGAGACTTGGGTGGGGACACAGCCAAAACATATCATAAACCAACTTTGAGATAATGAGTGCTTTAGTTATTCAATAGTAACTAATTTAAAACATTTTTTTTCATGTCAAACAAACACTGATTTATTATGGAGCAAAAGGCAAAATGGGCCAGATTTTCAAAGGAACCCATGCTCTGGAGCCTCACCCTCCTCTGGACCCCAGAGAAATATATAATTCTCCTCTGAAGTTTGGGGAAATTTGATGACAAAGCTGACCCCAGTAGCTCTGAGCAATGTCTGGCCAAGCAGACATGAAAGAAAGAATTTCCCTTACAGTCCTGTGTTTGGCACAGGGTCCATGCTTAACCCTCTATTGTTCGATGCTGTTTCTCTTGGTTAGAACTAGAACAATTTTGGCCAGGTGTGGTGGCTCATGCTTGTAATCCTAGCACTTTGGGAGGCCAAGGCAGGTGGATCACGAGGTCAGGAGATTGAGACCGTCCTGGCTAACATGGTGAAACCCTGTCTCTACTAAAAATACAAAAAATTAGCCGGGCATGGTGGCAGGCACCTACAGTCCCAGCTACTCGGGAGGCTGAGGCAGGAGAATGGCATGAACCCGGGAGGTGGAGCTTGCAGTGAGCCAAGATCATGCCACTGCACTCCAGCCTGGGCAACAGAGAAAGACTCCATCTCAAAAAAAAAAAAAAAAAAAAAAGGACTAGAACGATCTGCAGCATCCCTGTGTTGTGAATACTTGGTGCACCCTCATTGATGCCCTCTTGCCAAAAACCTCACCACCACAAGGCATTAAGTTATAGGTGCCAACTCTGACCAGGTTGGTGGGCATGATTTCTGGCCATCCCACATCACATACCCAGTGAGAGACTAAAGACTTTTTTTTTTCTTTAGACTGAGTTTTGCTCTTGTTGCCCAGGCTGGAGTGCAATGGCACGATCTCAGCTCACTGCAACCTCCACCTCTTGGGTTCAAGTGATTCTCCTGCCTCAGCCTCCCGAGTAGCTGGGATTAGAGGCACCTGCCATCGCGCCCAGCTAATATTTTTGTATTTTTAGTAGAGACAAGGTTTCACCATGTTGGCCAGGCTGGTCTCGAACTCCTGACCTCAGGTAATCCACCTGCCTTGGCTTTCCAAAGTGCTGGGATTATAGGCGTGAACCTCTGCACCTGGCCAGGCCTCTTAAGTATTTCTTTAAAACCTGGGAATCATAGGTTTCCATAGTGTAGTAGTTATCACGTTGGCTGAACATAAAACCTGGGAACCCTTGCTACCCTAGGGAAGTTATCACCAGAGGCAAGCTTAGCAACATGGTGGAGATGACTGGCTTATAGACAACAAGAAACACTATCCTCTTCTTCTCTCCACCTTTCTCATGATACATGGGTCCTTTTTCTTTTACAATGGCTTTGCTCATAGTTATCCTCATTATTTGTAGTTTTCTTTGCTCTCTCCCTCACAAGCCACTGGGGCCATCCAGTGATGCCATCTTCCATGTGACAAAGGGCTGAGTCTACACTGTTGAGCTTCTACTCCGGACCGTGGCTGACAAATTGCCTTGCAACACATTCTTGGGCTCCCTTCACATCCAGTAATTATGTGTGGCTGGTCATCCTGCACATCCCTCCCTGTTCTTGGTATGGTTTCTATTCTTTTCTCCAGAACCTTTCGATCTTCTACTCTCAATTCTAATACCTGTTCTTTCATACAATCTAGATAGGAAGATAACATGTAAGCAAGCACATTCTTAATGGAATAGGCAGAACAGATCATCTAGGTGTCTACACAAAGAAGAGCTCATAATCCTACAGAGCTGCTATAAGGAAGATTAAAAGTGGGCCTCAAAGACACAGAGCAAAGCAATCAGCTGCACCTGGAGGAGGTGTCTGGCCATCTCAATACCAAGCTTCCATTTTGCCCAAACCACTGACTGAGTTGCCATACAGAGAGGACTTCAATGTCCTTGCTGGGAAAACTAGATTATTTACTTACCACTTCTAGCTGCTTCACAGGGAAACTAGGCATAAACAGTACCAGAAATAGTCAATTCATCATCTTCTTTATAATAAGAGGACACAGAAAGAGTAGAAACCCTGTCATTCATATAGAGTACATGACCCAATTTAAATTCAACCCTAAGTGCCGTCTTTGCTCTCTGATCTACATCTTTCCTCTGCATTGCACCCAGCCTGAGGGTAGATTGATAAGAATACAAATAGATCCTTTTGAACATTTTCTTTTTTTCCTGGCCCAGTACTGAGCCCAGCAGGTATGAAGTTATGTCCAGCATGCAGAAGAGGGGGACGAAGTTCAATAATGGGACTTGGGCCGGTTTTAGCATCACCCAGGAAATCTGTGTGGTTCAAACCATAGAGAAGCCAGGTGTCAGACTCATCTCTATCCAGTAATCTGGGGTTATTTTGTGCAGAATAGAGGTCCTTTGGAGCTGAAGGCAATGCTGCAGGCCCAGCCTTCCTCTTGTAGGGGTGCTCAAGGCAGTGTGCCAGGAGTGCCTTGGGCATCTGCAGCAGGGAGATGACAGGAGCCTCCAACTTCTATGTGAAAGAAGTATGATGTTTGAGATGCCCCACAAATTGTAGCAGCAAATATTTTAATATCTCCACCCTTTAGCATTCCAGCCATGAGAGTGACCCTTTGGGGATAAAATAGCCTGGCTGCTGGGGATCAGATGAAGTCATTAATGTGAGCGTGCTTTATAAATTGTGTGTAAACTGGGAGGGGCTTCCTGTGACAATTGTCAAAAAGCAGAGGTTTTGGAATAAATGTCAACAGAGACCAAGAGAGAAAGGTCAATGACTAGCAGTCAGATGGAGGATGACAATCTGAAAAGGCTCAGGAGGCAGTACCCTGTGGCAATTGGAAGCCACAGAATGCCCCTTCTTATCCACGTCCTAGCTGGGTGGCCCTGGACATGCTACCTAATGGCTCAGTGCCTCAGTTTCCTCTTCTGTAGAATAGGGATGATACCAGCAATCACCTAAAGACCTGTAATGAGGATGAAATGTGCTAATACTTGCAAATCACTTGAAACAGTGTTTTGCACATGGTAAGTGCTGAGTAAATGTTCAGCATATTCATAGCTATTATTATTTTTTTACTTGGCCTCAGCCAGTTGTCACCAGGTAGAAATCTACTAACAATGCCAGATCTTCTAATTTTCTAGGCAAAAATGAAAAGTCTCTTGATTTTTAGATATTGGCAACTAATTTTTTTTAACCTGTGCTGAGAGCAGCTCAGTAGGGGAGACCCTAACCCAGTGGTGCTAGAGGAATTAAAGACACACACACAGAAATATAGAGGTGTGAAGTGGGAAATCAGGGGTCTCACAGCCTTCAGAGCTGAGAGCCTCAAACAGAGACTTACCCACGTATTTATTAACAGCAAGCCAGTTATTAGCATTGTTTCTATAGATATTAGATTAACTAAAAGTATCCCTTATGGGAAACGAAGGGATGGGCCGAAATAAAGGGATGGGTTGGGCTAGTTAACTGCAGCAGGAACATGTCCTTAAGGCACAGATCGTTCATGCTGTTGTTTGTGGTTTAAGAATGCCTTTAAGTGGCTTTCCGCCCTGGGTGGGCCAGATGTTCCTTGCCCTCATTCCAGTAAACCCACAACCTTCCAGTGTGGGTGTTATGGCCATCATGAACATGTCACAGTGCTGCAGAGATTTCATTTATGGCCAGTGTTGGGGCCAGTTTGTGGCCAGATTTTGGGGGGCCTGTACCCAATCTTTGTAACTTTTCCACAAGTCTGAAATTATTCAAAAATAAAAAATTATTTAAATAACTGAAGGGAGCAATATGCACACATACATTTATGAGGTAGGACCCCCAAAGGGAGCTTTAGTATAAGGGCCCCTTGCTAGATGCATTGATGGTAGTGAGAAATATAAGAATAAGGCTACTGCCTTCCCATAGCTGACAACGAAGGGGAAACACAGGCTTTCACTCATGAAAAGGAACCTAATAAAACAAAAAACTGTTTCTAGCCAATGGCCAGCTTGTTTGTGTGAATCAACCAAGCTACTGATAACAACTAGAAAACATGGATTTAAAAAAATTCTTAAAAGTAAAATTAATTAAAAGGAGAGAAGTAGGAAAAATCAAGAACCCGGAGGACTACACAAGCATAAAGCTGCTTTTACTTGGAGGGCATGTGCTCACCTTACAAAATTACGACCTTCATTTTGATGACTGTTCCCAGCTCCCAACACCAGCTGTCATCTGGATCACTCATGCACACTTGCACACACATCTTTCTTTGGGCAGAGGAACTATATTGTTCACTGAATTTTTCTTAGGGGTCTTTGACCACCTCCCCAACACACATATGAATGGTTAAGAGGAATGAGTGTAAAATTACCACTTGCACTCTTTTATGGGAGTTAAGAAGATGTGGGGTAAAAGCTACTGCTGAAACCTTCCATCTGACTTATCACTAATGCCTGACATTCCACCACCAGGGAAGCAGGACAGGGGAGGAGTCTTCGGCTTAGCAGCCCCTTTTACTGTGTGTCATGTGGTCAGATCCTGTCCAGAGAACAGACCTTATGATGTGAGAGGGCAGAGAATCCCGTGGTCTTCAGGTGTGTGGGTCACAGCAAAGGGATAGGAATGGAAGAGGGAATTCTCTTTCCCAGTGAAGAACAGAATGCAGAAAAAGGTGACTGGGGTGGGTGCATGGCATCTTCCAAGCATTCCCTTTTTCTTACTGAAATCCAGATACCTTGGTCCTTGGCCAGCCAGGTTCCTGCAATATTTTACTTTCTGCCTCCCTTATCACCCCAGCAGGTGACGCTCTTTCATGTAGGCAAAGTTGGAGGTAGCCACTGCAGAGGGATCCAATTCTAACCTGGGGCCCTGTAGGTAGAATATGTCCTGCTGAAAGTGACCCAGGGAACTAATGGTGACACTGAACTGAGACACTGGTTTCCTGACTCCAGGCCGTGTACCTTTTTCACTTGTAAAACCTCTTGAAGAATGTTTCCACATTACATTCTTGCATGTAGGCATCGTCAAGCCTCCTCATGATCATATTTATTTGTACATTCTCTCACTCACTGAAAAGGCACTTTCTGAGGGATCTTATGTTCCAAAGGTAGACGAGACATGCTCAAGCCTGCCCTAATGGAGCTTAGTTGAGGACACAGGCATTCAAGAGTGCTTGGGAAGTAAGATCCACAGCAGGTTAGATGGGGTGTGTACTAAGGAGAGAAAAATACAGCAGGGAAGGGGGCTATGGAATATCATGGGTCGGAAATTACATTTCAAGAGCGATGGCCAGGGAAGGTCCCATTGAGAAGACTTTTGGGAAGTTCTGAAGAAAATGAGGAATTCAGTCAAATGCATATGTAGGGGAATAACCCTCTAAGCAGAGAAAGCAAGAAGCAAAGTCCCTGAGGCTTCTTTCAGGAATACCATGGAAACCAGTATAGCTGGAGTGGAATGGGATGGGTTGCAGGGGGCATACAAGGGGATGAGGACAGAGAAGAATGGGGTACAGGGAGCATGGGAGCAGCTGGATGTGGATCTCTCAGCTTATTTGTTTGGTTGACTGAAACATGAACTCAACAGCAACCTACAACAATGAGGTAGGCTTTGTAAAGATTTTGGCTTTACTCTGGGTTACTAAAGGATTTTTGAGTAGACAGTGACATGATCTGACTACTGTGTTGAGTAGAGACTTCAGGGAGTCACAAACAGAAGTAAGAAGATGAACAAGTAAGCCACTGTTGTCATAGTCCAAGCAAAGAATGAAGGTAACTGGGACCAGGGTGGTACTGTTGGTGATGTTGAAAAGGGGGCCGGTTCTGGGTATATTTTGAAGGTAGAGTCTATAGGACTTTGACCAATCAGGTGTGGGATGAAAAAGAAAGAGAGAAATAAAGGATGACCCAGGATTTTCATCATGAGCCACTAGAAGAATGGAGTTGCCATTTATGCAGGCTATCAATTTATTGTCTCTCAGCTCCAAATTACCCTTCATTGCTTGCTCTGAGAAAACAGATCTGTGTCCTTTAAAAAGCTTTTCATTTGCCAGCTGGCAGAACATACAGCTTTACAAGTAAACGAACCAGAGAGACATTGCAGGAGAAAAGGATTTTGCTTCCTCATTCCAGTGTGCTCCCAGGCAGACTCCAGCAGCTTGCTCAGCCCCAGCTCCAGAAGTCCAGGTTGTTTCCTGATATCCCCATCCTGGTACCCCCATCCTGCAGTGCACAGGGGCCACTGTTTCCTCTGGCACCCACCTTGCATGGTTTCATAACAGACCACCTCCAGTGAGATACCTCCCCATCAAGGCTTTCCCCAGTAACCTTTGTTGGCAAATTCTGGAGAGTAAATTTTCAGAAATTTCTACCAACACAGAAGCACACTGACTTCTCTGTCATTCAGAGAGTCATTACTGCACTCTCTGCACTCTCTGAGGTAGTGGGGTTTTGAGGCTCTTCCCTGGGTGCTCTGACTCAGTCCTGGGGTATTGGCTATTCCTTAAATCTGCTCTCCCTTTATTCTTTTTTTTATTATTATTATTGAGATGGAATCTTGCTCTGTCACCCAGGCTGGAGTGCAGTGGCGCAATCTCCGCTCACTGCGAGCTCCGCCTCCCAAGTTCACACCATTGTCCTGCCTCAGCCTCCCGAGTAGTTGGGACTACAGGTGCCTGCCACCATGCCTGGCTAATTTTTTGTATTTTTTAGTAGAGACAGGGTTTCACCATGTTAGCCAGGATGGTCTCGATCTCCCTTTAAAATTTAGGATTCCCTTTACTTTTTAGAAGCCAGTGTCTCATTACTCCAATTGTCTGTTTTAGTTAGTGATTTTTTTATGTTAGCTATTCCCTGTTAAAATTACTGTGTATGTTTTTCTCCTGATTGGACCCAGACTAATACAAATTGGTATCAGTCTGGGTCAGTGGACCCAGAAGACAGATCTGGGACTTTAGGATTGACTTGTTTGTGCCCTTGGGCTTGAGAGAGTGCTGAGCTCCTTGACAGTGAGAAATGGGATGTTAGTACTGTGGTGCACAGTGACATCATAGTTAATCAAAGTTTCACCTGTGGTGAATTACAATGATGCCTCTGCTTCACTCAACCACTATGGCCGTAAGGACTATAAGCAAGTGCAAAAGCCCTGATATGAATGAATTCTTTGGAATGCACTTGAGCTCTTACAAAATGAGAATGACAAGCTGAGATCCACTAGCTCTCAGTTCAAGTCCCAATCCGAGAAATAGAGCATTTCCGTAACAGCCCTAGAAAAAACTCCAATTAACCGTATCAATAGTTGCAGGACTGATATTGCTGAAAATCAAATACAAAATTTAATTTATTGGGTTGCTGGACAGCAATGAAAATTGAATTCAGAGTCTCCACAAGTTTTCCATGTGAAAGTTAGGACATTAATTGGTTTAAAAAATGGAATTCTTAAACTTAGAACAGGGTCATCTAGTTGACAAAATGAAACTATTTGACATTTTTCCATAATAATTTTTGAGTATGATAATAAGAGAAGGAGGAGGAGGAGGAGAAGGAGAAGAAGCATCAGTGGTGGTCATACTTGGCATATCAGGGGCCCCGCCACTTCACTAAGGAGGTTTCTGGAGACTTAATGGTCCGAGCCACGTCAAGTTATCACCTCCAAGGTGAATTTTCTGCATTCTGCAGGCCCAATGCTTGCTAGACTTTTTTGGCAAGTTTAAGAAATCCATATTTGTATTTGTGGCTCACAGAATTAAAATGAAGTCACTTGTGTTAAAAATTCTGACCAGTTGAGCCAGGGAAGACAATAAAAGGAGGGTTCTCATGCAATGAATACCTGATAACGAGAGCTATTACAGAAGACTCTGCAAAAACTGCAACTTCGCACAGAGGCCATCACAACCTTACACAAAAAGATACGTACTTTTTTTTTAATTCTTTGAGACATAGTCACTCACTCGGTCGCCCAAGCTGGAGTGCAGTGGCATGATCTCAGCTTACTGCAACCTCTGCCTCCCAGGTTCCAGCGATTCTCCTGCCTCAGTCTCCTGAATAGCTGGGGTTACAGGCATGCACCACCATGCCCAGCTAATTTTCATGTTTTTAGTACAGACAGGGCTTCACCATGTTGGCCAAGCTGGTCTCAAACTCCTGATCTCAGGTGATCCACCCACCTCGGCCTTCCAAAGTGCTGGGATTACAGATTTGAGCCACCATAACTTGCCACAAAAAGATACTTCTGCAAGGTCATCTGCCTGCCTGTCCAACCTCAGACTGGTGCCACCCTTGTTATTGATCTTTGTAGCCAAGGATAATTATCTCAAAACTGTTGTGTAATCCTCCTCATTTTTCCTTTAAAAGCCTCTGTTGGCCAGGCACAGTGGCTCACACCTGTAATCCCAGCACTCTGGGAGGCCGTGGTGGGCGGATCACAAAGTCAGCAGTTCAAGACCAGCCTGACCAACATGGTGAAACTCCCTCTCTACTAAAAATACAAAGATTAGCCGGGCATGGTGGAACACGCCTGTAGTCCCATCTACTTGGGAGGCTGAGGTGGGAGAATCACTTGAACCTGGGAGGCGGAGGTTGCAGGGAGCCTGGCTCACACCACTGCACTCCAGCTTGGCTACAGAGTGAGACTCCGTATAGAAAAAAAAAAAAAAAAAACCTCTGTCTTCCTTTACTTTCCAGAATATACACAAAGCTTACTGTGGCATGCATATTCCCATCTTGGTGCCTGTTTTTAAATAAATACCATTTTCTTTTAAACAGCCTCTCTCTGTCTGTTATTGAGTTTATCAAAATGGTTTCAGAAACATGATCAAAGTCAGTTCATCTTGGGCAGATCAGCAGCCCAGCTGTGATACTGACTGAGCCCCTTGCTCTCTCTTCTTCCATAAGTCACATTTTTCGGCCCAGTGAATCTCATCTTGGATTCTCAGACTCCCTCCTCTTGGTGAGTTCTTTTCTGTTTTATGCAGGATCTGATCTGGTTATAAGGCTGCCTTCAATGAAGGACCTCGCATTTGTCTTGGGACTATACAAGTCTGTTTTGACAAGCCCTTGCTCGTAAGTGTCCTTTTGGAGAGTACTCTGGCTTCTACAGAATCTGCATTCTAGCTCTGAGGCATGTCTTTTTCTGGCGAATTCACTTTTGGTTTTTTTCTATGAGCCTAATTTAATATTTTGTTTGTTCTGGATGCCTGGCTTAAAATTTTTGTGGGCACCCTTATTTTTGCTTCATTTTGTTTTGGTTACACACATCTGTAAATGATTTGGCTCTGTTACTTTTTCTCCTCTTATTTCTGAAGACCTTCTGAGAGCAAAATAATAAACATTCTAAATGATGTGAGCAGGATAGCTAATTAAAAGCCATTAGAGCAATTGCCACTATTTAAAACACTGGTTCAAATTCATGACATTCCCTAATAGGATTCGTATGATTTTCTTTGCTCTCAAGAGATGAATAACAGATAAAATGGGATTCTCAAAATTCTAAAGTATGCCAAAATTTCTGAGACTCCAGCTGGCTACATATTCAAAATTTATGGTCCATTCTCATGTACATTTTTTAATTATTGGAAAAATTACACCAAAAATAATATATGGCCATTAAAGGGAATCATTTCAACTCCCCAAGCCTGCTTTTCTTAAAACTAAATAGAAACAGCAGCCAACTATAGAGTTAACATTTAGAGTCTTCTAAGTTGTCTATCTCTATCTCTTTTTTCTGCCTATTTTTAATTTTCTGACTTTTTTTTTGCTAGTGCTAAACTCACTGCTTATGGCATCCCAGCCAACATTTTCTAAAAACTCTTAAAGGGCTTTTAAATTAATGACTTTACAAATTACAGTGGTTCCATGGTAACCAACAGCCTAGACTCCTGAGTCATCCCTTTTAGAAATGTAAATTT
This sequence comes from Homo sapiens, assembly GCF_000001405.40. Classification (NCBI taxonomy): domain Eukaryota; kingdom Metazoa; phylum Chordata; class Mammalia; order Primates; family Hominidae; genus Homo; species Homo sapiens. Next base: position 94,408,062 of record NC_000014.9, on the reverse strand, counting down.
AGATTTGCCTGGCTAACAATCTTTGGGTGATGGAACAGTTAATTGATGGACTGATATTCTCAAAGGAAAAAACTAGATAAATATTTATAAATGTCAAGCTCTCCAATCAAATTGGTAAAGATCTTGAGCTCAGAGCAATAATATAAGGTATCTCAATAATATAAGGCATAAAAATTGCTTTGTCTGCCATGCATGCACCAGAAAAAGCCAGGAAAAAAACACCCTGCAAATAGCTTTTTCTGAAATGCTTCCCCTCCCACATTGACTAGTCAAGCAAACCAGGCCAACAAATAAAAGATAAATTTGTTACTAAAATTCAAGGTTGCTTGGAGATTTTGGGATTTTCTACACAATTCAGCAGCCATAGCTAAAATGTAAACATTTAACTCCAAGACTCATGTAAAACTACTGTTTAAAAAAGAGTTAAAGAGATTTGTTTTTACCAAATGACTTTATTCACAATTTTGGTACGCCTTCATTAGATTACCAATCTGGGCAAACAGCCATGTGAATAGGTCCCGTTTTGTCAGAAATATAATTTGGATCCAACTGTGTTTCATAAACCAATGAGTTTGTATCAATCAGTTTTGCTGTCTCATGACTAAAATTCTAAAATGAAAGCTACAAGCTCTTTGTGTGGGGGGAGGTTAAGTGTTTTTACATGTATATTCGTGTATTATGTTGTGTGTTGTATCTACATATAGGAATCTGGCATAGTCAGCTTGAAATCCCTTAAGGAATTCTATGCATATTGGCTTAGATAAGTGAGTGCTTATATAAATTGTTAAAATATGGTAATTAACTCAAATGTCTTTCAGTTCATGTGACTTAAGTAAATATTTAATAAATAAGCTGTGTTTAAATTTGTTGATAAAATAAACATGTATTCATAGTTTTCAGCATAGTTTCTTGCCTGAGTTTACTGGTCAGACAAGATTATATTTGTCTTTGCTAGATGCTTTAAAGTCATAAAACTATAAACTCAGCCTAAAATCAAAATGATCTTTGTGAAACTCTTTGATAAGTAGACTAATTTAATATTGTTTGTTTAATAAAAACAGCTGTATCTTCTGAGTTATTGGCAAATACCCAAGTATTTAGGGTTCTTAAGTAGGTGAATATCTGATATTCACAAGTTATAAAAATTGTTATTAAGGAAATAACTTGAAATGCTGACTAACTTTGTCTAATAGTTTAGTTTTTAAAAGTAATCTAGGTATAATTGTTAAATAAATAAATAAATGAAAAAGGTGAATGTAAATGGAATAAATGATTATAAATGAACTTTTTATGTAATTTAAAATCTTGAAGTTATATTATATTTAATTAAGCAATAGATACTTATCAGATGTTCAGGTCATTTCCAAATAAAATAAAATACTGAAACATAAATTAGTGAACATCAATGTAAGTTTGTTCTTGGCTTCTTAAATTTTATATAAAGACTAAAATATATTTGGGTCTTTTAGTACACATAAAAATTATGTTATGGGGAAACATGTTTCTAAAATTATAAAATGGTTCTTATCTGTAAAATACTGATACATCACAGTTAAAAATTTCTTGCTTCTCATATTTTCACTAGAAATTTAGGCTACTGAGAGTTAACAATTCTAATTAATACATATAATTCTGTATAACGAGTGTACTAAAAGATGTATTTATGATGAAAATATAAGAAAGACATTAAAATAAACTCTTTATTGAGAAAAAGAATAATTGTGTCTAAGTTCAGAGGCTATTTAAGGTTTTTTAAAAAAATAAATTTGGAAAAGAAAGACAAGATAGAAAAAAACAGTAAGTAGGAAAGAAAGATGTGAAGGAAGTTATAAGTCATACATATGTATTTTTGGTAAGGAAGTTTAAAAAAATTATTTTTCAAATAATAATAAAAAGGAAAGTACATTTTTGTCCTAAAGTAACATGACTGTTTAAGAAAGGAAGAAACAAAGGTCTAAGTATATAATGAAAGGTCTGAGTAAGTTGTAAAAGGTTTATGAAAAATGAATTCATGAAAAGTATTTTCTATGTGCTGAATAAAATTTGATTCCCCTATATTAGAACAACAGTTTTCTTGAAGTATTGATTTGCTCTTTACAAAACTTGCAAGAGTTTTTAATTTTATTTCTGAAACCTGTTTCTTTAAATTTTCAGACAGCTTCTAAATTGCAGCTTTTTCTGTTTTAGTCTTCATTTAATTTCCCTGGTTTCAAGTTAGAAATACTATCTTCTTCAGCTACACTGGTAATTTCATTTTGCAAGGTAGAGTTTTCCTGTTGAAACTTCTCAGATTCATATTCCAGAGGTTCAACTGTTGTTAGAGCTTGCTGCATGTGATTTGCAGGTCATGCACTATGGCCTTCTGCTCTTCCTCTTTTTCTCCTTGAGATGGTACATTTTGGCCAGGCGCGGTGGCTCATGCCTGTAATCATAGCACTTTGGGAGACCAAAGTAGGATGATCACTTGAGCTCAGGAGTTCAAGATCAGCCTGGCCAATGTAGTGAAACCCCATCTCTACTAAAAATATGAAAATTAGCCAGGCATGGTGGTGGGTGCCTGTAATCCCAGCTACTCAGGAGGCTGAGGCAGGAGAATCACTTGAACCTGGGAGGAGGAGGTTGCAGTGAGCCAATGTTGCACTCCAGCCTGGGCAACAGAGTGAGACCCTGTCTCAAAAACAAACAAGCAGAAAACCAAAACCTAACTATAGAATGACTGATCAGCAGTGCTTTGGAAGAAAGATCTTGAACAAAAGGGGAAGTATAGAAGTTGTCAGAATCAAAATGGAGTCACTTGTGTTAAATCCCTGACAAATGGAGCCAGAGAAGGCCATGAAGAAAGCGTTCTTGTAAACATATGCCCGATAACAAGGACTATCACAAAAGATGGCAAAAACCACAACCTTGCACAAAGGCCATCACAACCTTACACAAAAGGATACTCTTGTGGCGACATCTACCCAGCAAATGCCTATCCACCCTCAGAGTGGCACCACCCTTGTTTCTGATCCTTGTAACCAAGGATAATTATGTCAAAACAGTTATGTAATTCTCTTCATTTTTCCTGCAAACCCCTTTGTCTTCCTTTACCTCCTGGAACACGCACATAGTTTACTGCAGCCTGCTTGTTCCCAATGCAGGGCCCATTCCTGAATAAATCCACTGTCCTCTAGAGATTCTTGCTCTGTCTCTTAGTTAGGCAGACACCTCTATCTAACAAATATCTCCCACTATTTTCCCACATGTCATTATGTTCCAGCCACAAGAATCTTTCTGTAAGTCCTGGAATAAGCTCCTTCTTGCCTCAGGGCCTTTGCATATGCAGTTGTTTCCTCTGCCTGGCATGTTTACATCCTCCGTTTTCATTCTGTAGGTATCAACTTTAGTTCATCTCTTCACAGATAATTTCCCTAACCACCCTACCTAAAGCAGGCTCCCGTATACATCCTTATCTTCTATCTCTGCCTCTTACTAATTTCCTCTATAATGCAACTTAACATTTATATTATTTATTGGTTTCTCTTCCTTGAAGATTTTTTGCCACTGGCTCATTGTCATGCTCTCCAACCTTTCTCCTTTCTTAACTCTCGGCAATGTCAATATTCACAAAAACAGGACTTTCTCATTCCTGTATCTCCCCCTGTCCTCTCATAATGTTTCCCTTCACTCAAACTAAGACACTCACTCCCATGATCACAGCCTTGATCTTGTAATTGCCAATGCTGTGTGACCCAGCATTATAATCAGTCAACTACCATGCTCTTCTTTCCCTTATCATACTAGCAAAACCAAAGCCTGATTAAATCCTCCTGTGCATATACTCCATGTGTGCTTCTGTACAGCTGAAAGACATGGGAGGGCAGCACATCCACTGTGACTGGTCACGCTATCACTGTACAATCACCACAATCACCAAGGACTCCTAATGCTACCTAGCAATCATACTGTATTTCTTGAATCCATTCTCTGCAATAATCCATTCTAATAAATTCTCTAATTCATTCTTTCCCACTCTCCTAGGTGACTATTTCATGATTTCCTCTCTTTCCTCAGATTTCCAAAACCTCCTTCTCCATTCTTATTCTAAGCCAATGACATCCTTGCTGCACTGAGAAAATTAAAGCAATCAAAAGAGAACATGCTTCCAGCTCAACATTTTCTACATTCCTGAAAATATGCTCTCATGTTCTTCTTTCTCTTCTGTATTTGGGTGAAGTGTCTATGCAGTCGGCCAAGGCCAATCCACTTAAGCACTAGATCTACCTCCTCCACCTCCTAAGACAAGGCTTAACAGCAATCCCTCCTACTCACGAACCATCAATTACTTCATCTCTACTTAAGCATCTTCCTCTGCTAACAAACACAGTTTATTTCTGCCAGACCATGTGGGAGGTGCCCTAAGATGCACAAAAGTTGATAAACAAGTTCCAAAATTTACCTTTTCCCCGTATGTACTGATAATGTAATTTCTGATATGAGACAAGTGAGCCCACTGTTCTTTTCATGGGATGATGGGAGGTGGGGTTTGAGAGCTCAGTGCAGTCACAAGTTGAAACAAGCAAGAGGCAGCAGGAAAGTCTTGAGCAATTCAATCTCTGACCTCTCCTGACCATTGTTCCCTCCTCAAGGTCTTCAACATGGCTCAGCTGAAGTTCCCCCACAGGGAAAGTGAGCCTGCTTAGCTATTTAGGGGACCAGTCTCACCACTGGGCATCCAGAGCGTGGGCACACAGTGATCCCTGAGTGCAAACTCAAGTAATAGTGACCAGGAAGAGGTGGGGCTAAAGTTGGTAATATGCCAGGGGAGTGGTACCACATCTTGTCCCTGAACTCAGTTTACATGTAAAATAACATAGAATGAAATTACTCTGGGATTTCAGAAACCAGCATGATTAGTTCTAGATGAGGAATTATAGAGGAGTTAGCATGGAGTCTGAGCAGAAGAGGATGCTAAAGAGGTGTTGCTACAGACTGAAGCAGAGGAAAGAGAAGCACAAATGCTATTCTAGGGGATTAATGACTTCTGGGGACAATGTACCCATCAACTGGAACACTGTCAGGGGAAAGAAAGGAAGGAAGGTCAGATGAGGAGTTGGGATCCTTGAAGTTCCGGCCAAGTCTCAGGGCAGGGATTGGAGTCAACCACTGTTTACTTTTTCCTCCATCACAACTGCTACCCAGTCTTTGATTAGGATCCTTGGCCAACGGATTCCAGACATTGCAATACTCTTCAAGCCTCACTTGAGTTTGAGACATATATTTTGCTGATTGACATTGAGTCATTTTAGTTATTTATCACTCAGTGTAACACAGTTCCAGCCACGCTGTGTTTTCTGTGCACATCTGAGTTGCTTGATCACTTCAGCCCAGACTGCAACCTGCAGGCAGATTCAGTCAAGGGTTATCCCTACTGAAATGAGGCCAGCTCACAAGAAGATGTCTAGTTGTGGATGTTGGTTTGTAGCCCCTTACTCAGTACTTGTAAAACAATTGAGAAAACTGATAAAGAACTATAAACTACCTATCTAACAGGGTTATTTAAGAATCAACTTGGGCCCGTGACTAGCATAATGCAACATGTACATAGGAAGTATATAAGGGGTTAGCTGTTAAACATCAGTGACATTTTTCATGAAAATAAGAAAGAAAGAAGGAAGAAATAGTTGACAGAACAGAGATATAAGATCAACAGAACTGGAGGATAAATCAGGAATTATTCATTTGAAATTTGAAGGCCAGGTATGGTGGCTCAAGCGTGTAATCCCAGCACTTTGGGAGGCTAAGGCAGGTGGATCACTTGAGGTCAGGAGTTCAAGACCAACCCGGCCAACATGGTGAAACCCCGTCTCTATTAAAAATACAAAAGTTAGCTGAGCATGGTGGCATACACCTGTAGTCCCAACTATTCAGGAGGCTGAGGCAGGAAAATTACTTGAACCTGGGAGGTGGAGGTTGGAGTGAGCTGAGATTACACCACTGCACACCAGCTGGGGTGAAAGAGAGAGACTCTGTTAAAAAAAAAAAAAAAAAAAAAGAAAGAAAGAAAGAAAGAAAGAAATTTGAGCCAGCCACTCACACTGCTTAGATTATTTGTTTCCAAACATTTGTTCATGGTCCAGATGCACGGCAATCAGACTCACCTGGGGAATTGTTAAAATACATTCTATGTGACTTTCACAGAGTCCACTTAATCTCAACTATGATGTGCCTGAGATTTTTTAAAAGTAAATTACTTAATAAGCCAGTACACAGGAAAGTAGAACCATCTCATATGCAGTTACAATAATTTTAGAAGTTTAATCTAAAAATGAAAAATTTGAATTCTTACATCCATAAATGGACTAAGCTAGGATCTAATCTTATATCAACCACATGGAATCGTTATTCCTATTTTTGGCTTGCTAAAAACCAAAGTAATAACCTCAATCACTTCAAGGCAAATAAGAGATTTATTATTTTAACTAAAATGATTTTTTTGAGGTAGGGGCTCATTCTGTTGCTCAGGCTGTAGTGCAGTGGTGCAATCACAGCTCACTGCAACCTCAGACTCCCAGGCTCAAGCTATTCTCCCACCTTAGCCTCCCAAGTAGCTGAGGCTACAGGTGCATACCACCATGCCCATCTAATTTTTTTTATTTTTTGTAGATACAGGGTTTTGCTATGTTGCCAAGGCTAGAAAAGACACTTTTTATAACAGGAATTCTATGGTTATGGTTGTGAGCAAGCTGTAACATGAGGTGGCATCAGCAAAATACAAACGTCTTATTGTATTAGTCAGGAAGGATTAGGTTATGCTTCAGTAGCATACAACTCCAACAATCTTAGTGGCTTCAGGATAAAATCTCTCTCTCATGCAGATTGGGTATGGGTATCAACAACTCTCAGACCAACTGTTTTTCAAGGCATCATGTCTGAATGGATGCAGTGATCAAGGTGTCCATTCTCATAGCTTCCCATCTCAGCATGAGCCCTCATCTTGACCATAGTGAGCAAAGACAGACTGGAGAATCACTCAGAGGCCTTTCCCTTCTTCAGTCCAGATGTGATAGGTAGCATTTATTCTAGCATTATTTTTGGCCAGAACACAGACCCATCCACCTGCAACTTGGCTGGAAATTGTTGCCTTCTATATGCCCAGAGGAAAAAGAGAATCAGATATTGGCAAGCATTAGTGATGTCTCTCACACTCAACTTAGCCTTCCTTCTGGAAGTTTCTATGCAGCCATCTGTGGCCTGGTATATGGCTTCTGGAACATTTCCAAAAAGATGCTCATGCTCTGATAGTGGGTACCAGTCATTTCTTCTTTAGGGTCAGTTTATAGTCTCTGTCAGGGAGACTGTCACTTAAAATGGCCCAGTCTTGCAGACACTGCTCAGTGCAAATGTTTGATATTTGCATTCCTCCAATTGTTAGCAGTCAAGGAAGGTGCAAAGTCAACTGTTGGCTGGGCCTAGGAAACAGGGGAATTCTGGAGTTGGCTGTTGTCGCTTGTTAAGCTTATTGGCATTCAAACCAGACATAAGGAATTTGAAAGAACAATATGTCACTGCTATTTTTCTTCCATTGCACAGTTCGCTACAGCCCCTACTGAGAAGCAGGCTCATTTTCCCTAGCTACGAAGGCAGGATAGATGTGATATCCAAGGCATTTAAATGTGAAGTGCTAAACTCCTGCATGTGTATGTGTACACACACACATGCTAAGCATACGAAATTTGCTGTAATGTTTTACAGACCATTTTTGGATGAGACTAATCCATGAACCTAAGGGGAAATGGAGATTTCAAAGGTTCATATAAATCAGGGGTCTCCAATCCCCAGTCTGCAGACCAGTACCGGTCCTTGGCCTGTTAGGAACCGGGCTGCAGAGCAGGAGGGGAGCAGTGAGTGAGATCAGTGCCCTCCTGTTAGATCAGCTGTGGCATTAGATTCCCATAGGAGTGCAAACACTATTGTGAACTGCACATGCAAATGATCTAGGTTGCACACTTATGAGAATCTAAGGATGATCTGAGGTGGAACAGTTTCATCCGAAAGCCATCACCCCAACCTCCATCCGTGGAAATTGTCTTTTTTGAAACCGATTCCTGGTACCAAAAAGATTGGGAACGGCTGACATAAATCATAAAATCAAAGGTAGTACTCTAGCCTCCTTGGGAAAATGTATCAGGAAATATTGATATGCAAGAGATTTACTAATTAGACTTACTGCACAGTGTGGCAGACAAGTGATCAAAATTACAAACTGGCCTTCTGCTAGGGACCTTACTAATGCCAAATTTAAGTGAAAGAGGAAAGAAGTTGAAACAAAGTATGAAAAAATATAAATTGTGAAATGAAGATATTTACTCAGTAACTTCCTCGGATTAAAGCTTTGTAATCCCAGAGCTCTGAGAGATCCATCCGACTAAGAAACCCAGTGGCTCACAGGCATGTAGTCCCTTCCTGATGTGATGGGTTTTGATTTTTTTGGTTTTTGGTTTTTTGGGTTTTTTTGAGACGGAGTCTCGCTCTGTCACCAGGATGGAGTGCTGTGGCACAATCTTGGCTCACTGCACCCCCCTGCCTCCTGGGCTCAAGCAATTCTCCTGCCTCAGCCTCCTGCATAGCTGAGATTACAGGTGTGCACCTGATGTGATGTTTTAATATGCTGAGCTTGAAGATGCAGGGCGAAAATACCAACATGATTTTTGTTGACTAATTCATGTTTTCATACTTAGTGTGGAATCAGGATTTAAAAAACTGTACTTGGAGACCTATTTCAGAACTGCCCTGAGCTCAGGAGAATTGCAAATCCTCAAGGATCACCAAACTCTCTGGTAGAAAACAAGTCCCAGTTGCAGAAGAGTTCTACCTTAGGTGACCAAATGACCAACATGATGAACTATTAAGTCAAAGGATCCACACAGGGATGCTGGAAGTGCTGCTTTTGCATCTGAAAGATGTTCTTCAGGGACAAAAATACTGTATTCCCCAGGGTCTTTCCATGCTAATGAGGCTAATGTCATAAGGTTTGAAATCCAGGTCATGGGATCCCATCCCCAGGGAAGCCTCCAGATTCCACTTGGAGAAAACACGCCTGGTGCAAAATGCAAGGACAAGTGAAGGACAAACACAGATCTAATGACCTCTTCAGGCACCAGGGTCAAAGCCAAAATATGGCATGGCCATAATGCGTAGAGAATACCTATAATAATGTAAACACAGAGAACAAGGAACAATGCTGGTTTTCCCGGGCACAACTCAACAAGTCACTTAAATTCTCTGAGTTTCAGTTGCTCATCTGCAGAGTGAGATGACAGCATGCAGTGACTATGGCACGGCATTGTGGAGGTCATATCCTTGGAGACTGAACTAACACACAGGGAAGGAGACTGAAACTGCCTTTGCAAAATTATAACTCAGGCAATTGTGTCAGTGAAAGAAATCAGACCTAACCGACTCCATCTTGCTTCTAACCTTTAGCTGTCCTTGTTCATTCCTGGGCATAGGCCGAACTAACTTTGGGAGGGAATTCAGTTCATGGTTTTGACTCTGAAACAAAATTGATAATAGCCCTTTCCTGAAAAGATCTCCTTCTTCCCTGGGAACCAGTTTGTCTTTGCAGGACTAACAAATTAGCTACAGATGAGATATTACAGTTCACTGGTCATGCAGCCTCTGGCTCCTAGAGTCTGAACCTCTCCAAATTGCTCCTGAGAATAACATCACTTATTGTAAAACCTAAGATCGGTGCTTGAGATATTTTACAGACCCTACACTCGATGGATCAGCTGACACCACCCAGACCAGTAATCTGGCTCAACCAGTTCTGCCAAACCACCCAGGAACAGACGACAACAAGAAAAACTCACTTCGACCCCCCTATGATTCTACTTCCAACCTGACCAATCAGCACTCCCCACTTCCCAAGCCCCTACCTGCCAAATTATCTTTAAAAACTCCAATCCCTGAATGCCTGGGGAGACTGATTTGAGAAACAATAAAACTCCAGTCTCCCGCACAGCAGGCTCTGTGTGAATTACTCTTTCTTCATTGCAATTGCCCCATCTTGATAAATCGGCTCTGTCTAGGCAGAGGGCAAGGTGAACCCATTGGGCAGTTACAAAACTGCTGCTCCTCAAGGAGCTTCTATATGCTTGGACCGTATATTGTTACTACATCAGCCATCTCCAAAACACACCAAAGTAGGTACGTTCCCAGTTTTATTCCTGGGCTCAATGAGAGATTAAATAACTTCCTAAATTCCCACAGCTAATAAGCAACAGATTAGGATTTGAGCCCCATGTTGTCCGACTTCATCACAGAAGCTTTTCCACTCCATCAGACCGCCTTCCGAGGGTTAGGGCATTTGGAGGAAAGCCAAAAAGGTGAAGGAGAACCCCCGGGGAAGTCACCTTTTTAGAGACCCTGAAAGAAACTGTCATGTATTTGAATAGAGTCTTTCCATTTGTTTAAGTTAAAAGGAATTAAAGGCATGCTTTCTTATAAAGGCAACCCATTCTTGTGAAAATATAAACACACAGAAACATAAAGAACAAAGTAGAAGTCATTGTCCCAGCTGGCAAATCTGCATTCCAGGAGAGTCACTGGGTTGTGTCTCAGAGCCTTCCATGCATCTCCTTTAGTTTCTCTATATATGCATAGACTCTTACCCTATACAATGTATTGTACGTGGCTTTGTTCTCTTACTTCCAACCAAAACAAAAGACCAAAAGAGAAGAGGAAAATAGAAAGAGGAGGAGTCTCTCTGAACCTATTCTGGTATGGGGACTGCCCAATTTTTTTTTCCAAAAAGGAAAAGAAAGGGAATCAACATTATTGTTACCAGAAAGGGGTTCTGATCCAGACCCCAAGAGAGGGTTCTTGGATCTTGCACAAGAAAGAATTCAGGGTAAGTCACAGAATAAAGTGAAAACAAGCTTATTAAGAAAGTAGAGGAATAAAAGCATGGCTACTCCATAGACAGAGCAGCCCTGAGGGCTGCTGGTTGCCCATTTTTATGGTGTTTCTTGATATGCTAAACAAGGGGTGGGTTATTCATGCCTTCCCTTTTTAGACCATATACAGTAAATTCCTGACATTGCCATGGCATTTGTGAACTGTTATGTGCTGGTGAAAGTGTGGCAGTGAAGACAACCAGAGGTCATTCTTGTGGCCATCTTGATTTTGGTAGGTTTTGGCCAGCTTCTTTACTTCAACCTGTTTTATTGGCAAGCTCTTTATGACCTTGTGCTGACCTCCTAACTCATCCTGTGACTTAGAATCTCTTAACAATCTGGGAATGTATCCCAGTAAGTCTCAGCCTCATTCTAACCAGTCCCTATTCAAGATGGAGTCACTCTTATTCAAATACCTTTGACATTATGAAGTGTCTTCTCTATGCTGGTCCTCTCTGTGTACTCATTTATTTCATCTTAGCAACCAACTCTAAGACCTCGGAACTATAAACTCCACTTACACATATGGACAGTAAAGCCATAAGGAGTTAAGTAACTTGTCCACAGTAAACTGAGCCTAGCTCTAACTCTCCCAAATCTCATAATCTTGCCATAGTCTACACTATTTCAGGTGGTGTCAGGGCCATCATTTTTTCCAGAGCCCTTAAAATAAGGAAGGAGACCCCCAAAAGTCTTATGTGGGGATGTTAGTGTGTGTATGCACATGTGTGCAAACTGTTTGTCTTCAGCACCCTAAGTGCCTTGTCCTGCCCTCCCTGGTAAACCTGAGGGCTCCATCCCAAGAGAGCAGGGCACTTCTCCAAGTGTGTCCTCAGCTCCCTGAATCCCATCCACACAGCTTCCAGTACCTGAGCCTAAGTCGCTTCACAGAGTCTTCCCTATCTGCTTCCCACGTAGCCCCGCTGGAGAACAGAGGTAGAGGGAAGAGGGCAGAGAAGTCCAGAACACACACGTCCTCATTGTTTGCTAGGAGGGCTGATGTTGACCCAGCTTGTGTTTGCCCTTCTTGCCCAATGCTCTCTGAGGGGGAGAGCCAAACACCAGGTCCTGAGAACCAGTTTAAGTAGAATGGAAATCATTGATTTTTCACTAAATTCCTGAAACAACGTTGTTTTTTGTTCCCAGTCATTTCACTGAATTAAATTTCTATTTGTCTGCCATCAGAACAACAGGCACACAGTCCCAAGGGTGAAAGAGTAAGGAAATACTATTTATTCAACCAGGCACTTTCTGTAATCCTCACTGCAGCCCCACCATGTCAGGACTATCATCTCCATTCCACAGATAAAAGAGATGAAGTCGCTGGCTCTGGGTTCTTGGTGGTTAATGGCAGATCTGGGATTTGAACTATGTCCAACTTCTTTTCCACTTAATTCCTGGAATCCTTCCAAGACAGCAAGGAAAGGGGAAGGAGGGAAGAGAAAAAAAAAGCAAGGAGTGGAGAGAAAAGGGTTTTTTTTTAATACAGTTTATCATACTCTACAAATAGCCATTCCACCCAAAAGAAATGAAAATACAAAGACTTCTACATGAATGCTCTTAGAAGCTTCACCCATAACAGACCAAAGTGGAAGCCACCCAGACATCCGTCAATAAATGGGCTAATTGTGGTCCGCCCACACAATGATGATGGAATAGGACTCAGCAAGAAGCATAAGCGCACTGCTGATATTGGTGACAACATAGATCAATCTCAGAAACATGATGTTGAACTAAAGAAGACAGACACAAAAACATAGGTAGTGTATTATCCCATTTACATGCTCTTCTAGAAGGGGAAAAACCAGTCTATGGAGACAGAAGTCAGAACAGAAGTTACCTTCGGGAGGCATTGATAGAAAGAGGACTTTGTGGATGGGAGAATTTGCTCTGTCTTGCTCAGAATGGCGGTTACACAGATGCACACACATGTAAAAATGTATTGAGCTGTGTATTTAGGAGTTACAGTTTTACTACATGCAAATAACACGTCCATAAAAAGTAAATCGATAAAGACAGGGAAGGGATGGTGGCACAGGGGAGATGCGGAGAGGCTGGAGGATTCAAGAGAGGCTTTATAGTGTCATCTTATATATTCTCTTCAATCCTAACGTGCAAAGTAGGTATAATAAAACCTTCCTTGCAGAGCTGCTGGGGAAATGAACGTTTGTGAGCACAAATTTCTGACAGAGGCCTTGGCATCTGGTAACCAATCAGCAAATGGGTTGCTTTGGCTGGGATTCTGCTGATGAGCTCAGGAGGGGCCACAAGGAGAATGGAAAGAGGGACGGCAGGGGCATGATGCAACCTCCTTCCTCATCGGTGGATTTCATCATGACAGCTCAGTCCTTGCTCTGTTGTCCTCCCACGGACTGTTTCCCTTTTCTCATGGGGCAGACAGAGGAGGCGGGTGGAAAAGCAGCTTGGGTGGTGGTGGAAGCCCAGGCTTGGCACTGGGTTCTAGGTCCTGGCTGGGAGGCTTTGGCAGCCTGCTAACCTCTCCCTCCTCAGTGTTAGACTCCAGCTTGAATAGTAAAGCAACTGGGTTTGTTTTGTTTTGTTTTACCTAAGAAGTTGCACGCCTCACACAAATTTTTAGCATATGCGAGGTTTTCACACTTTCACCCTGGCAAGACACCTCAGCCATCTGATTAAAGAAATGCTCCATTTCCATGACCCTTGATTAACTCAGTTCATGAAGCAACCTTTGATCACCTATTCTGTGCTCAGTACAAAGCCACAGAGATGGAAAAAACACAGTCCCTGCCCTCCGGTTACTTGCAGCCTGGTGATGCCACCGAGCTTTGGGGTCATGCGCCTCACAGCCTGGTTAGAATCTGCCCTCCACCACTTGCCAGCTCTGTGACCCAGGGCTAGGTGCTCGACGTCTATGAACCTCAGTTTCCTCATCTGTAAAATGGGATAACAGAAATATCGACTTCATAGGCTTGATGTGAGGACGAGGAGTTAATCTGTAACCAATGCTTGGAATGGCTCTGGCATGAGCCACGTGCTCACTGTTACCTATTATGCTAATGTTACAAAGGGATGTGTAGGAAGTGTTGGGGAAGCAGCAAGCAGGGAGAAAGAGAGGAAGGGAGAGAGGGAGGTACCTGTTTCAGCATCAGGGTAACACTCTGCCTCAGTTTCCTCATCTGTTCTAAGGCAGTAACAGTGGTACTCACTGCACAGGATAGAGTGAGGTGATGCATGTGAAGTGTTTAAGACAGGGCCTGGCAGAGGCCACATGTGCAAGGAGTCTCAGCCGCGATTCAGGGGGTGGCACACCACCGCTGGAGTATTTGGAGATTTATATTATAAAATTTCGGAAGCAAGAGGCCTGTTAAAACCAAGCAAATAGAAATGCTCAAAATCAACATGAAGGAGTCAACAGGGTAAATCGAACAATTTGAAGCCAAGGTCGGAGTTGGGCAAATTAAGAGCCCTATTGCTCTCTGTTATCTAAGCCACCCACGCAGGGCATGTATTTCTGAATAATAAGCCCTCAAGTCCTGCTGGGTCTCCCATAGTCCCCACGCAAGGGTGAGTCTTGCACGCTCAGCCCTGCCTGTGGTTCCCAGAAGGCCTCTGTCACTGCGTGCTTGCTTTCTCTCCCAGGGAAGATACCCCAGTGCCATGTCTTGGGGCAAGAGAAAATGAAGACAGACCTGGAACATGAACATGGTGGCCTTGCCAGAAAGCAAGTGTGTGTTGCTGAAACATCAGCAGAGATTGTCAAAGGGATAAAGAGATAACTTAAAAGGGTTCCTATTGACCAAAATGCGACAAGTTGACCATCTAAAATCAAATCATAATTATAGTTCAATAGGACACATTGAGTCTCTTAAAAGCTTCCAATCCGTAATGACCATCAAGGCCCATAACCTCAAAAGAGTAAAGTTAAAATAAAGTTCAGAAAAGGTTAGCTGCAATAAAACATGAGTTTTAGTAATTTTAACAAGAAGGGGATGAAGCTATAGATGCATTTTTATTCCTTCTTTTAACTATGTTGCCCCTTATAATGTATAGCTTTGCCTTATTTTTCTCTGTCTGAGTAAGGATAAAGAGTAAAGGCCAGGCACAGTGGCTCACACCTGTAATTCCAGCACTTTGGGAGGCCGAGGCGGGCAGATAACTTGAGGCCAGGAGTTTGAGACCAGCCTGGCCAACATGGTGAAACCCTGTCACTACTAAAAATACAAAAATTAACTGGAATTGGTAGCACATGCCTGTAATGCCAGCTACTCTGGAGGCTGAGGCACGAGAATCGCTCGTAATTCCAGAATTCGAGAGGTGGAGTTTGCAGTAAGCCAAGATTGCGCCACTGTACTCCAGCCTGGGTGACTGAGTGAGACTCTGTCTCAAAAAAAAAAAAAAAAAGAAGAAGCTGTGAGTAGGCCACATAGTTCCAGAAAATGCAGAAATCCCCCCTCCCCTCCCCAACACACAGGAAGTGGCTCAGGAGATTACACACAGAAGGAAAGTGTGTCTGCTGGGGTTTTGCAAGTTGGCTAATTTGAAAGGTGACTGGAGGAGGTGAAAAAATGGTGCAAACTTCATTCATTCATTAAATGAGTTATAAGAAGACAGACACAAGTGTCCATTATGCTAACAGAGCTCTGTGTTAAACACCCCACCAGCATCGCCTCATCTAAGCCTCAGAAGAGCTATGTGGGAAAGAAACTTTTATCCCTATTTTATAGATGAGGAAACCAAGGCTCAGAGAACTGAGGGCCTCCCCCGGATCCAAGTCCACCTAGCTGCAGTCACCCCACATCCTCTGCATGTCACAGGTGCTCAGAAAGATGCTGAAGGCACCTGGCCCTTCACCTTCGGAAAGCCAAAATGAGCACGGCCCCTAAAGAGGGGATTGACAGCCTTTTCTGGAAAAAATGGAAGTTTGAATCTGAGGAGGTGTCCCTCAACAACAGGTGCTGCTCCCCAAATCTGGGGCCAAACGCAGCAGTTGTTCCCCCACTTAGACCCCTGAGACCCATCTATATGGTTTTTCAGAGCCAGGACACATCCCCAAAGGTCATGGCCTTTGGTGGTTAGCATTGACTTGGGGCCCATCACATGCCAGAGGCTGCCCGAAGTGCTTAAATGTTATTATCTCATTCGATCTTCACAGTCCTGATGGAAGTGACTCTTCTTAGAGTCTTCCTATCTCACAGATGAGGAAACCGAGGCACAGAGAGGTTAAGTGGCTTGTCTAAGAGCTCACAAAAAGAGCGATGGAGCTAAGGCTTGGCCCCAGATATTAGATCCCGAACCCACGCCTTAACCAGTGACCTGCACTGACTCTCAAAGAAGGAAGCTGGTGCCTGGGAAGGAGGGTGCATAGTGAGGGTGTGCATGGGGTGTGTGTGTTTGTGGGGTGGCCAGCACTCTCCGGGGGCACTTTGCCAATGAGTTCAGCTCCCATGAAGTCCACTGTTGTTCTCCTGACCAGCCACTCAGTCTTGATTTACTTGGCCCAGGGCCACTGGCACACCTCACCCCCTTACCCGATTCCTTGCTGCAGACCCCAAATCTCGACTCTCACATCCCTATCCAGCCCATACCACGAGGCTCCCATCTCCAGGCAGGGCCCTGTGGTGGGGCAGGGCCTCCCCCAGATGCCCCTTACTCATGACCAGCTCACAGGATCTTCCCATGATGCATTTCCTCTGGGGGGATCAGCCCAGATGCTGCAATAGACAATTGTGGAAGTAACCAGGTGGACAAGACTTTCCCCCTCATGTCCTGGGGTTCCTGGGGGCACAGTATCCTTGTGAATGGCCACTGAGTACTCCCACCCCTCCCACCACAACCCCCGGGATTTTGTCCTGGTGCGTTTTTCCAGATTATCCTAGCCCTTCCTCCCAGGATGGATGTCCAGAGCAGGGCGGGGGCTGAGCCTAGAGCCCTGCCAAAAGAGCAGGACCCCAAATTCTGAGCCCCTTACTTGCCTCACCTGCTCCCACCCATGCTTTCTTCATTCCTCCTCCAAAAGCCCCAGCTCCCCACTGCAATCCCTTCTGCACCCAGCCAGGTCCTATGACACACACCTCCCCAGTGCACACAGACCTGCCCAACTGTGGGGCTGCCCACTGGGCATTTCATAGGTGGCTCAGTCCTCTTCCCTCTGCAGCTGGCCCCAGAAACCTGCCAGTTATTGGTGCCAGGTCTGTGCCAGGAGGGCGAGGCCTGTCATTTCTAGTAATCCTCTGGGCAGTGTGACTGTACCTCTTGCGGCAACTCAAAGGGAGAGGGTGACTTGTCCCGGGTCACAGAGCTGAAAGGGCAGGTACAACAGGTGACATGCCGGGCTGTCTGAGTTTATGAGGGCCCAGTCTTGTGTCTGCCGGGCAATGAGCAAGGCTCCTTCCTGTCCAAGCTCCCCGCCCCTCCCCAGCCTACTGCCTCCACCCGAAGTCTACTTCCTGGGTGGGCAGGAACTGGGCACTGTGCCCAGGGCATGCACTGCCTCCACGCAGCAACCCTCAGAGTCCTGAGCTGAACCAAGAAGGAGGAGGGGGTCGGGCCTCCGAGGAAGGCCTAGCCGCTGCTGCTGCCAGGAATTCCAGGTTGGAGGGGCGGCAACCTCCTGCCAGCCTTCAGGCCACTCTCCTGTGCCTGCCAGAAGAGACAGAGCTTGAGGAGAGCTTGAGGAGAGCAGGAAAGGTGGGACATTGCTGCTGCTGCTCACTCAGTTCCACAGGTGGGAGGGACAGCAGGGCTTAGAGTGGGGGTCATTGTGCAGATGGGAAAACAAAGGCCCAGAGAGGGGAAGAAATGCCCAGGAGCTACCGAGGGCAGGCGACCTCAACCACAGCCCAGTGCTGGAGCTGTGAGTGGATGTAGAGCAGCGGAATATCCATTCAGCCAGCTCAGGGGAAGGACAGGGGCCCTGAAGCCAGGGGATGGAGCTGCAGGGAAGGGAGCTCAGAGAGAAGGGGAGGGGAGTCTGAGCTCAGTTTCCCGCTGCCTGAAAGGAGGGTGGTACCTACTCCCTTCACAGGGTAACTGAATGAGAGACTGCCTGGAGGAAAGCTCTTCAAGTGTGGCCCACCCCACCCCAGTGACACCAGCCCCTGACACGGGGGAGGGAGGGCAGCATCAGGAGGGGCTTTCTGGGCACACCCAGTACCCGTCTCTGAGCTTTCCTTGAACTGTTGCATTTTAATCCTCACAGCAGCTCAACAAGGTACATACCGTCACCATCCCCATTTTACAGATAGGGAAATTGAGGCTCGGAGCGGTTAAACAACTCACCTGAGGCCTCACAGCCAGTAAGTGGGTTCCCTGGTCTGAATGTGTGTGCTGGAGGATCCTGTGGGTCACTCGCCTGGTAGAGCCCCAAGGTGGAGGCATAAATGGGACTGGTGAATGACAGAAGGGGCAAAAATGCACTCATCCATTCACTCTGCAAGTATCTACGGCACGTACGCCAGCTCCCAAGCAGGTTTGCGGGTTGCACAGCGGGCGATGCAATCTGATTTAGGCTTTTAAAGGGATTGCAATCAAGTGGGGCCCCACTAGCCTCAACCCTGTACCTCCCCTCCCCTCCACCCCCAGCAGTCTCCAAAGGCCTCCAACAACCCCAGAGTGGGGGCCATGTATCCAAAGAAACTCCAAGCTGTATACGGATCACACTGGTTTTCCAGGAGCAAAAACAGAAACAGGCCTGAGGCTGGTCAAAATTGAACCTCCTCCTGCTCTGAGCAGCCTGGGGGGCAGACTAAGCAGAGGGCTGTGCAGACCCACATAAAGAGCCTACTGTGTGCCAGGCACTTCACCCGAGGCACTTCACAAGCATGCTTGGGAATGAAACTTCCAACTCTTTGGGATGCAGGTGAAACAGTTCCTGGTTCAGAGAGGTGAAGCGGCCTGCCTGAGGCAGCACAGCTCTTCTTTACAGATGTGCTTCCCCACCTCTACCCTGTCTCACGGCCCCCCATGCCAGCCTGACGGTTGTGTCTGCCTCAGTCATGCTCCATTTTTCCATCGGGACCATCAAGAGGGTGTTTGTGTCTAAGGCTGACTGGGTAACTTTGGATGAGCGGTCTCTCCGCTCTGAGCCTGTTTCCTCATCTGTCAAATGGGCTCTAACCCACTCTGATCTCCCAGGGCGGCAGTAAGTCTTCAGCATCAGGCATTTTGGGGTGACTCAGTAAATGGTAGATCTTGCTACCAGTGGAACAGCCACTAAGGATTCTGCAGTGAGAGCAGAGGGCCAGCTAAGTGGTACTCTCCCAGAGACTGTCTGACTCACGCCACCCCCTCCACCTTGGACACAGGACGCTGTGGTTTCTGAGCCAGGTACAATGACTCCTTTCGGTAAGTGCAGTGGAAGCTGTACACTGCCCAGGCAAAGCGTCCGGGCAGCGTAGGCGGGCGACTCAGATCCCAGCCAGTGGACTTAGCCCCTGTTTGCTCCTCCGATAACTGGGGTGACCTTGGTTAATATTCACCAGCAGCCTCCCCCGTTGCCCCTCTGGATCCACTGCTTAAATACGGACGAGGACAGGGCCCTGTCTCCTCAGCTTCAGGCACCACCACTGACCTGGGACAGTGAATCGTAAGTATGCCTTTCACTGCGAGAGGTTCTGGAGAGGCTTCTGAGCTCCCCATGGCCCAGGCAGGCAGCAGGTCTGGGGCAGGAGGGGGGTTGTGGAGTGGGTATCCGCCTGCTGAGGTGCAGGGCAGATGGAGAGGCTGCAGCTGAGCTCCTATTTTCATAATAACAGCAGCCATGAGGGTTGTGTCCTGTTTCCCAGTCCTGCCCGGTCCCCCCTCGGTACCTCCTGGTGGATACACTGGTTCCTGTAAGCAGAAGTGGATGAGGGTGTCTAGGTCTGCAGTCCTGGCACCCCAGGATGGGGGACACCAGCCAAGATACAGCAACAGCAACAAAGCGCAGCCATTTCTTTCTGTTTGCACAGCTCCTCTGTCTGTCGGGGGCTCCTGTCTGTTGTCTCCTATAAGCCTCACCACCTCTCCTACTGCTTGGGCATGCATCTTTCTCCCCTTCTATAGATGAGGAGGTTAAGGTCCAGAGAGGGGTGGGGAGGAACGCCGGCTCACATTCTCCATCCCCTCCAGATATGACCAGGAACAGACCTGTGCCAGGCCTCAGCCTTACATCAAAATGGGCCTCCCCATGCACCGTGGACCTCTGGGCCCTCCTGTCCCAGTGGAGGACAGGAAGCTGTGAGGGGCACTGTCACCCAGGGCTCAAGCTGGCATTCCTGAATAATCGCTCTGCACCAGGCCACGGCTAAGCTCAGTGCGTGATTAAGCCTCATAACCCTCCAAGGCAGTTACTAGTGTGATTCCCATTTTACAGATGAGGAAGATGGGGACAGAGAGGTGAATAACTGGCCCCAAATCACACACCATCCATAATTCGGGCTCAGGCACCTGGCTCCAGTCCCCAAACTCTTGAACCTGGCCCTAGTGTCACTGTTTCTCTTGGGTCTCAGGCGCTGGATGGGGAACAGGAAACCTGGGCTGGACTTGAGGCCTCTCTGATGCTCGGTGACTTCAGACAGTTGCTCAACCTCTCTGTTCTCTTGGGCAAAACATGATAACCTTTGACTTCTGTCCCCTCCCCTCACCCCACCCGACCTTGATCTCTGAAGTGTTGGAAGGATTTAATTTTTCCTGCACTGAGTTTTGGAGACAGGTCAAAAAGATGACCAAGGCCAAGGTGGCCAGTTTCCTATAGAACGCCTCTAAAAGACCTGCAGCAATAGCAGCAAGAACTGGTATTCTCGAGAACTTGCTGCGCAGCAGGCACTTCTTGGCATTTTATGTGTATTTAATTTCACAATAGCTCTATGACAAAGTCCACCTTTCTCATCTCCAGGAAACTGAGGTTCAGAGAGGTTAAGTAACTTGTCCAAGGTCACACAGCTAATAGCAAGTTGACGTGGAGCAATCTGGCCTCAGAGCCTTTAATTTTAGCCACAGACTGATGCTCCCCTCTTCATTTAGCCAGGCTGCCTCTGAAGTTTTCTGATTCAAGACTTCTGGCTTCAGCTTTGTACACAGAGATGATTCAATGTCAGGTTTTGGAGTGAAATCTGTTTAATCCCAGACAAAACATTTAGGATTACATCTCAGTTTTGTAAGCAAGTAGCTCTGTGATTTTTAGTGAGTTATTTAATGCTCTTTGGGGCTCAATTTTTCTATCTATAAAATAGGGCTAATAATTTGCACCTTATAGGGTAAGCTTTGAGGACAGATTAGATGATACGGTGCCTGTAAAACACCAGGTGTTAGTAAGTGTGGCAATGATGGTGACGCTGAGGCTGATGTTTGCTTAGCATAGGGTTAGGCAGCTGGCAGGCAGTAAACAGTTGGATAATTTAATGGAAAATTTGCCAAACTCAGATGCTGTTCACTGCTGAGCAGGAGCCCCTTCCTGCTGAAATGGTCCTGGGGAGTGCAGCAGGCTCTCCGGGAAGAAATCTACCATCTCTCGGGCAGGAGCTCAACCTGTGTGCAGGTACAGGGAGGGCTTCCTCACCTGGTGCCCACTCATGCATTACGTCAGTTATTCCTCATCCCTGTCCAAAGGATTCTTTTCTCCATTGTACAGCTATGAAGCTAGTGCTCAAAGAAGTGAAGTCATTTACCCCAGGCCCCCTGCCAGTAAGTGACAGGGCCTGGTCACACTTGGGTTTATTTATTGCCCAGTTCAACAGGTTGTTTGACCATAGGCGAGATTCTCTTCCCTGCACCCTGCCGGGTTGCTCTTGGTCCCTTATTTTATGCTCCCGGGTAGAAATGGTGTGAGATTAGGCAGGGAGTGGCTCGCTTCCCTGTCCCTGGCCCCGCAAAGAGTGCTCCCACCTGCCCCGATCCCAGAAATGTCACCATGAAGCCTTCATTCTTTTGGTTTAAAGCTTGGCCTCAGTGTCCGTACACCATGGGGTACTTGGCCAGATGGCGACTTTCTCCTCTCCAGTCGCCCTCCCAGGCACTAGCTTTTAGGAGTGCAGGGTGCTGCCTCTGATAGAAGGGCCAGGAGAGAGCAGGTTTTGGAGTCCTGATGTTATAAGGAACAGCTTGGGAGGCATAATGAACCCAACATGATGCTTGAGACCAATGTCACAGCCCAATTCTGACATTCATCATCTGAGATCTGAGGACACAGCTGTCTCAGTTCATGATCTGAGTGCTGGGAAAGCCAAGACTTGTTCCAGCTTTGTCACTGACTTGCTGTATAGCCTCAACAAGGCCCTGACCCTCTCTGGGCTTCAAACTCTTCACTGTGAAAGGAGGAAACCAGAGTAGGTGATGTGACACCAGGAAAGATGGATGGGTGTGGGGGAATGTGCTCCTCCCAGCTGTCACCCCCTCGCCACCCTCCCTGCACCAGCCTCTCCACCTCCTTTGAGCCCAGAATTCCCCTGTCTAGGAGGGCACCTGTCTCATGCCTAGCCATGGGAATTCTCCATCTGTTTTGCTACATTGAACCCAGATGCCATTCTAACCAAGAATCCTGGCTGGGTGCAGGGGCTCTCGCCTGTAACCCCAGCACTTTGGGAGGCCAAGGCAGGCGGATCAAGAGGTCAGGAGTTCAAGACCTGCCTGGCCAACACGGTGAAACCTCAGCTCTACTAAAAATACAAAAATTAGCCAGGCGTGGTGGCACACGCCTGTAATCCCAGCTATTTGGGAAGCTGAGACAGAAGAATTTCTTGAACCCGGGAGGTGGAGGTTTCAGTGAGCCGAGATCACGCCACTGCACTCCACCCTGGCAGATAAAGCGAGACTCTGTCTCAAAAAAAACCCAAAAACCTATGTTAGTGTACAGAGGGCCCCAGTGAAGTCTTCTCCCAGCCCCACTTTGCACAACTGGGGAGAGTGAGGCCCCAGGACCAGAGGATTCTTGCTAAAGGCCAAGTGGATAGTGATGGCCCTGCCAGGGCTAGAAGCCACAACCTCTGGCCCTGAGGCCACTCAGCATATTTAGTGTCCCCACCCTGCAGAGGCCCAACTCCCTCCTGACCACTGAGCCCTGTAATGATGGGGGAATTTCCATAAGCCATGAAGGACTGCACAAAGTTCAGTTGGGAAGTGAAAGAGAAATTAAAGGGAGATGGAAATATACAGCACTAATTTTAGCACCGTCTTTAGTTCTAACAACACTAGCTAGCTGAAGAAAAATACAAACATGTATTATGTAATGTGTGGTCTGTTCCATTTGGATTACTTAGAGGCACGAGGGCCAGGAGAAAGGTGGTGGAGAGAAACCAGCTTTGCACTTCATTTGTTGCTTTATTGGAAGGAAACTTTTAAAAGTCCAAGGGGGTTGAAGAATCTCAATATTTGTTATTTCCAGCTTTTTTTCTCCAGTTTTTCATTTCCCAAATTCAAGGACACCTTTTTCTTTGTATTTTGTTAAGATGATGGTTTTGGTTTTGTGACTAGTAGTTAACAATGTGGCTGCCGGGCATATTCTCCTCAGCTAGGACCTCAGTTTTCCCATCTGTGAAGACGGCAGGTTCTACCTAGGGGGCTGCAGGCTGGTGGTCCGAAGCCTGGGCATATCTGGAGTAGAAGGATCACTGTGGGGCAGGGCAGGTTCTGTGTTGCTGTGGATGACGTTGACTTTGACCATTGCTCGGCAGAGCCTGCTCTCGCTGGTTCAGCCACAGGCCCCACCACTCCCTATTGTCTCAGCCCCGGGTATGAAACATGTATTCCTCACTGGCCTATCACCTGAAGCCTTTGAATTTGCAACACCTGCCAACCCCTCCCTCAAAAGAGTTGCCCTCTCAGATCCTTTTGATGTAAGGTTTGGTGTTGAGACTTATTTCACTAAATTCTCATACATAAACATCACTTTATGTATGAGGCAAAATGAGGACCAGGGAGATGAATGACTTGTCCTGGCTCATACACCTGGAAAGTGACAGAGTCAGATTAGATCCCAGGTCTATCTGAAGTTAAAAGAGGTGTCTTTTCACTTCCCACCTCCTCCATCTACTTTAAAGCAGCACAAACCCCTGCTTTCAAGGAGAGATGAGCGTCTCTAAAGCCCCTGACAGCAAGAGCCCAGAACTGGGACACCATTAGTGACCCAGACGGCAGGTAAGCTGACTGCAGGAGCATCAGCCTATTCTTGTGTCTGGGACCACAGAGCATTGTGGGGACAGCCCCGTCTCTTGGGAAAAAAACCCTAAGGGCTGAGGATCCTTGTGAGTGTTGGGTGGGAACAGCTCCCAGGAGGTTTAATCACAGCCCCTCCATGCTCTCTAGCTGTTGCCATTGTGCAAGATGCATTTCCCTTCTGTGCAGCAGTTTCCCTGGCCACTAAATAGTGGGATTAGATAGAAGCCCTCCAAGGGCTTCCAGCTTGACATGATTCTTGATTCTGATCTGGCCCGATTCCTGGATAATCGTGGGCAGGCCCATTCCTCTTCTTGTGCCTCATTTTCTTCTTTTGTAAAACAATGGCTGTACCATTTGCATCTTAGGGTCATTGCAGATGTAAGTGTTGCTGTCCAGAGCCTGGGTGCAGGACCTAGATGTAGGATTCTGGTTCTGCTACTTCCTCAGTGACATTGAATAGCTGACCTAATCTCTCTGGCTTTGGTTTCTTCATCTGTAAAAGAAGGATATTAGCATTAGCACCTCACGGGATTGTTACAAGAAAGCAATGAATTAACACATGTGAGCACGGAGAACAGTGCTTGGCATATGGTAAGCACTACGTACATTTTGCTATTCTTCTGATTCTTTCAGTGTTACTGATGTCGGCAAGTACTTGGCACAGGCTGGTTTAATAATCCCTAGGCACTTCCACGTGGTGTCAATCCCTGATCACTGGGAGTCATCATGTGCCTTGACTCGGGGCCTGGCCCCCCCATCTCTGTCTTGCAGGACAATGCCGTCTTCTGTCTCGTGGGGCATCCTCCTGCTGGCAGGCCTGTGCTGCCTGGTCCCTGTCTCCCTGGCTGAGGATCCCCAGGGAGATGCTGCCCAGAAGACAGATACATCCCACCATGATCAGGATCACCCAACCTTCAACAAGATCACCCCCAACCTGGCTGAGTTCGCCTTCAGCCTATACCGCCAGCTGGCACACCAGTCCAACAGCACCAATATCTTCTTCTCCCCAGTGAGCATCGCTACAGCCTTTGCAATGCTCTCCCTGGGGACCAAGGCTGACACTCACGATGAAATCCTGGAGGGCCTGAATTTCAACCTCACGGAGATTCCGGAGGCTCAGATCCATGAAGGCTTCCAGGAACTCCTCCGTACCCTCAACCAGCCAGACAGCCAGCTCCAGCTGACCACCGGCAATGGCCTGTTCCTCAGCGAGGGCCTGAAGCTAGTGGATAAGTTTTTGGAGGATGTTAAAAAGTTGTACCACTCAGAAGCCTTCACTGTCAACTTCGGGGACACCGAAGAGGCCAAGAAACAGATCAACGATTACGTGGAGAAGGGTACTCAAGGGAAAATTGTGGATTTGGTCAAGGAGCTTGACAGAGACACAGTTTTTGCTCTGGTGAATTACATCTTCTTTAAAGGTAAGGTTGCTCAACCAGCCTGAGCTGTTCCCATAGAAACAAGCAAAAATATTCTCAAACCATCAGTTCTTGAACTCTCCTTGGCAATGCATTATGGGCCATAGCAATGCTTTTCAGCGTGGATTCTTCAGTTTTCTACACACAAACACTAAAATGTTTTCCATCATTGAGTAATTTGAGGAAATAATAGATTAAACTGTCAAAACTACTGACAGCTCTGCAGAACTTTTCAGAGCCTTTAATGTCCTTGTGTATACTGTATATGTAGAATATATAATGCTTAGAACTATAGAACAAATTGTAATACACTGCATAAAGGGATAGTTTCATGGAACATACTTTACACGACTCTAGTGTCCCAGAATCAGTATCAGTTTTGCAATCTGAAAGACCTGGGTTCAAATCCTGCCTCTAACACAATTAGCTTTTGACAAAAACAATGCATTCTACCTCTTTGAGGTGCTAATTTCTCATCTTAGCATGGACAAAATACCATTCTTGCTGTCAGGTTTTTTTAGGATTAAACAAATGACAAAGACTGTGGGGATGGTGTGTGGCATACAGCAGGTGATGGACTCTTCTGTATCTCAGGCTGCCTTCCTGCCCCTGAGGGGTTAAAATGCCAGGGTCCTGGGGGCCCCAGGGCATTCTAAGCCAGCTCCCACTGTCCCAGGAAAACAGCATAGGGGAGGGGAGGTGGGAGGCAAGGCCAGGGGCTGCTTCCTCCACTCTGAGGCTCCCTTGCTCTTGAGGCAAAGGAGGGCAGTGGAGAGCAGCCAGGCTGCAGTCAGCACAGCTAAAGTCCTGGCTCTGCTGTGGCCTTAGTGGGGGCCCAGGTCCCTCTCCAGCCCCAGTCTCCTCCTTCTGTCCAATGAGAAAGCTGGGATCAGGGGTCCCTGAGGCCCCTGTCCACTCTGCATGCCTCGATGGTGAAGCTCTGTTGGTATGGCAGAGGGGAGGCTGCTCAGGCATCTGCATTTCCCCTGCCAATCTAGAGGATGAGGAAAGCTCTCAGGAATAGTAAGCAGAATGTTTGCCCTGGATGAATAACTGAGCTGCCAATTAACAAGGGGCAGGGAGCCTTAGACAGAAGGTACCAAATATGCCTGATGCTCCAACATTTTATTTGTAATATCCAAGACACCCTCAAATAAACATATGATTCCAATAAAAATGCACAGCCACGATGGCATCTCTTAGCCTGACATCGCCACGATGTAGAAATTCTGCATCTTCCTCTAGTTTTGAATTATCCCCACACAATCTTTTTCGGCAGCTTGGATGGTCAGTTTCAGCACCTTTTACAGATGATGAAGCTGAGCCTCGAGGGATGTGTGTCGTCAAGGGGGCTCAGGGCTTCTCAGGGAGGGGACTCATGGTTTCTTTATTCTGCTACACTCTTCCAAACCTTCACTCACCCCTGGTGATGCCCACCTTCCCCTCTCTCCAGGCAAATGGGAGAGACCCTTTGAAGTCAAGGACACCGAGGAAGAGGACTTCCACGTGGACCAGGTGACCACCGTGAAGGTGCCTATGATGAAGCGTTTAGGCATGTTTAACATCCAGCACTGTAAGAAGCTGTCCAGCTGGGTGCTGCTGATGAAATACCTGGGCAATGCCACCGCCATCTTCTTCCTGCCTGATGAGGGGAAACTACAGCACCTGGAAAATGAACTCACCCACGATATCATCACCAAGTTCCTGGAAAATGAAGACAGAAGGTGATTCCCCAACCTGAGGGTGACCAAGAAGCTGCCCACACCTCTTAGCCATGTTGGGACTGAGGCCCATCAGGACTGGCCAGAGGGCTGAGGAGGGTGAACCCCACATCCCTGGGTCACTGCTACTCTGTATAAACTTGGCTTCCAGAATGAGGCCACCACTGAGTTCAGGCAGCGCCATCCATGCTCCATGAGGAGGACAGTACCCAGGGGTGAGGAGGTAAAGGTCTCGTCCCTGGGGACTTCCCACTCCAGTGTGGACACTGTCCCTTCCCAATATCCAGTGCCCAGGGCAGGGACAGCAGCACCACCACACGTTCTGGCAGAACCAAAAAGGAACAGATGGGCTTCCTGGCAAAGGCAGCAGTGGAGTGTGGAGTTCAAGGGTAGAATGTCCCTGGGGGGACGGGGGAAGAGCCTGTGTGGCAAGGCCCAGAAAAGCAAGGTTCGGAATTGGAACAGCCAGGCCATGTTCGCAGAAGGCTTGCGTTTCTCTGTCACTTTATCGGTGCTGTTAGATTGGGTGTCCTGTAGTAAGTGATACTTAAACATGAGCCACACATTAGTGTATGTGTGTGCATTCGTGATTATGCCCATGCCCTGCTGATCTAGTTCGTTTTGTACACTGTAAAACCAAGATGAAAATACAAAAGGTGTCGGGTTCATAATAGGAATCGAGGCTGGAATTTCTCTGTTCCATGCCAGCACCTCCTGAGGTCTCTGCTCCAGGGGTTGAGAAAGAACAAAGAGGCTGAGAGGGTAACGGATCAGAGAGCCCAGAGCCAAGCTGCCCGCTCACACCAGACCCTGCTCAGGGTGGCATTGTCTCCCCATGGAAAACCAGAGAGGAGCACTCAGCCTGGTGTGGTCACTCTTCTCTTATCCACTAAACGGTTGTCACTGGGCACTGCCACCAGCCCCGTGTTTCTCTGGGTGTAGGGCCCTGGGGATGTTACAGGCTGGGGGCCAGGTGACCCAACACTACAGGGCAAGATGAGACAGGCTTCCAGGACACCTAGAATATCAGAGGAGGTGGCATTTCAAGCTTTTGTGATTCATTCGATGTTAACATTCTTTGACTCAATGTAGAAGAGCTAAAAGTAGAACAAACCAAAGCCGAGTTCCCATCTTAGTGTGGGTGGAGGACACAGGAGTAAGTGGCAGAAATAATCAGAAAAGAAAACACTTGCACTGTGGTGGGTCCCAGAAGAACAAGAGGAATGCTGTGCCATGCCTTGAATTTCTTTTCTGCACGACAGGTCTGCCAGCTTACATTTACCCAAACTGTCCATTACTGGAACCTATGATCTGAAGAGCGTCCTGGGTCAACTGGGCATCACTAAGGTCTTCAGCAATGGGGCTGACCTCTCCGGGGTCACAGAGGAGGCACCCCTGAAGCTCTCCAAGGTGAGATCACCCTGACGACCTTGTTGCACCCTGGTATCTGTAGGGAAGAATGTGTGGGGGCTGCAGCTCTGTCCTGAGGCTGAGGAAGGGGCCGAGGGAAACAAATGAAGACCCAGGCTGAGCTCCTGAAGATGCCCGTGATTCACTGACACGGGACGTGGTCAAACAGCAAAGCCAGGCAGGGGACTGCTGTGCAGCTGGCACTTTCGGGGCCTCCCTTGAGGTTGTGTCACTGACCCTGAATTTCAACTTTGCCCAAGACCTTCTAGACATTGGGCCTTGATTTATCCATACTGACACAGAAAGGTTTGGGCTAAGTTGTTTCAAAGGAATTTCTGACTCCTTCGATCTGTGAGATTTGGTGTCTGAATTAATGAATGATTTCAGCTAAAGATGACACTTATTTTGGAAAACTAAAGGCGACCAATGAACAACTGCAGTTCCATGAATGGCTGCATTATCTTGGGGTCTGGGCACTGTGAAGGTCACTGCCAGGGTCCGTGTCCTCAAGGAGCTTCAAGCCGTGTACTAGAAAGGAGAGAGCCCTGGAGGCAGACGTGGAGTGACGATGCTCTTCCCTGTTCTGAGTTGTGGGTGCACCTGAGCAGGGGGAGAGGCGCTTGTCAGGAAGATGGACAGAGGGGAGCCAGCCCCATCAGCCAAAGCCTTGAGGAGGAGCAAGGCCTATGTGACAGGGAGGGAGAGGATGTGCAGGGCCAGGGCCGTCCAGGGGGAGTGAGCGCTTCCTGGGAGGTGTCCACGTGAGCCTTGCTCGAGGCCTGGGATCAGCCTTACAACGTGTCTCTGCTTCTCTCCCCTCCAGGCCGTGCATAAGGCTGTGCTGACCATCGACGAGAAAGGGACTGAAGCTGCTGGGGCCATGTTTTTAGAGGCCATACCCATGTCTATCCCCCCCGAGGTCAAGTTCAACAAACCCTTTGTCTTCTTAATGATTGAACAAAATACCAAGTCTCCCCTCTTCATGGGAAAAGTGGTGAATCCCACCCAAAAATAACTGCCTCTCGCTCCTCAACCCCTCCCCTCCATCCCTGGCCCCCTCCCTGGATGACATTAAAGAAGGGTTGAGCTGGTCCCTGCCTGCATGTGACTGTAAATCCCTCCCATGTTTTCTCTGAGTCTCCCTTTGCCTGCTGAGGCTGTATGTGGGCTCCAGGTAACAGTGCTGTCTTCGGGCCCCCTGAACTGTGTTCATGGAGCATCTGGCTGGGTAGGCACATGCTGGGCTTGAATCCAGGGGGGACTGAATCCTCAGCTTACGGACCTGGGCCCATCTGTTTCTGGAGGGCTCCAGTCTTCCTTGTCCTGTCTTGGAGTCCCCAAGAAGGAATCACAGGGGAGGAACCAGATACCAGCCATGACCCCAGGCTCCACCAAGCATCTTCATGTCCCCCTGCTCATCCCCCACTCCCCCCCACCCAGAGTTGCTCATCCTGCCAGGGCTGGCTGTGCCCACCCCAAGGCTGCCCTCCTGGGGGCCCCAGAACTGCCTGATCGTGCCGTGGCCCAGTTTTGTGGCATCTGCAGCAACACAAGAGAGAGGACAATGTCCTCCTCTTGACCCGCTGTCACCTAACCAGACTCGGGCCCTGCACCTCTCAGGCACTTCTGGAAAATGACTGAGGCAGATTCTTCCTGAAGCCCATTCTCCATGGGGCAACAAGGACACCTATTCTGTCCTTGTCCTTCCATCGCTGCCCCAGAAAGCCTCACATATCTCCGTTTAGAATCAGGTCCCTTCTCCCCAGATGAAGAGGAGGGTCTCTGCTTTGTTTTCTCTATCTCCTCCTCAGACTTGACCAGGCCCAGCAGGCCCCAGAAGACCATTACCCTATATCCCTTCTCCTCCCTAGTCACATGGCCATAGGCCTGCTGATGGCTCAGGAAGGCCATTGCAAGGACTCCTCAGCTATGGGAGAGGAAGCACATCACCCATTGACCCCCGCAACCCCTCCCTTTCCTCCTCTGAGTCCCGACTGGGGCCACATGCAGCCTGACTTCTTTGTGCCTGTTGCTGTCCCTGCAGTCTTCAGAGGGCCACCGCAGCTCCAGTGCCACGGCAGGAGGCTGTTCCTGAATAGCCCCTGTGGTAAGGGCCAGGAGAGTCCTTCCATCCTCCAAGGCCCTGCTAAAGGACACAGCAGCCAGGAAGTCCCCTGGGCCCCTAGCTGAAGGACAGCCTGCTCCCTCCGTCTCTACCAGGAATGGCCTTGTCCTATGGAAGGCACTGCCCCATCCCAAACTAATCTAGGAATCACTGTCTAACCACTCACTGTCATGAATGTGTACTTAAAGGATGAGGTTGAGTCATACCAAATAGTGATTTCGATAGTTCAAAATGGTGAAATTAGCAATTCTACATGATTCAGTCTAATCAATGGATACCGACTGTTTCCCACACAAGTCTCCTGTTCTCTTAAGCTTACTCACTGACAGCCTTTCACTCTCCACAAATACATTAAAGATATGGCCATCACCAAGCCCCCTAGGATGACACCAGACCTGAGAGTCTGAAGACCTGGATCCAAGTTCTGACTTTTCCCCCTGACAGCTGTGTGACCTTCGTGAAGTCGCCAAACCTCTCTGAGCCCCAGTCATTGCTAGTAAGACCTGCCTTTGAGTTGGTATGATGTTCAAGTTAGATAACAAAATGTTTATACCCATTAGAACAGAGAATAAATAGAACTACATTTCTTGCACTTATGAGCTTTCTGTGAATCAGACATCCCTATGAAGTACCTCCCCTGGCTGTTTCTCATTTACTCACTGTAGCAGCACTGCGATGTGTGAGTATATCTGCTGTGCTCTTAAACTCCAAATCTGAGGAAACTGAGGCTCAGAGAGGCTACTGGTCTCCCACAATGTCACACAGCTCATAAGTGGCAAAGCTGGCTTGATGGGCTACTTGTTCCTCTGAACCATACCACCTCACCACACTCTCCCCTTCGAGGGTCACGCTAAACTTCTGCAGAGGTAATTCCTCCTTAAACCAGAAGGGTTGCTGGTGGCCCACAGCTCACGCCTAGCACACTTCATGAGAAAAACACCCTGTGCCCAGTGTGGAGCAGGCATTGAGCTGAAGGTGGTGAGCAGAAGCTCATCCACCAGATGTTGACACAGCCCGCAGCCTTGGGCGACCCACAGGACTCCTCTTATTTAACTGGCATTTGGTAGGAGAACAGGGGCAGAGTCAAAGACAAGTTGGCTTTCTGGAGAGCCCAGGGCAGGGAAGGAGGTGGCAGCGCTGAGGGCGGTCACCTTAGACACCATCGTTTTACTTTGAAGAATTGTCTGTCACACACGAGTTGACAGTCAGGATGGGAGAGACCCCATTCAAACTAGCATAACCTCCCAGAGGGAATTCCTGGGCTCCCCTGGGAATCAACAGGGATCAGTCAAGGATGGGCAGAGTGTCATGACAACCTCATTATGAGGAAGACAAATATATGTCACAAGTCCGTGATGGGACAACCATAAGACCTCAGCTTCACTGTATCTTCCAGAGTTTTAAAAAAATGTATTCACTGTCCAACGTGATCCTCCAGACAGGTTCTGCAGGACGCAGCCTAGGACTCATTATCCCCAAAGTACACATGGGGAAACTCAGGCCCAGCAGGTCAAATGCTCTGTCCAGTGTGGGCCTGGAAGGCAGGTCTTCTCCACTGTTAGGCCTGGCTGTCCCCAACAGCACATACTTCCTCAGTCCATATGGGATCACGATAAACAACTCCATCCTCCAGGACCACACTGCATCAACCTGCTGTGCCCTAACATCAGCTGAAGGCCAAGCTGCGGGGCACCCTGGGTGTTCCAAGTCACTTTCCCTCTGCAGGCAGGAACCTCATCCTGCTCTGAAACAGATGAGAGGGAAACGCAGAAAACAGCTTCCAGCTCAGCCAGGAACCTTAGAGTCCTGACCTTTTACCTCGCCTAGGAGTTTGCAGGGGAGAGAACACACGAATTTCGGATTTTAAGCCTAAATAAAGGAAGCCTTAGTTTGAAGTGCAAGCTCTGCCGGACAGGGGGCACCCTGTGAGCCCCATTTGTTAAGAGGACAATAGTCAGAGAGCTTCCAGGCTCTCACACCAGAAACAGGAAATACAGATTTCACACTGATCTCCTTCCCAGGAGCAACTTGATCCTCTCCATAAATCCGAGCGGGAAGCATTTATCCAAACAACAAACAAGCAAACATGAGCTGTGTATGGGGGATAGAGAGAATGAAACCCAGGTCCATCCCGGGGAGAATGCTGGTCTATGGCAGTGGGGAGCAGTGAATAAATGAGGCGTACATCCATGGATCTGGGTGGAGAGGGTCAGGGTGTAACCCAGGACCTTTCCAGAGGCATGAGAAACAGTCAGCCTACACCCACAGATGACCTCAAACACCCCAAGTGCTCCTTGAAAGGCTGAGGCTTTTGTGTTGCTCTTGGTTGGATTATTCACAGGCAATGAAGTAAACAAGGCACACCACAGGACTCAGAACCAGGGACAGCTTCCGCAGGAACCTGGGTCAGTTCTAAAAGGACAAATGGAATGACCCTGAGTAGAGAAGTCAGAGAAAGGCACTCTCACTGAGGCAAACTCCCTCCCCAGCAGGGACCCAGGCAGCAACTCGGAAAAGCAGGAGTGTCACTATTGTATCATATGGGAGAGGGCAGGCTGTGTGCTCTCAGGGAAGTTCCTCAACTTCTCTGTGCCGTAGTTTCCTCATCTGCAAAATGTAAATCAAATTTGAGGTTTCAATGCAATGACTTATTTCTCTAAAGTTCCTTGTCCTTGTCCCATGTAGCCCAGAAATCTTCCTCTGGCCTAGTTGTGGAGCCTGGCCTAAGTCGCACATTGCTGGAGATGGTGAAGCTGACCAGCATGAGAGGTCAGTTTCTAGAAGCCCAAATCCCAACAGGCATAAGCCTCACCCTCCAATATCAGCTCTATCAGAAACAAACAAACAAAAACATGTCTTATTCATTTGTCCTTTTCCTCAAATGGGTGGCACTTGGGCAGGGCAGAAGGGCTGGTTATCCAAGCTTGGAAGATGCTGACAGCAGACGCTTCAATGGCAGTAGGAGTTTTCTGATCACTGTCATTGGTATCACGCTTACTGTTGAAATCGTGACATCAGGAATGATGAAAGGAACTAGAGTCAGATGGTCTGGAGCGGGGAAGTGAGGAGCTGAAACCTCCTTCAGTCTGGTTGCTGTGTCCCCAGGGTGGGTAGATCCCCTCTGTTCATCCCACATGGGACAAGTAGAGCGGGAGAGGAATCAACCCTTTCTAAAGGGTTGAAGCATTGAGCTGTGAGCTTCTCGGTTGCTGCAGCACAATCCTTGCCCATCCTGACTGAAACAACCAGAATTCATGAAATGCATCAAAGAAGTCTTCACCTACTACGCAAGCCTGGAAGGGTGACTAAGATCTGAAAAACACCGGGAAGGCTAAAGGAACTCCCACAAGGAAACCCCATTAGAAAGTTCTAGTTACAAGATGCTCAGCACAGGCCATGCAGAAATACGCCCAGATCCGGTGGTGAGCAAGGAACGGTAGGAATGTGAGCACTGAGTCACGCAGGAGAGACTCATAGGGGCTCAAGCCAGCAAGGGGACGGCCTCCACCCCACGCACTGTTGGCCAACAGCTTCCAGGGGCATTTGCTCTCAGAAGTCAAAGCTGATTTTCCACAATTGAAGTGCTCACTGTTTGGGATGATTTAGGAACAACACCAACAAAAAGGAATGAACAATCAGAGCTAATAGAATTGTGTTTAAACTCTGCTGGGCTTCCTTGACAGAGGGCACGGGGAGCAAACAAAGTCAGCAGTGTGTCTTAAGTAAAAAACTTTTTTTCCTTTTAATTGGCAGTTAATACCCTCAAAATATGTTCTGAGATTGATCAAGTAAGTGTCTTTCAGCATTAAAATATTAGGATGAAATTGCTAAGGGCTTCTTAGCAAAGTGGAAAGAACACAGGAATCCCAACTCCACCTTCTCCTTAGCATACAATCCTGAGTGGGCTGTTACAGCTCTCTGTGCCTCGGCGCCCTCACCTGCAAGACAGGTAAAATAAAACTCCTAGGTTACTTTCATGAATAATATGCAAAGCATCACCCTAAAAAAGTGCTGCTACTTAAATGACCACCAAACATTAATGAATACTGTGGATTCCAAAAATATTAGTTAATGTGAGTGGTGTGGCTACCTTCCCCCAGTGCCCCGTGCTCTGTCAGGGAACTAACAGAGGAATAAATTACAGATATTCACAAGTTTGTTACCAATGACCCTGAGCTAGGAATCAGCCTGGGATCTTTTCCCAGGTCTACCACTAATGTGCCACCTAACACTGCGGACATCCTCTCCTCTCCCTGAGCCCCAGTTTCCTCACCAGAGAATGTGAGCATTGAGGTCCCTGGAGTCCTGACATTCCATAGAGCTCTGAGGGCTTCAGGCCGGCCCCACGTCAGTCTTTCACCTGTGTGCCCTGTGCCCACTGCTGATCTGGGGCAGAGGAGGCACAGGGAAAGGGCCCAGGCTGCTCTTAAAAATCGCATCTCACATTGAGACCGACGCATGGAGACTGCGGCAGAAGCAGCAGAGGTGAGGACCCCGTGTGAGTCCCCTGTGGCTGCCGTAGCTGATTTAGCTGATTACCATGAGCTCCGTGGTTTCCAATAGAATGCATTCTTTTACAGTTCTGGAGGCCAGAAGTCCAGAACAGTATCACTGGGACAAGGTCAGGGTGTCAGGAAAGCCGAGTGTCCTTGGAGGCTCTAGGGGATGTGCCACTTCTTCCTCTTCCAATTTCTGGTGGCTGCCGGCATTCCTTGACTTGTTGCCCCTCCAGTCACGGCCTCTGTTGTCACACTGCCCCCTCTTTCTCCATCTGTGTCAGGTCTCCCTCCCCCTCCCCCTCAGGAGGATACTTGCGATAGCATTTAGGGACCACCTGGATTGTCTTCTCCTACCAAGACCCTTAACGACATCTGCAAGGACATTTCTTCCATAGTTGGTAACATATCTCTGGGGGGCGCTGTTGAGCCTGTAGAATGCCCTACTTTACCAGTGAGGGGATGATGGGGCTGGAAGAGGGAAGGAATGAAAGGAGTGTGAAGGAAGCGCCACCAAGGAGAGCTGTGGAAGCCCAACCCAAAGACCGCACCTGGGATGTCGGGAAGGGCCAAGGTACAGAAGGAGAAGGAAGAGGGTTGGAGGTGGAGGGCCAGCAGCACCAAGGCTCGGAGCCAGGGTGAAACTCCCCCGCCAGGGGATGGAGAGAAATGGTGGGGTCGTTCTCTCAGGCAGTGGCACAGCAGAGCCAGGGCCAGATCTGGAGGTGGCTGTGCCCCCCTGGGGGGTGCAGACTCACAGCCCCTCCAACAGGGAGCCCCTCCAGGTGAGAGCGAAATGGAGATGAGCGCAAAACCCCGACTATCAGGCAGATTCTGCAGCAAAAATGACTTCAGAGGTGAACTGTGTGTAGCCTCAGGAACGGGATAGAGGTGGCCCTTGTAAACCTACCCTGCAATGGTGTCTAGGTCCCATGTCCCCTGTTCCAGACAGAGGCAGGCCTTGGCCTCCTGAGGAGGGACAGCAGGAGGGCAGGTCCCTCACTGAGCCTGGAGTCTCTCTCTCTGTACAGCAGGCACCTTCTCCCGACCACTCCCACCACCAACATTTCATTCTATTCCTTCCCTCAGGGGGCAGCTACAATTTCTCTCTTAGCCCAAGGAAAGGAATAAAACAAACTGCCTTATATTGAAGTGAACATGGCTGATCTGGGCTTATTGGGAGCCCTCCCAAGGGGCGGGGTCTAGTTCTCATTATCTTCTCCATCAAGGTGGCTAAGAATTTTTGCAGTTTCTTATAACTCACAAAGTACTGTCCTAGAAGCTATATCCCCATGAGGGGAGGTAGGGCAGGTATTATCAGGTTCGCTTACAGGTGGTCAACAGAGGGTCAGAGAAATCAGTGATTTGGGGAGCTCATACAGCTGCTAGATGTAGCCTGGCATCAGTCACCGCAGGAGGGCCCACCCCGGCCTGAGTGCAGGCAGAACGCTGTGACACTGAGTGACATGGACAAGTCACCATCCTGAGCCTCCCATTCTCACTAACAGAGAATCACCACCCTCGGCCTGAAGGACAGGTTGTCTGCAGGTGACTGCCGGGGTCACGGCAACAGCTTCCCCCCTGCCAGGCCTGGGACCCGAGTTGCAGGGAGTCAGGTGTATGGCCTTTTGTGGTGTCTGTGTGGTCCAGGAAGAGAGGGGCTGCACCGTGTGTGTGTGTGTGTGTGTGTGTGTGTGTGTGTGTGTGTGTGTGTGATTGTGTGTGTGCATCTGAGTATCCGTGTCTCTGTGTGATGCTATATGTCAATGTGTCTTTGTGTGTGTGTGTGTGTGTGTGTCTCTGTGTGTTGGCATGTAACTGTAATGTCTTTCCTTGTTTGTGTGTGTGTCTGTGAGTGTGTGTGCCTGAGTGCACATGTGTCTCTGTCTCTAGGTGTTTGTATCTAAACTGAGGGTGTGTCTGTGTGTTTCTGTGATTGTGTGTCTCTGAGTCGGTGTGTGTCTGTAACTGTGTGTGTTACATGAAACAGAAGCAGATGTAGTGAGAATGAGAGGGTCTAACTCCCTTTATCCTCACACAAGGACCCCTCACTAGAGTGGAGAGAACGAGTCCTTCCCAGTCACACCCAGGAGCCCTCGGGTGGCACTTGGCAGCTGGTGTCACCACCCTAAGTACCCACACAAATGGGCTATGGAGGCAGAGCAACAAGGATTCCAGCTCCTGGTGAGAGATTCCCAGGCCAGGGTCTTGGTAGACACAAGCCTGGTGACTTCAGGCAGCTGGCAATTACTGGGCATCTACCAAGGGTCAGCCACGGTTCCAGGCCCCTAGCGTGTATGAATTCCTTGGCTCCTCTCGTCACCTCTCTGAGGGTGTGTCAAGGAGAGAGGAACCTGGATCTTGGATGGCCACGGGGCTCCCTTCCACCCACATCCCCACATGGCTGCACAGCACAGGCTGGTTCTGTTGGACTGAGCCCATCCGGGGAAGAACAGCGAGACCCTCGGGTGAGATCGGGCTCACTGGAGACAAAAAGCATGGCAGGAGCTGGAGGCGCCCCAGGCTGATTTCCGGGACAGGAGTTTCCTGAACACAGGGACTGAGCATCCCCACAGCCCCCTAGACTGGCCCATGAGCACGAGAAGCCCTGAGAGTGCGTGGGGATGGCCTGTGTGCAAGGCAGCGCAGCGAGCCTCTCTGCACAACCCACAGGCTCTGCTGGGTGAGGAGTTCTCCCTCAGCCTCCTCTGGAGCTGACGCTGGGGGAGAGCGCCGTGAGCCTCCCTGCCTGAATTCTTATCTGCGCTTCACACAGGAGGAAACTGAGGCACGCAGAGTTTTAGCTCCTCTTGGCCAGAGCCAGGATTTGAACCCAGGCGTCCGAACCTTGGTGATCCTGCGGGGCAGAGTGAGTTGGGGGTTGGAATTCCATTTCTCACAAAGTGCCCAGCACAGGGTGGGCCCCTACAGAGGGTAAGAGCTGGGGGGCGGGGCTCGGTCGGGTGTGATTTTCCCCTTCTCCTGCCTTCCCCAGGGTGGGACTCCCCTCTGGTGTCCTGGTATTCACCTGTGTCTCCACCTGTAGAGGCAGGAAGGATTCAGCCTTAGGGATGCCCCCTTGCTCTCCAACAGGCCCCTCCGCCTCAGGCTCTTTTTTTCTTTTTTCTTTTTTTTTTTTTTCTTTCAGATGGAGTTTCCCTCTGTTGCCCAGGCTGGAGTGCAATGGTGCAATCTTGGCTCACTGTAACCTCTACCTCCTGGGCTCAAGCGATTCTCCTGCCTCAGCCTCCCAGGTAGCTGGCATTACAGGCATGCGCTACCATGCCCGGCTAATTTTTTTTTGTATTTAATAGAGACCGGGTTTCACCATGTTGGTCAGGCTGGTCTTGAACTCCTGACCTCAGCTGATCCACCCACCCCAGCCTCCCAGAGTGCTGGGATCACAGGCGTGAGCCAATGCGCGCAGCCAGGCTCTCTTTTTCTTACCCTGCTCATTCAAACCTCCAGCCTGAGCCAGAGTCCAAGACCCTGTTGGACCCCATGGCCACTCCCTAAGAGTCTCAGAGGAGGAGGGATGCCCTTTTAGCTCTGGCCCTTCAGAGCTTGTTACCCAGATTCCAGAGGACACTGTGTCATCTCCTCACTGCTCTCCGGTCCCCACCTTCCTGCCCCCAGGGGCCTCTGCCCTTGATCTCTTGGTTAGAACTCCTGGCTTGAAAGGGTGAGGTGAATTCATTAACTTCTCTGATGGCCTGACGACCTTTTCAGTCCCCTCTTCCCTCTCTCCTACCTGGTTCATGGTCCGCTCCTCTACCTGCTGGGGCCCTCACAGGTCCTGAAGGCTTTGTGGGTTCGAAACCCAGCCCTCTCCTCCCCGCAAAGCGCTGCTTCTGAGGCCCCTTCCCGTTGTCCAGCTTCACATTTACATTGATTTCACCTCATTCTCCCCATATTCCCACTTCAAAAGGAAGATGGAGAGGTGGAAATACTTTTCTGAGATCACATCGTTGGTGAGCGACAGAGCCTGGAAGAGAAGCCAGGCCTGTTGTCATCACTTCCTCTCCCACACACTCATGTTTTTCTGGAGAGCTCAACCTCCCCGGGTCCCTTATTGCTGTTAGGCCCAGGGCTGGAACCAGCAATACCTGAGTCTCCCCTGAGCTGACAGCAGGAGCCTCAGCCCACGTGTGTGGCAGGGACCTCCGACTCATAGCGGGGCAACTCCAGGACAGGCTCCAGGGGCTGGGGCACAGGCTCCTCTGTGGGCACAGCCCCTGAGTCTCCCTGGGGGCTGGCATTAAGCCCTGGGTCAGGGAGGAACCTTATGGATGTGAGAGCTCCATCATGTCAGTGAGGAGATCGGCTATAGGTTCCTGAGACCTGGGACAGCAGACGCAGTGCAATCCTGGGGACCCTAAACAGGGCCCCCATCCCAGAGGAATGGACATCCCACACGGCCTGGGCCCAGGCAGATTCACATGGGCCTCACTTGACTTAAGTCCAGTCTGAAGGAGAGAAGCTTCTGTCCAATTAGGCAAGAGGAGACCTTCAAGACAGCCAGGGTGATCTGAGCCCCCACCCCAGGGGTGCTCCACAGGGGCAATCAGCAAGGCCAGGGGATGGTTTATCACCATCCCTGTGAGTTGAGGGTCACTACATGACTGTGGTTTTCTTGAGAATGTTGTCAAACATCCTAGGATGCACCACAGAGTCCCCCACAGCATAGCACTGCCCAGCCCAATATGTCCAAACGGCCAGGATCAGGAGCCCTGACGTCCTCCGGGCCTGGCCAAGAGCAGCATCCAAGGCCCCAGCCTCTGAGGAGGCAGTACTACAGCTCTACGCAAAGCACTTGGCCAGCAGCTGGTGGCTTGTCGGCTCCCGGTTCTGCCTGACCAGCTATGTGGCCTTGAACAAGTTACTGAACCACTCTGAGTTCACCTTTCCCATCCTATGAAAATGGAAATTACAAGACATATCTTTAGACGAAAGGCAATGTCTGCGATTGCCCCTAGAAACAGGGCTGTCATGTGCTTTAATCAGCAGCATTCCCCAGGCCAGGAATGTCACAGGGCTCAGACAATAATCAAACCAGGCTCCAGGGTCCTATAAAGTGAAGGCTATCACAGTTGGGAGGAGAGGGAGATGCATGAAGTGTGTGGAATCTGGGGAGAGCCTAGGCAGAATTCAGGTAGGCTGGGTTTACACAGCGCCTCTGAGCCCTGGCTGTGTGTCACGGTACAGTATCCCGTCCCTCTGGGGACAGAGCTTCTCTGTCCATTAAATAAGGGAGGTCAGTGGAGATCTCCAAGGACTGTTGTGGTGTGTGGAAGTCATTGCTGATCCTGACTTAACCCACTTCCTTAGTAACCCTGGGCAAGTCCCTTATGCTTCCCGTGCCCCAGTTTCCTATTTTCTAAAATGGGGGCCAGATGCTGTGGCTCATGCCTCTAATCACAGCATTTTGGGAGGCCAAGTAGGGAGGATCCCTTGAGGTCAGGAGTTCAAGACCAGCCAGGGCAACATGACAAAACCCTGTCTTCACTAAAATACAAAAAATTAGCCTGGCGTGGTGTGCACGCCTATAATCCCCGCTACTTGGGAGACTGAGGCAGGAGAAACGCTTGAACCCGGGAGGCGGAGGTTGCAGTGAGCCGAGATCACACCACTGCATTCCACCCTGGGCGGTAGAGCCAGACTCTGTCTCCAAAAATATAAAATAAAACAAAATGGGGCTGTGGCATTTGCACCTCAAGGTCATTACAGAGGTAAGTGGAGCTGCAGAGAGCAAGGACTCAAGACCCAGCCGGCCAGGCTGAGGGATGCTTGCTTTTCCTGTTTGCTGACCTTGGGCTTGAGTCTCACCTCTCTGGGCTTTGGTTTCCTCATGTGTAAAAGGAAGATAGTAGCATTACCACCTCACAGGATTGTTACAAGAAAGCAATGAGTTAACACACGTGTGCTTAGAACAGTTCTTGGCATAAGCTAAGTACCTTACACGTGCTTGCTATCTTTCTTATTCTTTCAATGATGATGGTGTAGGAAAGTGTTTGCAATGGGCTGGGCACATGGTGGATGTTTAATAATTCATGGTTGCAATCACACAATGTCAGTCCCTGGTCACTGGGAGTCATCATGTGCCCTGACTTGGGGCCTGGCCCTCTGCCTCTGTCTTGCAGGACAATACCATTCTCTGTCTCATGGGGCGTCCTCCTGCTGGCAGGCCTGTGCTGCCTGGTCCCCAGCTCCCTGGTTGAGGATCCCCAGGAAGATGCTGCCCAAAAGACGGATACATCCCACCATGATCAAGGGGACTGGGAGGACCTTGCTTGCCAGAAGATCTCCTATAACGTCACCGACCTCGCCTTTGATTTGTACAAAGAGCTGGCTGATCTATCACAAACCAGCAATGTCTTAGTCACCCCAACAAGCGTGGCTATGGCCTTTGCAATGCTCTCCCTGGGGACCAAGGCTGACACTCGCACAGAGATCCTGGAAGGCCTGAATGTCAACCTCACAGAGACGCCTGAGGCCAAGATCCACGAATGCTTCCAGCAAGTTCTCCAAGCCCTCAGCAGGCCAGACACCCGGCTCCAGCTGACCACCGGCAGTAGCCTGTTTGTTAACAAGAGTATGAAGCTAGTGGACA
Source organism: Homo sapiens (assembly GCF_000001405.40). Lineage (NCBI taxonomy): Eukaryota > Metazoa > Chordata > Mammalia > Primates > Hominidae > Homo > Homo sapiens. Next base: position 94,366,232 of record NC_000014.9, on the reverse strand, counting down.
CGTTTTTGGAGGATACCAAGAAGCTGTACCACTCAGAAGCCTCTTCCATCAACTTCAGGGACACCGAGGAGGCCAAAGAGCAGATCAACAATTATGTGGAGAAAAGAACTGGAAGAAAAGTAGTGGATTTGGTCAAACACCTGAAAAAAGACACAAGTCTTGCCCTGGTGGATTACATTTCCTTTCACGGTAAGGTAGCACTACCTGTCCAAGCCCGTTCCACTGAAATAATCCAAACATATTCTCAAATTACTAGTTCTTAAGCTTTCCTAGACAATGTACTATGAGATATGGCAGGGCATTTAACATGGATTCTGCAATTTTCCAAACACAAACAATAAAATACTTTCCATGATCAAACAAGATTGAAGAATGATGAGTTTAAGACAGCCAAACCATCATCTTCTCTACAGACCTTGTCAGAGCCTTTATTGTCCTAATACTCATTGGAAATCCCTAATAGGGAGGGGGCAGAATATGAAATGCTTCCCACATGCTAAAGCCAGAAAAATATTTTGTGGCACATGCATAAAGGAATAGTTTCATGGAACATACTTTAGACGACCCTAGTGTCCCAGAAGCAGTGTCAGCTTTGCCGTCTAAAATATTGGGGTTCAAATCCTGCCTCTACCACTTACTAGCTTTTGATAAAGGACAATGCATTCTACCTCTCTGAGGTGCTAATTTCCCGTCTTAGCATGGACAAAATAGCATCCTTGCTGTCAGGTTGTTTTAAGGATTAAACAAGTGACAGATACCATGGGGATGGTGTGTGGCATACAGCAGGTGATGGACTCTTCTGTATCTCAGGCTGCCTTCCTGCCCCTGAGGGGTTAAAATGCCAGGGTGCTGGGGGCCCCAGGGCATTCTAAGCCAGCTCCTATTGTCCCAGGAAAACAGCATAGGGGAGGGGAGGTGGAGGCAAGGCCAGGGGCTGCTTCCTCCACTCTGAGGCTCCCTTGCTCTTGAGGCAAAGGAGGGCAGTGGAGAGCAGCCAGGCTGCAGTCAGCACAGCTGAGGTCCGGGCTCTGCTGTGGCCTTAGGGCAGGCCCAGGCCCCTCTCCAGCCCCCGTCTCCTCCTTCTGTCCAATGAGAAAGCTGAGCTCAAGGGTCCCTGAGGCACCTGCCCACTTGGCATGCCTCGATGGTGAAGCTTTCTTGGTACGGCAGAGGGGAGTCTGCCTAGGCATCTGCATCTCCCCTGCTCATCCAGGGAAAGGCCTCAGGAGAAGTAAGCACAATGCTGTCCTCGTATCTCAACAGAACCAGCCCTCTGCATGAGATCAGAAGCCTCCAGCCAAAGGTGGCAAGGCATAAGGAGTTCCGATTTTACTCATTAACTTTCATTAACCATCCCCAAGCCGCTATCGAATAAACAGAGCCAAATATAAATGCTTCTTCTGTGGCACCAGGATTTTGCCAATTAGTTCAAGTATATAGAAACTCTGGATTCTTCTTTATCTTCAGGTGATTCTCACAAAAGCTCTCCAGCAGCCAGATAGTTCCATTTGAATCCCATTTTACAGATGATAAAGCTGAAGCAGAGGGAAGTGTCCTGCCAAAGGGGCTCAGGGCTCCTTTCATTCACACACTTCCACCCTTTTATCCCACACCTGGCTGATGCCCACCTTCCTTTTCTTCCAGGCAAGTGGAAAGATAAATTCAAGGCTGAGCGCATTATGGTAGAGGGCTTCCATGTGGATGATAAGACCATCATCAGAGTGCCTATGATAAACCACCTGGGTAGATTTGACATCCACCGGGACAGGGAGTTATCCAGCTGGGTGCTGGCACAGCACTATGTGGGGAACGCCACTGCCTTCTTCATCCTGCCCGATCCAAAGAAGATGTGGCAGTTGGAAGAAAAATTGACCTACAGCCACCTTGAAAATATCCAGAGAGCCTTTGACATAAGGTGATTTCCAGTTCAGGGGCTGAGTCAGAAGCTGCCCAGACCTTTGAGCCATGTCAGGACTGAGGCCCAACAGGACTGGCCAGAGGGCTGGGGAGGGTGGACCTCACATCCCTGGGTCACAGCTACTGCAGAGGCCACCACTGAGTTCAGGCAGGACCATCCATGCTCCATGAGGAGGACAGTACCCAGGGGTGAGGAGGTAAAGATCTCGTCCCTGGGGACTTCCCACTCCAGTGTGGACACTGTCCCTTCCCAATATCCAGTGCCCAGGGCAGGGACAGCAGCACCACCACACATTCTGGCAGAACCAAGAAGGAACAGATGGGCTTCCTGGCAAAGGCAACAGTGGAGTGTGGAGTTCAAGGGTAGCATGTCCTTCAGGGGACGGGGGAAGAGCCTGTGTGGCAAGGCCCAGAAAAACAAAGTTCGGAATTGGAACAGCCAGGCCATGTTAGCAGAAGGCTTGCGTTTCTCTGTCGCTTTATCGATGCTGTTAGATTGGGTGTCCTGTAGTAAATGATACTTGAGCATAAGCCATACATTAGTGTATGGCACCAACTTTCCGCTCTTCATTGGAAAAGTGGTGAATCCCACCCAAAAATAACTGGCTGTCACTCCTCAGCCCCTCCCCTCCACCCCTGGCCCCCTCCCTGGATAACATTAAAGAAAGGCTGAATTGCCCTCTGCCTGCGTGTGACTGCAAACCCCTCCCCTGTTGTTTCTGAGTCTCCCTTTGTGCACTGAGGCTGTGTGTGGACTCCAGGTCACAGTGCTGTCTCCGGGCCTCCTGAACTGTGTTCATGGAGCACCTGACTGGGCAGGCATGTGCTAGGCCAGGATGGAGGGGGCTGAATCCTCAGTTTAAGGGCCTGGACCTGGGAGCTTATGGAAGAGCAAGGGGCTACCAGGAGCGGCCGCCAAGTGCGGGTCACCCAGAGAGAGCCAGGCCAGGGCCTGAGTGCTAGAACGCTGTGGCACTGTGTGACCCAGAAAAGCCACTTTGCTGAGCCTCCCGTTCTCAGTGGCAGCATGAGGAGAGAATGCCCCCACCTGTGAGTGCAAAGCAGCCCGTCAGAGGCGACGGCGGGGACACTGCCACACCTTGCCTCCCTGCCAGGCCCCAACCCGGAGGTTGGGGAAGTCAGATGTGCAGCCTTTGGTGGCGTCTGTGTGGCCCAGAGTGAGAGGGACTCCACCACGTGTGTTTGTGTGTGTCTGTGTGTGTGTGTGGCTGCGTGGGTGTGTCTCTGCGTGTGTGTGTCTCTGTGTGGGTATGTCTGTTTGTGACTATGTGTGTGTGTGTCTCTGTGTGTGTTTGTGTGTGTCTGTATATGTGTGTGTCTCTGTGTGTACATCTGTGTGTCTGCGTGTGTGTGTGTGGCTGCGTGGGTATGTCTGTGTGTGTGTGTCTCTGTGTGGGTATGTCTGTGTGTGTCCGCGTGCATGTGTCTCTGTGTGTTTGTGTGTGACCATGTGTGTCTGTGTGTGTGTGTGCGTGTGTGTCTGTGTGTGTGTCTGTGCATGTGTGTCTGTGTGTCTAGGTAGTTCTGTCTTTGTGTCTGCATATGGCTGTGGATATGTCTGTGTGTCTAAGTAGTTCTGTCTTTGTGTCTGCATATGGCTGTGGATATGTCTGTGTGTGTCTGTGTATGTGTGTGCTTCTGTGTTTGTGTGTCCCTGAGTCAATGTGAGTCTGAGAGTCTGTGTGTCTGAGTCTATGTGTGTTAGGGTACCTAGGTGTTTCTGTGTGTTTGCATGTGGTTGTGGGTGAGGCTGTGTGTGTGATGTTTCTCTGTTTGTCTGAGTCTATATGTGTCTGTGTGTCTAGGTGTTTCTATCTAGACTGAGGATGTGTCTGTGGCTATGTGTCTGTGTGTGTGTGTTTCTGTGATTGTGTGTCTCTGAGTTGGTGTTTGTCTGTGACTGCATGTGTTACATGAAACAGAAGCAGATGTAGTGAGAATGAAGGGGTCTTAATTCTCTTTATTCTGAAACAAGGACCCCTCACTGGAGTGGAGAGAATGAGTCCTTCCCAGTCACACCCTGGAGCCCTTGGATGGCACTTGTCAGGTGGTGTCACCACCCTAAGTACCCACACAAATGGGCTAGGAAGCCCAAGCTACATGAATTTCAGCTCCTGATGAGAGATTCTTGGGCCAGGGTTTTGGTAGACACAAGCCTGGTGACTTCAGGCAGCTGGCAATTACTGGGCATCTACCAAGGGTCAGCCACGGTTCCAGGCCCCTAGCGTGTATGAATTCCTTGGCTCCTCTCGTCACCTCTCTGAGGGTGTGTCAAGGAGAGAGGAACCTGGATCTTGGATGGCCATGGGGCTCCCTTCCACCCACATCCCCACATGACTGCACAGCACAGGCTGGTTCTGCTGGACTGAGCCCATCCAGGGAAGAACAGCGAGACCCTCAGGTGAGATCGGGCTCACTGGAGACAAACAGCATGGCAGGAGCTGGAGGTGCCCCAGGCTGATTTCCAGGATAGGGGGTTCCTGGACACAGGCACTGAGCATCCCCACAGCCCCCTAGACTGGCCCATGAGCACGAGAAGCCCTGAGAGTGCGTGGGGGTGGCCTGTGTGCAAGGCAGCACAGCGAGCCTCTCTGCACAACCCACAGGCTCTGCTGGGTGAGGAGTTCTCCCTCAGCCTCCTCTGGAGCTGACGCTGGGGGAGAGCGCCGTGAGCCTCCCTGCCTGAATTCTTATCTGCGCTTCACACAGGAGGAAACTGAGGCACGCAGAGTTTTAGCTCCTCTTGGCCAGAGCCAGGATCTGAACCCAGGCGTCTGAACCTTGGTGATCCTGCGGGGCAGAGTGAGTTGGGGGATGGAATTGCATCTCTCACAAAGTGCCCAGCACAGGGTGGGCCCCTACAGACGGTAAAAGCTGGGGGGCGGGGCTCGGTCAGGTGTGATTTTCCCCTTCTCCTGCCCTCCCCAGGGTGGGACTCCCTTGTGGTCTCCTGGTGTTCACTTGTGTCTCCACCTGTAGAGGCAGGAAAGACTCAGCCTTAGGGATGCCCCCCACCCTAAGGGTCAAAGAGGAGGAAAGAGTGTCCTTTTAGCTCTGGCCCCTCAGAGCTTGTTACCCAGATTCCAGAGGACACTGTGTCTTATCCCCACTGCTCTCTGGATACCACCCTTCCGTCCCAAGTGGACTCTACCTTTGATCTCTTGTTTAGAATCCTGGCCTGAAAAGGAGATATGTATTCATTAACTCCTCAGGTGACCTGGCGATCTTTTCCATCACCTTCTTCCTCTTTCTTATCTGGGTTCATGGCCCCATCCTTTACCTACTGGGGCCCTCACTGTTTCTCCAGCCTGTATCTCTAATTCTGCAGCTCATCTGATATAAAAGGTAGTTATTTCCTAGGAGGAAATTTAAGGGATAGAGAGAGCCAGCAATAACAAAAGAGAGATGTCTCTGGAGGTGGATCAGAACACTTAATTGAGTGTTAAGAGTTTTTTAGGAGAGATAAATAAAGAGGACATGGGTAACAAAAGGGTAAATTGGGGAGGCCACACAGTAGGGAGAAAGCTATGGGATCTGTATTCTTGTGGACCACAATGAGCTCGGGGGTTAAAGGATAAAGTCCAAGGTAAATAATAGTGTTGAGACCTCTGGGTATATCAAATATTAAAACATCAGAAACATCAATGTTCTGGAAGAAAGTAAGAAGTAATTTATTTTCTTAATTTTTTAAGTGGATATGTCCTTTCTAAAGAAGGTAGAAAACCCAAAAGTCACAAAGCAAGGACTGATATATTTACCTTTAAAAATGCAAACTGTATGCCAAAAATGCCATTCAATTCACTCAGAAAATATAACAATTATAAATATACATTCACCCAACATCAGCACTCTGAAGTATATGAAGAAACATTGACCCAGTAGAAGGAAGAAATAGACAGCAACACAATAATAGTAGGAGAATTTCCTGCTTTCAATTACCAATAGAACAACCAGACAGAAGATCATAAGAAAACATAAAACTTGAACAACACTACAGACCAACTGGACCTAATAAACATACAGAACACTCTACCCCAAAACAGCAGAAGACACATTTTTCTGAAGTGCACATGGAACATTCTGCAGGATACACCATATATTAGGCCACAAAACAAGTCTTTGCATGTTTTAGAAGATTTAAATCATACAAAGTATCTTTTTCTGATTAAAATGAAATGAAACTAGGAATTAATAACAGAAGTAAAACTGGAAAATCCACAAATACAAGGAAATTAAACAACATACTCTTAATCAATTGTTAACGATATCACAAGGAAAATTAGAAACTATCTTGAGACAAATGAAAATGAAAACACAACATACCAAAATTTCGTGTGCAAAAATGCAGTGCTAAGAGAGAAATTTGTAGCTGAAAATATTTATGTTAAAAAATAATGATCTCAAACCAGCACCTAACTACACCTTTAGGAACTAGAGAGAAAAGAGAACAGACTAAACCTAAAGCTAGCAGAAAGAAGGAAACTAAAGATTAGAGCAAAACCTACAAAACAGATAATACAAAAATAAGGGAGAACATCAACAATAGAAAAATAACAGAGAAAATCAACAAAATGAAGAGTTGGTTCTTTGAAAAGGGCAACAACATTGACAATTCTTTCGTTAGATTGACTAAGAGAAAAATGAAGACCAAAATAACTAAACTCAGAAATGAAAAAGTGGATGTTACGAGACTTTTTTGCAGGAATAAAAAGAATTATAGCCTGGGCATGGTGGCTCACACCTGTAATCCCAGCACTTTGGGAGGCTGAGGTGGGTGGATCACGAGGTCAGGAGTTCAAGACAAGCCTGGCCAAGATAGTGAAACCCCATCTCTACTAAAAATACAAAAATTAGCATACCTGTAATCCTAGCTACTTGGGAGGCTGAGGTAGGGAATTGCTTGAACCCGGGAGGCAGAGGTTGCAGTGAGCCGAGATCATGCCACTGCACCCCAGCCTGGGCGACAGAGAGAGACTCTCTCTCAAAAAAAAAAAAAAAAGATTATAAGAGAATACTAGGAACAACTGTTCACTGAAAATTGGATGATGTAGACAAAATTGGATGATGTAGATCCTTTAGTATCTACTGGCTAAATGAGGAAATGTCTGTGCTATTGCTAATACTATATGCTGTACCTGAGTAAACTCTTCTGGGAAGTTAAGACCCATATACAGAAAATGAAGAAAAACAGTTCACATGGTGACAACAAGTCTCACCTAATTTCCCATGGTCATTTCATTTATTCAATTAGTTGCCTTTAAGCCTATGTTCATAGCTCAAGACCATTATGCAAACTGGGGTTGCCATGTTACTATTTATTTTATTTTGTATTTTCCTTTTTGCACTTTATACCTGTTAGTTGTCAAATTTCTGCAGAAGTACAATCCTAATATAATAATGTCACTAAGGATGATTGCTTTAACCATTTCTATTTAGAACTGGAGTTTCGAACCAGGGCCCTTGGACAAGAAAAAGAATAAAATGGAATCCGCATCGGAAAGGAAGAAATAAATTTATCTCTGTTCACTGACAACATAATCTTATATGTAGAAAATGCTAAAGATTCACCACACAAACTGTTAAACTGCAAACAAATTCAGCAAAGTTGCAGGATACAAAATCAACACACAAAAATCAGCCGTGTTTCCACACAAGAAAGAAAATAAGTTTAATCAGCTCATGGTTCCACAGGCTGTACAAGAAGCATGATGCTGGCATCTACTCAGCTTCTGGGGAGGCCTCAGGAAACTTAAAATTATGGCAGAAGGAGAATCTTCCAAGGTATATATGTAACATATTTTCTTTATCCAATCCACCATTGACGGGCACATAGATTGAGTCCGTCTGTGCTATTGTGAATAGTGTTGCAATGAACATACATGTGCATGTGTCTTTTTGGTAGAACAATTTATTTTCCTTTGGGTATATACTCAGTAATGGTATTACTAGGTTGAATGGTAGTTATGTTTTAAGTTCTTTGAGAAATCTCCAAACTGTGAAAGCAGGATCTTGATGAAGTATTTGTACACCCAGGTTCACAGAAACACTATTCACAATGGGTAAAAAGTAGAACAACCCAAATTCATCAACAGGTGAATGAATAAACAAAATATAGTATATACATACAATGGAATAGCATTCAGCATCGAAAAGGAAGGAAATTCTGACATATGCTACAAGACAGATGAACCTTAAGGACATTATGCTATGTGAAATAAGTCAGTCAAAAAAAGGCAAATACTATATGATTCAACTTATATGAGGTACCTAGAATAGTCAAATTCATAAAGATAGAAAGTAGAATGGTGATTGCCAAGTACTGGGTGCAGGGGAGAATGAGTAATTGTTCAATGGGTATGGATTTTGAGTTTTGCAAGATGAAAATAGTTCTGGGGATTGATTGCACAACAAAGAATGTACTTAACACAATTAAACTATATACTTAAAAATAGTCAAAATGATAGATTTTATACTAAGTGTACTTTACTACAATTTAAAAAAATTAAATACAAATTATCTTTAAATAACAAACATAATAATAATTGTGCAGCCAATATTTTCATAATAAACCAGTCAAATCTCTAACATATTACTATTACTCAGAATCCTTATGGTTTTAATGGTATTTTTACATCAATTTTTAGAAAAATAGATACTCAACTGCATATTTTTAAAATACCATAAAAAAGCTAAAGGATAAACTAAAAAATTGTATAACAGATATGACTAAGATAAACATTTTAGTTTTAAAGAACTCTTTTAAATCCATAGGGAAACAGTAAGCAATCCAGAAGAAAAATGGACAAAGGATTTAAGTAGGTAGTCTACAAAAAAATACAAATTAACAATGGAAATATGCAAGAATTCTAAACCCCATTCTCAATTTTTTAAATGCAAATCAACTTAACAGAGTGGCATTTTCCAGCTATCTGATTAGCAAAAATGTACGAGGTTGGTAATATGCAGAGCTATGAGCATGTAAAGAAACAGACATTGTCATTTGTCATATGAGGGCATGTAAATTTGTGCTATTTCTGAAGACAAGCTGGTAGCATATATTAAAGTTAAAAGAACACAAAACCCTACTACTTGACTCAGAAAGTCTATTAATGGGAATTACCCCATGACAATATTAATAAACAAAACAAATGTAAAAAAATTCTTCTTTTTAATTGCAGGATTGTTTGCTGAGCAAAAAAAAAAATCTATCAATAGGAAATTGATGATATAAATTCAGATGTGCCTCTATACTAGAGGTGCAGTCTTTAAAAATCATGAGGCTAGCTCTGTAGAGGCTCACAGGGAGAGATCTCTAAAAGCAAAAACTATGGTAAGAAGCAAAACACAGAACAGTGTACACAGCCTGATTTCTTCCATGAACACACACATTCATTCAAGAATTATTTACTGAGCGTGTAGTATGTGCCAAGCACTGGCTGTGCAGGTGTGAACAAACAGACAAAATACCTGCCCATAGGAGCTCAGCGAGGGATGCAGAAAATAAACCAGGTAAGTAAATATTGTGCATAGAATAGAGGAAGTTGATGAGTCTTACAGTGAAAAAATAATGCAGGGAGAGGAATGGGGGTGCTGGGGTGTGGGGCACACTCAGATAGAATGGCCAAGGAAGACCTCAATGAGAAGGTGGCATTGGAGACCCAAGGCGGGTGAGAAAGCAAGCCATATGAGTATCTAGGGAAAAGATCAGCCAGGCTAAGGAAACAGGAAGTGCAAAGGCCCTGGGGTAGGAATGTGTCTGGTATGATCAAGGGAAGCAGGGAGACCATGTGATTTGAGCAGTGGAAAGTATGAGAGAGAGAGAGAAGCTAAAGAAGAGGCCGGGGAAATGACAGCAGTGCCTGCTGTGGACGGGGGCTCTTCAGTTGTGCACCTATAAAGACTTTGACTTTTTCTCTAAGTAATCTTAGGAGTACCTAGACCCTAAAGAGGATATCCAGTAGAGGCACAAAATTATTTTTTTGGACAGAATCTCATAAAGACACATATTATTTATTTTTAATAATAAGTGGAGTCTTTCTGGGTAGTGGAATCATGGACCATTTTATTTTCTTCTTTACAGTTTTCTGTTTTTTAAAAGTACCAAATATTAATTTAAGAATCAAATATTAGTCATGGCAAAAATCACAATTACTTTTGCACCAACTTAATAGAAGTGGGTACTGGGAGACAGGGGAGGGTGGGTGGGCGAGTGGGAGCTCAGGGAGGTTCCGTCCTGGACAGAGAAGGCAGGGAGCTGTCCTAAAGGAAGACGGTCCCCCGAGACATTTCTCTCTGGGGTTAGTTTGCGTTAGGGGAGTAAAGTTTTCTTGGTCAAATGGGTTTGAAGAACTGGATAAATCTTTACTGCAGGACTTCCCAGATCCTTTAAAATATTACAATTTAGGATATGAAAATATTTCTGCACGTGGGAGAAAGAGGATGCGGTTTCCCAAACTTATTAGACCATGGAGCCTATTTATTCACAAATCATCTCTACTGTTCCATGGGACACGCTGCAAAATGCTGCTGGGGTGAAGAGGCTCTTAAATGGGGTAGTGGCAAGGGCAGATTTGCATTTCGGTGGCTCACTCTGGCGGCGGCGAAGGGAATCTGTTGGGAGACAAGATCAGTTGTAAGGAGATCCCGGAGCTTACTTTCCTGTCATGCACATCTGTTGCCCTCTCTGCAACAACATGCCCTTGCGCCCAGAGACAGTGACGTGGTGCCTTCAGACGCCCCCAGGACTCGGTGGCATCCACTAAAAGGATGCTGATGCGGCCCCCTGGAGTTCGACATTCTTGGTTCAGAGAGAAAACATATGCTGCTGTTCAGAGTCCCAGCCCACCTCTCTCCTTCCTGAGCATTATAACTGGGGTGCAGGAGGTGGGGTGAATGTACAGGACTGTCCACTGCGGGGGAGGTGGCCGGGCCTATGATTGCACAAGCCCACATCGCCTTGGGCCTGTTAATATTAACTCAATCTCCAGCCTGGGGAAGCACCAGCAACTCCAAGAGTCACTGACCTGATAAACATGATTTTGCTCATTTTGTTGGCTGGATCTTCAAGGCTTCTCCCTTGGCCTTGGATGGTGATCCCACTGAGAGTCACATACATATACACCTTTAACCTCTATCATTACATGCTGGGAAAGTTCCTCCCAGAATCTGGTGGGGGACTGAATGGGAGCAGAAATCTAACAAGAGCAACATGAATTGTCAGCGCAAGGGTTTCAGAATAACTGTCATCTGAATCATTTCAGTAATTGTGCCATCAAAGCTGCTTCTAAGAAGAGTATATATCTTCCTAGTGGGCATTCCCTGTGCTTGGTGTCTGGACACTTTTTTGATTGCTAGTCATTGTTCACATAAACTAGGCTTATGAAGAAGTAGATTCAGTCCATCAATTATTCATTCATTCAACCATCTCATGCTGCATGAATCATTCATTCACTTATTTATCCTATACTCTGTGCCACCACATGCCAGTCCTGGGCTGGCTACACATCATGCTATGTGTGACTTCCATGTAAGTTCAGTGAACACTTTTTGTTTTTGTTTTGAGATGAAGTTGTTTCTTTGTTTTTTTGTTTTTTTGAGACAGAGTCTCACTCTGTTGCCCAGGCTGGAGTGTAATGGTGCGATCTCAGCTCACCGCAACCTCTGCCTCCCAGGTTCAAGTGATTCTCCCTGCCTTAGCCTCCCAAGTAGCTGGGATTACAGGTGCCCGCCCCCACACCCAGGTAATTTTTTGTATTTTTAGTAGAGACAGGGTTTCGCCATGTTGGCCAGGCTGGTCTTGAACTCCTGACCTCAGGCGATCCACCCACCTCGGCGTCCCAAAGTGCTGGGATTACAGGCGTGAGTCACCGCACCCAGCCTCAGTGAACAGCGTTGAATCATAAACTTCTTTGTAAAAAGAAGCAAGGGCTTTGTAGATACTCTGTTGCTCTGCTTCTTCAGAGGATTGTCTTTTGGGTCAATGTGGCCAGTAGTACAGATTGTGCACTGCACATGGGTGCCTAGCAGAGGGAGCATGAGGCCTGAATCCCAACCCAGGTGCTACTTGCCAAGTGATGTATCTGCTGTATGGTGGCATCCATCTGGTTGAAGAGGTTTTTTTTTTTCTTTGCACAAAGATGTCATTACCCCAGAGAATATGTGATAAAACATGCATAGTAAAATGTCAGTGGTAGAATCTAGTAATAGGTTTAAGGTGTCCACTGTAAAAATCTTTCAACTTTGCTATATTTGAAAATTTTCATAATAAAACGTTGAATGGCATACTATTACTTGTCAAGTTATGCATGGGCAGAGAGATGCTGTAATGGGTTGAATCATATTTCCCCAAAAATTCTTATGTTGAAGTTCTAATCCCCAATATCTCAGATTGTGAGCATATTTTGGAGATTGGGACTTTACAGAGGTAATCAAGTTAAACGAGATTATTAGGGCCCTAACCCATCTAGTGTCCTTATAAGGAGGAACCTGAATGTAAAGACATGCACATAGAGGGAACACAATGTGAAGATACAGACAGAACATTGTATGAACATGAAGATGGCCATCTGTAAGCCCAGGAAAGAGGCCTGGAACAGATCATTCCCTCACAGCTCTCAGAAGGAACCAAGCTTGCCAACAGTTTGATTTTGGACTTCTAGCTTCTAGAACTGTGAGACAATATATTTCAGTTGTTTCAGCCATCCAGTTTGTGGTACTCAGTTATGGAAGTCCTAGCAAACTAATATAGATTTTTTTTTTTCTAATCTGTACAAAGGGAGGTGTCCTGAGGTGTAGCAGTGGCCTGATCACCTTCTTGAACTCTCAGGATGAGTACAAATGTCAGGAGGACTTTAGGCAGCATTTTAGTAGAGGAAGTTCTTGTAGGGTGTGATGAGCTGGGAACTGATTATGTGCTACTGTTTGCATTAGGAAGAAGTGATTGACACTGAAGAGAAGTCATCGCCCACTGAAATCTAAAAGCCAGCTAATGTCAAATGATGGGGCTCTAAGCATAGAACTTTTACCACAGTTGAATTTTGACACCCAATGCTGTTCCACAAATAAAGACACCAGACAAGGTTGTTTGGAAACCTACAAGAGCCCAAGCAATTTGACATGACAAAAGTATAGTAGGAGCTTGGGTTCCATTCCTGGCACTGACTACTCACAAATTCCATCATCTCCAGTAAGTCCGTTGAATGTCACTTTCTCATTCACAAAGACGTGGATAATCACAGCTTCTTTGTAGGGTTGTTGTGAGGATTAAATAAGGTGTTTCATGTAAAGTTCCAAGCACATAGTAGGTGCTCAAGAAATGGGGGCAAAAATCCAGAGACAGGATCAAGGGAACTAGAAAACAGGCTAAAAATCTTATTTGTTCAATAAAGAAGTGCCTGCAGGTGAAGATCATCAGGACTGTGGCGGTCACAATCAATACTCACTTGATATCAGGTGTTTATCCCCATTAGACCCTCTGAGAATTGGCTGATTTTTTTGCCAGTCCCAAGAGCATGCATGGTGGAGTAGAAACACACTTGCTCAGAAGGCAAGAGGCGGATTCTAATGCTCACTTAGCCCCCAGCTCTGTAACTCTTGGCACATCCCTATCATTTCTTTCAGCCTCTGCTTCCTCATCTATAAATTAAGGGCCCTTGACTAGACTCACAATGCCAAGTACATGGCCTGTGTGCCGCCCTGATATGGTTTGGCTGTGTCCTCACTCAAATCCCATTTTGAATTGTAGCTCCCATAATCCCTACATGTCATGGGAGGGACCCAGTGGGAGGTAATTGAATCATGAGGGCAAGTATTTCCTATGCCATTCTCATGATTGTGAATAAGTCTCATGAGATCTGATGGTTTTATAAAGGGCAGTTCCCCTGCACATGCTCTCTTGCCTGCCACCATGTAAGACATGCCTTTGCTCCTCCTTCACCTTTCTCCATGATTGTGAGGCCTCCCCAGCCATGTGGAACTACGAGTCCATTAAACCTCTTTCTTTATAAATTACCCAGTCTCGGGTATGCCTTTATTTGCAGCATGAAAAAAAAAACTAATACACTACCCTTTCTGCTCTCACACCCATGACAACATCGCTAACAACCATGGCCCTTATTTCCATCTTTGTTCAGACACAGCTTCAGAATCCTTCTCAAGATAATACTCCAGGAACCACAACAAGAAACCCAAGATGGCAGCTTAGATGGAAAAAATTTACTACTGCCCTGTCCTAGGTGATATTTAAAATGTCTTCTGGCTCCTAGGTTTTCTGAGTCTGATCCCTTTCTTGACCAGAAATGCCTTTATTTTGCGTCTTCCAAGACTTTTATGTAGTATTTAGGACCTTTCATTGTCTGGGGTCCTACATCATGAATTGTTCTACTGTTCCATACCTTCTTCTCCCAGACCAGATGAGACCAGATATCCAACATCCTCCCCAGGACCAGAGTCCTAGATTTTATCAACTTCATTAATTTAGGTAACCTGGCTCCTAGTAACCTACACCTCTCTCTCTCCTCCCCTACCCCACTTCCCCCACCTTCACTTTTCGAAACTCCTAGGTATTCCAGAGCATGATTAATTCATACTAAAATATCTATTTTACCACTTCCTCTCTCCATACCCGAGATAGTCATGATTACATAGTTAACAGATTAAGGCATAATCTCACAAAGAGATGGCGTCTCAAACACTTCTTAACCCAGTCTCCGATGCACGCCCTACCAAATGCTTGAAATTGATGTATCAGATAAAAACAATGGCCATTTCATCCCAAGAAAGTGTGTCAAAAAAATCTCTAGATCAAATTATTAAACCAAGAAAAAAACAGGTGTTTGTTCATGGGTGTGGGGTGTGTGTGTATGTGTGTGTGTGTGTTATAGATAACAGCTTCAAACCAGTGCTATATGAATTTCTTTCTTTTCAATACTCAAGAGCCTAACCAAGCCTTCAAGCCACCCTCTGGTTCTCTTCTTACCTTAGCAGCAACCTAAGAATATGCTTATTCCCAAGAAGTCATCTTAGGATAGAAAGAATGCAGAACTGGGTGTCATGTAGCTCAACATGCCAAGCCTGCCTCAGCCTCTATAAGCTGTTTGCTTTTGAACAACCGCCTCAGCCTTTCTTGGGATCATCTGAAAAATAGGACTAATGCCTCCTCATAGGGTCATTTTAGCACATAGCAGATATTCTCCCACTTAAAAGACATTTAACAAATAAAAAGAATGGCTGCTATCCTTGCAGGCATTATTATCATTATTAGTACTATTTCTATATTCATCTTTCAGTCTTTGAGCCACATTCTTGGGTTTTTGCATACAGAAATAAGATACTGTTCATGCCCGGAGAAGTACAAAAAGGAGCAAAGGCAGATGAACAAACTGGAGGAACACAGCATGACCACAAGAGGCTCTGAGTCCATTTGGGGCACTGCTCAGAGGTTGTTTAGCCAGTGTTTTCTCTCCCCTATTTTCTGGCTGCTGAAATCCTGCCCATCCTTCAGGACCCAGCTCAAGGCCACATGCTTACAGGAACCACCACTGAGTCCTCAGACTTCAACCCTGCCTGGTGGAGGAGACTTGATCTTGTTCAGTTCTAGTTGAGTTCTGTTAGTTCAGCATAAACTTTGTCAGCTCAGAGTTCTTTCAGTCAATTCAGTGTTTCCCAAGTTCAGAGTTTTTTCTACACCTACACCTCCCATCCCAGAGACAGTGGGATTTGAACGTGGAGACAATATGCATCCAGGGTGTGATGGTTAATACTGAGTGTAACTTGATTGGATTGAAGGATGAAAGTTTTGTTCCTGGATGTGTCTGTGAGGATGTTGACAAAGGAGATTAACGTCTGAGTCAGTGGACTGGGAGAGGCAGACCCATCCTCAATCCATCCTCAATCTGATGGACACCATCTAATCAGCTGACAGCACGGCTAGAATAAAGCAGGAAGAAGAGCATAGAAGGACTTTACTTGCTAAGTCTTCTGGCCTTCAGCTTTCTCCCATGCTGGATGCTTCCTGCCCTTGAACATCAGACACCAAGTTCTTCAGCTTTTAAACTCTTGGACTTAAGCCAGTGGTTTGCCAGGGGCTCCTGGCCACAGACTGAAGGCTGCACTGTCAGCTTCCCTACTTTTGAAGTTTTGGGACTTGGATTGGCTTCCCTGCTCCTCAGCTTGCAGACAGCTTACTGTGGGATTGTGATCATGTGAGCCAATTCTCCTTAATAAACCCCCTTTCATATATATGTCTATCCTACTAGTTCTATCCTTCTGAAGAACCCTGACTAATACACAGGGCATCAAGTGAGACATGCCTCTTGAGGGCAGTGATAAGGTTTACTCTTCCCTAAATCCCTCTTAATGCCTACCCATGGTTAGACATACAGCAAGTGCTTCTGAAGTGGATGGGTGCATGGATGGATGCAAAGGGGAAAGGAAGGAAGGAAAAAGGGAGGAAGGGAGGGAGGGGGGGAATAAGGAAATCGCTTCCCCTGCAGAAGGTGACCTTCATCCTTCCCTTCTCAGCTTCTCTGTCAATGAGATGTGACCACCTTCCAAGCTAGGCCAGCCCGGCAGGTTCTGTTCCTCCAGGTTCCCCAGGCACCATGAGCACCGCACACTGTAGCATCCAAAAGACATAAGTGCAGTGAGCTGAGGGCTGGAACATTTGCCCAAGAAAGGTACAAGCTGACCTTTTCATGTAACTCTATGTCCACCACCAGAATCGGCAAATGACGTGTGCTACCCTCAACTCCTCAGCCCAGGGTGAGACTTGAGGGCGCTGTGGATGCACCAGACTCCTAGTACATAACCTGTAAGTAAAAATTACCTGTCCCCTTGCTTCACGGGGCGTCCCCATGGCTCCCAGTTTGCACCTGAGGAAACAGCTCTTTGCATGGCTGTCAGCAATAAGAGGAGAGAAGAGCTCAGAGGCTCAGCCCTCAGGCAGGGCTCACATGCAGAGGGAACTTGTTGCGGGTCACCTTATTCTGAAATAGGCAGCCAGTGAAGGATCAAATAACGAACCCACCTTTAGAGTCAGCAGAACTGGCCTGGAATCCTGGCTTAGCCATTGGCAAGCTGTTGACCTCAAGTAAGCCACTTTACCTCCCTGGGACTCAGTATTTTGCAGGGGTTGGCCATAAGTATTAAATAAAGTGATACTCAGAGTCCCTTCAAGGGTTCAAAGGAGGAGGCTTTAATGAAGAGACTATGTGGAGTGGTGTGGAAAGAGTTAAGGGAAAAAAATGCAAAGGTGAGGCTCCCAGAGGTTAGCAAAAGCAGGGAGCTGTTACCTGCTCAAAGCTGAAGGAGCCAGGGGAGGAAAGGGTGGGAGCTGGAGCCATGGAGAAGAGGGGTGCTTGGAGGGGGTGATCTGCAGTGACCAGGGGATTCAGCTACTCCCAAAGATGTGGAGCAGAAGCAGGGAGGGAATGGGAAGGAACACCCTAGCCTCTCTCTTCTCCTGCCCAGGGCTCCCACTACCAAACCCAAGAGGAAGCCAGCTGGCAGGAAAGCCCAGCAGCTCAGTCCAAAGGGGTCAGCCTCTCAGGGCACAAAACAGGGCAGAGAAAGGATCTGGTGGGGCGCAGGGGTGGGCAGGAACTGGCAAACAGAGAACAGCCTGCAGAAAAGGCGTCGCCGCTAGTATCAGTAATAGCCAGCTTTTGCTGAGCACCTACTGTGTACCACGAGCACACACACTATTTCTCTTTCTCAACTCCTTAAAGAGCTAAGCCCTGAGCACAGAGGCACTCACTACACTATAACTTGTATTATTGGCTGAATGAAATTCCCCACTAAGCCAGAAGGTGAATCCAGATTTTGGACATTTTTAAGAAATAGGGGATTTGTGACACCCCCACCCCCATTCCCACCTTCAGGTTTTCCTTGATGACTTGCTTTGAATGAAGGTTTTTGCCAAATCCTGGTGCACTGTGCACAGGGGTTTCAGAGATGGGAAGAATGATGACCACAGCAGAGGACAGTGGAAGGATGGCCTGCCAGCCCTAACGGATAGCAGGGAGCCTTAAGCCTCAGGGTTAGACCAGGAATACCTTGAAGAACCCAGGGGTCCTCTCTCCATCTCTCATGGAGCATCTGCCTAACCCTTCTCCAGCCCCCTCTCTCTAGATAAGTTTCTCCCACCCAAATAATGGCAAATAGCGGCCGGATGCGGTGGCTCACACCTGTAATCCTAGCACTTTGAGAGGCCGAGGCAGGCAGATCACTTGAGGTCAGGAGTTCAAAACCAGCCTGGCCAGCATGGTGAAACCCCGCCTCTACTAAAAATACAAAAAAAAAAAAAAATTAGCCGGGCGTGGTGGCGTGTGCCTATAATCCCAGCTACTCAGGAGGCTGAGGCAGGAGAATCGCCTCAACCCAGGAGGCAGAGGTTGCAGCAAGCCGAGGTCATGCCACTGCACTCCAGCCTGGACGACAGAGCAAGACTTCATCTCAAATAAATAAATAAATAAAGGTAAATAGCACTGCTCCCCTGCTTGACCCAAAGCTCACTGAGACCAGGCCCTTCTCGATGAGCAAGAGTCTCATGATCCTGGTGCCCACAATGCAGCGGCTGGGTAGGTTCCTGCCCCTGTGTTTCTATCACCTGCACGGTTACGCCCTCCAGCTGCCCTCCAGCTGCAATGGCACTGCAGTACTCATTCCTTCTGACATGGGGAAAGTCAGAAAGATAGAAGGGGCACTGATGAAGGAGAATTTTGATACATGGACTCAGCCCTTCCCAGTAAGGTAAAACCTCAGCTACCCCTGCCCCCTGCATGCTGTGGAACCCTTTCGACATCCACCTCTGCAGTCTCTGCAGCTGGAGGATGAAATCCCTCTGGTCTTCTGGACCATGACATGAGGGGGTGGGACTAGGTCACGCACTAATTATCAAACAGGATTCAGCCATTGACTCCTCCAAGAGATGGAAACAATTGTGCTGGCACAATAAAATCATTCTCATCATCATCACCACGACCACCATGTTGTCACATTGCATCTTCCTCTGAGAGATTTGCAATTCACCTTAGCACTTCAAAGCACTGAGAAGTTGTACAGAATGGAACAATGTCTGACTTAGCTTTACTCAGCATTTCCCAAACAGCATGTGAACATGGCAGGCATTTTAACAAAAGACCTTTCAACAAGCTACGGTTCCATGGACTGTAGTTCGGTAGTGGCCAAGGAGCTGTCTTTCCAGCTCATATACTGATGCAGTCAACATGATTGGTGATTAACTCAGAGGGAGCCGGGACCGGGCTTCTTTATTGGTCACTTGTCAAGGAGGCTTTACACAAAAGCCACTTTCCAGCCATCTGCACATCTCTCCTCTTGGCCACACTCTGTGATCAAGTTCCTTGCTTTTCTCAAGTATTTGAGGTCTTTGCTACTCAATGTGCAGTCTGTGACCAACATCACTGGCTTCATCGGGAGTTGTAAGAATCAGAGGCTCTCAGACCCCACCGCACACCTACTGAACCAGAATCTTCATTTTCATAAGATCCCAGGAGATTCATGAGCATATTAAGGACTGGGGAGCTCTGACCTAAATCACATTGCTTCCTGATAGATCCTCCAGATGCCCTGTCATTACGAATCACCAAGTGGTGACCCACGTGCTGTGCCCTGAGTGCCTTCTCTCCACCCATCCTTCTGTCCCTAGGCCCAGCCCTTTCTTCCAGCTCAGGGTTTCTCAGCCTCATCACATCACGGGCTGGAAAGTCCTGTGTGGTTCAGGGGCTTTCCCGTGCACTGTAGGCACATCACGGGCTGGAAAGTCCTGTGTGGTTCAGGGGCTTTCCCGTGCACTGCAGGCACATCACGGGCTGGAAATTCCTGTGTGGTGCAGGGCCTTTCCCGTGCACTGCAGGCACATCACGGGCTGGACAGTCCTGTGTGGTGCAGGGGCTTTCCCGTGCACTGCAGGCACATCACGGGCTGGACAGTCCTGTGTGGTGCAGGGGCTTTCCCGTGCACTGCAGGCACATCACGGGCTGGACAGTCCTGTGTGGTGCAGGGGCTTTCCCGTGCACTGCAGGCACATCACGGGCTGGAAAGTCCTGTGTGGTTCAGGGGCTTTCCGGTGCACTGCAGGCACATCACGGGCTGGAAAGTCCTGTGTGGTGCAGGGGCTTTCCCGTGCACTGCAGGCACATCACGGGCTGGACGGTCCTGCGTGGTGCAGGGGCTTTCCCGTGCACTGCAGGCACATCACGGGCTGGACGGTCCTGCGTGGTGCAGGGGCTTTCCCGTGCACTGCAGGCACATCACGGGCTGGACGGTCCTGCGTGGTGCAGGGGCTTTCCCGTGCATTGTAGGATGTTTAGCGGCACCCCTGGATGTTCTCCCTATTGGATGCCAGCAGCACACACACCCCCACAGTAGTGATGACCAAAAATGTCCCCAGTCATCGCCAGATGTTCCCTGGGGGGCAGAGTCACTCCTATTCTAGACTGTGTGTGGACTGTGGGATTCTAGAAGGTGGGGACTGTGCACTTTGCTCAGTCCTGAGTTTTCATTCCCCACTGAAGGCCTGACGGACATGCAATGGGCTGCCTTGATCTGAGGGTTGAGCTCATCCTGATGGGACTTTCTCACACTCCTCAAGCACCCTTCCCATGGAGAGGGCTGACAGTCTCCAGCTTTCCCCTCCACACCCCACTTTGCTTGGTTTATCCACGCTGGAGCTGCTAGGAGGCTCCAGCATCCTGCCACCAGGAAGCTACTAGGTGAGTCATGGTGGGAAGAGGGAAGAAGGCACGCTTTCTTATGGCCAAGGCAGTTGGGAAACTAAAGCTGGGAAGATAAATTCTCAATGGTGAGTCATCCCCCAGGCTGTGGACACAAGTCACAATCAGGCTGCCATACAGAAATTGTGCCCACAGATGGTTTGTCTTTGTTTTCTAATTTGTGCTTTTCATTTTTATCTGTTTCCAGCTTTCTCGAAGTAGAATTCACAAATAAAAGCTGTGTATGTTTAAGGTGTCCAACGTGCTGTTTCAATGCGTGTATACATTGAACATGATTCCCACAATCAAACTAATTCACAGATCCATCACCTCACACGAGTACCATTTTTGTTTGTATGGTGAGAATACTTAAGATCTAGCCTCTTAATACATTTCAAGCACACAGCGCTGTATACATACTTCTAGGCACGTGGTGCACAGTAGAAATCCGGAATGTGTTCATCTGAACTTTTTCCCCTTGATCAACTTCTGCCATCTTCCCTCTCCCCAGCCCCTGGCCACCCCTTCCTGCTCCTGCTTCTAACAGTTGGACTTTTTAGATTCCACTTCTAAGAGAGCATGCACCCATCATGTGCCATTGATGTAAGACTTAAAAAGGTAAACACAAGAAAAGGGAGCTCTCAATCCTCCCCTGGGACCTTTGAGGCCCTCGAGGCTGGGCTTAGAGAGGGAAGAAAACAGGGCGAGGCTATGTGTTGGAACAAAGGTAAGCAGACAGACAGAGAGATGCTCCTATTCCACTGCACTCAGGAGCAGGCCACATCCAGTTGGAGAAGCAGCAATGCAGCTGGAGAAGAGGCTTCAGCATTGGGTTCACTCTGAGCTTTTTACAAACCATGTTCCTAACTGCTGGGCAAATCTCTCAACTTCTTCAACCCTCCATTTTCTCATTTGTAAAGTGGGTATTTGGGGCACTCAGTCCCTGGGATTACAGTGAGGATGAATCAAAATTTCCTTGTAAAGAACCTGGCACAGACCCGTGTATTGCAGGCACATTCGGGAAACACAGCTGACGTTAATTTTATTCTGTTATTCTGCAGTGAGATTGCTAACTGGGGCAGTTTAGTAGATGACATTATTTCAGCTCTGTTTTCTCCTCTCACTCCCCTGAACAGAAGGAGGAGGCCATATTTTCCAAAATTCTCCCTACCTGGCAATATTCAATTGGACCAGCTCTTGCCCAAAATGGGCATCTCAGCTATATTCAGTTACCATGCAGGCCTTGAGAATTTCTCTGCAAACCACACCCATGAAGGCCTTCAAGGTAAAAGTTAAAACCCACCAGTGTCCGGTCATTTCTAAAAGTGCATACATTTTCTCACACATTCACCGTGCACCAGTGGAGTTACTGTGAAGCCGCTCCACTGCTGGGGGAAGCCAAAGGTGGAAATGTCAAATTACAACACCCACTGGTGTCCTGAGGACAGCTGATCTGAGGAGCGAGCTGGGCCTGTGACATGGGGGAAGGGTTTCCCAAGCTGGGTGCTAAGGCAAGCACCCCCACTCCTGGTGGGGAGGGAAGGAGCAGATGAAGAAACTGAGACTCCACCAGGGAACAGGATGCACTAGGTCATGCCTCTAGTCAGGACAGAACCAGGACTCGAATCTGGACCTCCTGGGCTAAGCTCAGACTGAGGTTCAGTGTGGCACCTCCTGGAGGAAGGGACAACTTCTGCTGGGATCAACACTGTGAACCGTGGTCCCTCAAAGGCAGAGCACAGGGTGGAACTGACCAAGGAAGAGGAAGGAGTAGAAGAGGAAGATGTCACCGACCTCCAGTCCTTCCCCCCACCACTTTCTCCCCAACCTCCATTTCAACAGGCCCTTCCTACTATTAATTTTTGAGGAAGGCAGCTGCAACCTCCCCTTCTTGGGGAAAGTAATGAATCCCAAAGCAAAGTCACCATTAGGTGACAAAAGCTCATGCCTCCTTGCCCCCACCCCTAACCCTCCCAGTGCTGGGCAATGCTCGGGCCTCCTGAAGAAAAAGGAAAACCATGGCTGGAGCTCATCAACACAGCTCGCAACTTATGGCTCCATCCTCTGGTCTGCACAAAGCACCTGTGAGTGATTTTCCCATTTCACAGATCCGCAAACCAAGGTCCACGGTTACACAGATCACCAGCCAAACTCATTCACTGCCTTCATGCAATGAGGATCTTAGACCTAAGTCACTCTCATGGACTTTCACCAGCTTCCTATCCTCTGCTGGCTTCTGGACTTTTCCCTGGCTTCCAGTTTTCTCAGACCCTTGCCACCTGGATTGTAGCAGAACTGTTCTCCTTTGAAAGATCGGCTTCATAAAGCAGCAAATGAACTGTGTGTGTGTGGCAGGGGTGGGTGTTCTGGTGATGATGGACTGGCTGTCCCCCTGGCAGGACTTGGGGACTCTGTGGAGAGTGTCCTGGGAACATGTTTGTGACATGGAGGGGGCAGGACCATCCTGTCATTGCTGCCCGCTGGTATCCGATGGGTCGAATGGGGTTTTAGGTCTCCTCCACAAGTGTCTGAGAAGGAAAGCATGCAGGGATTGTCTCTGAGTCTCTTTGAAAAGAGAGCCACTTGGTATTATGCTGCATTTGAAGGCCATTTACATGCCTCAGCTGTGTTCCTGCAAAGGATTCAGGGAAGCAAGAACAAAGGCTCCCTGAACTCCACCTGTAAAATTCTCTCCATGAGGGAATCGCCTGCATCAGAGGAGACTGCAGAGCAGAGACTGACATCTTCATAACAGTCTCCATTTAGCAGTCAATCCTATATAAGTCATTTGAGTAAGCATCCATTGAGTAGCAACTGTGTGCCAGGCACAGTTCTAGGGCTGAAAGGACATAGAGATGGAGGTGATGTGTCCACCCTACAAGAACTCATCACACAGGTGTATACAACATGCTGCCATCATGCAGCCACCCTGGGTGTGTGGGCAAATGTTCATCAGTGTGACATATTTTCCTGTTCTTCAAATAGAATCCATGTTCTTGCTGGGAGGTGTGCCAGACGGTTTTAAGCTGAGTGGGCAAGCAGCCCAGTAGTGACAGAGTCTGACTCATGTGCAAGAGGGAGAAGGGTGTAGCCTCACTTTGAGCTGGTGCCAGAAAACAGCTGCAAGTTGACAGGACTTTGACTGCTCTTACAGTCATTCCATAGACACTGTTGTTACAACAGTTAACCCCCACCATCTCAAGTATTCTACTCTCAGACCAACCACCACCTCCTTTCTTTCTAGCTCATTCCTTTTGGCACCCAACTCCAACAATCCTCTAGTCCCACTGGGATGCAAATCCATTGATTCTACTGGTTTTCATTTCTCTCTCTTCTCTTGGGTCCTCACTTCCTTCTTGCCCAGCTTCAATGTCATAATCAGTCACAGCCTCTGCTCCTTTGTCCTCCTCTTGCTTTATCAGGGCTGCTTGACAAGTCCTCCAACTCTCTTCCTGTTCCGTGCCAACACTCGAGCTGTTGAATGTAGCCAGAGAAAACCACACTATGCAGGCTAGCCCCGTTTTAAATCCATGATCACTAACCTCAAGAGAGCTTGGATCCTGGAGAGCAAGCATTCTCTACTCCCTGAACCATTCCATATTCCCACTGCCCTAAATAAATACTTTATGCCTTCATTCTCATACCCTCACCTCCCACACCCTCATCCCCAAATTACTCTGAGCTGATGACATCACTTCCTTTTTCACTGGCAAAATTTAGGCAATCATCTGCCCACTCACCTGCCGCTCTAGCCATGCCTCTGCCATCCCTCCTGCCACAATGGATGACTGGCCATGCTCCTCGCTAGGGCCACCCATCCACTGATGCTGCCATTGTATTTTATCTCACTCAAATAAAATACAATAATGAAGACATTGCACCAGCTACCCTTCCCTCTTACTCCTAACTCATAAATCTTCCCTATCTACTGGGCTTTTTCTATCAGGATGCAAACACGCGTTTTTGCCTCCATATTCAAATAGATAGATAGATAGTAGGTAGGTAGGTAGATGATAGATAGATATCATTTGCTCCTCCAGTTAACACACCATTTCTTGAAAAACATATTTATTCCCCTGTCTTCAAATTGAGGTGACTAGCCACTCCAGTTTGCCTGGAAATGAAAGGGTTCCAGGACATGGGATCTTTCAGTTTTCAAACCAGAAGTCATAGGATGCAAACTTTCATGCTAAAACCAGGAAAGTTCCCAGACAAACCAGGACGAGGTGGTCATCCCACAAAATCATCTCCTTTCCTTCTCTCAAAGATGCTCCACTCAAGCTCCTTCTCCATCCCCACCAATCCCACCACCATTGCACCCAACTACTCTTGGCTAGTCACCCATGATCAATTGCTAATTCCTCCAACAGTTGTTAGTCTGCATTTTTCCTGATTGTTTAGCATCAGTGGACAGAATTTATCACTGTGGCTCTAGAAATATTCTCATCGCTTGGCTTCCAGGACACACACACTCTCCTGGTCATCTTGTGCTCTCCTGTGCCCAGCTGGCTGCTGCTTCTCAGCGTCCTATCCTGGCTCTGCCTCACCTCCCCAACTCTTTAACTTTTGAATGTCCCAGGACTCAGTCCTTGAGCCATTTTTCTTTTCCATCTACACTCAGTCCCTAGGTGATCTCATCTGGTCTCATGGATCTTAAAAGCCATCTAAAACCTGATGCTCCTAAATTTGTATCTCTAGCACAAATGTCACCTCTGAACTCCAGACTCATACATCCAACTGCATACTGGCCATCTGATAGCCATCTCAAACATAACATATTTACAACTGAGCTCCTGATCCCTACAGCCAAACTGGCTCCACTTTCAGTCTTCTCATTTTAGTTAATAGGTAACAGTAATGTCATCCTTCCAATTGCTTGGGTTCATACCTTTGGAGTCATCCTTGACCTGTCATTTTTTTCTTACACCACACATTGCATCTGTCAGCAAACACTGTCAGCAAATACCATCAGCCCTACCTCTAAAATATATCTAAAATCCAACTACTTCTCACCATGTCCACTGCTACCCTCTTGTCCAAGCTACTATTAAGTTTCTCCTCAACTATTGCGACAGTGGCCTAAACTAACTCCCTAAATGTAGAGGTGAAAGGAGAGACAGAAAATATGGGAATATACTGACCCAATAATGCTATCTAAAGAACTAGAGGATGATTAAATGTAGCGTATATAATTATAAGGAAGAAACTCATATATTAATAATGCTCAATAATTTTTCAAAAAAGATCCCAAGAAAATGCAACAGCATGGTCTTTTCAACGTATTGGCCTAGGACAATTGGATATCTATATGCAACAAAAAGAAAGAACATATGCCCCACTTTCTTATACTGTACACAAAAATTAACTTAAAATGAACCAGACTTAGATGTAAAAGCTAAAACAATAAAAGTTCTACAATAAACCATAGGAGAAACATTTTATGACCTCAGGTTAGGTAAGGCATTCCTATATATGACACCAAAAGCATGATCAATAAAAGAAAAAAGATGGTAAATTGGCCTTTACTAAAGCAAATGTTTATACTTCAAAAGATGCTACTAGGAAAATTAAAAGTCCAGCCACAAGTTTCTTACAAACTGAAACACAGTCTTATCACAAGATGCAGCAATCATTATCTCAGATATTTACTCAACCAATTAGAAAGCTTTCTCCACACAAGAACCTGTACCCAAGGGTTTATAGTTCATAATCGTTAAAAACTGTGAGCAAGCCAGGCACAGTTGGCTCACATCTGTAATCACAGCACTTTGGGAGGCTGAGGTGGGCGGATCACTTGAGGTCAGGAGTTCGAGACGAGCCTGGTCAACATGGTGACACCCCTTCTCTACTAAAAATACAAAAAATAATAATTAGCCAGGCATGGTGGCACATGCCTGTAATCCCAGCTACTAGGGAGGCTGAGGCAGGAGAATTGCTAGAACCTGGGAGGTGGAGATTGGAGTGAGCCAAGATTGCACTACTGCACTCCAGCCTGGGAACAGAGTGAGGCTCTGTCTCAAAATAAATAAATAAAAAACTGTGAGCAACCAAGATGTCCTTCAATAGATTAATAAAGTTTGGTATATGCAAACAATAAAATTTCATGATAAAGATAAAGAGATAAAGTAATAAAAATAAAGGAGCTGTCAAAAATAAATGAGCTGTCAAATCTTAAAGAGACATGGAGAGACCTTAAGTGCATATTTCTAAGTGAAATAAGTCAATCTGCATACTGAAAGAAGTCAGGCTACATATTATATGACTTCAATTATAAGATATTCTGGAAAAGGCAAAACTGTAGCAACAGTAAAAAGACCAGTAGTTGCCAGGAGTTCAGGGGAAGGAGTGAAGGGTAAAATAGTTGAAACACAGGCTATTTTTTAGGGTGATGAAACTATTTTGTACAGTGCTATAATGGCACACACATGACACTACACATTTGTCAAAGCCCATAGAACTTTACAACACAAAATATGAACCTGCAAATTAGGGAATACTCATCAAAGAGTTGGAGGATCTCAGGATAAAAAGTAGAATATGACCAAACAATCTAATTGTATTAGAAATACATGAAACAACTTCACTGACAGGATAGGTGTTGCTGACGTGAGTAACTTTAGAAATGACTGGAGAAAGAGTAAAGGAAAAATAAATTGCATGTAAGCATGGTGCTCTAGTTAGAAAAGTTGTTTCCCACAGGGGTACAAGTTAACAATTCTGATACCAATATGCATGTATACAGGAATTAAACAATTAGCCAAATGAAGTAAATGGAAGGTGGGTGGTGGGAGCCAGGTTGGGGCGGGTGGTGACAGATAAGTAAGAGGAAACTGAGATGGTCTATGACTTAGAGTTGGAGATATTAGTATAAACTCGTGATTTGCTATTTAATCTAGAGATAGATGGTTATACGTATAAATGCTAAGATATGTGTATAGGCACTGGTTTGTGTATATACATATATTCCCTTACTCTGTGATATGGTTTGGCTGTGTCCCCACCTAAAATCTCATCTTAAATTGTAATCCCCACATGTCAAGGTGGAGGTAATTGGATCATCAGGGCAATTTCCCCCATGCTGTTCTCATGATAGTGAGTGAGTCTCACGAGATCTGATGGTTTTATTAGTCTTTGGCATTTCCCCTGCTGGCACTCATTCTCTCTCCTGCCTCCCTGTGAAGAGGTGCTTTCCAACATGATTGTAAGTTTCCTGAGGCCTCCCCAGCCATGCGGAACTGTGAGTCAATTAAATCTCTTTTCTTTATAAATTACCCAGACTCGGGTATTTATTCATAGCCATGTGAGAATGGAATAATACACTCTGTCAGCTGAGAGGGTCTAGAAGCAATGATACTTCAGCAGCAGTGAGCACACAGAGCAACAGGATCTTGGTTTCTAACACCATTCTTCAGTAGAAGTAACCAGGCCTCCTTGAAGAAATGACTGAGTCTAGGACTGGGGCAAGAAATACACAAAATGATGCTGGAGCATCTTGTATTGCCAGGAAATAAGGAAGTGTTTTAAAAACCATCACAGTGCTGGGAGTATGTCAGTGGAACACAGGAGTCAACTGAAAGAGCTCCCAATGATCCAAGTTGGGTCAATTTTAACAAAAAATAAGTGAAGTAGTATTATAGATTATAACAGTGTGCATATATAATAGGCTACAACTCAAGAGTATAAAATAAATATTTATGAGTCCATACTATTATAAATAAATTATTGAATAAATTAATAAATTGGAAAGAAGAGATAAATCTGCAATGCAGAATAATTTCAAATACACTATGTAAATAGC
Organism: Homo sapiens; assembly: GCF_000001405.40. Classification (NCBI taxonomy): domain Eukaryota; kingdom Metazoa; phylum Chordata; class Mammalia; order Primates; family Hominidae; genus Homo; species Homo sapiens. The sequence continues at coordinate 94,337,765 of NC_000014.9, read as the reverse complement.
CTCAAGGAGGTAGAGCTTAATTCCTTTCACCTTAAGTGTGGGCTACACATAGTGACTCCTTCCAAGAAGGGCAGTGTATAAAAGAGTAACTTTATGGTGAAGAAATTGGATAAACACGACAAACAGGTGATCAAGGTCAACATCGACAGTGATAAGTCATGTTGATAGTATGTACTCTTGATGTGATGTGATCAAAATGGCACTTTATATCTGTGGTCTTCCTCTGAAAAACCCATAACCCCAATATAGTCATGAAAAACATCAGACAAGTTTCACTAGAGGGCAGTTTACAAAATATTTGACCAGTAGGCCTCAAAACTGGCGAGGTCATCAAAACCACGGAAAGAAACTGTCACAGCCAAGAGAAGCCTAAGGAAACATGATGACTACGTGTTCCGTGGTATCCTGGATGTGATCCCAGAATAAAAAAGGACATTTGGTAAGAAAGATTCACATTGAAATATTAATAAAGTATAGACTTTAGATAATGATAATGTATCAATATTGGTTTATTAATTACAATGAACATATGTAAATATAAGTTGTCAATAATATGGAAAACTGGGTATGGGGTATATAGGACCTCTCTATAATATCTTTGCAATTTTTCTGTCAATCTAAAACTTCTAAAATAAAAAAAATTTAAGGCAAGCTACAGATAGGAAAAAAAATGTTAGCAAATCATATCACTGATAAAGAACTTGTATCCAAAATATATAAAGAACTCTTATAACTCAATAATAAAACAAATGACTTAACCCAATTTAAAAATGACAAATGACTTGAATAGACATTCACCAAAGAAGACATATGGATGGCTAATAAACACATGAAAAGGCACTCTATTTGGTCAGTAGGAAAATGCAAATTAAAACTATAATGAGCTACAACCACACAACCACTAGTATGTCTAAAACAAAAAAACAGAAAATATCAAGTGTTTATTAAGATGGTGAACTTAGAACTCTCACACATTGCTGGTGAGATTATAAAATGGTGCTGTCACTTTGTAAAATAATTTGGCACTTTCATAAAATGTCAAATGTGAACATATGACTCAACAATTCTACAAAGAGAAATGAAAACATAAGTCTATACAAAAAGAGACTTGCACATGAACACAAGTCTATATGAACAAAATGAATTCCTAAATGGATAAATAAATATATGAATACAATACTATATGAATAATATCAATTCACATATGAATAATAGCCTCAAACTGGAAACAATCTAAATATTTATCAACTGGTGAATTGATTAATAAAATTTTACACAATGGAATACTATTCAGCAATAAAAAGGAATGAGCTAATGATCTTACTATAGTTAACCCTTGAATAAAGCACGTTTGACTTTCTCCCTCCTCTGTCAATCCTGAGATGGCAAGACCAACCCCTCCTCTTTCTCCTCCTCCTCAGCCTACTCAACATGAACACAAGGAGGGTGAAAACATTTATGATTATCTATTTCCACTTAATAAACAGAAAATATATTTTCTCTTCCTTATGATTTTTTAAATAACATGTTCTTTTCTCTAGCTTACCTTATTGTAAGCATATGCTATATAATGCTATAACAACAAAATGCATATTAATTGACTATTTACGTTATAAGTAAGGCTTCCGGTCAACAGTAGGCTATTAGTACTTAAGTTTTGGGGAGTCAAAAGTTATTTGTGAATCTTCAACTGCATGGAGGATTGGTTCCCCTAACCCCCATGTTGTTCAAGGGCCACGTGTAGAATGTGGTTGCATCTTGAAAATGTCGTGCTAAGTGAAAAAAGCTAGACCCATAATGCTACCTATGAGTCCACTTATGTAAATTATCCAGAAGAGGCAAATGTGTAGAGCCAGAAAGTGGATCAGTGGTGGCCTAGGGTTATAGCTGGTCCACTTTCTGGCTCTACACATTTGAGAGGGTCAATTGACAGCAAAAGGGTTCCTGCAGATCTTTGTGGTGACAGATAGGTTCTAAACCTGGATTCTGGTGAAAATGGCACAAGTCTATGACTTAAGTAAAAATCATTGGATTAGACACTGACAATGAGTGAGTTTTATGGTATATAAATTATATCACAATAAAGCTGTTAAAAATCTTTGGAGACACATCTAGCACTATGTTTAGGAGGAAATTTTACTGCTTCTAAGACATATATTTTCCTATAAAGGAAAAAATATCCACGAGGTAATCATCTCAAGAAATTAGAAAAAGAAGCACAAATGATACAAAACAACGTAGAAAAAAGGAAATAAGCAGAACAAAAATTAATGAAATAGAAAGCAAACATAAAATTAGACAAATCAAGAACTCCAAAAGTCGGTTCTTTGAATATGCCATAATTTTAACGATTGATTTAAAAAAAAAATGAAGCACAAATAAGCTAGGCCAGGAATGAAAAATGGACCATTTACTGTAGATCTGAAACATGCTAAAGAGGTAATTAGAAGATAGTATGAAAACTTTGTATAAGTAAGCTTTAGAAATTAGATTAAATGGGCAAATTTCAAAAAAAAATTAAAGAAATAGAAAATCTGAATAGTTCTCTAACTATGAAAGAAATTAAATCCATAAATAAAAATATCTCTCAAAGAAAATTCTAAGCCCAGATGGTTTCTCTGGCAAATTCTACCACACATCTAAGGAAAAACTGACGTTAAGCTTACACATTTTTCCAGGCCTTAGAATAACACGCCTCAACTTGTTTAATGAGGTCAGCATGACATTGACAACCGGAGCTGGCAAGAGCACAGGGAAAAAGGAAAATTACTGACCACTGTGTGTACTGAAAACACTACATCAACTGTTTACACTCATCACCGTGACACTCTTAGATGGGTAATATTCTTTGCTTCATTTAATGTATCAGAAAATTGGGGTTGGGGGAGCATATGAAATTGGACAAAGTCACATAATTAGTAATTCATTATAGTAGTATAGAAAGCAGATGTGACCGACTACAAAGGTCTGCATAGGTTTTCTCTTTAGTTTTTCAATCTAACCTTCCTCCTCAGGGAAGCTAGGAAGACAAGAAGCTGAGTCTCATATAGAAAAAGGAAGAAGCTAAATCGTCTCTGTTTGCTGACAGCATGCTCTTACATATAGAAAAGCCTGGACTCCACCAAAAAGCTGTTAGAACTAATGAACAAATTTGAGAAAATTGCAGAATATAAAATCAACATACAAAAATCAGTAGCATTTTTATACACTAACAACAAATTATCAAAAAAAGAAATCAAGAAAACAATGGCATTGACAATAGTTACAAAAAAATAAAATGCTCAGGAATACATTTAACCAAGGAGGTGAAAGACCTGTACGTTGAAAACTATAAAACATTAATGAAAGAAATTGAAGAGGGGACAAATAAACGGAAAGGTAACCTGTGTTCATGGATTGAAAGAAATAATATTGTTAAAATGGCCACACTACTCAAAGCAATCTACAGAGTCAATGCGATCCCTATCAAAGTTCCAGCATTTTTCACAGAAATAGAAAAAACAACCCTAAAATTCATATGGAACCACAAAAGATCTTGAATAGCCAAGGCAATTGAGCAAAAAGAACAAAGCTGGAGGTATTATCCTCTTGATTGAAAATATATTACAAAGCTATAGTAATCAAAACAGCAGTATTGGCTAATAGAAACAGACTCATAAACCAATGGAAAAGCATAGAGGCCAGTAACTAACCCATGTGATTATGGTCAATTGATTTCAACAAAAGTATCAAGAGCACACACCAGGCAAAGAACAGTTTCTTCAACAAATAGTGCTGGGGAAACTGAATATCCACGTGCAGAAGAATGAAATTGGACCTTTATTTCACACCATACAAAAAAAAATTCAAAATAGATTCAAGACTTAAATATAAGACCTGAGACTGCAAAACTACTAGAAAAAAATTAAGTGAAAACTACATGACATTGGTCTGGGCAACAAATTTTTGGATTTGACCCTGAAAGCGCAAGCTACAAAAGCAAAAATAGACTAATGAGATTGCATCAAATTAAAAATCTTCTGTACAGCAAAGGAAACAATTAACAGAGCGAAGAGACAGACTACAGATTGGAAGAAAATATTTAGAAGCCATGCATCTGATAAGGGGTTAATATCCACATTATATAAGTAACTTAATAGCAAAAAAAAAACTTTGATTTTTAAAAATGGACAAAGGATCTGAATAGGCATTTCTCACAAGACATAAAAATGGCCAACAGATATGTGAATAAATGTTCAACATTACTAATGATTAGTGAAATGCTAATTAAAATCACAATAAGATATCACCTCCCACCTGTCAAAATGGCTATCATCAAAAAGCCAAAAGATAAGCATTGGTGAGGATGTGGGAAAAGGAAATCTTTGTACACTGTTGGTAGGATTGTAAATTAGTACAGCCACTATAGAAAACAGTGTGGAGTTTCCTCAAAAAAATAAAAACAGAACAACCATATGATCCAGCAATCCCACTTCTGGGTATCTATCCAAAGGAAATGAAATCAATATGTCAAAGAGATACCTTCCCTTTCATGTTCATTGCAGCATTGTTCACAATAGCCAAGATACAGAATCAATCTAATCATCCATTAACAAATGAATAAAGAAAATCTGGTGTGTGTGTGTGTGTGTGTGTTCTCTCTGTTTGCTGATGGCATGATCTTATATGTAAAAAAGCCTAGACTCCACCAAAAAACTATAAGAAGTAATAAACAAATTTGGTAAAATTGCAGAATATTAAATCAACATACAAAAATCAGTAGCATTTCTATACACATACACAAACAAACACAATGGAATAATATTCAGCCTTTAAAAGAAAGAAAATTCTATTATTTGGGACAACATGGATGAACATTATGCTAAGTGAAATAAGCCAGACTCAGTCAGAAAGACAAATACTTCAGGATCTCACTTACATGTGGACTCTATAACAATTGAACTCATGGAAAAAGAGAGTAGAATGATAGCTACAAGAGGCAGGCAAGTGGAGGAGATGGGGAGGTGTTTGTCAAAGGGTACAAAGTATCAGTTAGACAGGAGGAATAAGTTTTTCAGATCTACTGCACAACAAGGTGACTATAGTTAATAATGTACTGTATATTTCAAAATTGCTAAAAGAGCAAATTTCAAATGTTCTCTCCACAAAAAATAAGCATGTGAAGTGAAGGATATGTTAATTCACTTGATTTATTCATTCCACACTGTGTACATGCACCATAACATCACATAGCACCCCACCAAAATACACAATTATAATTTGTCAATTAAAAATAATTTTTTTAAAAAAAGAAGCTGAGCCTCAGAGAAGTCAAGCAACTTGTCCAAGGTCACAGAGCAAGTTGGTGAGAGAGCGGCAGGCAGGCAGAGTGGGGACTTGGCCCAGCTTCTCCTGAGGGAGATGGTGTCTGCAGAGCTTGCCCGCCCTACCCCACGTTTCTGGGGCTTTTTAAGGCTACTAAACTCGTGGGCCACACCTGGACCAATGAGGAGCATTCACATCACCACTCCACACCCCAACTCAACACCCTGATCTAGCCCCTGGGCCCCAGCGTCTGCCCTAAAGAATTCCTCAGGATCAACCCTGGAATGCCGTAACCACTGGCCAGATGTGGGACTAGGCAGGGAAGGGCTGAACAAAGACAGAGGCAGAAGAGCTCCATGGTAAGAGCACGGACTTTAGCTAGGATGCCTGGGTTCAGATTCTGACTCCTGTACTTGGCAGTGTGACTTAGGCCAGTCTTCTACCCCTTTCTGCCACAGTTTCCCCACCTGCCACGTGGAAACAGCAATAATCTCTAGCATGCATATAGCACCTACTATATGGCAGGCGCAGCTCTGAGCTCTTGCCACATATGACCCCACCAAATCTGCACAACAGCCTGAAGAGACCTGGGCGCCAGAATTTGCACCCCTCAGATGATGCAGCTGAGCCATGTCACAGTTAACTGAGACACCTGGATTTGAACCAGAGCCTATGCTTAGATGTCTGGATTTTAACCCAGAGCCCATGTTCTCGCTAGCTAAACTACCCTGGGTGATCCCAATCGTAACCCACAGGGTTCCTTTGAGGATCGAGTAGATCAGTCTACACCACACTCCAAGAGCTGGCACCCAGTGAGGGTTCAATAAAATGCCAGCTACTCCCTGCACCAGACTCCGGGCACTGGGCTCAGTGCTTACATGCTGCGGGGAGACCAGAGTAGGGCAGGGGCTGGCAGGTGGGGAGGAGAAGAGGAGCAGAATGGGGATCCAGACAATGTAGGCAACTCATCAGTGAACATGTAGCCCAAAGGAACTAAGGCCAAATGAATGGCACATCTAGGCTATGTTCCTGCCTGTCTGAGAGGATGAGGCCAAGAGGGGTTTGGGGTCCTGCTTGGTCCACGAATGGCTCAAAGGCTGTGGATAGTACAGGTGGCCCCTGAAGTGCAGATTGGCAGGAGAGGGATCCAGGCAGTTCCCTTGGGCCACCACAACCAAAAGCCAGGCTCCAGGTCCAGCGACAGCCAGGTCCAGCTCAGAAGTCCATGATTTGGGAGAGGACTCAGAGGCCCTTGGAGCACCCACAGCCTACCCTGCCACCCCCACACTGGCCACTAGTACTGGGTGGCATCCCTGTTTGCCAATACAGCTCATGATTCCTCAGATAAACAGCCAGGTGGGGCTTGGAAAGTCCAGCCAAGACTCATTCTAGAGGTTGTGGTCACCGTAGTCTCTGGCTTCACATGGCCTGTCCCTTGCCAAGCAAGGCCTGGGCCCTTCCCTCCTACAGACACGATCCTAGAGAGGGCTTGGGAAGTTCAGATGTCCTGAGCAACCCTCCTGGCTCAGCTTCTGTGCTCAGCAGAATTGGGCAAGATGCCCTGAGCAACCCTCCTGGCTCAGCTTCTGTGCTCAGCAGAATTGGGCAAGTTGAACCCAGAGCAGCACAGCTGTAATTTTGGAGAGGTAGCCATTCATGGTCAGTGTGATTTCAGAGGGGTGGCCATTCACGGGTTGTGTGATTTCAGAGGGGTGGCCATTCACAGATGGTGTGATTTCAGAGGAGCAGCCATTCCTGGATGGTTTGAGTTCAGAGGCATGGCCGTTCATGGATGGTGTGATTTCAGAGGGGTGACCATTTACAGATGGTGCGATTGCAGAGGGGTGGCCCTTCATGGAGGGCTTCAGCAAGATGCTCCCTCCAGTACTGGGGGTGACCCCTGAGAGACCAGCAAGTCATTCTCAAATGAGACCCAGATGCAGCAGCATTTGACCTGGGAACCAGGCAAGGATGTCTGGGGCAGGTGCAGCCCTGCCTTTAAGAGAACAACCCAGCCTCCTGGTCAGCAGGAAGCAGGTCTCACTCACCTGAAGTCACTAGCCAGGGCCTGGTGGGCACAGACCAGTGGTTCAGGGAACATGTGAGAAACAGCTCAAAGTTGCTTATAAAAAGTGTTCTTTTATTTTAAAAAATGATTCTTCTTTATTAAAGGGCTAAGAGGTTGATGATGAAAGAAAAGGTCTTGGCTGGCGTTTCCCAAGCAGAATCCAGTACTTGGTGGGCACCAGTCACTGAAGAGATAAAATAACAATCTTAGCAGTGATTCTCATGCCTTAACATGTGCTTGCAACTGTGCTAGGCTCAAGCATCACCCAATCCTCACAACAACCCCATGAAGCACGGAATATCTGTAGCTCCACCAGAGGTGAGAGCATGCCCCAGAGAGGAAGGTCACAAGGCCACCTGCTGACAGTGGTGGAGCATGAGCCAGAGCCTAGCTTTTTCTCTTTTTCCAACTTTGTATTTGGAAGTAATTCCTAACCTACAGAAAAGCTGCAAGAATAAAAATAATACAAAAAACACACACATAATTTCTCTCCCCGAGACATACACACACGCATATGTATGCATGCATGTATGTGCATGTACAATTTTTTTCAGAATATTTTGAGAATAAATTGTATACATAATACCTCTGTACCCCTAAATACTTCAGTGTATATTTTCTAAGATTTTGAGATATTACTTTTCAGTAAACCTATCAACCTGAGGAAATTTAGCACTGATACCTTTATCTAACATACCATCTATATTCCAACTTCAATTGTCCCAATAAGGTCCTTAATACATAGCACATGTTTTCTCTGATTAAGGATCCAAGCTCTGCATTTAGTAAGTCATCGAGAACTTTCAGAAGATCACCCATTTCCTGGGAGGAGCTTCTTGCCAATGCTGTCCAAGAGTGACCACCTCCTTTTCTGAAATCACACCATTACTGATCTCATGTCTCTTTAGTATCCTCTGAGAGGTAACACATTTTGTCTTTTATTACATGTCATTTTTAAGCAACACAATCCTCACCATCACTAAATGGTGTCATATATATGAAATAAGATAAATTTGACCTCTACCTCACACCATACACAAAAATCAAATCCAGATGTATAACGAACCTAAAAGTGAAAAATAAAGCAATAAAGCTTTTCAAAGAAAACATAAGAGAAAGTTTCATCACATTTGGGTCAGCAAAGATTTATCAAACAGAACATAAGCAGCATTAACTGTAAAAGAATAAACAGATGATTTGGACCTCATTAAAATAATGAACCATGTTTATCAAAAGATTCCATTAAGAGAGTGAAAAGATAAGTCACAAACTTATATTGCAATTTATTGATCTGGCAAATGATTGTTGAACTTACCAATTGACAAGAAAAAGACAATATGACAGAAACAGGCACTTCTCTTCAATCTAACTTAAACAGTTACTTCTCAACAGATGATATCCAAATGGTAAAAAACTTAAAAGGTAATCAGTTTCATTAGTCATCAGAGAAATGAGGTATAAAACTATTATGTGAAACCATTACACACCCACCAGAATGGATAAAATGAAAAAGATGGACAACACCAACGATTTGCAAGGATGTGGAGCAATTGTGCCTCTCATACACCATTGTTTGGAAATACAAATTGGTTCAATTACTTTGGAAAATTGTCTGACAGTCTCTACTAAAGCTAAATATATGACCCAGCAATTTCTTTTTAATTATCTGCTGCTATGTAATAACTCTTCCAAAATTTAATGGATTAAAAGAACAATCTTGGCTGGGCAAGGTGGCGCACACCTATAAATCTCAGCACTTTGGGAGGCCAACACGTGAGGATCACTTGAGGCCAGTAGTTCAAGACCTGCCTGGGCAACATAGTGAGACGCCATCTCCACAAAGAAAAGCAAAGAAAAGAACAACAATTCCATTATTACTCACAGTTTTCAGGTTAGGAATTCAGGCAGGGCATGCCTGAGTGATTTTTTCTGCTCCACACAGCATCAACTGGGATCACTCAGAAGTATTCACTAGGTGGCTGGGCTGGGCTGGACTGATCCAAGACAGCTGCACTCATGTGTGGCACAATGGTGGGGATAGCTAGGAGGCAGGACTTAGCTGGTTCTTTATCTCTCCACATACTGTCTCAGGGTTTTTCCACATAGTCTCTCTAGCAGAGTGCTTGTACATCGTACAAGGTGACTCAGGGCTCCAAGAGCCCAAGACAGAAGCTGGGAGATTACTTATGAACTAGCCTTGAAAATTCCAGCACATCACTTCTACGTTCTATTAGTCAAGAAAGCCAGTAAAACAAGCCAAGATTCACAAGAAGGGAGAAATAGACTCTATCTCTTGATGATGGTGCAGCATACTCACAGAGGGAAAGAAGGAAGGACGGCAGCCATGTCGGAGAAAAAACACTGCAGTCTACCCTATGGCCTCAACAATTCATTTTCCCTCACACATGAAAAATACACCCACCTCCCCTATGACTCCCAAAGTCTCATCCAACTGCAACACCTCCTTGAAATCCAGATACCCTCACTTAAATCAGTCACGGTACAGAGGAGCGTCCTTAAACGTCCTTCCTGAAGTGTGTAGTTTCTCTCAATCTGAAGAAGATTGAGAGAAGATTGAAGATTGAAGAGAGAAGAGAGAAGATTGAGAGAAGAAGATGCGAAGGGAAGAGACAAGTTCTCTCCTCCCACTTCTCCACACACAACATAAAATTGTGAGACACACATAATTTAAAACAATTGGCACTCTCAATCTGCTCCTGGGGATAATTCACCATGGCCCCTTGCTGTGTCTTTTGAGATCTTGATTCTGCCTGGGTCACGCTTCCTTTTCCATAAAAATACCTCATGTTTGAGGCTCAGCCTCTGTATCCTGTTTCCTGCCTGTAGAAGGTTGAAAGTTCAAAGGCCTTTCATCATTTTGCACTGTCTTGCCCCTTTCAGACAAAGCTAATTTCTTAATTGTGAATTTTATATGAATTAATTTATAATCCACTCCACTATAATAAAGGCCACAACCACCAATCTTTTCAAGATAAGCTTTTCTATATCTTTGGCTATCTACAAACCTCGTATGGAACATTGACCGTAAAATAGCGTTAGAGGGCCTTATATCTGATCCAATGGTCTGCTAAGGCAACACCTTAGAACTTTCTGAGGTATTTATAAAGGCTTTTACAGTTACACCCTAGATATATGTTTGTTTTGAAATTCTTTCTTAATTGGGTAATCCTGGAAAGACTAAGAAGGAGAAATTATATTATTTTTAACCCAATAAGCGCTGGCTCTTTTATATTTAACAAAAATGTTAAGCTTATCTATATCCTCTCACATTTTACTATAAGTATCGAGAAGTCAGACAATAACTTCAGAGACCTTCTTAGCTTCAGAGAAATATCACCAGCTATACCACCACTTCATTTGCTATATATTCAATTTTCATGTTATCACAGGTGACAATGTTGCTAAACTTTCTACCACTACATGTCAAGGATTCTCTTTCCTCTAGCTATAGCCTGTTTCTCACTTTCCTTTAAGCCCTAATCAACGGCCTCCTTGTGGGTCATCACGTTTCCACTCACAATCTTTATAAGGACTTTCCGACTCTGATTTGATCCCAAAGTCATTGCCACATGTTTGGCTTTCATATGCAGCTTTCCACTTCCAGGTGCCAAAATGTGTTCTAGGTACTATGGCTGCCTCATAAATTATCCAAAAATTTACCAGCTTGAGACAATCATTTTTTATGCTTTTGGGTTCTTGGGACAGGAATTCAGAAAAGATACAGTGGGGATGGCTTGTCTCTATTTGATGATGGCTAGGAACTTGGGTTTAGTGTTTTTAGCAAAGTATTAGTTTATCAAACTAAACTAAACTTGGTTTTAGTGTTTTTAGTAAAGAGAAACCATCATAAGATCAAAAATATAATGAATATATTTTAACTCAATGGAATAAAACTCAATCTTTTCAATGTAAGTCAGTAAAATTCACAAAAAAAAAAACAAAAATAAGATATAGCAAATGGGAAATATAAAATAAGATAATATGTCAATCCTAAGACAATTAAAATAAATGTAAAAAGGTTAATTTTGCCAATTAACAGACAAAGACCCTCCTTTGGGGATAAAAAGCTAAATCTAAAAAGATGTTTTGTACATGAGACGCTCTTAAAAAAAGAAGGCACAGGCCGGGCGCGGTAGCTCACGCCTGTAATCCCAGCACTTCAGGAGGCCGAGGCAGGTGGATCATTAGGTCAGGAGATTGAGACCATGCTGGCTGACAAGGTGAAACCCCATCTCTACTAAAAATACAAAAAATTAGCCAGGCATGGTGGTGGGCACCTGTAGTCCCAGCTACTCGGGGGGCTGAGGCAGGAGAATGGCGTGAACCCAGGAGGTGGAGCCTGCAGTGAGCTGAGCACGTGCCACTGCACTCCAGCCTGGGCGACAGAATGAGACTCTATCTCAAAAAAAAAAAAAAAAAAAAAAGAAGGCACAGAGACTTTGGAAATAAAAGGATGAAAAATATCAGGTAAGAGTGAACCAAAAGAAAGGAAAGCAATCATAACACTGTATAAAATTAAATTTAGGACAAAAGTATGCTATACAAAAAAAAAGATACAAGAAAAACAAATACAAGAGGACATAATTATCGAAAGTATATGTGCTTTAATATACAGTCTTGAAGTAAGTCAAGCAACAACTGACCAAGAGAAGTAAGTGAACAATTGCTATTGGTGATTTTAACATTCCCCAATGAGAAACTGAAAGCTTAAATAAATAATCAACATAAATATGAAGATTTAAATAAAATAAGCTCAAGTTATTACATATATACATATATGAATGTGTATATATACATATCAAACAGATATCCATTATTTTTTAAAGAAAACATGAAATGTTTATTAAAATAGGCCATATATGAGCTGGGCACGGTGGCTCACGCCTGTAATCCCAGCACTTTGGGAGGCCGAGGCGGGCGGATCATGAGGTCAGGAGATTGAGACCATCCTGGCTAACACGGTGAAGCCCTGTCTCTACTAAAAATAAAAAATATTAGCTGGGCATGGTGGCTCACGCCTGCAGTCCCAACTACTCGGGAGGCTGAGGCAGGAGAATCCCTTGAACCCAGGAGACGGAGGTTGCAGTGAGCCGAGATCACGCCACCGTACTCCAGACTGGATGACAAAGGAAGACTCCGTCTCGAAAAAAAAAAAAAAAAAAAGACCATATATGGCTATTACAAACCTCAAAACATTCCAAATGTTCAATATCATAATGGACAATATTCTTTGACCATAGTGAAATAAAATTGGAAGTGAATAACAAGAGAATAGCCTAAAATTCTAAATAAACTCAGTGACATATTACTAAACTACACTCTGGTTTTAAAGGAAACCAGAAAAGAAATTTTAAAATACTTAGAAAAAAATTACAATGAAAATAGTAATTATCAAAAATGCGTGGGACATAGCTCACTCAGTATTTAGATGAAAACTTGTAACCTTAAATACATTTATGTGGAGACTGGAAATATTAAAATGTAAGAAAGCTAAGCATTTATCTCAAGAAAATAGAAAAAAGCACAACAGACCAAAACCCAGAGAATTTAAAGGGGTGATTAAAAAATAAAGATATAAACAGAAATCAATGAAATATCAATTTTTTAAAAAACCAGTAACAAAACTAAAAGGTGGATCTTTGGAAAGATTAATTAGCTATATAGATCTCTGTAACAGGACTTATCAAAGGGAGAAAAGACATAAACAAAATACAGAACAAAAAAAGAAAAAAGAATTACTGATATAAAATAATAATGTAAAAATAATAATGGAGAGGCCTAATGAATAACTGTAGTATTTAATTTGAAAATCTAGATGAAATAGATAAATTCCTAGATATAAAGTTCAAACTTGCCTTATAGGATAGGAAACTTGAAAAGACCAATAAACATCTACAAAACTAAGGTGTCTCCAAAACTGCAGACCCATTTGTAGGCTCTACTCTCCTCTTTTCCCCTGGGAAGAGATTCCCTCATCTCTGGATGGAAGCAATGATGCTGTCAACCCAACAGAGAGCAAAGAACCCTAGCGAGGCATTCACAATGCCTCATCCTTCTCCACACTGTGATCAATCAGTCCTAAGGGGGGCAACCACGCCATAGACTTTTGGGGGGAACTGTTATGAACATTGAGAAAAATGAGAATTTCTCTCCTTCTGATATCAACTAACCAGTTAGAACTAAATAACCCAGAGCTACTGTGGCCACATTTGTCCCCAATGCAGACAGAATAAAGTAGAAGAAAGCAGAGCTAGGAAGGAATAAAAAAAAAAAAAAGACAGAGAGAGAGAGAGAAGGAGAGATCTGATGCCTGATTTAGAACTCCGTAGATCCATGCCTGAAGTCCTTTCCACCCTTGGACCTCTCATTCATTCCTTTTTGCTTTAAAGCAGTTCAAATTTGATGTCTGTCACCTGTAATCCAAAGAAAACTGATGAAAAATAAAATGTGGGGAAAGGGGAAGGTGCTAGACTTTAGAATTGAATGGCCTTGGATTTGAATCTCAAGGGCGTTTAACTTAACTTCCATGCAGCTCAGTTTCCTATCTAAAGAGGAGTGACAATGGTACCCACTTCACAGAGTCATTGTGAAGATTTCGTGAGATAATCCAGAGGAAGCGCTTGGCAGATATTATTCCATGTCTGTCTCTCCCACCAGACTAAGACCACTGGAAGGCAGGACCTTGCCCAAGTCATCCCCAATTGGAGCTAAACACCTATTTTTCTTTTTACAAGTATCTGCACCTTGGTGCTAATTAAGGGCACCTAAGACATCTCTGCCAACTGACACAGGGCAACCACATTGATGCAACTCCAGCCACATTTTGGTATTAAAAAAAGACTTCATAGAATTGAACGCAGAGCAAAGTTAATTTGCAGCATTTCTGTGTTTACTCAGCTATCCTGACAAAGCCTCCCATTGGTTAATGACTCGGGGGAGAGGACTACCAAGCGGTGAAGGCCACTGGCCCCTCTAACCATTAACCACCCAGGAAGCTGGCAAACAAAATTTAACAGGCAGCATCCACCGCAGGCTTACTGTACACATGCTAGGGTCCAGGACAGCAGGACCAAGCCAGCAGAAACAGCCTGAGCCCACCGCAGACTGTGAGTAACACCTGAGAACCCTCTGTCCCTCCCCCTGCCCAGCCTCCAGAGCAAAGCCATGGCTGCAGCTCGCTTGTTTGGTTTGTTGAGATGCTTTGTTTTTTTAAAGGGCACATTGAACATTAGGGCAGCCAGCAGTGTTATGAGGCAATCTGGTTAGGATTTTCCAGACCCCGGAGTCTGTGAGTCATCCACAGGGGTTCCGATGTCCCCTGGGTTCCTGCCATGCAGGGGGCTGACACAGAGGGCTGTAGCTAAGAACCATTCTCGTCCACTGCCATGATTGATGCTCCTAAGCCCAGCCAGATAGCCACAACAGCCACAACAGCCACAGAGTCGCAGCCTGCAAGCTACAATGCATCTGCTCCAGTCGGCACCACCGATGAAGGATGCTGGCCGCGGGTCAGGGCCTGGGAGGGCTCAGCTGGCCCAGTGCAGGGGTATTCTTCTGAGTCACGCAGACCTGTCTCCACCATGGCTCCTCACTCAGTGACCTGGGGCAGAGATAATGCACAGAGAACAGAACTGTCTGCACTGTACCACATGTCATGAGGTTTCACTACAGAAGGTCAAGAACTGTGCCTGGCTCATAGGGCATTTGTGAAAACAGAGAACACAGTGAATATTTACTAAGTGAGTCTCTTCAGAGATGAGGAACAAAGAGGGCATACTTGACATGAAATGCATGAATAATATTGATACTCTGCATTTTTATATGGCTGGGTACTTTTTTGTTTGTTTGTTTGTTTGTTTTTTAAGATGGAATTTCACTCTTGTTGCCCAAGCTGGAGTGCAATGGTGCGATCTCGGCTCACTGCAACCTCTGCCTCCTGGGTTCAAGCTATTCTCCAGCCTCAGCCTCCCGAGTAGCTGGAATTACAGGCACACACCATCACACCCAGCTAATGTTTTTGTATTTTTAGTAGAAATGGGTTTCGCCATGTTAGCAAGGCTAGTCTCGAACTCCTGACCTCAGATGATCTGCCCACCTCAGCTTCCAAAAGTGCTGGGATTACAGGCATGAGCCACCACACCTGACCATGGCTGGGTACTCTTAAGAGCTGCTTTACTCATCATTTTGCTCTCTGTAGAGATAGGCAGAATGGCATGGCACAAGCTCCGATGTCAGACATCTAGGCTTAGAATTCCAGCTCAGGGGGAGTTACTCTGTCTCCCTGGATCTCAGTTTTCTCATCTGTAAAATGGGCCCCAGGATGACCCATTAAGTGAGGTCACATAAGCCAAGCACTGATAACAGCCACGTCTGGTATTCACAACAATATTGTGGGGTGGATGGAGTTTTCACCCTCATCTTAGAGAATTAACGCAGGAGAAGGTGAGACATGCAATCTCCCCAGAGCTGGCAGGGGAGCCCATCCTACCATTGGCATCATACCGCACAGGGCCTGTGCCTGAGAGGAGATCCCAGATAGGTATGGCAGTGACCAAAGCTAAGCAAAGATTTCACTGCCTGTCATGGGGCAAGGCCATAGAGAAGCACAGATACAAGGCTTCCTGGAGGCGGTGACCTGGGACCTGAGTCTCAAAGGACAAGATGGAGTGAGCCAGATGAGGCAGGGAGATGAGGGACCTACAGACTGGAGCCACATAGGCAGGACTGAGGCAGATCCATCTTTGTTCCCTGCTCCCAGTCCAGAGCTGGGCTCAGCAAACATGGAAAAATCAAAATGACCTGCCCTGGGGAACTGCAGTGACCTGTCTTGCTGTAACCTGCCCTATAGTGATGTGACATGCCCTGCCCTGCCCCACAGTGGGAGAAAAGGCTGATGTGTGCTGGAAGAACCCCTGGCACCCAGTGTTGCTGTGGCTGAGACCCCAAAGGGCCAGATTTGAGGCTGGAGGCAGAACTGTCACCAGGGACTGGGTCACAAAGACCCCCTGGGCTACATTAGTGAGAATCAGCCCTGTGGTGGGCAATGGGGAGTCCCTGAAAACTTCAAAGCAGAACCGATCAGCTTGAATTTTTGAGAATTTAAAAAGATGCAGCTGCAGATGGGTAAAAGGGCTGGAGGGAGTTGAACAGGAGGCAGGGAGACGAGGTAGGGGCTACTGCTGAGTCCTGAGAGAGATGAGGAGGCTGTGCAGAGGCACTGGAGAATAGACAAACACCAGAAAAATGGGTAAGGCTAGAGGTGTTATTATCAGCTCTATTTTATACTGTGGAAACTGAGGCAGAGTTTAAGTAGCCTGTCCCACATCACCTAATTCATACATGGCAGTGCTAGGGCCCCAATCCAGCTTGATCTGCCACGAAACCCAGGATCTTTTCTGGGTTTCGCGACAAAAGAATTGTCGCGAGGACCCAGAAATCCAAGTCAGAAACCCGATGGAGAATTCAATAAAGCCCATCATTTGGGTGCGGGGAGTGGGGAGCAGGTCACACCTGCCTCTATTATCTAAAGCAGAGAACTAGGGGCTAGAGCAGCCAACAGGGGTTGTTTTCCACCCTGGTGAGATAAGGGAGACACGCAAGGAGGGTTTTGGGAGACTCAGGAGAACTAAGGGTTTTGCGGGGGAGTTCCCACCTGTCATTCTTGAGATTCTGCTTTTGGAACACACCAGGGAAGGGGCCTCTAGGGAATTCCAGAGCAGAACAGTGGTTCCCACGCTCGGAGCGCACCTGTTAAAAGAAAACTTTAGACAAATTAAACGTAGCAGAGTTTATTTGAGCAAAGAAACAATTCATGAATCACACAGCACCCTAAACCAGTAAAGGTTCAGAGAGTGCCACCCAGCAACGTAGGCAGTATTTACAGGCAGAAGAAGGAAGTGACATACACACATAGGCTGATAGGTTACAGCTCTGTGTTTGCCTTGTTTGAACATGTCTGAGCAGTTGGCAGGCTGTGATTGACTGAAAGTTCAGCTGCTATGATTGGCTGAGACTTGGTTACTTGTTACAAACATATACTCTCAAGTTAGGTGCAGTTTGTTTACATATTAAGCTAGGTTACAGTTTGCTACATGAGGAGGCAGCTTTAGCCCATCTTTAATTTAATTTAACACAACACAACCTCCTGGAGCACTGGTTTAAATGAGGGTTCCCAGCCCCTCACCCAGAATGGCTGGTTCAACAGTGGGTGGTGCAGTAAGACCTGCTTCTCCTGTAAGCATCCTGTATTTATTGTGATACAGGTAGCTCCACACAGCACAGGGCCTGAAACCACTAACCTTGCAGGCAGGCAGTGTCCACCGACTGATTCCAACCTTGGGTGGATTTTTTTTAATTGCTCTTATGGAACTCTTTTTAAATCATTTATATTTAATTTTTTCCTTAAATTTGTATTGTGGGAAAATATAATACCTAACGTTTTAACTACAAGCATACAGTTCATAAAAGTACATTCACATTGTTGTGCCACCATCACCACCTTCCATGTCCGGAACTTTTTCATCATCCCAGACTGAAACTCTATA
Source organism: Homo sapiens (assembly GCF_000001405.40). NCBI lineage: Eukaryota > Metazoa > Chordata > Mammalia > Primates > Hominidae > Homo > Homo sapiens. Next base: position 94,319,828 of record NC_000014.9, on the reverse strand, counting down.
CCCACTCAACAATAACTCCCCAATCTCCCGTTGCCCCGGCCCCTGGTAACCACAATTTTACTTCTGTCCCTAGGTATTCGGCTACTCTAGGTGTAGAATTAGACTCTATTTGTCCTTTTGTGTCTGGCTTATTTCACATAACATAATGTCTTCCAGGTTCATCCATGTTGTAGGAAATGTCAGAATTTCATTCCTTTTTAAAGTTGAATAGTATTCCATTGTATGTTTATACCAGACTTTGTTTATTCATTCATCCATTGATAGACATTTGGGTTGTTTTCATCTTTTGGCTATGGTGAATAATGCTGCTGTGACTTTGGTCTACAATTATCTTTTCAAGTTCCTTGACTAGCTGCTTGCAGTTCTTTGGTGTATATACTCGAAGCAAAATTGTTGGGTCAAATGACAATTTGTTTAATTTTTAAAGAACTGTCATATTGTTTTCCACACATTGTAGCACTTTATATTCCTACCAGCAATGCATAAGGGTTCCAATTTCCCCACATGCAATGCTAACATTTAAATTAAAAAAAAAATTTTTTTAAAGGAAATCTTGCTATGTTACCTAGGCTGGTCTCAAACTCCTGGCCTCAAGCATTCCTCCTGCCTCAGCTTTCAGAGTAGCTGGGATTACAGGCACGGGCCATCATGCCTGGTGTGCCAACTTATTGTTTTCTGTTTTGTTTGTCTGTTAGTAGCCATCCCTGTGGATACAAAGTGGTATCTCATTGCGGTTTTGATATTCCTAATGATTAGTGATGCTGAGCATCTTTTCATGTGCTTACTGGCCATTTGTATGTTGTCTCTGAAAAGATGTCCACTCAAGTCCTTTGCCCATTTCTAACTGGGTTTATTTGTTTTGTTGTTGTTCTTGGGTTTTAGGAGTTCTTTATATATCCTGGATATCAATTCCTTATCAGATATGAAATTTGCAAATGTTTTCCCATTCTGTGAGTTGCATTTTTACTTTATTGATAGTATCCTTTGATGAACAAAGTTTTCAATTTTGATGAAGTCCAATTTGTTTATTTTTTATTTTGTTGCCCATGGCTTTGGTGTGATATTCAAGAAATCATTGCCAAAGCCAACATCATGAAGTTTTTCCCCCATGTTTTTTTCTAAGATTTTTATAATTTTAACTCATCTTTAGGTCATTGATCTATTTTGAATTAATTTTTGTATATGGTGTTAAAGGTCCAATTTCATTATTTTGCATGTAAATATCCAAATTTTCAGCACCACTTGTTGAAAAGGCTGTCTTTTCCCCATTGAATGGTCTGGCATCCTTGTCAAAATCATTTTACTACATATGAAAGGCTTATTTCTGGGTTCTGTATTCTATTCCATTGGTCTCTATGTATGTCTTTATGCCAGTACCACACTGTTTTGATTATTATAGTTTTGTAGTAAATTTTGAAATCAGAAAGTGCAAGACTTTCAACTTTGTTCTTCTTCAGTATTGTTTTGGCTATCCAGGTCCCTTGAGATTTTTATATAAATTTTAGGATAAATTTTTCTATTTCTGTGAAATACAGAACTGGAATTTTGATAGGAATTGCATTGAATCTATAGACTGCATTGGATAGTATTATCATCTTAGCAATTTCTTCCAATCCATGAATGCAGGATGTCTTTCCATTTATTTATGTCCTCTTTAATTGCCTTCAGCACTGTTTTGTACTTTTCAGTGTATGTCTCTTACCTCCCTGATTAATCCCTATTTTATTCTTTATCATACTATTGTAAATGGAATTGTTTTCTCAATTTCCTTTTCAAATTGTTTTCTTTGTTAGTGGTGGGAAATGCAATTGATGTTAGTGTTTTGATTTTATATCTTGCAACTTTGCTAAATGTGTTTATGAGTTCTATAGAATTTTTAGGGTTTTGAACATATAAGATCATGTCATCTGTGAACACAGACAATTTTACTTCTTCTTTTCAAATATGGATACCTTTTCTTTCCTTGCCCAATTGCTCTGGCTAGAAATTCCAGTGCTATATTAGGTAAAAGTAGTGAGAACAAGCATCCTTGTTTTGTTCCTGATCTTCGGGGAAAAGCTTTCAGTCTTTCACTATTGAGTATAAAAGGTTTTATAAATACGTAGTCTTGATTATGTTGAGGTAGTTTTCTTCTATTACTAATTTTGTTGTAGGACTTTCTACTTAGTCCAGCTAAACACGGGGTCCTTGTCACATGGCCATGAAAGATTAGGCTCACAGACACTTTGAGGTGTGAATAAAATGGAATTTATTGGGTGAAAAGGAAAACAACTCAGCAAAGCAAGAGAGAGTCCTGTTAACAGGCCCTCATCTGACTGACTGAATCCCCAGATTACCACATCGGATCAGGAGAGAGAGGCCAAGCTCCTCCCCGCTGCAAAGGGCACAAACTTCCCACAGCTCCACCCCATTCTCCCAGTGTGCAGGCCAACTGAATGTTCTCCAGGCACCTCTTTACACTTGACTGTCTCAATCTGCTGTGTGTTTTTATCATGCGAGGGTGTGTTGAATTATGTCAAATACTTTTTTCTGCACCAATTAAGATGATCATGTGATTTTTTCTTTTATTTTGTTAATATGATGTATTACACTGATCAATTTTTGTATGTTGAAACATCCTTGCATTACAGAAATAAATCCAAATTGGGTATGGCATATAATCCTATTAGTAGGCTCTCAAAATTAATTTAATCCATTATATTAGTCAGGGTTCTCCAGAGAAACAGAATCTATAGGATATATAGAAATATATATAAGAGGAGGCATTATGGGAATTGCCTTATGTAATTACAGAAGCTGAGAAGTCCCACAATCTGCCATCTGCAAGCTGGAGACCCAGGAAAGCCAGCCATGTAATTCAGTCTGAGTCTGAAGGCCTGACAACCGGAGGAGCCAATGGTGCAGCTCCACAATAGGAAAAGGGCCTAATAAGGCTGCTGGTTTAAGTCCCAGAGTTTAAAGGTCCAAGAAGCAGGAGGCCCAGTGTTCAGGGCTGGTAAACACAGATGTCCAGCTCAGGGACAGAAGAGAGAATTTGCCCTTCTCCTACCTCTTTGTTCCATTCAGCCTTTAATAGATTAAAAATGCCCACCCATATTGGTAAAGGTGGCTGTCTTTAACTCAATCCACTGATTCATATGCCAATTTCTTCCAGAAATACTGCCACAGGCCTCTTTTATGTAGGCACTAATTCCTTTTATGAGGGTAGAGCCCCCATGAATAGGTTTCCACATATGAATTTGTGGGGACACAAACATTCAAACCTTAGCAGCTGGTAAAACATTATTTTTGAGTGTGTCTGGGACAAAATAAATTGAGCAAAAATGGACATAATTGAAGGGTGAAATCGTTCTACAGCAATTTAGACACTTCAATATCTCATTCTCAATAATGGATAGAACAACCAGACATAAAATAAGTAAGAAAATAGAGAACTTGAATATCACACTAAAAGCTAGATGTATCAGACCTATACAGAACACCCTACAACAACAGAATACACATTCTTCTCAAGTGCAAATAGGACATTCTCCAAGATAGACCCTATGTTAGGCCACAGATCAAGAGTCAATAGATTTTAAAAGACAGATATCATACTAAGTATCTTCTTCAATCACAATGAGATGCAGTTAGAAATCAATAACAGAAGGAAAACTGGAAATTTTACAAATTGTGGAAAAAACAACACACTCTTTATCAACCAGAGGATCAAAAAAGATACCACCAGGGGAATTAGAAAATACTTAAAGACAAACGAAAATGGAAACACAACATACCAAAACTTATGGAATGAGTGAAAGCAGTGTGATGATAGAAATGTAAAGCTGTAAACACATTAAAAACAAGAAGATCTCAAATAAACAATGGCATATATTCAAATTCAGGTGTTAACTTTAGGATGCTAATGTAATCCCCATAATAACCACAAAGGGATGAGAATAGAATTATTAAAGTGTTTCAATACAAAAAAGCATTTCAGTACAAAAACTAAATACAAAAAAGGACAGTAATATAGGAAATGAAGAACCAAAAATGTTATATCTTCTTGCTGTACTGAAAACTTTATTAATATGTCATTGCCCTGTCTTTTGGAACTTTTTTAATTCAAAATCTATTTTGTCTAATATTAGTGTAGTCACCCCTGCTCTCTTTTGATTACTATTTGCATGGGGTAACTTTTCCATCCTTTCACTTTCAGTCAGTCTATTTACATTTTTGGATCTAAAATGAGTCTCTTGTAGACAGCATATATTTGGATCATATTTTAGAAGGCTAATGTGTAAAAATAATTTTTAGTCTTTGTTTATAATTTAGAGACTAGAAAAAGAGCAAACTAAACTGAAAAATAGCAGAAGGAAGGAAATAATAAAGATTAGAGCAGAGATAAATAAAATCAAGAATAGAAAAACAATAGAGAAAATAAATTAAACCAAAATGTAATATGTATGCTCATAATACATTTAGTCCATAGTATATTTGATATAACCAGCTTTACTTCAATAGCATACAAAAGCTCTGCTTCCTTATAGCTCTGTTCCTGTTTCCAGTTACTGATGTAACAAATTATATCTACACATCATGTGCCCAAAAACATAACTTATAATTGCCCACGCATCTACCTTTACCAGAGGTCTTTTATTTCTTCATTCAGCTTAAAGTTACTGTCCAGTGTCCTTTCATTTCAATCCGAAATAAAATGCCTCTCATTTCTTGCAGGGTAGGTATTGTGGAAAAAAGCTTACTCAGCTTTTGTTTTTCTGGGAATGCTTTAATTGTGTTTTGCTTTTCTTCCAGCATTTTGAACATATCCTTTGGGTGGGTTTTAACCTTTCTGAGCACCTATTTCTGCCTGCCTAAAATCATGTTAATAATACTTGCTTTAGGAGTGTTTTGGTAATGGTTAGATGACTGAATATAGCCAGACTACCTAGATCAGTGTTGGGTACCTGTCAGGCACTGGATAAATCATAACGGCTGTTATTCATATCTCCAGATGAGGAAACTGAAGTCCAGCGCCCTCTGTGATGTGCTCCAGGTCACACAGCCAGTGTGGAGGAAGGAACTGGGGCTTGAATGGGGTCTTTTGCCTGCCTCCTCTTGCACTACGCCCCATTGACTCAGAGACTGCCACAGCATCTAACAAGCTTTTCTGATTTGGCAGGGCCTGGCTATACTGGACAATGCCACTCCTCCTGTACACCTGTCTTCTCTGGCTGCCCACCAGCGGCCTCTGGACCGTCCAGGCCATGGATCCTAACGCTGCTTATGTGAACATGAGTAACCATCACCGGGGCCTGGCTTCAGCCAACGTTGACTTTGCCTTCAGCCTGTATAAGCACCTAGTGGCCTTGAGTCCCAAAAAGAACATTTTCATCTCCCCTGTGAGCATCTCCATGGCCTTAGCTATGCTGTCCCTGGGCACCTGTGGCCACACACGGGCCCAGCTTCTCCAGGGCCTGGGTTTCAACCTCACTGAGAGGTCTGAGACTGAGATCCACCAGGGTTTCCAGCACCTGCACCAACTCTTTGCAAAGTCAGACACCAGCTTAGAAATGACCATGGGCAATGCCTTGTTTCTTGATGGCAGCCTGGAGTTGCTGGAGTCATTCTCAGCAGACATCAAGCACTACTATGAGTCAGAGGTCTTGGCTATGAATTTCCAGGACTGGGCAACAGCCAGCAGACAGATCAACAGCTATGTCAAGAATAAGACACAGGGGAAAATTGTCGACTTGTTTTCAGGGCTGGATAGCCCAGCCATCCTCGTCCTGGTCAACTATATCTTCTTCAAAGGTATTCCCACCCATCCCCATCTGAAGGCCCATCCACTATGGCCAGGAATAACAGCCGCTAAAATCCAGGGCACACTCTTGGGCAAAGTCTTTGATTCTGTAAAGCACATACACATCTGGGAATCTCCATCTTCACCACAATCCTGCTGGGTAGGTGGAATTATATTATTTTACAAAAGATCAAAATGACACCCAGAAGGGTTGAACAATGTGCCTACATTCTGGCAGGTTGGTTTGAGGCCCACACCTGTAACCATGAACAGTCTGGCTGCTTCATGCTCCACAAATGCTGACTGTCAAGCACTGGGCCAGGGACTGGAAAAATGGCCTAGAACTAGACAGAACCCCACCCAGCCCCTTGGGAACTCCCAGATGCCCCCAAAGCCATCCTGCACACACTGCTCTGACCAGGTCCTGCTTCAGTTTTTCAATCTTCCTGTTCATAAAAACCTGGAAGCTCTAGGGGGGAATGCACTTCCAGGCTTTTTCCAGCTTCTAGAAGCCACATGGCCTGTGGGCCTCTCTTATTTTCAAAGCCAGTAATTGCAAATTCCCACCTCTGCTTCCCTCATCACATCTCTCTGATTCTGACTTTCCTGCCTTCCTCTTTGACTTACAAGAACCCTCAGGATTACACTGGATAATGGCCCACCTGGGTGATCCAGAATAGGCTGCCCATCTCAAGGCCAGCCGATTAGCAATTATGATTCCCTCTACAACTTTAATTCCCCCTGGACATGAAAGCTAACATATTCTCAAGTTCTGGGGATTAGAATGTGGACATTTTGGAGGGCTGTTATTCTGCCTGCCACAAAGCCCAGGCCTCTTCTGTCTCATGAGCCCTCTTGCAACTTATCTGACTGCCTAAAACATCTTCCCTCACTTCAAATCTTAGCTCAAAAGTCACCTCCTCTGTGAAGCCTCCCCAGAGTCACCCAGGAAAGACTTTGCCCTCATATGCATGCTCAACAGTTTGCCCATGCCTTGTTTGGGCAATCATCTTGCCATAACATGTTGTTTAGCACCCAGGTGGTTGAGTTTCAGTTAAGCAATCATATTCAAAGGAATGCAGGTAAAACAGCCAAAATAAGCAAACTAAGCCAGTATCTCTACTGAACATGTGTCTCTCGACAAGATCATCAGATCAGAGGAGATGTGATCCCCAGCCAGGACCCCTCATGCCCCCTTCCCCTCCTCCCCAGCTCTCTCTCAGGACCTCCCATCAGACTGTGCCCACCTCCCCTCCCATCCCGCACCTCCTTACTGCCTGGACTGCCTTAGCATCTCTACGAGTCCTTCTTCTCTACCTGCCTCTGGGTCTTTCCTGCTCTCCAGCACAAGGCTGGGAACTCCCAGGAGAGGCCGCCCTCTTCGCAGGATGGTGAGGCTGAGAGGCTGACCAGGCAAAGGCAGCCTTCCTAACACCTGACTATGGGAGGGCCAGGGAGGCTGGGAACATTTGCCCAGAAACTCTTCTGTGTGCTCCCACAAATTCCATAGACCATCTCCCCCACGAGACTGTGCACTCTTGTGCAGGGTATCTTTGTCTCTTTGGGAGATTCCAGTGCCCTTGTTTAATGCTTGGTGCATGGAACAAGCTCAGCAGTGGTTGCACAGAGGTTCAGGCAACACAACCTGGGGAAAAGGCACAGTAAACCCAGGTGCAGGGAGGGCCCTCCTGAGCCTGAGAGATGCCTGAGCACATGTGGTGGAATGGGTGTTGGTGGAACGGGTGCTGGCCTGGTGTCATTCTGTACGAGGTTTCACAGTGTCCTCAGGACCACAGTGGGGCTAAGTGGATAGGAGATCACAGCTTTAGGTTACAAAATCAGAGAAACTTGGAACACCTGAATGCAGGACCAGACATTGATGGAGATGAAATGCCTCATTGTACACAGATTTTCTATAATACAACAAAACGAATCCGTGAGTGTTTGGTTAAAACTTTTGGCAAAATACTCTGAAATATTTCTAGCAAGCCAGGATAATAAACAGAAATCAAGATTAGTGTAGGTATTATCACTAAATGTAGAATATGTAAAATGGCCCTGATGTGTTATTTATTTATTTATTTATTTTTATTTTTTTTGAGACGGAGTCTTGCTCAGTTGCCCAGGCTGGAGTGCAGTGGCAGAATCTTGGCTCACTGCAAGCTCCGCCTCCCGGGTTCATGCCATTCTCCTGCCTCAGCCTCCTGAGTAGCTGGGACTACAGGCACCTGCCATGACACCCGGCTAATTTTTTTATTTTTTTGTATTTTTAGTACAGACAGGGTTTCACCACGTTAGCCAGGACGGTCTCGATCTCCTGACCTCATGATCCACCCGCCTCGGCCTCCCAAAGTGCTGGGATTACAGGTGTGAGCCACCGCACCCAGCACCTGATGTGTTATTTATCGGACTTTCTTGACAGTTTTTTTTTAATAACATTAAAAATATTGTTAAAAGATTTTCCAGAGGAGCCATCCTTGCTCTCTCAGATCGTCCCCAATAAATTCTTTCTCTACCACCAATTCTCCTAGAACTTTTTGAGAATAGATCCCTTAAAGTAGAGGCTGAACCCCATTTTGTATTTTGTTTTGTGTCAAACTATATACATTATGCTTACTCCTAGAAAAGAAATACTCCATAAAAAGCAAGCAGCAAAATGTTAAGGACGAAAAAAACCTAACAATGAAAAATATTTTACCCACTTTGTTTTTTTGCTGTAAGTTAGCCACAAAATACAACTGCCCTCTGGTTCTGAGGATTTTAGACCTCCTTTGGAGGATGATTTGAGAACCCTCAAATAATCTCATTTGCCGTGAGACAGACGGACGGTGAGTTTACTACCATTGGCCAGTGTCTGCAGACATCAAGGTTAGTGAGGTCATTAAGAAGGGACCAGCATAGCTCTGGTGTCTCTAGACTCCGCAGCCATGGCTGATTTCTCTACATCCATCAGCCTCTCCCTGTTGTCTCCATAAGTAGCTATTACAAAAGGTTTGTGGCTGGCTTAGAACCAAGAATTTTGGCTGAGCAATCCATAGATCCCACAGACAGTAGGATGGAGAAAGGGCTACCTGGAGTGATGTTCTGGCCACCTTTAGGGAGCCTGGGCTGGGAAATGGTGGCCTGGCAAGGGCTTCAGGGCTTGTGGTCAATGGCAGCCAGGACACCTGGGATCTGCTGGACTCAAGGGCCTCAGTCATCACTTTAAGACTGGGGAGACGTCACCTAGAGCAGAGAGACCCTGTGACACTCAGCCCAGGTAAGTTTCCTGCAGGTGGACTCAGTTGTCTGGAATAAGTTCAGAAGAACAGAAGAGGTCCTGCTGGTGGCGGACAATCAGGCAGGCTTTGGCTCAGTCTGAGGAGCAATTTTCTTCCCATCAGAGCTGACGAGTACCGCCAAGTCCCATCTGTGAAGGTAGTGAGCTCTCCATCTCAAGGCAAAAAAACAAGCTGGATGGTGGCACCCTGGAACATGGTAGATGGGACTTGAGGGCCTGCTGGGGGTGGGAGTCTGTGACCCTGAAGGAGTCTTCTCACCCTGACTCTTCATTAGGACAACGTGGCCTAGAAGGAAGGACCATTCAGCAGGGTCAGGAGCCTCAGCTGGGCCGGCCAGGCTGGCAGGGGTGGAGATGGCCCCCTCGCTTCCCACCAGGGACTCTGAGTTTGAGACTTGAGGTCTAGCACCACTTCCAGAGCCCTCAGAACTGGGACCCACTCTAGGCATGGGGAGCCAAGGCACAGTCTGACCTACCCCCAAATCCAAGGACCAGTACCCTCTTGGTCTCTCCCTACTTCCTTGTTTAGAAGCCAGTCTCAGAAACAGAGCTCATCCTCAACCCATTCCAAGAAGTAGAGGATGAAACAGGATTTAAATTTCTGGGAATTTTTATATCTTACCTAAAAACCCTTGAGGCTTGAATGGGGACATTCCAAGCATGCAGAAGGCCACTGTGTCACTTGGATAGTAGGCCCGTGAGATCACCTGGAACTGTGTTTTCCTCTCTGCCCTACAGACCTGTCTCCTCCTCTTCCTAGGCACATGGACACAGCCCTTTGACCTGGCAAGCACCAGGGAGGAGAACTTCTATGTGGACGAGACAACTGTGGTGAAGGTGCCCATGATGTTGCAGTCGAGCACCATCAGTTACCTTCATGACTCGGAGCTCCCCTGCCAGCTGGTGCAGATGAACTACGTGGGCAATGGGACTGTCTTCTTCATCCTTCCGGACAAGGGGAAGATGAACACAGTCATCGCTGCACTGAGCCGGGACACGATTAACAGGTGGTCCGCAGGCCTGACCAGCAGGTAAGTCCTCCAGCCATCATGTTGATTTCTGCAATGCACGTGTCCCCAGAAAGTGGGGCACGTGGAAAGGGAGTATGCTGGGGCATCCTTCCTTCCCTGGACTCACCCTCCAGGGCTCAGTTTTCCTGTCTGCTGGGCCCCCAAAGGCTGTAAGTTTCCCTAATCTAGAGCTCACGCTTATTTATTGATCTGTCCATCAACACTGAAATACTTTGGGGCATTTCACAGAGTGAGGTTCCCTTTCCCTGTGAGGTTCATACATACCCTCTGCATTGTCATATTTTTGTAGCATTTTCTTAAAGTAAGTTCACCAACCACCCAGCTACACACTTATCTGTTTTGTTATCTTGCTTACCTGAAACCACGCCCTGCTAAAGATTCTTGGAAGACCCCATAGAAATATAATGAAAATGATAATGAAATGTATACATCATGGAGCCAATGCAAAATCTATGAATGGTTCTTAAGTTACTCAGGGCATCTAACTCTTCAATCAATCAATCATCAGTAAACAACTAAGAAAGCAAGGCTAAAGTAGGTAATAAGCGAGTAAGTAGAAAGAAAGCAAGGGCTGCATATCCTGAAGAGGCAGTAGCCAGGAGGAGAAGCGGCCAATGGATTCCCTCTATCTCTGACCTCAGGCCCAAGCAAGGGGCTGGTGCAGGGTTGACACTCAGGCAAGGTCAGCTGAGGATGTGAGTCAGCAATGAATGAATGAATGCCTGAATGAATGGATGGGTGAGTGAATGGATGGAAGAATGAATGAGTGAGTGAATTAATGGATGAATAAGTGAGTGAGTGCATAGAATGGTGAGTGAGTGCATAGAATGGTGAGTGAGTGAATGGATGGGTGAGTGAGTGAATGGAGAATGAGTAAATGAATGGATGAATGAATAAGTAAATGGATGCATGAGTGAGCGGATGGATGGGTGGATGGTTGGATGGATGGACAGATGCACAAACAAATGAGATTTTCCCCCTAAGCACCCCTGAGCTAGACAGTAATTGAAATTATTGTCATGCAAGTGCGCAGCCCTGCTCCTCACCTTAAAGGAGGAAGGAGGTGTTCTTAGAACATGGTCCTCACTCTCAGGGAGATTCAAGTTCCATCTGTGCAGAAGGGTCAGAAAATGCCAACCAGCATGAAACCTGGTGGCAGGGGGGCTGATGCAGACTCAGAAGCAGGGGGGATGCTGAGGAGAGAGTGGGAATGTAGATCTGGAGTAGCTCAGGAAGGCTGGTGGATCAGGCAGCATTTCATTCACTCACTCACTCATTCATTCATTCAATGTGCATTTCATTCGCTCATTCATTCAATGCACATAAACGGAAGCACTTGCTATGTACCATGCCCTAGCTAAGCACAGGGGATGGAGTGGTGAATAGGACAAAACAGAGCCCTTAAAGACATGCACTCTAGAGCAGAAAACAGATTCTGGTGGAATTAATAGTGGTACGACAATGTGAGTTCTGAGAGAGACAGACAGAGATATGTAACATGCCACTGGTTGGGAGGTGGGAATGCCTGACTCTGCCCGGGAATGGGGAAGGGCTGCAGAGCAGGTTGTTTTCCCTTGAAACTGCTTTGAGTGTGAATGGAAGTTCAGCCAGGGGGAAGTGGCCTCCAGACCCGACATGAAGTCAGGGGACCATGCCCAGAGTGCCAACAATGCAGGGCCAGCAGTAATGAAGACAAATTTGGCTTGGACAAATGTTGTGGTCTAAAAATTTTGCAGTAGATAATCTAGGAGGAAGCTCCTCTACTTTATTAACATGTAGGTTTTGTGGTTTATGGTTTCAGATTGTTTTCATTTTGAATGATACCTTCAGAGATCTATTTGATGCTGGGTGCTTCTAGAGAAGTTCATCCAGTTCTGTGAATGCACATGGAAGTGTCTGGGAATTTGACTTCTCTCCTGTAGGGAAGTCATGTAGTCAGCCCTGTGTTTCTGAGCAATCCCCTATAGCTATGTGGAGGACACAGTTCTTAAACCATCCATAACTACGCTTGAGTGTGTACACATATATATGCGTGGGTGTGAACCTGTGTCTGGGCGATGCTAGGGATCCATTTGCCATCTCTTCCTCCTTTCTACCCACCAAAGAAAACCTGTAATTTAGGTGTAATACCACAAGGGGGTGATAACGCACCATGATGCAAACAATGCATTCCAGCTCATACTCCACTGAAAATGACGGGAAGGACTATCTATCTTTCTTTACACCAAAAATAATCTTTTCATGAAAATACTTCAATGTGAGCAACATTAATCAATAATACATAACTTAAAGCCCCATCACCTTGCTCTCAGAGAGCTGTCAACAACGCAGCAGGCGGCAGATGGCAAAACTAGTCCTGGCCTTTTCAGTTCTGTTGCCTCCCAGTTGTGTGACTTTGGGGGAATTCCTCAACCTCTCTTAAGTGTTGGTCTCTCAACCTGGAAATTAAAGATGTTGATTCCGACTTCATAGGTGCGTATGTGTGTGTGTGCACATGCATGTGTGAGAGAGACAGAGAGAGGAGAAAAAAAAAGTAAAGAACATAGACCAGGTGTTTGGGATAAATTGGTCTCCCTTCCTTTCTTTCTGTTACTATTTCCGCACCTGGAGAAGGTACACACCGACTCGCCTCTGGTTCTTCTCCCTCTCCTTTAGAAAAGGGCGGCTTCCACTTCACGCAGGATGGTTGCCAGCCTCCGGGCCTCACTCAGGGCTGCTTTTGCTCAGTGAGGAGAGGGTCTCGTGCCTTCCCTCCCATCTGCCAAGAGAGCCGGTGCGAGTTCACTGACACCCCTCAGTTTCAGTGTTTTAGACATCTGCTCTCCCTCTGGGGAGAAGGCACAAGAAGAATTTAAAAATAACACTAAGGCCTTGACATGTTAAAAAGCGTAGATGCCCGTGCTGCCCCTAGTGTGACCCCACTTACCTTTCTAGAAACCCCACCTGCTTCATCTGGTAGAAACTGCCAGCTGAATCAGATTCTTGCAGAATCACAGAGATTTCGCACCCACCTGCCCTGGGAGAGCCTGTGTTCAACCACCTTTGTGTGCAGGTGAGGACATTAGCACAGAGAGGGGCTGGACTTGGCAAAGGCCACACAGCATTAGTGGCACAGCTGGAGCCAGGGACCACTGCTCCCAGCTGGGCACTCCCTCCAGTCCTCTGCTTCTAGCAGGGGTTCTCCTGGGACTAAAAAGGCTTCATTATGGACTATTGTCTTAAATGCTCCATGGTCCAGCTGCATCCCAGGTGGAATCAGCTCGAAGGAATTGCAGAGAAGAAAAGAATGTGCAATTCAGAGGCCCCGTGGGAAAGCTGCCTGTGTCATGGAGGCAGAGACAGATCCTGCCTCCTGCTCTGTCCCTTCTCCTACCCACAAAGAGCAAGTCAGGCTGGAGGGCAGGAGCTGGAGGGAGCGCATGAGGAAATAAGAGTCTGGCCAGGAGAAGAGGTGCTGCTCTCCCCTCTGCCAGGCCCAGCCCTGGAATGTCTAACTCTGTCTGCTTACCCCGAGCAGCCAGGTGGACCTGTACATTCCAAAGGTCACCATCTCTGGAGTCTATGACCTCGGAGATGTGCTGGAGGAAATGGGCATTGCAGACTTGTTCACCAACCAGGCAAATTTCTCACGCATCACCCAGGACGCCCAGCTGAAGTCATCAAAGGTAAATGTCATGGGAACCCACCTTTTCTTCCCCCTCCAAAATTCACAATATAAATATAATACTAGGAAGTGGCACTGAGTTCGTTCATGAATGAGCCTCTAGGTCCCTGGCTGAGAACCCCAGGTTGAGTCAAAGCCCCTTGTCTCACCATGAGGTAAATGGAGGCTCAGCAAGAAAACATGACATCCCCAAGATCACACAGGAAGCTGTCGACACAGGAGGGCCACAGGCCAGGCACCTACCCATCCCACCAGACCACACAGAGGGGAACTGTGAAAACCAAGTTGTCATGGCAGAGCTGTGAGTGGCCCCTGGCAAAAAGAAACAGGAAAAGTGGTAAATGTCTAATTGGGATCATATTGAGCCTTCTACCCAATTACATCCATTCAATTACATAAATCCTTCAGCTTTATGTTCTGTTATTCATGCATTCAGAAAATGTTTACTGAACACCTACTATATATCCCAAACTGTGTAGGCCCTGTGTATGCCCCCGTTACTCAGATGTGTGGCCCCTGACCTCAAGACACAGGACTTTGTGGCCTCCGTGGTACCTGGCACGTAATATGTGCTCAGTAAAATGCGTGCTGTGTGAGTGGATTGAGTCAACACAGCTGCCTTCTCAGAAGGCAGGTATTATCCCAATTTCTCAGATGAGGAATCTCCTGCTCAGGGAGGGTATGCAGCTTCCCCACAGTCACAGAGCTAGTAAATAACAGTTTGATGTTTGATCTCAGGCCTGTTGACTCAAAACCTCATCTGCTCAAGACACACTGCAGGGGTTCCAATCCCAGCTCAGCTTCTTCCTAGCCATGGGTGCCACTCACAGAGCCACCAGAGCCTGAGTGTGCTTGCTGGAAAGAGTCGCTGGAAGTTCCCACCCCTTAGGGTGTTGTGAGCTCACCAATATCACCTGTTACTTATTTAGCCAGGTTATGAGTTACCAGAGTCTTTTGATACAAGCTAGGCAGACGTTTTGCTGACTTCAGAACTCCTCCTAATTTTGATCACAACAAGGACATATCAACAGTCAAAGATTTACATTTTTAGATTCTGCCTCAGCTTTCCCAAACAGAACAGACATAGGCACTTTGCATAACTTGAACCCTAGCATTTACCCAGCAGAGTGGAAAGGGAGCAAGATCTCCCTCCGCTACCCCAGGATGGTAAGAAGCGCCCAACATGGACAGTGAAGCCCAGTTCAAGCCATGAGACTTCTAATCTCCATGTGATGGGCCCAATCTGCCCTTTGAATAGGAAGTGTAGGTGCGGCCCAGGTTCTGGAGGTGGACAGACTTGGGCTGTGTAATCCTGGGGCTGCCACTTGGATAAGAATCCAGCAAGTGACCTTCTCTGACCCTGGATTTACCTTCCTAAAACCAAGGATGTGAAGGGTCCCAGCAATGAGTCAGGAAAGCGAGAACGCACAGCAGGTCTCACTACCCATCTTCATTCTGTACCTAACAGGTGGTCCATAAAGCTGTGCTGCAACTCAATGAGGAGGGTGTGGACACAGCTGGCTCCACTGGGGTCACCCTAAACCTGACGTCCAAGCCTATCATCTTGCGTTTCAACCAGCCCTTCATCATCATGATCTTCGACCACTTCACCTGGAGCAGCCTTTTCCTGGCGAGGGTTATGAACCCAGTGTAAGAGACCACCCACCCAGAGCCTCAGCACTGTCTGACTTTGGGAACCAGGGATCCCACAGAAATGTTTTGGAGAGCGGGAGGTTTCCCCCAATCTCCTCCAAGTTCTTCTCCCTCCAACCAGAGTTGTGTCTAACTTTAGGCATCTTTTAATAAATGTCATTGCGACTCTGATGACCGGTGTGGTTAAAGAGAAGGGCAGGGGCGTTCTGGAGGTTACTGTGTTAAAGTGGTGTTTGCAAATCCCCAGGCCTGGCATCTTCATCCATGTGGGCTGCCATAACAAAGCACCACAGGCTCATGAACAACAGAAATGCATTTTTCACAGTTCTGGAGGCTGGAAGTCTGAGATCAGAAGCCAGCCTTGTTGGGTTTTGGGGAAGGTCGCTTCCTGGTTCAGGGGTGGCATCTTCTGGCTGTGTCCTCACAAGGCAGAAAGAGCAGAGAAAGCTCTCTGGGGCCTCTTTTATAAGGGTCCTAATCGCATTCATGAGAGTTTTACCCATGACCTAATCACCTCCCAGAAGCTCTAACTCTAACACCATCAACTTTGGGATTTGGTTTTAATGTATCAATCTGGGGAGACACAAACATTCAGGTCATAACACCTGGTACTGCCACAGGAGGAGCAACTCCTCTGGCCAACAAACCCTCCCCTCTTCCCTAATAAAAGACAAACTTCAGCTGAACTAAATCTAAAGTATAAATGAGGAATGAATGATTCGCAAATCGGACAGCCTCCTCAGCTGTGAGACTCCAGTGCAGCCACGTGGTGGAAGAAGATTTACAGACAGAAAAAGGAAAGTGATGTACAGAAAACAGAAGAGAGGAACAGAAACAGCCGGATTGGTTATAGGTTGATGTTTGTCTTATTTGGCTACTTTTGATCAGCCAAAACTCGGTGACTGGCACAAGTGTAGGCTATGGTCTGTTCGTCCCTCTACTTGTTATAGTTCATGATGTACTGAGAAATCTTTAGGCCAAATTTAAAATATGTAAGGAGGCCGCATTAGGCTAAACTTGATTTAACAGCCCTGACAACTGCAGACGAATGTGGCATCTTTAATTTGTCATGGGTCTTAGGGGTCAGGGCGGTGCAGGGAGGTATGTGGGAAAGGGACAGAATCCCAGCCAGGTCCATGAGAGCTAAGATACTGAAGGTCTTTTAAGGTTTCTAGTCTTTAAAGTTTCCTGGGGCGGGGGGGGCGGGGCAGGGGTTGGACATTTCTGGGCCCCCACCAGAGCAGCTGACGCTGGAAGCCTGTTGTGGGTGAACAGTGGAGTCTTACTCTAGAAAGATAGGAGGAGACTCAGCAGATGTGTGTGATATGGTTTGGCTCTGTGTCCCCACCCAAATTTCATCTCAAATTATAATCCTCATATGTGGAGGGAGAAGCCTGTAATCCCCATGTGTCCAGGGAGGGAGGTGATTGGATCATGGGGGTAGTTTCCCCCATGCTGTTCTCATGATAGTGAGTTCTCATGAGATCTGATGGTTTTATAATTGTTTGACATTTCCTCCTGTACACACTGTCCCTCTCATCTGCTGCCAGTAAAATGTGTCTGCTTCCCCTTCCGCCATGATTGTAAGTTTCCTGAGGCCTCCCCAGCCATGTGGAACCATTAGTCAATTAAACCTCCTTTGTTTATAAATTACTTGGTCTTAGGTAGTATCTTCATGGCAGTGTGAAAAGAGAGTAACACAGAATCAGTTCCAACATTCATTGGTTTTCCTTTCTTATTGCAAAAGCAACATGCACTGAAGCAAAACCCCAGGTAGAGGCTGGGGTTGGGCCATCTTATGGCAGTTGCCCTAACACTGCGCTAATATGATACTACCCCCTACAGCGCCAGGAACACTGTTTCTGTTTGGTGAATGATTGAATTCGTCTTATTCATTTTTTCTTTTTTTTTTAGCTTTTTCTTTTCTTTTTTTTAATTATACTTCAAGTTCTAGGGTACATGTGCACAACATGCAGGTTTGTTACATATGTATACATGTGCCATGTTGGTGTGCTGCACCCATTAACTCGTCATTTACATTAGGTATATCTCCTAATGCTTTCCCTCCCCCCACCCCACAACAGGCCCCAGTGTGTGATGTTCCTCTTCCTGTGTCCAAGTGTTCTCATTGTTCAATTCCCACCTATGAGTGAGAACATGCGGTGTTTGTTTTTTTGTTCTTGTGATAGTTTGCTGAGAATGATGGTTTCCAGCTTCATCCATGTCCCTACAAAGGACACGAACTCATCCTTTTTTATGGCTGCATAGTATTCCATGGTATATATGTGCCACATTTTCTTAATCCAGTCTATCATTGATGGACATTTGGGTTGGTTCCAAGTCTTTGCTATTGTGAATAGTGCCGCAATAAACATAGTGTGCATGTGCCTTTATAGCAGCATGATTTACAGTCCTTTGGGTATATACCCAGTAATGGGATGGCTGGGTCAAATGGTATTGCTAGTTCTAGATCCTTGAGGAATCGCCACACTGTCTTCCACAATGGTTGAACTAGTTTACAGTCCCACCAACAGTGTACAAGTGTTCCTATTTCTCCACATCTTCTCCAGCACCTGTTGTTTCCTGACTTTTTAATGATTGCCATTCTAACTGGTGTGAGATGGTATCTCATTGTGGTTTTGATTTGCATTTCTCTGATGGCCAGTGATGATGAGCATTTTTTCATGTGTCTGTTGGCTGCATAAATGTCTTCTTTTGAGAAGTGTCTGTTCATATCTTTCGCCCACTTTTTGATGGGGTTGTTTGTTTTTTTCTTGTAAATTTGTTTGAGTTCTTTGTAGATTCTGGATATTAGCCCTTTGTCAGATGAGTAGATTGCAAAAATTTTCCCCCATTCTGTAGGTTGCCTGTTCACTCTGATGGTAGTTTCTTTTGCTGTGCAGAAGCTCTTTAGTTTAATTAGATCCCATTTGTCAATTTTGGCTTTTGTTGCCATTGCTTTTGGTGTTTTAGACATGAAGTCCTTGCCCATGCCTATGTCCTGAATGGTATTGCCTCGGTTTTCTTCTAGGGTTTGTATGGTTTTAGTTCTAACATTTAAGTCTTTAATCCATCTTGAATTAATTTTTGTATAAGGTGTAAGGAAGGGATCCAGTTTCAGCTTTCTATATATGGCTAGCCAGTTTTCCCAGCACCATTTATTAAATAGGGAATCCTTTCCCCATTTCTTGTTTTTGTCAGGTTTGTCAAAGATCAGATGGTTGTAGATGCGTCTTACTCATTTTTTTGTTTTTGTTTCTGTTTTTGTTTTTTTAGTATGCTTTTTACATCATTGACTTTTATAAGCTAACCAATACAGTTTTAAAATTTTCATTTTTAAACGAAAAGTGGCATTTCAGGCCAGGCACAGTGGTTCACACCTGTAATCCCAGCACTTTGGGAGGCCAAGGCAGGTGGATCAGTTGACGTCCGGAGTTTGAGACCAACCTAGCCAACATGGTGAAACCCCGTCTCTACTAAAAATACAAAAAATTAGCCACGCATGATGGCACACGCCTGTAGCCCCAGCTACTCAGCAGGCTGACGCATGAAAATTGCTTGAGCCCAGGAGCAGAGCTTGAAATGAGCTGAGATCACGCCACTGCACTCCAGCCTGGGCACCAGAATGAGACTTCTCTTAAAAAAAAAAAAAACGCATCTCAAATAAATGGGGCAAACAAACTGTGTTAAAACATTTATTTAAAATGTTTGGGGACAATCGGGTAGCCAGCTGAAAGACAGTGTAAATTAGAATCACTGTCATCCTTACACCAGGATCAATTCCTGATAGATCAAAGATTTATATAAAAAATTGAAATCCTAAAATAAAAAGTATATAATGAATGTTTTAAAAATAATCTCATAATGAGAAAGACTTATCTAAGAATGCTATAAATCCAGAAATGACTAAAGAAAAGATAGATACATTCAACCACACAAACATTTTTAAAAGTATAATCAAATTTAAAAGGCAAATAACAAAGTGCCAAAAATCTTGCCATTCATATCCTTAAATAGCTAATTTATTCTATAAGTCATAAAATTCTGGTTGACTGTAGGATAATGGTAGCTGCATGAATATTTCTTACACATCACCCCAACAAGCTATAAAATCAGCAGTAGTGCACATAAAACTACACATGACCTAAGCCCTCACCATTACATCACCACATGAAATTGGAGCCCCAGAAGGGGGCAGTTTAGGGGACAGGAAAATATTTTAAGAAATAATGGTTAAATTATTTTCTAAACATGATGAAAACTATAAATTCACAGTTCCAAGAAATTCAACAAGCCCAAAGCAGGAGAAAGAACACCAGCCAAGGTGCTCTTTTAATAATCAATAATTAAAAATCAATTTTAATAATCAAATTCCTTAAAACTAAAGATAAAGAGAAAATCTTAAAAGCAGCTAGAAAAAAGGATATATTACATACAGGGCACAAAGATCAAAATAAGGATTGATTTCTCATCAGAAATTATGCCAGCCAGCTGAAATGATACACAAAGAAAGGCATATTACCTCTGCCATATTTGTGCCCAACGCGTACAACCTAAAGTTGACATGTAAAATATCAGAAAATTCCAAATTGAAAGACGTTCTACAAAATATCTAGCCAGTATTCTTCAAAAGGTCATAGGTCAAGAAAGACAAAACCTGAGAAGCTGTGCCATACTCAAGGAGAATGAAGAAATGTGACAACCCAATGCAACATTGGGTTCCTGGATTGGACCCTGTACAAGAAAAAAGGATATTGGTAGGACAACTGAAAAAAAGCTTGAATAATGACAATATACAGAATCACTGCAATTTCCTGGTTTTGACCATTATACTATGTGATATGGTTTGGTTCTGTGTCCCCACCCAAATCTCATCTTAAATTGTACTCCCATAATTCCCACATGTTGTGGGAGGAACCTGGTGAGAGATAATTTGAATCACAGGGGCAGTTTCCTCCATACTGTTCCCATGATAGTGAATAAGTCTCACAAGATCTGACGGATTTATCAGGGGTTTCCGCTTTTGCATTTTCCTCATTTTCTCTTGCCACCACTATGTAAGAAGTGTCTTTCACCTCCCACCATGATTCTGAGGCCTCCCCAGTCATGTGGAACTGTAAGTCCAATTAAACCACTTTTTCTTCCCAGTCTCAGGTTTGTCTTTATCAGCAGCGTGAAAACAGACTAATGCAGTAAATTGGTACCAGTAGAGTGGTGCACTGCCTAAAAGATACCCAAAAATGTGGAAGCGACTTTGGAACTGGGTAACAGGCAAAGTTTCAACAGTTTGGAGGGTTCAGGAGAAGATAGGAAAATGTGGGAAAGTTTGGAACTTCCTAGAGACTTGTTGAATGGCTTTGACCAAAAGCTTGATAGCGATATGGACAATAAGGTCCAGGCTGAGGTGGTCTCATATCGAGATGAGGAACTTGTTGGGAACTGGAGCAAAGGTGACTCTTGTTATGTTTTAGCAAAGAGATTGGTGGCACTTTTCCCCTGCCCTAGAGATTTCTGGAACTTTGAACTTGAGAGAGATGATTTAGGGTACCTGGCAGAAGAAATTTCTAAGCAGCAAAGCACTCAAGATATGACTTGGGTGCTGTCAAAGCATTCAGTTTTATAAGGGAAGCAGAGCAAAAAAGTTTGGAAAATTTGCAGCCTGACAATGTGGTAGAAAAGAAAAACCCATTTTCCGAGGAGAAATTTAAGCTGGCTGCAGAAATTTGCGTAAGTAATGAGGAGCAGAATGTTAATCCCCAAGACAATGGGGAAAATGTCTCCAGGGCATGTCAGAGGTCTGCATGGCAGCCCCTCCCATCATAGGCCCAGAGGTCTAGGAGAAAATGGTTTTGTAGGCTGGGCTCATGGTCCCCGTACTGTGTGCAGCCTAGGGACGTGGTGCCCCGTGTCCTAGCCATTCCAGCCATGGCTGAAAGAAGCCAACGTCGAGTCAGGCCGTGGCTTCAGAGCGTGCAAGCCCCAAGCCTTGGCAGTTGCCACGTGGTAGAGCCTGCGAGTGCACAGAAGTCAAGAATTAGGGTTTGGGAACCTCCGCCTCAATTTCAGAACATGTACAGAAATGATTGGATGCCCAGGCAGAAGTTTGCTACAGGGGCGGGGTGCTCATGGAGAACCTCTGCTAGGGCAATGCAGAAGGAAAATGTGGGTTGGAGCCCCCATACAGAATCTCTATGGGGGCACTGCCTAGTGGAGCTGTGAGAAGACGGCCACCGTCCTCCAGACCCCTGAATGGTAGATCCACCGACAGCTTGCGCCATTTATCCGGAAAAGCCACAGACACTCAACGCCAGCCCGTGAAAGCAGCCAGGAGGGAGGCTGTACCCTGCAAAGCCACAGGGGCAGAGCTGCCCAAGACCAAGGGAAGCTACCTTTTGCATCAACGTGACCTGGACTCAAAGGAGATCATTTTGGAGCTTTAAAATTTGACTGACCTGCTGGATTTCAGACTTGCATGGGCCCTGTAACCACTTCGTTTAGGCCAATTTCTCCCATTTGGAACAGCCGTATTTACCCAATACCTGTAACCCCATTGTATCTAGGCAGTAACTAGCTTGCTTTTGATTTTACAGGCTCATAGGCAGAAGGGACTTGCCTTATCTCAGGTGAGACTTTGGATTGTGGACTTTTGGGTTAATGATGAAATGAGTTAAGACTTTGGGGGACTGTTGAGAAGGCATGATTGGTTTTGAAATGTGAGGACATGAGATTTGGCAGGGCCAGAGGCGGAATGATATGGTTTGGCTCTGTATCCCCACCCAAATCTCATCTTGAATTGTACTCCCATAATTCCCACATGTTGTGGGAAGGGACCCAGTGGGAGATAATTTGAATCATGGGGGTGGTTCCGCCATACTGTTCTTGTGATAGTGAATAAGTCTCACAAGATCTGATGCCTTTATTGGGGGTTTCTGCTTTTGCGTCTTCCTCATTTTCTCTTGCCGCCACCAGGTAAGCAGTGCCTTTTGCCTCCCACCATGATTCTGAGGCCTCCCCAGCCACGTGGAGCTGTAAGTGCATTTAAACCTCTTTCTCTTCCCAGTCTCGGGTATGTCTTTATCAGCGGCGTGAAAATGGACTAATACACTGTGGTTATGTATTATAGTCATATGATATTTTCATATTTTTGGAAGCTGGGTGAAGGGTAGATGTGGAGACCATGATTTTTGCAAATTTTTTTAAGTTTAAAGTTATTTCTAAATTAGAAGTTTAAAAAGAAGAAATCACATAAGCCATAACACAATAGAAAGATGT
Source organism: Homo sapiens (assembly GCF_000001405.40). Classification (NCBI taxonomy): domain Eukaryota; kingdom Metazoa; phylum Chordata; class Mammalia; order Primates; family Hominidae; genus Homo; species Homo sapiens. The sequence goes on along the minus strand of NC_000014.9, from coordinate 94,297,146 downwards.
CTTTAAAGTTCAAGGCAGGAGGGATGTCTGGAAATCAGCGAGAAATTTGCACCTGTGTGTGCATGTGCATATGTGTGTGTGTATGTTGCAAGGACTTGGAAAGCCCTTTTTTTCCTACCTCTGTACTACTGTGGGGGGAGGCTAAACTTGACTTCTTCCCATCTTAGTTCTTTTTTGGGATAGACTCCTGTAACAAAAGACAGACAAGAGAAAAATCAGCTTACAACATGGGCCATGCACTTCACACAGGAGAAACCTGCATGAAAAGTAACTCAAAATGGTGCCTTAGAACTCCACTTACCTTTAGTAAAGAGCAATAAATTAGCAGGAAAATCATGGATCGGGACAAGGGAAGTGGTTTTATGCTTCCAAGGGCAGGAAATCATGGAAGGTAAATATATGGGAGGAAACTAAAGGAATAAGGCTTGTTTGCATATTCCTCTGATGCCATCTCTGGGTTGATAAGAGTCTAGAGTCATTTCCAGTAAAGATGAATTTTTATCTGTCTTTAGGAAGAAAGGGGGAAAGATAGAGAAAACTATTTCTCCATTTGCTGTTTCTTAATTACCTTCAGTTCAAAAATAATTTTTATATCAGAAAGGCATATTTAGAGGTATGTTAGTTTATTTTCACACTGCTAATAAAGACATACCCAAGACTGGGTAATTTATAAAGAAAAAGAGGTTTAATGGACTCACCGTTCCACATGGTTGGAGAGGCCTCACAATCAAGGCAGGTCTTACATGGCAGCAGGCAAGAGGGAGAATGAGAGCCAAGCGAAAGGAATTTCCCCTTAAAAATCCCCTTATAAAACCATCAGATCTCGTGAGACTTACTCACTACCACAAGAACAGTATGGGGGAAACCACCTCTATGATTCAATGATCTCCCACTGGGTACCCCCCAACAACACGTGGGAATTATGGGAGCTACAATTCAAGATAAGATTTGGGTGGGGACACAGACAGACCATATCAAGGGGTAACATAGTCTGGTTTCCTTTACTACCCACCTACCCAAACACCCCCTTCATCTGATCCACACAAAGTAAACTCTTGCAGTTCTCTCACTGTTTCCTGGAGTCTGCTTTTGGTCTCATAGGACTGCCCTAACGCTTGTTTTTCAGACGTTTAACCCTGTAGGTCTCTGGACAAATTTGCTTTAGAAGCCCCTCGATGTCGCCCTGAAGAGTGGCTTTCAGAAGTTGTGCCTCCTGCCTGAGGGGAGTTCCAGGAAGGGTTCTGCATCGCCTATGAGTTTATCTGGATCACCAGAGGCCTTCCCGTCAGAGCTTTCCCAATCGTTTTTGGCCAAGGAGTGTGAGAAGCTAAAGTTCATAACAACTGGAAGTCAGACAGCCTGGTCTATTCTGCTTTAACTCTAGCAGGAAAGGCCTTCATGGTGGGGCCTGAATATCTTCCTTTATAAAATCAAAGCCTGGGGACAGGGTTACTTACTTCTGAGGTTCAATCTGGCTCTAAAATTATGCAACAAATGCCATTCCTTTAGCACTTCCTTCCTACCGGGCGAGATACTCAACTCCACAGGCACCACCTCAGTTCATCCTCTCAGAAGTCCTAACAGCTCAGCCTGGGGCACCCCATTTTACAGATTAGTAAACTGAGGCTAAGAGAGGTTAGGTAGCTTGTTCAGGGTCATGCTGCTGGTAAAAGAGCTCAGGCTACAGTGCTATGCATTGAGTTTTCTCACTTTCCCATCTAACTGGAGGGCTAAAGGTCAAAGAGTGGGCAGCTCCCTTGTTGGGAGCTGTACAGGAATAATGTCCTCCCTGAAGGAGGGGGACTTCTGAGCCACACCCTGGGGTCCAGGGCTCACAGCCTTAGGAGCAAAATCGTCCACCCCCTTCCTGGTTCCTCGGTGCTGCAGAGATATTCATAGGACAGAGTCTGAGTTCTGGCCACTTAACAGAGGAAGAAAGGCTGGCTCGGTGAGGTTAACTTACATCCCAGCAGCTAGGAACCGGGAGCAGAGGACCTCAGATTCACACCAGGGCAGGAGGCAATGGCCTGGCTGAAGCCTTCACAATCTTCCCAATATACTCCGCTGCCTTCCTTTATAAGGATCCATTTCTGAAACCCTGTGCCCTGGCCAGGCACGGTGGCTCACACCTGTAATTCCAGTACTTTGGGAGGCCAAGGCAGGAGGACCACGAGGTCAGGAGTTTGAGACCAGCCTGGCCAATATGGTGAAACCCCGTCTCTACTAAAAATAGAAAAATTAGCGTGGTGGCAGGCGCCTGTAATCCCAGCTACTCGGGAGGCTGAGGCAGGAGAACTGTTTGAACCTGGGAGGTGGAGGTCTCAGTGAGCTGAGACAGACAGTGCCTGGGTGACAGACAGAGACTCCGTCTCAAAAAAAAAAAAAAAAAGAAAGAAACCCTGTGCCCTAAGACCTGCACACTCGCTGGCTCCGCTCAGACATTTAGCAAAGCAGACACCTTCCCAGGCCTGGAGGAAACAGCCCCTGCTTTTTGGGAATCCACAAGCCCGCAGCTGCAGAGCTCGACCTGGATGGGCAGGCAAAGGCTGACTCCTGTGCGTGGTGTGAGTCCAGCCTGGCCCCTCTACACCCTCACTTTCACCTCTTAAAGAACTGCCTATTAACAGAGCAGGTACTGCCCAAAAGGAACACTCTGGAAACTTGTTGGGACACTTCTGCCTTTCACAAACGTTTGGGGGGAGTACTACTAGCATTTAAGGATTGAGGGTTAGCAATGCCAGACATACCAGAACACGCAGGGCAGTCTCCCATGATGAAGAGGCCGCCGGGTTCCCCAGGACTCACATGTCCACCTCAAGTTCACGTGGGATTATCTGAGCCTAGACTGTCAGTCCTGGGGCTGCTTTATTTCATATAAAAATATAATATTTATCCAAGGTTTTACTACACACTGCATTTTCTGTGAAGACAATGACCGTGTAAATCAGGGAAAGATCTATATTTTATTTTGTTTGAAACTTTACCAAGCATTATTTACCATTTCAAAAGCTCTATCCCTGGTAGTACCATTGGTTTTCTTGTTCACCGGCCAGCAGTGAGCAGCACACAAGCGACCTCCCGTGGGCTCCACATTGGACAGCCTCACTGCACCTGCCCAGGCCCTTAGGCCACAGCACTGCCATATTCAGGGACACATTATTCTCTTTTATTATGCCTCCATATTATCATTACAGCATTATCTTTTTTTTAATTTTGTGGGTAGATTATATTAGCTATACGTTTCACTTCAATGGTAGTAGTAAGGGGCACATAACAAAATATTTACTTATATATATTAAAAAAGAGAGTCTGAGAAGTCTGAAAAGTTTTGCCATAAACGGTCTCCACCAGCCTCAACTCTGAGTGCCCGAGGATTCAGTCTCAAGTCCAGCAACATTGTGAAGCAGGAAATTTACCTTGAAAGGAGCTATGTACTCTAAGTAGTGATTTACCTGTCTGCCTCCCCCACTGGATTGACCAGTTCCTTGGGGGCTGAGAGAACAGGTCCTGAACATTTCTGCTGTGCCCCCCAACCCACATCCTCATAGTGTCCAGTACCAGGCTGGGGACTCAGGAAGCATCCATGGGATCCCCCAGTGCCTTCTTTCTCGAGGTGTTCAGCACCTAGAACAGCTCAAGACAAATTCCCCACACCCCACCCAGACAGAGCTGAATCTTACTGGGGCGAAGCCTTGAGTTGCAAGGCAGAAGCTCTCGTGATGGGATTTGGGTCATATTCCGGGTTATAGGAGGAGCTGGGGAGTATGGGAAGCCTCCCACTTGGTCTTTGGTTTTCCAGAAACTCCACCATCACAAGCAGGATGTTAATCAGTAACCGTCCCACAGGGGATCATACTTTGGAATAGCAAATATTTGCTGAAGGTTCTGGGCTGCAAAGCTGAAGCTTTGGTTTCTGCTCTAAATGAAGGACTTTTCCAGGACCCAAGGCCACACACTGGTAAGAGGCAGTGGGTTACAGGAGACCTTCAATGAGTCTAATCAGGGAGGGACCGGGAAGGATGGTATCATCCCTGGGCGGGCTCCAACGTGAGGGCTGTGTGGCTGAGCAGTGCAAAGACCTCCATCCTACACTCCACAGGGACTGTACATACAGATTGGGAGCTGGAGTGGGGTAAGAGGCGAATTATAGACACAAGGGGCTCCTCTGCAGGAAGGAGGCCAAGGGAAAGAGGCTTGAAAGGCTTGATATTTCACCCACCACCACTCACTGCCGGAGTAAGCAGGTCTCCCCTTCCCAGGGCTGAGGGGAGGCAGGGATGTGTGCTGTCCCAGGGCTGAGAAGTGGCAGGTGAGCTGGTGATTCCTTACTGCCCAGGTTCTGTCTAGGAAGGTGCGTCCTCACCATGCTGGATGGTGTCCTAGTCCAGGAGCACCCCCTGAGCTCCTGGCCTAGACTCCAAAGGGTTGGGTAGATGAGCAAAGACTTTACAAAGACCTTAGGCGATATATGTCCAGGAGCACCCAGGAATTACTGGGCTACCACTGCAGACTGCAGGACAAGCTCCAAGAACAGGAAGGTAAGACTCAGCATTTGGAGGTGGTGACATCTAGTTGGCGTGCTGGGCTAATTTCCTGACCATTGTACAGGGAGAAGTAACCTTGAATTCAGGAGTATTCTGTGTGGTCTTAATGTAGAAAGTAGCACTAAATGATGCCACGTAATCGTTTTAGCTCAGGCTCCTCTAACAAAACACCACAGGCTGGGTGGCTCCAACAGCCATTGATTTTTCACAGTTTTGGAGGCTGAAAGTCCGAGTCAGGGTGCCAGCGTGGCCGGATTCTGGTAGGGCTGTCTTCTTGGCTTGCAGATGGCCACCTTCGCACCGTGTCCTCCCATGGAGAGGAGGTGCGGAGGGGGACTCTGCTCTCTTCTTATGACAGCACTAGTGCTATCACAGGGGCCTTGCCCTCACGACCTCATCTAAACCTAATCACCTCCCAAGCGCCCCAACTCTATTGCCATCACAATGGTGGTTCGGGCTTCAACTTATTAATTCTCAGGGGACACATTCAGTCCATAACAATAAAAGCGTGAAACTGGGCTGCGTTTACACTGAAAGAGCTATTTACCCAACGTTTACAATACTTGGGTGACCTGTTGAATGCAGGCTTGCCATTTAGAGTCAAAAAGAGCTTCCTCAACAGTGTCCTTTGGGAAACACAGTGGAAGTATTTCACTGCTTCTACAGGGGAGAGGGTAGTGCCGTTCAGACTGCAGAGTGAGGCCCTGAATTCCGGGGTGCCATTCAGCCCGAGCAAGGGGCAACATGCTGGGCCCTGGCGCTGGAGGCGGTTTTGTCCCAGGCATAGATAAGGACTCAGCCCCTGCATCAGGAAGAGGCCTGGCAGCACCGCCTGTCAATACATTTTGCCGCAGGTGACCTTGGTCAAGAATAAGGGTCTCTGCTGATGGGAACTACTGTGAGGCCGGCAGCATCCACCCTGCGCTCACTGGGCTGGGTGGCCTACCCCACCCAGACCCTCCCAGGGCAGTGGGCCCAGAGAGAGGATGAGGGAGGGCAGGTGTCCCAGGGGTTCTGCCCAGCCAGCCTCTGGGATCAGGCCTGCAGTGTGGCTGAACACCAGAACTGAGTTTGGACACAGCCAGGTGGCCCAGGCCAGTCCCAAGCCATGTATTTGGATGGAAAACATGGAAGTATTCAGGAGCCAGGCTCTGTGTCCAAGGATGTGGAGGGAGCCTAAAAGGCGACAGAGAAGGGGACAGCTAACGGTGAAGAAGTGTAGCTCCCACACTGCAGCCTAGGACAGTGAGAACCGGCATGCAGCCCAGGTGGCTGAGGGCTCTATGAAGCCACAGTGGAGGGAGCCCAGAAGTGGGTTGTATGAATTGCGGGGCCTCCTGCTACCCGGGAGCTGCAGCTATAGGAAGGAAGGAAGGAAGGAAGACCTCCAAGGAACTGTGTAGCAGAGGTGCAGTGCAAAGAGAATTTTGATAAAAAATCCAGGAAAGCTCCAATACTTTCCCCCTTCCTTGCCTAACGGGCATGCAGGCACTCCAATCCCCAGCCAAACAGGGCACTGGGCAAGGCCGGCCACCCATCTGGATGGGCAGCCTGACGACCAGATGGTCAGGGCAGTGAATGAAGCAGATCAAGGAAAGGTGTGTGAGGACCCCTGATTCCACCTGCTTGGACCCCCACCTTCTGTGCTGCCTCCTGCTCCCAGAGTGGACTCTCTTGCCCTGGCCCTCAGGGAGGAGACGGGATGAATGAAAACGGGGTCAGGACTGAGAGCTGCCTGCCGGCCTGGCAGGGAATGGGAACTGGAGGAGGTTTTGCTCTGTGAAATAATGTCCCCTCTTTGGGTGAGCAAATGTCACCCACACTTGCTCTAGGTCTCCCTGGGGCAGGGCTAACCTACTTGAGCCACAGGAAGGAGGCAGGGTCCCTGAAGAAGCTTTTACTATCCACAAAGACATTTTAGGAGGCATTAAAACCATCTCTATCCTCTCCTCTCCACAGGAAGTCTTGCAGCTGAAGGGAGGCACTCCTTGGCCTCCGCAGCCGATCACATGAAGGTGGTGCCAAGTCTCCTGCTCTCCGTCCTCCTGGCACAGGTGTGGCTGGTACCCGGCTTGGCCCCCAGTCCTCAGTCGCCAGAGACCCCAGCCCCTCAGAACCAGACCAGCAGGGTAGTGCAGGCTCCCAAGGAGGAAGAGGAAGATGAGCAGGAGGCCAGCGAGGAGAAGGCCAGTGAGGAAGAGAAAGCCTGGCTGATGGCCAGCAGGCAGCAGCTTGCCAAGGAGACTTCAAACTTCGGATTCAGCCTGCTGCGAAAGATCTCCATGAGGCACGATGGCAACATGGTCTTCTCTCCATTTGGCATGTCCTTGGCCATGACAGGCTTGATGCTGGGGGCCACAGGGCCGACTGAAACCCAGATCAAGAGAGGGCTCCACTTGCAGGCCCTGAAGCCCACCAAGCCCGGGCTCCTGCCTTCCCTCTTTAAGGGACTCAGAGAGACCCTCTCCCGCAACCTGGAACTGGGCCTCACACAGGGGAGTTTTGCCTTCATCCACAAGGATTTTGATGTCAAAGAGACTTTCTTCAATTTATCCAAGAGGTATTTTGATACAGAGTGCGTGCCTATGAATTTTCGCAATGCCTCACAGGCCAAAAGGCTCATGAATCATTACATTAACAAAGAGACTCGGGGGAAAATTCCCAAACTGTTTGATGAGATTAATCCTGAAACCAAATTAATTCTTGTGGATTACATCTTGTTCAAAGGTACTTTGATAATGTTCTGCTCTCCCAAGGCCACAGGGCCCTACGATTGTCTCTCCCTTTCCTTTCGTTAGGCCAGCATATGATTAACGCTACGTGATTTTCTATGAATGTGTTTTCACGTTTCAAAAACAGATTGATACACATATTGAACAGTGCCAGACGCTGTCATTTGAGGCCCTTCCCTGGTATCCTATGTGCTTGTAGTCCTTATTATTTTCAGAGCACTCTACATAGCTCCCCTCTGACACTTAGAAGCATAGGGTCTTTCCAAAAAACAGGGGGCTGGGGGATTATCTGGGGGATTTAGGATTGCATCATTGCTCCTTCATTTTTACTTTTTGACCAACTCTCTGCCCTTAGATTCCTATTATAGAAAATAGGGACACTCCACCTACTACAGTGTTAGAGGCTAAATGAGACAATGAATGTAAAGTGCCCAGATGGGCTTGGCACATAGCAGACACTGAGTATCTATTGTTTACTTGTTCTTCCAAACTGCCAATCAGCAGGTAGAGCAGGAGTTGTCTCCTTTCTAAAGATGAAACCAGCTCAGAGACGTTAGCTTGATCAAGGTCACACAGTAAGTGGCAGAGGCAAAACCCAAACAAGGGCCTCCTGACCCCCTGATCCTAGGTTCTGTCCAGCCCTGCCTCCCTAATGGGGCACTGGACGTGGGTTGGATGCCACTTTCGCAGAGCTGGCACCAGACTTACAAAGCCCCGGCAGGGGAAGCCACTTTACAACCAGCCAGGCCACACCCCCAGGGCAGACGTTTATGTAGAGAGTAATGTACCTGCCTGCTAGTAGCCTCTGCATTGTGGGGCCTTCTCTCAGAACCACACTAAACAGTGGGTGGGTGAGAAGTGTCACTCCTGCCACCTTGGACTCTGCATGTGCTTGTGCCTGGTGTGAATGAGACAAAGTGGCAGTCAGAGGTGCCAGGCAAAGGCTTTTCTCTAAGCTGGAGCCAACTATGAGGGAACGACTGTGAATTCCGTTCAGGTCCAGGACAATGAGAGGAGCCAGGGATTGTTAGGAAACATTTCCCTGCTTTCGTGTGCGATTCCCAATAGGGCCTGCGAGTGGAGCTGCATTTTGCTAGCTGGGCTAGAGGACGGGGAAAATTTTGGGGAAATTTATTTTGCCTGCCTGAGCTGTGGAAAAGCCAACCCAATTAGGGAACGCCTTTCCTAGTTGGAACGAGAAGACGAGAAGTGAGAGAAGTGAGATAGAAGGCTCCCTCTCTATTATTTGAGCAAGAACAATGCTTTTCAAAGAGGGAATTTCTGCAATGAGTTCTTCTCTTACTTGTTCAGGGAAATGGTTGACCCCATTTGACCCTGTCTTCACCGAAGTCGACACTTTCCACCTGGACAAGTACAAGACCATTAAGGTGCCCATGATGTACGGTGCAGGCAAGTTTGCCTCCACCTTTGACAAGAATTTTCGTTGTCATGTCCTCAAACTGCCCTACCAAGGAAATGCCACCATGCTGGTGGTCCTCATGGAGAAAATGGGTGACCACCTCGCCCTTGAAGACTACCTGACCACAGACTTGGTGGAGACATGGCTCAGAAACATGAAAACCAGGTACAACTCTTGCCCACACCCTATACAAACTCTACCTTTCTGTACTGGCAAACGCTCAGCACAATTTCATTGAATGCACCGTGATTTAATGTCTCCTCCAGTGAGCTATAAGTTTCCTGAAGGCAGGGCAGCATTTGTCTTTTTTTCCACTCTATCCCCAGCATCTGTCACAGGGTGCCTGGCTGATTCATTCATTGAGTCCATCAGTATTTTACGTTCTGCGACTGTGATAAATATATGATGCCAGGGATCCATCAGCAAACAAAACAGGCAAAATTAGTCTGCCCTCATGCAGCTTACATTCTATTGAAGGAAGACAAAGAGTAAATTAAAAATAGGTAATAATGCAGGGAAGGGGACAAGAAGCATCATCAGGATGCAGATGGAGGTTAGACAAGGCCTCTCCAAGAAGGTAACAGTAAGCAAACATCTGAAGATGAAGGATAAACCATGTGGATATATTCGGGGAGAGAAGTGTTATGTTACAGGCAGAAGTGTACAAGTTCTGGGATGGGAGTGTACCTGGTGGGTTTGAAGAACATCAAGGAGACAAGTGTGGCTTCAGCAGTTGGAGATAAAATCAGAGAGGAAACAGGGGCCCAGTCCCCAGAAAAGACTTGGGCTTTCCTGAGAGAGGCAGGAAGCCACTGGATGGTTCTGAGTAGAGGAGCAACCTGATTTTGACTTCTGTTTTTAAAGGATCACATAAGCTCCTGTGTTGAGAAAAGACACTAGGGGGTAAGGATGGAAGCAAGGGAGAGTGGTTAGAAAGTTACTAGCAATCCAGGTAGAGATGCTGCTACCTGGACTGCGGTGGTGGTAGTGGAAGTGGTGAGAAGTGGCTGGATTCTGGATCTATTAGGAAGTGCAGGATCTGCTAATCGATTGGATGTGGGTGAGAGAGGTGTCAAAGGTGATCACAAAGTTTTTGGCCTTAGCAACTGGAAAGACGGATTTGCCATTTACTGAAAGGGGGAGGAACAGGTCTGGGGTAAGTGCAGAAGTTCAGTCTTAAACACTTGGATCAGAAATATCTATTAGACATCCAAGTTGAGATGTCAAGACGACAGGTGGATCTGGAGTCTAGGGTGAGGTCCAGGCCGGAGATATAAATTCGGTCATCAACACAGAACTAGAATCTAGACACATGACAGGGTTGGGGTCTGTAAATATAGAGGAGAGGAAAAGAAAGCACAGAGTGGGCACTGAAATGTCTGCCCAATAAATTAATCCACCTATTGGAGTACAAGGAAAATGGCTGCAATACGAATTCCATGGCTATGGCTTCTGAATCCTGTGACTCAGATTTTGGCAGACAAGTGCAGCTAAAGGTCCCCAGGGTTAGTTTTATCTTCATTATTCTTCTTTCATTTTTCTTCATATCTTTAGCACCTAACAATGAACCCCAAACATCATAAGCCCTCAAGTAATGTTTGCTGAATGAATAACTTTTTAAATTAATCTTCAAGACACGTCATGTCCTCAATTATTTTTAAATAAATAAAAAAATTTTATTTTGAGCCACAGAACTCATCTTTTCAAGCAACATATTTTCAAAGGAGGACTCCAGTATACAAAATAGATGGTATCAGAGCTTCTCTGGCTAAAGACGGGTAGGGGTTGAAAGTTTTCTTTGCTCCCCTCCCCATCCATCCCCAGACTCCTCGGGTCTGCAGAATCCAGGAGCTGAAAACAGCCATCATCCAGGAGGCTGCAGGACTGCTGAAAGCAGCTGTTAACTCAGGTTTTTTTTAAAATATAGGGAAATGAACACATAAGTACTTTGCTAAAGAAAACGTGAGTCACTGGCTGAGGAATAAAACTCATTCACTGAAGCTGAAGTACTATTTGATAAGCTAGAAATATTTTCCCTGAGTAGACCACTGTAAAAGAATGGCATGAACTACATAGTCAACTGAAAGACTCATTAATGGAAATAATCTTAAAGAACAAAAATTGTGACCTTTTTGGTGTCCACAGACTAGGGCTTTGTCTACATTTCACCATCATCTGTTCTTGTACCACAGAAACATGGAAGTTTTCTTTCCGAAGTTCAAGCTAGATCAGAAGTATGAGATGCATGAGCTGCTTAGGCAGATGGGAATCAGAAGAATCTTCTCACCCTTTGCTGACCTTAGTGAACTCTCAGCTACTGGAAGAAATCTCCAAGTATCCAGGGTAAGTCAGGATCTTTCATCAGAGCCCAACCTCAGCATGAAATGTCACCAAAACAAATGCTTTTACAAACCATTTAACTTTGATAAAATACCTAATTGTAGTGGAAAATTAGATTTAAGTCCCAAATACTTGAAATAGCACCCAGGTTGGATGTTTTAAGAATTTCAAGCAACTTCATTAAAATAACTTTTCAACTAATTTATTTTAAGCAGACCTCTCCCCCTCTGCTTAAAGTGCTCAGGGAGAAATTTGACCCTGAAATAGAACTGGTTTACAGAGGCATCATCATTTATGTTGAATACAACTTGAATAGTTCATGAAATTACACCACCTTTACAATGAAACAAACCCCTAGACATCATCTAGCCCAACTTCTCCCTCCTTGTGGAAATCCCCTCCATAGCCCTACGAAATAGCCCTCCAACTTCTCTTCCTCTTCATGCTTCCAGTGACATCAAACTCACCATTTCTTTGAAGAGCTGCCCAATCCACAAATAGCTAAAATTGTTATATGTATATATATATATGTGTGTATATATATGTATATATGTATGTGTGTATAAATGTATATGTGTGTATATGTGTGTGTGTATATATATATACACACACATATATATATATATGGAGAGAGACATACATATATATATGGAGAGAGAGAGAGAGAGAGTCCTGTAACTTCTGATTCATACTTTTTGGTCCTAGTTCTATCTCTAAAACTTCTAAGAACAAGTTTAGTCACCATCCACATAGAATCCCTTCAGTTACTCAGTGTTTCTCAGTGGAAGGGTTCTTGGTTTTGAGGGGAACTGCTTGTTGTCCAGAGCAGTTGTGCATGTTGCAGGGAACTGGTTAGCATTGCTGGCCCATGTTCACTAATGCCAGTAGGAAACTCCAGTCATCACTATAAAAATGCTCCCACACATTTCCAAATGGCAGCTACATCTCTCTACATTCTTCCTTAGCTGTGTGGTTTAATATTTTCTTATACAATTGCAATTTTCAATTCCAAGAGAGACTAAAAATGGCATCCACTTAAGTAGGACACAGTAGGGTAACTGTGGCCTGGAATCAGGTCTTACAACCTCAAGAGAGGTAAGACAATTAAATAAAACAATCCGTCAGACCAGCACCTGAAAGTGTTTCTGCTATGAACACATGAAAAACTGAAATGCGCTGCTGCTTTATGAAGGGTCATCATGAAATTTAAACTGTAAATGATTAAATATTCTCCCTCTGTTTGCTCTGGGGAATTAATTTTCCTCTAGGAAATCAGGGAATTTCCTGGAGTGAAAATCAGTGTAATTACATGTTATGTTTTCATTATCTCTTATAACACAGTAATTATATAGGTACATCACTCATATCACATCTTGTTTCTGTAAAAAAGGGCCTCCCAAACATAGCAAGCAGCCACAGTATAGGCAGCCAGAATTCAGGAAGGCTCCAGGGACCCCTGGGCTTGGCCCAGAAAAATGCCTCAGAGTAGTACCAGGTGCTGGGAAGCTGCTACAGAAGACTAGCCATTCCCTGCCTCCACCTTGCCTGCCAAAAGGAAAGTCAGAGGACTCAAGGGATCCAGGGATCAAGGGATCCAGGCAGCTTGAAAACCTTTTAGGAGCACCAGCTCAGCTCAAGAATTAGTAGCATAAATTACATGCTCAATAAAGATTTGATGCATGAGTGCATCCTGAGTCCATGCCCGGAATGTGTTTCACATATTCCACAATACTTCACATTGGGTTCCTGAGGTCTCCTGGTATTGTTTAAGACTCCTGTGGCAGTCCCTGGTGCAACCCCAGACCACTCCTCTTAACGTAGATGGGCCTGCTCCACTAAATCCCAGGAGCATGACCCCATGGGTAGGACCACTGTGAAGAATTTCAAGGGGCTCATTTAATTCCTCCTTTGCACTGCCACACAAATGGTTTTTCACATTATTTCCTTTTTCCAGGTTTTACAAAGAACAGTGATTGAAGTTGATGAAAGGGGCACTGAGGCAGTGGCAGGAATCTTGTCAGAAATTACTGCTTATTCCATGCCTCCTGTCATCAAAGTGGACCGGCCATTTCATTTCATGATCTATGAAGAAACCTCTGGAATGCTTCTGTTTCTGGGCAGGGTGGTGAATCCGACTCTCCTATAATTCAGGACACGCATAAGCACTTCGTGCTGTAGTAGATGCTGAATCTGAGGTATCAAACACACACAGGATACCAGCAATGGATGGCAGGGGAGAGTGTTCCTTTTGTTCTTAACTAGTTTAGGGTGTTCTCAAATAAATACAGTAGTCCCCACTTATCTGAGGGGGATACATTCAAAGACCCCCAGCAGATGCCTGAAACGGTGGACAGTGCTGAACCTTATATATATTTTTTCCTACACATACATACCTATGATAAAGTTTAATTTATAAATTAGGCACAGTAAGAGATTAACAATAATAACAACATTAAGTAAAATGAGTTACTTGAATGCAAGCACTGCAATACCATAACAGTCAAACTGATTATAGAGAAGGCTACTAAGTGACTCATGGGCGAGGAGCATAGACAGTGTGGAGACATTGGGCAAGGGGAGAATTCACATCCTGGGTGGGACAGAGCAGGACAATGCAAGATTCCATCCCACTACTCAGAATGGCATGCTGCTTAAGACTTTTAGATTGTTTATTTCTGGAATTTTTCATTTAATGTTTTTGGACCATGGTTGACCATGGTTAACTGAGACTGCAGAAAGCAAAACCATGGATAAGGGAGGACTACTACAAAAGCATTAAATTGATACATATTTTTTAAGATGTTTGTGCAATCTGTCTGGTATTTTAAGCTTGTTTCTAAGAACCTTAGTTACTTGGCTAAAGACTAGCTGGGTAGAATATCTTTTCTCTGTTGCTCACATATTTTCATTTTTAAAAAGTTGCAGATGAGAACACTATGTCAAGATAAAGCCTTTGGGAGGAACACATGTAAACATTCTCCTTGAGTCATGTGCTTCTCTCTCTTTCCTTCTCTCTGGTGCAAAATAAGTGTTTTATTTTAATCTATTACGGAGTCATTTCTTGCTGACTGACATCAGAAGAAAATAGCTCTAACCAGTCCTGATCACAGCATCTGCTTCCATGGTGCATCAAATCGCTTGGCAGAGGCATTGGCTGAATCACAGATCATCTAGTTCAATACCTTCATTTTACAAAGGAAAGAAAGAGGGACCCAGAAACAGGTCCATATTCTTACTTTCATGGGCCCTAGGCACGTTTAACCTTGTAGACTCCTCCTTCCTTCATGAAGATATATATGTTCTATGGCTGCATTGGTAGAAAGATGAATATATTCGTCTTTCAAAGTTGCATATCTAGCTTCAAAGTTATATGTCTAGCATATGGCAATAAGCAAAACACCTTCATGGGCCCTTACAGTACTGTCAGCCTTGGGCACTGTGTCTTCTGCATCTAGTGGATAAGTCATACCTTATATACCAGTGGGAACAAAATACTTGTCCAAGGTCTTCCAGTGTGGCAATGGCAGAGTCAGAAGCCTACCTTTCCTGAGTCTAGTCTCCAAGCCCTTTTTACTCTTCCTTCCATCTAAAACATCTGATGGGGACCAGGTAAACAGCATGCACTACAGCTACCCATGGGGGTTAAACAGAATATAAGCATGAACTTTGTCCCAGGGTGAAAAGGAAAATCGTAAATATCCCTGATCTTCCTTAGGCAGTTATTTTCTGTCACAGAAACAGAAAAGACTATATTCAGAGAATCCTGAATAGAGCTGATTTACAGTGTGAACTATGTTAACTAAATGCCTAATTGGATTTCTGTCTGTCTGCTATCTAATGTTTAAAAAAACCTAAAATTCATTTATTGATTAGTTGTTTAATATAATTCAGAGTAATGTGAATAGGTAATAATATTAATATGCAGTCTAAATACTGACTTTTCATCATTCCATAACCTGGACTGATGAAAAGTCAGTATTTAGACTGCATATTAATAAAATAAAATTCATTCCTGTATTCATTCCAAGAGTACTAATTGACACTTATGAAGGGACAGGCAATTCTAGGCCCTAGAGGGCCAAAGACAGAGGACTAACTCTATCTGACATTCTTAAGTCACCTTGTTTGTGTTCAATTAGTCAGATTTGTTTGTGGAAAAATAGTAGAAAGAGGAATAAAGTAGCATCCAGTCCAATTTCCCACTTTTAAGAGATGAAATCTGGAAAAATAAGTCTGTGAGAGCACAATACTCACTGAAATCAATATGGCCAAACCCAGTAATAAAAAGGTACATTATTATTGAAGGATTCATATAGCATGCAGATAAAAAACTCCTGCCTTCTTCCCACCACATACACTGCAAAGCAACAACAGCATAATAATTGTATTTAATATACTACTCTTTAAGGTAGAAAATGGACCTATTCTATATTTTAAATATACTTTTTAATGTTCCCTCACATTTGCTTTAAGAAGTTCCTAAGACACTCAGTTTCAGATTTCCCAAGTACACAGGCATGACAGAAAAACGCAGACCAATAAAAAATGTAACTTACCTTACACAAATACATACACACAAATTCAGGGTTTCCAACCGAGCGGGGGAAATCTTAACATTGTAGAAGTCTTCACTATATATGTGTCGAGTTTTTGTTTTTGTTTTTGTTTTTGTTTTGAGACAGAGTCTTGCTCTGTCACCCAGGCTGGAGTGCAGTGGTGCGATCTCAGCTCACTGCAACCTCCACCTCCCGGGTTCGTGCCATTCTCCTGCCTCAGCCTCCCGAGTAGCTGGGACTACAGGCACCTGCCACCACGACCGGCTAATTTTTTGTATTTTAAGTAGAGATGGGGTTTCACTGTGTTAGTCAGGATGGTCTTGATCTCCTGACCTTGTGATCTGCCCGCCTCGGCCTCCCAAAGTGCTGGGATTACAGGCATGAGCCACCACGCCCGGCCAAGTGTCGAGTCTTAAAAATTGTTCCTACACAGACACACTCAACCACACGTTCTCACATATATATGCTGTAACAACTGAGAACAGGTTACTGACTTAATCTAATTCATTCTATCTTCATTGTAAAACTTCCACTCCAGCTGAAGAGCCTGTTTCATTTCAATTCAAAGATTTCTCATATATCCACTAATTGTATGGCAAAACTGACTCATCTCCAGACTAAGATATTCAAGCTCAGGAAGTCAAATAATAGAAATGATTTTTTAAATGTGTAAGAGGTTATAAAGAAAAACTTTATGTGCTCCTTATTTAACCTCTATTAAGTAAAATCCTTTATAGACCTATCTCCATTTCTGCAGTAAAAGTGAGCTCTACAGTTAGCTTGTAAGGCTAACTAGTGAAATTCCTGGACTTGTTCTTAAAAATGCAAGTTTTAGTAATTAACAAAATGATGATGAAGATGTCCCTTTTCCCTACAACTACAGATGGAGGGAGATTTTTCTTTGCCATACAACTAGCTTAAAGGATTAATTTGATAAGTTGTTAAACTGAGAACTTTCACAAAAGTATCCATCTTGTTTTTGATATAAATGGAGATACATGTAGTTATTCATAACTGTCAGTAATTTGCTGTTTATCCTGTTTCTATATATCTGTCCTTGAGAGTATAATTTTAATAAATATTTCAAAGATTTTAGGAAATGTCATGTTCTGTTAAAAAACTTCCAAAAGTAATTTTGATGAACAGTTTTGATAACTTAGTACTAACTAGGACTAAGACTGCAATTGACTGCTCTACATTCCTGAACTTTATAAGCAGTAGTTGTTTCTCTCTGTCAAATCAGTGTCCCCTTTTCCCATTTGCATCATGGGAAAGTGAAACCTTATAATTCTGCTAAATTTATTATAACAAATACATTGAAATTCTCCATTTTATTAAATTAATAGAATGTTATGAATCAAAGCACCAAAAAAACTGATGCAATTTTGATGTCTCGTTCTGTACCACATTCTCCAGATCTTAATATATTCAGTTCCACATTATTGGTGCTAGTAGGAGACATAATGAAAACAGTTAAATGAAATCCACAGCGAGTATACTGATTAACCAGTACTGTCAAATTTCTCATACCTATTGAATTTTAACTACTGACAAAATGAGCAGTAACAATTCCATTTACCTGATTGTCCTTTGGCAAAGGATATTATTAAGAATCACTAAAAATAGCCATAAAGAAGCCATATGGAAGGAAGAAGGAAAACAAATGGCATGAAAAGGTCTCTCACTGAGTAACTATGCTCTTATAGTTGACGCTGGTATATTTCTTTTATTCACTACCTAAAAATGAACTATCTTACTCTTTAATTATAGAATAAAAACTGCAGGAAAGTATTTAAGACTTTTTTTCACAAACACAGGTATCTCATTAACCTATGTTTTATTTTGAGTAAATTCATTATTCATTATTTCACATTATAAAAAGTAACCACACATACATATGCATTCACAAATTAGATCATCTTTATCATACATCAATATATTTTAAAAAACAAATATCTTCTAATATCAATATAGTTATATGCTGATTGCATTTTGAAATAGAGAAGCTGACAATAGCTTCACACGGTATATCTCAAGAACTGACAGTTTAAAATTAAGAACTGTATATATTCCACAGGCAAATTTTGATGGAAATATTAGCATTAGTACAAATAAATGCTGTTGACATAGCTTAAGCATGATAGCTTGGAATAACAGCTGATTCAGACTAGATTCATCATTTTAAATAAAGACAAGTACAATCTAAAATGTAAACAAAGTATTTATAAAATAAATTCTCTAGGAAATAAAGAAAATCATCAATCTATTATTTTTAAGGTATTTATAGCTCAAAGTTACCAGAAATCTTTGTGGAATTTTCACTGCCAAATTTAAATTTGGGAATGTCCGGGTACAACATATTGTCACCACAATCCGGAGGGCCGCCAAAATCGCAGACGGCTATTTGCATCCTTTCAGTGTGACTTTTCAAGTGGGCTTGGAGACTCATGAGAAAATGCAGTATCTTTCTCACCTTCCAAGTCCCCCTCCAAGTGCTTATCAAGCTAGGACAATTCAGCTGATGTAGACTTTCATACGATTTTTAAATGCTAAAACTCTAGAACAATTAAATGGCTGGTTTCCTGCACAAATAAATGCAGACTTGTCTCTTTTGCAGCAGTGGTTAAAGCACATTCCTAGAGATGTTTTTCATTACACTTCACTATAACATTGGAATTCCGTAACCACATTATTACTCAAGAAATATATATTATACCTCCTAGGGAATCTAATTTGAAATATGAAAAGTTTAACATCAGCTGTCATTATGTCTCTCTTTCTGCTCATTAACAACAACAAAAAAAAAAACCCAAAATTTAAAAACAAAGCCCCAGCCACTGCTTTAGCTTTTGTGTACCAATCACATTATCTCCTGCTGCCTTTGTTTTGCCTCCTTCATCAAGCAGTTGATTTAAGGATTGGATTTTCTGGATTTTCTTTGGGAAGAAAGAAATGAAGGAAGAGAGGGAGGGTGGGGAAGGAGGGAGTGAGAAAGGGAGAAAAAGAAAAAAATATGAAAAATGTTATTCATATAATGTGTACAAAGTAAATTAAAAATATATAGATACTCTACTTTGAATAATTCTAATATATGAGAAGTCTGATTAAGGGAAAAAATGAATTACACATTAAAGATTACTTGGAATGATCTTTAATTACCAAAAATTCTGTGTATATATATAACATAGCATTCAATTTAATTCATATTTTTCCTACATTTTTAATTTTGTATAACCATAATGGAAGTTACATAGGCATAAATATATGAACTGCCTTAAAAGACAAGATATAATAACATACCTATGCTTCCTTTAAGACACTAATATTCCTAAATACCAAATGTGTCATCTCAATGACACTGAAAAGCTGGGGAATGTATTGCATAGAATTTGAGAAGCAAAAATTAAGATAAATTATACTTTCCAAAATCACCTCATAGGCTTATTTTAAATGAAAAGAACATATTTTCACTTGGATATGGCCTGTTTTGAATTGTGGATACTATTTCACAGAAGAAAGACCAATGTGGATATCATCACCCATCCAGCCATGTGGCAGTGTGCACTCAAGAGAGATCCATATAAGTGCCACATCAGATGGAAATATAGTTACAAACTTGTATACCCAGTCACAAGTTAAAAAAGCAACTGTGGATATCAACGTCCCTCCTTTAGAATCAGAAAAGACTAAATAAACCTGATGTGTTATCAAAATGTTTGTTTCTAGATTCACTTTTTAATCAATTATACATATATATAAATTATATAAATAACTACATACTACGTATGTTGAACAAGAAAAAATTCAGTCTATGAAAAGGAAAAGCATGCTCAACAGTGAAACAACAGATAAAGAGAGTAATCTGAAAGAAAGGAGAACCAGCATAAATATACTGGGTTTCAATGGTCTTTACTGTAAAAAATGCCTATGGCATTTAGAAAAATATAGCAAGTGGACAAGAGATTACTTTTGATGTTACTAAATATGCTCTTCAACAGAAGAATTTCAGGGCAATCTTTTCAGAGGAAGAGGGTTTAGGGTAATAAAGAGGATTTCAGGATGCCAGAGCTAGAAGGCACCTTAGAGGAGGAGGAACCATGAGACAGCCCTGTCATGTGACAGACATGCACAGCGAGGGCCAGTGCGCTGAGTTGAACTTTGCACAACCACTTAGCTGCTGCTGGGAACGAGGCACACAAAGCTCTCTATACACCATTACCATGTCCTGCCTCTGTTTTCATGACTTTTTTTTTGAGACGGAGTTTCACTCTTGTTGCCCAGGCTGGAGTGCAGTGGCGCAATCTCAGCTCACTGAAACCTCCGCCTCCCGGGTTGAAGCGATTCTCCTGCCTCAGCCTCTTGAGTAGCTGGGATTACAGGCACATGCCACCACAGCTAGCTAATTTTTGTAATTTTTTAGTAGAGACAGGGTTTCACCATGTTGGCCAGGCTGGTCTCAAACTCCTGACCTCAGATGATCCACCTGCCTCGGCCTCCCATATTGCTGGGATTACAGGCGTGAGCCACTGCACCTGGCACTTTCATGACTTTTAAGTGGAACTTCCATCGTATAATCATGGGAGCAATAATTGTATAGCTAAAGAGCATTCTCTGTAAATAAAAATATACTCTGCATTGACATTAACCTGTAATATCAATGTTCATTTTTTTCTATTACTATTACATTTTTGTAATAGTACATTGGTCCTCTTTCCTTGAGCTCTAGTCAATAAATTTATTTCTAAACTTATTTCTAAATTTTGAATGAAGTTGGGCATATACCCAACGACCAATTACAATTTGGAATACACATAGTTTGGATGTTTGTCCCTGCCCAAATCTCATGTTGAATTGTAATCTGCAATGCTGGAGATGAGGCCTGGTGGGAGGTGTTTGGATCATGGGGCTGATCCCTCACGGCTTGGTGTTTTCTTTGTGACAGTGAGTTCTCGCAAGATCTGATCATTTAAAAGTGTGTGGCACCTCCCCCAACCCCACTTTCTCTCTCCTGCTCCTGTTTTTACCATGTGATGTGCCTGCTCCTGCTTCACCATCTACCAGGATAATAAGCCTCCTGAAGCTTCCCCAGAAGCAGATGCCGCTATGCTTCCTGTAAAGTCTGCAGAACTATGAGCCAATTAAACCTCTTTGCTTCATAAATTACCCAGGCCCAGGTATTTCTTTATAGCAATGCAAAACAGCCTAAATCAGATCCTAAAAGGGACTCCAGCACAGTTTTTGCAAAAGAATGTATTTAAGAAACTTTATTCAAAAATGCCCATGCATTCACTAAAATACATTTAAAAGAAAATCTAAATCTTGTTAAAAGTCTGTTCCAACCAGAAGGTTCAGGTGTCCTATATGAAATGGCTAACTTGTAACTATGGTTTGGGTATCCTGGCTGAATCATTTATACCCTGATATAGTCTCTTATCATGGTGATTTTTATGGTACCCCTCTCTTAAATATTTAAGGTAAAAGAAAGACTTCAGCAAATCAAGATACAAACAGCACATTAAAAGGAATCATGGGGGAAAAGGAGAAAGGAGGCCCTTTATAACCTCAGCTTCAAGACACAAGTACAGTCTGTAAATCTCTTCAGTTTATTGGACTCACAATTCTGGGTTCCATGCTGCCACTTATTTCTTAAGTGACATCAGCTTTACCAATCTTTCTGCACACTGGGTGATTAAATACCATATCCTTAAGCTAGGTGTTTAAAGGGATGCCTTCTTAGAGATAAATTCCCTAAATGTAAACATTTCATAGAAAAAAAATAGATTTCAGACATTAGTGGGAGCCATTTAAATGTTTCCTGTTGATTCCCTAAGGTTATAATGCCTTTGCCATATATAAGTTATTCTATATAAACTAACATAACAGAGTCACATGTGACAATAATACCCTTTAATTTATAACATTTTCTCATCACAGACATTTTCTATTCTTTGGAAAGTACTTAAGTGGGAAGGAAAGTGTGTTAAGCAAAAGAGGAGGATAATACACTCAGTCTGACATCACTTGATTACTTACAAGGTAGCCTTCCGTGGTTGTGTATCTTTACTTCCACTGCTCTTGGGGTCAACTGAGTTACCTGTCCCACGGGAAGTACTCGGTAAGGGAGTATTAGGAGAAAAGGAAGATGGAACGCTACTGGCATTACGAGTCCGGAATGAATCATCTGAAAGCAATACATATAAAGTCAGACATACCAAATATACTAACAAAGAGGGTAACCAAAGAGAAGAAAAGGTTAATGATAGCTAACTTTTTCACCTTTTAAATCAATTTTATGAGGGTATAATTTACATACAACAAACTGCAAAAAGTTAAGGTTTTGACATATGTACACCCCCATGAAGTCATCACCACAATCAAGATGTGAACATGTCTATCACTATGAAACAGTCCCTCATACCCCATCACAATCCTCCTCCTCCCTCTCCAAACCACTCCTGTCAACTATAAATTAGTTTGTATTGTCTAGAATTTTATATAAATGAAAACATACAGCATATACTCTTTTTTGTCTGGCTTCTTTCATTCAGCATAATTTTGAAAATCATTCATGTTTTATGTATCAATACTTCCTTCCTTTCTATTTCTGACTGGTATTGTGTGAATCTGTCAAAATTTGTTTACCCATAATATCTGTTGATAGACATTTCTATTTTTTTCCAGTTTTTATATATTACAAATAAAGCTGCTATGAACACTCACGTACAAGTCTGTGTGTGGACATATGTTTTAGTTTCTTCTCAGTAAATGCCAAGGAGTGGAAGTGCTGGGTCATAGACTAAATATATATTTAACTTCAAAAGAAACTGCCAAATTGATGTGCAGAATTTCTTTTCTTTCCTGACATTTCTGCCAGGAACATGTGAGTATTCTGGAGAGTTACTCCACATCCTCACACACACTTGATATTGTGAGTCTTTCTAGTTTTAGACATTCTAGCAAGTGTGAAGTGATATCTCCTTGGGTGCTTTTTTTATTGCTTTTAAATTTCCATTTCCCTAATGATTAGGACGTTAAGCATCTTTTCATGCACTTACTTGTGTATCTTTTGTGAAGTTCATGTTCAAACCTTTTTCCCATTTTAAAATTGGTTGCCTAATTTTTACAAAGACATCTTTGTATATATTCTGGATACAAATTCTTTGTCTGGTACATATGCTATGAGTATTTCCTCCAAATCTATGCCTTGCCTTTTATTTTTTTAATGCTCTATTTCAAAGCCCAGACGCTTTAATTTTGATTAAGTCCAGTGTGTTGATATTTTTGTTTTATGGTCAAGATAAATCTTTGTGTATTCCAAAATCACAAAGACTTTCTTCTGTATTTTCTTTAGAAAATATAGACACTTTTATGCTTAGGTTTATAATACATTTTGAGTATAGTATAATTTTGTGTATAGTGATAAGACTTGAGATTCACAGGAACGGAAAGTCAGATACTGCCTGTTTTCACTTATAAGTGGGAGCTAAATAATGTGTACATGTGGTCATAGAATGTAGAATACTTGTCACTGGAGACTAGAAAGGGTGGGAGTGTCAGAGGGGATGATGGATGAGAAATTACTTAATGGTAAAATGTACACTATTAGGTTACACTAAATGCCCAGACTTAACCACTGTGTAATATATCCATGTAATAAAACTGAACTTGTATGCCTTAAATTTATATAAATTTAACAAATAATTAAGGTTCAGGGTTTGTTTTTGTTTTTGTTTCTTTAATATGGATATCCAATGGTTCCAGCACTACTTTTTAAGTAGACTCTATTTTTTAGAACAGTTTTAAGTTTACAGCACAATTGAGTGGAAGGTACAGAGATCTCCCATATCTTCCCATTCATATACAGCCTCCCAACTTCAATGTCTCCCACCAGTGGTACATTTGTTGCATTGATGAACCCACATTGACATGTCATTATCACCCAAAGTCCACAGTTCACATTAGGATTCACTCTTAATGGCGTACATGCTACGGATTTGGACAATATATAATTGACATGTTTCCATCGTTTTGGTATCATACAGAGTGTTTTCACTGCCCTAAAAATTATCTGTGCTCCATCTATTCATTTCTCCTTCCCCCGAACCCCTGACAACTACTTATCATTTTACTGTCTCCATAGTTTCATCTTCTCCAGAATGTCATATAGTTGGAATGTTTCGATTTGCTTCTTTCACTTAGTAGTATGTATTTAAGGTTTCTTCATGTCTTTTCATGGCCTGATAGCTCATTTCATTTTAGCACTGCATAATATTCCACTGTCTGGATGTATCACAGTTTGTTTATTCATCTACCTACTGAAGAATAATTTGTTTGTTTCCAAATTTTGGCAATTATGAATAAACATTCATGCTCAGATTTTCGTGTGGATGTAAGTTTTCAACTCCTGTGGATAAATACCAAGGAGCACAACTGCTAGATCATATGGTAAGAATGTCTGGTTTTGTAAGAAACTACCAAACTGATGTTCCATAGTGGCTGTACCATTTTGTATTCCCACCAGCAATGAATGAGAGTTCCCATTGCTTCACATCCTCACCAGCATTTGCTGTCAGCGTTTTGGATTTAGACCATTCTAATAGGTGTGTCATGGGGCTTCATTGTTTTAATTTGCATAAACCTGATGACATATGAGGAACATCTTTGCATATGCTTGTTTTCCATCTATATATCTTCTTCAGTGAGGTATTTATTCAAGTCTTTGCCCATTTTTTAATCAGGTTGTTAGTTTTCCTACTGTTAAGTTTTACAAGTTTTTTGTATATTTTGGATAAAAGTCCTTTATCAGATTATGTGTTTTGCAAACATTTTCTCCCAGTCAGTGGCTTGCCTTCTCATTCTCTTGACAGTATTTTTCAAATAGTAGTTTTAATTTTAATGAATTTCAGCTTATTCTTTATTTCATAGATTGCGCCTTTGACATGGTATCTAAAATGTCATTACCATAAGCAGGGTCATCTAGATTTTCTCCTATGTTAACTTCTAGGAATTTTATAGTTTTGCATTTTACATTTAGAACAGCGATTCATTTTTGAATACATTTTTGTGAAGGGTGTAAAAGATCTAATTTTGTTTTTTCATGTGGGTGTCCTATTGTTCCAGCTGCATTTGTTTGAAAAGACTATCTTTTCTCCATTGTATTGGCTTTGCTCCTTTGTTAATGATCATGTGACTACACTTACGTGGGTCTATTTCTGGGCTTCCTATTCTGTTCCTTCAATCTGTTTGACTATTCTTTTGCCAATACCACACTGTCTTGATCGCTGTAGCTTTATACTAAGTCCTGAAGTCAGGTGGTGTCAATCTTCTAGCTTTGTTCTTCTTCATTATCATGTTGGCTATTCCGGGACTTTTCTTCTCTAGGTAAACTTCGCAACAGTTTGTTGATATCCACCAAATAACTTGTTGGGATTTTGACTGAGACTGCATTTAGTTTATAGATCAAGTTGGGAAGAACTGACGTCTTGACAATATTGAGTATTTCTAGCAATGAACATGAGACATCTCCTTCTTTATTAGTTCTTTGATTTCTCCTATCAGAATTTTGTAGTTTTCCTTATATAGATCTTGTACATATTTTGTTAGAATTATGCCTGAGTATTTCATTTTTCTGAGTGCTGATAGTAAATGGTATTTTGCTTTTAATTTTAAATTCCTACCTGTTCACTGCTGGAATATAGGACATACTCAACTTTGCACATTAACCTTACATTGACCTTCATATATTACCCTTATATTCTGCAACCTTGCCATAATCACTTCTTAGTTCCAGGAGTGTTTTTGCCAATTCTTGTGGATTTTCTACATAGATGATCATGTTATCTGTGATCAAAGACAATTTGAGTTCTTCCTTCCAAAATCAGTATATCTTTTCTTTCCTTTTCTAGAACTTCCAGTATGATGGTAAAAAGGAATGGTGAGAGGAATACATCATTGTCTTGTTCCTGATCTTAGAGGGAATGCTTCTGGTTCCTCACTACTGTGATGTTATCTGTAGGTTTTTTGTAGATGTTCCCTATCAAGTTGAGGAAGTTCTCTATTCCTAGCTTACTGATGGTTTTTATCATGAATAGGTGTTGGGTTTTGTCAAATGTCTTTTCTTCATGTATTACCATGATCATGTGATTTTTCTTCCTTGGCCTGTTAGTGTGATGTATTACATTAAGGGTTCTTCAAATGGTGAATTAGTCTTCTATAACTGTTATAAATCCTACTCAGTTTTGGTGTATAATTCTTTTTATATATTGTTGGATGTGATTTGCTAATTTTTTTGATAATTTTCACATTTGTGATCTTGAGAGATGTTGGTATGTATTATTCTTTTCTTGGAATGACTTTGGTAGTTGGGTAATGCTGACCTCACAGAATGAGTTAGGGTGTATTCCCGTTGCTTCTATCTTGTGAAAGAGATTGTAGATAATTGGTAAAATTTATTCCTCAAATATTTGGTAGAATTTATCAGTGAACCCATCTGGGCTAGATGCTTTCTGTTTTGGAAGATTATTAATTACCAATTCAATTTCTTTAATAGATATGAGCCTATTCAGATTGTCTATTTCTTCTTCTGTGAGTTTTGAATTGAGTCTTTTTTTGTTGTTGTTGTTGTTGTTTTTTTTTTTGAGATGGAGTCTCACTCTGTCTCCCAGGCTGAAGTGCACTGGCATGATCTTGGCTCACTGCAACCTCGTCCTCCCAGGTTCAAGCGATTCTCCTGTCTCAGCCTCCCGAGTATCTGGGACCATAGGTGCACACCACCACACCCAGCTGATTTTTGTATTTTTAGTTGATAGGGTTTTGCCATGTTGGTCAGGCAGGTCTTGAACTCCTGACCTCAGGTGATCCACCCGTCTCTGCCTCCCAAATTGCTGGGATTACAGGCATGAGCCACTGCACCTGGATGAATTGTGTCTTTCCAGGAATTGGTCCATCCAGCACCATTTTTTAAAATATTATTCTATCACCATTGATTTATCTTTGAAGCCTTTGTTAAAATCTACTGACTATATATGACAACATAGAACACAATGTCTTGATTACCAGCATTTTATAGTAATTGTTGAAATCAAACTTATATTTAAGTTCTCCAGCTTTTTCTTTTTCAAAACTATTTTGGCTACACTGGGGTCCTTTTGCATTTCAATACAGATTTTTAGAATCAGCTTATAAATTTCTGCAAAAAGACTACTAGAATTTTAATTAGGATTTCACTGAATCTCTGGATCAATTTAGAAAAAAACTGACATTGGAACAATATTAAGTTTTTCAATCCATAAACATGTTATATTTCTCCATTTATTTAGGTCTTTAGCTTCTTTCAGCAATATTTCAAAGTTTTTTATGTATCTCTAGCATATTTTGTTAAATTTGTCCCTGAGCACTTAGTGTTTTTGAAGATACTGTAAATGTTATTTTTTTAAATAAACTGTCTTTTTCAGAACAGTTTTGATTTACAGAAAAATTGAGATGACAGAATAATTCTCATATATTCCCCTCATCCAATTTCCTCTACTAACAGCTTACATAAGTATGCTATATTTATTATATTTAATGAACCAATACTGATACATTATTAACTAAAATCCATAGTAGTTATTATTTTATCTAATAGCAACTTCTTCTGTCTCAGGATCCCATCCAGGATACTATATCACATTTACTTGTTAGTTCTCCTTAGGCTCTCCTTGGCTGTGACAGTTTCTCAGACTTTCCTGAACAGTTTTGAGTAGTATAACTGAAGACAGGCATAAGTCCCCACACAATGAACAGTGGATTCGTGTTAAGTAAAAAGTATCCAATCTGGCATTCCAAGCTCTGACTCTGACCTTTCCTTACAGTTTTGTTTGTTTGTTTGTTTGTTTTTGTTTTTGTTTTTTTTTTTTCTGGAGATGGAGTCTCGCTCTCTCTCCCGGCTCACTGCAAGCTCTGCCTCCCGGGTTCACACCATTCTCCTGCCTCAGCCTCCTGAGTAGCTGGAACTACAGGCGCCTGACGCCACGCCCGACTAAATTTTTTTTTTTTTATTTTTAGTAGAGACAGTGTTTCACTGTGTTAGCCAGGATTATCCGGATCTCCTGACCTCATGATCTGCCCACCTCAGCCTCCCAAGGTGCTGGGATTGCAGGCGTGAGCCACAGCGCCCGGCCTCCTTACAGTTTTATGTAACACTACTCCATTATACTCACTCCACACTCCAGCCAAACTAGTCAGCTGCTGCTCCCTGAAAACACCAACAATCATCTTTTGTTTATGACCGGTACTGTGAATGGAATGTTATTCTATACACATCTCTGCCTGTCAAAATCCTAGCATACCTTAAGGTTCATCTCAAATGACATAATCATCTTGAAGCCTGTTTTGAGTCCGACAAATAAGATCTCTTCTCTATGCAAACATCTGACAAATTTGTTAAAAGATGTTCTGCTTCCATTTTCTCTTTATAGATGTATTACATAGTAAATATTTTCAGTTTCTATTTTAAGTAATGAATAACAATAATAAGCACCTTTTTCTAACCAAGAACTCTAGGAGATATTTCATTCAACCTACAGTTCTCCCTCAACTAAAAATAATATTGAGACATTAAAATAGAATATTTTTCAAATATTTTAATAAAATATTTACTCTCATGATATAGTTTGGCTCTGTGTCGCTACCCAAATCTCACCTTGAACTGTAATAACCCCCATGTGTTGTGGGAGGGACCCGGTGGGAGGTAACTGAATCATGGGGGCGAATTTTTCCCATGCTGTTCTCGTGATAGTGAATAAGTCTCACGAGATCTGGTGGTTTTATAAAAGGGCAGTTCCCCTACATACACCCTCTTGCTTGCTGCCATGTAAGACACGTCTTGCTTTCCCTTTGCCTTCTGCCATGATTGTGAGGCCTCCCCAGCCGTGTGGAACTGTGAGTCAATTAAACCTCTTCCTTTATAAATTACCCAGTCTTGGGTATGTCTTTATTAACAGCATGAGAACAGACAAATACACCTCATAAAATACATAACTTAAGACTTTGGATGTAAGTTTTAGAATCTGTGGACCATATCTACTCTCTTGGTTCTTAAGGTCACTTAAAAACTAGCAAAGTTAAAACTAAATAAATTAATGCACTTAATTAAAACTTTTAAAAACCACTTCTGAATCAATATTCTTAATGATTTAGACAAAGAAATTTCTTGACAAAAAATGTTACAAAATCATGAATAAACATGCTCATTACAGCTAAGTGAAGAAGTACCAAGAGGACAGGTGAGATCCATCCAAGTCTGAAGAACCCCTTATGAACATCTATAATCATCTGCACCATTAGCTCGAAGCTAATTCAAACTGGTTTTGTACACTAAAATTTTTAAAGGCACTCTATATTTTAAATAAAGTTCTTAAACTCTGAATGTTCCTTAGTACCTCCTAAAGAATTCACAGCTTTACTGAGCTGAAAGTAATCAATGGTTTTATTATTTATAGTCCAAGATATGGGGAAAATTTTAGTTAATCAACTTTCTGTTATCAAATTATTTCTTGCGATAATCACCATCTACCTTGCAGAAAACCACTCTATATACTGTACGTGAATGTCGATGCTTTAATGCTAGAAAGATTTTCTCTTCCAGCAAATGAACCAGTTTACAGAAGAGCCAATGAGTATATACATTCCTCCTAAGAATTAAAAAGAAAAAGAAAAAGAAGACAGAATACTCAAAATGTAACCTAAAAAGAAAATGTAACTAATCTCTTAAAAATTTCAGATCTTTGAGCAGATTCACTACTATTTACACCTAAAAAAATTACCATAGATCAATAGTAAAATTTTCAACCAGTATCTCCAAAGCATAAAGTTAAAAACACACATTTAGCCACTAGTAATTTTAACAATATAGTCTACATTATTTATAGTATAATTCTATGCTCTATTATATAAACCAGAGGCCAGCAAATTACAGTCTGTGGGTCAATCCACTGCCTGTTTTTGTAGATAAAGTTTTATTGGAACACCGCCATATCTATTCATTATGTACTGTCTATAGCTGCTTTTACTCAGTAACAGCAGAGTTCAATTTGGCCAACAAAGCCTGTATGTTTACCTTCTGGCCCTTCAGGGAAATGTGCTGACCCCTGCCACAAACTTCCAAATACATAATATTGTAAATGTCTAGCTGTTCATCTAGATTTACAGTGAAGTCCTGTTGTTTTTAACTTCCCTAAAAATTATTGCAAAACCTTTTTGTCTGTGCCTCAGTAAACCTTCCCAGTATGGCAAAACATACCCTATCACTTTTGTTCTTTTTCTATTTTAAAAGTACTAAACTCTTGAGTCTTGACACAGTGAAGACAAAATAGTTTAGTCAAATATTTTCTCAATTGCTAGACAAAAGTTTAATTTCTTAGGGACCTGATAAAGATTTAGATTTAAGAAAACACTACATCTAGTACTAAAGAAATAGGTCATTTAAGGAAAATAATATTTTGTTAAATTTAGCAACTTTTTGAAGAACTTAGATTGCTACTTACCAGCTAGTGAAAGCACAGAAGTCTTTCCTAACCCTGAGACAGAAGTTGTATATCCTGTTGTAGAACTTTTACTAGAAAACAACATGATTTAGTTTAAAATACAAAAACACACTTCTTACAATCTCAGTCATCTAACACTTGTGCTGTTTTAATCTTCTTTTTAATGCTTTCCTCTACTTATGAAACGTTTGTTGCTTTTATTTCTCATTTTTTTTATATTCATGCCTCACAACACTTACTTCGTCTATAACTTGAAAGCATTTCCTTAAACTTTTGCTTCATCAGAATTACAGTTTTTCTTTTGAGGTTCAAGCAAGGCAGCTAAAATGGGTAAAATTTTCTTGGAAACAAAACTTATCTTTAGTTATAATCTCTTTTTTCTATCTTGAGATCACTCTACTGGCCAGGTACTCTTGATGGATCTACTGATAATGCCCAAAAACACAGCTGAAATTCTGTAAGAAGCTATCTTTAATAAAAGAAAAATACTTTTTCCTGAAACATGTAATTTATCTTGATAGACAAAGGAATAGTTTTAAAGATATTTGTTTTCTTAAAATTATTTTGCTTGTCAATTGACATACAGCAGTTTGTATAGCACATATAAAAAATCATGGTAATTTAACTTATATTGATTCTATCCTAATCTTAACTGCTTGTAATTTTGTCTCCTGGGCTAAAGGGGAAACCAGACATTCATCTATTGTCACGCTAACTCTGCTGTGATCACTTTATCATATGAACATGCCAATGGATTCTTTATAGACAGAAACAATATTAGTAGCAAAGGGATGTCTATATACATTTAGATAATGGAACATACTCATACGTATTAAAAGTTAAGTGGCACATGTGATATACTACTATCTCCCTCATGAAATAATATATGGATTCTATGATATTATTAAATAGTATCATGTCAGTATTCTTCCTAGAATGCCAGAATACCTATTTTTGTGAAAATTGTTGGAGGTCTCTTATTTTTAAATATAACAATCCCTACAGAAGAACACTCACAAAATACTGGCCTATAAAAAAACCTCAAAATTAATTCTGATTTTTATAAAATGTAAACTCATATATATGAAGATGTGAATAAAGATAAAAATTATGTTAAAAATTGAAGGGCTTACAGATCGTACCTAGCACATTTCTCTAAGTTGCCATATTTTGCATGAAAAGCTTGATTATTAAAAGACTGGCTTCGAATCAGTTTGGATTTCTTGATTTCTTTACCTAGAGCAATAAGCAGAAAAAAGAAAAATGTATTCAGTTCATCCTCGGCTGCTCCAACCCCCATTCCCTCCCCAACTACCATCATTTTCAGTAAAACACAGATGGCTTTAGCCTTTTTTCCTTAATTTGAGCTCACTGAAGTATCTCTTACCCTTACTACCAATTAAAAACTACCAAAACACCTAATGATAGAAGGTGAAAAGTGCTTTAGAATGAGATATATTATCCTACTGTATCTCATCTAATAGAGTGACTTTCCCAGCAATTTGTATACAAGGAAGAAAAATTACAAAAAGATATAAAAAGAAGTTATTTCTTACTTGTCGATGGGGTGACAGAAGAGGGTCCAGGAACAGAAATGGGGATGTTCTTGGGCAGACTTTGCGTTGGTGTCTTAGTGTCTCTACCTAAAATAAATTCTGCTTTAAGTTGTATAATTTCCTCTAAGTCCTTATTAATCTCCATAAATACACAAGACAACTCAGACAATATGAATCACTATCCCTAGCTAAGCAGCTTTCTTTTCCAAATATTCTTACTTGGTAATATTTACATATTTCAATCTTTGTTATTCAGTGATCAATTTCACAATCTTACAGCTGTTATCAGACTTGAAGCTTTTCTTTTGAAGCATCTGAACGTCCACCCTGGTTCCTGCCTTTCATTCATGTACTCTTAACATCTGTACCACATTAAGTGGCCAATTTTCAAAAACGACTTTTCAAAAATGAAAGAAAGTAAAGCAATTTTCCATATCAAATAAAAAATTCAGCATGGTCTTTCAGAATACCAGGATGCAACATTAATTATGTAATTAAGTGTTGAAGACATAGAAAAACTACTTACGTTTCTTTTCAAACATTTTATCACTCATGGGCCTTCCATCATTCTGTTGCTTTTCTTTCTCTAATTGTTCCTGTTATTAAGACAGTATCTTGCATTAAAGGTACAACTGAAGTAGGTCTAGAAAATTGTTCTGAGAAATTAAGCATTAGAGATTCAAGTAAAGTTCATAAAAATGCCTAAAAGAAGTATTTTTTTCCAATGTTAGTGTCTAAAGAATTCAGGGTTCTTTCAGATTTGTGCTCTTTTCATATCTACAGAATTATGCCCTTGAGGGTTTGTCAAGCTAAAACAATGAGTTTGGTATCATTGTAATAATTACCCTTCATTTTCTAGACGGTATTTCCTAAATCACATTAGCAAAATATCCATTACTTTGGTCGTTTCAATTTCAGATTGGTAAATGGCTAAATAATATCTTTCTTTAAAAAGATTGAGAGAAAAGAAAATGGTCTTGGATATTTTTAAATGCTTTATTTAAGTATAATATACATAGAGAGGCTGGGCACAGTGGCTCACACCAGTAATCCCAGCACTTTGGGAGGCCAAGATGGGTGAGTCATCTGAGATCAGGAGTTTGAGACCAGCCAGGCCAACATGATGAAACCCCATCTCTACTAAAAACATAAAAAAAATTAGCCAGGCATGGTGATGCACGCCTGTAATCCCAGCTACTCAGGAGGCTAAGGCAGGAGAATCACTTCAACCCGGGAGGTGGAGGTTGCAGTGAGCCTGGACCATGCCACTGCACTCCAGCCTGGGTGACAGAGTGAGACTCCATCTCAAATATACATACATAAATATGTATAAAGAAAGTACACAAATTATAGGTATACAAATTCATAGCTCAATGAATTTTCCCAAAATAGACGCACTTGTATAACCAGCTCCAATATCATGAAACAAAACGTTACCAAAACACAGGAGGCCCTTATGCTAACAGAATAGGCATGAAAATCAACAAACACAGCAAGTTCTGAACAAACTTGGTATAACTGACATGCTAGAATACTAGAGTCAACAAGTGGAGAATAAATATTCTTTTCAAATGCACATGTAAACTAAGGAAAAATATGGAGAAAATAAGATAAAGAATTTCCACATAGAAGTGGACTACATAAAAAAATCAAATGGAAATTCTAAAACAGAAATAAAGCATAAAACTGAAAATTTTCATTGGGTTGGATTAACGGAGTTATCTATTTTCTACATGTTTGCCTCTATTATCTTGATCATATTAATCACAGTTATCTTGAAGTCCTTGTCTACTAATTCCAGTATCAGGATTATCTGCGGTTCTCTTTCTATTGTCTGTTTTTGTCTTGGGCTAGGTCATTTGGTCCTAAAATTTTTTAGAGTCTTCCCTACAGTTTCTCCCACTGGCAATCCTGAATTCTAATCTTGCTTTGAAAGGCTGCTGAAATAATAAAATTTCCACTTTAGTCACACAAATTCTTGGCATAGAAATAGAAAACACTAAAAGAACCAAATGGAAATTTTAGAACTGAAAAATATAATATTGGAAATAAAAAAATTAATTGGATAGGCTCAGCAGCTGAATGGAGATGACAGGGAAGGGTTGGTAACACTGAAGATACATCAAGAGAAATTATTCACACTGAGTAGCACAGAGTTTTTTTAAAAATTGAGAAAGAACAAAGCCTCTTGGCCTACGGACAATAATAAACGATCTAATATATGTGCAACTGGTGACCCAGAAATAAGAGAGAGAAAAATTGGAAGAGAATATATATTTAAATAAACAATGACCAAATCTTCCCAAATTTGGGGAATGATATACATTTACAGGTTCAGTAAGATTACCAAATCCAAACTGGATAAATTTCAAGTAAATAATGCCTAGATGCATCAAAAGTAAGCTGCTAAAAACAAAAGCTAAAGGAAAAAAATATTTAAAGTGTCCAGAGAAAAACAATGCTTCATAAAGAAGCATCAACAATTCAATGAGAGTAGCTATTTTATCAGATGTTATGGTGGCCAGAAGACAGACAGAAACACATTATTAGAATGCAGTAAGGAAAAGGCTGTCAACCCAGACTTCTATACCCAGTGAAAATATCCTTCAGGAATGAAGGTAAAAATAAGACATTTTAGATAAAGAAAAAATAAGAGAAGTTGTCACCAGAAGACCTGTGCTTCAAGATTTGCTAAAGAAAATTCTTTTATCTTAAGGAAAAAAATACCAGAGGGAAATTTAGATCTTAAGCAATGAATGAAGAGCACTGGAAATGGTAAAGATCTGAGTAAATGTAAAAGTTTACACTAAGAGTGTATTCTTCAAGATACATATGACAACTTAAAGCAAAATTACAACACTGGTGGGGTCTTCAATGCAGATATAATTCATATGACAACTGTAACATGAAGAATGGGTGTGGAGGAGGTAAAGAGATTTGTATTATTGTTAAGTGACATGATATAATAATAACAATATGTAGACTGTAAAAGGTTAGGTATGGATATTAAAATCCCTAGAGAAACAAGCAAAAAAAATTTCCAAAAAAAGGAGAGAGGAAATCCCTAACACAAGAATAAAATGGTTATCATCATAGATTAATGCCATAATTAAAAGGATAATAGAATATTATAAATAACTTCATGCCAACAGATTTGTCAGTTTAAATAACATGTAAACTGGGGTGGAAGGGAAGCAACTTACCAAAATTGACAACAGAAGAAACAGAAGATCTACATTATCTAATGTCTACTAAGGAAATAGAATCAATTATCAAAATACTTTCCAAAATGAAAATTCCAGGCTTAGATAACTTCACTAGTGAATTCTATAAAACTCTTAAGGCAAAAATAAAACCAAGTTATACAAACTTGGTCAGAAAATAGAGAAGGTGGGAATACCATCCATCTTGTTTTATGAGGCCAGAATAACATTAATACCAAATCTAATCCCAAAAATGACAAAAAGGGGAATTATAGGCCAATTTCACTATGAATCTATGAATACAGATGCAAAATCCCTTAACAAAAACATTAGCCAAGGATCCAATGGAGAAAAAGGACAATAAACCATTGCCAAATAGGGTTTATCTCCAAAAGACAACATTGGTTTACCATTTGAAAAATCAGTGTAATTCAGTATATTAGCAGAATGAAGGAGAAAAATCAAATATCATTTCTAGATACAACAAAATGCAACAACCATTCATAAAAACTCCTAGCAAACTAGGAGTAAGAGGTAACTTCCTCAATCTGATAAAGGGAATCTACATAAAACCTATTTCTACCATCATACCTGATGATGAAAGACTGAACTGTTTCCCCCTAAGATCAGTAAAAAGACAAGGATGCCTACTTGTACCACCTTAATTTTACTGGAGGTCCTGGATCTTGCAATAAGACAAAAGAAAGAAACAAAAGGCATAAATATTGAATAGAAAGAAGTAATATTGCTGTATTTAAAGAAGATATGATCACTTACGTATAAAATTTTAGTTTTAGAAAATCTAAAAAACAATTTTTAGAATAAACAAATTTAGAAAGTTTATAAGATACAAGGTTAATATATAAAAATCAACAGTATTCTTATACTCCAGCAACAAAAAACTGGAAAGTGAAATAAAAAAATGTATACTTCCATTTATAATAATGCCAAAAACATAAAATACGTAGAAATAAATTCCAGACTTCATATCAAAATGCAAAGGCCCTAGACTGGCCAAAGCAATTTTAAGAGGGAACAAAGATGGAAAACGTATCCTACCAAATTTCAAGAACGCTATAAAGTTACAGTGATCAAGACAGTTTGGTATTGCTTAAAAGATAAACTTATAAATAAGTGGAACAGAATAATAGGAAGTCAAGAAATAGACACATATGTGTACAACTATTTCTTAAGGACGCTAAGACAATTCAATGGGGAAAAGAAGGCTTTTTAACAAATGGTGCTGGAATAAATGAATATTCCCTATGGAAAAAAATAAACATATATTATATAAAAATGTACTTGAAATGGATCATAAACCTAAATATAAAACCTAAAATGAAAATTTTTAAAAGAAAATAGAGGAAAAAATCTATGATCTTGGGACAGACAAAGGATTCTTGGAACAAAAAAGAATTATCAAAGAAAGAATTGATAAACTGGGCTTCATCAAAATCAAATATTTCTGTTGTTCAAAAGACACCATTAATAAATGAACAGATAAGCCTCAGACTCCAAGAAAAAATTCATAATATGTATATCTGTGAAAGAAATTGTATTCAGAATGAATTAAAAGCTCTTACCTCTCAACAATAATAAACAACCCACTTAAAATTCTGAAAACAAACTTTATCAAATAAGAGATAAAGATGGCCAGTAAGCAAAGACAAGATGCTTGACATCTTTAGGCATCAGGAATAGAAAAAGAGATTAAAAAAAAAATGAGATACCATTACATACCCAATAGTATGGCTGGTAACTAAAGCTTTCCAGCATAGACAATGTAGATGTAAAATGGTACAACCACTTGAAAGCAGGTTTTTTTGTTTTGTTTTGTTTTTTGGGGGGACAGAGTCTCACTCTGTCACCCAGGCTGGTGTGCAGTGGCACAACCACGGTTCACTGCAAGCTCTGCCTCCCGGGTTCACGCCATTCTCTTGCCTCGGCCTCCTGAGTAGCTGGGACTACAGGAACCCGCCACCATGCCCAGCTAATTTTTTGTATTTTTTAGTAGAGATGGGGTTTCACCATGTTAGCCGGGATGGTCTTGATCTCCTGACCTCGTGATCCGTCTGCCTCGGCCTCCCAAAAGTGCTAGGATTACAGGCATGAGCTACCACACCCGGCCATTTTTTTAAATTTAGTTTTATTTTATTTTTAAGTTAAGCATGCCATACAAATCAGCCATTCTATTCCTAGGTATTTACCCAAGAGAAATGAAAACAGGTCTACTCAAGGACTTCTTCACTAATGTTCAAAGCAACTATATTTGTAATATCCCCAAATTAGAAGTAAGCCAAATGTCCATAAAGAGGTGAATGGATAAGCAAATTGTGATATATCCGAAATATAGACTACTACTCAGAAATAAAAAGGAATGGCTTCTTGATGCATACGATAATATGGATGAATCTCAAAGTAATTATGTTGGTAGAAAGATGCAGGACCAAAAATAGTATTAATACCTAATATATGATTCCATTTATATAAATTATGGAAATGCAAGCTAATCTACAGTGACAGAAACTATATCATTGGTTGTTGGGGACTAGAGTAGAAGACATGGATTACAAAGGGGCAGAAATCTTTAAAGGAATAGAAATGTTTCATATTTTCATTGTGGTGATGGTTTCATCGATATGTCAAAATTCATTAAATAGTACACTTTAAATATATGTAGTTGTCAATTATACTTCAGCAAAGTAGTTTTTTTAAAAGGCTCTCAAATATAGTTTTCTATCTAGTTCATAAAAGAACAGATTTCAAAAAACTGGACTATCATTTAAGAAGAAAAAAGAGTAATGTGAAATGGTGAAATGGAAAGAAATGATTAAGTTTAATAAAAAAACACAGTTATTAATCAGAAAAGAGTATATGTGTGTGCATGTGAAAACAACATACCATTTCCAAAAGAAGTAGTTCTTCTCTTTCTTTCTCTTGATCCAACAAATCTTTCTCATAAAACTTTTTCTGAAACTGTTTAAAGTTTAAAATGAAATTGTGAAACATTAGTGATGAGTTTCTGCCAAGTTTAAAATATTCCTTTCAATATAAATGATATGGTTTGACTCTGTGTCCCCATCCAAATTTCATCTTGTAGCTCCCCTAATTCCCACATGTTGTGGGAGGGACCGGGTGGGAGATGACTGAATTATGGGGGTGGGTCTTTCCTATGCTCTTCTCATGATAGTGAATGAGTCTCTCGAGATCTGATGGTATTGTAAGGGGGAGTTTCCCTGCACAAGCTCTCTCTTTGCCTGCCGCCATCCATGTAAGATGTGACTTGCTCCTCCTTGCCTTCTGTCACGATTGTGAGGCCTCCCCAGCCACGTGGAACTGTGAGTTCAATTAAACCTCTTTCTTTTGTAAATTGCCCAGTCTTGGGTATGTCTTTTTCAGCAGCATGAAAATGGACCAACACAATAAGGTAAAGAGAGTATACTTACAGCATCCATAGACATTTCCATTCTGTCCAACTCTAATACAGTCTATAAGGAAAGTTTTTAAAATTATTCTAAAGTAATTAAATTAAAACAACCAATCATTTCTCAGCAACTTATTTTGCAAATGGAGGTTCAAATAGAAGACTTCTGCACTAGGGGGAAGACTAAGTCAGAAAACTAAAGTTCTGCCCAATTCTACATTGTACTTACAATCAATCTTTATACAATCATGCCAGGGTCAATTTTAACTTTTGAAAGTTTTTAACCTTAAGAAGACCAAGTCTACAGGCATATTTCAAATACCAAATGCATATAATCTAACTAATTTCTAGTAACTCCCAGTGCCAATCTTTTCTGAATTTTCAGAAACATAATGTAGCTTTTGAAGTTTTAAAAAGTCTTTTAGCTATATATGAATGAGACAAGCCATCATGGGGCCTAATAATCCTTAGTTCCCTTCTGTAGAAATTTTATATCTGCTCTGAAAATATTCTCTCAATTTACTATTTGTCTTTTGGAATACACTAGTTTGAAACAAATTATCCCAATCAAAACAATGGTCAATCTAACCCAGGGTTCTGTCTCTGATAGAGGGCAGTACTTCTAAAACTTATTCTACAAGAGTAACCCTAATGGCCAAAATAAAGTACATTTGGATATGCATATGCCCAAAGCTATCCATGACAAACATAAAATTTAGTGGAAGCTTTTTCTGCTGAAATTTATGAAAAATTCATAATGCATGCCATGAAAGACTCTCTTTTTAAATAAAGTTACTTCTCATATTATAAAACTGATGAAACTATTCAATTTTTATCCAAAAGTTTTGTGTAGCTTCCTGGGAGTTTTCCATACTAATGTCTCATTATACTACAGAATTTCCATGTGACAGACTGGCTTCACTATATGCAGCATACTGAAAATAAGAGCTGTACTCCAGAATAATCCACTATAGACTAATAATCCATTAATTTTATTACATCACTGTTACACCTGTATAGCATTAGCTTATATTGTCTCTTGAATTAATAAATTATTCTGGAAAAGTAATTAACCATCTCATGTTTATTATTTTGACAAGTTAACTCCATTGCCTAAACTTCTATACTTAAATATTAAATAGTAAGGAAGGAACTGTCTGGTAGAAACAAGTGTGTGTGTGTGTGTGTGTGTGTGTGTGTGTGTAGATTTAAATGCATGTGCAACTCTACGTATTTCTGGTTATACCAGTTAATGAAAGAAGAATTCACATTTCATTAAAACTAAAACTATACTAATTCATACTAAGTCATCAAATCACTTAATTAAAAGATTCTTCATGTGACATCTGGCAATGATTTCTAGAAAAAAAGAGAAAAAATAAGAATTCTCTCTTTTCTCACCATGTATGCTAATTTATTTATGACACTAATAAGGAAATTTCCCTCACTATAAATAAATGCTCAAAAACAATGTGTCCTGAAGTTTATATTCAGATTCATAAAAGTAAATAATTTCACTTCAACTTATAAAAATATTAGTTATATATTCAGCATAAACAATTTTTGAAGAGTAAAAATTATTCTAAGATGTGGCTCACTAACCCAAATTTTTACTGTTTAGTTTTTCCAACATCTCCAAAGAATCCATATACTAAGATCTCATGCTAAAACAAACAAAAAACTCATAGGATACAATGTTACATTATTTACAAAGAAATGCACTCAGGAGCAGGTAAGAGGTCTCTATTCTAGTCCTCCTGATTCTGCTACTTACTAATATGATCTCAAGTAGACACAATATTTCTAGGCATATAACTTCTATAAAGTCAAACAGACCCCTGAATTAACTCAAAGGGCCCTTCCAGGGATAAGTTTCTATAAAATGTGACTTTGCCAATTTTACCAACAAAGTTTCACTGGATTATAATCACTTATAAAGAAAGTCTGATGAATAAAACATTCATTATTAATTGAACAGTGTTTATTGAGCACCTAACATGTGTCAAACTCTCTCAACATGGGCTTATATTACTAGTAATACAGGTTTAATGTCTAGGTGCCCTTCGAAAGTTTCATATCCAGTTGTAGCACATATCAACCAAATCATTTACTAATTCTTACAATTTTAGCAAGGATAAAAATATTGTAATATATTGCTATCCTGTCAAGCTGAAATAGTGAAGCTAAGATTCTTACTGCCTTAATGCAAAAAATGCAACATTGTGGCAAGAGTGATACTTACTCTTTTTACAATAGCCAGAACATCTTTATCTTTTTCTTGACACAGGAGTTTCCTCACACACATTTCTAACTGCTGAAGTAGATGCTTATCAGCAGGAATCTTCAGAGTAGATTTCACTTTGGGCAACAGGTAGCAAAGTTTCATTCTACAATAAAATAGTATTTACTCTTGAGTGAAGTTAATAACTAAGAATAACAGAAACATAAAACAAAAATCAAGTTTTAGATAGCCTGAGAGTTCATTTATTCATGCAAGATATATTCATGGAGTGTCTATTATGTGTCAAACATTCATCATTCTGGATGCTGAGATACAACAGTAAATAAAACCAACAAAATTCTCTGCTCTCCTGGAACTTACATTCTAGTATGGGAGCAGAGAAGAGAAAAGAAACAAGTAAAATCTGTCAGATAGTGTTAAATGCTATGGAGAAAAATAAAGTGAAGAATAAAGACAAGGGAGTACCAGGGGCAGGGGATTAATCAGTTTTAAAGCAGGTGGCCAAAGAGGGTTGTCATTGAAGGTTCCACTGAAAAGATGATATTTAAGCAAAGACCTAAAGAAAATTAGGGAATGAGCTATGTGAATATCTGGAAAAGAGCATCACAGCAAATATAGAGAGCTTGTCTCTACTGTTGGTCCAAATGAGCAAATTGGCCACTATGCCTAAACAGAGTGAAGGTGAGACTAGCAGGAGAGCTCAGAGTGGTAAATAAGAGGCTTTGAGGGCTACTGTAAGGAAATTGTCTTTTATTTTGAGTATGACAAGAAGCCATTGGTAGGTTTTCAGCAGAGGGGTGAAATGATCTGACAATGTTTTACAAGCATCATCTGTCTACTGTGTTGAAATTAGACTGCAGCTAGTCAAGAACAGAAAAAGAGAAACAATAGGAAAAGCTCTTACAATAATTCAGGCAAGAGATGATGGTACATTGAACCAGAGTGGTAGCAGTAAAAGGTGGTGAGAAGTAGTTGGATTCTGAATACCATTTTTTTTTTTTTTTGAGACAGAGTCTTGCTCTGTCGCCCAGGCTGGAATGCAGTGGTGTGATCTCGGCTCACTGCAGGCTCCGCCTCCCAGGTTCATGCCATTCTCCTGCCTCAGCCTCCCGAGTAGCTGGGACTACAGGTGCCCGCCACCATGCCTGGCTAATTTCTTTTTGTATTTTTAGTAGAGACAGGGTTTCACCATGTTATACAGGATGGTCTCGATCTCCTGAACTTGTGATCCGCCTGCCTTGGCCTCCCAAAGTGCTGGGATTACAGGCAGGAGCCACCGCGCCCAGTCCGGA
The DNA here is from genome assembly GCF_000001405.40 of Homo sapiens. Taxonomy (NCBI): domain Eukaryota; kingdom Metazoa; phylum Chordata; class Mammalia; order Primates; family Hominidae; genus Homo; species Homo sapiens. Next base: position 94,255,312 of record NC_000014.9, on the reverse strand, counting down.
TTCTGAATATCTTTTACCAGCAGCAGGATGTGCTGAGGGATTGGAGGTAGAATGACAGAGAGAAGAATTTATTTAAGGTTTTCATCTAAGCAGATGTGATGGTTATTTCCTGAGATGGAGAAGACTACAGAAGGAGCAAAAGCAGATAAGAAAGATGAAGATTTAATTCTGGACAGATTAAGTCTGAGATTTCTATCAGATATGCAATGGAAATGCAAGTGGGCAACAGGCTCAATAAGTTGGCTGTCCAGGGTAGATGTCAATGCTGGAGATAGAGTGAGGAATCTTCAGCAAGGAGATGATATTTAAACCATGAAATGGGAGAGATCACCAAAGTAATGTGTACAGTTAGAGAAGAAAAGGATAAAAGGACCTAGTCTAAGGTGGTCTAAGGCACTACCACAGTCTAGACTGGGTTGGAAAGGAAGAAACAAGGAGGTTGAAGAATGCCAGGAAGTTAAGAGTAAATCCCAGAGCCTAAAAAAAAGCCTTTCCAGGAGGAGGCATTTCAGAGGAAATACTCTCCTTTGCTAAGCTAAAAGTCTACTCTTTTTCCATGGCTGTTTTAGAGAGGGATGCTAGGTGGGTATCTATTTTATAGCTGCTATATTCATTTATTCATCTGAATGCTCTACAAATTATTATTTTTTATTTTTATTGCAACCTTGAGACACCTGAATCCCATTTTTAGAGTTTCCAGAACACTTTCTCAGCTGAATTTTTACTTGAGGATTCTTCATATACAACAAAATTTGCTTTTGATTTAACCAAAAAGGGTAAAGAAGCTCCTCCTGTAGAATTTCCAGCATTGTAAATAGCAACAATGGTCTCAATCTCATTCACAGCTCACCACGGATACAGCTAAACCTAGTAATGCTTTCTCTAATTAAGGAGTATCAATCCCCCCAAATAAATTATTTCATTTCTGGCAGCTGTGGAAAAGGCTTCTCTGAATACCAAGAGTCTTTTTCCAGCTTGACATTGTCTAAACTTGGTGAATTTAAATTTTAAACATTAACTTAAGGAAAAACAAAAACACTTAACAATCTATGCACACTCCATTCTTTATAACCCAAGGCATGTCTAGAAAACAGATATTCAGCAGAAGCTACCCAAGCCATCGTAATGATTCATCTCTATGAGACTCCTGGGCCCATGAGATGATCAAATTCTTGAGATTAGGGACCACACCTTTCAGATAATTTATGTATATTATCTCAGTTATTTGTACCTCAGAATACTTTATAAATTAGGTACTAAGGAAATCAATGCACACAGAAGTTTTGTAACTTGGCTAAAGATACACATTTAATATAGAGCTGGAATTTCAGCTCAGGGAGTGTGGCTCCGGAAACTGTCCTCCTAACCAACATGATCCTACCACCCTTGCCTGTGATGGCTTTCATTCTATCTGCACATCCCTAAAGCACTGAGCAAGGGCTTTTATACCCAAAGCCAGTTAGCATACAGTGTTGCTGGACACATATCTTGGCTGGCAGCTGGCCAGGCAAGAGAGTAGGAACCAAGACACACAGTTATACAATAATCTGCTGCCCTGCAGATCTCTGAAATTAATAGAGTAATATTTAATTACTCTTCATTTGGTTTTTTGAATTGGCAGATTTCTTTCTCAAAGAGTCAATGTTATGCTCTTAGTTACACTGATCAAAGTAGAGATGATTTCGTTTCCTTTCAAATTATTTTTGTCAACTGCCTGATAAGTGACAATACATCACATTGAAAGTTGCTTTTATAGAATCACAATTTTAATTCACAAAATGTTCATAAAGATGGACCCATTAGTTGTTTAGGAAGAGCTAAAATCTAAAGAATTACCAAAGGTTCCTTTTTTTGAGACGAAGTCTTGCTCTGTCACCTAGGCTGGAGTGCAGTGGTGTGATCTCGGTTCACTGCAACCTCCACCTCCCAGGTTCATACGATTCTCCTGCCTCAGCCTCCCAAGTAGCTGGGACTGCAGGCATGTGCCACCACGACCGGCTCATTTTTGTATTTTTAGTAGAGATGGGGTTTCACCATGTTGGCCAGGCTGGTCTCAAACTCCTGGCCTCAAGTGATCCTGTCTGCCTCGGCCTCCCAAAGTGCTGGGATTTACAGGCATGAGCCATGACGCCCAGCCCAAAAGGTTCTTTTCAATTCACTTTAAATGTCAGCAATACCCCACCTCTCATTTATAAAGCACAAGAAATATGCAACAAAAACTAAAGTCAATGCAGTTGTGCTTTCTGTATTTTCTCACATTTAAAATACAAAAGAAAAACTTCTAGATTTGTTCCCATTAAAAAATGCTCATAAAAGTCTTAAGTTGAACTTTTCGGTATCTTTTGACAATTCATCTTCATATATATCTCAACACCAAGACTATTAATCTCAGTTAGCTTATTATCTCACCAACTCTTCCTATTAAAAAGTTTTGATGTTTTACATATTGCCTAAAATTCACATCAGTTGTTTATAAAAGTGGTACATATGCATCTTTCAGATGCATAAGACTAAGTGCCCCAATGTATGAAAATTCAGCAGGGAGTTCTAGAGTTTGTTCAGGAATGCCTTTGGCCAACTGACTCTGATGTCTCTCTTTCCTGCAGATCTGAGTTCAAGTTCAAAATAGAGACACAGGACTTAGAACACAGAAATCTAATGGCTGAGGGTTTAACATTCTTTTCATTCTATTATCAAATGTACAAAAATAGCTCTTAATAATGTGCATGTACTTTAATGCCACTCAACTATACACTTATAAATGGTTAAAATAGTAAATTTTATATTATACATATTTTACCACAGTAAAAAAAAAGGAAGTGATGTGCTCTTTTGGAGAGAAAAAGGACAAAATATATTTATTATTTTTTTCCATTTCCAGGCAAGCCATTTTCAGGTCTGTTCCTTCCAACTTAACAGTTAATCAAATGCAATTAACATTTTACTGGATTTCAATAATATAAGGCAAAACATAGAAGACAAGATGAAGACTTTGAAGCAGTTCTACTTCTTTGAATAAATGGGCCTCTAGAAACTAACGGATGCTCACCAAACAACTTTGAAGTGATAAGGCTACTGACCGTCTTTTCTTTAGTTTTAATGGTAGATAAATTAATAACATCTACTCAACCTTCTAATCATTTCAATGTGTATATCCAAATGGCCGAAGAAGCTTACCAATCTGGCTTTGACTAACTGCTCTCAACCCAGTAAAGACAAAAGATCTGAGACAGTGTTGAAAGAGTATGCTTCCAAGTCTTACTGATGCCCATCAATTATGAATACTAAGAATTTCAAAGCACGTGTAAATTCTTGACTTAAGTTTTTAATTGGCTAAGGAAAAGATTTTGCATATGTTCACTATAGTAGATAAAAATAAATACAATTTCCAATATTTTCCTTCATTGATAACATACCTCACATTTGCTACTGGATCATGTGTCAGTTCAATAGCAGGTAGAAAGAAATATTTACAGAAAAATGATTTTGAAAATATCTCTATAATAAATTCACAGGTATCCAAAAATCGAAGTCTATTCCAGTAACTTTTTCCTTGGCCCAATTCTAGAAACAACAACAAAAATTATCTTAAGTTAATTTTTCCTATATGAAATTAAAGTGACAAAGTTAGACACACAAAATGCATAAGAAGTTTCTTCATACCCACAATTTGGCTAGCAAATACAAGACATAAGAGGAAAAATATCATTATTATATACCTCAGGTTTGTAAATCCCCAAAATGACACCTCAAAAACCATAAAACAGTTTTGTCAAACATTTCATTCAATTTCATAAGCATTTATTAACTATGGAATGACTGTATTTACTACTTTTTATCACCCACTATGTGCTAAGTACTTTACACATATTATCTCATTTAGCCCTGAAAAGCAGCCCAAGGGATGCACATACTTCTTCCTCTTAAAAGATAAGGATACTAAGATTTAGTGAGTTTAAAGTCACACAGCTGGCAGGTGCAGAGCTAGAATTCAAACACAGCTCTGTATAACTTCTAAGTGTTTTAATAATCAAATTAACTGTTTTCTTCCCTTTGTTTCCTTAAAAATGCCTAAAGTAGATACAGTCATATATAAACAGCATTACTGACAATAATTCAGGTCAATATTTAAAAGGTTAATTTTCTACTTTTTACATAAATGTTCAAAAATAAAACCAAACTGAATCTTCTTTCAAAATAAAACATTCTAAACATGAGCTCTTGCCACTGAAAAATGAAAACCGAATTAAAATAAGACTATAAAAAGAAAGATTAAAGTATACTGAGCATATTTTTTCTTAAATGGAATTTTATAAAAGTACTCTAATTTTTTGAAAAGTAGTGATACACACTTAAACTGGTAAACTCCAATAACTAGAAAATCCCATTACCTGCCTATGCTGGATAATATAGTTTGGTAAAAATATTAAGACATTATGGGCAAAGCAAATATACAATAATTAACAAACTCACTAAGTATATATAGGTGTGTGCAACTATTTCTAGAATCAATACTATAAACCAAATGTTTTTGCCTTGATTTTAGCTCTTAACAAATTAAAATAAATTTGCATTTGTAAACTGACTTAGTTTCTTAAGACATTATAAACCAACTAGGCTCATCAAATTAATATTCAAATATACTATCAACTCTATTCAAAGAAAAATCCCAGATTCTGTTAATTATGTGAATATTGAAATAGGACCATAAAATAAATGATTAGATGCATGGATATTCTATTTATATTTTAGTTCCAAATGCTATTTCATCAGGGGAGATACTGGGCTTTCAATATAAGTAAATATATTTTAATTTCTAAAGTGTAGACATTTACAAAAGAAAACAGAGTAATTATTACTTTCATTCATCACAGATCTAATCTTGCCATAAGGATTTCTAGAAAATAAAAATCATCTTATAAAACCCAATAGTAACCTAATTATTCACAGCAAAATGATACATAAGTTAGACATAACTAAAGCCAACTAGTTTGTTTACTTTCCTTTTTCAAAATAGTAGACAATGATTACTTACGTTCAATTAATTTTTGAATGACCTCATGTCTCTGTTCTTGTTTACGATTATAACGCAGAAAAATGCATAGAGTTCGTGAAGCCGCCTTTTGGACAGGTAAAACATTCTTGAAGAAGTAAGTAAGACAGACAGTTACACTAGGCTAATTCTAGTCTAGATAATTTGACCCCACCAAATCAATTTTAAGTTATTGACAAAACTAAAGTGTTCACTGCCTCTCAACTCACTGAACTTACATCCTTCTGGAAGTATCTTCATAATTTAATGTTAATCACTCAGGCAAATCAACCAATAATTATATTACAAAGTTAATTTGGCATAGTCATGTCCAAATCCTCCAGATTTGACTCTCATTTCCTTGCCATCTCATCTTACATGATCAAATACACCCCTGCCACCTATTCTTTTAGCTGTTCCCTGGACTTTGTCATTCATTCATCTGACAAACATTTGCTATAACATGCCATGTGTCAGGTACATCACCAAAAATATGCCACTACTGAAATATTAATTTAGAGATCCTGTGATCAGGTATACTCTTCAATCCTTCTGGCTTAATTCTAGCTCTTCATGATACAGATGACATTTAGAATCCAAAGGACACCATGTCAATCATTCTTACCAGTATTTCAAGTCCCTTTGTCCTTTCAATTTCTGTCACACCACTAGGCAGAACCTTAATTCTAAATAAATATGGCCATTTATCTTTCCTGGGTTTGGGTTCAAACCATATATTAGAGAAAAATCTCTCAACCAGACGTATTGTGTCCAGTATAAATTCATGTTCATTATCTTGATTTACATACAAATATAATGTTGAATTACTAAAGATCCCAAATATTATAGTGGGGATCCTTGAAATTCAAATTGAAACTTTACATTGCTGAGACAGTGTTGCCTGCTACCTCCTCTCATATTTTATATGAGCTATTCACATTCTATCGGGTACAATTTGAGTGGGGTTTTTAATCTGTTGAATGTAAAAAGAGGGTATTTCCTATGATTTAGAAAAGAAAATTTAAAAAATATACATAAGCAGAAACATGATTAGACTTAAGGAAAATGAATTTTTGATAAATGGTGAACTAAACAAAAGCATATTATTCTTTTCTTTCATTTTATATATACTGATAGAATTTCAAATACATATATAACAGTCATATGAAAACATGTATATTTTGTACCTCATATAAAATATATATTATAGTTTATGGCATAAGGTATTCTTTTGGGCCAGAAGTCAAAGATAAATGTAATCAAGTCAAAAGCACATAAGAGCCAGCTTAAAGAAGTTGTAACAATTTGTGCACAAAAAATAATAACTGCAATAACATTTATCTAAAAGAGAGTCAACATTAAAAACAAAGTGCATTTGTCACCATTAAAAATAGCTACTACGCCACCTCCTAGCTCTGAAAATTGATAATTCAAGGGAAAAAATTAAGAATTCATCCTGTCTTTACATTAGTAAACGTAGCTCAAGGTAATCAAATAACCAATGTGGACAAAGGAATGCACTTCTTCACAGAATGCCACCATTAAAAATGCATAAATGATGGAATTTTAAAATTATTTTTCAAGTTATAATGAAATCACCAATTCAAGCAAGGATCATCAATGGATTCTACAACTAACAGGTAAAAGGCTGATAGGACACTGGGTAAACAGAGGGCTGAAATAGCAGCTGAAGATTGCGCTGGCTATTCAAGAGTAATTTTAAAATAATTTTTTTAATTCTGTGAAAAATGACATTGGTAGTTTGATAGGAATGTGTTGAATCTGTAGATTGCTTTGGGCAATATGGTCATTTTAACAATATTAATTCTTCTAATCCATGAGTAAGGAATGTTTTTCCATTTGTTTATGTCATCTATGATTTCTTTCAGCAGTGTTTTATAGCTCCCCTTGCAGAGCTCTTTCGCCTCCTTGGTTAGATGTGTTACTGGATATTTTTTTTGTGGCTATTAAAATTGGGATTGCATTCTTGATTTGGCTCTCAGCTTGAACATTATTGGTGTATAGAAATGCTACTGATTTTTGTACACTGGTTTTGCAACCTGAAACTTTACTGCAGTGGTTTATCAGGTCTAGGAGCCTTCTGACAAGATCCTTAGGGTTTTCTAGGTATAGAATCATATCATCAGCAAAGAGAGATCATTTGACTTCCTCTTTTCCTATTTGGATGCCTTCAATTTCTTTCTTTTGCCTGATTGCTCTGCCTAGGACTTCTAGTACTATGTTTAATAGGAGTGGTATGAGTGGGCATCCTTGTCTTGTTCCAATTCTCAAGGGGATGGCTTCCAGCTTTTGCCCAATCAGTTTGATGTTGGCAGTGGGTTTGTCATAGACAGCTATTATTATTTTGAGGTATGTTCCTTCAATGCCTAGTTTGCTGAGGGTTTTTAACACAAAGAGACACTGGACTTTATCAAAAGCCTTTTCTGCATCCATTGAGATGATCATGTAATTTTTGCTTTTAATCCTGTTTATGTGGCAAATAACATTTATTGATTTGCTTATGTTGAACTAACCTCACATTGCAGGAATGAAGCCCACTTGATTGTGGTGAATTAACTTTTTGATGTGCTACTGGATTTGGTTTGCTAGTATTTTCTTGAGGATTTTTATGTTGATGTTCGTCAGGAATACTGACTTGCAGTTTTCTTTTCTTGTGTCTTTTCCAGATTTTGGTATCAGGGTGATGGTGGCTTTGTAGAATGAGTTAAACAGGAACACTTCCTCCTCAATTTTTTGAATAGTTTCAGTAGGATTGATTCCAGCTCAGAGGAGCTTGCAAGGTATGTCTGCTGGTAGTCTGGCAGTGCAGTGGGTCAAAGATGGGAGATCCCTGGGCAGGGCAGTGGTACAACTGGTATACAACCAGGTAGGCACATGCAGCCCAGGGTTTTCAGCCCAGCAGATGAGTGTGGGGCCCACCCAGCTTGCACTACCCCAACTCAGCATCTGCCCCAGAGGCAGGCCTGACCAGTTGGGCTTGTCCCAAGCCTTCTGTGCCGAGATCACAGAGCCATGGAATGTTTCTATATTTCAAAAAATTGCAATAGGATGTCATGTTAAATGTACAGTGAATTATGAGTTAAATAATCCCCTTGGAAATTTCTGTGAAAAAAGTAGACAATTAACTTTGTGGGGAGGCTTGAGTGCCACCTTGTTTTGAGGGAGGAGTCTTTTTCTTTTAACACTAATTATAAGGTTATCAATAGCAGGGCATCCATGTATTTGTATAAGCTTTCTCTGTTCCATTGCCACACTCTAAAAGTAACCAAACTTATAGTAGGAAGCTTAAGGGGTGCCTTGGCAAAACAGCATAGCTGGGGTCAAACACTAAGGTTGTGGATGCATCAGAGGTGCACATCAGAACAGAAGAAGGTCCTTTGCAGTCAAGGTCACTGAGTCCTGTCAACCTTCCTCTTAAGAAGAACTATTTCAAGTTTGAAGTGAGTCTACTCTGTTCTTGGCAGTATATAAACAAAGGGTAGGTGAAAGTGCCACCTAGTCGTTCCTCTCTCCAGCTAGAGAGAAGATTCTCAGAGGGAGACCTAGTGGGGAGGCAAAGGGAAACCTGAGTCCCCTCTTCTGGACCTACGAAGCTGACATCCTCCTAGGTAGAATGGAATGAACTGAGTTTGTTCTACTATTTTGAAAATATGAAGAGTTTTGGTAATTCCAGAACCAACCATGAGTTCAAAAGAATAAGATGAAAGGTACTGAGCTCACATTTGTCATCATGATTGTGAACATTCTTTGTAAGAAACGGTAATAAATCTGATCGCTTGATATGACATGTGGCAGGCAGGCATATTTCTGAAGTAGCTTCTCATGAGTTCTCCATTTTAAAGAGGCTGCAGCTCGCTGTTCAGCAGCTGTGAGTGCTGGAATCAAGTCAGGCAGAGAAGATAACTGAAAATGAAACGCATCAAAAAATCAATTATAAATAAATTGCAGCACTCAGTAAAATTACTCAGTCTTATAACACATTGGGGAAGAGAATACTCCTTCTCATTTCAGAGTTTAGGAGACATCTTAGTTGTCACAAGGAGATAATTATCTGGTTAAATCAAACACTTTTAAAAGAAATCATTAAGTAAAAAGTATGATTCCTGGGAACCAAATTTTGAAATAAAAACTACAACTCATTCTTCTTCCTGTCAGATTATCATAGCAACTCTTCCAACTACAGTAAAATGTATTACATATTATTACTGTCAATAAGCTTTGACCTCCTAAATCCTACCCTTTTCTTAGGTTACACAGAGGCTTAAAAAATAATAATAAAGAATAAATTTCTACCCTTTTGTCCTATTTGCTATTCTTGGAATAATCATTAATGCTAATGAAAAATGAAAATATGAACATAAACTCCAAAGACAATAGACAACAATCATGGTAATTTAAAATTATTAATGTAAGAAAGATAGAGGAAATTCAAGCTGTTCAAACTCTAATAGGCTTTTACTGACCACCTGCTATGTGGCATGCACTATTTTACAAGTTTTCCAAACATTCTTTCATTGATGCCTCAAAACACCCTGTAGAGTAGGATAATATTTACACAACTCAGAATGTTTCTGAAAGATGAAGTTTACCTTATTTTCTTGAACACTGCTTTCTCCACCAGTAGACATAAGTTCCAAGATTTCTGGAAGATGATCTATAAGAGCATCTAGTACCTTTTAACAGAGATATTGATTACTGTTATAGTGATTACTATGTTTTTGCTAGATTAATTCTACATGTCAATTTCTATATAGTAGTAGTGGTTTTTTTTTTTCCCCCAAATAACATTTTGAGGATTTGTATTTTCTTACTCTGCCATCTTCTTGCTGAAAAGTCTTAGAAACATGATCAACTGCCTTGGCCAACCTTCAAAAAGAGATTAGTGTACCTGCCTCTTGACATTGTCCAAATAGTCTAAATCTGAGACAGCTACTTCTACAAAACTAACATGTTCAAAAACTGCCTCCAAACTTTCGAAACGTTGTTTAAATTGGATAATATTCTCAGTGATATCAAAATATTCATGAGCTGCGCTTTGGCAAACTAACAGTCATTTAGGTGAAAGGAATATCTAAATATAGCATCAAAATAAAGTATTTCAAAGTCTTCATAAGTACATATTAAGTGGTAAAATACTACACAATGGCAAGAGAAACAAGTTATAAAATGTGATATATGATTACAATTGAGTAAAATAAAAACCTTTATATAGAAAAGAATATTCATATAAAAAAGAAAAAGAAAACAAATAGTAACAGTAATTGAAATTAAAGGCATTCTTTTGTCTGTTTTTTGGCACTTCCTAAATTTTTCTTAATAAACAAATATACATATACTAAGTTTTAAAACTGAATATATTTTAAAACCTTATTTTTTAAACTATCTTCCCAATATCCTATTTATGATATAGTGGTACAACAATTTGAAGCTTCTGGGGCTAGTCAGCTGAAAGAGTTGACACGATTCCAAGAAGAAGGGGAGAAAAGGCATTGGTATATTTGGACCAAACATAAAAGAATTAAAAATCAAAGAGTAAGAAAATATTACCTCCAGTGATTCATCTTGTAATAATGTTATTAGTTCTTTATGTATTAAATATACTCCAGAATTCAGAAGCTTAGATACCTAAAATATAGCAATAAAGTCTCTCAGATTTGAGAGTACTAGACAGATACAGGTTACAATAATAATTTTTAAAAATACATCCTTGTTATATATTTCTTCTAAAATAAAGCCATGTTATAACACAAATATAAAATTAGATTCTATAAAAATTAGTGGCACAAATAACCAGCTTTCTAGTCTGCCTCGTGACATGCTGGAATGTGCAGACACACATGGGGTGAGGAAATACAAAAGAATGGGATTTACCAGAGTCATTACTTTCACATCAACAGCAATAACAAGCCCACAGGGGCCTCTAGTTCACATTTTAAAGTCTTAGAGGAGCCAACAGGGTCTTAAAGGATATCCTAGGCATACAAGTGTTCATACCAGTTCAGAACTTCCCAAAGGGTAACTTCTACTGAAGGCCTACAGTGATGTCGGGGTAGTTATAACTCCTAAGAAAGCAAACCAACTTTACTTTTCCCCATCAAAGACTTTAACCAGCATGAGAGGAGTTGGGAGAGTCCAGAATAATACAGTTCCCCTTGTAGACAGTAGTTTTTTTGTCTCCTCCTTATAAACTCGGAGCCCACAATGGTGAATTTACCAGTTTCTATTTCACCTTATTCTTTCTAAAACACACTGGGCTTGAATAAAGTTTTATTTGAAAAAAAAAATGGTCCCTGGATAAAGAAAGTGTTTTAAAATTCTTTGCTCTAACAGGGTTGTTTTTGACTTGTCAAAAATATTTCCAAAGTGTTATTATTCTGAAAAATGAGAACAAAGAATACAAAAGCAATTATCAGACTCTAGCATTGACACTGTTAGAAAAATTTAAATCCACCAGTGGATTTTCATTACTTTAAAAAAAAAAAAAATTTACACTAGCCCCTCATTTTATGGAGAGGCACATCATTCTTACCCTACCTACATGGTATGATTGTGGTAGAATATGGAAACTAGCCACCCAGCAAATATAGATCAATGATTATCAAACTCACTTCCACCAGTGAAACATATTTGTATACACATGTACATTTCCATATGTTTAATTATATGGTGCTATGTTATGTCTACTATAAAACATAAATAAAATTAAATATTAAACTGATGAGAAAAAAATAGAAAGTCTAAAATTGCATAAATACTGCATTCTCAGACTCCAAACTTGTACAACCCTCTCTGGAGACCACTGATCTAACAAGTACATGTGGACATGGTAACCAAGCCTAAGTGACCATTTAATGCATCTTGGAGGTGAATATTCTGCTCAGCTGGCCAGTGCTTTCTGCCCTATCCCCGCTCCTCCGAAAGCAGAGTTCTACAGGTGTGTTTTACAAAGATGATATAATTGTGCAGCACTGAAATTAATTTAAAGAGAAGATGTCCAGGATTTTGTATAATGCATATATATTTTCATACCAGAAAAAGCGTTCTTTTAAAAAAGCAAAACTATCACCCAATAGCCAAAAAAAAATCTAAGCAACATTAATAATGATGCTATGGATGGATATCCTGCACACTTGCAGATCATCAAAGTGCTCTGACATAGGAACACAGTGCAAGGAAGGGGGTGAAATATTCTCACTGAGAATAAGAACTTGTACCACTTATCCAGAGGCTTTTATGTGTCAGTTTTGAAGTTGAAAGTTATAGCTTATCCGTATTTATTGCAACCACGGCATACGTGCACTTCTTGCTGTCATTCAAGAAACATGCCCCAAATTTCAACTTCAAGGGTTAAAAAGTTAAATTCATCATAAAAGTTTCAATTTATTTTTGCTCTTACTTTATAGTCATAATAGCAGAATCTAAAAGCCATGCTCACGAAACACCATCCATTTGTAGTAAAAATAATTAATGTGTCTCAATTTTCTATTGGTTCTCAAGTGCTTAAGTTTAGGTGCAAAGTTAACTGTAAATATTATAAAGCATATAAAAACTGATTTTACTTTAAAATCCGCATCACCCATATCTACCACAATGTCTGGTTTAAACACTTGGTATAGATATGCTGAATGAATGGGTTAATAAAAGAATACACAAATATAATGTATTTATGGAAATGATTCAGTAAACATACTAAAAAAGAAGAAAATTAAGGAAATTTTTAAACAAGATTTAAGACTAGAACATGAAAGAGATATCCAGTCTATATCTTATAATCTATAAGCACAAAATCATCTAGTATACATAGGTAGAATTAACAACAAACGTAAAGTGATATCAAGTCTTCAGACTTACTTCATAAAAGCAAATAGCAATAGTGTATCTGACTGGTACTTCAGGGTCATGGCAAAGGCAGAAGAATGTAGAATAGAGTTCCATGTGGAAGTTTTTAGGATCAACAAAAACAATCATGGCCTGGTGGAGGTGGAAGGGAGGAGATGAGTGGGAAGGAAAGAAAAACATGCATCAATACCTAATATTATAATCGTTTCACTTAAATTGAAATCATGTTCTCTGAATTGTAATTTAACTAAAAATCATATTTGGAAGATCCAAATATGTGTCTATTATTCTGATTTATACGTAGAGATATAAATTTCACAAATATTTACTCTGCACATACTATGTATGCTAGACATAATGCAAGCAGCAAGTGTCAAAAATGGCAATATTTTGAATGCCATCTATGCACATATTTTAAAGTTATAATAAAAATCCTCAGTAAATATAAATACATATTTATTACCGGAAAGTTATAAGCACAGTTCTTCCGTACTGAAATATATTTCTTCTCCTGCTCTAGGATTTGGGGTGGAATCTGGTTTTCATTGTGTCCATTTTCTTGTTGCAAACCCAATGTACAAAGTTTCTTATAAAATTCCAAAAATCTCAAGTGCTGATCTGGAGTGAAAATTCCTAAAACAAATATAAAAAACTAGCTCAACATTTCAATTGAAAACAAAATTTAAAAAGGGAAAATCAAAGTACAATAAAAATATAATTGGAGCCAAATACTTAAATAAATGGTTACAGATACTTTATAAATAAAAGGAACATGAAAAGAGTATCTGTTAGGAATCTAACAGATCACATTATTTTACCTCATGTTAATACCAGTAATATTTTAATTTCAAAAGTATAACTTACATAACGCAGGAACTGTAGCTGCATTAATTGCTGCAGCATGTATCATATTGTAGGCCACTAAAAAGTCACTAATAGTAACATTGTGGCTATTTATACATCTGCTATTATAGTAAATGTTCTAAAATTGCTGACAGAAAAGACACATGCATGTGTGTATGTGTCTCTGCAGGGAAGGAGCTTAAAAATTGAATCTGAAAGACAGCAAATAAATTCAAAATATTTTTAATCAATGGAATGGTTCCACTTCATTAACTATCTCAAGGAGCTAGAAACTCATAATATATTGTTACGAGTTCATTATTAAACAGTCTATCTCACATCGATACGGAAAGCTAAGAACTATGTGTTCAAAATGCCAAGAGTTATGGCATTATTCTACATCCCAAGCTGAACTTCTCTAATGATATAATAAATTATTCAATAAATGGTTAATAAGTGTATACTTACTACGTACAAATAGTTAATAAGCCTGAGCTTCTATTATCACATACCAAATAATACATAATTATAAAATATTCAGAGATTTAAAGAGCTATGCTTACTTCATTCTGTCACTGTTCTTTCAAATAGGTTCTATTGGTGAAAAAGTCATTCCTAAATGTGCTCTAAATGATGCTATCAAAATTCTAAGATCTCATAAGATTTTTATATACTTAAGAGTTAGGCTTTACAATTAACTGAAGAGCCAAAGTTTAATGACTGAGGTAGAAAAAAAAGGGAAAAATTATCTACAGTCTCAAAATTCTTAGGATATATCATACCATATAGTCCATGACATAGTTTTCCTAAATGGAAAGATAAAGAAATAAGAATTGATTCATCTGCTTTGAAAGATTTTTCACAAAATGATTTCACTAAGGGAAGTATAGTTTGACTTCTGTCATCTGGAAAACAAAACAAAATAATACATACTTTAAATTCAGTCGTCCACATTGCACATGTGGAAACTAATACACACACAAATTCCAGAAAGAAAAATTACTATGTTAGCCTCATAGTAATAGAAAATACCTGAAAGCAACAACGATGGAGGTGGGTGGTGAAAAAGGGGTAAGAGGAGGCTTGAAATGATCAAAAACTTTAATGTCAGGTTAAGGGGTTTGGACTTCATACTGCAGGCCATTGGGAACAGAATATAAAGAGTGATTATGAATTAAAAAGCTAAGATGATTGAGGATTTGAGCCTGAATAACTAAAAGAATTCTAACACCATTAACATAAATAGATAAATAGTAAGCAAAGGAAACTTTTCTTATTCTCTTTTACACACATCTCATACCATGCTACAGCTTAAGCCCATTTTATCATTTCATTTATTACTAAAATTACATTAGCTTATAATATGTTCTATGTATTGAATTTCATCACTTTTACTTCTTAGATGGCTCTTCTTTAAAAAATTAATCAATTATTTGAGTACATCTGCTTAGGTCATAAGTATCTGACATACTGGTGATTTTTAAGTCTCAATTCTAAATGCTCTCCAAATTTCTCACAGTTTTCTTAAATTTCAGAAATGAATCACTTCTTTATTATCTAGAAATACTAAATAAAATGCTATAACAGGCTTATGAGTATTATTATTACTATTATCATTACATTTCGGTGCCATATCTACTATTTTTGTTAAATGACATTCATTCAACACACTGTATTTCTTACAGAACAAGCCTTGTAACTAAGTAGAAGTAGAAATATGAATAATAAATGGTCTCTGATTTTGAGAAATGTAAACCAGCAAAAAAGCCAAACACAAAAAATATAAGACAATGTGATCACTGTCTTAATAGCTGGTATAAGGCAGGGATCTATAAACTTTTTTTGTAAATATTCTAGGCTTTGCAGGCTCTGTCTCAACTACTCAGCTCTGTTCTTGCATCACAAAAACAGCCACAGACAATATGTGAACAAATAAGTGTGGCTCTGTCCCAATAAACTTTATTCACAAAAACAGGCGGTGGGCCAGATTTGGTCTAAGGGCCATAGTTTGCCAACCCCTGGTGTAAAGGATTTAGAAAGATGTCAGGGAGGAAACTGTATTTAAACTGGGAACTAAAGAAGCAGAAGGATCATTCTCAGCAAACTATTGCAAGGACAAAAAAACCAAACACCGCAAGTTCTCACTCATAGGTGGGAATTGAACAATGAGAACACTTGGACACAGGGTGGGGAACATCGAACACCGGGGCCTGTCGTGGGGTGGGGGGAGGGGGGAGGGATAGCATTAGGAGATATACCTAATGTAAATGACGAGTTAATGGGTGCAGCACACCAACATGGCACATGTATACATATGTAACAAACCTGCACGTCGTGCCCATGTACCCTAGAACTTAAACTATAATAATAAAAAAAAAAAAGAAGCAGAAGGAGTTGGCTAGGACAAAAATAGAGGGAAGGAAACAATAGAGAAAGAAAAAGTATGAGAGAAGACTAGAGGTGTGAAAGAATCTGGTATGCTAAGGAAGTGGGACTGGAGCATCAGACACAAGAGGAGTGGGAAAGAATGGTAGGAAATAAAGCCACAAACACAGGTTAGGCCCAGCTCTGTGATAAATGGGTGTGGGCAGTAAAAGAGAAAAGATCAAAGATGATGGCAAGGTTCTAGTTTGGAGCCTGGGGATGCCCCATTATTAGAGGAAAAAAGATTTATTCATTCACTTATCATGTACTGCAGTTTTACTCCTCTGGTTTGTCATATTGTCTAAATGACTGTTCTGGAATTTCCAAACACAATTATTGTCCATATTGCAATAATCTTTAAGAGGCTTCCTAGAGTTCAGATAAAATGTTGGTAATCCAAGTAAATGTAATACTATAATTATACGATTGAATTCTGTACCTAAGTACTTGACATTTACTCCTCCAAATTTCTCTTTATCAAAATAGTTAATGTTTACTGATAACTAATATCCAGCATTAGTCAAGAGTCTAGCCATACATTCAGTAGAGCAGTTAACTGTCTTTGTGACATGATTTACATAACACTAAGGAATATCTCTTTACCCTCTCCCACTCAAATACCCCATCCCAAATTTCTCCCCCAATGGCCATGAGATCTCTAGCATTAAAATATTATTAAGGAGAGGAAACTCATGTAGACAATGTCTCAGGATCTGTCTTAATGTCAATTAGGTGAAAAAGTTAAAGTCAAATTCTTAGCCCTATACACACACAAGTCAGTTAAGTTTTGATGGGAGAAAAGAGAGATGGAATATGTAGCAACACTGTATGCCATAGGGTACTGGTTTTAATATGGTTTGTCTCCATCAAAATGCCTGTCAAGGCTTGGCCCCAGTGCAGCAATACTGGAAGGTGAAATCTTTAAGAGGTGGGGCCGCATGGGTCCACCCACTGGCTCCACCCTCGTGGGTTGACTGGTGAAGTTCCTGTGGTATTGAGATCTCCTTCACAAGTGACTGGGTTAGCTCTCGTGGGACTGGGTTAGTTCTCTGGAGAGCAGGTTGTTACAAAGTCAGCTTCTTTTGTTCCCTCTCCCTTTTGCAGGCCTGCTTCACCTTCCACTTCTCTGCCAGATTACGAGGTGGCATGAGGCCCTCATCAGAAACAGGTCAGATGGGGCTGCCTGATCTTGAACTTCCCAGCCTCTAGAAATGTGGGCCAAAATAAATTCCTTTATAAATTACCTGGTCTCAGGTATTCTGTTACAGCAACACAAAATGGACTACGACACCATGAGGGTAAAAGTGAAAGCCAAGAAGACACGAAAACAGAATGAATCATAAAAAGAGGGAGAGGAAGGGAGGCTTAACATAGGAAATTCTAAATCTACTTTTATTCCTTATTAGTGACATAAAACATGTAGAAAAACACTGTTTTCAGAAGCAAAGATGTAGCCACATGATTTACCTGTATCAAATATATCAAGCAGATTAACCAAAGTTTCAAAAGCTGCAAGTCGTACACTGCTGCCTTCATCCCTAGAAAGTTCTATTAATTCAGGGAGCACCACACTTTTTGTAAGTTCTGTCCTGCACAATAAGCAATAGAAGAAAATAAATCAAATCAATAAATGTGTAGCAGGAACTTACTAAAAACCAGTGACTGGGCTAGTTGCTGCAGAAAATATGAAAAATCATAAAGATACTGTTCCTGCTCTCCAGAAGCTTTCAGTCTTATTGGGAAAGCACACCATACATATAAGAAACATTAATAGTAATTTCATAATGATTTCAATCAATCCCACTTCCTCCAGCATAATATTGTTACCTACAGAAATCTTAATAACTAAGAGTTTATATCAAACTTTATAAATTATAATATAGTTTTCCATTTTAAGCAACTTCAGCAAAAATCTGGACTAATTAGAAAAACTTATCAGTAGTAACTGCAGAAACCTAAATAATATATTTCTATCTAGATTTCAGGGTATAAATTATTTTCCATTCACCTAATACATGAAATTATGGTAACTAATTTCTATATAGAAGATGATATATCACTCTAGGTGTCCTACCTAGCAGAATGAAACATAATATAAATACTTTTAGGGAGTATACAATATTTATAATACAATCACAAATAGTTTGTATTCAACATTTTGTTTCTGCTTATTCCTCATGATAAGGTGTCACTGTAATGACAAACACTCTGATCAAGGAGAGCCTTGTGATGTGGTTAGCTTTCTTGGGTACAAGATGGAAAACAGCATCAATTATAATTGACATAAGATGTTGATAGAGTCCAAGAAAGTTATTAAGAGTTGTAGAAAACTTTTAAAAATTTCAGCGCAAATCTCAAAGACTCTAAGACAATGCTGTCAAGTAGAACTTTCTCCAATGATGGAAATGTTTATCATTTGTACTCTTCAGTAGGGTACTATTGAGCATTTTTTAAAATAAGTTTATTATGAATGAGGAACTAAAGCTCTAATTTTCTTTAATTTTCCTTATTTTAAACTAAAATAGCCACATGTGACTAGGGGCTACCATATTAGGCAGCATACCACAATGACAAGGACTTAAGCAATTGAAGAGCCACAAAAAAACATGTTTTTCTAAGAGATTGATCTAGATCATACAGATAGAGATGTTAACATTACCAGTACTTCACAAACATTCAGCAAATACAGGATATAGACAGAGGAGGTAGAAGAGTAAAATGTGATAGAACAAATCCAAAGTTCATAAAAATTTATTTCATATAAATTTTGCTCAGAATATATTTGTATACCTACTGAAATCCTTGAATTTATTAACAATGAAAGAAAATAGTTTAAGAAAAATAATTTCATCTCTATAGTAAAAGTTATTTCCATTCAATCTTTAAACAGAGTTCTCTTTTTTTCAAAAACATGTGACAGTGATGCAAATTCAACTTAATTATCTCTGGGCATTAAAAAAGAAAATAATCATAACAGATAACTCTTTCATTAATTGTGTTAAACTTCCAACACGACACTTAAATACTATTTAGCAACAGTGGACACAGGACAGAGTACACTACCATACCCTGTGTGACATTCCACCATACCCTGTGTGACACTCTACCATACCCTGTGTGACATTCAAAAGCCTTTTCGGAGCCTTAAATATTGGCCCAGATTTTTAAAAAATTAACAAAGGTACCAATGACCACAATCTGATTGTCCTAGCTTGTGCAACAAAGAACCAGATGAAATCAGTGCAACTTCTGCTAAAAATGAGAGGTTCCAATGATTTTTGTACCAATTTTGAATCTTGTTTTTAAAAGAAAAGATTTCCCAAGATGGTTTTTAGGTAAGACTCCCTTTAATATCACACTTCTAAGATTGAAATGAGATCAGTTCTTATGGGTGAAGAGATTGGCTGCTATGCCTCTCCTGGAGCTTCAGGCACCCATAGAACAAGGGGAGCAACAGCTGGGCGCGGTGGCTCACACCTGTAATCCCAGCACTTTGGGAGGCCGAGGCAGGCGGATCACGAGGTCAGGAGATCGAGACCATCCTGGCTAACACGGTGAAACCCCGTCTCTACTAAAAATACAAAAAATTAGCCGGGCGTGGTGGTGGGCACCTGTAGTCCCAGCTACTTGGGAGGCTGAGGCAGGAGAATGGCATGAACCTGGGAGGCGGAGCTTGCAGTGAGCCGAGATCGCGCCACTGCACTCCAGCCTGGGTGACAGAGTGAGACTCCCTCTCAAAAAAAAAAAAAAAAAAAAAAAAAAAAAGAACAAGGAGAGCAACAAAACAAACATTGGAAGCCTGAAGTTGCACAGGAGCTATAGAAAGGCTTCCATTAGAGTGTAGTCGGCCCTCAACATCTGCAGGTTCCACATCTGTGGATTTAACCAACCATGAATAGAAAATATTCAGAAAAAAATTTCTTCTTTACTGAACATGTACAGACTTTTTTCTTGTCAATATTTCCTGAACAATACAGCATAACTATTTACATAGCATTTATATTGTATTAGGTACTATTAGCATCTAGAGATGATTTTAAACATGTGGAAGGATATAAGCAAGTCATATGGAAATACTACACTCTTTTATATCAGAGACTTGAGCATCCTCAGATTTTGGTATCCAAAAGAGGTCCTGGAACCAAGTTCCCAAGGATATGGAGGGACAACTGCAATCCCATCTGAAATGACCCAATAATATAGTCAAAGAATAGCCAGTCAAACATATTCCAAGTATGGTTTATATTGGGCTATCTTTTCTTTCCTGAATCTAGGTGTCTGGAATGATAACTAAGCAACTAAGGTGAGAAAAAAAGAAATTAACATTAATCAAACGCCTACCACCATGCTAAGCACATTCCTCTTTATCTCTTTTAATCCAGACATAGAGGAGGTACTTGTTATGATCATTTTTAAAGATCAAATACAGCCTTTCAATGGCATGTTTTCATGGAAATGGCATAAGGAATTCAAAGTATACCTACCCAATGCCCTGGGCTATATTTTCTAATTGCCGACACATACAAGATCGAACTTCATATTCTACATCTTGACAGAGTGATTTTACCAGAGGAAGTATTTCTCGCTTAATGCTGAAGGTGGGGAGAAAAGAAACATGCAAATGAATGAGTGTTTCAGAATAATATTCCCAAACAATTATCATTAAAATCTTAACTCACCTTAATAATAACAAATGTACTTTAATAGAAAAAAAATAATAGTTTACAAGGTATTTTACATGTTATTAAATTTGGATGTTATTAGCTACTTGTAAATTATGTATATCACACAGTCTTTTTAAAATAATGGTTAATTTTGGATTGGCAGTTGAAATGTCTATAGCTAAGATAAAAGGCTGTAGCAGTAGAATATCTGAGTCTAGCAACCATCAACCAAAATACTCTTCAGCTTTACTCTTGTATCATAATTATAAAACATTCCATTCTTTTCATTTGGTATTTAATAAGCAGGCAAGAAGTAGCACATGAATTATAAACATGCTCCATAAAACCTCACAATAAGTTAAATTATTCAAAATAACAAATTCATAACAACAGTGTAAAAAAGCAGCAATTCTATCTTTATGCCGCTGCCAATTTTGAAAGTCAATAAGATAACGCTATTTTATCCTCAAAACTATATTTGGTATGAGATAGGGAAGATTAAGATAGGAAGTAGGAAAAAAGTTAACCTTACCAATTCTGAAAAGTTATGAGATTGAAAAGAAAGGCATCTGAATAAGTAAATTCGTCATGAGAATTCCATAAAGTTAAAATAGTTAAGATAACTAAATTTGTATGCAGTATGAAATAACACAAATATATTGTTACACAGTCATTATACATTTTAAACGAATGTAATAAAGTAGACCGAAAATTACATACAAATACTCACGTGTGGGCATCAAATTTGTTGGTCAATTTTCCTAAAATTTTACAACTAACTAAACGAGACTGGACTGTTTGGGAAAGTTGTGCCTTGGAAACAAGTGGATTCAAAATCTAAAGAGAAAATTTAGAGAAAAAAATTCACAAAATTTTATACATTCATGCCACTCATGTCAGCTATTCCTTCAGAGTATTTTAAAGTTCTAAATGTTTTTAAAGAACCTGAATTACGATTTGAGGTTCATGACTCAATAACTTGGATTATCTTATTTGTCTTCTGAGTTATTAAGGTAAAGATAATTACAAATTATGCAATTAAAACAATTAGGAAAAAACTGAAGTAAAGTTTATGGTGATTTTACAATGCTCTGTATGCACAGATAAAAGTAGAATTTTGAAATACATATTTTAAAAAGAAAAGAGCAAATAATGACTAAATACCTTGAAATGTATTTTTATTCCATATAGATTAATTTTTATATGTATCCTAATGGGATGAAAAACATTATAGCTTCAAATAAATCCTATTAAATAATTCTGTCATTTGAGTACAATAAGCCAAGTCTGATATTGCATTATGTATATACTGGACACTCAAATACTACAACAGCCTGACAGACCATAAAACACTATGAAGATCAGACTCTGATTCTAGTCCCAGTTCTCTAGTTTGTCCAAATAATCTCGCTATTTCTCTTTTTTTT
This sequence comes from Homo sapiens, assembly GCF_000001405.40. Classification (NCBI taxonomy): domain Eukaryota; kingdom Metazoa; phylum Chordata; class Mammalia; order Primates; family Hominidae; genus Homo; species Homo sapiens. The sequence goes on along the minus strand of NC_000014.9, from coordinate 94,233,062 downwards.
TTTTTGAGACGGAGTCTCGCTCTGTCGCCCAGGCTGGAGTGCAGTGGCGCGATCTCGGCTCACTGCAAGCTCCACCTCCCGGGTTCACGCCATTCTCTTGCCTCAGCCTCCCGAGTAGCTGGGACTACAGGCGCCTGCCACCACGCCCAGCTAATTTTTTGTATTTTTAGTAGAGACGGGGTTTCACCGTGTTAGCCAGGACGGTCTCAATCTCCTGACCTCATGATCCGCCCGCCTCAGCCTCCCACAGGGCTGGGATTACAGGTGTGAGCCACCGCGCCCAGCCCATAATCTCGCTATTTCTAATCTCCAGTTTCTCATCTATTTAAAATGGAAACAAGAATATGTCCTACTAAGATCTCTTTAATTTCTAAAATTCTATGACTCTATAGTCAACTGGCTTGTTTCCTCTCAAAGTAGCTGGAATTACTGAATATGCATTGATAATTTAGAAGTGAAAAGTTTAGAATAAATTACATATCTAAAATCTTTGAAACCACATGTTAAATAATATGGTATTCTAGAGTAAAAATTGCATTATACAGCATATTGCTTTTCAAAAAAATATAAAAATCACATGTCTATATTACATTCAGCACTTAAATATGCATAATCATCTAGATGTTTGGCATCAAGTATGCAAACATCCTTATAACTAGAAAATCTTCCCATTTTCAAGCCAGTATTTAAGCATTGTGACAGGACCATAAACTGTATGAAGACAAAGAAAGGACAAAGACACTTAATGAAGTCAGTAGAGGACATTTCATTGGCTGATGACTCTTTTTTTCAATCATGACATATTTGGAAAGAAATGTATATAGGAATAATGTTCAAAGAATACAAAATCTTTTCATTAGTGGATACTTTTCTTTCCATTTTTCTTCTTCTGTCATTGTAATTTATTTAAAGTCTTTAGAGAAGAGTATGCTGTTCAATGTTGAAAATTAATAGGCAAACAACATGCTGGGAATAATATTTGTAAATATAACAAAGAATTGGCAACCATAATAGGTAAATAGCACATATAAATAGTGATTAAAGGATAGGATCAAACAATTGCAAAGGAATAAAGAGAAACTGATATAAATATGAGAAAATATTCAACAGCACAATAATTTAAAAATTCCAATAAAATGTAATTCCATTTTTGGCCCATTAAATGTAACAGAAACACTATTGCTGATAAAAGTCTAGGAAAAGAGCATCTTCACATATTGTTAGTCAAAAGCTTAAGAATATTAATGCCCTCTGATCCATTAATTCCTGTTTGAAAGCTACAATTAAATTATCTGAAAAACAGGAAGAGCTCTACAGAAATGCTCATTAATGTCCTATTCAATAGTAAAATATAAGCCTGAAAACAGGCTTAAATGTTTCACAAGTAAAATATTCTGCAGCTACTATCAAATGAGTTTAAAAAATATAGGAAAGTAATGCTAAGTGAAAAACAACCATATATAAATTCAGTATGATCACTGATATAGCAAGCCAAGCAGCAACCATATATAGGAAAAAAATCTGAAAGGAAATACATCAGGACCTTAAAAGTGGACAAGTACAGAGCTATGAATTCTTTTTTCTTCCTTCTATATTTTATATTTCTCAAATTTCCTCCAATGTGCACGTGTTACATTCAAAATGAAAAACAACTTTCTTTTTTAAAAACCATTTTTGACAAGAAACCTTTTAAAAAAAAACCTTAGAGTGACTTACTTATTAGTATTTGCCCCCATGAAAGTATTACCTCATGCCGTAGGGTTTCTTTTGGCAATACTTCTATAACAGACAGAAGAGTTTCCAGCCATGCATTGCTGACACCTGGTTGACAGAGATAAAACATACTAAATTAAACGTCTCACTTCAAATTCAGTTTCAACTCAGCCATTAATAGTTACAATAGCACTTAATGATAAAATGGAAATAATTATTTTCATTACTATTCTAAAAAGTTTCTCTATTATTTTGTCTCAGTCAACATCTAGAAAATTTTTATATTTTTAAAAATAGTATTGGTGAGATATCTTTAAACCAAGGTTTGCTCTTTTATTGTACAATACTATAAACATGACTGCTAGAAAAGGAAAAAAAGTAACAAGAAAGTATAAATCATAAGATGAATTAATGGATCTTCAGCTTTCAAGGATATTAAATTTTGTGGGTTTTATAAGACAGCCATAGCTATTTTAAGTCATTCCACTGCTCAACTCCTAGGCAGCATGGCCTTACTCAGTTATCCTCATCAGGCTAACAGTATTTATATAATATCATGGCCATACACAAAAAAACAATAAACAAGTATATAATTAAGCATGCCAGGCCCCTGACCTGTGTCCCTGTGCTCCAGATGCAGGAGAATGACTTGGAGGAATGAGTGGGTATATGCATGAATTGACACTGATTCGTCCTGCAGAATGGTCAGAAATGACATCGCAGCCGTTAACTGCATTTCCACTCCTGCAACATGCAGGGCTTCCTGTATAATCAGAAAGAGTTTGCTATTTACATAGATGAGAGATCACAAATTATAATTTTTAAAAATCCAAGGTTGTAGAAACTAAATAGTCATATTCCACAAAATTAAGACATATGACCTTTAAGGATATGTACTTATTTCAGAGAACTATATTAATCTGCTCCTGATCATTTAACTCATTACACTACATAAAATTTAAGTGTCTTAGGATTTTATAAGATAAAGTAACTTGCCACCGCTTTATTGAATAAAAATTATAAACAGTACATAAACCTTTAAGCAACAGAGTAGAAACTTTAGAGAGGTTTTAATTTCTGTTTTCCTGTTTGGATTGTGACAGTTTGTCATCCTACCTAGAACAATGTCAAAGCTCAGACAATCACATGTGTTTCCATTATTTGTATTTGTGTTTCAAAAAATAAACATCATACATTCTACTATAAAAAAGAATACACTTAAGAGTATGCAAAATATTTCCCCTTTAAACAACTGAAGAGAACACAAATTACCATGAAGTAAACTGTTTTCAAAAGAAAATTTCTTAAGAATATGCTTTTAAAAATTAATTATATTCATAGTCATCTCCATTCACCATTTAAAGAATTTTAAAATGCATATCCAAAATTAAAGCCTATATTATAGTATGTTTTCAACACACCAAAGGGTCAAAAAAACTATCTTTCTACGTAAGCCTCAAAGATATTACTGTACTTCTCTATGAGAGAGAGAGATAGAGAGAGAAAGTGTGTGTGTTTGTGTGTGTAATGTAAAGGCAACAAGAAGTATTACTTGCTCAATTATGGCAATAATGAAAATTTCCCTTATATGCCTATTTTATAATATAATAAAGTCAGTAGAACAACCTGGAACTTAGTCATAAAATAGTTTCATATCAGTGATCTTAGGAATATTAATCCTTCTGCATTATTTCCTAATCTATAAAATGTGAATTATAGCAACATCTTCATGAAGATTTAAATCATTTAAACAGAACTTTTGTGATTTATCAACTTGTGCAAAATGAACGTTTAAATAATTACTATTGTATATCCACTGTCTTCTGTCTATGTTACCTTTGGATATCTAGTTGGAATCTCAGTTGCTCGCACCTTCACTGATCTCTCCCTAAAACCTGCTCCTCCTGTAATCTTCCTCATCCTGATAAATAGTAAATGTCATCTCTGCCATTCCAGCTGCTCAGCCCAAAAACTGTGGGGTCATCCTTAACTCCTCTCATTCCCTCACTCCCCACAGTCAAAAGACCAATAAATCCTGAAGGGTCTACCTTCAAAACAAATCCAGAATCTGAACACTAATCACCTCTCCTGTTGCCACCCTAGTCCAAGTCACCATCTTCTCCAGCCTCAATTACTCAAAAAACCTTTAACCAGTCCCTGATTCCATCACTGTTCCTCTACTATCCATTCTCTATACTGTAGCCTGAGGAATTATTTTAAGAAATAAGTCAGATAATGTCACTTTTCTGCTCAAAACTCTCCAATGGGCTTCCATCTCACTCAAAGGAAATGTCAAAGTCCTTTTAATGACTTACAGTATGTGTTCTCAGTTCCACTTTTCCTGGATTTCCATATGGCTGGCTCCCCTACCTCTTTCAAGCCTCTACTCAAATACCACCTTGTCAATGAGGCCTTCCCTGATGACCCTACTTCGAGCTGAAAGTCACCTCCTTATCCCAGTTCTCACTACCCCCCTTTACCAGTTTATTCATTACCATCATCCAATACACAACATATTTATTTGTTTATGGCCTATCTTTCAAAACTGGACACAAGCTTCATGTGTCCCCACCTCCTAGCACACAGCAGGCATTCAGTAAGCAGCTGCCGGGTGACTAAATGTCTCTTACCCTCTCACCTACGCTTTCTGCTCTTGATGCTCTCTCCCTTCACACACATTTTGCACATCTCCCAAAAAGTGGCTTCAAGAGATTTTGAGGTGAGTCCTAAAGATTAGGAATTGGCAGAATTAGATAGAAGGCAAAGCAAAAATGGATCACATAGAAATGTATTCTCAATCCTCTTTCTATCATGTCCATACTGCTGTCTTCTACCCTAACATCTCCATAACCATGATTTGGACCTATATACCCAGTCTTCTTGATTCAGCACAGTGGGACACTGTCAGTCATCACAATAGGGGATAACACAGGGATTTCTACAGCAGAAGAAACAGAATAGTAAAGCACTTTGATAAAGGCCAGCAAGCTAATAACTGGCAACTCTAACAAACAATTGTCTACCAGATGCCAAAACACTCCTATGCACTGAATTCTTCCTCACGGACTCTGCACTTCCATTCATCATTTATTAAGGCATGACTTAAAGCAATGCTAAGCCTTCATGTGGCGGTGTGGGAGATCTGGCAGTGGCATTTCCTGTGGCAAATGTCTATGTGCTATGGTTAATTGCCAGAAAACCTACCACATATTAGAGTGGCTGATTTTTGTTTTATTCTAAACTTTTGTATCATACACAAAAACATTATTTTACATGTTTTTTCAACCAAAAGTCAGTTACATATCATGAGAGTTCTTGGCTGAGAGAAAGAGGGAAAGAATGTTAAAGTATAAAGCAGAAGCAGCAAGTGGTCTCTGAAATCAATCCTCCCATACCCCTTTGTTTTAGTGTTCCCAAAAGAAACATTTCTTCCACACTAACAATTTGGGGTTTGGAAAACACTTTTAAAAGATTTGATGTGGCCAGTATACATCACTTACAGGTTTCAGAAGGCACAGCTTTTATTTAGAAACAGAAAGGACTTTGCAAATAAATATTAAAATCAATTGTGAGGGCCACAACGTACATTCCAGTTCACATGAGTCTGTTAACTTCCAAGAGATGCAATTCTGCCCCCTCTTAAAGTCATTAAAGTCCTGGGTTTTGTACGTATGCAAACTTTATACAAAGGAAGAACATGAGAAGCTCTCCAACTTCATATCTTCTTACTGTATTACTTAGTCTTGACTCCCGCAGCAACATTTGCCCCAACTATTTTGCATTTAATTTTCGAAAAATCCTCAAGTCTTATCAGGATTTGGGTTTTTCTCTTGTTGTGCTGACTTCAACATCTGGGACTGTCCACTGTTAAGAAACCAGCACAGACTAAGAGATTTCATCACTGCTAAAAATCAACTGATTTTCTAAACATATTTTTCTGAAACATAATACAATAAGAGTTCAATACTTACCAGTAAGTGTTCTCCTCCACAGAGTCACACCCTCTGGACAAACATATGTGAGATCCATACTCTCTGGATAAATAAGTGTGCATCCTCATGGACCTTGGAAGACACTGAAAAGTAAATTCCTCTATTGCTTAAGTGCATGCCTTAAGCCAGTTACCATTCCTCTTACATTACTATTGTACGGCTGGCATCCCAACTTGAATTCCTCAAAAATGAAATGAGACATTAAGAGTTAATGGCACGTTTCCAAGTTTTAAAAACTGTACCCATTCAAGGAAGGAAAGTGCAGTAGACACGTCTGTGTTTAAATTCGCTCTTTAGTTAACATGAGTGGTGCAAGAAAGCATTTTGTAAAACAACATAATACACTCCTTGCAGAGAGGGAAATAGCTGTCTCCAACAAGCCTGTATTATATCCATCAGGAAGATATTTCTCCTTAAAATACACAATATAGAAAAGCATTAAATAAATCATTGGCTTACTCCAAAAGAGCAAGTGTTTAAGTTTCACAAATTCTGAAAAGAATCTTATTGAATAAAACTGAAAAATATATTTATCATGAATAGTGCTAGTAAAAGGTAAAGGAACTCTAAAATTACAAAATATCTGTGTATTTTTAGAGATAGCATTGATTATTTTGAAATTAAATAATAGGGACTTCTATATTAAAACACTGAAGATCAGGGACATATAAAATATCTGGGCTATTAAAGATCATAAATGTGGGAGGTTTTAGTAATTAACATAATAGTGTAATAGCCCTCTTCATTATAAAATCATGATATTTATAAAAGACTTTCAAATAGGTTAAATATGAATAATTGAAATATGCCAGGTTCTAAGATACCTTTAATGATTATACCTCATCATTTTCCCTATCCCTGATTGCCACATTCCACCACTAAAATAAAGGGTGTAAAGGACTAGATGAGATCACTGAAAATCAAAATCTGAGAGGGAAAAATGAAGTGAAGACAATAAACAGAAATAACAAAGGGAGATATGTTTTACCATTCCTAAGTCTGTATTTCAGTGATTAGCAAGATTCATGAGGAGGTACACATAAAAATATCCTTAAGAACTCTTTCCATAAAGGAAATACAAGTATCATATGACTATTGTAAATATACAATAAAATATGCTGCCATGCAAATCATAAGAACATCAAAACAAACAAATCAATTTAAAGACCATAGTTTTGCAACTGAGCCTTCCAGCTGCAGTACTCTGCTAAGTCATTTTTAAACGTAATAAATTAGAATCACAGGAATTTCATAATTTAGGCTTAAAATGTAAATAAGCAGCAATTCAAAACTTTGCAAAGAAAGGATGTGCTTTTCAAAGAAATAATCTTGTTAATGGATGTGAATGATAAAGAACCATTCCTTCTGAATGATTCACTATAGCAATATTTAATTAATTCAATATTTTTTTCCAAAAATTATACACAGTTCTCTTAGAAAAAAAAGCAGCCATGGAAAGTCTAGCAAATATCTATAAGAAAGAGGAAACAGGGCTTTTTTTCTCCCAAGTCAGTCATAATACTTTCACCTTCTATCCTAATCTCTCTCAAAAGTAGCCCAAAGAAAATCTAATTCTGAAGATAATATCATTTTAATTTCATTCAAGTCCCAGCATCATACTACGTATTCTGGGAAACTGGAAAGAAGTCAAAGATAAGGATCTCTACCTTTCAGTGATTCCTGTTGACTATATACACTCACTCAAATGCTCAATTATGTTCAAGGCACTGTGCTGCTAGGTGCTAGAGACCTAGAGACCCAGCAATGAGCAGGACTAACAATGTACAGACACCTAACTGCACTGGCAGTAGAGTCTTACTTAACCTGATTTCAGGTACTGGATGATTTGAAGCTGGGCTGTCCTCCCCTGCAAAGGACAGTCTATTCAGGACTGCCCTTATTCCTACTGCAGAGGGGCTTATCAGGGACTCCGCAAGGCTGTCAGAGAAGTCACTTAGGCTCTCAGTCCCTCAAGACCCTCTTCTAGAATCAGCAAACACCCCCAGGCCCAAAGCAGGCCCCAAATTACATGCTCACTTTTCTGGATATTTGTTGTCTCTTAGATCTTGGAAGGGTAATTTTTTACTACCCTGTTAGTTTCCATAGGCCTGTATGCAGATGATTTTTATGTTTTGTTCAGCTTTAAAAATTATCCTTGCCAAGAGAGTTGATTAGAGTTACCTCGTCTGCCTTTATTGAAAGAGGAAGTTCCCTTTCCTGTTATTATTCCTTCTTGATTTAATCTTAGAATGAGATTAACCCCAACATTTCTATTTATATACCTGCATAGGTTCTCTGTGCACACATACCCCTCTACCATACCCTGTTCACCATCTCCACATCCACACAGATCAACTGATTGTTTTCTAACAATACGTTAGAAGTAATCAAGAACCTAAAATTAAATATTTTGCCAAAACCCTTGTGATATATGTCCTTAATTTACACTTCTAGTTCTTAAGCTTCCTTATTTTCTTGGTGTAAAATTATGTTTCCAATAGCAGTTCTCCACTTTTGGTCTTCATTTTCTCTGTAGACAATCTCCTCCACACCAACGACTTTAAATGTAATCTGTATAAATTTTACTTTTTTATTGGCAGACCTGTTCAGAGTATCACATCCGTATATACAACTCTCTGCAAACTCTACTTCGGATGTCTCAAAGGTATCTCAAAGGTAACAAGTCCAAAATTGAGCTCACAGTATTTCCTGTAACACCTGGGCCTCCTCCAGTCTCTTGTCCTAATGTGGGCTTTCTCTAGTCTCCTATCTTAGTGTGTGCCACTGTTACCCACCTGGTTTACAAACCAGGATTTCAGGAGTTATCGTTGATACTATTGGTTTTTTATTGCTCATATAGTCCTGGTTTTGCTTTGTTGTCTATTTCTTTAATCCATCCACCTCTCCAACCAGGCTACTTCCACCATAGTCCAAGCTACTTTGAAGGTTTGCTCAGGTAAGGGTAACAGATTCCAAGTGATCCTCACCCACTACATCCCTTCCATTCCATCCTACATCACTCTCTTCTGATTCATTTTCGACTTTACAGTCAGCATGAGATTTCAAAGCATTTAAAACTATAATTTGAATATTCTCTTGCATAATGCACCTAAGGATCTGCATAATTTGGGCTTTTTCACTGTCTCGGCAACTCCTTTTGCTTTATGCTCTAGGCACACTGATTTTCTCTCAGTTCTTTGAATCTACATTCAATCTGCATGCTTCTCTTTCCTTCTCAATGCTGGGAATGTTTGCTTTCCTATCTCCCCTTATCTTGCCCTTCATCTAATTATTTCTCTTCATACATGTAATGTCATACCAACAAAATAAGGAAGCTTAAGAACTAGAAGTGTAAATTAAGGACATATATCACAAGGGTTTTGGCAAAATATTTAATTTTAGGTTCTTGATTACTTCTAACGTATTGTTAGAAAACAATCAGTTGATCTGTGTGGATGTGGAGATGGTGACAGGGTATGGTAGAGGGATATATGTGCACAGAGAACCTATGCAGGTATATAAATAGAAATGTTGGGGTTAATCTCATTCTAAGATTAAATCAAGAAGGAATAATAACAGGAAAGGGAACTTCCTCTTTCAATAAAGGCAGACTAGGTAACTCTAATCAACCCTCTTGGCAAGGATAATTTTTAAAGCTGAACAAAACATAAAAATCATCTGCATACAGGCCTATGGAAACTAACAGGGTAGTAAAAAATTACCCTTCCAAGATCTAAGAGACAACAAATATCCAGAAAAGTGAGCATGTAATTTGGGGCCTGCTTTGGGCCTGGGGGTATTTGCTGATTCTAGAAGAGGGTCTTGAGGGACTGAGAGCCTAAGTGACTTCTCTGACAGCCTTGCAGAGTCCCTGGTAAGCCCCTCTGCAGTAGGGAATAAGGGCAGTCCTGAATAGACTGTCCTTTGCAGGGGAGGACAGCCCAGCTTCAAATCATCCAGTACCTGAAATCAGGTTAAGTAAGACTCTATTGCTAGTGCAGTTAGGTGTCTGCCAGAAGAAAATATATTCCTTCCATGAGAAAGATATCATCCTAGGCCTCAAACTATTTCTACAAATAATTTGTCAAATACAAGACCAAGCACATAATCAATAATATCAACATATATAAGGAGATAAGATAATAAGCAGAAACAATACAAAATATAAACATGCCAAAAGGAGCTCCAGATACTAGTGCTATATGATACATACATGGTTCAAGAGGATAAAAGATACAATTGAGGATTTCAACAGAGAATTCTCTAAGATATAAAAAATGGCAGATTTTAAAAAGCTAAATGGAAATTCTAGACTAGATAAATACAATAATCAAAATAAAAATCAGGTTAGATACAGATGAATTAGTGAGACAGAAGGTGTATTAGAATAAAACACCAATGAATCACAAACAGAAAAAAGGATGGAAAAGAAAGAAAAGAAGATAAAGGACATGGAAATACTATTAAAAGATCTAATATACATAAAATTGGAGTCTTAGAAGGAGGAGAGAGAGAAGATTAGGCAGAGGCACATGTAAAAAGATACCTGAGAATTTTCCAAAACTGGCCAAAGAAAATAAGCCACAGAGTCAAAAAGCCATAAATATGCCTCCATATTTCTAGAAATCTACAGATATACAGTGTAAAATCCTATGCTAATAAAAACATCTATTTAAAATGCATGTGGAAGACATTTTCAAACAGACAAAAACAAAGATAATTTGTTACCAGCAGACTTGTACTGAATACTAAAAGGTGTTCTTCAGGCAGAAAAAAAAAAAAGATTCCAAATGGAAATACTACAGGTAATAAAAAATGATAGCTATGTGGGTAAATCTAAATAGATATTGGTTAGATAAAACAATATCTAGGAGACCTGAAATATATAAATAAAATAGCTAACAACAGTAACATATAAGTCAGAAGAGGATTAAATAATAATTATATTATTATCTAGGAAAAGGGTAAAAATACCAATGAAATTCGACTTTGATAATATGTCCTTTTTGTAATGTCTAAGCTCACTAACACAAGAAAAGTAAAAGAGTCTGTAACTTCCAAGCTAATAGATGAGGGGGAAAGTGAAATAATAAAACTACTTAATCAATTCAAATAAAATAAATAAGAGAAATAGAAACATAGAGCAGTTGGCAAAAAGAAAAAGCAAATTGTAAGATGACCTATGCAATTACATTAAATGTAAATGGGAAAAATATTCTAATTAAAATACAGTGTGAGATTGGATTAAAAAATAAAACCCAATCATGTTGTTTACAAAATAAAATCTAAAACATCAGGAGAAGCCACAGAGTCAAAGAAGAAATTTCAACACATAACCAGAATATGTAAAGAGTATTATATCATTGAATGGTTATACCACAATTGACTTATCCATCAACAGTTGACTGATATTTGGGTTGTTTCCAGTTTTAGCTATAACAAGTAAAGCTGCAATGAACATTCATGTATAAGACTTTATATGAAAAGATGCTTCATTTTCTCTTAATCCTTAGGAATTAAATAGCTGAGTAATATAGTAGATGTATATTTAAATTTTTGAGAACCTGTTTTCTAAAGTTGTTGTACCATTTTATATTCCCACCAACAGTGTAAGGGAGTTTGAGTTGCTCTACAGTCTTCCACAATACTTCGTATGGTCAATTGCTGTTTTTTTGTTTGTTTGTTTTTTGTTATTTTTAGTACAGATATTTTAACAAGTGTATTGGAGATTTACTCACATTGTCCTAATGACTAATGATGTTGAACATCTTTTCTTATGTTTACTGGCCATCTGCCAATGTTCTTTGGTGAAGCATCTTAAAAATTTTTCCATATTTCTAAAAATTGGGTTGTTTTATTATTGTGTTTTGAGAAGTTCTTTATGAATTCTGAACACAGTCCTTTGTCATCTATGTGATTTACAAATATTTTCTCCCATTCTGACTTGTCTTTTCATTCACTTAATAGTGTCTTCTGAAGAACAGATCTAATTTATCAAATTTTTCTTCTAAGGATCATGCTTCTAGAGTCATATGTAAGAAACTTTTACCTAACCCAAGGTCACAAAAATTTTCTCTTATGGTTTCCTCTAGAAGTTTTAATAATTTCAGTCTTTAACATTTAGGTCTATGATCTATTTTATCTTTTGCATATGGAGCAAGGTATGGATTTATTTTTCAAACTGTTTGAGCATCATTTGTTGAAAAGTCTATCCTCTCTATAATGAATTGCCTTTGCCCCGTGTCAAAAACAAACTGACAATTTGTGGGGTAGGTGTGAGTTTTCTTAAACTTTCTCTATGTCTCATTGATTACTTTATCTGTCTTTACACCAATCATACAGTATTAACTGCTGTGGCTATATATTATGTCTTGAAATCAGGTAATGCAAGTCCTCCAATTTTGTTCCTATTTTTCAAAGTTGTTTTGGCTATTCTAGGTCCTTTACATTCTCATACGAATCTTAGAATTAGTTTGTCATTTCCTACAAAAACCTAACCTACTTGAATTTTGATTATTTTGCATTAAATATACGCATTGATCTGGGGCAAACTGACATCTTCACAATATTGAGTCTTCTGATCCACGAATATGATCTATATTTCAGTTCACTTAGTTCTCTCATTATTTCCTCTCAGAAATGTTCTATAGTTTTCAGTTTATAGATCTTATGTAACATTTACCAGATTTATCTCTAAGTATCACTTATTTTAATGCTATTTTGATAGTTTAAGAAAAACTTCAGTTTCCAATTGTTGGTTGCTGGTTTGTAGAAACACAGCTGATTTTTGTATATTGATCTTATATCCCATAACCTTTCTATACTCGCTTGGAAGTTCCAGCATTTTTCTTTTGCAGGTTCCTACATATGATAATGTTATCTGAGAAAAAAAAAAGACAGCTTTACTTCTTTCTCTGCAATGTGAATGCTTTTTCTTTTTGTTGCCTTACTGTACTGGCTAGAATGTCCAGTATACTGTTAAACAAAAGTGGTTAAGAGCAGACACTTTTGGCCTTTTCCTGATCTTAGGAAAAAGTCTTTCACCTTTAACTGAACATGTAGGTTTCTCACAGAGGAAGCTCCCATCTATTTCTAGTTTACTGAGTTGTGAGGTTATTTATTTATTTATTTATTTATGAGATGGAGTCTCGCTCTGCTGCCCAAGCTGGAATACAGTGGCACAATCTCGGCTCACTGCAACTCTGCCTCCCAGGTTCAAGCAATTCTCCTGCCTCAGCTTCCTGAGTAGCTGGGATTACAGATGCCTGCCACCACACCTGGCTAATTTTTGTATTTTTAGTAGGGATGGGGTTTCACCATGTTGGCCAGGCTGGCCTCGAACTCCTGACTTCATGATCCACCTGCCTCGGCCTCCGAAAGTGCTAGGATTACAGGCGTGAGCCACCATGCCAGGCCTTATTTTATTTTAAGACAGGGTCTCACTATCTTGCCTAGACTAGACTAAAACTGTTGGGCTCAAGAGATTCTCCAGCCTCAGCCTCCTAATAGCTGGGATTACAGGTGTGTGTCATCACACCTGGCTAAGATTTTTTTTTCCAGAAATAGTTGTTGGATTTTGTCATATACTTTTTCTAAATCTACTGAGATGATTAGATGGTGGTGTTCCTTTTTTAGGTTTCTGACAAGATTTATACTGACTAGTTTTTAAATTTTGAAACAATCTTGAATTCCTGAGATAAACCCTGACTAGTCATAATGTATTATTATCCTTCTGATATATTGTTGGATTTGATTTCTCATTTTTTGGGTGTTTGCATCTACGCTCATGAGTATATATACATCAGGGTAATGCTGGGCCTGAAAGTTTATCAGGAAGTTCTTACCTCCTCCTCTATTTTCTGAAAGAATTTGTGTAGAATTGTTATTTCCTTTACATTTACCCTAATTTTTACCATTTCCAGTGCTCATTTATTCATGTAAATCAATTTCCATCTGGTATCACATTACTTTTACCTAAATAATTTCCTTTACAGCCAGGCACGGTAGCTCACATCTGTAATCCCAGCACTTTTGGGGGCAGATCACCCGAGGTCAGGAGTTCAAGACCAACCTGGCCAACATGGTGAAACCCTGTCTCTACTAAAAACATAAAAATTAGCTGGGCATGGCAGCAGACCTGTTCCCCACTATTTGGGAAGCTGAGGCAGGAGAATCGCTTGAACCCGGGAGGCAGAGGTTGCAGTGAGCCTAGATCGTGCCATTGCACTCCAGCCTGGGCAACAAGAGCAAAACTCCATCTCAAAAAAAAAAAAAAAAGAAAAGAAAAGAAAAAAAAAAAAGATTTTCCTTTACCATTTCTTGTGGTATAGATTTGATATAATTAATTCTCTCAATTTCTGTTTATCTAAAAAGCTACTTTGTCTTCATCCTGGAAAGGTATTTTAACTGGGTATATATTTCAGTTGACTTTTTAATTTTTGCTTTTTACTTTCAGTACTTTTAATATGATATTCTTTTGTCCTCTAGACTACATAGTTTCTGATCAGAAGCCTGTTCAATTGTCACCTTTGTCTCTGGCTACTTCCAAGATTATCCTTTTTATTTTCAGCAGTTTATGAGGTATCTAGGGGTGAGGGTGTGTGTGTGTGTGTGCGCGCGCGCACGTGCGGTGTCTAGGGGTGAGGGTGTGTGCGCGCGCGCGCGTGCAGTGTCTAGGGGTGAGTGTGTGTGTGTGCGCGCGCGCAGTGTCTAGAGGTGAGGGGGGTGTGTGTGTGCGCGCGTGCGGTGTCTAGGGGTGAGGGTGTGTGTGTGTGCGCGTGCAGTGTCTAGGGGTGAGTGTGTGTGTGTGCGCGCGCGCAGTGTCTAGAGGTGAGGGGGGTGTGTGTGTGCGCGCGTGCGGTGTCTAGGGGTGAGGGTGTGTGTGTGCGCGCGTGCGGTGTCTAGGGGTGAGGGTGTGTGTGTGTGCGCGCGCGTGCGGTGTCTAGGGGTGAGGAGGTGTGTGTGTGTGTGTGCACGCGCGTGCGGTGTCTAGGGGTGAGGGTGTGTGTGTATGTGTGTGTGTGTGCGCTCGCACGCATTTATCCTGCTCTGAGTCCTCTGGTCTTCTTAGATCTATGCTTTGTCCTGGCTAGTATTTCTTTAAATAATTCTTCCTTCCCATTTCTCCTTTCTCTTTCTGAGATGCCGATTGCATATATATTAGATCTCTTTTTATGCTGTCTCAAAGCCATTGGATGTTCTCATTTTTCACTCTTTTCTATCTCTATGTTTCAGTTTGGATAGTTTCTATTTTCAAGTTCACTGATTCTTTCACCAGACATGTTCAAACTCCTGATAAGCCCATTGAAGAAATGCGTCATCTCAGATATCATCTTTTTTATTTCTAGCATTTTTTTTTCATTTGAGACAGTGTTTTGCTCTTGTTGCCTATGCTAGAGTGCAATGGTGCAATCTCGGCTCACCGCAACCTCCGCCTCCCGGGTTCAAGCGATTCTCCTGCCTCAGCCTCCTGAGTAGCTGGGATTACGGGGATGTGCCACCACGCCTGGCTAATTTTGTATTTTTACTAGAGATGGGGTTTCTCCATGTTGGTCAGACTGGTCTCAAACTCCTGACCTCAGGTGATCCGCCCACCTCAGCCTCCCAAAGTGCTGGGATTACAGGCGTGAGCCACCACGCCCGGCCTATTTCTAGCATCTTCATTTGATTATTTTATAGATCCTCTCTCTGTTGAAATGCCCTATACATCCAGGCATGTTGTTTTTTCAGTGGATTTTTTTTTACCATATAAATCACAGTTACTTTAAATTCTCTAATACTTCCAATATCTGGGTCATCTCTGACACTAGACCTGTTGTTGCTTTATGTTTTGGTAAGTTTTCCTATTTTGTGTGCCCAGAAATTTTTGATTTTGAAATGTTGAATGCTGGATATTCAGTGATGATAGGGGCAACAGTATTTATGCTCAGAAATGAACATTCCACCTCTGCTAGGCTGTTAAGTCCAGGGGGTTGAATAACCAGTCTAGTTAGCAGTTGAGCTGGGTTTCAGGCTTTTTGTTGCTATGGCAATCACAGCACAACAGGTTTCAGACCTCCAATAGTGGGCCACTATTACCTTTTGTTTAACGTGCAGCCTCAGATGCCAAAGGGTTTGCCTCAGTGTTCCTGCTCCACCCTCAGTTTTCAGCAGGCGGTCTCTCTCCACACTCTTGTCCCTTCTCTAGTAGTAGACAACTGTTGCTTGTTACTACACACTAGGCTAATGGTGGATGTAGAGTATTCTCAGATATCTTGGTGCAGCCTCATCTTAGGTAGGGGGTCTTTGAGCCTGGGCCTCAGGAATGTAACTTTTTCAGTGTTCCTGTCCTATAACTTTGTATCTTGGGGTGCGGGAGGGGGACCTTTGCCAGGGTCAAGTTTCTTGCCCTATCCCCACTGGTGGCAGACCTCTGCTTTTTATCAGTGCAGGGTCCTAGTTCTAACATCTCCTGCCTTCCACACCCAGCCCCTAGTGTCAAAAGGCTTATGCTCCCACCTTTCTCCCAGAAGTAAGTGATCTTTGCATGGTCCTGGAGGAGTGAGGGTTTTCTACCTCTCTTCCAGAAGCAAGTGGGTTTTGCTCCTACCAAACTCATCAAAGCAATGGCACTTCACCTGGGCTGTAAAAGCAGGAAAGTTCACTGCTTCTCCCTCTGCAGCTTAGACTCTTGCTTCATAAAGGAGAAGGTTTTCAGGAAATGGGCAGAGTTGGCTCCTGTCCCTCAGCAACAGCTCATCACCACCACACCTTTATCACCAAGGGAGATGCTCTCCAATCTCCTGCCTTGTCCCCTAGTCTTTCTCACAGATCAAACAGTGGAAACGTATGGAAAAGAGCTTGCAAATGGATGCAAAGCTCCTCTGTGTCTAAGCTACAAGTTATCCTAAACACATAAACTGTGCGAGTGCACATTCACCCTTTAAAAATGTGTTAAAATCTTAGCTGATACTGCTAACTACTTTATGTGGTGGGCACCTCTTCCTCCTATGCTCTGCCAAGTCAATGTTCCTGTGTCCCATCTATCCTAAGAGGGGTTTGTTACTCTTGAGAATTCAGCTCACTTGGCTGCCTGGTGACCAACTCTGATGTGCTCAAGAAGTTATGACTGTGTGGATTTTGTGGATAACCTACTGTTATTAGAATAAGAGTGATGTTCTCTTGCAGCTTTCTATATCCTAAATGGAAGTGAAACGGATTGCTTTGTTTTTGAGCCCTAGTATCATTCCTTACTCACTTACAAGCTTAACTACACATTTAAAGTAATTTCAGAAGTTTCTGTTCGTTTTTATTGCAGATAGGGTAAAAATAACAAATGACTGAATGACTAGGAAGCATATGTGAAAACACTGGTGTCCACTAGGAATTTACTGAAAGGCAATATTTTTAGGTCTATAATGCATACCAGCTAATATAACTATATATACCCAGAAAAACTATATACTCAGTAAATGTTTCACAGAACTTTAATTATTAATAGTGAAGTAATTAGTAATGTCAATCTATTTTGTCCTTAAATACAAATAGATATATATGTAAAAAGAAAAAGCATAAAAGACATTATTCTCAAAATGCATAGCATTAAATGTACCTTTATTTTTTAAGCTGTAAACCATAGAACAGTTTGTATCAATCTGTTCATCTCTAATTCCTTTCATTAATACTTTTATTTTCTGAGTGAAATAAACAATAAGTTACATAATTTTATGCTTCCTAAACCACAAGACCTCTTAATTCTGACCCTGATGATTATCTTCTATCAACCTTACATTATAGGAATTATTTCACTTTCTTATTTACATTCCTTCCTATCAGTGTCCCTAAATGTTTAGCCTGTCTAAAGAATACTATATTGTGGGCTTTTTATGATCTGTAAGGGTCTGGAACATCATGATCTGCTTATTATGCTTATCTCAGAACACATCATCTTCAGTGAGGAAGACAGATCCCTGTTTTCTTAGCTGCAAACCAAAGAAGAAAGCAATCTGTATCATTTGTTTATGCTCTTTAATTCCTTTAGTCAAAACTATTTCTTTTTCTTGGTGAACTGTAAGAATAAATTACATACTTTCATGCTTCCTAGAAATCTCCCAATAAAATATTCATAAACACTGAATTTTTTAAGCCTAGATTTTCCGAACTGTAAAATGAGTATAAATACATCACACGGAGCTGTTAGGAGGATTTTTTTAAGGATATATCTAAAGCATTAAGCATAGTGCCTGGCCTACAGTGTTCCACACATTATTACAGCTTGAGTATCCCTTATCCCAAATGCTTGTAACCAGAAGTGTTTCAGATTTTGAATGTTTTGCGATTTTGGAATATTTGCATATTCATAATGAAATACCTTGGGGATAGGACCCAAGTCTAAATATGAAATTCATTTGTTTCATATACATTTTATACACATAGGCTGAATGTAATTTTATACAATATTTTAAATAATTTTGTGCATGAAACTAAGTTTTGACTGCATTTTGACTTTAACTGCACCTCATCGCATGAGGTCAGATGGGGAATTTTCTACTTGTAGCATCATATTTATGCTCAAAAAGCTTCAAATTTTGGAGCATTTTGATTTTGGATTTGAGGATTAGGAATGCTCAATCTGTGTTGTTTGTTCACTTAACTATGCTACTTGAAATAGGACTTTTAAAAAAGTAAAGTTAAGCTTTCTATTTACAAATGTATTTATAAAGTGAATGCTTTCTGTAAAAACTCTAGAATAAGATGTTAAAAAAATCTACCCATATACAGGAGACATAAAATTCTATAATAAATAATCATATTAGGAGAAATTATTATTTTTTCCTATTATTTCTTTCTTTTTTTTTCTGTTTTTTTTTTGTTTTTTAGAGGCAAGGTCTTGCTATGCCGCCCTAGCTGGAGTGCAGTCAGTAACTATTCACTGCAGCCTCAAACTCCTGGGCCCCAGCCTCCTGAGCAGCTGAGACTATGGGCATGCACCGAAATAAAAGGAAATCACATTTCACATTGATTATGTCCCTTTTATCCTTTCTTTATTATATATTTCCCAAATCCTCTCCAAACCCCCAAAAAGTCTCTCTCGAACATAAATCAGCGTTATATACCATTCTACATGTACGTGTCAAATTTCCAAACAAATTCTGTTCCTACTTCTCATCCAAGAATGCCATCAGTGGATCAGGCCAATGTTCCCTTGGTCTTTCAGGTAGATATTTATATTGTCTCTAAATGTTAAGTTCAATGAACACTCATTTACAAAATTTTTTTGAGTGCCTATTATCTGCCAGGCACTATTCTAGGTTCCGGGGGTATAGTGAGAAACTAGACTGACAAATATTCTGCCCTTATGAAAGAAAGGGAAAAGACTGGCAGATGATGAGGTCACAAAGGTAGATGGGGGTGATTTAAGGACACGGTAGGGGGTTGTATTATATCTGAAATGGGAAGTTACTTTCATTAGTTTCCTGTGGCTGCTGTAACAAATTACCACAAACTGAGTGGCTTAAAACAACAGCTATTTCTTCTCTCACAGGTCTGGAGGCCAGAATTTCAAAGTCAGTATCACCTGGTCAAAATCAAAGTGTTGGCAAGGCCACATTCCATCTAGAGGCTCTGGGGTAGAATCTGCTTTTTGCTTCTTTCAGCTTTTGGTGGTTGCTATCATTCCTTGGCTTGTGGCCACATCACTCCAATCTCTACCTCCATCTTCACATTGCATTCTTCTACATGTATACGTCAACTCTCGTCTGCCTTCTTATAAGGACACATGTGATGGCATTTAGACCACCACCCCAATAATCCAGGATAATCTCCCAATCTCAAGATCCTTAACTGTATCTGTAAAGACCCCTTTTCCAAATAAGGTAACATTTACAATTTCTAGGGATTAGGGCCCAATATCTTTTGGGAAGGAGCATGATTCTACCTACCACACCACTTAAGTAATTTTCATGCAAGTGGGAGACAAGATATGATTGATGCTTTTTAAAAGATTTCTCTGGGTGAGTTTGCTCTAGGAGGCAAAATGGAAGCAACAGACTCAGTGAGGAGGCTGCTGTAGTACAGACAGGAGATGACTAAGGCTTGAGACATTAAATTACACATTTTATATCTGTTACAGTCATGATCAGCTAATGAGTAGTAAAGAGTGAGGACTCAGGGCTCAGACTTCCTGTTTAAACCTAATTATACCACTTGCAAGCTTTGTGACGTTGAGCAAGTTACTTAACTAAGTTGTTTCTTCCACTGTCAAGTGATCATTATAGAACTGCTATGAGTATTCAGATTAAAATGTGTAGAATATCTGACAGAATACAGTGCCTGACACATAGTAAGACCTCAATAAATATTGGCTACATTATTTTTATCTGTGCCTGGAATTGCTCGATTTCTTTTATATAATTTTATGACAAATTTATGGTTGCCAAAATGTAAGTGTAAAAACAACTAAATAAATTTAATACCTCGATAAGTAGAGAGTGTTTTTTGCATTGGATTGTAATGGAATCACCTTCGTTATGTGGTGTAATTATATCGCTATTATTCTGAATTTTATAAAAGACCATGGTATAATATTTTGGATATTTATCTTGACAATCAAATTCTTTCACTTCTAGATAATGAGAAGTTCAAAGCAAATATTGAAGTCTAACAAACATCTAAGATTTCAATTTAATATACTGTGGAAAAAGAATTAAAACTTAATAAAATCACAGGAAAAAAATTATTCAATAGATACCCTAGGATTAAATCATGTAACATGAATATATGGTAAAAACTATATTTTAAAATGTCTCCACATTTAAGAAATTTAAATTGGAGGTCAAAATATTTCCTTTCTAAATTTCTAGCTAAATTTAACCTTCAGATGAGTGGCCTAACTGCACTACCATTCATTGCCCACTTAGCACACAATTTAGAAAATAAATTGGGGAAATACTATGGATTGGCTTAATTCTATTTTTCTTACTTTCTATTTTTCTTCTTTGTTAGTTATTCTAGACAGCAACCTCAATCTGATGGATTAGCTCAATTGTAACACTAACTCTGTTTCTGACATTTTATTTTTAAACATTAAATTCCTTTATCTCTAAAACAGTGAAAGCAACCTATTTTTTAAATCACTTTTCAATTAATCCATTATCATAAGAACAAAATGCAAATGCAATAAAACAAAAATATCACTGGTGAAAGTTTATAATACATAAGGCCAGCAAAATCTCCATTACTTCATCTGATATTCTTAAAGGTAAAGACAAGGTAAAAAGTGAGCTCTAAAAGCTGCACACACCACTGTTATAAATGTGGTAAAAATCTTGGTATTGATTAACTTCTTGCATAAAATATGTATTGTTCATATCTTTAAATTATCTAAAAGTAAATCATTCACAAAAGACTAGTATTATCAAGTACACAAATTATTTTCCTTATGAATTTAACAGACTATCAACTATAACTGAAAACCAGCAGAACCATATGCATGGTCAAGCCAGAAATCTGGAAGTCATCTCTCACTTCACAAACCCAATCTGTTACGAAATTCTGCTCATTCTACCTTAACCCATGTATCTCAGATATGTCTACTGCTCTCTACTGTCTTAATTAGTTGTCCTCATACTAGCTATGAGGGCCAGAACTGAAGCTTCCTAACTATCCCACTCCAATCTATTCTCCATACAATAACCAAAATGATCACTGTGAAATAGAAACACAATTAAGTCACTGCCTGCTTTAAAGACTTCAACGACTTTTCACTGTCCTAAGAATGAAAACCAACATTTGCATGCTCTTTCATCAACCATTTCTCTAACCTCTTCTCAATCACACCCCACACCATCCACTGGGTCCAAAACACACCTGTCTCTCTCAGTCCCACCCAGCTCTTTCACCTTAGGGCTAATTACCGTTCTCTCCACCTGAACTACTTGGTCCTGACTCTCAAATGGCTGCTTCTTTCCATCCCTTCAGTTTTCTGCTCCTCAGAAAGGCATTCCTTGCCATCCCAATGCACAGCAGGTGCCCTCGTTACTATATTACTTTATCTCATCAACTCATGTTCTGTACACTCAGAGTGCTTATCACAAATGACCATTATACCTTTCTTGGGTGAGGAGGGATTTACTTGTTTAATGTCTGTTTCTCCATCTGGACTGTAGCCTCCTCCTTGAGGGCAAGTCCCCCATCTTTTGTTCACTTCTATTTTCCCAGTGCTTCGAACAGTGCCTGCCTTATAAAAGGACTCAGTAAATATTTATGAATGAATGAGAATGCCATTATTACTAAATGCTCAAGATTACTTTCTTTTAAAAAATTGAGAAATCATGGCCAAGCAAAAGTAAATAAAGCAGTTACCCGAGATGCTGTCAGCATTTCATCACTGGAAAGTAGACACTCACAGAAGTGAGGTGGAATTGACAAAGGTGCTAACCAGGAGTACCAATAAGTCATAACAAAATCTGAATACAATGAATTTAAAATAATATGCACAGAAACACAGATTTTATCATTTGAAATGGGAGTGATTAAATGTTTGGCTGTCTACATTATATATTAGACTATCGATAAAAGTCATTATTACTGGAGTTACCCCCATAAAGCCCTTCTCATTTGCCTTATTCTTCAGCATTTTTACATCAAGTCACAAGCACACAATACTCTATTATACTTGTTCTCTCATTGTTTTCCATGGTCACTAGACCTTCCTAATATACAGTCTAATCTGGACTCTTCTACCTTTTCGGCATCTCTTTTAAACGGAGTACAGCAAGACGATGGTCCTAAATAAATGGTTGCATGTTGATTAGTAAAATAAATGAGTGAAATCATTCACATATAAATAAAGGTTTCCTTAGTACATGTTCATTAGTATATACTACCTTTGTATCCATTATTCAGTTAATATACTCTGTATTATGGATTAATTTTCATTACTTTTAAAGCTTATTAAAACCATATCTTCTAAAACTCAGGCATACCTTACAGTTTCAAAAGATACATTTGATTCTTTGTATAAATACGCTATACATATGAGTGTATAATATTCTTTATACACTTTGATTCTTTGTATAAATATGTTATACATGAGTGTATAATATTCTTTATACACTTTGATTCTTTGTATAAATATGATACATTTGATTCTTTGTATTATACACTCATATATATAGCATA
The DNA here is from genome assembly GCF_000001405.40 of Homo sapiens. Lineage (NCBI taxonomy): Eukaryota > Metazoa > Chordata > Mammalia > Primates > Hominidae > Homo > Homo sapiens. The sequence goes on along the minus strand of NC_000014.9, from coordinate 94,210,197 downwards.
TTTATACAAAGAATCAAATGTATCTTTTGAAACTGTAAGGTATGCCTGAGTTATAGAAGATATGGTTTTAATAAGCTTTAAAAGTAATGAAAATTTGTATAAAATTTTCTTTAGAATATTTTAAATAGAAAGTAAGAAAATAAAAAAAAGTGTATAATATTCTTTATATACTCCCATGAAATTAAGGTTTTGGGGGAGCTGTTACTTAACTTCCTTTATTGTGAACTCAACAAAAGGAATTTTGCAAAGTAATTTAGAGACCTCTAAAGTTCACTGCTCTCTTTCATCTTTTATTCTTGCATATGAAACTTTGGATATCTAATATGCTTTCTGTGGACCAGATTTTACCTGCTCAATGCAAAGTGTGCAGCATGCAGTATTCTTAGCTATAAATCTAATTTGCTTACTTACATTAACTCTGTAGCCAAGAGGACCTAAATACCTGTTCCTTTCTGCTATTGTTTAACTGGCACTTCCAGGTGTCATGCTGACAAGTGTAGGTCAGTTAGTATCACTGAAATTGAACGTAAAAATAAACCTGGTCTGTGTGGGCCTAATTCCTTTGAAACATGGCATGATTCTGGGAAAAACAGATATAAAAAAGCTTGATTTACTTTTGAATCACATGCAATGCCAAAATAAATATCATCTTAATTCACCATTGTAATCAGTCAAAATGTTCACAGTGCCTGCATAGGTGGGCATCTCATGAAAATAACATGGTATGTCCCTGATCTAAATCACAGTAACTAGAACCATGCTACACATGCCTAAAAATAAAACTCAAGGACTCAATAATAACTTCAGTATTTTAAACACATAAATTAAAAATTATGACAAGAGCTATATCCAAATAAAAAAACAAAGCAAAATCTACCAACCTCTATTAGCAAACATAATCCTCATTAGTATGTAACCTCACTGACCCCATTAGTAGGTAAACTCTTGGAGGACACACACACTGGTGTCTGTTTTATTCATTCAAGTTCTTATAAAGAAAAGCACTTTGCACATAAGTACAAATAAATAATTACTAAATATTTAATAGTTGAAATTATTTAATTTTATATTAATAATCAATAAATATTAGTCAGAAGAAAGAATGTAATAGATCAAACATTTTTGTTCATAGCAGAAAAACTAATTCTGAAGAAATTTATAAAGCAATAAATTACATACACATCTAAAATTGTGATGGCTATAATTCAATCTTTATCTGATGATTCTTCAGAAGTCATCATAGGGTCAATTATTAGGAATATCAGCTCAATTATATTATCAATGTTATACAAATACTATTAATATAGATTTAAGTCAACAGAATACTAAATACTTTTTTTTAAGAATAATTAAGAGGTGTTTTTGAGCTACTAAAAACTACCTTTAGTAAAATGTCTCTACTGAGAAAATGACTAAAGAAATTTTACAACTTAAGATCTGGATTTCTCCATTTCCATCAGCTAATTTCCCTAAATATTTTCATTATAATTCAAAATGTATATAATAACACTTCCTCCACTCAATTTTTAGGTGCAAAAGATCAGCCATCAAAGCTCCAAAATCCTTTCAACAATGACAACATGCTACTGGGAAAAAATGGGAAACTCCAATCTTATTTCATACCAACTTACTCTGACTTTTGGCAACACTCTCCGAAGCGTCTCAGTGGGATTCTGTCGCATCAAAAATGGGAGATTTGCAATCACACTTGTTCCTTGGACATCTTGACCAGCACTTACAAAGAAAACACAAATTTAAAATTTATAATTATAAGCTGAATTCCTCTGCACAGTTATAAAAAGTATGGACTAATTGGAAAAATGACTGCTTTGAATGTTAAGCACTCAGACTTCTAAGTTTTAAGCCAGAAATACATCATTTAGATATAAAATTAAAACCAAAACTGAAATTTTATTAAGCAAATCTTATAACAAATACATGAAGATATTAATTATGCTTGTGCTGAAACAAGATTGTCTATTGTTTTATATGTCTTAAGTCTAAAAGTTTCGAGACTATTATTAAATACATATTTTTTAATTCTACCTCATTTTTTCCTGTGACCTGCCAGTTTGCCATACTTTATAAAAATATATAAATGGTAACATTTTATTACGGTAAAACATTAATAGTCATAGCAACAGGGACAGCAATAAAATCAACTACAGCAAAATCATACAACTTTCTCTTGGTACAGTGAAATCACTTGTTACACTAGATTTGACTCCATGTCAGAAACTTCTTAAAGATACACTCAATACTCTTAAAGATCAGCAGGGTATATTTACATAACTCCTTTTTAAATTAACATTCATTAAGGAGTTATCAAAATAATCTCAGCAATACTCTAGTGGCCTAAATACCTTGAAAAAAATGTTCAGATTCTTCCCAAAAAAACCATTTCCACAAACAGCAAAAAACTGTTTTCAAATATAACCAAAGTGGCCTAAGTTCTGAAAGTACTTGAAATATACATATATATATATAGATAGATAGATATAGATATATATATCAAAAAGATGCTAATAAACATGGCATCACCTCAGAGGGAAATTCCACCTGTTCTTAACTGACACCAATTTAAATATTGATAGCTGATTCCATAATATTTACTTATTGATTAGAATTATTTTTACTTATCTCTTCAAATGGATTTGTAGTTATACGTACATAAGACTTTAATACATGTTTTACATAGTTTTTAAAATAATATTATTTTTGCTTTAGAGTAAGTTCTATTAGAAAGAAACATATTCTGATTCTAAATGAAGCTGCCCTGTCATGAAGAAAGGCTTTTTCTGTTGCTATACGGTAAGCTATGAAATACAGGACATCATAATCATTCCACTGTTCTCATCACTCTCTAGGAGAATCCTTTAATAGACAAAATTCAGAAGGAATAGCAAAGGGTGTGAAATAGAGAACCCATGCCAAATGGAGAGAGGATCAAAAAAAGAGAAATCAAAGTTGCACAGAAAAATACTATTTGTAGTGAACTGAATGGTGGCCCCCTAAAAGATATGTCTACATCTTAATCCTAGAACCTGCGATTATTGTCTTAATTTTTAAAGGGCTCTTGAGATAAAGAGATTATCCTGGGTTATCCAAACTATCTAGGCCCTAAATCCAATAGCAAGTGTCCTTAAAAGAAAAACTCAGAGAATAAAACACAATAGATGGCCATTTGACCACAGATGCAGAAATTTGAGCAATACAGCCACAAGTCAGGGAATGGTGACAACCACCAAAAGTTGGAATAGGCAAGAATGGATTCTCCTCTAGATCCCTGCTGACATCTTGACTTCAGACTTCTGTTTTCTAGAACTGTGACAGAATAAATTTCTATTATTTTTAAGCCACCTGGTTTGCGGTAATTTGTTACAACAACCAGAGGAAATAAATTTACTACACTGCTAAAGAACTGAAAGAGAATAATCTGAAAGAAAAAGAAAATGACAATGCCTGGCCCAGGGTAGAGGTTCAATAAATATCTCTTGAAAACATGAATGAATAGATGGCTAACTAGATGAACAGATGTCAGGAACATTAAATATTGAATGTTCAGTGAATTTTATTCACTAATTTGCAATTAAGATAAAAAAGGGTATAATCTCTAATACCTCATGGAGGTGAAAACAAAACTTTTCACAGGAAGGCAAGAAAAAGAAAACAGAAGCAAAAAAAGAACAAATAAAAAATAAAATGATACACTTTAGCCTTAAAATATCAACAATTACATTAAATATAAGTGGTCTAAATATATCAATTTAAGACCGGAATTGGCAGAGTGGATTTTAAAAATGATTCGACTATATACTGTCTACAAGAAACTCACTTCAAATATAACAGTATCAGTGGTTGAAAATAAAGAATGGAAAATAATGTATCATAGAAATGTGAATCAAAAGAAAGCAGGAGTGGCTATATGAGTATCAAGTAAAGTAAATCTCAGAGAAGAGAAAATCACCAGAGACAGACAGGGACATTATAAAATGATAAAAGAGATGAATCCACCAAGAAATAGCAAACCTAAGTGTGTATACAACAAACTGAGTTGCAAAATATGTGATGCAAAAACTGATGAGACTGAAAAGAAAAACAGACAAAAATACACAGGTGCAGCTGGAGATTTCAGAACCCATCTCTCAACAACTGACAGAACTACACAGGGAATCAGCAAAGATATAGAAGAACTCAAGAATACCATCAACCAAGATTTAGTAGACATTTATAGAACACTCTATCCAACAGCAGAATACACATTCCATTCAAGTGCCCGAAGAATATATATCAAGACAGACCACAAAACAAACCTCAACAAATTTTTGAAAATTTAAATAATACAGAATTTTCTCTAACCACAATGGAATCAAACTAGAAGTTAGTAAAAGAAAGGTAACAGAAAAATCTCCCAACTCTTGGAAACTAAACAACAAACTTCTGTATTTTCCCATGAATCAAAGAGAAAGGTCTCACGGGAAATCAAAAAATACACTGAACTAATGAAAATAAAAAATCAACATTTGTGGGATACAGGTAACATATTCAAAGAGGGAAATGTAACCATTAGAAAAAAATGGAACATCTCAAATCAATAATCTAACTTTCCACTTCAAGAACCTAGAACAAAATAATCACAATACAAGCAGAAGAAACAAAGAGATGAGATTAATAATAAAAATAGAAAAAATAAAAGGAAGGAAACAAAGACCTAGTTGTTTTAAAGATCGATAAAAATCAACTAATCTCAGCAAGAATGACAAAAGAACAAGACAAGACATGAATTACCAACAACAGGATTGAAACGGTAGGTATCTCTACAGACTGCAGAAATCAAAAGGATAATAAGTGAATGCTATGAATACTTCTATACATATAAATTTGAAAACTTAGACAAAATGGTCCAATTCTTTGATAAACATAGTCACAACTTATCCAATATGAAAGAGATAATCTGAATGCTCCTACAACTATTAGAGAAATTGAATTAATATTTTCAAAGTCTTAAAAAATTGTCCAGGCCCAGATGGTTTCAATGGAGAATACTACCATTTAATGAAAAATTAACACTATTCTACACAATCTCTTCCAGAAAAGAGAAGAGGAGGTGGCACTTCCTAAATCACTTCATGAAGAAAAACTGCAAAGCAGTATACCTCATATATATAGATACAAAAATATTTAACAAAATTTTAGCAAGAATTATATACCATGATCAAATGAAGTTTATTGCAGGGATGCAACGCTGGTTCAATATTAAAAATCAATGTACTCCATCACATTAACAGGCTAAAGAAGAAAAATATCACATGATCATACCAATTCAGAAAAAACATGTGACAAAAGTCAACACATGAACACTGAAATTACAAATTCAATATAATTTATAATCACTCCAAAAAACTAACAAAATATGTACAGAAGTTGTAGGCTGAAAATACACAATGCTGAAAGAAATCAAAGGATATCTAAGCAATCAGAGAGGCACACACTGGGAAATTCAGCATGGTAAATATGGCGATTCTCCCCAAAGTGGTATACAGCTTTAACACAATTCCTATCAAAATACCAACAAGATTTCGGGAGACATAGATTATATTTTTTCTAAATTTGTATGAAAAACCAAAGGAATGAGCATAGCTGAAACAATTTTGAAAAAGAGGAATGAAGTAGGAGGAATTGTGTCCACCCACTGTTAAGACTTATTATATAGCTATAGTAACCAACACTGCACAGTATTGGTGGAAGGAGAGAGACACAGATCCACAGAACAGAAGAGAGAACCCAGAAATAGACCCCCACACATATGCCCAACTGATTTTTGGCAACAGTGCAGAGACAATCCAGTAGACAAAAGACAGCCTTTTCATCAAACGGCACTGAAGCAACTAGATATCCACAGGTGTTTAAAATTAAAAACAAAAAAAAACTGACATGACCTATGCCTCACACTAACTCAAAGTAAATCACAGACTTATACTTAAAACATAAAACTAATCACTTCTCAACCTTTTCACTAAGATCAAGTGTGAAACATATAACAATAGACCTGTCAGGAAAAACATGGGCAAATAGCTTCTAGATCTAGGGCTAGACAAAGAATTCTTAAACTTGACAGTAAAAGCATGATCCACAAGAAAGAAAAGTTAGACTTCATCAAAATTTAAAACTTTTGCATTGTGAAAGACCCTGTAAAAGGATGAAAAGACAAGCCACAGACTGGGAGAAAATATTTGCAAATGAATGTTTGAAAAAGGGCTAGTGTCGAGACCATATAAAGAACTCTCAAAACTCAATAGTAATAAAATACACAATCCAATTCAAAAATGGGTAAAAGACATGAGGGAACATTTTACTGAGGATGATATACAGATTGCAAATAAGCCCACTAAAAGATGTTTAATTCATTAACCATCAGGCAAACACAAAGTAAAAGGACAATGAGATATCACTACACACTTATCAGAATGGCTAAAATTTTAAAAACACTACCAAAAGCAAAAAAACTGGATGACTCATTGCTGCTAGGAATGTAAGCCGGTATAGCCACTCTGGAAAACACTTTGGAAGTTTCTTAAAATATTAAATATGCAACACCATACAAGCCAGCAATTGTACTCTGGGGCATTTATCCCAAAGAAATAAAAATTTCTGTTCACATAAAAACTTGTGGATGAATGTTTATAACACCTTTATTTGAACAAAACAACAACAAAAAAAAGATATGAAAACAATGATATGTCCTTAAGTGAAGAAACGGATAAATGAACTGTAGTACACCATACTGTGGAATGCTACTCAGCAATAAAAAGGAAAAAAAAAGAACTATTTATATGTGTATCCACCTGAAGAATCTCCAGAAATTATGCTAAGTGAAAAAAATTCAATCCCAAAAGGTTACATACCGTATGATTCCACTTATATAGCATTCTTGAAATGACAAAGTTATGCAAATAGAGAACAGGTTAGTGAATTCCAGGGGCTAAGGAGAGATACAGGAGCAGGAGGGAAATAGGTGTGACTACACAAGTGTAATGTGAGAGATCCCATGGTGATGGAAATCTTATGTATCCTGATTTTATCAATGTCAACATCCTGTCAAGATGTTACTATAGGGGAAAACTGGATAAAGAGAACATGGGTATTTCTGTATTATTTCTTACAACTGTATGTGAATCTATAGTTTTCTCAAAATAAAAAGATTTTTTTTTTTTTTGAGATGGAGTCTGGCTCTGTCACCAGGCTGGAGTGCAGTGGTGCAATCTCGGCTCACTGCAACCTCTGACTCCCTGGTTCAAGCTATTCTCCTGCCTCAGCCTCCCGAGTAGCTGGGATTACAGGCACGTGCCACCACGCCCGGCCAATATTTTGTTTTTATTTTTTAGTAGAGACAGGGTTTCACCATGTTGGCCAGGATGGTCTCGATCTCTTGACCTCATGATCCACCTGCTTCAGCCTCCCAAAGTGCTGGGATTACAGGCGTGAGCCACCACACCAGGCCAAAAGGGTTAATTTTTGAAATCAGTTAATGTAACAGAATTTTCAAAAAACACATGGATACCTCACTGCATGTGGAAATCTGAGAAATCCAGTATGTACCCATGATTTAAAACTATCAGCAAACTACAAATAGAAGGGAACTTCTTCAACCAGATAAAGAATATCTACGACAAACTTAGAGCTAGCATCATACTTAATGGTGAAAGAAAGAATACTTTCCCCCAAGTCAGGAACAAGGCAGGGATGTTGACCATTACCACTTCTTTATTTTAATCCATAAACACAATATTTATCTTTGTTTATTTATATCTTTGAATAATTTATTCAGTTTTATGTAATTTTTAACAAACAGATCTTACACACATTTTCTTAGATTCGTATCTAAGCACTTTATTTCTATAGGTTTTTGGGGAACAGGTGGTGTTTGGTTATATGAATAAGTTCTTCAGCGGTGATTTCTGAGATTTTGGTGCACCTATCACCCAAGCAGTGTACACTGTACCCAGTGTGTAGTCTTTTACCCCTCACACCCCTCACACCCTTTCCCCAGGGTCCCCAAAGTCCACTGTATCATTCTTATGCCTTTGCGTCCTCATAGCTTAGCTCCTGCTTATAAGTGAGAACATACGATGTTTGCTTTTCCATTCCTGAGTTACTTCACTTAGAATAATAGTCTCCATCAAGGTTGCTGCAAATGCCAATATTTTGTTCCTTTTTATGGTGAGTGTGTATATATATGTATATATATATATTTATATATATACACACACACATTTTCTTTATCTACTCATTGACTGATGGGCATTTGGGCTGGTTCCATATTTTAGCAACTGCAAATTGTACTGCTACAAACATGCATTTGCAAGCATCTTTTTCATATAATGACTTCTTTTCCTCTGGGTAGACACCTAGTAGGTACAGAATCACAGAATGGATAAGAATTCACCAACCAGCTGCTGTCTTCAAGAGACTCACCAAACACACATAAGGACTCACATAAACTTAAGGTAAAGGGGTAGAAAAAGATATTCCATGCAAACGGTCACCAAAAGTGAGCAGGAGTAGCTATTCTTACATCAGACAAAACAAACTTTAAAGCAACAGCAGTTTAAAAAGACAAAGAGGGGCATTACATAATGATAAAAAGGACTTGTCCAACAGTGAAATATCACAATCCTAAATATATATACACCTAACACTGGAGCTCCCAAATTTATAAAACAATTACTACTAGACCTAAGACAGCAGCACAATAATAGTGGGGGACTTCAATACCTCACTGACAGTACTAGAAAGGTCATCAAGACATAAAGTCAACAAGGCAACAATGGACTTAAACTATACCCTAGAACAAATGAACTTAACAGATGATCTACAGAACATGCTACCCAACAACTGAAGAACACACTTTCTATTCATCAGCACATGGAATATTCTCCAAGAAAGACCATATGATAGGCCACAAAACAAGTCTCAATAAATTTAAGAAAATCAAAATTACATTAAGTACTCTCTGAGACCACAGTGGAATAAAATTGGAAATCAACTCCAAAAGGAACCCTCAAAACCATGCAAATACATGGAAATTTAATAATGTGTTCCTGAATGATCATTGAGTCAACAATGAAATCAAGATGGAAATTAAAAAATTCTTTCAACTGAATAATAGTGACACAACTTACCAAAATCACTGGGATAGAGCAAAAGCGGTGCTAAGAGGAGAGTTCATAGCATTAAATGTCTACATCAAAAAGTCTGAAAGAGCACAAATAGACTAGCTGAGGTCGCACCTCAAGGAACTAGAGAAACAACAAACCAAACCCAAACCCAGCAGAAGAAAAGAAGTAACAAAGATCAGAACAGGACTAAATGAAAGGGAAACAAAAAAAAAATACAAAAGATAAGTGAAACAAAAAGCTGGTTCTTTGAAAAGATAAACAACATTGATAGACCACTAGCGAGATTAACCAAGAAGAGAGAAGATCCAAATAAGCTCAATTAGAAATGAAACGGGAGATATCACAACCAATACCACAGAAATACAAAAGATCATTCAAGGCTACTGGGAACACCTTTATGCACACAAAGTAGAAAACCTAGAGAAGATGGATACATTCTTGGAAGTATACAACCCTCCTAGATTAAACCAGGAAGAAATAGAAACTCTGAACAGACCAATAACAAGCAGCAAGATTGAAATTGTAATTTAAAAATTGCCAACAAAGAGAAATCCAGGACTAGACAGATTCACAGCTGAATTCTATCAGACATTCAAAGAAGAATTGGTACCAACCTATTGAAACTAGGCCATTACCACTATCCAACACTGTGTTGGAGCTCTGAGCCAGTGCAATAAGGCAAGAAAAGGAAATAAAGGACTTACAGATTAGAAGTTTAATTATCTTTATTCACAAACAACATAGTTGTCTATGGTGAATATCCTAAATAATCTACAAAATGGCTAGAATAAGTGAGTCTAGCAGTATGCAGAATACAAGGTCAATACATAAAAGTATCTCTACTTTTATATATTATATTCTCCATATAATAGAAAAGAAATATAAATTATAATTTTAAAAGTAATCTAATTTACATTAACATAACAATATTGATATGGGAGGGGGTGCAGGGAAGTGCCGGGAAGGGAAAGGCTGTTCCCTGACTAGGGTACCACCCCTGGGCCTGTGCCCACGGACCTAGGTGAGGACAGGAACTCCTGCCTTCACGTCCAAATTCTGCCATTTCCCAAGACCACCCTGGCCCACCACACCCTCATCCTGTGCCTATAAAAACCCCAAGACCCTAGCAGGCAGAGACGCAAGTGGCTGGACGTGGAAAGGAACACTCCAGCGGAAGAAAACACACGCAGCTAGATGTTAAGAGGCCGTCAAGAGGAGCGCATCCGCATAAGAGCACAATAACAGGCACTGGCAGGTCCGCAAGCCATCAACCCCCGGAATGAGGTGGAGTTTGGCTGGGGCAGTCAGAGGAGAGCGCGGGCTGCTAAGCAGCCCGACTCCAGGGGAAAACTACCTTTCCACTCTGTCTCTCTTCTGGCTCCCCCATCTGCTGAGAGCTACTTCTACTCAATACAACCTTGCACTTATTCTCCAAGTCCACGTGTGATCCGATTCTTCCAGTACACCAAGGCAAGAAACCCCGAGATACAGAAAGCCCTCTGACCTTGCAATAAGGCAAGGGTCTAATTGAGCTGACTAACACAAGCCGCCTACGGACAGCAAAACTGAAAGAGCACCCTGTAACACATGCCCACTGGGACTTCGGGAGCTCTAAACATCTACCTCTAGACACTGCCATGGGGTCAGAGCCCCACAACCTGCCCATCTGCATGCTCCCCCTAGAGGTTTGAGCAGTGGGGCACCAAAGAAGCACGCCACTCCCCCACTGCACGCCCTGCGAGCGGTCTGGGGAACTTTTCCTATTTCAATATGAAATATATTTAGAAAACTTGACAAAAGATGTTTAAGATTTGTAGACCAAAAATTACAGAACATGCTGAGAGAAATAAAGAAGAACTAAATATATTCAAGTATCAAAGACTCAATACTGTTAAGATGTCAATCTCACAAATTGAAGACAGATTCAATATGATCCCCTTCTAAAACCCAGTAGGCTTTCTGCAGAAATGAACAAGCTTATTCTAAAATCTATATGGAAATGCAAAGGATATAGAATAGCTAAAACAAATCTGACAAAAACAAAGTTGTAGGGCTAATACTAGCAGGTTTGATTTTAAAACCTATCACAGAGCTACAACAGTAGAGCTACAACAGACAATGTCGTGCAATACTGGCATATGATCAATGGAAAAGAACAGAAAGTCCAGAAATAGACCCAAACATAAATGCGCAATTGAGTTTTTAAAAAGGTGAAACGACAACTCAATGAGGAGATGATAATCTTTTCAACAAGTGGTGGTGGGACAATTAAATAGCCGTATACAAACACAATGAGTCTCTCCTCAACCTGAAACAATAAACAGAATTTAATTCAAAGTGGATCACAGGCCTGAATTTAAGAGCCAATAATGTAAAACTTCTAGAAGAAAACAGCAGAAAATCTTAGTGACCTTGGGTTTGACAAGATTTCTTGAAGAAAACACAAAAGGTAAAGTATAAAAAATTTAAAAATCAACCAAATAAACTTCATCACAATTAAAAATGTTTGTTTTTCAAAGGCACTGTTACAAAAATGAAAATGTAAGCCATAGACTGGCATAAAATATTTGCAAAATAAATATTTAGCAAACAACTTGTATCTAGAATATATAGAGAATTCTTAACTACAAGAGTAAGAACATCCAATAAAAAGCAGACAAAAGATTTGAACACCTCACCAAAGAAAATATAAAAATGGCAAATAAATACATCTTAAAATGCTCAACAAAATTTTAATCGTTAGGTAAAATTACATTACAACCACAATGAGATATCACTACACATTCACTAAAATAACTAAAATTATAAGGACTCAACGTGCCAAATGTTGGCAAGGATGAGGAGTAATGGTCCTTTCACATACTACTGATGGAATATAAAATAATACGATCATTTTGGAAAAGTTTGACAATTTCTTTAAAGGATACACATACACCTACCAAACCACCCAGATATTCCATACTTAGACATTTATCCAAGGGAAATAACAGCATATGTTCACATAAACACTTTAATGTAAATATTTATAGCAGCTTTGTTTGTAATACATAAAACAATCCAGATGTTCACTAACAAGTGGATAATCAAATTATTATATTCCATACAGTGATATATCCATATAGCAATAAAAAGAAATGAACAAAATCATGGATAAACTTCAAAACAATTACACTGAATGAAAGAAGCCATACAAAAAAAATAATACTACTGTATGTTTTCACTTACAGAAAATCACAGAAAATACAAACTGAACTATAGTGGCAGAAAGCAGTTTTTGCCTGGGAATGAGGAAAGGAGAATGAAAGCTGGGTTACAAAAGGGACATGGGGAAATTTTCGGAGGTGGATATGCTTATTATCTTGATCATGGTGAGGGTTTCATGGGAATACACATATGTGAAAAGTCATCAAATTCCCCATTTTAAATATATGTAGTTTACTGTACATCAATACCTCAATAAACTGGTGCAAAATAAAGTATATAAATACAAAAAGACTGATGAAAGTACCCCTATGAAGATGGCAGCAGTGAACACATCATTTTTTAAAATTTCCTGAATCCCTCATTAAAAACAGAGCAACTAGGACAAAAATAATAAAATTAAACAAAATAAATAAAATAAACCATGCATAACATCTACACCATAACTACGTGATAAGATTTCCCACACAAACCAAAAATGCATGCCACGTGTGAATGGCAGCTAAAACTGCAAATGGTTTTGTATCCTCCAACAGCTGATGAATTCAAGTCCATAGTAACATCTGAGAGGACCAAGCAGTCTTATCCCCATGAACTTTCAAAACTTCTAGAACAAAGACCCAAGATGAAGAAAAATTCTGGGAAACAGAATCCAAATTGAGCAGCAGAGGAACAACAAGAAGGTCCACATAAAAGTACAGGAGAGAAACAGAACCGAGAAACCTCACAAAGTAAGGTATCCTAATTCGAACACTATACAAAACAACAAAAAAGGGAGCTCTAGAGCCCTGAAATTAGAAAAGCTATCCTGAACCACACCTCCTAAGGTTTATGAAAACTAATTTCACATAAAAATGAAAAATAAGGATCATGATTAAATTACACGGATAGTTAATTTTTAAAGAGAGAATAAGGAGCAGACTAATATTCCCAAAGACCATGAAAGACATACGCAAACTACAGGTAACTATAACCTACTATTTCTCCACAAGCAAAGAAATTTTTAATGTGTAAGATATGAAAAAACACATGAATCGTAATTATGAAAACTCAGAAATGAAGTGATAGAACTCAGGAAAGAATTAGAAGAAAATATTTCAAAAAAGACTAAACTAGAAAGAAGAAAAAGATGAATAAACACAATAATACTTCAAGAGAAATAAAAGGTGAAAAGAAGAAAAATTTTTAAATAAAAAAGATTTGAGGCCAGGCACAGTGGCTCATGCCTGTAATCCCAGCACTTTGGGAGGCCGACGCAGGCAGATCACCTGAGGTCAGGAGTTCAAGACCAGCTTGACCAACATGGTGAAACCCCGTCTCTACTAAAAATACAAAAATTAGCTGGGTGTGGTGGCAAACATCTGTAATCCCAGCCACTTGGGAGGCTGAGGCAGGAGGAATCACTTGAACCTGGCGGGTGGAGGTTGCAGTGAGCCAAGATTGTGCCACTGCACTCCAGCCTGGACGACAGAATGAAATTCTGTCTCCAAAAAAAAAAAAAAAAAAAACCTTTGAAAGAAAGTAATACAGGCTTGAGAGAAAGTAATATATAAGATAGACAAAGAAGATCTAACAACTTTCAATAGGAGTTCCTGAAGAAGAAAACCAAAACCAAAGCAAGGGAAGGAATTTTTTTTAAGTCAAAAAAAAAAAAAAAGATTCAAAAGCACATACCACAAACCTGAGAAAATCAATCCAATATAACCAATACTGAGATTTACTGTTGAATCTTAAAGAAAAAGAAAAATCCTTTGGGCATCCAAGCAAAATAAGCAAGTTACTTAGGAACAAAAAGAAAAGCAAATTATCATTAGACTTTCACAGCAATAAGATACAAGGAAAGCAAATAATACTAGTCTATAGGGTGATATTGCTCACTATAAATAGGACATGAAAAAACATAAAAAGAAATATAAATTTTGTAAAATTATAAAAAATTATAATCACCATAATCTTTAATTTCTATAATTAATTTATATCTGGCCCTTTTCCTACCCAGGGAGAAAAACTGATACATTATGGGTAGTACATTGGGTATTATGAGTTTGAAGGAAAAGAAACTGGGTTAGCTAGTGGTTCTCAACCAGGAGTGATCTCCCCCTTCCCCTCCCCTCTACTCATGGTCTAGGGACATTTTTTTTTAATCATCATTTAGGAAATACTACTGTAATCTAGTAGGTAGAAGCCAGAGATGACACTAAACATCCTACAATGCACAAGACAGCTGCCTACAACAAAGAATGTCAATATCTCAACAAAATATGTCTAAGAAATCCTGGTTTAGACAAAGCAAATATTAGTTGAGCCACATGAAACCACCAACATTAATTACTGGCCACAGTTCAACATATATGTTGAGCTTAGCAGAAATATATTAAGTCAGTGACATCAAGAAAATGTATACAGGTTGGTAACTACAACATGCTAGAGCAGCGGTTCTCAAACTTCAGCATGTGTCGGAATCCACTTGTACAGGGCTTGTTAAAACTGGGTCCCACCCCCAGAGATTCTGGTTCAGTTGGTCTTGTTTAGGCCTGGGAACTTGATTTCTAAGAAGTTTCTAAGAAGTTTCCAGGTGATACTACTGGGGATCACACAGTGAGAGTCACTATGGTAGAAGGACAGTCAAAAACAAAAAAGAGGAAAAGGAGACTGCAGAATCTTAACATTTTTTAGATGTGAGTGAAATGAGCCAAGTGCACAGTAGCAGTTTGCCCAAATGAAGCGGAAGGTCCATCTGACAGTAGACTGCATATGTTCACAACTTCTGTTAGTCCTGGCTACTGGGCTCCTCATAATGATGTTAAAAGTAATATGGAAAAAAAATAGCAGAGATGGAATAACATGTAAGTCTACTTAAATGTACATTAGAGAAAAGTATAAGGAGTTTGTGAAAAGGTTGTGTATCAGACAAAAGGGTCACTGACTAGACTTGGCTTGCATTAAAATGGGAGTTCTTAACTTGCATGCCTGGGAATTTCTTGGGGCTGTGAACATGTTGTTTTGTTCTGCTGACTTTAGTCATAATCAGTATAAATAAACCAAGTATTGCCCGGTGTGGGGTACTGCGCCTATAGTCCCAGCTAGTCAAGAGACTAAGAGAGGAAGATCACTCCAGCTCAGGCCCAGGCATTCAAGTCCAGCCTGACCAGCACAGCCAGACTCTATCTCTTAAGAAAAAAACAAACAAAAGAAAACAAAAAAAACAAGTATGTGTGGATCTATGCTACCATCACTGACTAGAAGAAACCCAAAAAAATGGCATACAGGATTTCACTTTCTTGCTGCTTTATAGCACACATGTAATTTTTAAATATTTGATCAACATTATTCTTTTTGTTTCAAAGTAAGCTTCCCAGCTTCCCAGATTTTAAAATCTACAACTTCCTATTGAAAAGCCGGCACAGGAAACAATCATCATGGTTACAACTTGAGCTGCTCCTTTTTGCCCCAGTTGTGCTATTCTTTGGGACATGCTCCTTTTCTAGGATACTTACTCAGAAACAAAATGAACACAAGCCCACTCAACAAACCATTCCTCTAAAACTAAAAAGAATTGGGTTAATCATCTAATCTGTACACTAGTGGCTAAAAAGGAAAGCTGAAAAAAACAAGACTAGTTAAATAAATGAATTTAGGACACCTATCTTTTAAACTCTAAATTAATGTTACTAATTATTTTATCCCTACTGGGAGATGCACCTATTTTAGAGCCATTTATAGTAAAATCTTATGCCAATGAAAAACAAGTCAATCCACTGAAGTATTCTTAGATACAATAAGTTTTATAGTCTTTCTTGTTGTCCCAGCTTCTGCCATTGTCATGGTAAACTTTTTCATTCAGGTGAGTGACCAACAGCTGGTTTCTGATTTCCTGTAATCCAAGGATGTTTTACCCAAATGTGACATTCCCCAATGCCTAGCAAAGCAGCACACGGTAAAGGCTTCATAAATATTTGTTAAAATGAATTCATCTTCACTTCATATCAGCAACCCATTCCTTTTGTCAAAGGCTGGATATTATCTGGAAATATTCCATCTCTAGAATCTCAAGCTGTGATCTCACTTATTGGCCATTAACTCTTATTTTTCTACTTTTCTATTGCTAAGCCTACATTTCACCCTCATCACATTTCTAACCTATTAACCTTCTTATTCTCCAGTACCTAACATTCTTCCTAGTTTCACTTTCCTCCTTGCCAGCCTGAACCTCCCTATTATTTCAATTAGATTCTCGCCAATAACCTTACTTTAATAACCTCCTTCTAATCACAACAAAATAAAAATAGCATCTAATATACTATAAGCCAGGCATTGTGCTAATAAATAAGCACCTTACTTGCACTCATCTTATTTAATTATCATACTAATTTTATAAGGTAGGTAGATATTATTATTATCCCATGTTGTAGATGGGGAAATTAGAGCTTAGAGAAATTAAGGTACTTGCCTAAAGTTATGCAGCCTGTACTACTCCAAAACTCATACCAACCACTATACTACACTGACTCCTGTCCAAACTGTGCATCCAGACAATACCAAACACATCTATCAGCTTTTCCTATCCCACTCCTGCTCCTAAGCTATGCAGCACTGCTAGAGAAAACTGTGTAACTTTGCTGCTTAATGCTTTTAAAAAACATATGGTTAAAAAAAAAAGTTTGTCCTCAATGATCAATGATGCTAGACAAAAACACAAAATGATAACCAATTTGTTGCAATCAAGAAAGGAACCAGAAATTCTTAGTTTACGATATTGCCTAAAGCATTTTCAGAAACATCTTTGATCTCTCAAAATGAGGCTACCTGTGCTAGTTTATGAAATCCTTGCCCTCCTCCACGAAGAATAAGCCACATGTTAGAATAAATCCAGGTACTAACAATATTATCTTCATCTATTCTTGTACCTTGCTCCTACCTCTAAGAACTTAAAATCTAATAAGGAAGATAGATTCACACACTAAAAATTTTGACTACATAGCACAAAGTCCTCTTTTCCTAGCCTGGACACCCTCATAATTTGTTTAATCCTAAACCACTTAGACAAGAGAGAGGAGATGAGCAGATGCTATCCAAAAATGATGACGTGACATAATCAGTCAGTACTATATCTGAGAACTCCAGCTTTGCTACTGTTCAACTATGTGCAGGATATCAAATGTTTGTAGTTATAGAGAGCCAGTGATCCTACTCCTAGCAGCTCTCACTTAAAATCCAAAATATAACTCATAAGCTGCTGATACTGTGCTTGAATTTATAACAATAAAGCAGATGCCACAAAGCCTTGCTTTGAGTTCACAATAAAAACTAAACTTTACATAGTTGATAGTTAATTATTTCCTTACTCAAATTAAATTATTAAACAGTTTGTTTTAATGAATAGAACAAAATAAATTAAATGATTACCTTAGAGAATTAACCTTCCAAGAAAGACAAAACCTTCTTGTAAGGCAAAGATGACTGATAGAGGGACACAAGAAGCTTAAGCAGAAGATATTGAATACCAATCCCTAACATCAGTAATTTTTCAAATATAGCATATTTCCATATGTTAGTCCTGTAAAATGAAATTCTTAATAATGTTAAATCTTTAAAACATTGCCTTAAAAGGTTTATGTAGAAAACCATTCAAACCTGATTATAGTCTTCATGCTTAAGACCATAGAGAAACAAATAATATTTTTTAGTAGGACCAAAGAAAGAGTAACAGAAAAGTTAACATTTAAGGGCCTACTATGTGCTATACAAGGCACTTTACATACATAATCACATTAATCATCACAATATATGAGCGGTATATTTCTATCCTTACTGATGCTCAGGAAAAAAAATGGGATTCACCCAAAGTCATGTGACTAGTAAAGATTAGAGCTAGTATTCCAACCTATGATTTCTCAGTCCATAGCCTATAGCCATCATACCATCTCAGGTCATAGTCCCATCATAAGAACTGGCTGAAATGACAGCCTAAAAGGATTTCTAAGTTGATAATTTTGTAAGAGTTATGTTCATGATTTAATATTTATGTTACAATAAGGTATTTTACTAATAAAGTCCACTATGTATCCTTTATTATCAATGCCATGTCAAAACAGTATACGAAAGTTTCATGTTCCTTGCGAAGAGATAAACTCCTCTTTAGCTTAAACCTTTATCATCAATGATATAGAGAACACTGCCTTTTGAGTGGCTCTTCAACAATTTATACAGCAAGATAGGAGGAATAAGTTCTGCTGTTCTGTACCAGTGTAAGGTGAATACGATTAACAACAATTTAGTGTATATTTTCAAATAGCTAGAAGAGAGAATTCTGAATGTTCACAACACAAAGGAATGATAAATGTTCAAGGTGATGAATGCTAACTACTCTGATTTGATCATTACACACTGCATACATGTATTGAAATATGCTCTGTATCCCATAAATACATACAATTACTACATGTCAACTTAAACGAAAAAATAAAGGCTCAAAATTTGCCTGAAAAAAACAGATGAGCTTATTTTTCCCCTCCCTCTTTATACCAACGAGGGTACAAACAGCCCTCTGATTCCTTAGGATACAGTTTAGAATTATTTCAACCTTCCCTTTCTCCTCACACCCCACAGCACATTTCAAAACAGTATAACAAGATGTGTATGACTCCCAATTGTTCTGGAGTGAAAAGAACTTATTAAGGTGCAAGTACACCTGTGGCATTAATAAATCCTTGGTTTTTTGTATTGTTTATCTTGGATTTGTTCCATATTATACTGCAATACAAAGATTACATTTGATATTAACTTTGATATGTTTTATTGTATTATACATGGAAGAATAATTGTTAAATTTTAGTTTCAGTTATCTATATTAATACACATGCACACAAACGTGTCTGTATATGTAGGGTCACAGTTTGAAATGTATTCCTTACATGATAAGGTCATAGTAAAAAAAAAAAAAAAGTTGGAAATCACTGCTCTACAGTATTTTGCATAGAGTAAAAGGGAATATTATCAAAGTCTGTCCTAAATATATGAGCTATAGCAGGAATATTGAAAGGTATGCAAAACATTAGTTCAGGAATAACTACATAAACTTGGAAGAGTTCTGGGAACATTGTAAGCTCCCTCCTGTTAATTTTTTTAACCAGCCTTTCTATTTCCTCATTAACAAATAGCAGTAAAAATTCCTTTAAAATACTTTCTATTTTATTTATTTATTTATTTATGTTTTTGAGACAGAGTCTCCCTGCATCGCCCAGGCTTAAGTGCAATGACACAATCTTGGCTCACTGCAACCTCTGCCTCCCGGGGTCAAGCAATTCTCCTGCCTCAGCCTCCTGAGTAGCTGGGGCTACAGGCACACACCACCACACCTGGCTAATTTTTTAGTAAAGACAGGGTTTCACTATATTGGCCAGGCTGGTCTCAAACTCCTGACCTCAAGTGATCCACCCACCTCTGCCTCCCAGAGTGCCAGGATTACAGGCGTGAGCCACCATCCCAGCCTAAAATACTTTTTAAAAATATATAGATATGTTAAGACATAGCAGGGGAAAAGGGCTAGCTAAGATAACATACTGCCAACCCAGCCAGTAAGACAAACTCAGAAAACAGAATAGTAGCCGACAGTTATTAAAAATAAACAAACAAACAAACCAGGTGTGGTGGCACACTGCCTGTAATCCCAGCTACTAGAGAGGCTAAGTCAGGAAGATTGCTTGAGGCCAGGAGTTTGAGACCAGCTGGGCAATATAGCAAGACCCTATCTCAAAAAAAAAAAAAAAGATAAAAGCAAGCCAAATCCCTGGCACCTACAGGAAGAAGGGGTGACAAGTATTACAGGAAGGAGAAGAGACCCAATTAACTAACCTAAATAGGTAAAGTGACATGTTCAATCATTCAGGAACTGCTGGGTGCCAGGCACTGGTTCTGGATTCTCCAACACAATCCAATAATGCTTTATGCCTAGCACAGAATGTGTCAGACAATAAAGACTGTCAAGAGTACTGAGAGAAAAAGAGTATAAAATTACTCCCAGGTTTCCCTCCAGTATGATATAGAAAGATGGTCAGGCTTCAATAACAAGCAGAGGCATATTTAGATAAAAAGTGATAAATGCAGTTTCGAGCACATTGAGTTTGAAAAGCCAGCAAGACATTCTGGTGGAGACACCCTGGTGGAGGTGCCCAGCAAACAGAAATGATCCAAAGTTGAGAAGGAAAGGCCAAGGCTACAGCCACATTTGGAAATCATGCCATGGAAATGATGACTGAAATCCAGAGTGTATAATCTGACCCAGAAAGAGAGTCCCAAATAATATACAGTGGCTCCTGTCTGTTCATTTGACTGATTATCACTGTAAATGGGGCACTGAATCAGAAGAAATGTAATACAAACAAATCAATTATAATATTTAAAAACTCATCAGTCAATCCAAAATCAATCTGTAAAAGCTACGTGAAATAATTATTTCTGTTCTCTAATAATAAGGACAGGATAAGATAGAATACAATGAAATGTTCAAACTAAAAGGGGGTCTTGGAAATAAAATACATCTCCTTCACATTGTGACAATGAAGAAACCAACATCTACAGAGATTATGGAACTTAGGTCAACCAGCTAGTTACTATCAGGGTCAAAATGTCATCTCCACAAAGCAAGAGCAAATTTTTAAAAACTATTGATCCTATAATCTCTCTCATGGGTTCCTAAATAACTATTCATTTAAATAAATTTTACATATGTATATTTTCTTCTCTAAGAGAAAAAAAGTCAATTTTCTCCCTGATTTCTCTTATGGTAATTGTTTTAGACATACTTATCATTCAACAATATATGAATTATCAGTCCTCTAGTTATTCTAAAATAATTTTTTGAGTTTTATTGAGGCATAACTGACAAAAATGCTGCATATTCAAGATATACAATGTGATGGGATTTTTTAACCCTTTTTAATTGTAAATTGAGAAAAAATAAATTATGTATTTACAGGCTACAAAGTGATTATGATATTTTGCTATATGTATACATTGTAAAATGATTACTACAGTAAAGCTAATCAACATGTCCATCACCTCACATACTGACTTTTTGTGGTGAGAATACTTAAGATCTACTCTCTTAGCAAATTTCAACTATACAAATGTCTAAGGAAATATAATTATTAATTACAACATATGTAATTCAACAGCAAATAATTTAGGTACTATATCAAGATATAAATGTTTATATAAGTGTGTGTGTGTGTATACACACATATATATATATTAGGCAAGATAGACATATCCCTGTCAAGATTTCAATATGTTGTCCAAAGACTAGGTCCATATGCTATTTATGTAGTAATAATGAAGAAACTAAGCAGTGTAACAGAATACAAGGCATTTTGATTGTAGGGTCATCTTCATAAAATACAATCAAAATAAGACATTATAAGAAAACTGAAGATTAATCCTCTCATTAATATAAATGACAAAATCCTCCACAAAATATTAGCAAATAGAGTCTAGAAACATATAAAAAGACTAATACATAATGAACAGGTAGGATTTATTCCAAGAATGAGAGGTTGGTTCATCATTCAAAAATTAATCAACGTACTTCACTATACTAAAAGACAAAATAAGAAAAGCCATATACCATATCAATAGATACAGAAAAAAAATTCTACAAGATTCAATACCCGTTCATGATAAAACTTAGCAAATTAGGAATAGAGGAAACTTAACCTAATGGTATCTATAAAAAAAAGTACCACCACATTATATATAGTTAATGGTAAGAGACAGAATGCTTTCTCCTAAGATGAGGAAAGGCTGCAAGTCATCTCTCACCACTCCCACAGTGGAGAAACCTGGCAGGTATTTCCTTAACTGAATGACCTAAATTAACATAACTGATGATAAATCCACGGTGATAGCATGAACCCCCTGATATGATGAAATAAGAAAGGCATTTCACCACCATGGTACTCTTCCTAAAAGCACATAACCCCAATCTAATGATGAGAAATAACATCACACAAACCCAACTTGAGGGACAGTCTATGAAATACCTGACCAGTATTCTTCAAAACTATCAAGATCATGAAAAATAAGGAAAAGTGAAGAAAGCGTCACAGCCAAGAGAAGACTAAGGAGACATGACAACTAAATACAATGCAGTTTCCTGGAGTTGATCTTGAAACAGAAAAAAAAAAAAGTGAAAAAACTAGTGAAATCCAAATAAAGTCTGAAGTTTAGTTTGGAGTGATGTATCAATGTTAATTTCTGAATTTTTGAAAGATGTACCATGATTATGTATTAATAACATGTTAGCATTAGGGGACACTGGTGGAAGATATATAGGAACTTTCTATACTAACTTTGCAATGTTTGTGAAAATTTAAAATTATTCTGAAATTTAAAAAATTAATTAAAAGGACAGAAAAAGATATACTTTGTAAATGCTAGCCAAAAGAAAGTTGGAATGAATATGTGAATATTAAAGTAGATTTCAGAACAACATATTTTTTTTCTTTTTTTTCCGAGACAGAGTCTTGCTCTGTCATCCAGGCTGGAGTACAGTGGCGCGATCTTGGCTCACTGCAACCTCTGCCTCCGGGGCAATTCTCTTGCCTCAGCCTCCCGAGTAGCTGGGATTACAGGTGCCCACCAACACACCCAGGTAATTTTTGTATTTTTAGTAGAGACAGGGTTTCACCATGTTGGCCAGGCTGGTCTCAAACTCCTGCCTTGTGATCTGCCCACCTCGGACTCCCAAAGTGCTGGGATTGCAGGTGTGAGCCACCACGCTCGGCCTAACAAAGTATATTTCAAAGAATAAACATTACATAATGATAAAGGGGTCAATTCAAGAAAACATAATAATCCTAATTTTATGTGCATTTCACCACACAGTTTCAAAATACTAAACTACTAGTAAAAAATTATATATTTTAAAGGAGGACTAGACAAACCTGCAATTACAGTTGGAGACTTCAATACTCTCTGTAATCAATAGAACAAATCATAAACACAATGAAATAACACTACACACCACTAGAATGACTTAAAATTAAAAAGACTGATCATATCAAGTGTTATAGAGTATAAGGAGCAACTCAAACGCTCATATACTGCTGGTGGAAATGTAAAATGGTACCATCACCTTAGAAACAGTTTAGCAGTTTCTTAAAGGTATAAACATATATTTACTATATGGTCCAGCAATTCGATGTTTACCAGAGAGGAAGGAAAGCACATGTCTACATAAAGATTTATAAATGAATGTGTATAGTCACTAAGTTTGTAATAGCTGAAAACTGAAAATTACCCAAATGTCCATCAACTGATGAATGGATAAACAAGATGTGTTATACCCATTAAACGGAATCATTATCAATAATAAAAAGCAGTAAATTAACGATATAGGCAACATCAAAGATAATCTACAAAATAATTAGATTGAAAGAAGCCAGACAAAAGAGTAGACTGTATGATCCATTTCTATAAAATTCTAGAAATTGGAAACTAATTTATAGTAACGGAAAGCACATCAGTGGTTGCCTGGAATGGAAGGGGCTCACGGGAGGGAGAGAGAGATAATCTAAGCACACAAGTAGTGTTTGGGAGTGACGGATATGTTCAATATCTGAATCGTGTATACATATGTCAAAAATCATTAAATTACATGGTTTAAATACATGTGATTTATTGGATGTGAATTATACCTCAAAAAGCTTCAAAAAATGAAAAAAATATATAGTCAGCATATGACCCAACAAACATTCTTAGGCATTTATCCAAGAGATATAAAAAACTATGGCTAGATTCCAGAACAGGCAAAATTATTCCACAGTGACAAAAAGCAGATTAATGGTTGCTTAGGGTTAGGGTGTGGCATTAACTGCAAAGAGATACCAGTGGCTTTTGTGGGGGTGATGAAAATGTTCTATATTTTGTGCTAGTTACACAGGTGTACCCATTTGTCAAAACTCATCAAACTATAAACTTAGTTTATTTAAATTATACTTCAATAAAGTTATTTTCCAAAAATGGAGATGGGGGAATTTGGTGCCCAATCTAGAAAACTGATCTAGAGAGGAAACTTTGTAACACAAGAAGTTTCTAAATGGGATGTTTCCAAATGGGATGTTTCCTATATATCCAAAGTAAAATATGTTCCTAATCCCAAACAGATGATTTAAAAGGGCAGCAACAACTATCCTTTACTGAACACTACCCTGTACCAAGCACTGTGCCCTATACATACATTTCCTCTCATCTTCTCAACAATCCTGCAATGAAGATATTATTATTTTCATTTTATTTTTTTTGTTTGTTTTGAGACAGGGTCTCACACTGTTGCCCAGGCTGGAGTTCAGTGGCACACTCGTGGCTTCCTGCAGGCTCAAACTCCTGAGCGCAAGCGATCCTCCCACCTCAGCCTCCCAGGTAGCCAAAAAACAGGCACAAGCCACCATTCCTGGATAATTTCTTAAATTTTTTTGTAGAGACAGGGTCTCGCTATATTGCCCAGGCTAGTCTCGAATTCCTGGGCTCAACTGATCTTCCTGCCTTGACCTCTCAAACTGCTGGGATTACAAGTGTGAAAGCCACTATGCCCAGCCTATTTATTCCCATTTTACATTAGGGAACTTGGGCTCACAGAAGATAAGCAACTTACCCAAGGTCTCTCAGTAAGTAAATGAGCAAGCCTCAGCCTCCAAGAATAAATCTGGGTCTGTCTTAAACTATTTCCAATACAACACACTGACTCCCAGTACCTGTTAATTGGGGATAACCTCTATTCTACTGAAATTTAAGAAAAATGCATTTGCTTCCTTAAACTATCTCCTTGAATACAAGTATCTGCTAGTATAATGACCTTCATTCCCCAGGAGATGCCTAGCACATAAGTACTCAGATATATGTTTTAACTTAAATTAATAAGATACTGTAAAGCAACTATTAGTTGCATTACAAATCTTTTCCATTATTAACATTTCTGATTGGAGGGAAAATTACATTCTAAGGGTATAATAGATTTTGTAATTATTACTAACATGATTACCATATACCAATATTATACCAGTATAAGGATAAGCCAAAAGTGATGACTATGAAGAACCCTAAACACTTTCTCTATGCTTTCCACATTTGATAGCCAACATAGTCAATGAAAGACACTATAATACCCAAAATATCAAACTGAAAGACGTACAGATTTAAAAGTTCATTGGACCTTATTCAGTGCTTTAATTCCCTTCATGCAATCTTAATTTTAAGAAGGAAGACAGGCCTGGTGACTCATACCTATAATCCCAGCACCTTGCGGGGTTGAGGCAGGTGGATCACTTGAGGCCAGGAGTTCAAGACAAGACTGGGCAATAGAGCAAGACCCCTAACTCTACAAAAAAAACTTAATTAGCTAGGCATGGTGGCTAGTGCCTGTAGTCTCAGCTACTCAGGAGGTTGAGGCAGGAGGAACACTTGAGCCCAGAAGTTCAAGGTTATTGTGAGCTGTGATCGCACCACTGCACTCCAGCCTGGGAACAGAGCAAGACCGTGTCTCAAAAAAAAAAGAAAGCTATGAATTTTACCACTTGGTATGGTGAGCCCTCTAATTCTTAATGTCAATACTAAGAAACTACTGCACAATTCAACATTACAAGACTGGGAACCAAGCAGTACAACTCCCACTTTTTACTGGGAACTAATTAGTTATAATTTATGATAGAACTCAATCTTCCTATGTCCCTGTGTCTCACTTAGCTACTTCTCAAGAGGGAGCGTTGGGATGAATTAATTGCTCATGAAAATAAACATATACACACACATGCATATACATTTATGATATACATATGTTATAATATGATTACATTGATAGTTACATAACTTGACACATTATTCAAATATGTATACTCATTTATTTTATATTGCTTTATATATTATCTTATTTTATAGATTAATTTTAATGTATTTTATTATTCTATATTATGAAATTATTTTGTACTACAGAATTGTATAGGCTTTTTTAAAGTAATAAAACACTATGCTTACAAGATGAAAACTTTGCTCAATTCTCTCACATCACATTATGTTATTACGCTTTCAGAGGTCTTTTCAATGACATTATATGGGTCACTTTTACATTGATGAAAATATTTCACTTTTTATTTTCAAGCTTTTCCTATAGATCCCATGAGAGCATTCTGCTTTCTACAGATGTCACAAAGAAACCTTTCTGAGTGTTTGGTAAGTAGGAAAAAAGACACAGATGCCTCCCATGGTTGTTCTCATAACAAAAGACAAGGAAACAGAGATGGGAAACAATCTCCAAACCCTTTATATTCACAGACCTCGTACTTTTCCAAAACAGGGAATTCAAGGTTTGCCAAAGACTTCAGTAATTTGGCCTTAGCAATAATGGAAGGTATACAGCTGGAATCCATTATATACTGCTCTTAATATATTAAACAGTGATCCCTCTGTCCTAAAAAATACAAATGAAGATGCCTGCAATTTCCATGTAGAAAGGCAAGTCATTTGTACATCATCTTCACAGAGGATGACAACGTGGGCAATTTTTTTAATGAGGACCTCTTAGAATCATTAAAAGCACAGGGACTGAGAATAGCACTCCCATAAGCAGGTAGACTCCAATATCCACTTTGTTTCTCTTTTTCTAAGAAAAACTAATCACACAACATGCCTCATCTCCTAAGAGACAATCTAATAACTGAGAGTCTTCTAACCAACAGTGTAGCCAAGTAAAACCTTATAGAACTCCCCTTCTTGTAGGGAAAGAAAAAAAGTTAGATGGTGTAAGTCATGCACAGAGAAACGAAACATCTAAAGGCTATTAACTAGGAAGTTCATTATTGATATGCTAGAAATTATGTACTAGAAGTTTGTCACTTTTGTTTCCTAAAAATATATAGGCTGGGACCACTCAGACACTGCTGGCAGAAGTACAAACTGGTCAAAGCACACTGGAAAACTGTTTAGCAATATCTTTTAAGCTGGACATAGGCATATGCTATGACCAACAATTCGGCTTCTATAATGATACCTAAAAGAAATGCACACATGTATTCACCAAGAGACTTGTACATGAATGATTATAACAGCATTATTCATAAAAGCCCCAAACTGAAAACTAAGCCAAATGTCCATCAGCAGTGGAATGAATAAATTGTGGTATATTCACATAATGGAATAGTATACAGCAATGAGAATGAACAATCTGTTGCTCCATGCAACAATATGGATAAATCTCTTTTTTAAAATATTGAGCAAAAGCAGCTATACACAAAAGGTACACAGAGTGCTTCCTACTATATAAAGTGCAAAATCAGGTAAATCAATGTATAGTGTTAGAAGTCAGTAGAGTAGCTACCCTTTGCAGGAAGTACAGGGCACTGGGACAGGAATACAAAGGAAGCTACTAAGCTAACATGATAATGTTCTATGCTTTAATCTGGATACTGGGTACATGGGTGTGTTCACTTGTGAAAATTCAACAAGCTGTATTATGATTTGTGCACATTTCTGCATACATTCAAAGTTCGCGTTAAAAAATAAAATATAAGCTTATGAAAGTACTTCTTTAACTGATATTCCAAATTCATTACTTTTTTAAATCTATAAAGGCAAACAAAGAACAAACCAGACCATGGGAACAAATACAACAGAGAGACAGGAGAGGAATATCAAGAATGAAGCAAGATCATCACAGAGCACACTTGGAAAGGAGATGGTATGTATCTCTCTCAAACAAAGGTGTTTGAGATGTGACAAGATGTTAAAAGACCTGATTAAGCAATACTCTCTACTCCCTTGCAACTGCAAGCTGAAAGCTCGTCGCTAATAGGCTACTCTCTGGAAAGCCCACAGAATTCCACTCTCACTAATTGAGTTGTAATTAAGAGTCAGCTAAGTATGTTCTCAAACTAGTTTATTTCAAATTTCACTTGCTGTTGCAATTACATAATTTAATTAAATATTACCTAAATATATGAACACATATATTTGTTTCTATCAAATTAAGTTAAAAGTTTTAGAAAAACTAAATTCAATAAACATAAGTTGTCAAAGAAAATTGCTACTAAAGTATGGAAGAACAAAACTTTTAAAACACAAGTAGAAAATCATAAAAACCTAGAACCATGCTTTCAGACTGCTTCATAAGCAAATTTAAATTCTTGTTCAACTTTAAAGAAAACTGAACTTGATATTGTAAATGCATTATGGGGTGATTTATGAAAGAAGGAGAATTTCAAACTTTAATCAGCAGACCCATACTCAAAGAAAAGATCATGACTTCACATCAAAAGATTGGCAAATGAAAATATATTTATAGTTTACATTAAAATTTGATGTTGAAAATATGTAACATTTGTGATTTTATGATTCTAGCCAATTGTTTGTATTAACTAACCAACTATCTATCTTAATTGTGAAGAATGCAAAAGTCCTCTCCTGTGTATCACTAAAGAAAACTGAGCAAGCAATACTGGTCACTCAAGACCACCTATATACACATATACACATGCATGCACAACACAAATGTGATCTCTCTCTCTTCCTCTCTCTTTCTCTCTCTCACACACACACATACACACACACACAAACCATGCCTCACTAAAACAATACTGAAAGGAAGCAAGCATCAAAAACAGAAATCAAGACAATAATGAAAGTAAATGTGGGGACACACGTCATAAAAAGGAGGGCATTCAAAGGAGTTTTTCACACAACTTTCCACTTTGGGATAGCAAATAAGATAGGTATTTTAAAAGAAAAACAACCAAAAGCTAGGTGAGTAGCAAAGCTTTAATCACTGGAGTTCTTCCTTACTGTCTCATTGCTACCCTATCCTAGTCTTGAACCCAAGAAGAAGTACGCCAGAGTTCTCACATGGTACAACACTTGTTTATTTCCACTGATTTGACTGCAGAAATCTCACTCTTTCATATCACTAGGGGGAGCACTTACTCTTTAAAAAATAGGAAGAGAAAGTTAAAAAAAAAAGTTCCAAATAAAGATGCACTTTATGATCGGGGGCAGTGGCTGTGGAGGTGGTGTGTGCCTTCTGTAGTCCCAGCTATTCAGAAAGCTGAGGTGGGAGGATCATTTTAGCCCAGGAGTTAGAGCACTGTGACCGTGCCTGTGAATAGCCACTGCACTCCAGCCTGGGAAACACAGTGAGACCCTGTCTTTAAAAAAGAAAAAAGAAAAAAAAAAAAAAAAAAGCAAAGCTCTTTATCTGACTGCCCTGGGAAAGCAAAGTTCAAAATGCTTTAAAAGTCACAGCACAAAGTGAAAAATATTTTTAAAGTCACAAGTGACTTTAAAAGTAAGCAACATAAAAGCTAGTCTCAGTACATTAACCAATCAATACATTTAATGCATAATAGCAAATATTACTTAGGGTCATTTGGTAAGAAAATATAAATCAACAGGCTGACCTTACTATTACTCAGTTAAAAATGCTTAATTATGATTTGTGAAGATTCTAATTTCTGATAAATACTATTAGCAAACGAAGTTAATGGATATCTATCACAAACTTCAGTTGGTATACTTTGTCCGTTTATTAAATTATTGGAAGGCAAAATTAATACCATTATCCTCTTTTAAAGTTTTAAATGTAACTTGAGCACCTAAGTAGCAAGGAAGTAGGGAAAGGGAAAAGGAGACAGAAGGGAATTAACAGTAACGGGATGCCTATTATGTGCCAGGTGCTTCAACCACACTGGGAAAAGGGAATGATTATTTCCACTTTACAAATGAAAAGCAGGGCTCGAAAACCATAACTAACTTCACCACTGTCACATAGATAATAAATTGTGGAACAAGATATGACTCATAATACCTAAAATCAAAAATATCAGAAGTTCCTTAATTCATCTGGCAGTATGGTCATCTTAAATACTCTTTATTCCATTAAGAGGCATATATTTATATCACAGCGAAGAACAAGAAAGAACAACAACAAGAAAGCTTGCCCTTGTCCTCTAAAAGCTTGTCCTCCAGGACCTTACAATCTACTGAAGAAAACATGCACACACAGTTAAGGAATGTAAATCAGTGATTAATGGCCAATTGAAGAAAGCGCCACTAAGTGATAACGGAGCTCAAAGAAGCCTGGGATCCATGTGGTTTAAGCAGTTAGAGAAGACTTTATGAAAGATGTAAGATTACAGCTGGATCCTAGAGATGGTGTATGTTGGATAAGGATATATTGAAAGAGTACTCCAGGATGAGGAAAAGCAAAAATTAAGGATAAACACAATGAAACTGAGTAACAGTGAAAAGGCCAGCATGACTGAATCAAAAAGTGAAGAATTAAGTGGAAACAACCCAATATCCATCAACTGATGAATGGCTAAACAAAAGCGCTATATCCATACAGTAGAATACTACACTGCAATAAAAAGGAATAAACTACTGATAGCTGCTACAACATGGGTGAACCTTGAACACCTTATGCTAAGTGAAAGAAGTCAGTCACAAAAGGCCATATACTGTATGATTCCGTGTTTAGGAATCTCCAGAATAGGCAAATCCATAGATACAGAAAGCAGAATAGTGGTTCCCAAAGGCTGAGAGGGTTGGTACTGAGGAGCAACTGCTAATAGTACAAGGTTTCTTTTGGGGGTGATGGAAATGTTCTAAAATTGATTGCAGTGATGGTTGCACAATTCTGTGAATATACTAAAACTCACTTAACTGTACAGTTTAAATGGGTGAACTACAAGGACTATGAATTATATCTCAGTAAAGCCATTTTTAAAAGTGAGGGACTGGTGGGACATCACATTGCACAGCTAAGATAGAGTCACCTATGGAGTATTCTGAATGCCAGCCTTCAGGGTCTACACTTTATCTGGTAGACAATCAGAAATATACAAGTAAAGATTTACCTAATGAAAGCACAGTATACATACTTAGGATTCTTCTATAATAAAATCACTCACATGTTTTAAGTACATTCCAAAAATATACGCAAAATCACAAAGAAGAGAAAAAACAGGAAAAAGATAAGATATGATTTTGACTAAGACACAAGCTGTGACTATTAGGAAAGTTGTTTTGCTTCAGTGCTAAATGCCACAGATGGGTATATCAGTATCGCACGTATGCAAAACCACAAATTCATCTGTGTCAAATCTTTGAAGACTGTAATATTCTAAACTTAATTGTGAAAATGTCATTAATAACTGACATGTCATATTTCAGGGTAAGACAATGAACAGTATAATTTGTTTTTTATCGATGACAGTACTCTATATATAAAATGCTTTTTTCAGATACTGGATTCAATCTAAATGCTATCAGAACCCCACTAATATAAAGCATTGCTTACTGATGCTTACACATCTGACTTTGAATTCTAATTTAACATAATACTCCAAAATAGTTTCAATACACAAAATAAAAGAACTAAAGAAACAAACCTGACACATAAAAGCAGAGAGAAAATATATATATAACATGTTATATATTATACATTTATATAATATTCAATGCAGAGGAAAAGGTAAAGTGCTCAAAAATAAACCTGAAAATCAATGACAGACGGAAAAAAGGACTCAGCAAAGTACAAACTAGAAAAAAAGGAATAAATTACATCTACAATAGCAGGCTCAATACATGAGAGAAGATGAGAAGGCCTAAACAGAGGCAAAGTTCAGAACATCTCTATGAAACAATCCTGTCCCCTCCCCTGAATCCCAGGGAAGAAAGACCCTTTCAGGCATTCTTGGCATCATCCCTCCCAAAGCTGGACTAAGGTGAAATCCCACATTCCCCCAGGAGGTGGTAAGATGGTAGGGATACAAAAGAAGAACTCAGTTGGAGAATCCATACATAACCAAACCAGTGTTCCCCTTGTGAGTCACCTTGCAAACCTCCTTCAAGGTAGGTGAGCCACAAGAAACTAAAGGAGATATTGAATCTCTTTTAAAATTCTCTTGTCCAAGAATGAGAGGGCCCATCTGTCTCTTTAAGGGCTTTGTAAATTCCAGAACTGAGCGAAACTGATGTTGAGTCTGAGAAATAAAGACAACTCAGACAACCTAGTTTGCTAACAAACAATAAAAGCAAAATAGAAAACAAATAAGCTTTCCTTAAAAAGAAGCCTTATCACTGATATTTAGAATACGGTGTCTTCTATCACAAGTAAATAGAGCAAGACTCTCCATTTCCTAATTCTAAGCCAGTGTTTATACTAAAGAAAAGAATTCAGTAGGAATAAACAGGAGTTTATTTCAAATCATTAACTGTTGTAGATTAAAACACATTTGTCCACACTTTCATCAATTTTCTACCTACTTTGAGTAAAAGAACTGTGGGAAAAGGCAAATGTTGACATCTATTGTTCATCATAATAAACATGTTAATTGTTAAGGAATAAAGTATTCCAAATATAACACAATATGAAAATGGGTTAAAAGTTGGATTATTCTCTAAGTAAACACCCAAAACACATACCGTTGAATTCACACATAAATAGAAGTTTTCTTTGAAGTAAATAGAAATGATGAGAGCATGCTACCACAGATACCCCAAAGAGGGGGGAAAATAACATCAACATAAAGTCTAAGATGCAGAAACATTTCTAAATGATACAATTATCAGAGGGAATGGTCTACATGGTAAATATGCTGATATTCTGACTAAAGTTACAACAGAAACTCATGATGCCACTTTTAGAAGGCTAAAAAAGTAATTAAGAAAATTGAAGACCTGGAGAGGGATTTTTTTTTTTTACAGAATCATTCAATGAGTAACATGGGACTGGAACATGATCTGTAAACAAGAAAGGAGAACGAGAAACTTGCCAGTACCTGAAACTGGCGCTGAACTAAGGAAACAAGGGTGACAAATATCCTAGGAGGTAAATTACATCAGTTTTCAAAACCTGATTCTGGAAAAAAAAAGAGTGACTAATTTGCCAAAAGGGAAAAATATGTTGTGTAAGCTAATGAACAATTTTAAATAAACGCAAAATGCTGTAGGAAATTTGTTTCTAAAGGATTTTAATCAATTAATTAAAACATCATTCATGTTCACTGTATTAGTTTTTAAGATGCTCAATCTACAAGACAATGTTTTAAATAGTTCAGAAAAATCTTGTAAATATTTGCAATAACCATTTGCCTTAAGCAATTCTGTAGAGCCTGTGAGATGGTTTGAAATTGAAATGACAGTAGGCTCGACCAAATTTCTAAAACCCCTCAGACAAAATCATAAAGCTTGCACGGCAAAAGTAATACAAACAGGATATCCTGAACAGCAAAATGAACTACCATATTTGTGGATTTTTTTCCGTATAGTAGATCCCGTATAATGTTCCTACTCTACAATGAACTTAAAACTAATCACTGTATACTCAAGTCTCATGTAAACTTACTGAATCTTACGCGAGAAAAACCAAAGCCAGAAAAGAAAAAAAGGATGAGGTTCAACTCCAACCATCTGCTCTTGCTCCTCCAAGCAACATTCTATAAATTAGGTATTTTATTTAAATTCTCAAAGTCATAAGTCCATAGCCAAATCTAATTTATAATATAGTTAAGTACTATGCACACAAAAGTACTCTGTTCAAGTGGCTAAGTAAATCTGAACATAACGCGAACATACATTTTAGAAAGCATTCATCTCTGCTGCACAGGGAAAAAAGAAGAGCAATTTCACAGAAAGACTAGGAAATACCTGAGCAGATAAACAGCCCTTTCAATATCACTGAGGTCTTCATCGACTGTCAATCTTTCTATTTCTTCCGGTGTCTGTCAAGGGTAAAATACACATTTATGCACCACAAATATTGGTTCAGTCTTGCCCCCCAACCTCCCAGTGACCCTCTATGAGGATAAACGAATGAAAAAGTTTCACAATTAAGCATTAACAATGAAAACTAATCAAGGAGCTGAGGATACCAGGCGACATCAATCACGGAGGTCTCTAATTGGGTGGTTTGGGGAGTTTGGGGAGGGGGCTGTATTTTTCTGTTTTTATCCTTCTAGCTCCTGGACTGCAGCTTGAAAATCACATCGTGGCTTCAGAACCTTGGCTGAAATCCATTTCATACGCATGTTATAAAACGAATACACACACTTTTTATCTCTAATACTTCAAGGCTATTTCTCCAGCATTTTCCACCCCAAGAAATGCTAAAAGGGAGATGGATGAAGACTGCAGCCGAGTAGGCATGAAAAGGACAAGATCTGGAGTGGGGGAGGGAAGGAAATAAACTCCGGGGCTGGAAAAAAACCAGAGATTTGAGATATTGCGGCAGGTGGGAGTGAGAGGCGCTAAGGCAGCTAATTAAGCAATGGCCAGGGGAAAGGGGTCCGGTCCGTAAACTAGGTTTGCTGGCGCTAAAGGTTGGAGCCGCCGGGAGGAAGATGACTCTGCGGGGTGGGAGAGCCAGTAGGGGTGGGGGGAGCAAGCTGAAGCTTGACCCCCTCAAGGGGATTGGGGAGCTGGGTCCCAGCTACAGTCCTGGAGGGGATGGGAGGAAAGGATGAGCGGTGACTCAGGATGGCGGCAAAGGGTCGCGAGGGCTTGTAGACAGGGACCAGGACGACACTGAGAAAGAGTGCTGGCTGGGAAGCGAGGGGAGGCCGGGCTACCTCGAGGGCAGAAGGACCCGAGCTTGATCTGACTTGGGCTGGGGGTGAGGGGACGGGACGCGGGGTGGTGTCTCCGGGAGAGGTGGGGGGAGGAGTTGGGAATGTGTGGACCGATGGGTGGGCCTGGGGCCAGAACCCGGGCGGCGTCAGCGGACCAGAGGTTGGGGAGCCCAGGAGAGGACCGGGGAGAAGTGGGCTGCGGCCTCGAGGGGCAGCTCCTTTGGGGGGGGGGGGCGGAAGGAAGGGGGTCCGCGACGGAGGACGCTGGGGCTGCCCCGAGGGCTGGAGCTCGGCCGTTCCTGGGGGTGGGCCGGGGGGATTCGGACGCCTCAGGAGGGGCAAGGGCCGCGGGGCTGGCGCCGGTCCGGGGCTGGGGCAGGGACCCGTCCCTTGGGGATGGGGGTCCAGACTAGAGAGGACCCGGTCCGCTCTGAGGAAGGGTCCGAGAGGGAACTGGCTTAGGGCGACACGGCAAGAGGGGTGGAGGAGGAGGGGCCGGCCCGACTGAGAGGGTCCCGGCGGCCCGGAGGAGGGGAGGGTGGTGGCGTGGGGCAGAGATCAGCGCGGGACCGCGCGGGGCAGGCGGCCGGACGCCGTGAGGGCAGGTCCTCTCCCCGGGGCGCACCTTGAGGCTCCGGCGGACCGGCCTCTCGATGATGGTGAGCTCCTGCAGGTCCTCCATGTAACCGAACAGGCTGTTCTGACTGAAATCCATCGCGGCGGCGGGCGGCGGCGGATGCATGGACCGCCGGGCACTCTCGCCGCCCGGGCCGGAGCGGCCCCGGGATGCCGGACGCCCTCAGCCCCGCGGCCGCCCACCAGCAGGACTTTCTCCGGCTCTTGGCCGCTGGAGCCGAGCGTGAGGCTGCCAGGCGGCGGGAGCAAGAGCACGGCCCGGCGAGGGGGCGGGGCGGGCCCGGCGAGGAGGCGGGGCGAGGCTCGCGGGCGGGCTGCGGGGGCGGGGCCAGGGGCGGGGGCCCGCCACCTTGCCCGCCTCGGCCCCGCCCCTTCCCGGGCGCCGCGCGCAAGAGGCCGGACGCAACTGCCGCGCAACGACCCGGCGGCCCCGCCACCCTTCTGCGCCCGCTCCTCGCCGTTCTCCTAAACCCCCGTCCGCCCCCAACCAAGTGTGCCCCACCCCACAGCGCGTGCGCAGAGCCTTTTGCCTCCCGCAGCCGGCTGAGGGCGGGCGCTGGGGGCGGGCGCTGGGGAGGGGGGCTGGGGGGCGGGGGCTGGGGGGCGGGGAGGCTGAGCCAATGAGAGCGGAAGCAGAGGAGAGGGAGCTGGCTGGGCTGCGGCTGTACCTGCTGACTTAACTGTCCAGTTATTCCCAGGACCGCCCACCCCAGCTGGCGGGCCGTGAACCCAGAGACCCCCCCCAGCACAACTCCAGCCCTGAGGGGAGCGCTGAGTGCCCAAAATAAGCAGTTAGGACGCGGGGTGCCCGGCTGACGGGGGAGGGGGCTGTGGGAATACAGCCCTGGAGGGGCTGGCTTTTGGTCAAGGGCAGCATTCGGAAAAGGCCTCCCAGAGAAGAGTCACTTAAACTGAATCTTAGCGACCGATAAGGCTTTCCCAAGAGAAATAATAAAAGCAAGCCGGTCCGGGGTTGAAGCCTGGGTGTGTTTGGTTGTGTTTGAAAAGTGCCGTCGAAGTACAGCTCGGGGCTCGGGCACCGAGGGCGTGGCGAGGTGGGTGGAAGGAAGAGGACCTAGGTCCTTGATGAAGAAAAGCCCTGCTCTGGACAGCCACGCTGAGTCCCTTGCACTTGGTTCTGTTAAGAATGGGACGAGATGGAAGGGGGATTGGGGCGATTTTTTTGGACCTTGGGGACAAGTTCGTACTGTTCAGCTCGTCAGTCAGCAAGGCCCTTTTCTTTTTTGTTTTTATTTTTTACTCGTTCCTTCTCCACACCCATTCTTCTACCCGCCATATGCACCCTCTCCTCTATTAAGGTATGTCCCAGTTCATGCACCGTATACAGCCTCAAAAGATACATGGTTTGTGTCTGTTTTTAACATATATGAACGGCATTGTGATGAGAACTCATTCTGTTCCTTGTTTTTCTCTCAGTGTCTTAGAGATCTATCCATGTGACACTATACAACAAGAGTTCATTAATAATGACTAATAATAATATTTGATTTGTGTGTCTATCATATTCTACTTATCAATTCCTCAAATAACGGCTAGTTAGGTCGCCAGCAGTTCCTTACTACCACAGACCATGCTGGAATGGATGTTAGACGTGTCCCTTACAGAACATAAGAAATTGAGTCGCTGGGTCATGAAGTCCACAGTGTTTGGTTTCACTCTGTCATGTTGGCCTCCAGATGGCTTTGCCATTCACACCCACCAATGGCACATGAAGGTAGGAAGGTACCCGTTTCCCATTTTATATGCTAACATTTGGTATTATCCGATGTCCTAATTTATGTCAATCTGAAATCAGTAAAGTAGTATCACATTGTAATTTCGATTTGTATTTTTTTGATTGGTGGTGTTAACCATTTTTCCATATACTTAAGAACCATCGAGATTGTTTTCCTTCTGTGAATTATCTATTTACATCCTTTACCTATTTTCTGCTGGATTTTATTATTTTTTCTGAATGAATTGAAGCAGTTGAGTTTCTTATATGTTCTAAATATTAATCTTTTGTCAGTTTTAGAAAAACACTGCAAATATTTCTCTCAATCTTTCATGCATCCTGTTTGCTTGGTCTTTGCTATGCTGCAATGGAGGAGAAATCCTTAATTTTCATTTAGCCTAATGCATCAAATTTTAGCCTTGTGCAGTGTGGTCTTGGGGTCTTGTTTAAGAATCTTTTCCCACCTGTTAGTCGCAAAATATTCTCCTACATTTTCCCCTAGTTGGCTTCATACTTTTACCTGTCACAGGTCTTAATCCACCTGGGGTTCACCTTGCATACAGTTTGAGCAGGAATACAGTATTATTAACTCTATTTAGTGAGCCAGTTTTCCCAGCAGCACCCACCAAACAATCCATCTTTTCCCCTCAGATGCATGATGGCGTCTGTATCGTATGCCAAGTCCCTAGAGACACACACGTCTGTCTCTGAGCTCTTGTGGCTATTCTATTGATCTAGATCTGTTCCTATGCTAGTGCTGTGCTGATTTTATTGCTGTGGCTTAATTATACATCCTAAGATCTGGTAGAGTGAATCTCCCACTCTTGGCTCTTTTGTTCTTCAATTTTGCC
This sequence comes from Homo sapiens, assembly GCF_000001405.40. NCBI lineage: Eukaryota > Metazoa > Chordata > Mammalia > Primates > Hominidae > Homo > Homo sapiens. The sequence continues at coordinate 94,171,985 of NC_000014.9, read as the reverse complement.
TTTGAAATTCAAAGCAAAATGGTCAATAATGATGCCCACAGCTAAAATTCAGGTTTTCTAATCCCTGCTTTACTAAGGAAAAGTGAAGGGAAGTAGAAGAGGACAGAAACATAGGATGAGGATGGAAAAGAGGCAAACACATGAGGAGGTGGTTTTCTTAAGCAGATATCTTACAGCCTCCCCTTTCTGTCAATTTCTGAAATTCTCTGCCTTTTGATTTGTAAATGATACAAAATATTACCTGTCAACTTTACCCTGTTCCAGCTAAGAAGTATTATCTCACATTTGGATTTTGTAACAGTATCTTCTAAAACTGGAGGGCGTTCTTAATGAACAATTGATTGAATATACAGATACGGCTTTAATGTTGGCCGTTCCAGGGCAGGAGGGTGATGAAGGGAAAATGTTCAATTTGATGACTGGAATTTGTAACTGCTCTAATTACCACTCTGTGGTGGAAGTAGCCTGCCCAGCCTGGCTGCCAGGAAACCTGAGTCCCTGTCCTGGCTCTGCCAGTGACATGTGGCAGAATGACTCTTGGATCTCTGTTTTCCTTATCTGAACTGCTTTCATGCATGTTGTCTCAACGTGCCCTCAAATCATCCCTGTGGAATGCAGAAAAGCTGCATCACTATTCTAATTTTACAAATAATGAAATTGAGGCTCAGAGAATTTATGTGACTTAGTCATGAACACACAGCTAACTGAAACTAGATTTATCCACTTTGTTTATTCATTTAAAAATAGCATGGTAGGCCGGGCACAGTGTCTCACGCCTGTAATCTCAACACTTTAGGAGGCTGAGGCAAGTGGATTGCTTGAGCTCAGGAGTTCGAGACCAGCCTGGGCAACATGGTGAAACCCTGTCTCTACAAAAAATACAAAAATTAGCCGAGCGTGGTAGCACACACCTGTAGTCACAGCTACTAGGGAGGCTGAGGTGGGAGGATTGCTTGAGCCCAGGGGCTCAAGACCAGCCCTGGCAATATAGCGTCTCTACAAAAAATAACAAAATTAGCTAGGTATGGTGGTGCACACCTGTAGTCACAGCTACTTGGGAGGCTGAGGCAGGAGGATCACTGGAGCCCAGGAGGTCAAGATTGCATCACTACACTCTTGCCTGAGCGACAGAATGAGACCCTGTCAAAAAATAAAATTAAAAAAAAAAATAGCATGGTGCTAACTAAGCACATGGACTTCGAAGCTCAGGTACTTGGGGTTGAGTCAAACTCTGCTGCTCCCTATCTTCAGCAAAGTATTTCACCTCTCTGCTCCTCACTTCACTCATCGCTAAGCTAGGAATAATAGTAGCACTTAGTACAAAGTGTTGTGAAAATTAAATGAGATAATATGCATACAATGCTTAGAAACATTCTTGGCACAAGTGTTTGTTGTTACTATTATCATTGTCACCAGACCAGTGTCCCTCTGAACCCAGGTTCAGAACAGAGTCAAGAAGTTGTGCTGAATCAATTGATTATAATGGGAAGCAAAATAATGTTTCCCCAAAGACGTCCACATCCTAATTCCCTGAACATATGGGCATGTTACCTTACATGGCCTAAAGGATTTTGATGCAACTAATTTAAGGATATTGAAGTAGGGAGATTATCCTCGTTTACCTCCGTGGGCTCGGTGTAATCACAAGGGACCTTCTACGTGAAAAAGGGAAGCAGAAGTTCAGTGTCAGAGTGATGCCATGCAAGGATGCAACCAGCCACTTTTTTTTTTTTTGAGCTAGAATCTCACTCCACCCTTGACCTTCCAGGTTCAAGTGATCCTCCTGCCTCAGCCTCCTGAGTAACTAGGACTACAGCTGTGTGCCAGCTAATTTTTGTTGTTGTCGTTGTTGGAACGAGATCTCACCATGTTGCCCAGGGTGATCTGGAACTCCTAGACTCAAGGACAACCTCAGCCTCCCAAAGTGCTGGGATTACAGGCATGAGCTACCACACCTGGCTGACTGCTGGCTTTCAATATGAAATGGGGCCATAAGCCAGCACCCTATAGAACTTGGAAAAAAAAAAAAAACTTAAAAATTCTCCTCTAGGAATGCAGCTCTGCTGACATCTTGATTTTAGCCCAGTGAAAACTATTTCAGACTTCTAGCTTCCATAACTGTAAGATAATAAATTTATGTTGTTTTAAGCTGCTAGGTTGGTGGTAATTAGTTATAGCAGCCATAGGAAACTAATACAATTATATCATACACAAAAAACAATTTTAGGTGAATAAAAAGCTGAAATATGAAAGGCAAATCTTTCAAACTTTTGGAAGAAAATATGAGAGTCATTTTATGACATCTGAATAGGGAAAATTTTCTTAAAACCAAAGCATAAGCCATAAAATAAAAGATCGATAAATCAAACTACTTTAACTCCAGCCTGGGTGACAGAGTCAGACCCTATCTCGAAAAAAGAAAAAACTCTAACTACTTTAAAATTAAGAACTTGTATTTATCAAAAAATACCACAAAGACCATGACAAGACAAACTATAAACTGGGAAAACATATTGACAACCAATTAATCATAGAAGAATTACTGTCCAGAATCAAGAACTTCGAAAAAATCAGAAGACAACTAAATAGAAAAATGGGCAAAATATATAAACAGGCAGTGATTTTACAGAAGAATCATCAATATGAAAAGGAGCTCAATCTCAATAATCCTTAATTAAGAATAATTAACATAACCTTAATAATAATTAAGCTCAACCCTCACTAATAAAAGTGGAAAGGCAAATTTACACACCCATCAAACAGGCAAAATTTTAAACATCTGATCACATCAAATGTTTCGCAAATGTCAAGAGGCAGACTTACATACTGCTTGTGGAGTGTAAACTGGTGCAACCACTTTGGAAAATAATTTGGCATTAACTTGTAAAACACTAGAGAAACTCTTGCACATTTGCACGAAGAGCTATGCACAAGAAATTTCATAGCAGTACATATTGCAATAGCAAAGGCCTGGAAAGAACTCAAACATTTACGGACATTTAAATACTTTCACTAATTGCATTTTACTCAATCAATGGAAAACTGTCAGTGAAAATATACCACAACTACATAATTCAGTGAAGACAAATCTCAGAAACATGTTGAACAACAAATGCAAATTGCCAAAGTTTATCTACATATGACACCATTGACACAATATTCTGAAACAATAATATATAATATCTATACTTGGTTAAAATGACCAAAAAAAGAAGAGGAATGATACACACAAAATGCAACCTATTGTTTAGCTCTAGGATTAAGACGTGATCAGGGAGGGACACACAGAGGGCATAGGTAATGTGTTACCTTTTGAATTGATGTAACATGAGTGTTTATTTTATTGTTATGCTTAAAATATCCGTATGTATTATATATAATTTTTTATGCATGAAATAATATTTTATAATTTTTTAGATCAGGGCAATTAAATGTTTTCCAGTTATAGCTTAGCCACTTCATTTATCCATTCATTCATTCACTAAAAAATATTTCAAGGGTTATTGCTATATTATAGGCATTGTTCTAGGTGTAGGCCTTACTACCAGGTAGCATACATCCTGGTGAGAACAATGAAAAGCAATCTAATCCAATAAGCATACAATTAAATATAGCATTACAAACTATGATAATTGCTATGGAAAAAATACAGGTAGTTAGACTGATGGAGGAGCATCACCCCACCTACTTTTGCGTAAGTGAGAAATAAACCTTCTTTGTGTTAAGCCACTGAGAGGCCATGCTTTCTGTTTCTGCAGCATTGGCTATATATCCTGACTAATAAAGATTGCAGGCCACACAGTGACAACAGGGACCAGGTGGAAAATGATCGTAGCTTGGACTAGAGTCATTAGTATAGAGGTGGAGAGATGTGAACAGATTCAAGAGAAGTTTTACAGGTAACTGGGATGGATTAGATGGGTGGGTGGGGGGACGGTGCGTGGAGTTCAGGGACGCAGAGGCAGTAAAGATGACTTCCAAGTTTTTGGCTTGTGGAGCTGGATAGATGGAAATATCAGCCACCCAGTGCTCATTCTGTGCTTTCATTAATGTCTGAGTAGATGGCATTTGCTGACAACTGCCCCAGAGCTCCATCTGCAGCTCCAAGTGGACGTCACATAGTCTGCTCCCAAGTCAGTGCCTGTTCTCTGCAGTTCTCTTCACTTGGATCTTAAGTGAACTAGACCAGGCTCCTAGTGGGCCATACTTGTTGGAATCTACCCAGCACCTGATACGATGTTTAGCACATAGTAAGGGTCCTGTTCATGTTTATTGAGAAAGTGAGAAGAGAAAGAGGGAGGAGGTGGGGAGCAATAAACTGGAATATCAGGAGGCCATCTACCACCCTGGTCCGAGCCACCATTATTTCTCACCTGGATCAAGGGTGCCTCTGCTTCTGCCTTTCCTCTTCTAAAGTTGTCCCCAACATAGCCAACGTGAACCTATTAACACAAAAGTCAGACCTAGTCACCATGAGCTTGAAACCAGGGTTCTTAACCTTGACACCACAGACACTGTGGGCCCGGTAATTGCTGGGGAGGGGAGGAAAACACTGTCCTGTGCATTGAAAGGTACCCTCTACCCACTTAGTGTCATACTGCTACTCCACCCTCTTTTCCACCGCTGTGATGATAAAAAATGTTTCTAGAGATTGCTAAATGTCCCCTGGAGACAAAATTCCTCCTTCCCACCCCAAACCCTGCAATTCTCTCCATCTCATGTGGAGAATGTCCTTCCACATGCCCTCACCCTCTGATCTCATGTCCTCCCTTTTCTCCCTCACCCATTCTGCTTCCTTCATGAATACTGGCTCCCTTGCTATTCTTCCAACACTCAAGGTATGATCCAGATCAGAGCCATTGAGCCTAGTCCCTCTGCCTAGAATGTTTTTCCCTTAGATTTTCAAATAACTCATTCCATCACCTCCTTTAGGGTTTTACTCAAATGTCATCTTCTCGATGAGGCCAACTTGGGATGCCTTTCATGAAATTAAAATCCCACTGTATTAGTTTGCTAGGGCTGCCAAAACAAAATACCACTTACTAGGTGGCTTAAACAACAGAAATGTATTTTCTCACAGTTCTGAAAGCTGGAAGTCCAAGATGAAGGCATCTGCAGGATGGCTTGACCCCTGTGGCTGCCTTCCTGCCAGGGCCTCACATGGTCTTTTCTCTGGGTATAGACCTCCCTGGTTTTGTGTCCAAATTTCTTATGAAGACACAGTCCTATTGGATTAGGGCCCATTTTAACTTAATTACCTCTTTAAAGGCCCTATCTCCAAATATAGTCACAATCAGATACTAAGGGTTAGAGCCTCAACATATGAATTTTGAGAGGGACACAATTCAGCCCATGACACCCAGCATCGCCACCACCAGCAATGATCACTCTACCATTCTGAATATTTTACTTATTCACTTTGTCTATGGTCTTTTTCTCCTCTTATAGAATGCTATGTTCCATAAAGGCAGGGATTTTTGTCCATTTTATTCACCACTGCATTGCCAGTGCCTAGAATCATGCCTGGCACATAACAGATGCTTGTTAACTATTTGTTACAGTAATGAACAGACATAGCTCCTCCGCTTAACTTCTCTGAGCCTCAGCTCCCTCTGTCAAATAAGGGAATTAGGCTAGATAAGACAGAGCAAGAATTCTGTTTTATTTAAATCTGAGTGCCAACGTAGCTGGCTTACCTAGAAAGCAGACTGCAGTGAAGCTTAGGTGTTAATGCTGCCTGGCGGTCGGAGGGGGCGGTGCGGGGGCGGGGGGGTACAATCGCAGGGCAGCTGGGGTGAGGGAGAGGGCAGTGAGATGGGGCAAGAAGGGAAGCAAATACAGGGCACTGTGCTGCCCACCAGGCCTCAGTTTACCAATAGGCACTGCCAGATACCCGGCCACACAGGACATCTCGAGGCAGGCCTGGGAACTGTCCATGGGAAGGAGGCCTGTCAGGCTTCCTGCCACCTCCCATTGGTCAGAGTTGGCTTCTTAGGGATTAACTCCCTTGCACTGGAATGGTCTCACCTGGCTCAGCAGCCTCTGGGGCTCAACCCCTCAGGAGGAGGGCTGCCTCCAGCCAGGAAGTGGATGGAGGAGCCTGAAGGGGTCGGCCTCAGGCTGCAGGCACCTGAGGAAGGAGGGTCATGAAGACAGCAGCCCTGATCCCTGCAGTCTGGGCAGATGGCTCTGAGCCTAGGAGACAGGGGAAACCCAGAGACTCTGAGATGCCCAGGATGTGTGCAAGACAGGTGAGAAGGGGGAAAGGAGTCAGTGAGGGGAACAGCTGAGGCATCTGGAACAGAGGCCATGGTAAAGCTGGTCAGAAGCACAGGTGGGCTCCAGCAGTTGAGGAGGGAGCTCAGGTGAGCACAGTATAGCGGGCAGGCACTTGGGTAGGCACCCTGGACCCAAGGAGCTGGCTTTGTTTGTTTGAAGTCCTGACAGAGGGTCCATGTCCCCGGCAGCCTGGTCTCATGAAACTGCTCTAGCAGGGACCTTGAAGAGGGAGCCCAGCTTCACTTTCTGCTGGGTGGGACTCCAGGTGTCTGCAGCCAGGTAAGGGGCTCTGATCTCGCATGGCAGCCCGAGCTGCTTCATTAGCAACAGGCTGTGGCCGCCCACCTTCCCCCACTCCCAACCCGCCCCGCCACTAGCCTCCCCATCAGCTGCCTCAGCCAGCCGCTCATGTGCTCGTCACTTTGCAAACTCTTCCTAAACTCCGCCGCCCCCTCAGCTGTCTCTGGAAGGGGAGAGGGGGTTCGCTGCCACCACTCCACTTCTCCGGGAAGGGGTGTTTTTTTCTCATGTGTGGGCTGTGTGTGTTGGGCTGTGCCTCGACTCGAGGGCAGATTCCTCCCTCCAGAGGTGATGATACGCGCCAGGAGCAGATTGCACATTTGTCTCCTGGGAGGCAGTGGGCGAGGGAAGCAGAACGCGCTGTGTGAGCGTGGGGAGGGGGTGCCTGTAGAACCGTGATGGGGTGATGGGCTCGGAGTGCAGGGAGTGTGTGTGACTGTCGCTGCTGGCTGCCTGCAGAGGCAGCGGGAGACTGATTATAGGGCTGGGTCCCGTGGCCCTGGATGTGGGTGCAAGAAGCTGCATTTGCACTTGTCTGTCAAGGTGGGGGTGATGGTTGCCCTGGTGACTAGGCTGGGAAGTGGGTTGGCCTTGCCGACAAATGCTGGAAGGAAAATATGATAAGCACCATTTAGGGATTTTCCCTTTTCTTTTTCTTGATTGGAGCACCAGTTCGATAGAGCCTTGTGATCATAAATGAAAGATAACTTTCAGTGGCTGGACCCACCTTATCCTGTTCTGGTTCCCTGAGAAAACCCCACAGCACCTGCTCTAAGCCCACTGAGCTGGCATAGAAGGCCTGGATCCTAATCCTAACTGGTTAGCCCTGGAACCTGGAACAAGTGGCTCCCGCCCTCTAGTCCTCACTTGGACAAGGAACCCTCCAGGACCTCTTTGTGTTCTGATTCCTAGGCCTCACCCCCAGACATTGTAATTAGTAGGTCCACAGCTGGGCTTAAGAATCTGCATTTTAGCCATTCCACCCTGCACCTTCCACATACACCGGACCTGCATTTCAGAGCCACTGTAATCTGTCATTAAAAGTGCTGGCTTTGGGATCTGACAGGACAATCTATCTGTAGCCCATCTAAGCCTCAGTTTCCTCATCTGTATAGTGGAGGAAAAAGGACTCCCACCCATGCAGCTACTGTGAATATCAGATGAGATAAGGCCACAAGCATAGCACAGGGCCTGGCACCTTGGGGCAGGGGAGTCCAATAAATGTTAGGCTTTCCGCTTATTATTCTATGTGAACCTGTAGTATCTCTACTACCCTCTCGCCTTCCCAGCAGCCCCTTGCCAGGCAAATCCCACATCCAGGAAAATGGCTTCTGCAGTAAGCGAGAATCAGTCAGGCTAGAACTTAGGCAGAAGAGGAGGAGGCAGTGCTCACAGCTGGGGCACTCACACCCGAGAGTTTCAGCTCCGTTTAATCTGTTGCCATGACAATTGCAGCTTCCTCAACCTCTGTAGGGTAAAATGACTTCCTCCAACATCCAAATACTCTGGATGTCTGTGGTCATTTTACCAAAGGCACTAGGAGATGGCAGGGATACACACCTCTCTCATCCCAACCCAATCATCATTTCAGTTCTCATCTCAGGGTATACTGAGGGCTTCTGGAGGACAAGGACTTGGCTGAATTTTGCTTCAAAGCCCCAGCACCTAAAGCAGTGCCTGGCATACAGTAGGCAGATGACAAATGCTGGTTGAATGAATAAATGCAGTGTAAATCTGAATTTCTTAATCAACAATTCACTTCATTTAGTAGAGAGATGAAATGCAATTAGGACTCCAGGCATCTGTTACTTGATTTCTTCCCCACTTACCTTTTTTGAGAAAACTGCATTACAGGGGCTGAAATCAGCCCCTGTAAATGGCATTCAGTCCCCTTGGCATTAGTACTAGATCCCCCTAGGAAAGCCCAGGGCATGCAGATACAGCCCACCAGACCCTCAAACTTTTGAAGTACTGTTTCCTCAGCATTTTCATTCATACAAGCTCTTCTGAACCTTACTGGTTATTAATATATCAAATTTCATATGCAACAAGAATTAATATTTCCCTTGCAGGAATCTGCTCCTCCAAACATGAATTCTTCATGCCTCATCAGTTCCCATCCCCTTCTGTCTAGCAAAAAAATGGAATTGATGAAACTCAAATCTACTCAGAATTGCAGCTGATTAACCAATCTCATATAAGAAAAGAAGATTAGGCCAGGCTCGATGGCTCACACCTGTTATCCCAGCACTTTGGGAGGCTGAGGCAGGCAGATCACTTGAGGTCAGGAGTTCGAGACCACCCTGCCCAACATAGTGAAACCCTGTCTCTACTAAGAATACAAAAATTAGCCGGATGTGGTGGTGTGCACCTGTAATCGCAGCTACTGGGAAGGCTGAGGCACTAGAATCACTTGAACCCAGGAGGAGGTTGCAGTGAGCCGAGATCCTGCCACTGCTCTCCAGCCTGAGCAACAGAGTGAAACTATGTCTCAAAAACAAATAAATAAATAAAAGGAAAAGATTAAAACTCTTGGCTCGGAGTTTTTTTAAACAGAATTAACTGAGGGATTAATATATCTGTGTTGTCTACCATTAGTAGATTGAGCTTTGGTTAACGAGGCCTGTGCTTAAGAAGTGACATTTGTTTATTCATTAACCAAGTATTTATTGAGTACTTCCTATGGCCAGGCCAGCTGCATAGGTAAATGACCTGGGCAGTTGTACAGGGTCCGGAGCTCAGAGGGGCCCTGAGCTTGGTTTCCTGTTGTGGCCATCTTGAAATTCTCAACAATTTTATCTTTGAACTTGTGTTTTGCAAGTGAAGTCCTATGGGATGCTAGAACATGTCTGTGAGCAGAGGAAGGAGGTACAAGTCGCGTTCACCCTTCCTTGCTGCCAGTTACAGAGAGTGTTCACGATGCTCCATGAACATGGAGTTCTGGGGACCCACAGGCATGGCAGTTCAGAGAGGCTCAAAGTGAGTCCAAGGTAACTGTGTTCTGCCCAGAGCCCGAAATTTCTATTCAAACTAGGAGACTTGCTTCAAATACAGAAAGAAGGCAATGGTATTCTAACCCACACCATGGCAAGATGCCCCATCACATCCTTCCTTACTGGTGCTGCTTCCCTGCATTGGCCAACCACACCCACTGAAGATGACTTAGAAGGAAAGGGGAGAGAAGGGCCCCAGAGCTCCTGTTCCTTTCAGTCCTCCCTACTCCCCTCAACAGGAAGGCAAAGAGTGCTGATGAAACGTGCACATATCAAGAAGTGAAAGGAAAACAGATTAGCTTGTTTTTGGCAGCATTTCAAACACTGTCCTGGTAAAAATAAAGTACATAGGCACATGCAAACTACAAAATTCCGTGGTTCCATAAACAAGTTTAATGCATTCATGTTTGCATTTAAAAATGGCATTGCATAACATAAAGATGAATGCTGAAATTCATGCTAATAAGTTTTCTTTACTTACAGCATTAAATAATATATAAAATATACATGAAAAGCTGAGAGAGAGAGACCAGGGAAGAAAGGAAAATGCTTTCTATTTTAGTATCTCTAATGATTTTTTTTCTTGTTTTGCTTTTTGAGCAAGGAAACTCACATTTTTATTTTGCACTGGGCCCCACAAATTATGTAGCCAACCCTGGGGTCACAAGTTGGGAACATAGTGCCTGTCTCCAAAAAGCTAATTTCTTCTTCTTTCTTTCATTATTCTGGAAAATGTTTCCATCCTTACAGAGCAAGCAAATAAACAGTTTTAAAAGAAGTGAAAAGGAGTAAATAACTGACTCTCGTAGAGTTGATGAGGATTAAATGAGTCAGTACAAGTCCAATGTTGAGGACAGCATTTGCAGCATAGAAAGTGTTATCCTAAGGATGTCTTGGTCCATCTGTGTTGCTATAAAGGAATACCTGAGGCTGGATGATTTATAAAGGAAAGAGGTCTATCTGGCTCACAGTTCTGCAGGCTGTACAAGAAGCATGGCACATGCATCTGCTTTTGGTGAAGGCCTCAGACTGCTCCCACTCATGGCAGAAGGCAAAGGGGAGCCCATGTGTGCAGAGATCACATGAGAGGAAGCAAGAGAGAGAGGAAAGATGCCAGGCTCTTTTGAACGACCAGCTTTGACAGGAACTAATACAGTAAGAACTCATTACCACATGCATGTCACCAAGCCATTTGTGAGTGATCCACCCCACTGAACAAATACCTCCCATTAGGCCCCACCTCCAACATTGTGGACCAAACTTCAACATGAGTTTTAGAGGGGACAAACAGCCGAACTATAGCAAAGGGTTTGCTAATATTATTGTTCATTCCAAGGAAGAGAAAACTTCCCTCACCCCTTGGTTTCTGAGGATGGGGTTCTCGGTTTCTTAGGCCAGTACAATATTTTGTTTGCTTTGGAATTTGAATTTCAAAACTATGAAGGGGAATAGCGCTGCCCAGTTGCCTCTGGCCTTACTACTCCTAGTTGGGGTAGAACCTGGCCATGCCACCCACTTGTTATTTCTCTGAGCATTTTATCCCAGCTTTATTCATCAGTTTCTTCAACAAGCAGAGTTGAAGGCTGTTTTTAGTTCCTGTCCTGCATGCTCTCCTCTGTTGCATAAAGGAAATGAACCCTTTATTCAACCCCAATGCAAACCCTGTTTCGATCTAGCAAAAACATTCCTAAAGCTTTGCTCTACACACTTAGCACCATGCTTGGAACTAAGACAGAACAAAAGGCATCTAAATGAGGTACAACCCTTGCCTAGATGAGCTTATGATCTAAGACAAGAAACTACACATACAGACTGTTAAGTACAGCTGCATATAATGCAAATATATGTGGCTTAAAACCAAAACTGGTTGTAGTTACTCAGAAATTACTTCTAAGGGTCAGGGCAGGAGTGGGAAGGGATGAGAAAGTGTGTGATATAACTTAAATCCATGAATAAATTAAATCTTAATACCATTAACTCCTTTCCCTTATAAAAGACTGGAAGGGCAGGGAATCACACCTAAGGTAACTGTTTGCTGTTCAAGGAGGTTGCATGAATGAATCTTTGGCCATCAAGATATTCCCTGAGTCATCAGGAGGCAGAGATAAAAGTCTTTCCCTGTGAGGGAAAGAAGATGCCCAAAACACAAGGAAGGCATCACAGTGGAAAGAATTAAGGATGGTGGCTGGGTGCAGTGGCTCACATCTGTAATCCCAGCACTTTGGAAGGCTGAGGCAGGCAGATCACTTGAAGTCAAGAGTTCAAGACCAGCATGGCCAACATGTTGAAACCCTATCTCTACTAAAAATACAAAAAATAATTCCATTAAAAAGTGGGCTAAGGACATGAATAGACAATTCCCAAAAGAAGATTTACAAATGGCCAAGAAACATATGAAAAAATGCTCAACATCACTAATGATCAGGGAAATGCAAATCAAAATCACAATGTGATATCACCTTACTCCTGCAAGAATGGCCATAATCACAAAATCAAAAAACAGTAGATGTTGGCATGGATGCAGTGAGCAGCGAACACTTCTGCACTGCTGGTGAGAATGAAACTAGTACAGCCACCATGGAAAACAGTGTGGAGATTCCTTAAAGAACTAAAAGTGGAGCTACCATTTGATCCAGCAATCCCACTACTGGGTATCTACCCAGAGGAAGAGAAGTCACTATATGAAAAAGATACTTGCACACTCATGTTTATAGCAGCAATTGCAAAATCGTGGAACCAACCCCCATCAATTGATGAGTGGATAAAGAAACTGTAGTATATATAAATACAATGGAATACTACTCAGCCATAAAAAGGAGTGCATTAATGGCATTCGCAGCAACCTGGATGAGATTGGAGACTGTTATTCTAAGTGAAGTGACTCAGGGATGGAAAACCAAACATCGTATGTTCTCACTGATATGTGGGAGCTAAGCTATGAGGACTCAAAGGCATAAGAATGATACAATGGACTTTGGGAACTTGTGGGGAGGAGTGCAAGGGATAAAAGATGACAAAAAAGGTGCAGTGCCACTCAGGTGATGGGTGCACCAAACTCTCACAAATCACCACTAAAGAACTTATGTAACCAAACACCACCTGTACCCCCATAACCTATGGGGGAAATTTTTTTAAAAATGAATAAATATTTTTAGATATCACAAATGAAAATAAAAATAAATTAGCGAGGCATGGTGATGCATGCCTGTAGTCCTAGCGATTCAGGAAGCTGAGGCTGGAGAATCTCTTAAACCCAGGAGGCAGAGTTTGCAGTGAGCTGAGATTGTGCCACGGCACTCTAGCCTGGGTGACAGAGCAAGACTCTGTCTCAAAAAAAAAAAAAAAATACTTAAGGATGGTGATGTCTAATATTCAATATTAAGTTGTTTGCATTGCTGAGTGGTAAAGGCCCCTCTTTTGCCAGTAAATCTTCAAGACAATTGGCCCCAGAGACAAAGACACTGTGTCCCATGAGTGGGGCTTCTTCACTGTGAAAAATGACTTTCTCATTTTTACTTCTCCCATTAGTGTCTGGCACTTGGCAAGAAGTTGATGACTATTTATTATGAGAGAGATTTTTGAAAAGAAGAAATATTTAATGAATAGATGATTAGAGAGTGAATGATGGTCGACTAGCACAGATTTCTCTAACCTCACATCTGGGTACAACTGGAGAGACAGGATGCACACGAGGAGGGCGCTGCCCCAGGATGTGGCTTGGAGAGAGAGGCGACGCAGGGCTTCTGTTCCTTTATATTTGGAGACCCAGCTTATAAATAGATGCCATGGCCCCAAAAACTCAAAATGCCTCAGAAGTCAGCCTATGTCAGAACGGCTCACATTCAGGATGAAACGGAGTGAACCAATTTACAAATGCTTCTACACAATTTCTCAGCAAGACTATGCAGAGATCGTTAAAGCCATGCCCTAGGATAGCGTTTGTCTTGGCAAACAGAACTATTGGCAGTCCGCTGCCACCTGTTTCACCACAATACCTGCTGATGCTCCTTCCTGACTCACACTGGCTCAGTTTCATAAGAGGGGGCAGCTCTGTTTCTCTCCCTGTGTCACCACAATAATTATTGAGAACAATAATTTGAACAATGAGAACTTATAATTCTCTAGTAACATGCAAAAGTAGTGTCATTTGCAGAAAAAGAATCTCCTGAGTATTGGGTAACAGAAACCATATGTTCTGCTTCAGTTTTCATAGCAAGCTTAAACCTTGGCAGTGAATGGGATTAGAACCATTCATTCATTCATTCATTCAGCACATACTAATAAGACACCAGTGACACAGCAGGCAGGGTATACAGTGGAGACTAGTCTGGCTTTATTCCCTCCTACATCTTGATCCAGAGAGAAAGGCTGCCAGAACAGTGATCATTTGATGCTGAAGTTTGGGAGAGTGATAACATACATCACAGACACCCAAGAACACCCTTGCTGCCATCTTTTAGGAGACACACTCTAATGGTTTAAGTCTCAAACCAGAAACCTCCTACAAATACCATAGACATAACAGAGTGGGCGGATTTCAGGCTTAATCCTAGTCCTGCCCCTCACTAGCTATGTGACCTTGGACCTGTTCTTCTCCTCTCTGAGCCTCTACTGCAGGAGGTAAAATGGAAATAAAGCATGTTCACTAAGATCACTGAAGCAACAGAAAATAGGAGGGATTGATGAATTTAGAAACTAAGACAGATCTTAAGAATAGCTATTCTATGCTACTCCAGGAAAATTGTTCTAACTCAAAGAGTATATTAATGACAAGTATAAGCAGATAAGATTAGTTCCTCTTAAAATTAGCTCTAGAACCATGAAACAGTTTCAGGAATACTACAGCCTTTCAAACTCTTTGTTAGGTAACTACATTGCAATAGAACCTGGAGAACTCAATGCATGCACAAAATGTCCATCCACATTCAACAGTGACTCCAGCTCTTTATAGCACATGAACCTGGACACAAACAAGACCTACTTAACACAGTTTCCAGTTTGTTGCTAAGTAACCACTACTGCCTGGTATGAGTGTGTGAGCACTCTGTTTCTTGTGTCAACTCATTATGCCAACATAATAGAGTGAACTTAACATTAGAGAATGGAATGTGAGATTTCATTTTTCATCACCCATACAGTTAGTCTATTATTGTCCAGCCAACTAAAAGTGTCTTCTAGAATAAGGTGAAAGAACAGAGAGGGCAAGGAAGAACTGAGAGCATATGGAGGAAGGAGGTAAATATGATTTTTCGTGTGACAATACACAGAAGCCCACCAATGACCACACTTAAACCAGGTGGCAGTCTATCATCTTTTGTCTTTTTCCTTGTCAAATACCGTGTTGTCACCTGGTCAAGTATGAGAACCTAAGACTTGGTGCCATAATGTACACTGACCAGTAGAGTGAGGGGCAATATTTACACAGTGGCCGTCACCATCATCCTAAGCCACTCCCCACTCCCAGCCCAAGGAGGACCAAGGCCATTGGGATTATGGTGGCATTCTCCTCCCTGAGGAGTGAGAGGGTAAGAAGTGATTGGCGTTTCCTCCTAGTAGTTCTGACCCACTGTCCATCTGGTCCAGACAGCTGGGCATCCATGCACCTGTTGGTGGCTGTAGTTTCCCAGAGTCCCACAACCACCCTGGAGTCCAGAAACACTCTAGGTGGCTTCCTTCTGAGCTGCTGGAGAATGTTTTGTGAATCACTTCTCTTAGGAAAGCAAATGGTCCCAAGGTAACTCCAAATTATTTTCCTCCAGCTTTATTGAGATATAACTGACAAATAAAAATTGTATGGACCATGTGATTTTTGATAAATATATATACATTGTGAAATGATTACACAATCAAGCTAATTAAGGTATCTATAAGATCTATTCCTATATGGTAGCAGCATGGAGAAGTGCAGAGCAAAGGGGAGTGGGGAAAAGCCCCTTATAAGATCTCATGAGAATGCACTATAATGAGAACAGCATGGAGGTAACCAGCCCCATGATTCAATTACCTTTCACCGGGCTCCTCACACAACATATGGGGATTATGAGAACTACAGGTTGAGATTTGGGTGGTGACACAGCCAAACCATTGTCATTCCACCCCAGCCCCTCCCAAATCTCATGTTCTCACATTTCTAAACACAATCATGCCTTCCCAACAGTCCCCCAGTCTTAACTCATTCCAGCATTAACTCAAAAGTCCAAGTCCAAAGTTTCATCTGAGACAAGGAAAGTCCCTTCCTCCTATGAGCCTGTAAAATCAAAAGCAAGTTAGTTACTTCCTAGATACAATGGGGGTAAAGGCATTAGGTAAATACAGCCATTCCAAATGGGAGAAATCGGCCAAAACAAAAGGACCACAGGCTCCACCCAGGTCTGTAATTTAATAGGACAGTCATTAAACCTTAAAGTTTGAAAATATTTCTTTTGACTCCATGTCTCACCTCCAGGTTACACTGATGCAATAGGTGGGCTTCCACAGCCTTAGGCAGCTCTGCCCCTGTGGCTTTGCAGGGTGCACCCCCCACTCCAAGCTGCTTTCACAGGTTGGCATTGAGTGCCTGTGGCTTTTCAAGGCACATGGTGCAAGCTGTCAGTGGATCTACCATTCTGGGGTCTGGAGTACAGTGGCCCTCTTCTCACAGCTCCACTAGGCAGTGTCCCAGTGGGGACTTTCTGTGGGGCCTCCAATCTCATATTTCCCTTCCACACTGCCCTAGCAGAGGTTCTCCATGAGGGCTCTGTCCCTGCAGCAAACTTCTGCCTGGACATTCAGGCATTTCCATACATCCTCGGAAATCTAGGCAGAGGTTCCCAAACCTCAATTCTTGTCTTCTGTGCCCCCCAGAACCAACACCATGTGAAGGCTGCCTAGGCTTAAGGCTTGCACCCTCTGAAGCAATGGCTGGAGCTGTACCTTGGCCGCTTTTAGCCATGGCTGGAGCCGAAGCAGCTGTGATGCAGGGCACCATGTCCTGAGGCTGCACAGAGAAGCGGGGCCCTGGGCCTGGTCCATGAAAGCACCTTTCCCTTCTAGGCCTCCAGACTTGTGATGAGATGGGCTTCCATGAAGGTCTCTGACATGCCCTGGAGACATTTTCCCCATTGTCTTGGTGATTAACGTTGGATTCCTCATTACTTTTGCAAATTTCTGTAGCAGGCTTGAATTTCTCCCCAGAAAATGGGTTTTTCTTTTCTACCACATTGTCAGGCTGCAAATTTTCCAAACTTTTATGCTCTGCTTCTTCTTGAATGCTTTGCCATGTAGAAATTTCTTGCACCAGATAGTCTAAATCATCTCTGTCAAGTTCAAAGTTCCACAAATCTCTGGGGTAGGGGCAAAATGCCACCAGTCTTTTTGCATAGCAAGAGTGACCTTTATTCCAGTTCCAACAAGTTCCCTATCTCCATCTGAGACCACCTCAGCCTGGACATTATTGTCCATATCACTATCAACATTTTGGTCGAAGCCATTCAACAAGTCTCTAGGAAGTTCCAAACTCTCCCACATTTTCCTATCTTATTCTGAGCCCTCCAGACTGTTCCAACCTCTGCGTGTTGTGCAGTTCCAAAGTCGCTCCCACATTTTCAAGTACCTTTATAGTAGGACCCCACTCCTGGTACAAATTGACTGTATTAGTCTATTCTCATGCTGCTGTAAGGACATGCCCAAGACTGGGTAATTTATAAAAGAGAGAGGTTTAATTGACTCACAGTCCTGCAGGCTGGGGAGGCCTCAGGAAACTTACAATCATGGCAAAAGAGGAAGCAAATACATCTTTCTTCACATGGCAGCAGCAAGGATAACTGCAGAGTGAAGGTGGGGAAAAGCCCCTTATAAAACCATCAGATCTCATGAGAACTCACTCACTATCAAGAGAAAAGCATGGAGGTAACCACCCTGATGATTCAATTACCTCCCACTGGGTCCCTCCCATGACATGTGGGGATTATGGGAACAACAATTCAATATGAGATTTGGGTGGGAACACAGCCAAACCATATCAACTCCCTTAGCAAATTTCAGGTATACATGAACTATAGTCACTGTGCTGTATATTAAGTCTCCAGAACTTACTCATCTTGGAACTAACTACAAGTTTGTACGCTTTGACTAACATTTCCCTATTTCTCCAACCCCTTGACCCCTGGTAACCATTCTTCTACTCTCCATTTGTATGAGTTTGGCTTTTTTCAAGTGCACCTCAAAATTTTTCATTCGCCCTCTCACCTAGATTTAAATTCACTTCCCCTATTTCACCGGACAGTCAATTGTGTAAAACATAGGTCCCAGCAGTGATGCAATAGAAGGAGCATAGGAAGACAGAAGTCAGCAAATGACCATCCAGTGCAGCAAGCAGCGTGCTCAGTATCAACAGGTGAGCCTGTGGGGTCCCAGTGAGGCACCTGAATGGGATAGAAGGGTCCTAGAAGAGGTGACATCTGAGGAGCTGTAGCTGTGGCTTCCCCACTTGAGAGCAGGGACTTGGGCCCAGCCAGCTTTGCATCTTCCCGTACCTGGTACAGAGCCTTTCGCAGGGTGGACATGGAGGAACCACTGGTTTGCACTGTCACCTATTCTGCCATCCCAGATGACCACTTAGCACCTGAGCAGCTGGATTCACCTTTCTCCCACTCCCTTATTCATTGAGCCCTGGGGGTAAGTTCACTTACGTGTGTTTAAGGTTTTTTCTTTTCTTTTTTTTTTTTTGAGACAGAGTCTCACTCTGTCACGCAGGCTGGAGGGCAGTAGTGCCATCTAAGCTCACTGCAACCTCCACTTCCTGAATTCAAGCAATTCTCCTGTCTCAGCCCCCTGAGTAGCTGGGACTATAGGTGTGCACAACCATGCCCAGCTAATTTTTGTATTTTTAGTAGAGATGGGGTTTCGTGATGTTGGCCAGGTTGGTCTCCAACTCCTCACCTCAAGTGATCCACCCGCCTTGGCCTCTTAAAGTGCTGGGATTACTGGCGTGAGCCACTGCACCAGTCAAAGTTTGATTTGCCAATTTTATAAAAAAACAAGTGAAACCCGGCTTCCACGCTCTCGGCTTGTCTCTGAAGAGGAGTTCATCTACTACAGGTCTACATGGAACCCGGCACCCAGGCCAATTCTAGACATTCATGCCCTGAGGCTCCTCAGACCTTTCTAGCACCTGCTGAGGGATTCAGGAGCAGATGGCAGAGCTCTGTTAGAGGGACCCACCATCAACACTGACAAAATAGCATAGCACCTTACACAAGCTTTGTGGTGGACACACAAACACTCATAGGTTTTATTTGTGGGCAGTAGTTTTCCAGAAAAGTAATACAGTGTCAGTTAAACTCACTAAGCCAGAAAAGGGAAAAAAAAAAAATCTACCTTTTGTGTTAGCTACATTTTGAATGACAGCCTTTTGTTTTAATACCTAGTGCCAAAGGAGAGACTTGGACAATGACTGTGTTGGAGAGCCCCTTGTTATGAAGACCTAATCTATATAGCTGTGTCATGTACATTGTTCAAGTCCTGTCCGTGGCACTGAACTGTGTACCTTGCATTTTAATCTTCCTTAGTCACCACATTCATCATCTCACTTTCCTGCTCAAGAACTTGAGCTGATGCCTAAGTCCTACTGAAGCCAGTCCAAAGTCTTGCCCCCAGAGGTTTTATTGCAAAGTCCCTCCCCAAAGTAGCCCACCTGCTCTAACCAGGATAGTTTCCTCTGCCTTGTGCTATAAACTATGTTCACTCCTGCCTGCATACATTTGCTGAAACTATTCCCCCACTGCCCATGCTCTTTTCTCACTAGCCACTAACAGGAATTAACCTTGTCCTTCAAAGTACAATGTGCACCTGCTTTCCTCCTAGAACTATCTTGGATAATCCTACCCCTCCTCTCCTCCGCCATCCTGGGTCCCCCATTGTATAAGTCTGTTTTCATACTGCTATAAAGAACTGCTGAGACTGGGTAATTTATAAAGAAAAGAGGTTTAATTGACTCACAGTTCTGCATGGCTGAGGAGGCCTCAGGAAACTTACAATCATGGCAGAAGGCAAAGGGAAAGCAAAGACCTTCTTCACATGGCAGTAGGAGAGAGTTAGCAAGAGCAGGAGAGAGTTAGCAAAAGCAGGGAAAACTGCCTTATAAAACCATCAGAGGCCAGGTACAGTAGCTCACCCCTGTAATCCCAGCACATTGGGAAGCCAAGGTGGGTGGATCACCTGAGGTCAGGAGTTCAAGACCAGCCTGGCCAACATGACAAAGCCCCATCTCTACTAAAAATACAAAAGTTAGCCAGGTGTGGTGGCAGGCACCTGTAATCCTGGCTACTCAGGAACCTGAGGCCAGAGAATCACTTGAACCTGGGAGGAACAGGTTGCAGTGAGCTGAGATCATGCCACTGCACACCAGCCTGGGTGACACAGTGAGACTCTGTCTCAAAAAAAAAAAAAGGAATGGGAACTGCTCTGGTCTGCAGCTCCCAGTGAGATCGATGCAAAAGGCAGGTGATTTCTGCATTTCCAACTGAGGTACCTGGCTCATCTTATTGGGACTGGTTAGACAGTGGATGCAGCCCACGGAGGGTGAGCTGAAGCAGGTTGGGGCATTGCTTCACCCGGGAAGCACAAGGAGTCAGGGAACTCCCTCCCCTAGCCAAGGGAAGCTCTGAGGGACTGTGCCTTGAGGAATGGTGCACTCCAGCCCAGATACTATGCTTTTCCCACGGTCTTTGCAACCCACAGACCAGGAGATTCCCTCGGGTGCCCACACCACCAGGGCCCTGGGTTTCAAGCACAAAAGTGGGCAGCCATTTGGGCAGACACCGATCTAGCTGCAGGAGTTTTTTTTCATACCACAGTGGTGCCTGGAATGCCAGCGAGACAGAACCGTTCACTCCCCTGAAAAGGAGGCTGAAGCCAGGGAACCAAGTGGTCTAGCTCAGCAGAACCCACCCTGAGGGAGCTGAATCAATCAAGCGGAAGAAAGGATATCAGGGATTGAAGATCAACTTAATGAAATAAAGAGTGAACAGTAGGTTAGAGAAAAAAGAATGAAAAGGAACAAACAAAGCCTCCAAGAAATATGGGACTATGCGAAAAGACCAAACCTATGTTTGTTTGGTGTACCTGAAAGTGATGGGGAGAATGGAACCAAGCTGGAAAACACTCTTCAGAATATTACCCAGGAGAACTTCCAAAACCTAGCAAGTCAGGCCAACATTCAAATTCAGGAAATATAGAGAACACCACAAAGATATTCTTTGAGAAGAGCAACCCCAAGACACATAATCATCAGATTCACCAAGGTTGAAATGAAGGAAAAACTGTTAAAGGCAGTCAGAGAGAAAGGGAAGCAGTCAGAGACAAAGAAAGGGCAGTCAGAGACAAAGGGAAGCCCATCAGACTAACAGCAGATCTCTTGGCAGAAACCCTACATGCAAGAAGAGAGTGGGGGCCAATATTCAACATTCTTAAAGAAAAGAATTTTCAACCCAGAATTTCATATCCAGACAAAATAACCTTCATAAGCGAAGAAGAAATAAAATCCTTTACAGACAAGCAAATGCTGAGATTTTGTCACCATCAGGCCTGCCTTACGAGAGCTCCTGAAAGAAGCACTAAATATGGAAAGGAAAAACCGGTACCAGCCCCTGCAAAAACACAGCAAATTGTAAAGACCATTGACACTATGAAGAAACTGCATCAACTAACAGGCAAATTAACCAGCTAGCATCATAATGGCAGGATCAAATTCACACATAACCATATTAACCTTAAATTTAAATGGGCTAAATGCCCCAATTAAAAGACACAGACTGGCAAATTGGATAAAGAGTCAAGACCCATTGGTGTGCTGTATTCAGGAGACCCATCTCACGTGCAAAGACACACATAGGCTCAAAATAAAGGGATGGAGGAATCTTTACCAAGCAAATGGAAAGCAAAAAAAAAAAAAGCAGGGGTTGCAATCCTAGTCTCTGATAAAACAGACTTTAAACCAGCAAAGATCAAAAAAGAAAAGAAGGGCATTACATGATGGTAAAGGGATGAATGCAACAAGAAGTGCTAACTATCCTAAATATATATATGCACCCAAAACAGGAGCACCCAGATTCATAAAGCAAGTTCTTTGAGACCTACAAAGAGACTTAAGTTCCCACACAATAACAGTGGGAGACTTTAACACCCCCACTGTCAATATTAGAAGATCAACGGACAGAAAGTTAACAAGGATATTCAGGACTTGAACTCAGCTATGGGCCAAGCGGACCTAATAGGCATCTACAGAACTCTCTACCCCAAATCAACAGAATATACATTCTTCTCGGCACCACATCACACTTATTCTAAAATTGACCACATCATTGGAAGTAAAACACTCCTCAGCAAATGCAAAAGAATGGAAATTGTAACAAACAGTCTCTCAGACCACAGTGCAATCACATTAGAAGTCAGGATTAGGAAATGCACTCAAAACCTCACAACTACATGGAAACTGAACAACCTGCTCTTGAATGACTACTGGGTACATATTGAAATTAAGGCAGAAATAATTAAGTTCTTTGAAACCAATGAGAATAAAGACACAATGTACCAGAATCTCTGGGACACAGCTAAAGCAGTGTTTAGAAGGAAATTTATAGCACTAAATGCCCACAGAAGAAAGCAGAAAAGATCTAAAATCAAAACCCTAATATCGCAATTAAAAGAAGTAGAGAAGCAAGAGCAAACAAATCCAAAAGCTAGCGGAAGACAAAAAATAAGTGAGATTAGAGCAGAACTAAAGGAGATAGAGACACGAAAAACCCTTCAAAAAATCAATGAATCTGGAAGCTGGTTTTTTGAAAAGATTAACAAAATAGACTGCTAGCCAGAATAATAAAGAAGAAAAGAGAGAGAATCAAATAGACACAATAAAAAATGATAAAGTGGATATAACCATTGATCCCACAGAAATACAAACTACCATCACAGAATACTATAAACATCTCTACACAAATAAACTAGAAAATCTAGAAGAAATAGATAAATTCCTGGACACATACACCCTCCCAAGACTAAACCAGGAAGTAGTTGAATCCCTGAATAGACCAATAACAAGTTCTGAAATTGAGGCAGTAATTAATAGCCTACCAACCAAAAAAAAGCCCAGGACCAGACAGATTCACAGCCAAATTCTACCAGAGGTACAAAGAGGAGCTGATACCAATCCTTCTGAAACTATTCCAAACAATAAAAAAGAGGGACTCCTCCCTAACTCATTTTATGAGGCCAGCATCACCCTGATACCAAAACCTGGCAGAGACACAACGAAAAAAGAAAATTTCAGGCCGATATCTCTGATGAACATCAATGCGAAAATCCTCAATAAAATACTGGCAAACCAAATCCAGCAGCACATCAAAAAGCTTATCTACCAGGATCAAGTCCACTTCATCCCTGGGATGCAAGGCTGGTTCAACATACACAAAGCAATAAACATAATCCACCACATAAACAGAACCAATGACAAAACCACATGATTGTCTCAATAGATGCAGAAAAAAAAAAACTCTCAATAAACTAGGTATTGATGGAACATATCTCAAAAGAATAAGAGCTATTAATGACAAATCCACAGCCAGTATCATGCTGAATGGGCAAAAGCTGGAAGCATTCCCTTTGAAAACCAGCACAAGACAAGGATGCCCTCTCTCACCACACCTATTCAACATAGTATTGGAAGTTCTGGCCAGGGCAATCAGGAAAGAGAAAGAAATAAAGGTATTGAAATAGGAAGAGAGGAAGTCAAATTGTCTCTGTTTGCAGATGACATGATTGTATGTTTAGAAAACCCCATCATCTCAGCACAAAATCTCCTTAAGCTGATAAGCAACTTCAGCAAAGTCTCAGAAGACAAAATCATTGTGAAAAATCACAAGTACTCCTATACACCAATAATAGACAAACAGAGCGCCAAATCATGAGTGAACTCCCATTCACAATTGCTACAAACAGAATTAAATACCTAGGAACACACCTTACAAGGGATGTGAAAGACCTCTTCAAGGAGAACTAAAAACCACTGCTCAAGGAAATAAGAGAGGACACAAACAAATGGAAAAACATTCCATGCTCATGGATAGGAAGAATCAATATTGTGAAAATGGTCATATTGCCCAAAGTAATTTATAGATTCAATGTTATCCCCATCAAGCTACCATTGACTTTCTTCACAGAATTAGAAAAAAACTACTTTAAATTTCATATGGAACTAAAAAAGAGCCCGTATAGCCAAGACAATCCTAAGCAAAAAGAACAAAGCTGGAGGCATCATGCTACCTGAATTCAAACTATGCTACAAGGCTACAGTAACCAAATCAGCATGGTACTGGTACCAAAACAGATATATAGACCAATGGAACAGAACAGAGGCCTCAGAAATAACGTCACACATCTACAGCCATCTGATTTTTGACAATCCTGACAAAAACAATGGGGAAAGGATTCCCTATTTAATAAATAGTGTTGGGAAAACTGACTAGCCATATGCAGAAAACTGAAACTGGATCCCTTCCTTACACCTTATACAAATATTAACTCAAGATGGACTAAAGACTTAAACGTAAGACCTAAAACCATAAAAACCCTAGAAGAAAACCTAGGCAATACCATTCAGGACATAGGCATGGGCAAAGACTTCATATTAAAACACCAAAAGCAATGACCACAAAAGCCAAAATAGACAAATTGGATCTAATTAAACTAAAGAGCTTCTGTACAGCAAAAGAAACTATCATCAGAGTGAACAGGGCATCCTACAGAATAGGAGAAAATTTTTGCAATCTATCCATCTGACAAAGGGCTAATATCCAGAATCTACAAGGAACTTAAACAAATTTACAAGAAAAAAACAACCCCATCAAAAAGTGGGCAAAGGATATGAACAGACACTTCTCGAAAGAAGACATTTATGTGGCCAAAAAACCTATGAAGAAAAGATCATCATCACTGGTGGTTAGAGAAATGCAAATCAAAACCACAATGAGATACCACCTCATGCCAGTTAGAATGGCAATCATTAAAAAGTCAGGAAACAACAGATGCTGGAGAGGATGTGGAGAAATAGGAATGCTTTTACACTGTTGGTGGGAGTGTAAATTAGTTCAACCACTGTGGAAGATAGTGTGGCAATTCCTCAAGGATCTAGAACCAGAAATACCATTTGACCCAGCAATCTCATTACTGGGTATATACCCAAAGGATTATAAATCATTCTACTATAAAGACACATGCACACATATGTTCATTGCAGCACTAATCATAATAGCAAAGACTTGGAACCAACCCAAATGCCCATCAATGATAGACTGGATTAAGAAAATGTGGCACATATACAACATGGAATAGTATGCAACCATAAAAATGATAAGTTCACGTCCTTTGCAGGGACATGGATGAAGCTGGAAACCATCATTCTCAGCAAACTAATACAGGAACAGGAAACCAAACACCACATGTTCTCACTCATAAGTGGGAGTTGAACAATGAGAACACATGGACACAGGGAGGGGAACATCACACACCAGAGCCTGTTGCAGGGTGGGGGGCTAAGGGAGGGATAGCATTAGGAGAAATACCTAATGTAGATGGCAGGTTGATGGGTGCAGCAAACCACCATGGCACATGTATACCTATGTAACAAACCTGCACGTTCTGCACACGTATCCCAGAACTTAAAGCATAATTAAAAAAAAAAAAAACAAAACCACCAGCTCTCATGAGAACTCACTTGCTATCATGAGAACAGCATGGGGGAAACCACCTCCATGATCCAATCACCTCCCACCAGGTCCTTCCCTCAACACAGGGGGATTATGGGGATTACAACTCAAGATGAGATTTAGGTGGAGACAGCCAAACCATATCACCCATCTTTCTGCACGTGGTCTATTCTGGTCTTCTACACTTTTCTGTGTTTTATGTCTCCTTTTTAAATGTCCAGGGGAATATAGTATAATAGGAAGCTCACTGCGTTTGGAATTGAGTCCCAGCTTTGCCAACTATTAGCTGTGTGACCTTGGACAAGTTACTTAATCTCTCTGGGCCTCAGTTTCCTCATCTATAAAAAAGAGACAATAATGCCTACCTTGCAAAATTCCGGTGATTATTAGAGGTAATGGGCATAAATGCAGTGGCACCCAGGGAGCTTAATAGTGATGGCCACCCTTGATGTTAATGAGCAGTAAGTCCTCCTTCTGCTGGGCCGGACTTCCGTAAGGTCATAATTACAGACAGACAGCTGGCTGCAGCAGTTGCAGAATGGCACTGACTTCCTGTTTACCCCAATCCTGCCTGAACATGCAAACCCCTCCTACCTACCTCACACAGTTGCTCCCTTCTAGCACACACAAAATGGTACTCGCCATTGTTGGTTCATGAGATGAATGGTCATTTTAATCCAGGGATATTGTTTGCTGGGCCTTTCAAGTGTTTACTCTTCAAGCCACTCCCTCCATGGGGCCCAGCTCAAAACCACCTCCCCTCAGGAAGCCCTTCCTCATCTTTTCAGTCAGAAGTTCTCTGGGCCAGGCGTGGCGGATCACACCTGTAATGTCAGCACTTGGGGAGGATCACTTGAGCCCAGGAGTTCAAGACCAGCCTGGGCAACATGATGAGACCCTGTCTTTAAATATGTATGTTTACATATTTATTTTAAACATATATATTTAAAGACAGGGTCTCACTATGTTTTTAAATATATATATTTATATATTTTATTATATATTAAAATATATATATTATATATTAAATATGTATATTATATATTATATATATTATCATATAAAATATATAAATATATATGTATTATATATTAAAATATATATATTTAGATATATATATCTAAATATATATTTAGATATGTATATCTAAATATATATTTAGATATATATATCTAAATATATATATTTAGATATATATATCTAAATATATATATTTAAAGACAGGGTCTCACTATGTTTTTAAGATTATATATAAATTATATATACATATATATAGAGAGAGAGAGAGAGAGAGACAGAGAAAGGGAAAATAACCAGGCATGGTGGTATGCACCTGTAGTCCCAGCGACTCAGGAGACTGAGGTGAGAGGATCACTTGAGCCCAGGAGATTGAGGCTGTAGTGAACTGTGATTGTACCACCGCACTTTAGCCTGGGTGACAGTGAGACCCTAGCTCATAAAAAAAAGGTTCCCTGGAATGCCTCCCTGGAATGCCTCACTCTATGTGTCCTTTGCTTGTGGCCCTGAGAGAATTAGATGAGTTATCCTATGAAAGGGCCTTAGAATAATTCCTGTCACAGAGCCAGCCCTGTGAACATGTTGGCCATTATTAACCCCTATCCTTGTCCTCCCTCGCCCACTGTGTTGGATGCCTCCACAGGTCCCTCCCAACCCCACTCTGTGCCATCTCTGTCCACAGGGGTTGTCTTCCAGGGATTGCATCAGGAGGCCACCTGACCTCTGACTTCCTGTTGGCTTCAGCTAAGAAGGAAGGAGGAACACTGAGAGGGGACAGGAGGAGGCAGGAGCATGCTGTCAGGGTATTGTGTTTTTCCAGTGCCTTCTCTGTGGGCTGCTGAGGGCCTGAAGCCCCTCCTCACAGCTCTCTCCCTCTCCAAATCCTTATGTGACCAGCCCCACCCCCTCACTCCCCCAGGCTCCCCGAGGTTGCCAGCCCCAAAGTATTCACTGCTTTTTTGGCTCCCCCACACCTGTCCTTGCCTGTGTAAATGTTCCCTTCATTAAATTCTCCTGAAATGTCCCAGATTGACTCTGCCATCTGTTTCTTGCCAAGACCCTAATTGAGACACCTACTTTCTGAATATTAAACCTAACCATGTTTCGGGCTTTTTTTGTCAAATGTCATAGGTTGTTCAGGTTCCTTGAGGCTCCTCTGGATATATTTTTTATAAGACTATTTTAAATATATATATATATATATATATATATATATATATATATATATATATATATATATTTTTTTTTTTTTTTTTTTTTTTTTTTTTTTTTTGAGACAGAGTCTCTGTCTATCGCCCAGGCTGGAGTGCAGTGGCACAGTCTGGGCTCACTACAACCTCCGCCTCCCGGGTTCAAGCGATTCTCCTGCCTCAACCTTCTGAGTAGCTGGGATTACAGGTGACTGCCACCATGCCCGGCTAATTTTTGTATTTTTGGTAGAGACAGGGTTTCACCATGTTGGTCATGCTGGTCTCGAACTTCTGACCTCGTGATCCACCCACCTCGGCCTCCCAAAGTGCTGGGATTACAGGCGTGAGCCACTGCACCCGGCCATAAATATGTATTTTTAAGATTATTATTAAGTGTCAATTTTACCGAGATTTGGAGTGTTCTTCAAGGGTGAGAAATTAGCCCTATTGCCATGTAGTGCCCTAAAGCCCTGGGCCCTGGATGAGGGGTAGCTGGGAAGATGCCGTGGAGGCCACACTATGAAGGCAACAGACTTCACAGAAGAAGCATATGCCCCTGTGGCTGAGCCTTCAGGGAGGGGCATCTTCAGTCCCTCCTCAGAGCCACAGTGCTCCTCAGAGAATGAAGGATCCACCCTTGTTAGTGACACTGAGCAACAGAGTGCATGAGACCAGTTGGTCCCCATGTTGTCCTGGACAGAGTGGGGTGCGTTGGAGAAAGTCCTATGATGACTGACAGCCAGTCCCAAACCTTGACAATGGCAGCTCTAAGCCATATCTAATTTGATTTTAAAAATAAAGAAATGAGACATTTATTTAACTTCATTGTTGTGGTGCAGACTGGTAGTTGTTGCCCCTTCCTATTTTAAGGAGGAGGCTAGAGACAATGGCTGTCCAGAATAAAGACCCAATTTCCCCGCATCCTTTGTAGTTAGATGTGAGCAGAATTTCCAGGGCCTACCCTCTTCTTCCTGTCGCCAGTGGAATGCAGGCATAAGTGCAGAGCCAACTCAAACCTGCAGGTGGAGGCAATACGCTGGGGATAGAAGGTGTATGTGTCCCCCAAAATGGCACAGAGAAGAGCCAAGTAAGAATAGACTACTATGTTTTTTTAAGGTACTGTTATTTAGGGTCCCCTGATAGAGATAGCTATGAGGCAAATATTACATGTGAAAAATATGAAGTATTTTTATCTATGTAGAAAGTCAAAAAAACAAAAAACCAACCAACACTCCCCAAACTAATAAATAAGTTTTACAAGGTCATAGCATACAAGGTCAATACATAAAAATACATTGTATTTCTATACATTAGCAATATACAGATGGAAACAAAAACTTAAAATAATAGTAGTCACAATAGCTTCAAAAACTGAAATACTTAGGTATAAATCTAAAAAAAAAAGTAACAGATCTCTAAGCTGAAAACCACAAAATGCTGATTAAGGAAATCGAAGATTTAAATAAGTACAGGGACATACCATTTTCATAGATTAGAAGACTCAACAGAGTAAAGACTCCAATACTCTCTAAATAAATTCATAGATTTAATATAGTACCAATCAAAGTCCTAGCAGGATTCTTTCTGAGATATAGACAAACTATTTATAAAGTGTGTATGGAAGGGCAAAGGAATGAGAAGAGCTAATAAAATTTTAAAAAAATAGAGTTGTAGGAATCAAACACTGTAATTTTAAGACTTACTGTAAAGCTATAGTAATGAAGTCAGTGTGGCATTAGCAAAGAGATAGACACACAGATCTATGGAAAAGAATGGAGATACAGAAATAGACCCACACAGATAAGGCTTATTAGTTTTTTACAAAGTTGCAAAAGCAATTAAATGGAAAAAACATAGTCTTTACACCCAATTGTGTACATGCAGCAGATCCTCAAATGGACTTCCAGCTGGGGCCACTGTAGAGTTTGCACATTCTCCTCATGTCTGCCTGGGTTTTCTCCAGGTACTCCAGTTTCCTCCCACATCCCAAAGATGTGCACACTGGGTGAACTGGTGTGTCTATAATGTCCCCACGCCAGTGTGTGTGTGTGTGTGTGTGTGTCTGTGTGTGAGTGCACCCCACGACAGAATGGCATCCTGTCCAAGGTGGGTCCCTGCTTAGCATCCTGAGCTGCTGGGATAGGCTCCAGCCAACCACTGCCCTGCATTAAAATAATTCTGCTTATTTTTATTAATCTTTCTTAACTGTACACGTAACTCACATTTATTTCCATGTTTAATGTTAGAAGTGTTTTGGTCTTTATTTAGAAGCTCGGTGATGTTTTTGTGATGAGAAATATGCCATAGGAATTTAATTCTTCTTTATATCCATTAGCTTATGGTAAAATTGGTTTCATTATACGTTGTTTTGCCATTTCACTTAAAGCCATGGTTTCCAAGACCTAGCAACAGTATTGAGGACTTACTATACAATCAAACATTCATAGGCAGAAGAGGGAACCTAAACCTCATTCCTTGCACAAAACACAAAATCCATCTAAATTTATCATGTACAATTATATAACGGAAGAAAAGGCCAGAGAACATCTACATGACCTTGAATTTAGCAATGAGTTCTCAGACATGGCACCAAAAGCACTATCCATAAAATTAAAAATTGGATTTTACCAAAATTAAGAACTTTTGCTCATGAAAATCACTGTTAAGAGAATGTTAAGGGCCAGGCACAGTGGCTCACATCCGTAATCCCACCACTCTGTGAGGCCTACGCAAAAGGAAAGCTCGAGGCCAGGAGTTTGAGACCAACTTGGGCAACATAGTGAGACCCTGTCTCTACAAATAAAAAATAATAAAAATATGTTGGTGTGCACCTGTAGTCCCAGCTTCTTGGGAGACTGAAGCAGGAGGATTGCTTGAGCCCAGGAGTTTCAGGCTGCACAGAGTTATTATCGTGACACTGCAGCCTGGGCGAGGATGTTGGGGCAGCTTTAGACTGGGAAGAAATATTTGAATTATATGCATCTGGCCGGGCACAGTGGCTCACGCCTGTAATCCCAGCACTTTGGGAGGCTGAGGAGGGTGGATCACCTGAGGTCAGGAGTTCGAGACCAGCCTGGCCAACATGGTAAAATCCCGTCTCTACTAAAAATGCAAAAATTAGCTGGGCGTGGTGGTGCATGTTGTAGTCGCAGCTACTCAGGAGGCTGAGACGGGAGAATCGCTTGAACCCGGGAGACAGAGGTTGCAGTGAGCCGAGATCACATCATTGTGCTCCAGCCTGGGCAACAGAGTGAGACTCCATCTTAAAAATAAAAAAAAGAAAAAAGAAACTCATGCATCTGACAAAAGATTTATATTTAAAATATGTAAAGCTCAACAATAAGAAAACGAATATTCCAATTTAAAGATAGCCAATGCCTGGCACAGGACCTGACTTGTAGAGAGAAGCATCAAATCAGTTTTGTCGACAAAGAAAATGAGAACCCGAAGTGAGAATATGACCTGTGAACATAGCTCATCTTCCTCATTTGATTGACAAGCATTTATTGAGAGGTGGAGACAAATAGTGCAAGGCAGATTGAAATGCAGATTGGAATGCTCTTTCCTTGGGTCAAATCGAATAGTGGCCCAAGGAAACAGCCCTGGGCAGGGTGACAACCTATAGGAATGTGTCTTTTTCTGATGTCTTTTCCACGTGCACCCCCTGAATGAGCCTTTCTCTCCAAGGCGCTCCAGTGTGCTGCCCTGCTGCCATCTGTTTTTCTTTCTTTTTTTTTTTTTTTTTGAGACAGAGTCTCGCTCTGTCACCCAGGCTGGAGTGCAGTGGCGCGATCTCAGCTCACTGCAAGCTCCGCCTCCCGTGTTCACGCCATTCTCCTGCCTCAGCCTCCCAAGTAGCTGGGACTACAGGCGACCGCCACTGTGCCTGGCTAATTTTTTGTATTTTTAGTAGAGACGGGGTTTCACCGTGGTCTCAATCTCCTGACCTCGTGATCCACCCGCCTCGGCCTCCCAAAGTGCTGGGATTACAGGCGTGAGCCACTGCGCCTGGCCGCCATCTGTTTTAAATCCAGAGCCCCTCTGACCTGCTTAAGAAAAGTCAGACAAGAGCCGGTCCAGGAGAAGGCTCAGAGGTGAAGCCAGGTGATGAACTTGAGACTGCAATTCAGAGCCCACACCCTGGCCCCAACACTGCCCATAATAAACGAGTGGCTTTGGCCAAATGTTCCTGGCCATAGGCCTCTGCTTCCCTAGTTGTTCAGCAGAGGAGCCAGGTGTTCAGACCCTCAGCTGCACCCCTCCACCCTGGACATTCTCAGATTCACCAGAGCTAACGCTGTCGCTCATTAACTGGACCGCATTTCATTCTTCTTTTCATACCCAAGACCCGAAACCCCGAGCACGTTAGTCCTTTGTCAAATGCCGGCAAGCTTAAACACAGATGAAAGCACGTGTCCTTGCTGACTCAATGTCCCTGCTATCTTGAATTCTCCAGGTGCCCTTGGCACAGCCCACAGTTCACCGACAAGTTCATCATCTCCAACTTTGTAGACCTTCTGGCAGATTGCAGCAGCCTCTATTATTTCAATGTATAATTTATATGGCCCATTTTCACTGCCAAGGACAGCCTACAAAGCACACTTGATCCTGCACAAGAAAACAGCGAGTTTTGCCCTCTGGGATGTGTGTGCTTTCCACCCACGGACACAAGCAACTTTTCCAAAGTCTTTTGCTTTACTGGGGCACCTCACTAGGGCAGGAACAATGGGACCTCAGAATAATAGGACAGTCACCACAATTTCAAGGCTGCTCTCAGAGGCAGGTATGTGGGTGACATTAAACACATAGGGTGGTTTCCAGCCACCGGAAGGCCATGCTGGCAGGCCGGAGGCCCTTTGCATCTTTGCAGGAGAGCAGCATGACGCCCCAGGCAAGAGGTTCCTAATCTGAAGTGGGGGCTCCATTTCCCTGATGCTGCTTGCTACCCAGGGAAACGCATATATGTCATGGCAACTTTCTAGACTTCAGTCTCCTCTCCCCTCCACTCAGGGCATTAGCTCCCATCCTGATAGCCTTGCTGGATTGTGGCAAGGATCAAGACAAATAAAAAATATATGAGGGTTTTTTTTTTTTTTTTTTTTGAAAATGCTACGTGCTTGCTACATAAAGTTTGGTCCATGGACCAGCAGTGTCAGCATTACTTGAGAGCTTGCTGGCAATGCAGAATCTCAGGCCACACCTCAGACCTAATGGATCCGAATCTGAATTTTAACAAGACCCCACGTGATTTGCATGAGAAGTACTGCAATATGCTAACAGAAATGTGGTATGGGAGAAGAATGTGTGGTCTGGATCCTGGAGCTCTGAGCTCAAATTCAGCTCAGCCACAAAGTCCTTCGTGGCCTTGAGAGGTGACTGGGGCCTCCGTTCCCTCAGTAGGAGAAGTGTCACCCTGCTGCAGTAGGAGAAGGAGAATGTGGAATGGAGAGGAGAGGGGGCAGAGGGCAAAGGGCTGAGCGGCAGGGAGCCCCTTCCCAGTGGTGTGAAGGGAATGGGTCAGAGAAGACAATGGAGAAGATCAGGGAGAGATCAGCGCTTCCCCCGTCAGCCCTGCTCACCCCCACCACAACCCTTCCTCAGTCACCGAAGCTTCTTGGCATGGACCCTCAAGTCAGCTGTGGGCCAAAGGCAGCTGAGAAGTGGAGAGCCCTGCTTGGTTGTCAGATATCCAAAGTGGCACCAGGAGGCCTGGAGGGTCTTCGGCCTGCCCCAGGCTGCAGAGTATCCCCTGTAAACCCAGGACTGAGATCAGTAAGTGGATCGGGGAACCCTGGAGTAGCTCCATCCTCCAAGTTGCAAAGGGACCAGCTGAGGGGATCTTGCAGACTGTCTCAGAGGCATCGTCTGCACATTTAACGAGCAGTATTCTCATTACGCTGGCTTTTCTATTAAGCAAGCTTCTTGATATAACTCGAAGGTGAGGGCACTTGACCTGTGTTTCAAAATTTCCCTGCGATGCTGGGAAATGGACTGCATCATGCTCGACAACACTCCATTCAAGTAATTACCCAGAGAGAGGTATGATAATTGCAAGGAGGTAAGTGCTCCATTTTGTGGGTTTAAAAATACCAACTTTATGAGGCTGTGGTGAGCATTAAATGTGAAAACGTGTGGCCCGCTCTTAGCACAGGTTTGCAATTAGCCTTTTCCCCACAGTCTTGCAGATGAATCGAAAGCTCTGGTCTGGCCCAGAAGCCCCTTCCTTGGCCTCCCCCAGCAGCTGAACTCTAATGGCTCTGCTAATCGATGTTTCAAATCCACGGTGATGGAGCCATGAGCCCTAATCCTAAAAGCTGGACTCAGGGCTGGGGATGTTCTTTCCAGAAAAATCTCTTCTATTGTTTTCAAGAAACACAAGCAGCTTGGCCCTACGTGCTTTCCTAGCTGCACACAATCCCTTGAGGAAATCAAGTTAAAGGAGTCCTTTCTGACGGTAGTTTTAAATGCTCCCATGTGTGCGTTCAAAACCTAGAGAACAGGCCGGTACAGTGGCTCACGCCTGTAATCCCAGCACTTTGGGAAGCCGAGGCGGGCAGATCATGAGGTTAGGAGTTTGAGACCAGCCTGGCCAACATAGTGAAACCCCGTCTCTACTTAAAAAAAAAAAATACAAAAATTAGCCGGGCGTGGTGACGCATGCCTGTAATCCCAGCTACTTGGAAGGCTAAGGCAGGAGAATTGCTTGAACCCGAGAGACGGAGGTTGCAGTGAGCTGAGATGGTACCACTGCATTCCAGCCCAGGTGACAGTGCAAGACTCCGTCAAAAAAAAAAAAAAAGAAAGAAAACCTAGATATACAAATAAACATGTGAAACAAACTGCAGGAGGACCTAACTGAGTGAAGACTGAGAGGAGGATCCCCCCAGAAATATATCCCTTGGGAAAGAGTCCCTTCCTACTTGGGCAGTTGCAAAGTATTTCATTTTCTGGGAGGGGGGGGCTCTCAATTTTTTGGTAACAGAGGACTGTGAGACTCCCTCAATCTGTGCTGGTTTCAGATGCACTTTGGGATCACCTGGCAGAACTGGGAGGAGGGAGTTTCGTCATTATTTGTGGGAGTGTAGCCTCACTGTGCCAGGGCCGGACAGCAGGTAACACGACTTAACGATGACTTTTAAAGCATCACGATGAGGGCTTACACGGCGACATCACAAACACTTGAACAGAAGCTATTCTAATCTGCGTAAATAAGGCTTTGGGGCTTGGGATTAATTTTCCAGTGACGGCATCTTCTATAGATTCCAAAAGTGGGAAAATGGGGCATGATGGAATATTGTGGGTCACCTTACACCCAGCATCTACGGTATTTCACACAATTCTCATGGAAAGGCTCATGATGCAGGCTTCAGTAACTCGGCTTTGGGTCTCAACAGTGCTTGATGTGTAGAAACTGTAAATAAGTATTTGCATTTTGAACAGCCCTTTCAGTTTGAGGTTCAGGACAAGCCTGCTCCAGTCCTGAAAACTAAGCTCCAGCCCAGCCAACCCAGGCGCTGTGGGTGCGTTATCCAGCCCGCTAGCAACTGCGCTTGCAGTTTGAGATATCGCCACGAGAGGGCACTCCAAAGCAAGAAGCGCATTCTCTCAAACTCCAGTCCTCAGATTGCAACTCAGCTGCCGCGGGCCCAGCTAGGTTGGCTATAGGAAGTCCGCAAGGCTGGCAGAGACAGAGAGGACAGGGACCCACGATCCCAGAACTCTTGGCCTGCTGCCCAGGCCCTGCCACAGCTCATGAAGGATGGCACATCCCAGGCAAACCCAGTCACTGTATTTTAAGCTGGAAGTTTGGCTCAGAACCCCAGTGGAATTTTCAGAGGGGTACAGGGAGACTTGGCTAGAGGCCAGCCTAAGGACTACATTAAATGCAGGCAAAATGGGGAGAAACTCTAAAAGCTCTCTGCACCATAAACATTAACAGGGTTAGTGTTAGGAAACCAGGGGCTTTGATTTTTTTAACTTTGCATATTTATGTTTTCTAAATATTCTAATGAA
This sequence comes from Homo sapiens, assembly GCF_000001405.40. Classification (NCBI taxonomy): domain Eukaryota; kingdom Metazoa; phylum Chordata; class Mammalia; order Primates; family Hominidae; genus Homo; species Homo sapiens. The sequence goes on along the minus strand of NC_000014.9, from coordinate 94,136,453 downwards.
CACGTATTGTGTGTATAATTCCCTTGCTAATGTATCTTTTTGGTTATTTTCAGTTAGGGGCTTTTATGAACAAAGCTGTTTTGAACATTGTGTACAAGTCTTTGTGTGGACATGTTTTCATTGCTCTTGTGTAAATGCCAAGCAGGGGAATTAATGGATAGGAATATCTTTAACTTTATAAAACAGCCAAGGGTTTTCCAAAGTGGTAGTACCATTTTAAACTCCCAACAGGAATATGTGATAGTTGCTCCATATCCTTGTCAACACTTGGTGAAGTGAGCCTTTTAAATTTTAGCCATTCTAGCGGGCGCGAAGTGGTGCTCCATGGTGGCATCATTTTACATTTCCCAAATGACGAAAGATGTTGAGAGTCTTTTTTGTGTGGTTACTGTCTACTCATGTATTTTGCTTTGTGAAGCATTTGCTCAAACCTTTTGCCCCTTTTTAAATTGAGTGAGTTTGTCTTTTTCAAATTGTGCTATAGGCATTTTTTACGAATCCTTTATCAAATATATGCATGGTATGAAGTAAAGTTGGAGGTTGATTGTTTTCCATTTGGATTATATAATTTTCTGTGTGTACTATAACAAATTACCATAAACTTGGTAGTTTAAAACAACAAATCTATTGTCTCACAGTTCCGGAGACCGGAAGTCTGAAATCAGTATCACTGGACCACATTTAAGGTGTCAGCAGGGTTGTGCTGCCTCTGGAGGCTCTAGAGAAGAATCTGTTTCCTGCCTCTTCTAGCATCTGGTGGCTGCCAGCAATCCTTGGCTTGTGGCTGCACCGGCCCACGTGGTCACATCATCTTCTTCTCTTCTATGTATCAGATATTCCTCTGCTTCCTTCTTATAATGATACTTGTGATTGAATTTAGGTTCCATACAGATAATCCAGGATATCTCACAGTCTCAAGATCCTTAACTTAATCACATCCACAAAGACACTTTGCAGGTAATGATATGGTTTGGCTGTGTCCCCACCCAAATCTCATCTTGAAAAGTAGCTCCCATGATCCCCACACGTCATGGGAGGGACACAGCAGGAGGTAATTGAATCATGGGGGGGATGTTTTCCCATGCTGTTCTTGTGATCATGAATAAGTCTCATGAGATCTGATGATTTTATAAAGGGCGGTTCCCCTTCACATGCTCTCTTGACTGCCACCATGTAAGACATGCTTTTGCTCCTCCTTCACCTTCTGCCATGATTGTGAGGCCTCCCCAGCCATGTGGAACTGTGAGTCCATTAAACCTCTTTTTCTTTATAAATCACCCAGTCTCGGGTATGACTTTATTAGCATGGTAAAAACAGACTAATACAGGTAACATTCACAGGTTCCAGGGATTAGGACCTGATATCTTTGGGCTAATTATTTAGCCTGCCACATGGATCTTCAGTAATTCCAGGATCAATTGAAACAATTACCATCCCTATTGAATTACCTTAGTACCTTTGTTGAAACTCAGTTGACCATATATGTTTAGGTTTACTTATGGGATTTCTATTCTGTCCCATCTATCTCTCTGCCTATCCTCACACCAACATCACACTGTCTTAATTATGTAGCTTTATACTGTCTTGAAATTAAGTACTCCGGTGTTAATCTTCCAACTTTATCTTTTCATTAAAAAAAAACAAAAAAGCGTATTCTATGTCGTTTGCATTTCCGTATATATTTTAGAAACATCATGTCAATTTCACACAAAAAATTAAACCCTGCTGGAATTTCTATTGGGATTGCTTTGAATCTACAGACCAGTTTGTGATGTATTAACAACTTAATACATCTTAAAATTCAGTCTCCCAATCCATGAATGTAATTTATCTTTTTTTTAGGTCCACTTGAATTTCTCTCAGCAATATTTGTAGTTTCAATCTATATGTGCTGCATGTGTTTTCATAATTTATTCCTAAATATTTCAGTTTGGATGCTATTGTGTCATTTGAAAACAGTTGGATGCTATTGATGTTTCGTTTTGTGTGGCTGATATTTATAAATGCAATTGGTATTTGCAATATTGTTAAATTCACTTAGGTCTAGCAGTTGTTTGTAGATTCCTTAGTACTTTCTACATAAACAACAATGTTGTACATTAATAAAGAAAGTTTTACATCTTTCTTTCCAATTTTGATACCTTTCTTATTTTTTTCTTCTTTCTTCCCTTCTTCATTACACTGGTTAAGGCTTCTATCATGATATTAAATCGAAGTGGTGAAAGTGGATGTCCTTGCCTGCTTCCAATCTGAAGTAGAATGCATTCAATACAGCAGCACTAAGCATGATATTTGTTGCTTTTTTCTATAGAAAACTTTAGAAGGTTGAGGAAGTTCCCTTTATTCCTAAATTGCTCAGAATTTTTAATCAAAGCATGTATTGATATGCACTACAATATTTTCCCCTTATTCTGTATATGGAGTAAATTAATTGATTTTCAAATGTTGAACTCACCTTATATTAACCTCATGAGGTCATGATATAAGTCTCTTTTATATATTTATAGATTTGATTTGCTAGTATTTTGTTCAGGATATTTGCATGTATGTTTGTAAGGGATATTTTTCTGTAGTTCTTTTTTAATGCCTTTGTCAGGTTTTGGTATCAAGGTGACATTGATATATTCGGAATATGAATTCTTTGTCAGTTATGTGTATGGCAAGTATTTTCTCCCACTATGTGGCACGAATTTTTATTCTTGTCATGGTGCCTTTTGTTAAACAGAGATTCTTAATTTTATTGTGCTCAGATAATTAATAATGTTTTCCTTTAGGTTTAAGTGCTTTTTTTGCGTTTGCTTGAGGCTTACAGTCTTTATTTGCATATTCCAGGAAGTCAGAAAAGGTCCAGTTGACACTACTCAGGGTGTGGTAGAAGGCAGCTGGTGGCCGGGCTCGGTGGCTCATGCCTATAATCCCAGCATTTTGGGAAGCCAAGGTGGGCAGATCACTTGAGGTTAGGAGTTTGAGACCAGCCTGGCCAACATGGTAAAACCTCGTCTCTACTAAAAATACAAAAATTAGCTGGGCATGGTGGCACACGCCTGTAATCCCAGCTACTCAGGAGGCTAAGGCAGGAGAATTACTTGAACCCGGGAGGCAGAGGTTGCAGTGAGCCAAGATAATGCCACTGCACTCCACTCTGGGCAACAGAGTAAGACTCTGTCCCCTCCAAAGAAAAAAAGAAAAAGAAAAAGAAAAAAAGGCAGCTGGTACACACTGAAATTTTGGGTTATCCTTGAAAGCAGCTTTGATAAACACTGAAGGCTATTTGGGTTTTTAGATTAATATTCAATTTATTGAAATAAATTAAAAATCTAGTAATCCTTAAGTTCTTAGCTTTAATTAAAATCCTAATATTCTATTTATACATCTAAGGGGACTTTTACAATTTAGTTGAGCAAATTCTCCAAAGTATTTAAGGTTACATGTATATTAACATAATCTAGTTTCCTTTTGTGTGTGCATGTGTGTGTGTGTGTGTGTATAAATATATAAACATTGTCAATTTTCTTTTTAAACACTGCATATGTCTCTAACAAGCAAAGACTTCCCATGAACACAGATGAATTTTATACATTTAATAAAATAAACATAATTTTGAGTGTTAAGTTTTCTTAAACAATATTTGTTAACAAAATTGTTTTTAAAGTAGAATACCTTTCAACTTTATAATCATAAGATTAAGTCTCTTATGGAAGTACATCATTAAAATTGGAATTATAAGTAATCTGCCCCATACGCCAAGTTCTTATACACACGTTAAATACTCAATATGCACAAATTAGTCCTAAAACTAATGCCAAAAATGTTAATGCCATTGGTTTTGTTTATTTTGTTTTATTTTCTCCATAAGTAATTATAAACACTTCTAGGTTTTTAACAAAGGCAGTAGTTTTTAGCAGGCAGTAGTTTTTAACTATTAATACTAAGGCAGCAGGCTAAGGCAGTAGTTTTTAACAGGATGGTACTGCCCCCTAGGGGGCATTTTGGAAATTTGATGGTGTGCTTTTATTAGTCAGCAATTGGCGAGAGGATGCTTGTATTTAGCTCTTGAATGGGAACGAAGGCCTGACAAATGAAATAGGTAAGACAATCCTGCACAGCTAAAAGTTACCCTGTATAAATGTCAAAGATCTCTTCATACAAGCAAAAAGCTCATAATTATTTAGGCCTAGAACTTAAACATGTTTTACGTGTTTTTGGCATAGTTTTAATACAGATTGAATTTTTAGGAATTTTGTTATCTTGTAAATCAGGGAGAAATCGTACTTTGATTTGTTCTGAACTTTACCAAGAGTTATTCACCATTTCGGAAAATCATGTCACCGGCAGCAATGTACTTCAGCCTGTATTTGCAGCTCCCTCATTCAGGGTGATTAGATGTAGATATATGTATACAAATATATAGATATGTTTCTTAGGTCCTTGTTTTGAAACATCAAATATAAAAAAGTAAGCATTGGCCGGGCACGGTGGCTCACGCCTGTAATCCCAGCACTTTGGGAGGCTGAGGAGGGCGGATGATGAGGTCAGGAGTTCGAAACCAGCCTGGCCAACATGGTGAAACTCCGTCTCTACTAAAAATACAAAAATTAGCTGGGCATGGTGACGTGCACCTGTAATCCCAGCTACTCGGGAGGCTGAGGCAGGAGAATCGCTTGAACCTGGGAGGCGGAGGTTACAGTGAGCCGAGATCGCGCCACTGCACTTCAGCCTGGGCGACAGAGCAAGACTCCATCTCAAGAAAAAAAAAATTAAGAATTTACCATTGAATATTGTATCATCTTAAATCCAAACTTATATGGTTGCAAACAACTCATTCTTTCATTATACCTTTTGGTGTAATAGTGCTTGAGCATGTACATACTGAAATATACACTATTTTATTACAAGTAATTTTCTTGTATTTCTCTTTTGTTTGGGCAATACCTTGTGTGTAACTATAATAGAGGATGTTATCTATGAATTTCATTTCAGGATAGTAGAGAGCATTACAAAGTGTTTTTAATCTTCACAAAAAATGTGTAGCCCTGGATTAACAATACTGCTATGCACAGTCAGATTTTAAATCAGATAATAAATTTATAAGATTGAAACAGTGTGATATTGTTGCCAGAAGAGATAGCTTTTTGGAACAGAACAGAAAATATCCAAACAGATATACTGGTATATATACCAGCTAATGAGTTTTGAATATAAAGATGGAATATCAAATCGAAGGTGAAATGTAAGATGATTTAATAATGGTAGTGGAACAACTGGCTAAGACATATATGGATACAGAAAACACTATATGTACCAATCTAAATTCCAGACGGATTAAAGTAAATCTTAAGTAGCAAACCCCAGAAGAATCTAAAGAAAATACAAGTGACAGTGTATTGAATAGCTAGTAGAAATGGCCTTTTCTAAAGACAAAAATAATAAAGTAAAATATTGGTAAGTTTGCATAAATATTAAACACTTTTCTATTAAAAAAAAAACACCAAAAAGGCAGGAATGAAGTGTAAATAAAAATTTGCAACATCTATGAGAATGGATGAAGATAATTAATATATCATTAATTCCTATATACCAATAAGGAAAAAAATACTTCAGTAGAACAAGGATCCAAGAATATGAGAAGATAACTCACAAAATAAGGAGTACATGAAGCTAATACACTTAAAAATAGTTTAGTCTCACTAGTGGTGAAGAGAAAAGTATATTAAAATAAGTCACCTATTAAATCAACAAAGGGTTTTTGTGTTATTGTTTCTTAACGACAAAGCTAATTGTTAGTGAGGAGTAGAAAAAAAATAGATTCTCTCACATACTGCTGGGAAAATGTAAACTGATGACAATAGTTTTGGATGCCAACATAACAACACAGGTATCAGGTGCTGTAAAAAATGCACAGTTTCTGACCCAGCAGTTCCACCTCCAGGAATATACAGAAAACACTTGTGCCCCATAATGTTAGCACTTCATGCTAAAATAACTTATCAGAGCAAAAATTAGACTTTAAACACTTAAAAGGGAGGGCTGATACGTTGAACCCAAGGGGATGGAATATTTAATGACAAATATCATATTGAAGTTCTGGAAAAGGCAAATGGGCGGGGATGGTTGCCAGGAGCAGGGCGTGGGTGACTCCAAAAGCGCATGAGAGGATTGATGGAGGAGGGGGCGGGGCATGTAAAAAAAAAACGGTCTGAATCAGAGCCGTCAAAGCCTCCCAGACTCACAGAAGTGTACACTACAAGGGTGAATTTTACTTTGTGTAAATCACCTACACCTTAATAAACTTGACTTTTTAAAAATCTTGATGAAGGATATTAAGCAGCCTGGGGAAATCTAAATGGTTGATTAACTAAAGTAAGTAATTTGCAAGGCAGAGTGTGAAGGGAAATTGGCAAGTGGTGGAGGGGGTGTTTACATATTCAGGGGAGACATAGGCTGGGAGCAAACGTGCCAGAATGTATTTATATTAGTGTCTCTCTGGAAGTTAAACATCGTTTATTAAATTAAACATCATTTTTCTCCTTGCATTTTGTTTGTTTCTTTGTTATTGTTGTGTTGTTTTTGGTTTTGGTTTTTGCAGCAAACAGCTCTTCTGTTATTGGCGGGGTTGGAGTGGGGGGCGGTGCTACAGCAATTTGGAAGCGGGGCTCACTTGCTATGGCTTCCAGGTTCTTTCCAGCGCTTTTCTCTTCGGTAGATCCATCAAGCCGGGACAGGCGAGCCGGGGAGTCGCGAAGGCTCCCGGGCGAGCGGGGTGGGGCGGGGGGCGGGGCCTGCGTCTCTCTAGGGCAGAGTAGGCGCGTCCCTACTGGATGGAGGGGGAAGTAACACCCCAAGAACGCTGTCATTTCCTGGGCCAAGTTGGGACCCGGACGGCCTCACCATGATGAGTGAGTCTTGCTTCCCCAGGGGGCTGGCGGGCTGGGCTGGGGGCAGGCTTCCCCAACCCCAGCCCAGGAAGGGACAGGGAATAGCTTCATTCCCTGACTTCATCAACCAGCTGACCTACTGACTCCCTCTCCCTCCCTTCCTCCCTCCCCTTCCCTTCCTCCCTCCGCTCCTTGCTTCCCTCCCCCTCCCTCCCTTTCTGCCCTTCTCTCTCCTCTTTCTCCCCTTTCCCATCTCCCTCTGCCTTCCCCTGGCACTCTCTCTCTAGAACGGGCAGCTGCTGCTGCAGTGGGAGGAGGTAAGTTACCCGGATCGCCTGTCTCCAGGCCCTCACCTAGCCTGGTCCCCGGGCTGCTGGGAGAACGCAGAGATGAGGCGCTGGGCTGGCTCTCACCCTCCACTTCCGAAGCTGCCCGAGTAGCCTGAGTGAGCCACAGCATCAAAATACTCCAGGGAAAAGCTCACTCCCATTCCTGACCCAGCTTCTCTTCTAGTCCTTATGTCGAATAAGCATAGGAGGAAGATCGTTTGAAAGAGGATTTGCAGCTAAACTCCACGTGGCTTATTTCACATTTATGCGTGGACACACACACACACACACACACACACACACAAATTTGAGACCAATGAAGGGTATTGACTTCCTCAGCATCACACAGCAAGTTAGAGACAAACCAGGGCCATGGCTGGTCCTTCTATGACATCTTTGCTTCACCTGGCTCCACACTCCACCTTTTCTTCACCAGAAGACCACTAAGTTGCCATCTCTGTATTGCTCAAGCTGACAGTCTCCGGAAACTGTCAAGGAATTCCTAAGCGGGGGGCGGGGGGAAGGGTCCCTTCTCCTGAGCCCACCTCTGCACTCAGCTTCTCTCTCCCCACAGCCCTGGCAGTGGGGGCTGTGCCCGTGGTGCTCAGTGCCATGGGCTTCACTGGGGCAGGAATCGCCGCGTCCTCCATAGCAGCCAAGATGATGTCCGCAGCAGCCATTGCCAACGGGGGTGGTGTTTCTGCGGGGAGCCTGGTGGCTACTCTGCAGTCCGTGGGTAAGTGTCCTAGACAGGACCACCAGAGCTGCGAGAAGATCCAGCCCTGAGGCTGAGCCCGAGGGAAGCTCTTCTCACCCTGAAGTTCCGTGACCCTCAGCTTCCTGGGTCTTCAGTCTCTCCCTCACTGTCCCCTCTTCTGGCTCCTTCTGAGTGAGGTTTGGGGTAGGAGTGGAGGGGTGATGGGGTGCTGGGTAGGGAGAAGAGGAAAGGAACCTAGGCCAAGAGCAATGCCTGGGTTCTGACACCTGGGTGACCTGGGCAAGGTCCCCTGTCCTCTCTGGGCCTCAGTGGCCTCCTGTGTAAAGTGAGGGGCTCTGTAGCTCTTAGGGTCTGTCTGTGGATGACTCTCCCTCTGTCTCTCAGTTTCCGTGAATTCACCCCTGAGCTGTCTTTTAGTTGCCTCTAGCAGCTTCTACCCATGGCAGAGCCCTGGGATTTTCAGGACCTGGAGGAGGGATCCGGGTGGGATTTCTGGGCCACTGCCCGACCCCTGTGCTCATTCTCTGTCTCCTCCACAGGGGCAGCTGGACTCTCCACATCATCCAACATCCTCCTGGCCTCTGTTGGGTCAGTGTTGGGGGCCTGCTTGGGGAATTCACCTTCTTCTTCTCTCCCAGCTGAACCCGAGGCTAAAGAAGATGAGGCAAGAGAAAATGTACCCCAAGGTGAACCTCCAAAACCCCCACTCAAGTCAGAGAAACATGAGGAATAAAGGTCACATGCAGATGCATCTCCCTGTTTTGCTTCTTGCAGCTCTGGTTGGTGTTCTGAGCTGGAGGTTTCCAGTTCTCCCTCTCTCCTAGACTGCCCTGTCATGGAGGGGCAGAGGGAGGTGGTTGGCCACGCAGATAATCGGTAGGCAGAAGGCTTTGATTGGTCTCAGCCTTACGGAGATGGGCCGTGTGACCCAGGGCCATTCGTGGGCCTTTTCTGGGCCTCAGTTTCCCCCTTATTCAATGTTGGCATTGTCACAGGCTCCTGTTGGGAGGCAGGGGTGAGGGGTAGCCAGGGCACTTCAGGAACCACTGACTGTAGAGCCCTCTGTTCTTCATTAATGGCACTAGATACCCAGAATGAGCAGGACACCATCCTTCCCTTGCCTAACCTCAAAGTCTTGTCAGAAGGCCGATAAGCAAGCCAGCAGGAAAAGACAATGTGTCCAGTGTTACATGCAGGCTCTAGGCACTTTGAGGGGAGGAGGCTGAGTCAGGAATGGTCACCAAAATGTGGCTGGAAAATTGAAGGAGAGGCTGAGTTCATGCGTGAAGACCTGGAACCCTGACCACACCCTCACTGTGTGAGGCTGTTTGGGGTAGCAATAAAGGAATACCTGAAGCTGGGTCATTTATAAAGAAAAGAGGTCTATTGGGCCCACAGTTCTGCAGACTGTACAAGAAGCATGGTGCCGGCATTTACTTCTGGTGAAAGCCTCAGGAAGCTTACAATTGCACAAGGGGAAGGAGGAGCAGGTGTGTCAAGTGGCAAGAGAGGGAGCAAGAGAGATGCCAGGCTCTTTTAAGTAGCCAGCTCTCTTGTGAACGAATAGAGTGAAAACACTCCTTACTGTGGGGAGGACACGGAGTCATTCATGAGGGATCCGCCCCCATGACCCAAACACCTGCCCCTAGGCCCCACTTCCAACACTGGGGAATCACATTTTAACATGAGACTTGGAGGGTACAAACATCCAAACTATATCAGTCACCTAACGACTCCAGTCTTTGTTCATGTGACGGGTGCTACAGTGGATGGGAGGGGTCCACACAGACCCCCAGGAGACTATGATGTCAGGAGAAACTGGGCACTTACCCAAACAAAAGTGACACAGAGCATTATGTTCAGTGCAGTAATGGACTCCAGCCACAAGCAGGGAGCACAGAGGAGGCAGAGATATATTCTCACATCTGGGGAGGCTTCCTGGAAGAGGAGGCAAAAGGCTTGGGCCTTGAAAGGCGAATGGAAGTCTGACAGAGGAGGAGGCAGGCAAAGGGAAAGGTGTCCCAGGAGGAAGGAAGTCCCAGCTGCTCAGTGAGAGAACTGGAGAGGGAGATGTAACTAGGCATTTCCATGGCAGTGTGGGTGGAAGGCAATACCTCCGAGAAGCCAGCGAGAGGAAGGGGACCTCTAGGCAGCCATGGAGAGCAACAGAGGCAGGAGGGAAGTCCCAAGTGTGGAGGTTTTACAGGGAGGCAAGTCTGCTCTGGATGACCCCCAGCTGTCCTTCTGCCCCCATACATTTTAGATTCCTTATGCTGAGGCACATGCATGTCTGCTGCTCCTGAAACTCCCCTGTATTTTGTGGGACAGAGACCTAGGCTCTGAGCCACTCAGAGGACAGCGGCAGCCCAGGCCCCACAAGGGGAGCACCCTGGTCTCCATCTTCCTCCCAAGGACTGCCTGCACAGCTGAACCCAGGAAAGAGAGGCCAAGTGTCCAGGACAAAACCTGAGCCCTTTTCCCCAAGGGCTCAGGTATGAAGGGGTGACAGAGAAGGCTGCCTCTCCTCTCCTCCAAGGTAGCAGCATCAACTACACAGAGAACAGAGCAGAAGGGGCATCTGTCTACTTCTGCCTCGTCTGGAGGTCTCAGCATCTTGCTCCTTCCTGCCATGTTCCTGGCCCCTCAGAAGCCGTCACCACTGAGGGCTGCTGCCCATAACCCATGAGACAGCTCCAGCCTCCCTGTCTGGAGACCCAGATATGGCAGGGACTGAACCTTTTCCCTTCATTCTCCTAACCCTTGGCTCCCACCACCATTAGGCCAGGCTGTGTGATGAATGTAATCATGTGAGAATAACAGAGGCCCTCCTTAGATGAGATGGTCAAAGAAGGCCTCTGAAACAGAGACGCTTTGCCTAAGACCTAAAGGACAGGAGAGAATTTCTTAGCTTCAGCCTCTGGAAAACTGAAAAATAATAAATAATTTAAAAATAAAATAATTTTTTTTAAAAAAAGAGAAATAACATGGGATGGGAGATGACTACATTTGTAAGTTAGACTTTTTTTGATTCCCCTGTTCCCCAAGGAGGAACTTCGTGGGTATTCACAGCTCCTACCCTGGTGACAGGCATTTTTGGGTGTCCCCTGATGCTCCATTCACTGCTAGGGTGAAGTCTCACTTCCTGCCAGAGAAGCCTCATTCCCTGGAGGTGTTTCAAAGAATGAGGTATAAGTAGAAATACAAGTTCTAAAATTTCCGCCCACACTCTAACAGATGGTCTTAAGGCAGCCTTCTGGGTGCACACAAGGCATCTTATAGACCACTTGGTAACCTATCAAGAAGGAAGAGCTGGCCAGGTACAGTGGTTCATACCTGTAATCCCAGAAGTTTGGGCGGCCAAGGAGGGTGGATCACTTGAGTCCAGGAGTTCCGGCCTGGGCAACATGGCAAAATTCCATCTATACAAAATATACAGAAATTAGTCGGGTGCATTGGCACATGCCTGGGTCCCAGCTACTTGGGAGGCTGAGATGGGAGGATCTCTTGAGCCAGGGAGGTGGAGGTTGCCATGAGCCGAGATTGCACACTGCACTCCAGCTTGGGCAACAGAGCAAGACCCTTTCTCAAAAAAAAAAAAAAAAAAAAAAAAAGGCCAGTCTCCAAAATCATTACTTTCCTTGAACTCCTAGGACAGCTGAGGTTGCAGGGGCACCAGATGGCCTGAACGCAGGACAGTCAGGTGCCTCCAGGGAGAGACAGGACTCTGGATCACTGAGCCCCCTGGGGTCCATTGCACAAGCGAGTAAGGAATCAGCTAAAAGTCTTAAGTGATTGCTAAAGGCCAACTAAGACTCACGTGAGTGCATAGAACCTTCAGAAGCCACAGAGACAACATGGATCCTACCAACATGCAGACCTTTTTCCCTGCGGACTGGGTCCCTGCAGGGTCCTGAAGAAAGCTTCCCTGGAAGGGGCAAGACTGGAGGAAGGGAGCAAGAAGGGCATCAAATACCCCCCACCTTCCTTCTCTTCTAGAAGGGCACAAAAACCTTAAGCTGCGGGGGAAAGACAGCCGACCCTGTAGCTTCCAAAGCTCATGCAAAGACAATTGCAGAAGGAGAAGAAAAAGTAAAACCCTCCGCCCTTGGGGAAGAGCAAGAAACCATCCTGAGCCCAGACCTGGAGACCTGCTACCCTTAGGAGAGGGGCAGGGATCTTGAGAAAATGCCACCCCTAAGCCCCAAACACACAGGGCCTGCCTAGACTGAGGCTGGATGAGGATCATAGAGAATCCAACTTCTCCCATCCAACCAGGCTAGCAAATAACAAGCAAACAGATGTCTACCACTGGGGATGGGGCAGATGTGCAGAGACCATATCCAAGGCTCAGGCACAGTGCAGAAGCTTAAAGACACTGAGCAAACTCCTCTGCAAGCCAGCCTCCACCCTAAGCACAGGGTAACACTGATCTGAAGCCAGTGGCACATGCACAGCAACCACATTGTCTTAGTCTGTGCCACTGTAAGAGAAAACCACAGACTGGTTAATTTATAACTAATAGAAATGTATTGGCTCACAGTTCTGGAAGCTGGGATGTGCAATATCAAGGTACCAGTATGTTTGGGGGCCTTCTTGCTGCATCAGCACATGATGGAAAGCGGGAAGATGAGAAAGAGAAAAAGAGAGCCAAACTCACCCTTCTATAATGGCATTAATCTCACGTGGGTGGAGCCCTTGTGGCTTACCTCTTAAAGGCCCTCTTTCTTAACACTGTTACAATGGCAATTAAATATCGGCATGAGTTGGGACAAACATTCAAACCATAGCATAGGGCAACTACAAAACCCAAGTCCAGCTCGACTCCTGCTTGGATTGACTCAATCCCCAGGGAAAGGCCTAGCCAGAAGAAAAGACATACACATTTCCCAGCATGAATATCATTTGTCCTGTCTGTACTGTTGCCCCTACCCGCTACACTCTCTCTTCTAGTCCCTGCCTACTGCTCCCTACATCCAGCACCTTTGACCCCCCGCCCCAGGGTCCCACCCATGAGGCCCGCAAGACAGGCTGAAAGTGTCCACGCGTTGATCCAGAATAGACCTCAGCCAATGATGGATGGGAGTCGGGCGATTAACTCCCTACAGGTGGGACAACTCTTGCCTGTTCCACATTGTCTCCAGTGGTCCCCAGCGGGACTGAGCCTCAGTAGCCTGCATTGCAAAGTCACTCATTAATCGACCCTTTCTGGGCTGCTGTCCCTTCTATTGCTTGCCTCCCCATTCCCCTGTTGGTGTTTCCTGGGATCACCTCCCAAATAAGCCACTTGCACTTACATCCTTGTGTATTAGTCTGTTCTCACGCTGCTAATAAAGACATACCCAAGACTGGGTAATTTATTTAAAAAAAAAGGAGGTCTTAATGGACTCACAGTTGCACATGGCTGGGGAGGCCTCACAATCATGGCAGAAGGCTAAGGAGGAGCAAAGGTACATCTTACATGGCAGCAGGCAAGAGAGCGTGTGCAGGGGAACTGCCTTTTATAAAACCATCTGATCTCGTGAGACTTATTCACTATCATGAGAACAGCACAGCACAGCCCCCATGATTTGGTTACCTCCCACTGGGTTCCTCCTACAACACATGGGGATTATGGGAGCTACAATTCAAGATGAGGTTTGGGTGGGGACACAGCCAAAACATAACATCTCATCTTGGTGTCTCAGCTAAGGCTGCTTCCCACTCTCTTCTCTGTCCCCACTCAGGAGCCCATAGGCCTGAGCCTAAGATAGCCACAGCACTCTATCGTATTGCTCCTGAAATCTGGCTGTGTTCAGGTCTTATCCATCTCCTTCCCTTGGGATAAAGCTCAGACAGGTGGCTTTGCCATCTCTGTGCAATGATTCACCCGCTCAGCACCACAGGTAGCCCCTGACCTGTCCGAATCTTAGAAGAGGATACAGCTCAACTTTGGGGCTGTTCCCCAGCTGGGCTACCCTGGGCAGTGCCATGTGCCAAGGCATGGGGCAATGGGGTAAACCACTCAAACCAGTGATTGATCCCTAGGTCTTTGCAATTTGTCAAGGGAAAGCCTGGCTCAATTTCAATTTTAAATGTTTCTTCTCAGTTATCTTTTCCACTAGTAAATCCCTGTTACCAAAGACACTCAAGAGAGTTTGGCTGAGGCTGGTCCCAAAATGGTTAAAATTATTGAACTGCTCTGCCCCCACTCCCACCCCGGACCTCTTCATCAATCTGAAATTGTTTGATTCACTGTAAAAGTAAATTTACCTCCCTGAGTGCAGGCTGGTTGCTCAAGGAGGCAGCTGGAGAGAGTTAGTGGGCAGGCAACCAGATTCAGGCTGCAGATCTACTGGGAATAACCTGCAAAGTTGATCATTTTCAGCCACGGAAAGATGCCCATCTTTAATAGCAGCAGGAGTGGGGTTCTCTGGATCAACTTCTTACAAGTTCTTCTAACAACATCTATAAAATAGGACCAGGAGCGTCACCTTTCTTGGAATGGTGTGAGGATTTTATGTAATGAGACATGAGCAGTGACTTGACCATGGTGTGTGTATGTAAGTGTTATTTGTTTTGATCTTCTTGTTGATCTTCTTGTTCCAGCACTTTTAGGACCACCCTGTGGCTATTTAGGGTGTCCCATAGGTGACCCAGAGGTTGGTATGGGGACTCAGGAGAACAGAGGGCAGAGTGGCAGGACATAGAAGCTCTTTTCCTCCCTCCCCCAGTCCAGGTGCTTTGGAAGTCACAGCACTCCAGCCATCTCCCACTTGGGCTCATTGCAGTCCTCACAGCTCATAACTCCTTCCTGTGCCCACGGTTTTCCACAAACTCAGAGCAGCCACTCCAGTCTCCCTTGGGTCCCTTGAGTCTCCTGGTGGGTGGGGAAGCCGGTGTTGAAGCTTCACAGCTGTCAGAGGGTGAGTGCTCCTGGATGGGCTGCAGCTGGGGGTGATAGGAGGGAGAGGATCAGAGACATGAGGGGCTCACACCTGCTTCCCCGTCATATCTGAGCCTTTGTAGATATCCAATGGCAGGCTTGGCCACAGGGGCTGTTCTCATCAACCCGAGGACTGTACTGTGATCTGACCCAGGCTTTCAATGGCCAGTTTCTTCCCAGAGTGTCAGAATGTGAGCATTTATTTTCCTGGGCTGGTAACATGCCTGGGAAGAATCTCCCCCTAAACCCACACACACATTTTTTGCTTTTTTTTCCCCTCTCATTTGGCCTCTCATTCTCTCTCACTCTCTCTGGAGAGTGGCTATAAATTCTAGCCCTGTGCTGATGGGGCTCTAGAAATTTGGTCTTGGATGTTTACAATGTAAAAGCACAGGAAACTTCTTTATTCTTTATCCTGGAGGACAGCCTAAGGCCTAAATGTCCAACTCATGACCAGGCAGTCTCGTCACAGGAAACTTGTTTATACTGGCACATGCTTTTGTGGCTCTTGTCTGACTTGTGTCCAGTTTATTCCTACCAAGATAGTCACACTCTAGGAGGGGAGTCAGGTTTATGTGTATTGGTCAGATGAGACTCAGAGGAGGCAACTCAACAAAATGCATGAAATAACAGAAACAGTTTATTGCTTACAGGTCCCAGAGAGAAGAGGGCAGAGTGCCATCCAGGGCCAATGGGAACAGGGCGCCCTCCAGGACACACGTGCTCAAACAGCAGGTGAGAGCGAGAGAGAGGGGGCGAGGGACATGTGGGCTTTTATGAGGGTCCAGGGCATTACCCAAGCAGGTTTCCCTTTGGGGTTCTAACTGGTGGGTTTACAGCATGCAGGCATGACTTCTGTGGAGTCACACTGTGATTGAGAGGTGAATCAAGTAGGTGGTATCTAGGTGTCCCATAAGGAGGTGGTCACCACAAGGCAGTTTATAAGGCAGATATATGGATCGACCATCTTAAGAGACTGGAAGGCAGCAAAGAATTGGAAACTGTGTCAAGGGTGACCAAACCCTACTTCTGGTGTGAGAAAGTCCCAGTTAGATTCAGAATGGAGGCCAAGGCAACATAACAGTGTAAGAGTTCACTGCACTTCCATCCTGAATGTCATAGCCTGCCTGCTAGTGTTCTAGGTGTCTATTGATAAAGAAGATTGAGAGACTTAACACTTAGTATGGAAACTTTCATTTTTAGTGTGAAGCTCCTGCCCTCAGTCCTGTTGGTGGCCCCTAGTCCAGAGACTCAACCTCTCCAAAGATAACTCTCCAGTGGTCTACTGGAGGGGGAATCCTGGGGTTTTCCTGCTTCTTAAGCAGACTTCCAGCCAGCCCTCCTGCTCTCAATCTACCTTCATGCCCACCTCCAAAGCCCATGCTGCTCTAGTGGCTGAGCCTTCAGGGTCCTATAGGGCAAAGCTGACTCTTTCTGCTCTCTTTACTGACAACTTAATGTCCAGCTTTCTTGGGGCTGCTAAGTGGAACCACTTGTCCATGTCATTTCTGGCTGTGGGCCTTTATGGGGGTCCAGGGCGTTACCCAAGCAGGTTTCTTTTGCGGGGTTCAGGCTCCAATTGGTGGGTTTAGAGAAAGCAGGTGTGACTTCTGTGGAGTCATCTCCTTTTTTCTTCTCTTTGTCCTTGTGGGCTTATGCTTTTCTTTGATCCTTGACTGTTATTTTAATGGTGTTTTGAAATGGAACAGAGATGGAAGCAACTCTCTTTATTGGGTTAATTCTTCCATTGCTTGCAATCAAAAGATTCCCTACTGTGTGCAATAGAATGTATGTTTGTTTGCAGTAAGAGACCCTCTTGGCTTACACAAGAGAAGTTTCTTCTCTTTCATCTAGAAATATCAGCCAGGGTGGTGACTCTGCTCTGGGAGACCCAGGCTCCTGCAGTCTTGTTGCTCTGCCTTCTGCAAGGTGTTGTTCTCAGCTATGAGTGTAAGATGCTCACTCTCTCACCTGCAGCAGAGCCCATGGGAAAGGACAAAGGGGCAAAGGTGGGCCCATCCAATCCCTTTAACTGCATACCCAGATGAGTGCGTCTAACTGCAAGAGGGTTTGGGAATGCAGTTCTTCCCTAGGGATCGTGTGCCTAGCCAAAGCCAGGGCTCTCTTGTATCATCCAGAAGGAAAGAACAGGCATTGGGTGACTACTAGCAGCCTCTGCCTCTCTGGTGAAGACACCAGTCTCAACAGGAAGCCATTCTAGATCCCTGCAATGAGAATTCTCTGCATCCCTGTTCAGCCTGCTGAGCCACTGTGTGCCACAGCCCAGTTAGCTGTGGATGTGCCTGGCTTCCCTAACACTGCAGGCCTGAGGGCAGGCAGATTCTTCTGGCATCCCACAGGAGTAGAACCTGGTGTCCCAGGGGCCATCTGGGGCCAGGAGTGTCAGGAATCCTGGGGCTGCCAGAGTCAGTTCAGCCAGCTCCTGGGTGAAAAAGCCTCAGCCCAGTGAAGGGAGACAGGGTATCCAGGCTGCATACATTTTCTACTACTGTGTAACAAACTACCACAAACTTAGTTGGCTTTAAGTGACACCCACTACTATCTTATAGTTCTGCAGGTCAGAAGTTCTGAGTTCTCTGCTTATGGCCCCACAAGGCAGAAATGGAAGGTTTCAGCCAGCCTGGGCTCTCATCTGGAGGCTCTGGTAAGAATTGGCTTCCAAGCTCCTTCAGATTATTCACAGAATTCAGTTATTTGCCATTGTAGGACTAAGGGCCCCATTTTCTTGTGGGCTGGCAGCTGGAGACAGCTTTTAGCACTTAATAGCCACCTGCGTTCCCTGGCTCATGGCATCCCTATCCACAAAGCCAGAGACAGACATCAAATCCCCTGCATGCTTCAAATCTCTGACTTCCTTTTCTGCTGTGAGCAGACAAAACTCTCTGCTTTCAAAGGGTTCATGTAATTGGATCAGAGTCACCTGGATAATTTCTTTTCTTTTTTTTTTTTTTTTTTTTTTTAAGACAGGGTTGCACTCTGTTTGCCCAGGCTGGAGTGCAGTGGCACAATTGTGGCTCACTGCAGCCTCAACCTCCTGGGCTCAAGTGATCCTCCCACCTCTGCCTCCTGAGTAGTTGGGACAACAAGTGTGCACTGCCATGCCTGGCTAAATTTTTGTGTTTTTTTGTAGAGATGAAGTTTCATCATGTTGCCCAGGCTGGTCTCAAACCCCTGGGTTCAAGGAATCCCTCTGGTCTCCCAAAGTGCTGAGATTGCAGGCATGAGCCACCTTGCCCAGCCGATAATCTCCTTTTTGCCATTAATGTAACAAAATCACAGGAGTGATAGCTCAACATGCTCAGAAGTTCCACCAACACCCAGAGAGGAGGGGATTATTCTAGGGAGGTTATTGGGCACCATTCTTAGAATTCTGCCTGCTACAAAGGTCGAAGCTGAGGGTTTAAAGATAAAGAACCACGTGAGAGCCACAAAACCAAGGTGGGGGTGAGAGCCACAGAACCGAGGTGGGGGTGAGGGGCTCAGTGCCAGAATGGAAACAGGTCCTCTGGGAACCGGGAGGCCTCATCTTCATGAGGGGGACGAGGGAGGAGGTCAGGACTCACACCTAGAATAATGGGTGCTCCAGGGTGACCTGCCTTGCAGGACCATTTACTGGGCTTCAGCTGGGATGCAGGCTCGTCCATCGTCCCAGACGCAGGTCAGACCCAAGTGCTTTCCTTTTGGAAGGGCTTGGATTTCTAGTTAATGCGGGGGGTTGTACCTTTCATTCCAATGAGGGTCTTCTGATGTTCTAATGAAAGCCCTGACAATGAGGGTGTTATTTGGGGAATGTGTACATTTTGTGGGGAGAAGTTTCACAGCTTTTTTCAGATTCCCCAAGGCATCAAAGAAAGGGGGAGGTGGGGGAAAAGAATCACGTATTGAAAGAATATCTTGAGAAGCTTAATTCCTATGGCTGGAATTAAGTTGAAATAAACAATTAAGTTGCAATGAAGCAATAAACCATGCTTCGTTGACCCAATTAAGAGACATGGATGAGTTGTTCAAGTTTTTGAAATGTCTGTAGCACTAGACTCACAGTTCTGCTGCTCTTTGCTTCTTTGCTTTCAAAGGGCTCATGTCATTGGATCAGAGCCACCCGGATAATTTCTTTTTTTTTTTTTTTTTTTTTTTTTTACTTTTTGAGACAGGGACTCACTCTGTTTGCAGTGATCACAGACACTACGGCCAAACACAAACCTGAGCCACATGAACTGAGCCAAACACAAACCCTGGCTGGGATCTTGAAGGTCATTTAGTTCAACTCCCCATTTACAGAGGGGCAAACAGGTTCAGAGAGGAGGTGACCTGCCCAGGGTTATATATGGAGTTGTAGCAGGGGAGGGGACAGCTTGTCTTCAAATTTAGATTCATTTCGGTTCATCACATCCCAAGTTTTTGTGATGACAGTGTGGGGAAAGAGAATTGAGCCTAACATGACCCCTCCCCAGGGCAGGGTGCGCAGGGTTGTAGTGTCTGTGGTCGCTGGCCTGTTGAAACCCTTCAGTGCCTCTCCGAAGTCCTCAGGATAAAATCCACACTCCCCTTCCTCAACATGCCTCTGGCCCCCAGAGCCATGGGCTGGCCTCTGGCATAGCACTTATCAGAGGTCCGTGCCCATGGCCATCGGCCTGTGGGTCCATCCCTTCAGCAGACCGTGAGTGTCGCTGGCTGTGGGGGTTGAGGGGACCAAGGGGACCGAGCTGTGTCCCCTCTGTTCCCTGGGGCCCAGCCCAGTGCCTGGACCACAGCATGTGCTCATAGAGGGTGTGGAAAGAAGGAGCAAAACAACATACGAACGCGTTTCCTGATACTCCTGAGCCTAACATGCCCCCTCCCCACCCCAAGTATGCTGGGCCTGCCCCACAGCCAGCGAGAAGAAGAGATTCTGGGAAGAGTTGCAACAATTCATCTTTATTTCTTATTTTCCTCTGGAGATGCAGAATTTGGTATATTTCACCCCAGGTATATTTGGGATAGTTGGCTCCTCGCTGGGTCAGGATGGCTGGGTGCCTTCTCCCCTGGCATGGTTCTCTTCTCTGCAGGGCGAGGGGCAGGGAGCTAGTAGAACCTCGCAATGACAGCCGCAATGGCAGACCCAATGGAGCCCAGGATGAACTTGGTCAATCCGGAGAGTCCAGTTGCTCCTGGGAAGAAGCAGAGGGTGGACAGAGTGGGACATGCCTGTCGGGGAAGCTCTGTGGGCAGGACTGTGGGGTCAGAGACTCCAGTGACCCTCAGCAGGGGCTGAGGCTTACAGACCCCACCCAGTTCCCCTCTCTGTTTCCCAGTACCCTCGGGGTCTTTGTTTGGGGAGAGGCTGCTGCAGGCATGAACCCCCATGGTGAACTCCAGAGCTAGAAGCAGCCTCGCTCTTCAGGGAAGGAGGCTGCACCCCAGAGGGGAGGAGACGCCCCAGGTAACCCAGCAAATCTGCTTCGGGCTGAGTCTTCCTGAGTGCACTGTTCCTGGCTTGGGCTCCTTCCCTCCCTCCTCCATCTCCCTCAGAGAAACCCTGAGAGAATGTGTAGAGAGAGACAGAGGAACAGGGAGATTGAGGTTCATAGGGTTGAGATTGGGACTGGGTCCTTGGAGGCTCTTGCCCTCCTCATCGCCCTCCCCAGCAAGCCCCGCCAGGATACTTACCCAGTGACTGCAGAGTAGCCACAAGGCTGCCCGAGGCAACTCCACCCCCATTGGCAATGGCCGCCGCGGACATCATCTTGGCTGCTATGGAGGACGAGGCGATTCCCGCCGCAGTGAAGCCCATGGCACTGAGCACCATGGGCACAGCCGCCATGGCCACAACTGCAGGGAAGAGGAGCTGGGTCGGTGCGTGGGCTCAGAAGGGACCCCCCCAGATACACTGAGTCAGGCTTGGGGACCCCAGGGGATCTGGAGAAAGAGGTGAACTTTGAGCTTGGGAGAGACTATGGGCACGGCCAATAGGCACGAATCAAGGGGAGCACAGCCAGGCGGGGAAAGTAGAGGGAAAAGCTAGTGGGGTCACTGGGCACAGGGCTCTGGGCCAAGCTCTTCTGGGCAGCAGGACCTTCCTTGGGAAAGCCACTTGTCCTCAGAGCCTCAGTGTCTGCCTTGGCCAAATGCTGGACCAGGGGAGTGGTTGGCAAGTTTCTTATCTTTGCTGGGGAGCAAATCTCATTAGGGGAGCAGATGTTGCCCAGGAGATTATGTAAGAGGCACATTCAGAGCGGCTCAAAGAGACAGCTCTAGGGCTCCGTGGTGTTGCCACAGAGCACACTGGAAGCAACTAAACCAAAGGGAGCTGAGCCCTGGCATCTCTTTCATGTCTACTGTGTTCAATCTCTATTGTTTCACCCTATGCAATCCTGACCATAACCCTGAATGGGCATTACCAGCCTTTTCTCTGGAGAGGAAACAGGAGCTCAGAGGAGTTCAAAGACATGCTCAGGGTCACATGGTGAATGTTCTGCCAAGGGGAAATGGCCTCTGCCGGCTGCTGCCACACCCTGCCCACACGCACTCCAGCTCCCAGTCTCCAAGCCCCCTGCTTCCAGCTTCCAGTGCTGTATTTCTAGCTCCTTGGTTCATACTTAGCCCCTCATCCCCACCTCCTCCCCTGACCACCCATGTGAGGGAAACATTGGCATGGACAAGGCCAGCTGCTCCCCAAGTCCACCTCCCTAGGGGCAGGTGGTTACTTGAGCCCCTTCCCCACAGACTCACCTCCTCCAATCACAACTGTAGCAATCCTGGCTGGAAACCAAAAGAACATTCTGTGAGTAGATCCACACTGGCTTCCCCTCCACTTTCTAAGCCGATTGCCCATCTAAAGGGAGGCAGGGGGCTGCCCCAGGTTGGGAGCCACAAGAAGGGATGACTCCTGTCTACCGCTCTTTGCTTCATTTCGGGAAGTGGAAATTCTGGAGGAGGGTGAGGATCACTGGGGAGTTTGACCTCAGTGCTTGTCCTGAATGAATTTACGTGGCCCTGACCTAGTTGATTGGTTGGTTGATCGGGGGAATCAGATGTTATCTTTTCTTTTCTGCCTCCCAAGGCAGGTTTAGCTCAAACAAAAAGCAGAATGAAAATGAACAAAACCTCATAGATGTGGCTAGGAAGGCATGCTACTGTGATGTCCATTCCCAGTAAATACAGGATACTTGGCAATGAAATCTAGGGCTTGGTGGTTTGACCGGGGCAGGGAAAAGTGAACAGGATGGGTGTCATGCTTTCTGAGCAGGGCTGTTAGCTCATCCGAAGCAGGGTCAGTGTTTATTAGTGAGGGAGACCATGACTTTCTCCTATAGTCCAGAAAAAGCTCTTCAGACACTAATAAGTCCTCATGGCAGAGAAAGATGTGCTTCCTTTTGCACTGTGCGCCTGAGTCACGGCAAGCACTATAGAATGCTTGAATGCCACATGAGAGCAATGCTTGAATGGAATGAATTGAAAGCTTCTGACTCTTCAAGGTCCATGCCATTGTTCCCTCCTCCAGGAAGCCTTCCCAGATTCTTCCAGGCAGAACTCATCCTTGCTCCTCCATGACTGGAGCCACTCACAGCACTGGATATACATGATTTGCTCCCCCACACGGTGAGCCCCTGGGGAGCAGGCAGAGGTTATGTTCCCCAGCAGCCAGAGGGGCCAGAACTGCAATTTGGGACCAGGAGTTCTAAAGACAGCCAAATGTGCAGGAGTGAGCTCAGCCAGCTCCCAGGGAGAGGCCTTAGAGTGATGGTGGGAGGAAGTAAAGAGACGCAGGTATGAAGGCCCACCCCTGAGTGACCAGAAAGGCCACCTAGAAGGGTTATGAGCCCAGGGAATCAGGAATGGATAACCTCGTTAGAAGGTTCAGTTTTATTGGCAGGCAAGAGAGGTGATGTCAAGTTGGCTGGCAGCCCAGCAGACCTGCACCCTGACACACAAAAGCCCTCAGGAACTGGCTGCGGTGTGTCTGGAGGCCTGCCTGTTAGGCTCAGCTGATGGGCATTCATACGGCGGAGTAGCCTGGCCATTATTTCGTGCCATTCAGAACCTGCCCTACCCTGAGACCTCCCTCCAACCTTTTCCTACTTCTATTAATATTTCTTTCTTTTTTTTTGAGACAGAATCTTAGCTCTGTCACCCAGCCTGGAGTGCAGTGGCACAATCTCGGCTCACTGCAACCTCTGCCTCCTGGATTCAAGTGATTCTTCTGACTCAGCTTCCCAAGTAGCTGGGATTACAGGCATGCACCACCATGCCTAGCTAATATTTGTATTTTTGGTAGAGACAGGGTTTTACCGTGGTGGCCAGGCTGGTCTCAAACTCCTGACCTCGAGTGATCCGCCCTTCTTGGCCTCCCAAAGTGCCGGGATTGCAGGTGTGAGCCACCGTGCCTGGCCTATTAATACTTTCTGTCATTGTTCATTGTTCTACCTCCTGTTCCAAGCCTGGAAGCAGCACACCCACACCCTTCTGTCCTGCCCAGAGCACTTGGACAACAGTAAATTGTCCCAGTTGGTAAATAAGGGACGATATTATCTTCTTATCTTCCTCTGGGGTTGTTATGAGAATTAAATTGACAAACCTCAAGTGCTAGGGTAAGTGACTAGAACATAAAAGCGCTTGCTTAAGTTGAGCTGTTATTATTTTAATTTTATGAATTGCTTGATCTTAAACTGAGAAGTCATCTGCATTTCTGACAAACAGAAAGGACTGCTGGGCGTGGCCCAGGCCCTTGCTTGCTCATCACACTTCTCTGTACTGAGTTGGGAGCCCAGAGTGGTGTGTGTTGCCGAGGGCCAGTTACCTCCAAGTTGCAAAACAGGGTGCCAGTGAGGGACCCCAGCATGAAGGAGCTAGCCTCCAGTGCCCCCAGCAAGGGTCTGAGGAGAGAGATGTTGGGGCTCAGGGCAGCTGAGGATGACAGGGTCAGCAAAGGGTGAGTGCAGGCTCAAACAGAGGTTAGAGGTTGGGGCAGGGGTCAGAAGTCAGGGTCGGAGTCAGGGGCCCTGTGCCCCCATTCAAGCCTGTGCCATTTGTGCTGGCGGAGTTGGGGGAACCCCTGGATGTCCACCCACGGAGACAGAAAGGTAAAGGGCAGGGGATACACACAGAGGAGCACTTGTCAGCAGGTAGAAGCCAGGATTAGATGCTCATCGAATGACACTGATGGATCTCAAGAATATGGTTCTCAGTGTGGAAAAAAGCAATAGAATGGGATCTACAGCACACCATCCTGCATGTCAGTTAAAATGCCCGCAAACAAAACACAATACCCATTCTGCAAAAATACATATGAAAAACAGACACACATTAAATATATTAGAAAGGTTGACTTTGAGGGAGGGGAATCGAGGGTGAAAAGGAAGAAAATGAGAATAAATAAAACCAGAAAGAGATCTCCCAGAAACTAATGAAAAAAGTGAGCTGAAGAATTTTGTTAAAATCGATACTCTGGATGTGAGATCCCATAGGACACGGGGCCCTATTGACAAGGTAAACTCCTAAAGGAGATGAATTCTGATGGTGAATCTGGGGGAAGGGAGAGCTGAAGAGAGTGGGACTCAGTGGTAGATAGACCCTTTCCGGCTAGGCAGGAGGAGGCCCGGGCCCAGAGGGGAGAGGACCTGTGGAACACCCAGGGCTGGGCATCTGGCCAGAGTCTGCCTGCCCCGGGCCCCCTCCCAGATGGAAAGTTAGGGTGGACGCCTGCTGTGAGAAGACAGGACAGGGCAGCAAGGCTGCGGGTGTCCCCCATTTTCTCTCCCACGGGTCCCGGGACAGGACCCCCGCCCTTCCCAGCCGCCTCCTCGCCCCCAGCACCAGCCCCTCCCAGGAACACTCACCCAGGGGCAAAACTACGGCAGAGCCAGAGGCCACCCTGACCACTTTGGCCACACTGGTCACTGCTGATGAGGTGAGAGCAGAGGCCTCCATGCCTGCTCGGGTTAATTCCGTGGCCTAGAGAGTAAGAGATCCTCAACTTCAGCCAGACCTGCCGAAGGGATGGAGCTCTGAGGACGGGATGGGCACACAACCTGACTTGCTTCCCACTGTCCTGAAAAATGTGACGGGCTCCAGGGGGCTAGGGAGGCTGCTCTGAGCTTGTGGAGCAGCAGGCCTTGAAAGGATCCTGGGGTGAGGGAGGGAGGGATGTTGGGGAGTTGGGGCTACCAAAGGACCTGTGTTAGGTCAGGGCCCTGAGGGACTTTATTTCCCCAGGGGGGCTGCTTTCTTTCTCCTGAAAGTCCCAGCGCCAATGTCTTAGACACTTCCGGGACTCCCTTATCTCTCCACGGAGCAATTGAAAAAGCACCAAAACTAAGAAATCAGAACCAATCGCATTTTTAAGGCATATACAGCAGGCGAGGTGCCTGCTCTTATGTAATCTCCTCACTAACGTGAAAAAGATGGGACCCTCCTCCTCCGCATGTTACAGATGAGGGAGCGCGATCTGGCTCAGTGATTTGCTCCAGGTCAGAAGCTTTCCATAGGGAAGCAACACCCCGCCCAGGCATGGACTTGCAATGGCTTCGACTTGGTTCCTCCTAACACTTATCTCTTCCCCTTGCCCACTTTACCCCAAGCCGCCCTCAAGGCCTGAGGAAAACCTGGGCAAGGACAAAGCTAATTGTCCTTACATTCCAGAGTCCAGGGACAGGTGGGGCTCGAGTCCCTTCCCATCTGAGGCTCCCTGATGAGAACAAAAACACCGGGCAGAGAGTGGATGCTTAAGGCCTCCCCTCCGCTCCCTGAGCCCACAGCCCACCCAAGGTCCGGGGCCACGGGAAGGGTAGCTCCTGCCCACCCTCCCAGTCTTACCCAAAGAAGGAGAGTTCCTGAGAATGTGAAGCTGACCTCACCGTCTTAAGCTTGGATGTGTTCCCAAAGGGTGTGATCCCAGGCCTTTTAAGCAGCTCCACCCCGACTGAAGCACTGCCCCTTGACACAGGCAACAAATGAGATAGGTTTCATTTTCCAGGAAACCGAAACTGCAGACATCTTTCTCCCCTCATGCGCAGTCCAGAAGAAAATTCAGTTATTTACAGAAATAGGATTTGCCCATGGCATCAGTCATTGTCAGTTAATATAAAATGCTTTGTCATTTAATTCAAGGATGGGAGTGTGCTCTACGCAGAATGAAGTCACAAGAAGTAAGATCAAAGTTCTATAATAAAATGATAAATATTACTTTCTAATGAAGAAGGTGATTTTCAGAATAATAGTAGTCCTTGCGATAGGCAGATGTTCCGTTTTTCAAAAAAAGTCTCAACTGAAGGCCCACTGTGCTAGATACTGACTAGGCACTGGGACAGGACTGTAAACAAAACAGACCAAAATATCCATCCTCACAGAGTTTACCAGCAATGGGGGCAAACTAAACATAATAAATAACTAAATGTATAGAATGTTATTTGATGAAGCGCTAAAGCAAAAGGAGGTGAAGCAGTGACCTAGGCAGAATTATGGGGGGGCAGTCATTCCAGGTGGAGGCCACAGCAGTGGCAGAGCCCGTGTGGCAGGAGCAGCAAGGGGGCCAGTGTGGCCTCAGCAGGTGGGCAGGGGAGAGAGGCAGGAGGTGAACTCAGAGTTTAACAGGGATCCAGGCCCTGTGAGGCCACAAAAGCACTGCAAGGACTTGATCTTGTGTCCTGAAGCCATTGCAGGGGATTATCATCTATACCTTTTTGGGGAAAGGGAGATGAAGCTGAGAAATGACACAGTCAGGCTCACCCTGCAGCTGCTTTGAGAACAGGCGGAAGAGAAAGCACCAGGTCCTGGAATGTACATTTAAATCTTCCACATGAGTAGTGTGCGAGTTGTAAGATTCAAAATGGAGTCACTTGGGTAAAACCTCAGCAGACAGAGCCAGCAAGGCTTTAATGGGAGGGCTCTCACGCAAGATGAGGCTCTCCCGTTTGCCTGCTAACAGGAACTATCACAAGAAATGTTTCCAAACTGCAGCTTATCACATGGGCCACACAAGGACAGCTAGAAGCACAGGGAGAGCGAGCCAGTTATGCAAAAACACTTGCCTGGCACAGTGTCTCACAAACCCAATCCAAAACTGCAGGAACCTGACCATAACTCCAAGATTCCCAGTCCTACCTAGCAACTACTGACACTTGGCGGTCAGAACTCGCCAGGTCTTGTAAGATGCTGCCACCACCAATAAACTTTTTTTCTTCCTTTCCTTTCCTTTCCTTTCCTTTCCCTTGCCCTTGCCCTTGCCCTTGCCCTTCCCTGCCCTTCTCTGCCCTTCCCTGCCCTTCCCTGCCCTCCCCTCCCCTCCCCTCCCTTTCCTTTCTTTTTTTTTTTTATGGAGTTTTGCTCTTGTTGCCCAGGCTGGAGGGCAATGGCGCAATCTCGGCTCACTGCAACCTCCACCTCCCGGTGGAGTGATTCAAGTGATTCTCCTGCCTCAGCCTCCCAAGTAGCTGGGATTAAAGGCAACTGCCACCATGCCCGGCTAATTTTTTGTATTTTTAGTAGAGATGGGGTTTCACCATGTTGGCCCGGCTGGTCTCAAACTCCTGATGTCAGGTGATCCTCCTGCCTCAGCCTCCCAAATTGCTGGGATTACAGGTGTGAGCTTTCGGCTGTGGGATCACAGCCATTAAACTTTCTTTCAAAACAACTTGCATAACTTTCATAAAACAAATTGCATTGAACTTTCCTTCAGAACAACTTGCATAACAGCCTCTTTCTCTAAAAATCCCCAGCTTTTTCCTTTGTTCTCCAAAACAAAAAGGCCACCCTGGTCCATATTTATGTTGTGGGATTGCAATCCTACTTCTTTTGTATTATTCCCAAGTAAAACGATTTTACTTAAAGATTTGTCTCCCTCTCTCTCTTTTTTTTTTTTTATGTTGACACAAGTGTGACATCAATATGTTGGTTCAACTAGTTTAAGCCACACTGATGGCGATCTATACTCCTATTCAGGGGTCCAGCAGGTGTCCACTCTGGCTTTCTCTCTGGGAAGGGCCCCCGGGGAGGCAGTATATTCAGAAATCCACACGCCCCTGTGCAGCTACTACATCAGTACCAGAGACTTTGCAAATTAGCACAATGAATGTATGAATGTATGTATGTGACATCATCAGGCTCCATGTCCTAACCAAAGGCTGGGTTGGGGTCACCCTAATGCTGAGGCTCAAATCACTTCTGGATGGAACAATACACGGCCAGCATATGGACACAGTTTTTGTCCAGCAGTTCTACACAATTTCAATAGTAAATAGTAATGCAAATCAAGACCACAATGAGATACCATCTCACGCCTGTTAGAATGGCTACTATAAAGACACGTGCACACGTATGTTTATTGCGGCACTATTCACAATAGCAAAGACTTGGAACCAACCCAAATGTCCATCAATAATAGACTGGATAAAGAAAATGTGGCACATATATACCATGGAATACTATGCAGCCATAAAAAAAGATGAGTTCATGTCCTTTGGAGGGACATGAATGAAGCTGGAAACCATCATTCTCAGCAAAATATCACAAGTACAGAAAATCAAACACCACATGTTCTTACTCATAAGTGGGAGTTGAACAATGAGAACACATGGACACAGGGAGGGGAACATCACACACTTGGCCTGTTGGGGGAAGGGGGCTGGGTGAGGGAGAGCATTAGGAGAAATACCTAATGTAAATGACGAGTTGATGGGTGCAGCAAACCAACGTAGCACATGTATACCTATGTAACAAACCTGCACGTTGTGCACATGTACCCTAGAACTTAAAAGTATAATTAAAAAAAAGAAATTCCTCCAAAGTAGGAAATGTTCCTTTAACAACCAGCGACACAAGTACCTTTAAAAGGGAAAAGACAAAATAAAATGTGGTGGATCATTACCGTAGAATACTAAGCAGCAATTAAAAATAATGAAAAAGACTTATAAAATGTAAAAAAAAGCCAGCATCAGAATAGTATGTATTAGGTTAAACAAAACCATAGCAATAAAAATGCATATAACAGAACTATATACAAATATTTTCTATGGAGATACCTATATATCTCTTCTATCATCTATCCACAGAAATAACTTTAAAAGGGCATGGAGAACTAATTGCCCAAATGCGAGCCACAAAACTATGAAACTCCTAGAAGAAAACATAGGGGAAATTATTCATGACATCAAACTTGGCAATGAAGAGTAAACATTCAGAGTATACCAAAAAATGCTACAACTCAACAACAAAAAATCGAATAACCCAATTTTAAAATGAGCAAAAGTGGGAGTGGTGGCTCACGCCTGTAATCCCACTACTTTGGGAAGCCGAGGCAGGCAGATCACCTGAGGTCAGGAGTTCAAGACCAGCCTGACCGACATGGTGAAACCCTGTCTCTATTAAAACTACAAAAGATTAGCAAGGCGTGGTGGTGTGTGCCTGTAATCCCAGCTACTTGGGAGGCTGAAGCAGGAGAATTGCTTGAACCCGGGAGGCAGAGGTTGAAGTGAACCGAGATTGTGCCATTGCACTCCAGCCTGGGCAAGAAGAGTGAAACACCATCTGAAATAATAATAATAATAATAAATGATATATATAAATAAAATGGGCAAAAGACTTAAATGGACATTTCACCAAAGATGATATATGCTATAGTTTAAATATTTGCCCCCTCCAAATCTCGTGCTAAAATGTAACCTCCAATGTTGGAGATGAGGCCTAGTCGGGGGTGTTTCGGTCATGGGGGTGCTTGGCACTGTCCTCACAGTAATGAGTTAGCTCTCACTCTATTAGTTCCCGCAAGATCTGACTGCAGAAAAGACCCTGGCACCTCCTGCCTTCCTCTTGCTCTTGCACCGTGTGATGTCAGTTCCTCTTGCCTTCCATTGTGAGTACAAGTTTCTTGAGGCCTCACCAGAAGCCGAGCAGATACCAGTGCCATGCTCCCTGCAGAACCATGAGCCAAGTACACCTCTTTTCTTTATAAAGTACTCAGTCTCCAGTCTCAGGTATGCCTTTATAGCAGTGCAAGATGAACTAATATGATATACAAATGGCCAAAAAGCACACGAAAAGATGTTTAAGATCGCCAATCATTAGGGAAATGCAGATCAAAGCCACAATGAGATACTACCTCACAACCATTAGGATGGCTGCTATCAAAAAAACCGAAAATAAAAAGTGTTGGCCCTTATATAATTGGAACCATTGCACACTGTTGGTGGGATCGTAAGATGGAGTAGTTGCTATGGAAAACAGTAGGGAAGTTCCTTAAAAAATTAAAAGAACTTCTATATGATCCAGAAACCCCACCTCTGGGTATATATCCCAAAGAATTGAAAGCAGGGTGCTATGGTCTGAATGCCACGGCCCCGCCAAATTCGTTAAAATCATAACCCCAAAGGTGATGGTATTGGGAGATGGAACTTTTTGGGAGGTGACTAAATCAGGAGAGCAGAGCCCTAATGAATGGGATTAGTGCCTTTATAAAAGAGGCCCCCCAGAGAGCTGCCTTATCCCACTACCATGTGAGGACACAGAAAGCAGTATTTACAAACCAGGAAAGGAACCCTGACCAGACACCAAGGGGGCTGACACCTCTTAATCTTGGACTTCCCAGCTTCTAGAACTGTGGGAAATAAATTTCTGTTTTTTAAGCTACCTAGTCTATGGTATTTTGTTACAGCAGTGCAAACGGCCTAAGACACCGGATCTTAAAGAGATATTTGCATACCCACGTACATAGCAGCACTATGCACAATAGCCGAGAGGTGGAAGCAGCCCAAGTGTCCACTGATGGGTGAATGGATCAACCAAATGTGGTCTATACCTCCGGTGGAATGTCATTCAGCCTTATCGAGGAAGGAGATTCTGTCACATGCTGCATCCTGGATGAGGACATTATACTAAATGAAATAAGCCAGTCACAAAAAGGCAAATACTATATAATTTTGGCCAGGCACGGCGGCTCACACCTGTAATCCCAGCACTCTGGGAGGCCAAGGTGGGTGGATCAGCTGAGCCCAGGAATTTGAGATCAGTTTGGGCAACACGGAGAAAAAAGCCCATCTCTACACACATATACACACACACATGACAAATACTATATAATTCTACCATTAAGTGGTACCTAGAGTAGTCAAATTCACAAAGAAAGTAGAATGGTGGTTACCGGGGCAGGGGGAGGGGCGGAGCGGAGCTGTTTAATGGGAACAGAGTTTCAGTTTTGCAAGATGAAAAAATTCTGGAGATGTTTCACAACAACGTGAATATACACCTAACATTGCTGAACTGCACTTAAAAAATGGTCAAGATGGTCAATTTTATGAATTTTTATCACACTATAAAAGGGGGGTCCTTGGAAAGGAACGCATGAAATTGCAGCAGTGCTTTACTTCTGAGGGTGGGAGTAGGGGCTGTAATGAGGGGCAAGGATGCTTATCAGAGCCAAAGGGGCTTTAGACTTACCTATATGAATTTAGATTTTTAAGAGTAGAAGCTACTTCAAGATTTCTTAAGTAATTTAAATGCAATAAAATGTTGGTTTTCATTAGAAAATAATATAATCCCATACTGTAAAGTTAAAAACAAAAAGACAGTAACCTACTGTCCACTTACCTTCGGGTCCGGTGTGCTCTTCCTTAATGGCTGGAGCGGTGAGAATAACGAGACAGAGACAGAGACAGAAGCAGCGAACCTGGCTGGGAGCCCACTTTGGTTTCCTCCAAGGATCTTCGAGGCGCAGTCTTCCCTGAGAACAACGCCCAAGCTGTCTGTACAGGACGCTGTGTTTGGGCACTCACTGTCTCTTACCCCCCTCTCTTCTTTGAAACAGAAACCTCCTCTTTCAGGTATAGGAGCCCCTGCCTTGACCTATGAGTGTATCAGAGGCATGGGCTCTCCTCGCACTTTCTAAAGGTGAGTCCAGGTGGACTTAAACCAGTCATCACATCCCACCCATCCTTTGGGCCTAATAAAGGGTTTTAGGAATGAGTAAATGACCCCATTTAAGATAGTAGCATGAACATTTACTAGAGGTATTTGGGAAAGATGTTTCTTTGCTTTTCAGGAGAAAGTACATGAAAAAATGTTCTTTCTGGGAGACATGAATAAAGAAGGTAGCTTCCAGAGCTTGCTAACAGCTGTCTTGTAACCACGAGAGCTGGCAGCCACAAGATGAAGCTGATGCCTCAGAAACAAAGAATAGAAAAGACAGGTCTTTGGCATCTGTGCTGTGTTGCTGAATCAAACCCTGTCCGAAGCATACTTTACCTTTGGAGCTTTCCATTTAGTAAAGCAATGAAGTCCGTTGAACTCTGAGCAAGTTGCGATCAAGTTTCTAGTACTTACAACTCCATAATCCTTAAGTAAAACAGCACTTACTCCAGGGAAGTCTTCCCAGGTTGCTGCAATTAGAATCTATCGCTTCCTTTTCTGTCCTACGAGCCATATAGCCTGATCCTCTTCAGTGATTTTACACATTGTCTTATGTTGTCAGTTACCCATGGCTGGATAAAAAGTGACCACACAATTTAGTGGCTTAAAAAAGTTATGTAGCTCATGATTCTGTGGGTCAGCAATCTAGGCAGGTGGTTCTTCTGGTCTCAGCTGGGCCCCTCATCCATCTGCAGTCAGCTGCAGGTCAGCTTTGCAGAACTTGGCTGGGCTCGCTGCCATGTCTGGGGTCTTGTCTGGAATGAATGGACTTTGTGTGCTTGCCCAGCCTGGCTTGTTCTCATGGCAGTGATGGGGTCCGGGAGATACAGCAGAAGGCTGCAAGGTTTCTTAGGGACTAGGCTCAAGATTAGCACGCCATCACTTCCACTGTGTTCTATCGGCCAGGCCAGAGCAACTCCGCAGGCCAGAGGAGATTCAAAGGGAGGGGAAAGAAATTCCTACCTCTTGATGGGAGGAGCTGTACAGCCATGCTGAAAGGGCGGAGAATATGGTCGTTTCTGTAATTTACCCCAAGTCCCTTCACATCATTGGTTAAGGGCTGGCTTCCCCAACATTGTGCACCCTGGGCAGAGATGGACCTCTGTGATCCTCTGTAGCCAGGGCAATCCTGTGGGATGGAGCCTTGGGGCCCCTTTGGGAGCTGTGGGAGTCAGCTCAGCCAGCATCCCAGGGAGAGCCCTGCAGGAGTGCAGCTGTAAAGGAAAAATAAGTGTGAAGGTCAAACAGCCCAGAGTGGGACTAACGTTGAGGTCAGAGGCCACATCTAAATAGGCCTTGCAGAAGTCAAGTGTGGTTTACTTATCCTCAAGGCCAGGCAGGTGCCGTGTGGCAGATGCCAGGTCAGTGTGCATAGGACAGCTGGCACCTGATCTGGGGCCAGGCACACAGGAGGTCTCTGGAAATGGGTATTCTGCATTGGCCTACTTCTCAGGAGCCCCAGCCCCTTGCCCATCCTCACAGGCTCTGCTCAGTCCACCTGGGGCCTGAGGAGCCTGGGCTCTGTGCTGAGAGGGACAGAGCTCCCTGGAGGAATGAAACTTCTCGACCTGTATGGAGAAGGCCCATAGGCCAGGCAAATGTAGTGTTGCTAAACTTCTAGAGTAATCAGTAGAGTAAACTTCTAGAGTAAACTTCTAGAGTAATCAGTCACACCCTGAGTCCTGGGTGGGAAAGGAAGGGATCAGTCACGCATGAGGACAAAGGGCTTCGTAATTGAGGGTCAATGGCTCAAGCAATGACCCAAGAGCCACGCCATCCTATAACGCTTACTCTGGCTGACTCTCCCATCTGAAGTGCAGCAAACTGAGGCTCAAAGGGCAGACATGACCTGCTCAGGACCACAGAATGAGTGGAAAGCCTGGGGCCAGACCTGGCTCCGGTCACAGACATCCCATGCTGCTTCCTCTTGAGTCCCTCCCTGTCCAGCAGTCCTGCAGCAGCGCTGTACCCTATCCTGACCACAAGAACAGAGAACCGACACTAGGAGAAGATAACCAGCATCTTTATTTTTCATGCTTCCTTAAATAGTTTTGGGAGTAGGAGACTTGTCCTTTGGAAGATTGTCATCCAGAGGCCCAGGAAAGTCATCTCCACCAAGAGAGCCAACTCCCTGCCTCAGTGTGGTGTTCAGCTGGAAGGGGGTGAACCCAGCCAGGCCCCAAGAGCTGTCCCAGCAAAGCCCCCGATAACTTTAGATGTCACAGAGAGTCCAGCTGCCCCTGGGGGAGAAGAGAGGGTGAGCACAGGGCACAGGGAGGGGTAGCAGCTCCTAACAGGGGGTTGAAGGCCAGAGACCCTGGTCCCTCCAGAGACCTGAGGCCCAGGCAGTCCAACCCTGTTCCCCACCTCTGCTTCCTAAAACCCTAGGATTTCTGCTCTGGGAGGGGCTGCTGCAGGCCACTGCCCGAAGAGGAGGCAAGAACTCTGGTGAGGAATCCCAGCAACAGGGCAGACCCTCTGAGAAATGGCAGGTTCCTTATCTTCCAAAGGCCCAGAGAGGGGAGGAGACCTGCCTGGGTTTTGTAGGGTTCACCAGGAATGCAGATCTCTTAGGCTGCACCCCTGGTCCCACCTCCAACCAGAAGAGGGGACAGTGACAGAAAGACAAAGGGCCCAAGAGGCAGAGGATCACGGACCTGCAGGGAGAGGAGAGGCCTCCCTGGTTCAGCCTCGGGGCTGGATCATCTCCTGGCTCTGGTCATCCTGTCCAGAACACTCACCCACTGACTGCAGAATAGCCACCAGACTGCCAGCAGCAACTCCGCCCCCGTTGGCAATGGCTGCTGTAGACATCATCTTGGCTGCTATGGAGGATGCGGCGATTCCTACTGAGGTGAAGCCCATGGCACTGAGCGCCACGAGCACAGTCCCCACAGCCACAACTGCGGGAAGTGGAGATTTGGGGTTGGCCCCATGGGACGGAGTCCCCCAGACTTCCCTGACATCCTCCTGGGGCGATGAGGAGGAGGGGTCTGCTGTGCTCTCAGGAAAGACTGAGCAGGGATGGGATCCCAAAACAAGGGCAGTCAACGTGTAAAGCAGCCAGTGGACCGGCTCCCAGGATAATCTGAATCCCAGGCTTGTTTACGCCTGTTTCACAGACACCATTGAGGGCTCACTGGCCCTCCCTGGGCCTCTGTTCCCCTAATGTAAAATAAATACATTGAAGCAAACAGCAGTCTTCAAACTTTCCCTTTTGGCAAGGAAAACATGATCTCTCCATGCAAAAGGTTGACAGAAGACAATATCAGAGCTGCTTTTCTGGAGAGGTGAGGGGATGGAGGCCCTGAAGGCCCTGCAGCAGCACGCGGGGGTCCTCTAGGGCTCCCCAAAATCTCCAGAGCAGTGCAGTCAGAGAGCCATCTGCAATCACAGCCACATTTGTTTTCTGTACTGTCTACTAGGGTAGCCACGTTTAGCACTTGAAATGTGGTGCAGGTGACAGAGAAACATTATGATTTTCTTTAGTTTTGGCCATTGCATTGGAGGACACTGCTTTATAGCAGGTCAAAAGCTTCTGACTCAGTGGATGGGCTACCAGCATTTGTCAAATACTTTTGAGGAATGAGACACAGCTCAGCTGACATACTCCCTTCAAAAGTCCCCAAGGATACCATGGGCCCTGCTTTAGACGGGGAGGAATCCCGGGCTGTGACTGCTCCAATGACTCATCCGGGGTTGCATGGTTTGTACTTGGTGGAAGCTGAGAGTAGCCCCAGCTCTGGCTGCCTCCAAAGCCCTGTGCCTTTAATGGCTTTGCTTTGCTTCCTGCTGCTCTAAGGTCCCCATCACTCTGCCCACTCCACCGCTACCCAGCTATGTCTTGGAGAATCCTGGGTTTGGTCAAAGCCAGTTTCTCCCAGAGGCTCAGGGCTGGGGGGAGGCGGGGGATGGGGGCTTGAGTTCCTTCCCATAGAGACTCACCTCCTCCGACCACAGCTGCTACAGCAGCCCTGCCTGGAGACAAAAACAACAACAACAACAACAAACAAACAAACACAAACCTATGGGAGTGGGTACTCTCTGATACCCCCATCTCAAATTCAACTTTGCTATTCTTTCCCTCTTCTGAAGCCCCCTACTCATCCTAGGCCATAGGTCAGAGGTGAAGGCCCCATCCTCAGGGCTCTGCACGTGGCACCTTCTGCAGGAAGCCTCCCCAGGTCCCCGCATCAGAAGTCACCTGTCTCCTCTGCCCAGCCTTGTGGCTGGGCCCCCTGCAGCACTGGGCAGAGCATGCCTGGGCCTCCTGAGTTGTGTTGAGCTCTCAGGGCTGGCAGGAACATCTGACAATGGCTGCCACGGGGGCAGGGACTGGGGTGCTTAGGCAGCTGGGACCAAAGTTCTGGAGATTTCAGGGCCTGCTAGAAAGAGCTCAGCCACCTCCCCAGGAAGAGGCGCCTTGGTCTCAGCCAAGTAACAGAAGGTGCAAAAATCAGCCTCAATCCTCCCATCACTCCCTGCCATTTCTTGAAGCTTTTAGCTCATGGCTCAGGACCTCCCTTTCTCTCTGTCACGACTCCTGACCTGTCTTGATGATATCAATCCCTACTCAGATGACATTTCCCAAAAACGTGTCTTTCAGTTCTTATTTCCTTGCTTCCAAAGATCTTGGACTCTATGCCCCATATTCCCTCAGTCAAACCCTAGGCCTGTGCTGCCCACTTGTAACCACTAGCTATGTGTGGCTATTTAAAGTTTAGTGAATTAAAAATGAAATAAAACTTAGAACTCAGTGCCTCAGTTGCACTAGTCACATCTCAAGAGCTCAAGAGCCACGTGTAGCCTGTGACTGTCACAATGGACAGCTCAGAGAACAGAAGGTTCTATTAGTTCTATTAGCATTCTGTCCTAGACCTTGTTAATAACAAAATGGTACCCTCCCTACAGCGAGCAGCCCCCTAGAGGCCCCTAACTCCTCCCTTTCCAGTTTTCTGACTCTAACACAAGCTTTGGGAGTTCTTCAGTCACCCTGGGATTTCTGAGCTCTGTCTTAGTTTCCTAGGCTGCTGTAACCAAGGACCCCAACCTGGGTGGCTTCAAACAACAGAAATCAATTCTCTCAGTTCTGGAGGCTGGAAGTCCACAATCCAGGAGTCAGCAAGGCCACGCTCTCTCTGAAGCCTCTCAGGGAGGGTCCTCCTGTGCCTCCTTCTAGCTTCTGGTGGCTGCCAACAATCCTTGGTGCTCCGGGCCTGTGGCTGCATCACTCCAATCTCTGTGTCTTTCTGTTCCTTTCACTCCCCGCTCTCTGAGATTATGCAAATTTCACAACTTCTCCCTGGATCTTCAAACCTGCACCACCTCCTCTCTTGCCTCTGTCGGGGTCCTAATTCACCAAGAAAATGAAGGCAACCAGAAGACAGCGTCCCCCTGCTCTCACCAGCAAGTCTACCCCTGCCACTCACCACCCCTGCCCCCACATTCCCTTGCCCTCCCACTTCTGTGATGAGCAGTGCCTGCACCTGCCACCTGTGTGCCTCCCCACTTGTGCGCCTGCCGCCCTGTGCGCTGGGCCCACCTGCTATTCCTACTCCAAGTCATGCTCCAGCAGTGCCTCCCTCGCTTCTGCATCATCAAAGTCTCCCTCTCTCTGGGATTGTTCCCAATACCAGTAAAACAAGGACAGCCCCTCCCTTCACACCACATCTTCCTCCAGCTGCCACCTCACTTTGCTTTGCTCCTTAGAGCAAAGCTCCTTGTGGTAGTTCTGTCCATTCAGGGAAAGGCAGAATGGCACCGTGGTTAGGCACCCAGACTCAGAGCTGCATGACCTTGAGCAGTTACCTAGCTTTCTTGTCCCCTCTATAAAATGTGTAAGATAATGAGAGCAGCCACCTCACAGGGTTAGTGGGAGGGTCTAATGCAAAGCATGAGAACATGAGTGAATCATCAAGATGTGTGTATAGGCACGACACACCACCACTCCTCTCATGCACTCTCAAACCCATACCCATAAGCCTTCTCCCCAACCCAGTCCCCAAGAAACTGGACTTACAACGTCCCCACTGACCTCCTTGGTGCCCATCCAGAGCCCTCCCTCTCGGGCCTCAACGTTCCCAGCTCTCAGCAGTGTCTTGACAGGGGTGATTACTCTCTCTTCCTCAAAACGTCTTTGTTGCGGGTTGAATTGCATCACCCGAAAAGATATGTTCGAGTCCTAACATCTGGTACTTGTGAATGTGACCTTAATTGGAAACAGGGTTTTTGCAAATGTAATGAAGATGTGGTCATACTGGAGTAGGGTGGGCCCTTAATCCAATATGACTGAGGTCCTTGTAAGGGAAAAAGAAGAGACACAGATACTTGGAGTCACACAGGGAGAAGCCCACGTGAAGACAGAGATGGAGATGGGAGTGATGCAGCCACAAGGCAAGGACGTCGAAGACTGACAGCAGCCACCAGAAACTAGGGAGTGGCATGGAACATTCTCCTGAAGGGCCTTCAGAGACAGCATGGCCCTGGGACACTCTGATTTCAGACTTCTAGCCTCCAGAACGGTGAGAAAGTAAATTTCTGTTGTTTTAAGCCATTCAATCCATGGACCTTTGTGACAGCAGCCCTAGAAGCCGACACATCTTCCTCACCTGGCCTCATCCTCCACATTTCCCCCTGCCATACTAGCCTCTCCTTCTCAGTCTCATTCAGCCCCTCTCCCTGAACTCAGTGCAGTGTGGGTGTGTCCAGGGTCCGTCCTCAGACTCCCCTGCTTTAGCCCCACACCTGGGGGCACTTCACCCAGTCCCACTGTGTTAAGTACTCTGGTGACTTGCAGATTGATGTGCTCAGCCTAGACCTACTTAACATGTCCCTTGGGTATCTGAGAAGCACCTCAAACATGAAGTGACCCAAGTGCACTCCCATTTCCCCTCTGGAAGCTGTCCCTCCAACAGCTGCCCAGCCTCTGTAAAGGGCAGCCCCGTTCTCTCAGTAGCTCAGGGTAAGTGGCCTGGAGTCCTCCTTGACTCCACATGGTTTCTCTCCTTCACAGCAATCTATCCGTGAATGCTTATTCACCTTCAGAAATATCCAGTCTGACCATCCCTCATACTTCTGCAGCTCCAGTCCCGGACCAAGCCACCCGCGTCTCTCAGTGGGATGACTGGAGGAGCTTCCTAACTTGTCTCTCTGCCTCTGCTCTGGCCCAAGTCACTGCTGAACCCGGAATCCATCCTCTCAGCAGCTCAGGCCAAAAGCCTTCCTGCTATGAAAGTTGTCAGAATTAAAATGGAGTCGCTTATGCCAAATCCTAACAAAATGGAGGCAGGCCACCAAGGAGGGGCTCTCAGGCACACATGCCTATGAAAAGAGCTATTACAAAGATGCTCTGAAAACCACAACCTTGCAGAAAGGCCACTGCAGCCTTCCATAAAGAATACTTCTGAATGGATGACTGCCCAGCAACTGCCCGTTCAATCTTGGGCTGATGCCACACTTGTAGCCAAGGATCATTGTTTCAAAACCACTTAGTAACTTTCCTTGTTTTGCTTTTAAAAACCTTTGTCTTCCTTTGCCTTCCTGGGTACATCTGTGGCCCCGCCATGGTCCACTGTGGCATGTGTATTCTGGGATTTAAAAATCCCGTCATTCATTCCTGAATAATTCTT
Source organism: Homo sapiens (assembly GCF_000001405.40). Lineage (NCBI taxonomy): Eukaryota > Metazoa > Chordata > Mammalia > Primates > Hominidae > Homo > Homo sapiens. The sequence continues at coordinate 94,097,088 of NC_000014.9, read as the reverse complement.
TTCCATGGATAGCCTCCCTCTCTGTTATTTGGGGTTGACATAATCTGGTGTCAGAAGAGTGGGACACAAAGTGCATTCACCTCGGAAGGACCAGCAGCCCCCAGAATCATGTGCAGTACCCACCTGAGTCCCATCCACTCTCCTTTCCCATGGTTGGCCCCTTCGCCTCGGTGAGCCTCCACTCGGATTCTTGGACTTCCACCTGTTGGTTGAGTTTTGACTTTATTCAGGATCTGGTTTGAATAAAGCTGCATTAATAAAGAACTCTGCATCCCTCCTGGGACTATAAAAACATTAAAAATAGAATTATCATATAAAACATATAATCCCGTAAACCCACTTTTGAGTAACTACCCTAAGTATTTAAAGCATAGCCTTTTTTTTTTTTTTTTTCTGAGACAGAGTCTCGCTCTGTCACCCAGGCTGGAGTGCAGTGGCACAATCTCTGTTCACTGCAACCTCTGCCTCCCAGGTTCAAGCGATTCTCCTCCCTCAGCCTCCTGAGTAGCTGGGATTACAGGTGCGTGCGACCACACCTGGCTAATTTTTGTATTTTTAGTAGAGACAGGGTTTCACCATGTTGGTCAGGCTGGTCTCGAATCCCTGACCTCGTGATCCGCCCACCCTGGCCTCCCAAAGTGCTGGGATTACAGGTGTGAGCCACTGCACCCGGCTGAAAGCATAGTCTTGAATAGATATTTATACACCCATGTTCGTAGCAGCATTATTCACAATAGCTAAGAGATGGAAGCAACCCAAGCATCAGGGATATAAAACACTGAATGGAGACGTATCTACTGGCTGCTGTGGTACAGGGAAAAGTCATGGTGTTTACCCATCCATCTGCCTAAAACCCCTCAACAGCCTTGTATGGCCCATGGGATAAGCAAGTCCTCCATGAACTGGCTTCTGCCTCGCCCTAAACTTATTGTTGCCAATATCCAGCTACGTTTCTGTCCTGGGGGACAAATAGAAGTCATTCCCTGCTCTTTTAGGCCTCTGATCCTTTGCATGCTAGATTCAGGAAAATTTTCAGGACCTCATCATCTTACATATTCTCCAGGAAGACTTCCCTGGCCACACATTCCCAATCTCGCTTGAGCAACTATACCCCCACTTATGCTCTCAAATGTGAGTCCACTATATTCTTTCTGCCACAGAATTTCCCACAATGCAACATTGTTCTCTATCTCCTCTGCTGGATTCAGAGCTCTTTAAAATCAAGGACTGCTATGGTTTGGATGTTTGTCCCCTCCAAATCTCATATTGAAATGTGATCTTCAATGTTGGTGGTGGAGCTTGGTGGGAGGTGCTCAGGTCATGGGGGAAAATCCCTCATGGTGGCTTGGTGCCCTCCCCATGGTAATGAACAAATTCGCACTCTGTTTGTTCATGCAAGAGCTGGTTGTTTAAAGGAGGCTGGTACCTCCTCCTCTCACTCCTGCTCCCTCTCTTGCCATATGACACACCTGCTCCCCCTTCAACTTCTGCATTAGTAAAAGCTTCCTGAGGCCTCACCAGAAGCTGAGCAGACGTTGGTGCCATGCTTGTATAACCTACAGAACCATGCCAAATAAACCTCTTTTCTTTATAAATTACCCAGCTTCAGGTATTCCTTGATAGAAATGTAAAACTGACTAACACGAGTCAGGAGTCATTCATTGCTGCCTCCCTTAATGCTAGGCCCAGACCGGAGATCAAGTAGACATTGAGTATTTCATAAAAAGAAATATGGATAAAGAGTGTGCCTAAGGCTTGGAACGGTGGCTGGCACCTATAATCCCAGTTACTTGGGAGGCTAAGACAAGACGATCACTTGAGGCCAGGAGTTCCAGACCAGCCTGGGCAATATACCAAGACCCTCATCTCTAAAAAAGTCTCTAAAAATTAGCCAAGTGCTGTCATGTATACCTGCAGTCCCAGCTACTTGTGAGGCTGAAACTGGAGAATTGCTTGTACCTAGGAAGTCGAGGCTGCAGTGAGCTGTGATCATGCCACTGCACTCCAGCCCGGGCAACACAGTGAGATCCTGTCTCTAAATTTTTTTTAAGTGTGCCTTTGTGCATCCTTGCCTTTTATTAAGAGGGGCCTTTAACTCGCTCTATCTTAGGAGAGACTCTAATTCCCCTAAGTTGGACTTCTAACCCATTCTCATCCTTTACCCAGGTAAAATGTACCCCACCACTTACCCAAAGTCAGCCAATTGGTGTTGCGGTCTATTTCCTTTAGTTCAGGGGTCTCCTCAATATCGTCCTTTCATGGTTCACCAGGAGTATATTACTGGAAAGGGGTCCCAATCCAGACTCCAAGAGAGGGTGCTTGGACCTCACACAGGAAGACTTCAAGCCAAATCCAGAGTGAAGTGAGAGCAAAGCAGCAGCTTGGGCCGCTCGACTGATAATACTTACAGTATTATATTGATTATATGCTAAACAAGGGATGGCTCATTCACGAGTTTTCTGGGAAAGGGGTGGACAATTCCTAGAGTGATGGAGGTCACTTCCGTCACCATCTAGGTTTTGGTGGATTTGGGCTGACTTCTTTACATCATGCTGCTTTATCAGCAAAGTCTTTTGCTGAATTATTTGGGAGTGTTGTTCCAAAACTAAACAGGACTGTGCAAGGAAACGGCAGGGTGGAGAAGGTGAAGAGCTCAGGGAGGCCAGAGAAAGACCCACCCGTTGCAGCAACACTGACTCAAAAATTCAGGCGGCCACTTGTCATCCTGAAGGGATCAGCTCTCAAGTTTCCGCCTTTAGAGAGAAAAAAGCTCCCAATGTCCCATGATCCTGTACATGCTCAATCCTGCCACCCACAGCCATCAGCAAAGAGTGCGAGGCAGATTAACCCAAAGAGAGTAGCAGTTAATACCTCGTAGTGCCAAATCCATTTTTAACCAAGAGAGACTTTACTGAGAGGGACCTCTAACCCCCTGAATCTTTGGAAGGACTCTAACATTCCTAAATTGGGCCTCAAACCCAAGTTTGGTCAAGCATCGTTGCAGGACTGGGGTTGGGGTGCAGGGCTCATTTTCCCTCCTTTCCTTGTCTTGCAAAAGGGACACAGCCTCATTTCCAGGACATTAGAGGATATCCCAAGCAGAGGGCCTTTCCCACCCCGATTCTGTCACTTCTTTAATTTTCTGTATTCCTCTCTCCGCAGACTTCACACTGAGACTCTCACTTTCCTTTTTTTTCTCTTCACTCATTCTTTCATTCAAAACATATTTACCAAGCTCCTGAGCACTGACTCAAGAGAAAAAGATAGACACATCCTTATTTCATGAAATTTGTTCCAGTAGGGGAAAAGGACAGAAACAAGCAAATGCAAAAAACAATAGTACATATCTACTAACTCCCTATTTGTCACCAAACTAAGGCACATCAAGGTTCATTAACTTGCCTCAAGGCCACAGCTCTAAGGATTTCAACCAGGGCCCCTGGTCAGAGATCATGCTGTTAGCCACCAATCCATGCTGACTTCCTGCTTATCACAAATATGGGAGTAGGGCTCCATGCCATTTGTCAGCTAGTGTAGAATGTTTCATACTATAAATCTTCTATGTGGGATGGAGGGATGTTCTCCATACAAAATGAAGTTCATAAGAAATGCAGTCAGGGCCGGGCGTTGTGGCTCAAGCCTGTAATCCCAACAATTTGGAAGGCTGAGGCGGGCGGATCACGAGGTCAGGAGATCGAGACCATCCTGGCTAACACAGTGAAACCCCGTCTCTACTAAAAATACAAAAAAAAAAATTAGCCGGGCATGGTGGCGGGTGTCTGTAGTCCCAGCTACTCGGGAGGCTGAGGCAGGAGAATGGCGTGAACCCAGGAGGCAGAGCTTGCAATGAGCTGAGATGATGCCACTGCACTCCAGCCTGGGTGACAGAGCAAGACTCCATCTCAAAAAAAAAAAAAAAAAGAAAAGAAATGCAGTCAAAAATTTTGATGAAAAGGAGGATTTTGAATTCCTCACATCTCCAAGAAGGGCATTTTGAGGGGAAAAGTAATGCTCCTGGTATTGGGATGTGTTGGAATTAGATTTTCCTGGCCAACATGGTGAAACCCCATCTCTACTAAAAATACAAAAGTTAGCTGGGCATGGTGGTGTGCGCCTGTAGTCCCAGCTACTTGGGAGGCAGGGGCAGGAGAATCGCTTGAACCCAGGAGGGTGGCTGGCAAAGAGCAAATGAAAAGCGAAGCATAAAGGGAAACCCCTTATAAAATCATCAGATCTCATGAGACTTACTACCACGAGAACAGCATGGGGGAAATCATCCCGGTGATTCAATTATCTCCCACTGGGTCCCTCCCACAACACATCAGAATTATGGGAGCTACAATTCAAGAAGAGATTTGGGTGGGGACACAGCTAAACCATATCAGGTATTCTTCAGTTTTTCTGTAAATTGAACATTGGAATAAAAGCACAACAGAGTTTTTCTTAGAGCACTGATCTTCTCTTTAACAAGAATTTGTAAAGGGTTATAAAAGGTTTATGAGAATCTTGCCTCATAGACAAACTGATTAAGATTGATTTGTCTGTAAAGTTTTTTTTGTTTTGTTTTGTTTTGTTTTTGAGATGGAGTCTCGCTCTGTTGCCCAGACTGGAGTGCAGTGGTGCAATCTTGGCTCACTGCATCCTCCACCTCCCGGGTTCAAGCAATTCTCCTGCCTCAGCCTCCTGAGTAGCTGGGATTACAAAAGCGCACCACCCAGCTGGCTAATTTTTGTATTTTTAGTAGAGACGGGGTTGCACCATGTTGATCTGGCTGGTCTCAAACTCCTGACCTCGTGATCCGCCCACCTCAGCCTCCCAAAGTGCTGGGATTACAGACGTGAGCCAGAGCGCACGGCCAGGTTTTATTAAGGATTGAATTTGATATCAATAGTACACTAACGCAAAGGGTGAAATCTGGCTTTCTCTCTTAAGATTTTCTTTCTTTTTTTTTTTTTATTTTTTTGAGACACAGTCTCACTCTGTCACCCAGGCTAGAGTGCAGTGGTGCAATCTCGGCTCACTGCAACCTCCACTGCCCAGGTTCAAGCGATTCTCCTGACTCAGCCTCCCAAGTAGCTGGGATTACAGGCACCCGCCACCATGCGTGGCTAATTTTTTTGTATTTTTAGTAGAGACAGGGTTTCACCATGTTGCTCAGGCTGGTCTCAAACTCCTAACCTCAGGTGATCCACCTGCCTTGGCCTCCCAAAGTGCTGGGATTACAGGTGTGAGCCACCACACCCAGCTGATTTTCATGTTATATTAAAAAAAAAAAGATTTTTGTTTGCCTTTTGAATAAGCTATAGACAAAAGAAGGGAAAGGAAAGAGATTGTTTGGAAAGCTAAATCTTCCCTCTATTAATGAGTAAAGGTTTTTTGCCTTTTAAAAAATTCTGAGTTATTGTTTCAGCTAAGTAAATGACTTATGGTGACCTGGGATTTGATTTTATAATATCAAGTGTTTTAAACCTCTGATATTTGGCAAAATTTCCAAAATCAAATTATAAATTATGTCTTCTTCTGACCTCCTAATTAATCTTTTAGATACTAGGTCTCCTCAAGTCCAAAAATGACATATTTGCCTTATTTGGTATAAAAATCATATAGGAAGCATGGTTAAATATGAAATGGTTGGGTGTTTGGCTTTCTTGGCTGTATTTGTATAACTAAGTTATTGGTATGTGTTCTAAAATTATGGGAAACTCCTATAATCATGATATGACTTAGTGTATGCTACTAATAGTTATAATTGTTATGTAAAATTGTTGTATGCCATAGAAGTAACCACAATTTCTAGCCAATTGTGGCTATAATAGCGGCTGTCCTAAAACTTTTTGTCATCCACAGGCAACTGTTACCTTGTTTTGATCCTCTTTAAAAGGTGACCCTTAATCAGCTATAGGACTTTGACAGATGCTCTTGGATGCAGGTTTCTGATAACTTTGGACATTGTGATGTTAGAAAAAATCTTTCAGGACTTTCATGGAGAGCTGAAATGTTCATGAGCATCAGACAGAACAGGAATTAAGCGCATGAACTAAACTAACAGAAGTCTGAACCAATCTTTCTGACTTTTTCCTGATCTTTTACAGAGCCAAAAAAATTTTTATTTTGAGCTATTTACAACTTTTGATAATTGAGTAAAGTATACTACTGTGAACAAAATTTGGAGTATATTTGCTTCTCTCTACCTGATTTCTCCAGAATTTGGAAACTGCATATTCTTAATTTATGGCAATATAGTTATCTGCATAAGTACAATAAGAATCCATTTCATTTTGCAATTGGATGCAATTGGAGACATCGGTTATTTTACCAAGGCTTTGACTGTAATGATGTGCTTTCCCTTAAGGAATCAAACTTGACTTATAGAGCCAATAAAAGCCCCTTGGGAAAACTAGCCTCGTATCTTGCCTACACAGTCACTGTACAGGGTTCCTGACCAAAGAATGTCACTTTCTGACAGGCCCAAGAGCCCCAAGTTATCTTGAAACCTCTTAAGGAGAGGAATTTACCCAAACTCGTAGGTATCTGCTACCAACCCATGGCTGGCCTCAGCTTTAAAAATGTCTTATCTGAGATTCCTTTCATGGAACAAAGTTCCACCAAAGTCAATTTAAAAAGCCTATGTGAAAAATAATCATTCTTGCTGCACTTTATACAAATAATCAGGCCAGGTATAATAAACCAAATCTGTCAAATTATGATTTGTTTTATACTAAAATGAGGACTGGAGAGAGAAAAATTAGGTTTCAAAAACTGTGGTACACCAGTTATTAAATTCTAGTCTCATCAGTTGTTTTTGAGTTTTTTTCTGCAATTTAGACTGACCCTGCTTATTCCTGTGAACCAATCGGTGATCTCTGGCTGCAGCTCAGAAGAAACAAGAGGGATGGGTAATGTAAAAATCTGGATCAATATTCTAATTTGGGCACATATTGGAATCAGCTAGAGACCCCCATATCAGCTTGGTTCCAACAATTGCCCAGTTCCTGGAAAGCCTTCTTATTCAGTTTACTTGGGATAATTTTGCTTATTTTACTTTACTGTTGTGGAATATGTTGCTGTTGTACTCTTTGTATAGAAATGTAGGATGAGCTTACTCAATGTTTTCTTAAATTGAACACTTACTAATCTTCCAGATATCACCTTTTGTCGGAACTCAAGAGTTATGAATGGTCCTTGCCATACCGACACTTTCTGACTGAGCTCCACTCTACCCTGAATACAAGAGACCCTAATAGTTAGGCAGGAATATCATCGCCCCTATTCAGTCTGAAGAAATTACAGAAGATGGATCTACATACTTCTACAACCCTTAGGCTTAAGGGTTTCCTTGTAAAAGGGAGGGGGTAAATATGTCAGAAGCATTTGAACCAGAGTGACTCCATCTTGAATAAGAGCTGGGTAAAATAAGGCTGAGACCTACTAGGCTGCATTCCCAGGAGGTTACGCATTCTTAGTCACAGGATGAGACAGGAGATAGGCACACGATACAGTTCACAAAGACCATGCTGATAAAATAGCATGCAGTAAAGAAGACAGCCCAAACCCACCAAAACCAAGACGGTGATGAGAGTGACCTCTGGTCATCCTCATTGCTCATTATATACTAATTATAATGCATTAGCATGCTACAAGACACTCCCAGCAGCACCATGACCATTTATAAACGCCATGGCAACATCAAGAAGTTACCCTATATGGTCTGAAAGGGGGAGGAACCCTCAGTTCCAGGAATTGCCCACCTCAAAAACTCATTAATAATCCACCACTTGTTTAGCATATAATCAAGAAATAACTATAAGTATTATCATTCAAGCAGCTCAAGCTGCTATTCTGACTATGGAATGGCCATTCTTTTATTCCCTTACTTTGTTAATAAACTTGCTCTTGCTTTATGGATTCACCTGAAATTCTTTCTTGCATGATATCCAAGAACCTTCTCTTAGGATATGCATCGGGACCTCTATCCAGTAACAGCTGCAGTGAGCCATGACCCAACCACTGCACTCCAGCCTAGCCAACAGAGCAAAACACTCTCTCTAAAAATAAAAATAACAAAATAACAAAACAAACAAAAAAACACCATGAACAAAGTCCCTCGTGGTGAAAAATGGATTTATCATGAAGGTTAAGAGACAAGTGACATACTGAGGGGAAAACAAACCAAACAAAATAATACTTTTGCACGATTAGTATCCCCAACTCAAAGAGAGTTTTCCTTATGAATCAATTTTTAAAAGGAACTGCCTTTAACAAGGAACTCCGAAGACTAGGAGACAGCTCCCCAAGACAGAATTACGCATGACTAATAGACACTTAAAAAGATGGTCAATCTTACTAATAGTAAAAGATTTAAAGGAGGTAACATTTTGTATGTGTGTCACATGCATCTATTAGTCAGAGTTCAGCTGCAGATAACAGAAGTCACTCCAGCCAACTTAAGCAGAGTGGGTTTTGACACAGGGAATTAGGTGACTATAAGATTGTTCCAGGGGGTGGAGCTTGCAGTGAGCTGAGATCGTGTCACTGCACTCCAACCTGGGCGACAGAGCAAGACTCTGTCTCCAAAAAAAAAAAAAAAAAGATTGTTCCAGGATTGGAGGAGGAGGGTCTAAGCTGATGTTCCAGGAATGCCCCAACCCCAGAATGTGGCTCCACCCTAAAAGTGGGCCACCAAGAATGCTTCAGCCAGTGCCATGATCACGAAACTGGGATATCGGGAAGCCACTGCCACACCTGTTGGCTCTGGGGCATCTATGCCAGTAAAATGAAAACTTACCTTCTGCATCTCGCATAGTAACGTAAGAAATGGATCCTGGGACTCTGCTTCTGCTACTGCAAAAAAACAAGTCCCTACTACAATGCTTGGCAGTAGAAGAAGCCGAAGCACAGCCCCTGTGTCCCTTCCACCTTCACATCCTTGCACAGGGGAGTCAGCTTGGCACAATTCAGGTCATTTGCAGAACTGGCATATGGGGAAGCCAGGGGAATAGAGTCATTAACTTTCCATCCTTGAGGGTTCACAGCAGAGCGTGAAACAGAGCTGAGTGACTACATCCTTATAATCTGCCTCAGGAAGCAAATAACTGGAACATGCAGTGTTTGCATGAGGAAAGGAGTAGTGATCCTCATTCACTGCTGGGTATGGCGTGTTCTAACCCATACTTTATTTGACAGCATGTAGTGAAAGCTTATTTGGTTTAGAAATTTTACTTCTTGGAATTCATCACAAGAAAAGAATCAGAGATGTGCACAAATATCTGCACATGAATGATGATCACCGTGTTTTTGATGACAACTATAAAAGCAGTCAGAGTCAAAATGGAGTTGCTTGTGTTAAAAAAAAAAACGACAATCGGCTGGGCACGGTGGCTCATGCCTGTAATCCCAGCACTTTGGGAGGCCGAGGCGGGCAGATCACGAGGTCAGGAGATCGAGACCATCCTGGCTAACACGGTGAAACACCATCTCTACTAAAAATAGAAAAAATTAGCTGGGTGTGGTGGCGAGTGCCTGTAATCCCAGCTACTCGGGAGGCTGAGGCAGGAGAATGGCGTGAAGCCTGGGAGGCGGAGCTCGCAGTGAGCCGAGATGCGCCACTGCACTCCAGCCTGCGTGACAGAGTGAGACTCCGTCTCAAAACAAAACAAAAATAAAAATAAAAATAACAAAAAACACACCCAAACTCTGACAAATAGAGCTAGGGAAAATCCATGAAGAGAGGGTTTTCACGCTTTTGTATGCCTGAGAACAAAACTATCATCTGCAAAAATTGCAATCTTGCACAAAGGCCATCACAACCTTACACAAAAAATACTTCCGTGAGCACATCTGCCCAGAAACTACCTGCCCAACCTCAGACTGGTGTCACCCTTGCTGTTAATCCTTATAGCCAAACATGTTGTTATTATTATTATTTGTAAAAGTAAGTTATTCTAAGAGTAATTGATTAAGGCTGTTGTCTTTTAATTGCTTTCTAATCTGGCTTCAAAACAATTACATAATTGTCTTCATTTTTCCTTTAAAAACCTTTGTCTTCCTTTACATCCTTGAATATGTACATAGTTTACTATGGCATGAATTTTCCCACTGCAATGCCGTATTCTCAAATGTCATTTTCTTTTAGAGGGCTTCTCTCTGTTTGTTATTTAGGTTGACACAGCAAAAGTGGGAAGTAACAAAAATTGAATAAATAAAATTTTATACTCCTATATAAATAATTATATGTAGCTACTGATGATAGAAGCAGAAATGGGTTTACCTCGAAGCAAAAGAAGCCTGAGTTCAGGGACCCTCACTTGCACTGGCTCCTTCCAAGACCCTAAGAGCAGCTCTAGCCATTGCTCACTTTGTTGTTATTATTATTATTTGCAAAAGTTCTTCTAAGAGTAATTGATTAGGGCTGTTGTCTTGTAATTGCTTTCCAATCTGGCTTCCCTCTGCCATACTTCCCCTGGTTTGGGGTGACATTATAGTGTTACTGGTATTTTGTATTATAACTCTCTTTTTTTAAGCTCTCTGCCCCACCAATTATGTAAGCTTCAGGTCCTAAATAGAATGGATCCGTCCCTGGTTATAGATTAATATTTATTGGCAATGGGGAATGGTTCATTAGATATTGTTGAGTGAAAGAGGCAACTTACAAAACACTGGTAAAGGAAGACCTCATTATATTAGGCAATTCTTGTATTGCTATAAAGAAATATCTGAGACTGGGTAATTTATCTAAAAAAGAGGTTTAACTGGCACACAGTTCCACAGGCTTTACAAGAAGCATGCTGCTGACATCTGCTCAGCTTCTAGGTAGGCCTCAGGAAGCTTACGATCATGGCAGAAGGTGGAAGGGGGGCAGGCACATGAGATGGTGAAAACAAGAGTCAGAGAGAATTGAGGGGAGGCGCCACACACTTTTAAACCACCAGATCTCACATGAACTCAGAGTGAGAGCTCACTTATTATGAAGCAGATGGCCCAAGCCATTCATGAGGCATCTGCCCCCATGATCCAAACACCTCCCACCAGACCCCAACTCCAGCATTGGGGATTACAATTCAACTATGAGATTTGGGTGGGGACAAATATCCAAACTATATCACCCATGTAGAATGCTTATACATACGTATGTTTTTTGGTGCTAGATGAATTACAATGCCTCAGGCATAAGTCACTTTTACAATAAATGAAAATACCAAAATGGCTCCCATTTAAGAAATAGTTGCCAATTAATTTTTAAATTAAAATATATTTGTGTTCTGGGTAGGGATAAAAACTAACTGGAAATGGGGATGAATGAATTTTCTGGGGTGGTGGAAATGTTCTTTATGTTGTTTTGTGCAATACTTATATGATGATATGGAAATGTTACAATTCATTGAACTGAAAAGCTGCACTCTGCATTTTATTGTACACTAATTATACCTCCATATAATATATATAATTAAAATAATCACATTAAAATTGAAATATTGAAAAGAAAAAATTACACTCAGTTCCATCACCTTAAAACAACTACTTAACACTGTGGGATGTTTCGCCGAAATGTGTTTTCCCCCAACTTATCACCTTTTCATATTTATACTATATGAAAGGTATGTGTATGCTTATAAAGAAATGTGTGATGACAAAAGGAATTGCTAAGGTCAATTGAGCTCACCATGTGCCAGGCACTGCAGCAAGAAGTTTACATGCATTTACGTTTAGTCTTCTCAACCATATTATTCTCATTTTACAGATGAGGAAACATGCAGGAAGAGTAAGTAATCTGCCAGAGTCACACAGCTAATGTTACAGAGCTCAGACCTGACTCCAGGCAATCTGATTCCCCCACCCTTCTAGATGCCCTACCTGGCTAGATGAGCCATTTTCTTGCTGGGAAATATATGAGCTCAACTGTTCCAACTTCTCCATATGCATTCTTGGTTCCCCTCAGCCCACATCTACCCTTCAGTCTTTTTGGAAAGTCAATCAACACATTCATAAGTACTCCCACTTCAGCCACTGGCAATGGAGGCTTCTGCATGGGTCCCTTGGAAACTGGGACACATTCCTTATAGGGTTTCTTGATCTTGATTACTTTTTTTTTTCCCCCACACAGGGTCTTGCTTTGTCACTCAGGCTGAGTATACTGGCATTGGAACAGGAATTAAAAGAAATTAAAAACTGTGTAAGCAAAAACTCGGTTGTATGTAAAAAAACCCAATTTCCCTTGAGGAAGAGAAAGGGCTGGAGTCCTTTAAAATTAACTGCCTGTTTTTCTTTCTGAGGCTAGTGAGCCTTATCTCTCCCTTTCCCAGGCATTGTGAAGACTCTGTTTCTCTAGCTGTGCAGCTGCAAGGTCACTAGACAGATACTCTCAAGTCGTAAAACGTGTTGTTCCTTGAAAAGTAAGATATAATGTAATGCCATGTCTCAATTGAATAACTGTCTTTGTTTCTCGCTTCTGTAATATGCTTCCCACTGCACAAATCTCCCCCTGCCCCACGAAATGTTTAAAAGGTAGCTTGACTCTTTGTTCAGGGCTCAGTCCTTTGGATGTTAATCTGACTGGGTTTGTGCACCTAAATAATTAAATAATTCCTCCTCAACCCCTCGGTCCCTTTGGTTTCTTAATTATCCCGCAGCAGCATGAACATGGCTCACTGCAGCCTTGACCTCTTGGGCTCAAGCAATCCTCCCACTTCAGCCCCCTAAGTAGCTGGGACTAAGGGCGCATGCCACCAAGCCTGGTTAATTTTTGCATTTTTTGTAGAGACGGGGTTTCACCATGTCGCCTGGGCTGATCTTGAACTCCTGAGCTCAAGCGATCCACCCGCCTGGGCCTCCCAAAGTGCTGGAATTACAGGTGTGAGCCACTGCACCCAGTTAAAGTCACAGATCTCCAAGTCAGGTCTGAGCTCTGTAACATTAGCTGTATGACTCTGGCAAATTAATCTTCCTGCATCTGTTTTTTCATCTTTGAAATAAGAATAACATTAAAATAGTTTATTCTTACTATTTTTTAAAATTAGAATATTGAGAAGAAGGAAAAAAAATACCTATGTTTCCACTACTATAATGGAAACTTTGCCATCATTTTGCTTTTGGTTGACATCTCCCCCTCCCCCATTTTTAAAAATTAAAATTGACTCTCTTTCTTTCCTTCTTTCTTTTTCTTTTTTTAAAGATGATGTCTTGCTATGTTGTCCATGCTGGACTCACACTCCAGAGCCCAAGCGATCCTCCCTCTTCAGCCTCCTGGATAGCTGGGACTACAGGGATGTGCCACCACACCTGGCTTAAACCAATTTCTTTTTAATTCATAATTTTTAAATCAAAACAATTTACTCAACTCTTTATTTTGAAAAGTTTTAAACCTCAAAAAAGTTGAAAGAATAGTACAATGAACACTCACGTACCCTTACTCTAGCACCAATAATTCACCAATTATTAACATTTTGACTGTGTCCCCCTCTGCCATAATATACTTTTCTTTTTTTCTGAAACCAGCTGATTGATTAGGGTGGTGGTTGCTGAAAGGTGAGGTGCTGTGGCAATTTCTTAAAATAACACAACAATGAAGTTTGCTGCATGGATTGACTCTTCCTTTCATGAAAGATTTCTCAGTAGCATGTGATGCTAATTGGTAGCATTTTATCCACAGTAGAATGTTCAAAATTGTAGTCAATCCTCTCAAACCCTGCCACTGCTTTATCAACTAAGTTTACGAAATATTCTAAATCCTTCATTGTCATTTCAACAGTGTTCCCAGCATCTTCACCAGGAGTAGATTGTATCTCAAGAAACCACTTTCTTTGGTCATACATTAGAAGGAACTGTTCATCCATTCAAGTTTCTCACGAGATTGCCACAATTCAGTCATATCTTCAGGCTCCGCTTGTAATTTTAGTTTTCTTGCTATTTCCAACCACATCTGCAGTTACCTCCTTCACTGAAGTCTTGAACCTCTCAAAGTCATCAATGAGAACTGGAGTCAACTTCTTCCGAACTCTTGTTAATTTTGATATTTTGACATCTTCCCATGAATCACAAATGTTCTTAATGATATCTAAAATAGTGAACCCTTTCCAGAAGGTTTTCAATATACTTTGCCCAGATCCATCAGAGGAATAACTCTCTATGGCAGCCATAGCCTTACGAAATGTATCTTAAGTAATAAAACTTGAAATGCAAAATTACTTCTTGATCCATGGGCTGAAGAATGGATCTTGTGTTCACAGACATGAAAACAACATTCATCTCCTTATACATCTCCATTAGAGCTCTCGTGTGACTATGCACATTTTCAATGAGCAATAATACTTTGAGAGAAATCCTTTTTTCTGAGCAGTAGGCCTCAACAGTGGGCTTAAAATATTCAGTAAACCATGCTATGAACAGTTGTGCTGTCATCCAGGCTTTGTTGTTCTACTTACAGAGCACAGGCAGATTATATTTAGCGTAATTCTTAAGAGACCTAAGATTTTTATAATAGAATGGTAAACAAGCACTGGCTTCAATCCAAAGTCACTAGCTGCATTAGCCTCTAACAAAAGAGTGAGCTTGGCCTTTGAGGCCAGACATTGACCTCTCTAGCTATGAAAGTCCTTGATGGCGTCTTCTTCCAATAGAAGGCTGTTTTGTCTACATTGACTACTTGCTGTTCAGTGGCCACCTTCATCAACGATCTTACCTAGATCTTGGGGATAACTTGCTGCAGCTTCTCCATCAGCATTTGCTGCCTCATCTTACACTTTCATGTTCTGGAGACGGCTTCTTTCCTTAAACCTCATGAAATAATCTCTTCTAGCTTCAAACTTCTATAGCTTCCTCACCTCTCTCAGTCATCATAGAATAGAAGAGAATCAGGGCCTTGCTTTGGATTCGGTTTTGGGTTTAGGGGATGCTGTAGCCGGTTTTATTTTCTATCCAAACCACTAAAATTTTCTCCAAATCAGCAATAAACTGTTTCGCTTTCATATCATTCATGTGTTCATTAGAGTAAAATGTTTAATTTCCTTCAGTAACTTTTCCTTTGCATTCACAAACTGGCTAACTTTTTGGTGCAAACTTTCAGCCTAGCTTTCAGCCTATCTTGCCTTTTGACATCCCTTCCTCACTAAGCTTAACCATTTCTAGCTTTTGAGTTAAAGTGAGAGATGTGCGACTCTTTCTTTCACTTGAACACTTAGAGGCCCATTGTAGGGTTATTAATTGACCTAATTTCAACACTGTTGTGTCTCAGGGAATAGAGACCCAAGGAAAGGGAGAGAGAAGGAAGAACGGCCTGTCAGTGGATTAGTCTGAACACACACAACATTTATCAATTACGTTTGTATCTTATATGGGCACAGCTCATGGCGCCCCAAAACAATTACAATACAAGGAACACTCATCACACGTCACCCTTGTAGCAGAGCACATCTCCCTATGATCTAGGTACGAGCATTGTACCTAGGATGGACGCGTTCGTCCTCTTACCTTCGGGAACGCCCTACTCTGTCTACGGAGTAAAGTACTTAATAAACTTGCTTTTGCTTTGCTATGCGGACTCACCCTGAATTCTTTCCTGTGCAAGATCCAAGAACCCTCTCTTGGGGTCTGGATCGAGACCCCTTTCCGGTAACGAAACTACACTAAGAATACAAGAAAACTTACGTTACTGTGCGGGAGCTGACAAAGTCTCTCGCCGGAGGGAGCACACAGAATTTCACCTTCTCCGGCCTTTTCCCAAGCTGGCAGGAGTAAAGCTGTAAGAGGAGGTGCCAGCGCCCCAAGCCAGCTCTCCCGCCGGCACTGCTGCGGTCCGCGAGGCAGCCAATCAGGTAGCTGAGTTTGCCATAGGGGCGGGACTTCCTCCCCAGCGCGCACGAGTACGTGCGTGGAGGTCCCGCCCCGGAACTGCAGTTGCTGCTGCAGCTGAGGTACAGCGGCGGTTTCTGAGGTTCTTCACTCGCGACTGACGGAGCTGCGGTGGCGTCTCCACACGGTGAGTACCAAAACGAGCGGGGTTGGAGCCGACTCTGGAGAGGGGCTGAGGCCAGGAACCCGGGTTCCTATCGCGGGTCGCTCTGGGCCGGTGGGTTCCCGGGTCCAGAGAGGGCGGCCGCCGGCCCAAGCCGTCCAACCGAGCTGCGTGCCACGGTCCCCGCGCCTTGGGCTCCTTGTCCGGTCATCAGAGCCTGACGGCCTTGGCTTCTCGGCTTCTCGGTTTCTCGGTTTCGTGCGCGCGTTCGTGCCTGAGACAAAGCGAGAGGGCCGCGCGGGACCGGCGTCACGAGGAGACAGAGGCCCTTCTACTCTGCCTGGCGCTCTCCGTGTCCTCGCCCGGTTCGCGTGGCACCCCTCGCCCTCTCCTTGTTGAACCCCGCGTGTTTCTTTGTGTTTTTTTTTGTTTGTTTTTTGTTTTTTTGCCGTGGCGCAGCGGGTCCGGCGGGCACTGTGTGCGAACGTGCTCTCCTCGCCGGGCGCCATGCTCAGCGGTTTTTTTTGACGTGCGTCACTTTTTCGTAGTGGCGTATAAGGATTCTGTGGGACAGATGTCCTCGTTTTTCCCATTGTGCAGACTGGGAAATAAGAGACTCAGAGATTAATACGTCCACCGCAGAGCCACAGCTGACAAGTGGTGGATCTGGATTTGAACCAAAGTTTACCTTGGTCTTTTTCACGGAATCTGTTATCTTTCTTGGCCTTTCTGAAAAGGAAAAACCTGGATCGAGTTCCACCCAAACGAGTTGGGCCTAAATGGCCATTAAGCCACTTAAAATATGATGAAGAAACTGGATGGGTTTTAAGACGCTTGGCAAAGGAAAGGATGGTGGAGCAGGCATTTGCTCTCTCAGGCAAGGCTTGAGAAGGAAGCAAGCGCAGTACGCTTTTAATAAAGCTCACCCCTCCTGCCCCCACAAGAAAAACCCCTGAGATTCTTACTCTGCCTTCAGAACGACTTAGGTGTGGCAGGTTTCATCCTCCGTGCTTTACATAATTTTCTTTATTTACATAAAATGTACAACTTAGATATTGTTAGGTACCCTCCCCCCTTTTTATAGATGAGAGCACTGAAGTTCAGAGAGGAGTGGGTGGCACTATCCAAGGTCACACAGGCAGTAAGTGTTGGATTTGGAATTCAAACCAGGTCTAGCTCATATGTCTTTGTTCCATCACATGTGTACCCTGTGTTCCAGGCAAAGCTGTCTGTTCTGTGGTATTCTTTGTTCTTCTCTAGGTGGGAGCAACTGTGTGATAGCCATCTTTGTATCCTCAGTTCTTTGTAGGGCCTAGTTGCTTAGAAAATATTTGTTACATCAGAACCCTCTGCTTCTCAGACACCAACCTAATAGAACATGTATCTCCTTTTCAGCAACCATGAAGTTGAAGGACACAAAATCAAGGCCAAAGCAGTCAAGCTGTGGCAAATTTCAGACAAAGGGAATCAAAGTTGTGGGAAAATGGAAGGAAGTGAAGATTGACCCAAATATGTTTGCAGATGGACAGATGGATGACTTGGTGTGCTTTGAGGAATTGACAGATTACCAGTTGGTCTCCCCTGCCAAGAATCCCTCCAGTCTCTTCTCAAAGGAAGCACCCAAGAGAAAGGCACAAGCTGTTTCAGAAGAAGAGGAGGAGGAGGAGGGAAAGTCTAGCTCACCAAAGAAAAAGATCAAGTTGAAGAAAAGTAAAAATGTAGCAACTGAAGGAACCAGTACCCAGAAAGAATTTGAAGTGAAAGATCCTGAGCTGGAGGCCCAGGGAGATGACATGGTTTGTGATGATCCGGAGGCTGGGGAGATGACATCAGAAAACCTGGTCCAAACTGCTCCAAAAAAGAAGAAAAATAAAGGGAAAAAAGGGTTGGAGCCTTCTCAGAGCACTGCTGCCAAGGTGCCCAAAAAAGCGAAGACATGGATTCCTGAAGTTCATGATCAGAAAGCAGATGTGTCAGCTTGGAAGGACCTGTTTGTTCCCAGGCCGGTTCTCCGAGCACTCAGCTTTCTAGGCTTCTCTGCACCCACACCAATCCAAGCCCTGACCTTGGCACCTGCCATCCGTGACAAACTGGACATCCTTGGGGCTGCTGAGACAGGTAAGGGCAACTCTGGCCAAAGCAGGATTGCTTCTGGATTGAGCCCATAGCTGCTAATAGGCCAGATAATTGGGAGAGAGAAGAATGTTGAAGAACATAACCACAAAAGCAACGCTGAATAAAGGTGTTTAGAAGTCAGCCCCTCTGGTTTGAAATATGCTCTTCTTGAATGGTATCCTAGCCAGATCACTTTTATCTCTCTCAGCTCTGTAGACCCCATTATCAACCAAATGGAGATAACAGTTTCTACCTCTTGCATTGCTGTGAGGGTTAAATGCCACAGTAAACTAAAGCTTACACTGTACATTGGAAGTGGTCTGCAAATCGTAGTTTCTGCTGTTCTTGAGCCTTTTCTAAATAGCTCAAAGGGGTAAGGCAAGGCTAAGATCAGCCCTTTGGAGAGGTAGATCTTCATGAGTATAGGGAAGAACTGTCTAATTCTCAGGAGTTGTGCAAAGGTGAAAAGGGTTGCTGCTTTGGGAGTTGATGAGTTTCTTGTCATTGGAAGGATTTGAGTGTGGTGGGTAGTCATTGGGTGGATTTTGTAAACAGATTCAGCTATGAAGTGTTAGGACTATGCTGTGTTTGAGGTTCCTGCGAGACTTTTGGAAGCAATGACAGGTTGACTTTGCTGGATAGACTAGACTGCTGACTTGGGGGAGGAACTAGTACTGCCTGGAACTATTGGTCTGTTTAGACCAGCAGTGTCCATTAGAAATACATATAGTCATCTCTTGATATCCATGGAGGATTGGTTCCAGGACCTCCCTTGGATACCAAAATCCAGGGATGCTCAAGTCTCTGATATAAAATGGTGTAGTGCTTACATATAACCTATATAGGCACATCCTCCTGTATATTTTAAATCATCTCTCGATTACTTATAATATCTCATACAACATAGGTCTTATGTAAATTGTTACACCGTATTGTTTAGGGAATAATGACAAGAAAAGTCTGTACAGTGTTTAGTACAGATACAGTTTTTTTTTTTTTACCCCCCCGAATATTGTCGATCCACAGATGCAGAACCCACGGTTACAGAAGGGTGACTGTATAATGTGAAACACATAAGTAATTTAAAATTTACTAGGAGTCACATTTTTTAAAAGTTAAAAACTAGTGAGATATTTTATGTTCTTTTTTTTTTTTTTACTAAATTTTCAAAATCTGGTGTGTTTTAAACTTGCAGCACATGTCATTTTAGAGTAACTACATTTTAAGTGTTCAGTAGACACGTGCTTTGGGTTTCTGGAACAGTGGTCAGGAAACTCAGGATGATGTTCTGTGGCAGTCATATAGATGGAAGAGTGAGGAACTACAGGAAAGGGGAATGGAGATAATAACTTAGAACATTTACTGAGCATTTAAGATGTGTCATGCACTGTGTTAAGTGCTTTATGTTGATGAAATCGGTTGTCACAACCACCCTGGGGTAAGTACCATTATTCCCATGTTACAGATGAGAAAACTCAGCCTCACAGAGCATAGACAGCTTCCCTAAAATTACACAACTGAAATGGTAGTGTATGGATTCCAGGCTAGTTCTGTGTGTTGTTAAGCATTCTGCTACACTGCTTTGGTATGTGCAGCAGAGTCCTGGAAGTAAGTCCGTGGAAGGCAGAAACAAGGTTTATATGAGCCGTTGTGGCCAGAGATTGACATTTGGATGTATACCACAGTTCCTGTCAGGTTGTGAATCTACAAGTCCAGAATTCAAAACGACTTGGATAAGTCATCCATCTGGGGCTGTGAACAGACCACTGCCCATGCAATAATAAATAGACCCTTAATGTGGGGATTAGGGGCATTGGTCCCCTGTGCAGTCGAAAATCCATGTATAATTTTGAACTCCCCCCAAACTTAAACGCTAATAGCCTATTATTGGCTGGATGCCTTACAGATAACATAAGCAGTCTATTAGCACATATTTTGTATTATATACTTTATTCTTACAGTAACATAAGCTAGAGAAAAAATGTTATTAAGAAAATTGTAAGGAACAGAAAATATATTTACTATTCATTAAATGGAAGTGGATCATCATAAATGTGTTCATCTTCATCTTGACTTTCAGTAGGCTGAGTAGAAAGAGGAGGGGTTGGTCTTGCTGTCTCAGGGTGGCTGAGGTGGAAGAAATTCTGTGTATAAGTGGACCCCTACCTTCAAATTTGTGTTAAAGGGTCAACTGTATATCCATTACCCCCAAAAAGATACCCTGGGTTTTTTTTGTTGTCCCTCCCTCCCTCCCTCAGTTCTTGTTCCTCCTCAGGCAACCACTGATAGGCTTTCTATCACTATAGATTAATTTGCATTTTCTTGCTTTCTTTTTTTTTTTTTTTTTGAGACGGAGTCTCGCTCTGTCACCCAGGCTGGAGTGCAGTGGCCCAATCTCGGCTCACTGCAACCTCCGCCTCCTGGGTTCAAGTGATTCTCCTGCCTCAGCTTCCCGAATAGCTGGGATTACAGGCACTTGCCACCACATCTGGCTAATTTTTGTATTTTTAGCAGAGACGGGGTTTCACTATGTTGGTCAGGCTGGTCGCAAACTCCTGCCCTCATGACCTGCCTGCTTCGGCCTCCCAAAGTGCTGGGATTACAGGTGTGAGCCACTGTCCCCGGCCTAATTTGCGTTTTCTAGAATTTTATATAATGAAATCATATAATATGTACTGGAGGGGGTGGTATCTGAGTCTTTGACTCAGCATAATTTGAGATTACGCCATGTTATTACAATTACTAGCAGTTCATTCCTTTTTAGTGATGAATAGTATTCCAATGTGTGGGTAGAGCAGTTTGTTCATCTATTGATGGACATTTGTGCTTTTTCTTGTTTTTGGCTATTACAAATATAGTTATTGTAAATACTATTGTACCAGTCTTTGTATGGATATGTGCTTTAATTTCTATTGGATAAATACCTAGGTGTGGAATGGCTAGGTCTTGTGGTAAATGTAACTTTTAAAGAGTTTTCCAAAGTGATTATACCATTTTACGTTGTCACTAGGTGGTATGAGTTCAAGTTGGTCCATATTCTTGTCAATAACTAGGTATGCTCAGTCTTTAATTTTATTTTAGACTTTTAAAATTTTACTATTATTTCCTTGTCATTTGAATTTGCATTTCCCTAGTGACTAGCAATGTAGAGCATTTTAGCATATGCTTATTTGTCTGTTTGATTATTTTGCCCATTTTTAAAATAGGGATGTTCTGTTGTAGAGTTTTGGGAGTTCATTGTGTATTCTAGATACATGTCCTTTATCAGATGTGAGATTTGCAAATTTTTCTCCCAGTTTGTGGCTTATCTTTTCGTTCTCTTAACAGTGTTTTTCAAAGAGCAGAAAGTCTTTATTTTGATGAAATCCAAATTAGCCTTGTCTTTTATGAATTTATGCTTTTGGTGCCGTTGGTGTTTTATCTAAGAACCTTTTGCCTAATTCAAGATCACAAAGATTTCTCCTGTGTTTTGTTCTAGAAGTGTTAATAGTCTTAGGTTTTATGTTTTGGTCTCTGATCCTTATTGAGTTAACTTTTATTTAGAGTGAGAAGTATGGATCAAAGTTTGTGGGTTTTTCTGCATATGGCTAATTATTTCAGCACCATTTGTAGAAAAACTATTCTTTCTCCACTGAGTTGACTTTGCATCTTTGTTGAAAGTCTGTGACCATATAGGTGTGGGTCTTTCTCTGGAGTCTTTTTGTTTTCCATTGATCTGTTTGTCTAGTCTTTATGTCAGTTTCTTATTCTCTTGGTTATAATAGCTTTATAATAAGTCTTAAAATCAGGTAGTATGAGTCCTCTAACTTTGTTCTTTTTAAAAGTTATTTTGACTGTTGTAGGCCTTTGCCCTTCCATATGGATTTTAGAATCCGTTATATCAGTTTCTACAAAAAAAGTAAGCTGATATCTGGATTGGGATTCTGTTGATTACAGAGCAAATTGAGGATAGATGACGTCTTAACAATATTTAATTTTCCAGTCTATGAATATGGTATCTCTCCATTTCTTTAGATCTTTAACTTTTCTTAGCAATGTTTTAAAATTTTCAGTATATAGATTTTTCACATCTTATGTTAGATTTATCCTTAAGCATTTTATATTTTTGATTCTATTGTAAATGGTAATTTAAAATTTTTTATTTCCGATTGTTTGTCGCCAATAAGTAGAAATATGATGGATTTTTGTATATTGATCTTGTGTCCTGCAACTTAGTTCCACCAAGTAGTTTTCTGAGGATTCCATGGTATTTTCTGCAAAGATGATCATTATCCAGTCTTGGATGCCTTTTGTTTTTCTTGTTGTATTGCAGTGGCTAACACCTTTAGCAGAATTTTGAATTGTAGTGGTAAAGTGGGCATTATTGCTTTGTGTTTGATCTTCTGGGGAAAACATTTAGTCTTTCACCATTAAGTCTGATCTTAGCTGTAGGTTTTTTGTAGGTGCTTTTTATCACGTTGTGGAAGTTCTCTTTGATTTCTCATTTGCTGAGAGGTTTTATCAGGGTTGGATGTTGGATATTTTTCAAATGCTTTTTTACTGCATATATTGAAATAGGTGGTTTTTCATTTTTAGTCTGCCAATGTGGTGAATGACATTGATTTTCAATTATGAAATTAGACTTACATTCCTGGGATAAACTGAACTTGGTCACAATATACTATTCTAATTATATTTTGTTGGATTTGATTTGCTAAAATTTTGTTGAGAATTTTTGAACTTATGTTCATGGGATAGTTGTAGTTTTCTTGTAATGTTTTGGTGTTGGAATCAGTAATGTAGCTTCAGAATGATTTCTGAAGTATTCTGTTCAGTTTTCTGAAAGAATTTATACAGGATTGACATTTTATACCCAACTTAAATTTTTGGTAGAATTCATCTGAGCCTGCACTTGTCTTTGTAGGAAGATTTTTGACTACAAATTTACTTTGTTTAATAGATTAGAGATATTTGTGTTACTTATTTTTTTCTTTTTTTTTTTTTTTGAGATGGAGTCTCGGTCTGTTGCCCAGGCTGGAGTGCAGTGGTGCGATCTCAGCTCACTGCAAGCTCTGCCTCCTGGGTTCACACCATTCTCCTGCCCCAGCGTCCCAGGTAGCTGGGACTACAGGTGCCCACCACCATGCCCGGCTAATTTTTTGTATTTTTAGTAGAGACAGGGTTTCACCGTGTTAACCAGGATGGTCTCAATTTCCTGACCTCGTGATCTGCTCGCCTCGGCCTCCCAAAGTTCTGGGATTACAAGCATGAGCCGCCACACCCGGCCACTTATTTTTTTCTTGAGTGACTGTTTTCTACTTGCAGTTCTATTAGTTTTTGTTTCATGTATTCTGACAATCAGTTTATGTGAATACATGTTTTATGGATTAAAATATTAGATTATTATTATATCCTCTAAATGAATTGGCTTGTTATCGTTATGAAATGGCCCCCTTTATCCTTAGTAATTTTTTTTTGTTCTAAAATGTCCTTTGGTATTGATGCAGCCAGTCCAGCTTTATTGATTAAGGGGTTAGCATGGTATGTGTTTTTCAATACTATTACTTTCCCTTATTTATATTTAATGTGAATTTCTTATAGGCAGCATATAAATGGGTCTTGCTGTTTAATCAGACAGTTCGTGTCTTTGAGTTGAATTATTGAAGCCAGGCATGGTGGCTCACATCTGTAATCCCAGCACTTTGGGAGGCCAAGGCATGTGGATCACTTGAGGCCAGGAGTTCAAAACCAGCCTGGCCAACATGGCGAAACTGTCTCTACTAAAAATACAAAAAAATAGCCAGGCGTGGTGGCATGTGCCTGTAGTCCCAGCTGCTTGGGGGGCTGAGCCACAAGAATTGCTTGAACCCAGGGGGCGGAGGTTGCAGTGAGCTGAGATTGTGCCACTGCACTCCATCCTGGGTGACAGAGTGAGACTCTATCTCAAAAAAAAAAAAAAAAAGAAAAGAAAATTAATTGAGTTACTGAGATTATTTACGTTTAATGATTATTGATAATGGTGGGTTTACTTATTTATTTTTTGACTGATAGCATACCTGATTTATTTATTTTTTTCACATTTCTGTTTTTTATTTTAAATTTTTTTTTCCTTTTCTATGTTTAGATGTTTATTTTTAATTTTTTTAAATTTTTCCATAAGTTATTGGTGTACAAGTGGTATTTGGTTACATGAGCAAGTTTTTTTGTTTGTTTGTTTTTTGAGACGGAGTCTTGCTTTGTCACCCTGGCTGGAGTGCAGTAGTGCTATCTCAGCTCACTGCAATCTCCACCTTCTGGGATCAAGCCATCCTCCTTCCTCAGCCTCCCAAGTAGCTGAACTACAGGCATGTGCCACCATGCCCGGCTACTTTTTGCATTTTTAGTAGAGACAGGGTTTCACCACGTTGGCCAGGTTGGTCTTGAACTCCTGAACTCAAGTAATCTGCCCACCTCGGCCTCCCAAAGTGTTGGGATTACAGGCGTGAGCCACTGTGCCAGTTTAGTGGTGATTTGTGAGATTTTGGTGCACCTATCACCCGAGCAATATACGCTACACCATATTTGTAGTATTTCATCCCTTGCCCCTCTTTCATTCTTCCCCCCAAGTACCCGGAGTCCATTGTATCATTCTTATGCTTTTGCATCCTCATAACTTAGTCCTGCATATCAGTGATAACATACGATGTTTGGTTTTCCATTCCTGAGTTACCTCACTTAGAATAATAGTCTCCAGTCTCATCCAGGTCACTGCAAATGCTGTTAATCCATTCCTTTTTATGGCTGCATAGTATTCCATCCTGTATATACCACAGTTTCTTTATCTACTCGTTGATTGATGGGCATTTGGGTTGGTTCCATGATTTTGCAGTTGTGAATTGTGCTGCTATAAAATTATGTGTGAAAGTATCTTTTTTGTATAATGACTTCTTTTCCTCTGGGTAGATACCCAGTAGTGGGATTGCTTGATCAAATGGTAGTTCTACTTTTAGTTCTTTAAGGAATCTCCACGCTGTTTTCCATAGTGGCTATACTAGTTTGCTTTCCCACCAGGACATAGAAGTGTTCCTTGTTCACCACATCCATGCCAACATTGTTTTTTTTTTGAGATGGAGTTTCGCTCTTGTTGCCCAGGCTGGAGTGCAATGGCGCAATCTCGGCTCACTGCAACCTCTGCCTCCCGGGTTCAAGTGATTCTCCTGCCTCAGCCTCCCGAGTAGCTGGGATTACAGGCATGCGCCACCATACCCAGCTAATTTTGTATTTTTAGTAGAGACGTGGTTTCTCCATGTTAGTCAGGCTGGTCTCAAACTCCCGACCTCGGGTGATCCGCCCATCTCGGCCTCCCAAAGTGCTGGGATTACAGGTGTGAGCCACTGTGCCCGGCTTTTTTTCTTTTTTTAAGTCAAAGGCTCACTCTGTTGCCCAGGCTGGGGTGCAGTGGCACAATCTTGGCTCACTGCAACCTCCGCTTCCCAGGTTCAAGTGATTCTCCTGCTTCAGCCTCCTTAAGTAGCTGGGATTACAGGTGCCTGCCACCATGCCCGACTAATTTTTGTATTTTTAGTAGACATGGGGTTTCACCATGTTGGCCAGGCTGGTCTTGAACTCCTGACCTCAGGTGATCTGCCCACCTCAACCTCCGGAAGTGCTGGGATTACAGGCATGAGCAACCGTGCCTGGCTGCCAACATCTACTGTTTTTTGATTTTTTGATTATGGCCATTCTTGCAGGAGTAAGGTGGTATCACATTGTGGTTTTGCTTTGCATTTCCCTGATCATTAGTGATGTTGAGCATTTTTTCATGTTTGTTGGCCATTTGTGTATCTTCTTTTGATAATTGTCTATTTATGTTGTTAACCCACTTTTTGATGGGATTTTTTTTTCTTACTGATTTGTTTGAGTTTGCTGTAGATTCTGGATATTAGTCCTTTGTCAGATGTATAGATTGTGAAGATTTTCTGCCACTGTATGGGTTGTCTATTTAGTTTGCTGACTGTTCCTTTTGCTGTACAGAAGCTCTTTAGTTTAATTAGGTCCCAGATATTTATCTTTGTTTTTATTGCATTTGCTTTTGGGTTCTTGGTCATGAAATCCTTGCCTAAGCCAATGTCCAGAAGGGTTTGTCCAATGTTAATTTTCTGGAATTTTTATAGTTTCAGGTCTTAGGTTTAAGTCCTTAATCCATCTTGAGTGGATTTTTGTATAAGGTGAGAGATGAGGATCCAGTTTCATTCTCCTACAGGTGGCTAGCCAGTTATCCCGGCACCATTTGTTGAAAACAATGTCCTTTCCCCACTTTAGGTTTTTGTTTGCTTTGTTGAAGATCAGTTGGCTGTAAGTATTTGGGTTTATTTCTGGGTTCTCTATTCTGTTCCATTGGTCTTTGTGCCGATTTTTATACCAGTATCACTCTGTTTTGGTGACTATGGGCTTATAGTATAGTTTGAAATCAGGTAGTGTGATGCCTCCAGATTTGTTCTTTTTGCTTAGTCTTGTTTTGGCTATGCAGGCTCTTTTTTGGTTCCATATGAATTTTAGAATTGTTTTTTCTAATTCTGTGAAGAATGATGGTGGTATTTTGATGAGATTGCATTGAATTTGTAGATTGCTTTTGGCAACAGTCATTTTCACAATATTGATTTTACCCATCCATGAGCGTGGGATGTGTTTCCATTTGTTTCTGTTGTCTGTGATTTCTTTCAGCAGTGTTTTGTAGTTTTCCTTGTGGACGTCTTTTGACTCCTTTGTTAGGCATATTCCTAAGTATTTTTTTTTTTTGCAACCATTTTAAAAGGGATTGAGTTCTTGATTTGATTCTCCACTTGGTCGCTGTTGGTGTATAAAAGAGCTACTGATTTGTGTACGTTAATCTTGTATCCGGAAACTTTGCTGAATTGTTTATCAGTTTTAGGAGCTTTCTGGAGGAGTCCTTAGGATTTTCAAGGTAAATGATCATATCATCAGCAAACAGTGCCAGTTTGACTTCCTCTTTACTGATTTGGATGCCCTTTATTTTTTTTCTCTTGTCTTATTGCTCTGGCTAGGACTTCCAGGACGATGTTGAAGAGGAGTGGTAAGAGTAGGTGGGCATCCTTGTCTTGTTCCAGTTCTCAGAGGGAATGCTTTCACCTTTTCCCCATTCAGTATTATGTTGACTGTGGGTTTGTCATAGAAGGCTTTTATTACATTAAGGTGTGTCCCTTGTATGCCAATTTTGCTGAGAATTTTAATTGTAAAGGGATGCTGGATTTTGTCTAATGCTTTTTCTCCATCTATTGAGATCATGTGATTTTGGTTTTTAACTCTGCTTATGTGGTATACCACATTTATTGACTTGCATATGTTAAACCATCCCTGCATCCCTGGCATGAAACCCACTTGATCATGGTGGGTTATCTTTTTGATATGTTGTTGGATTTGGTTAGCTAGTATTTTGTTAAGGATTTTAGGATCTATGTTCATCAGGGATATTGGTCTGTAGTTTTCTTTTTTGGTTGTGTCCTTTCCTGGTTTTGGTATTAGGGTGATGCTGGCTTCATAGAATGAATTAGGGAGGGTTCCTTCTTTCTCCATCTCGTAGAATAGTGTCAAAAGGATTGGGACCAGTTCTTTGAATGTCTGGTAGAATTCTGTTGCAAATCCGTCTGGTTCTGGACTTTTTTTTGTTGGTAATTTTCTAATTACCATTTCAATCTTGCTGCTTGTTATTGGTCTGTTCAGGGTATCTCATTCTTCCTGACTTAAGCTAGGAGGGTTTTTTTTCCAGGAATTTATCCATCTTTTCTAGGTTTCCTAGTTTATCTGTGTAAAGGTGTTCATAGTAGCCTTGAATGATCTTTCTTATTTCAGTGGTTTCAGTTGTAATATCTCCTGTTTTGTTTTATAGTGAGGTTATTTTGATTTTCTCTCTTCTTTTCTTGGTTAATCTTGCTAATGGTCTGTCAATTTTATTTATCTTTTCAAAGAACTAGCTTTTTGTTTTGTTTATCTTTTGTTTTTTTGTTTGTTTGTTTCAATTTCATTTAGTTCTGCTCTGATCTTGGCTATTTCCTTTCTTCTGCTGGGTTTGGGTTTGGTTTGTTCTTGTTTCTCTAGCTCCTTGAGATGTGACCTTAGATTGTCTGTTTGTGCTCTTTCAGACTTTTCGATGTAGCCATTTAGGGCTATGAACTTTCCTCTTAGTGCTGCCTTTGCTGTATCCTAGAGGTTTTGATACGTTGTGTCATTATTGTCATTCAGTTTGAAGAATTTTTAAATTTACAAACTGATTTTGTTTTTGACCCAATGCTCATTCAGGAGCAGGTTATTTAATTTTCATGTATTTGCATGGTTTTGAAGGTTCCTTTTGGAGTTGATTTCCAGTTTTATTCCACTGTGGTCTGAGAGAGTGCTTGATATAATTTCAATTTTCTTAAATTTATTGAGGCTCATTTTATGGCCTATCATATGGTCTATCTTGGAGAAAGTTCCATGTGCTGTTGAATAGAAGTATATTCTGCAGTTGTTGGATGAAATGTTCTGTATATATCTGTTAAGTCCATTTGTTCCAAGGTATAGTTTAAATCGATTGTTTCCTTGTTGACTTTCTGTCTTGATGATCTGTCTAGTGCTGTCAGTGGAGTATTGAAGTCCCCCACTATTATTGTGTTGCTGTCTGTCTCATTTCTTAGGTCTGTTAGTAATTGTTTCGTAAATTGGTGAGCTCCAGTGTTAGGTGCATATATGTTTAGGATTTTGATATTTTCCTGTTGGACAAGGCCTTTTACCATTATATAATGTTCCTCTTTGTCTGTTTTAACCATTGTTGCTTTAAAGTTTGTTTTGTCTGATATAAGAATAGCTACCCCTACTTGCTTTTGGTGTCCATTTGCATTAAATGCCTTTTTCCACCCCTTTACTTTAAGTTTATGTGAGTCCTTATGTGTTAGATGAGTCTCCTGAAGGCAGCAGATAGTTGGTTGATGAGTTCTGCATCCATTCTGCAGTTCTTTATCTTTTAAGTGGAGCATTTAGACCATTTCCATTCAATGTTAGTATTGAAATGTGAGGTACCCTTGCGTTCCTCATGCTCTTTGTTGCCTGTGTACTTTAGTTTTGTTTTTTTGTTTTTGCTTTTTAACTTGTATGTCTGCATCCTGTGTGATTTTTACTTTATACTTTAAAGAGGTTGTTCTGTTTTAATACGTCTCCAGGGTTTGTTTCAAGATTTAGAGCTCCTTTTAGCAGTTCTTGTAGTGGTGGCTTGGTAATGGCAAATTGTCTCTACATTTGTTTATCTGAAAACAATTGTATCTTTCCTTCATATATGATGCTTAGTTTTGCTGGATACAAAATTCTTGGCTGAAGATTGTTTTGTTTGAGGAGGTTGAAGATAGGGCCCCAGTCCCTTCTAGCTTGTAGGGTTTCTCCTGAGATGTCTACTGTTAATCTGATAGGTTTTCCTTTATAGGTTATCTGGTGCTTCTGTCTCACAGCTCTTAAAATTCTTTCCTTTGTCTTAACTTTGTATAACCTAATGACAGTGTGCCTAGGTGAAGATCTTTTTGCAGTGAATTTCCCAGGTGTTCTTTGTGCTTCTTGTATTTGGATATCTAGGTCTCTAGCAAGGCTGGAGAAGTTTTCCTCAATTATTCCTCCAAATATGTTTTCCAAGCTTTTAGCATTCTCTCCTTCCTCAGGTACACCGATTATTAGGTTTGGTCATTTAACATAATCCCAGACTTCTTAGAGCCTTTGTTCATTTTTTCTTATTCTTTTTTCTTTGTCTTTCTTGGATTGGGTTAATTTGAAGATCTTGTCTTTGAGCTCTGAATTTCTTTCTTCTACTTGTTCAGTTCTATTGCTGAGACTTTCCCCAGCATTTCACATTTCTAAAAGTATGTCTAGAGTTTCCTGAATTTTTTATTGTTTTCTCTTTATGTATTTCCTTTAATATTTCTCCCTCCACTTCTTGTATCATTTTTTGGATTTCCTTGCATTGAGACTTTATCTTTCTCTGGTCCCTCCCTGATTAGCTTAATAACTAACCTCCTGAATTCTCTTTCAGGTAAATCAGGGATTTCTTCTTGGTTTGGATCCATTGCTGGTGAACTAGTATGATTTTTTGTTGGGGGCTGTTGAAGAGCCTTGTTTTGTCATATTACCAGGGTTGGTTTTCTGGTTCCTTCTCATTTGGGTAGGCTGTTTCAGAGGGAAGGTCTAGGGCTGAAGGCTGTTGTTCAGATTCTTTTGTCTCATGGAGTGTTCCCTTGATGTAGTACTCCCCCTTTTCCTATGGATGTGGCTTCCTGTGAGCCAAACTGCAGTGATTGTTGTCTGTCTTCTGGGTCTAGCCACCCAGCAAATCTACCCGGCTCTGGGCTGGTACTGGGAGTTGTCTGCACAGAGTCCTGTGATGTTAACCGTCTATGGGGCTCTCAGCCACGGATACCAGCGCCTGTTCCGGTGGAGATGGCTGAGGGTGTGTTGGACTCTGTGAGGGTGCTTAGCTTTGGTAGTTTAATGCTCTGTTTTTGTGTTAGTTGGCCTCCTGCCAGGAGGTGGCACTTTCCAGAAAGCATCAGCTATAGTATGGAGAGGGACCAGCAGTGGGTAGGGCCCTAGAACTCCCAAGATTATATGCCCTTTGTCTTCTGCTACCAGGGTGGATAGGGAAGGACCATCATGTGGGGGCAGGTCTACGCCTGCTCTGACTCTCCTTGGGTGGGTCTTGTTGTGGGTGTTGTGGGGGATGGGGGTTAGATTCCCAGGTCACTGGAGTTGTGTACCTAGGAGGATTATGGCTGCCTCTGGTGAGTCATGCAGGTTGTCAGGGAAATGGGGGAAAGCCAGCAGTCATGGGCCTCACCCAGCTCCCTCACAAACCGAAGGGCAGTCTTACTCCCACCGTGTCCTCCCCAACAGCCCCAGTCTGTTTCCGGGAGGAGGGCTTGAAAACTTGCCCAAGGTTATCTGCTTCCCAGCTCTGAAAGAAAAGGGGCTTTAGTTCTTCCCCTACCTGTGAAGTCTGGATTCGTGCCCTCCCCCGAGTTCTGGCCAGGAGGCTTCTGGTCCTGTTCAGATTGTTAAATCAAATTGTTACAGAATTTGGCTAGAGAATGCCTTCTTTCTGTGGAGTTTTGCCCCCAGCTCCTGTGGCCACCCTCCCAGTGGATCCCTGTGGTGCCAGGCAGGAATGGGCTGCTTGGGGACCCAGCGAGCTCCCAGGGCCTTTCTGCTGCTTCTTCTACCCCTGTATTTCGCTCAGCTCTCTAACTTGACTCAGCTCCAGGTAAAGTCAGAAACTTCTCCTGCAAACAGACCTTCACCTTCTCTAGTGGGGGTGTGTGTTTGGGAGAGGAGAGCCTCCCTCCTCTCCACAGTTGGGGCACTCACGGTATTTGGGGGTCTCCTGGGTCCTGCTGGAGCAGTCCAGTTCCTTCAGAGGGTCTGTGGTTCCTCTCAGGATTACTGGTTTGTTCTTGCAGTCAATCTGGAGCTAAAACTCACAATGCAAGCCTCCCCTTGCTGCTCTTTCAGGAGTTGCAATCTAGTCCTCCCTCCTGTCTGCAGTGATCCCGGGAGCAGCATCAGTGGTTAGGTTTAAATCTGTTACTTTTCTATTAGTCCCAGCTCTTCTTTGTTTCCTTCTTTGGCACTGAATTTGTGTGTGTGTGTGTGTGTGTCAGAGAGAGAGATACTATTAAGATCTACCCATACGCCGGGTGCAGTGGCTCACACCTGTAATCCCAGCACTTTGGGAGGCCAGGGCAGGTGGATCACGAGGTGAAGAGATAGAGACCATCCTGGCCAACATGGTGAAACTGCATCTCTACTAAAAAAAAAAATCAAAAGTTACTTGGGTGTGGTGGCAGATGCCTGTAGTCCCAGCTACTTGGGAGGCTGAGGCAGGAGAATCGCTTGAACCTGGAGGTGGAGGTTGCAGTGAGCTGAGATTGTACCACTGTACTCCAGCCTGGCGACAGAGCAAGACTGTGTCTCAAAAAAAAAAAAAAGATTTTCTACCCACAGAACACTCTTGGCATCAAATGTGTGGGTTTTTCCCACACTCACAACCAGCTCTGCAACTCTGTGGACACCAACTGGTTATCCTACAATTCTGTTCAATTCAGACACTATCTACCTGGAGCTAGTGTCATTCCTTACAGGTTAAGGGCTCAGTCCCACAAGGTTGCCCCCATTAATGATGCTAATCACAAATAATGGTACTTCTGGTCAGCTTGGCTACAAATTGGGTATTCCCACAACACCTTCCTCAGGTTCAGCACTTTGCTATGCCTGACAGAATTCAGGGAAACACTTTACTTGTATTTAACAATTTATTATAAAAGATGTAACTGAGAAACAGCCAGATGGATGAGATGACTAGGGCAAGGTATGGGGCGGGGTTGGAAGTCAGGAGAGGTAGGGCATGGAGTTTTCATGGTCCCTGGGTACACCACCCTGGAATCTATCCGAACTCCATCGTTTAGAGATTTTGTGGAGGTTCCATTGCATAGGCATGATTGATAATTGATTAAATCATTGGTTGTTAGTGACTGAGCTCAGTCTCCAGTCCCTCTTCCCTCCCTGGAGGTTGGTGGGGAGAGGCAGCTGAAAGTTCCATCCCCCATCCTGAAGCTGTCTAGGGACTCCAGCCACTAGTCATCTTATTAACATGCAAAAAGATGCTCTTACTACTACAGATATTTTTAAGGTATCACAAGGTTTTATATCAGCAACAGAGGACTAAGACCAAATATTTCAACAAAAGATGCCCCTGTCACTGAGAAAGTTACAAGGCTCTTAGAAGCTCTGTGTCAAGAATTAGGGACAGGGACTATAATACATATATATGCATAGATACCATTTTATCTTTTTTGTTGTCTTATTAGCTATAATTCTTAACGTCTTTTTAGTGATTGCTTTGGGGTTTATAGTATATATCTTTTATTATAGTTTACCCTCAAGTAATTTACTACTTCGCATACAATGTAAGAACCTTACAAGAGTATTTTCCATTTCTCCCCTCCTTTGTGCTTTTTGTTGTATACTTCATATGTGTTAGAGATTCTAGAATACATTTTTATTATATTTGCTTTAAACAATTATTTTTAAAGATGTTTAAATAAGAAAAATAAGGGGTTTTGTTTTTTTGTTTGTTTTTAGAGACAGTATCTCCCTCTGTCACCCATGCTGGAGTGCAGTGGCACGATCATGGCTCACTGCAGCCTCAAACTCCCATGCTCAAGCAATCCTCCTGCCTCAGCCTCCCAAGTTTCGAAGACTACAGGAGTGTGCCACCATGCCTGGCAAATTTTTTTAAAGATGGGAGTCTCACTATGTTGCCCAGGCTGGTCTTGATCCTCCCGCCTAGACCTCCCCAAGTGTTGGGATTACAGGCATGAGCCACCATGCCTGGCCATAAAAAGAAGTTTTTAAATATTTACCTACGTAGTTACTGTTTCGGTTGCTCTTTATTTCTTTGGGTACATCCAGATTTTCATTTTATGTTATCTTTGCTATTGCATGAAAGACTAATATTTCTGATAGCTTACATTTGCTGCTGGTGAATTATTTCAGCTTTTATATGCCTAAAGTCTTTATTTCACATTTTGTTTTGAGTGGGTGTAGGGTTATAGATTGTCAGGGTTTTATTTTTAGGCATTCAAATAAAAAATATTGCTACACTGTCTTCTGGCTTTTCATTGTTTCTGATAAGTCTGCTGTTCTTCTTATCAAAAGTTTCATGTGTCTGTTTTTGCTCTCTTTTTTCCTTATAGTATCTTATTTTTGTGTGTGTGGTTATTTTTTACTGAGAGCTGCTTATTTCCTTTGAAAATTGTGAAAATTTTTGGAGATGTATGGTAATGGTTTCTCCCTTGAGAAAGCATTTATTGGCTTCTGCCTAGGGCATTATCACTTTGGAACTTCTTTAAATTCTCAGCCTGAGATGTTTTGTTTTGACCACCCAGATGATTTGGACTCTGTGTACATTCAAAGGCCAGTTTGAAAATGTTCAGGCATAGACAAAAGTTTTATATTTACATTTTCTGAAAACTTAAGAAAATTTTCTTTTACTCCTTTCTCACCAAAGAAAAGTCTTGGGAAAGTATTGTATGGATTACTGTTTCCTGCTCCTCACAGAAACAACACATACACCCAAAACTTGCCCTTTCTCTCTTTATTGTTTCATTTCTTGGACATTTGTAATTCGTTACTGGTGACCTAAGACCTCAGTGCTAGCCTGCCATACTTTTCCTCGGGTTCTAATTTACATGTGCCTTCTGGTTCCTTCTGGGGAAATCTGTGTAGAGTGGAGGAGCTTTGGGTCGGTCAGGGTGGCACTTGGCTACCTTATTCTATGCAAAAGAATGAATTCCAGACTAAAGTATGTTCATCTGTTGATTCACACTGTTTTTACTTTGTTTTGTTTTTTTACTTTTAAGGAAGTGGGAAAACTCTTGCCTTTGCCATCCCAATGATTCATGCGGTGTTGCAGTGGCAGAAGAGGAATGCTGCCCCTCCTCCAAGTAACACCGAAGCACCACCTGGAGAGACCAGAACTGAGGCCGGAGCTGAGACTAGATCACCAGGCAAGGCTGAAGCTGAGTCTGATGCATTGCCTGACGATACTGTAATTGAGAGTGAAGCACTGCCCAGTGATATTGCAGCCGAGGCCAGAGCCAAGACTGGAGGCACTGTCTCAGACCAGGCGTTGCTCTTTGGTGACGATGATGCTGGTGAAGGGCCTTCTTCCCTGATCAGGGAGAAACCTGTTCCCAAACAGAATGAGAATGAGGAGGAAAATCTTGATAAAGAGCAGACTGGAAATCTAAAACAGGAGTTGGATGACAAAAGCGCCACCTGTAAGGCATATCCAAAGCGTCCTCTGCTTGGACTGGTTCTGACTCCCACTCGAGAGCTGGCCGTCCAGGTCAAACAGCACATTGATGCTGTGGCCAGGTTTACAGGTGAGGTTTAGTTCCATTTAATAAATATTTTCTAGGTAAATCCCAAATGCTCGTTGGTAAAGATGAATGAGCTGTGGCTCCTGCCCTCTAGGGTAAGCCACTCTCATCTATAAGCCAGACAATTAAGCCCTACAGAAAATTGATATAGTGACATTTTTTCAGTTCCCTCAAGGATAATACATGGTTGGTGCCATTGTGGATGCATAGGAAATTTATTGGATACAGTAGATGCTCAGGGCAGGGATTAGCAAACTGTCTGGTTTTATAAATAAAGTTTTGCCGGAACACACCCACACCCATTTGGTTTTATATTGTCTGTGGTTGGTTTTGTACTACAAAGGTGAAGTTGAGTAGAGTTAATAGTTGTGACAGAGACCATCTGGCCTATGAGGTCAGTAATGTTCACTAGTGACCCTTTCAGAAAAAGTTGGCTGATCCCTGCTCTAAGCTATTAGGATTTAATTCTCTCAGGGAATTCACTCTGGGAAGGGCTTCACTCTGGGAATCTTAATTTTATAATGAAAGCAGCAATTAATTACCAAGTTGTTACTATTGCTAAGCCCTTTACCCACATGATACTATGAGAATTTCTGCACCAGAGACGAAAACAACAGGGCATTAGTGGACCTTTCAGAATAATTCTAACTGAGGGAATGGAAGGGCTTCCTAGGAGAGGTGTAGCACAGCTGCAGGTCATATTCCTCCCAGCATTATGGTGCCCCAGTGCTCCGTTTTCCCAGAGCTTTGGAGGTAAGCATACCTGGGTTCAAATTCAGCCCCTTTGGTGTGGTTGGAGGGGAGGGAGTAGAAAAGAAATGAGGCTGAAGAAGTAGAGCTCAGATCACAGAAGACTTGGTAAGCCCTCTAGGAGTGGCGTCAACAGTCTGGCCAGGCCTGCTCTTTTAGCAATGCTCTAGGGCATTACACTGTGCTGATGTCTGTCTCTGCTAATCTGGGGTGCCTGTGTCAGCCATGTAAGAAAATGATCACCCAGATTGAATAAGTGTCCCTTATGTTTTCTGTCCCATAGGAATTAAAACTGCTATTTTGGTTGGTGGAATGTCCACGCAGAAACAGCAGAGGATGCTGAACCGTCGTCCTGAGATTGTGGTTGCTACTCCAGGCCGGCTGTGGGAATTAATTAAAGAAAAGCATTATCATTTGAGGAACCTTCGGCAGCTCAGGTAATAGATGGCACTTCTCTTTTCCCCCTCACTGCCTTTTCTGAAATGAGCCTTAGGTGACATGGTGTGGGCAATGCCTTCTTCTCATCGCAGAATGCTATGGTGTGGTATCATCCAGACCCTGGCCTTTAGAAAGCCAAGAGTGCATGAGGGAGATTAGTTGAGGGCCTGATGGTGGTGGTGGTAGTGGGGTGTGTACGTGTGTGTGTGTGTGTGTTTAGGATGAGTGTAGGGTGTGCTATAGATGATTCCTCTTAACCCGCTGCTGACCAATGATATGGGTCTCTCTGGATCTGCAGGTGCCTGGTAGTGGATGAGGCTGACCGGATGGTTGAGAAAGGCCATTTTGCTGAGCTCTCACAGCTGCTAGAGATGCTCAATGACTCCCAATACAACCCAAAGAGACAAACGCTTGTTTTTTCTGCCACACTCACCCTGGTGCATCAGGCTCCTGCTCGAATCCTTCATAAGAAGCACACCAAGAAAATGGATAAAACAGCCAAACTTGACCTCCTTATGCAGAAAATTGGCATGAGGGGCAAGCCCAAGGTCATTGACCTCACAAGGAATGAGGCCACGGTGGAGACGCTAACAGAGACCAAGATCCATTGTGAGACTGATGAGAAAGACTTCTACTTGTACTACTTCCTGATGCAGTATCCAGGCCGCAGCTTAGTGTTTGCCAACAGTATCTCCTGCATCAAACGCCTCTCTGGGCTCCTCAAAGTCCTTGATATCATGCCCTTGACCCTGCATGCCTGTATGCACCAGAAGCAGAGGCTCAGAAACCTGGAGCAGTTTGCCCGTCTGGAAGAGTAAGTTAGGACTGTCCCCAGAGGCTTAACCTCTAGTTAGTTACTGGGGTAAAAGGGGTCAGGATGGTGGGGAAATGGTAGAAAAGCCACCTTCTGTCATAGGGGCCTTGTCTCAGTAGTAGGTAGCCTTTTTTTTTTTTTGCACAGCATTTGGCAAGGTTACTGTCATTTAGTGAATTTGGTTGCAGTTAAATGCCATACAGAAACTTCAATACTAATGAATATAGGTGACAATACATAATATTGAATGTATAGACAATAGATTAGGTCCTGTGCTGGCACTTTAGATTCAGAATCACATTCAGTTACTCTCCTAACATCCTTAAGAGGAAGCAGAATAGATTCATGGTTAAGAGCACAGATCCTGGAACCAGAATGCCTGAAATCAAATCCTAGTTCTGTCACTCCTTAGGTGGTCAAGTTATTTAATTTCTCTGTACTTTAATTTTCTCATTATTTGGATAATAATAGAACCCATTCTAGGGTTGTTATGAAGATTGATTGTAAATTCATGCGTGTAAAGTGTTTAGAACAGTCTCTAGCACATAGTATGTATATATTGCTAAATGTTAGCTTTAATAATTTCTAGTCCCTTTACTACTTATTACCATTATCACTATTCTCATTTATAGATGGAAAAATGAGGTCTAGAAAAGCTGATCAGTGTGCCCAAGGTTTCTCTGCCTGGAAGTGGTAGAGCTGGGCCTCAGACAAGCCTGTCGGACCTCAGAGCCCATGCTATTTCTTATTCCTGATGTCTTTGTCCATCTGCCTTTGGACCAGACTGATGCTCAGGGAATGGGGTGCAGATTGTCAAGATGAGGGCCTGGAAAGTTGAGGCAGACTACAAAGTGTCTTTTGCCAGTGTTTTGTCAGGTCATGGGGTAATTAGTTTCTAGAACAAGTGTTTGATTTACTGGTTTTTAAAAATTGGTAAGTAGTATCAGTGGTTTACTGAGATTAGCTTAGAACAAGGCTTGGCAAACTATAGGCCTCGTGCCAAATCTTGCTTGCTGCCCTTTTTTTTTCTAAGATGGGGTCTTGCTATGTTGCCCAGGTTAGACTTGAACTCACGGGCTCAAGCAATCCCACCTTAGCCTCCTAAGTAGCTAGGACTACCAGTGCATGCCATCACACCTGGCTGCTGCCTGTTTTTTTAGTAGACGTTTTACTGGAACACAGCAAGACCCATTTATGTATTGTCAATATCCTCTTTTGCGGCAGAGTTGAATAGTTGCCATAGAGACTGTGTGGTTCACAAAGCTGGAAATGCTCTCTGGCTCTTTACAGAAAAAGTTTGCTGACCTTGATCCAGAGCAGTAGTTTAATGTTTTACAAACTAGGATTTGCATTGCATTTCCCGGCCTCAGCTCAGACATGCAGGGAGTGAGGACCCTGAAGGGCCAGAGTCTTATGTTTTGAAGCACCTCAAGTACTTTTGACTTTCCATGAACCACACATTGAGAAACATCATCCAACACATTTATCAAGTGCTTACCATGAACCAGATGTTGTTCTCTGTGGTGGTAATAACAGCAGTGAGTAATGCAAAGTCCTTGCTCTCATGAAGCTTACATTCTAGTAGAGGGAGATAATAAATTGCAAAGTAAGCCCACAGTCTGCCAAGTGATCCTAAGAAGTAAGTCGAGCAGGGGTTGGAGAAAAGAGATTGGGTATGTGTGGTCAGTCTCTGATGAAGTGAGAATTGAGCAGAGAGCTGAAGAAAGTAATGAAGTGAGTCATATGGACATCTGAGGCAAGACCCTTTAAGGCCTTAAGGAGTAGCAAGTGCAAAGGCTTGGAGGTGAGAGCATGCTTGGTTTGTTTGGGGAAGAGCAAGGAAGTCTGTGTGCCACTGGGAGGAAGTAAATGAGAGGGTGCTAGGAGAGGAGTCACTGACCCAGAATATGTATGGCCTCATTTAACTCACTGAAGGGAGTCTTTATCATTGCAGAGTATGGCATGTTGGTTGG
This sequence comes from Homo sapiens, assembly GCF_000001405.40. Lineage (NCBI taxonomy): Eukaryota > Metazoa > Chordata > Mammalia > Primates > Hominidae > Homo > Homo sapiens. The sequence goes on along the minus strand of NC_000014.9, from coordinate 94,058,124 downwards.
GGTCAATGAGTCCCAAATTTGGATCCAGACTCCACAGCTGAATAGCCATGTAGATAGCTTGGGAAGTTAATCTCTCCGAGCCTCAGTTTTTCTGTAAAAGGGTATACAAGTGATATCTTACAGAGTATTGGTAAGGACTGTAATGTTTAGGATGCTCAGCAGTTGGTAAGAATTTGATTAAAGATAGCTGTTAGTTATTATTAATAAGCTTTCTCTCTCTACCCCAGCTGTGTTCTCTTGGCAACAGATGTGGCAGCTCGGGGTCTGGATATTCCTAAAGTCCAGCATGTCATCCATTACCAGGTAGGGGCATCTGAAAATTTATAGGCATCTGCCTGCACTGAATGGGGAATTTTTAAGGCAAAGGTTGGGGGAGGGAGGAGGAATTGTTGGTTCCAAGGCTCTTGCATCAGAGAATACCACTGGCATCGAGTGCCCACTACTCCCACTTTTGCAACACTGCTGAGATTTGGTCTCCAGAAAACCTTGCTTTGTCTCATGTCAAGTAGCCCTTCTCTCCAAGCTACTTGATATTGTCAGGTTAGAGTCTTAGTTTTTTCTGTGAAATGGGCATAAGTTAAGCATGTAATTGGTTACCCTGATGTAGAGAAGTATTAATAGAAGAGTGTGGTAGTTTAGATCTCTCTGGGCTCAAATCCCAGCTGTGTAACCTTGAACAAGTCATGTAATCTCTCTGTATCTCAGTTTTCTCATGTATTAAATGGCAGTGAGTACCTGCTTCTTAGGGTTCTTACTGAGGTAAAATAAGTTACTAAGTATAAAGAGCTTAAGAAGCCACCTGGCACATTGCAAGCACTTACTCATGTTAACTGCCATTGATAGTAGCAGTAATATTAGTGTGTGCATCTAGTGAATATCAGCATAAAATTTTGGTTAGGAGTATGGGCACCGGAGCCAGACTGCCAGGCTTTGAATCCCCAGTCTGCTGCTTCATAGTTGGTTAGCTTTAGGCAAGTTATTTAGTACCTCTGGTTTCAGTGTCATTGTTTGTAAACTGGAAGTAACAACTAGCTACCCCATAGGGTTATCCTGAGAATTAAATTGAGCTGATGCTGATGAAGCCGGTAGCACAGTGTAAGTACTCAATAAATGGTAGCTGGTATGGCATTATCATTTTTCCTCTTTAATTCCTCTTTGTGCTTTTAAAAATCTTTTAGGCTGCTGTTTCAGAGAAACAACAAACTCACAGTGCTTTTTCCCATTCTCTCACTTCACAACAACAATCAACATAGAAGACTTCTGTAACCAAATGTGTGGGCGTTTTTCACCACATATCAAGCAGCAGCCACCAGCTGGGTGTCCTCTAATTTAGTTTCATTTTCTGATGCTGTCTTCCTGGAGATAGCCTCAGATCCCACAAGATGTCCCTCCTCCCCGCAACCAGTCGATAAGTCAGGGCCTCTGGAACTTCTGACCAACCAGCTTCAAGTTGGGGTTCTCATGACCCCCCGCTTTGGGTTCAATTAATTTGCTACAGCAGCTCTCAGAACTAAAAGAAACACATTTACCAGTTTATTATAGAGGATATTACAAAGAATATAGATGGGGAGATGTATAGGCTGAGGTACAGGGGAAGGAGCATGGAGTTGCCATGCCCCTCCTGGGTACACCACCCTCCAGGAATGTCCACATATTCAGCTTATTCAAAAGTTCTCCAAACTCTGTCCTTTAGGAATATTTATGGAGACTTCATTGGGTAAGATGATTAATTAAGCCATTGGCCTTTAGGAAGTAGTGCTGCAAGTCCCAACCTTCTAATCCTGCCTTGGCCTTTCTGGTGACCAGCCCCCATCCTGAAACTACCTGGGGGGCTATCAGCCATCAGTCAATAGTTTGTCATTAGTATACAAAAAGACATTACTTTTGAGATTCCTTTGCCAGGAAACAGGATGAAGAGCAAATACATATTTCACTGTATCACAGGTGCTAATTTTGGTTTAGCAAATCTCTATAGTCTTCCCTTTTTTGGGGAAGGAGCTGGGTCAACCTTTGTGGAGTCAAGATGAATCAAATACAGTCCCAGCCCCTAAGAAGTATTGGATCCAGCAGAGGAGGTGAGATGACCACAGCCATAATTTAAGGCAGAAGGTATTAGAAAATTACAAAATACAATGGAAGAGAGAGGTAACTTCTAGTTTGGGAGGTTGGAAAGTACTTTCTAAAAACATGCCTGGCATTTAAGGGTGAAGAGGATTTGGACATATAGAGGCATTAAAGGAAGGAGCAAAGAAATGGGCAGTGTTCAGGGGCACTTGGCTCACAGTGAGAAGAGGGTATGTGTTGGGAAAGGAATAGTTGCTGAGGCTGGAGGGGTAAGTTGAGGGCAAGTCACTAAAGGCGCTGAGTGTCAGGTTGAAGAGTTGGGCCTTTATCCTGTAAGTAAAGAAAGGCAAATCTCATTTCTAGAACTCTTATGAACAGTTCATAGTGGCTACTTAAAGTACTGTATTGAAAAGGATACCTAGATGTTATCTGGGCCCAGTGGAGAAGACTGTTGTGCTTGATTAATGGTGTGTGCCAGGGGCTCAGTGGGTGTGTTAGCAACCATGCCACATTATCTATGGATAAAATATATATAGGAGTAGAGACCGTATAACCCAGGGATTAACATGGTCTGTGGAGCTGGGCTGCTTAAATCCTGGATAAGAAGTGACTGCTGTGGTCTGGCTGCATGGTCCTGAGGACCTGAACCAGGGTCAGGGGCATGGGAGGGAAGAGCCTACACAGTGAATGGGCTAAACCTGGGAACATTTTGAATGTGGGACTAAGAGAGGAGGGCTAGATTGCTCTACAATGCTGCAGAAGTTTCTACCTGCCTGGCTGGGAGGTAGGAGGGTCTGGTTTGGGGATGTGGCCCTGAGGAGAGGACCAGTGTTTGGCAGTGGCCATGTATTGATCTCCCAGTTCTTCCTGTGGCAGGTCCCACGTACCTCGGAGATTTATGTCCACCGAAGTGGTCGAACTGCTCGAGCTACCAATGAAGGCCTCAGTCTGATGCTCATTGGGCCTGAGGATGTGATCAACTTTAAGAAGATTTACAAAACGCTCAAGAAAGATGAGGATATCCCACTGTTCCCCGTGCAGACAAAATACATGGATGTGGTCAAGGTAGAAAGCAGTTAAAACCCCAGTGCTAATGAAGGGATTGTGCTGCTCCCTTGCAGAGCACCTTGCTGTGGGACTCTGGCAGCATAACCCTTGAAAACTAAGGAATGGTTCTGCCAACAGCTGAACAAGGAGACTTGTAGAAAGGATTGAGAGCAACATACCTGGGAAAAGGGAGAAAAGGGGAGTGACTGAAGGTGGGAGGCATTTTCTCCCTGAACCATTTCTTCCTTCTCTGGCCCTGAAGTCCCCCCTCCTCACCAGACAGTGCAGTGGTCATGGCTGTCTGGATATCCTGTCAGAGGGTTGTAGACAGTGTGGTTAGTGTTTCCTGCTGAGGCAGATGCTACAGGTTTGGCACATCCCTGGAGCAGGTGCCAGTAAATTCTGTCTTTTGGGTTTTAACTCAGCAGGCATTCCCCAGGTAGGTGCCGCTTACCATGGGACACTGTATTAGTGACCAAAGTGGGGTGGGTTCTCCTTCCCAGAGGTTTGCCAGCTGTGAATAAAGTTCAGGTACAGTGGAGCAGTATGGAATTACTGGGCATATGGTTACATTGGGAGGAGAAGAGGTTCTATCCCAGCTTCCTGCTGGCAAAGATGTGGAAGGGTACAGAGGAGGTGGAATTCCAGGAATTGAGGGAGCAAAACCATGGCACAGTTCAAGGAATGTTGGCTTCTCTGGCTCAAAAGGAATATTAGCTGTGTGGGGAAATAGGGTGGAGATAAGGATGGAAAAGTGGAAATCATAGAGAATTCCCATTAGTAAGGAGGATTAGGAGCCACCCAGGCTTCCCTTGGTTTCTTTCCCCACATCACAAGATCCTTCTCATTTTGCCACTGCACTGTAACCCCAAAACCCTCTAGAGGGAGAGTTGAAATGTTTTATCTTAGCTCAGCTGTGGAAGCAAGCTGTGGCATCTGCGTAAAGACTTCACTTTGGTTACCTATAGGTTGGCAGTCAAACCAGTAAGGGTTTTCAAAGGATGTGGCTGTTCAGGTTGATTGTTGGGAAAGCTGGCAGTTGTGTTTAGATGTGTACACACAGACGGGTAATGGTTGCCCACTGGACTTTTATCAGGAAGCAATAAATGCATTTCAACAGGAACTGAACTGCATCTCACCACTGATCTCAAGAGCTTTTTATTTATTTATTTTTAATTTTTAATTTTTAATTTTTTTTTGAGACGGAGCTTTGCTCATGTTGCCCAGACTGGAGTGCAGTGGCACAATCTTGGCTCACCACAACCTTCGCCTCCCGGGTTCAAGTGATTCTCCTGCCTCAGCCTCCCAAGTAGCTGGGATTACAGGCATGCGCCACCATGCCCAGCTAATTTTGTATTTTTAGTAGAGACGGGGTTTCTCCATGTTGGTCAGGCTGGTCTTGAACTCCTGACCTCAGGTGATCCGCCCGCCTTGGCCTCCCAGAGTGCTAGGATTACAGGTGTGAGCCACCATGCCCGGCTCAAGAGCTTTTTAAAAACACTACTTGCTGGGCACGGTGGCTCACGCCTGTAATCCCAACACTTTAGGAGGCTGAAGTGGAAAGATTGCTTGAGCACAGGAGTTCAAGACCAGCCTAGACAACACAGTTGAGACCCTGTCTTTACGAAAAAAAAAAAAAAAAAAAAAAAAAAAAAGAAATTACCTAGGCATGGTGGTGCCTCCCAGCTGCTTGGGAGGCTGAGGTGGGAGGATTGCTTGATCCAAGGAGGTTGAGGCTGCAGTGAGCCATGATCATGCCACTGCTCTCCAGCCTGGGCAGCAGAGTGATACCTGCCTTAAACACACAAACACAACTCAAGTGAGACTTTGCTTCCCAGAGGCCTGAACTCTATTTCAGATGAATATTTTCTGTTACTTCCCCCCAGGAGCGAATCCGTTTAGCTCGACAGATTGAGAAATCTGAGTATCGGAACTTCCAGGCTTGCCTGCACAACTCTTGGATTGAGCAGGCAGCAGCTGCCCTGGAGATTGAGCTGGAAGAAGACATGTATAAGGGTAAGCCCTTGGGCGGGATGGGAATTGAGGAAGTTGAAATCTCTCTTTAACTTTTGCTTTGTTGGAACCATCTCTACTACTGTGGGTCTTGTCAAAATCAGCAAGGCGTCCTTCCCCCTCTTTGCTAACAGGCCCTGGTCCCAGGTGAGCCTACTGCCCTCGGTCAGTCTTTGTTTCCTCTGTCTCTGTCTTGTGCCCTCAGCTGCCTCCTCTTACATGGACAGGCAGTGGAGTACAGTGAGGAAGGGAGCAGGCTCTCTGGCCAGGCTGCCTGTGTTAGAATGCCGGCTCATTGCCTTAACTATGTGACTGAGTCAAGTTATTTAACCTCTGTTGTGTTCTCAGCTTTCTCCTCCATAAAATGGAAGTAGTCAACTACCTACTTCATGGGATTGTTGTGAAGACTGATTGAGTTAAAAAATGTTAAGTGCTTATAGCATTGCCTGGCAAATAGAAAGTATTACATTTTAAGTTATTTGTCATTATGGTTCCTACTACACCTGCCTTCCAAGCTGACAAAGCACTTCCATGCCATTATCTCATTTGATCTTCTCCACTTTCATGACATGAACACAGCAGGAAGTACTCTTCTTTTACATATGGAAACTAGATACCACAGCAGAGGCAGTTTGTGCAGGGAAACAGCTCTGTCACAAGGCATTTCCAGAGCTGCTACTCTATATGTGACCACAGGCTGAGGCTTCAGGGATGAATCTGCCCGGTCCCTGCTTGAGAAAACTCCTGGTCTAAAAAGTGGTAGAACCAAATCTAGAACTCCATGCTCCTTCCACACCACCAAGTATGCAGCTCAGCAGAGATGTTGACACCTCGGTGCCCAAGTCAGCAAATTCAGAGGCAGACTTAACTGCTGTCTGCTCAGCATGGAAGCCAGGAGCCAAACCAGTGGGCTTGATGACAGTGAGCTATTTCTGGTGGCTCAGGGTTGGGGCTTGGGCCGAAGATGTGGAGGCCCTGGCTTCCCTTCCTGAGGACAGACTGAGGTGGAACCTTTTGGCTCTGCCAGCTTCTCCATGTGCAGTCACAGCACTGGTGGCAAGGCATAGGAGAGCTGGGCTACAAAGAAGCATTCAGTGTCTCCTGGGGCGGCAGGGAGGTGGGGGTTGTAATTGTGAACTCACCAAACCCCAGGTGGGCAGTAAGTGGGTGGGTCATAGGAAGAAAAGTGATCTTCAGTCAGGAGACTTGGGTTCTGGGCTCTGTCTGATGACTGGCTCTGTGATGTGAGCCAGGTGACTTCTCTAACCCTGAGTTGCCTCATCTGTAAAGATAATTCCAGTCTTGGAGGATTTTTATGGAGTAAAAAAGGACAGAGCGGTCCTGTGTATCCCCTGCAAATGGTTAGACGTTATCCATTTACAGCCCCTGCCAAGCCACCACTAGCTTCTTCAGAGAACTTTTGAACCCTGCCTCCCTAAAGTAGTTCTAAAACATTTTTCACTGTGTTACCCATCAAGGGAAACAAAATGTTTCTACAAACCATAGTAAATAGGATCGTTTTTGTATTGTGTTTCAAGGAGGAAAAGCTGACCAGCAAGAAGAACGTCGGAGACAAAAGCAGATGAAGGTTCTGAAGAAGGAGCTGCGCCACCTGCTGTCCCAGCCACTGTTTACGGAGAGCCAGAAAACCAAGTATCCCACTCAGTCTGGCAAGCCGCCCCTGCTTGTGTCTGCCCCAAGTAAGAGCGAGTCTGCTTTGAGCTGTCTCTCCAAGCAGAAGAAGAAGAAGACAAAGAAGCCGAAGGAGCCACAGCCGGAACAGCCACAGCCAAGTACAAGTGCAAATTAACTGGTCAAGTGTGTCAGTGACTGCACATTGGTTTCTGTTCTCTGGCTATTTGCAAAACCTCTCCCACCCTTGTGTTTCACTCCACCACCAACCCCAGGTAAAAAAGTCTCCCTCTCTTCCACTCACACCCATAGCGGGAGAGACCTCATGCAGATTTGCATTGTTTTGGAGTAAGAATTCAATGCAGCAGCTTAATTTTTCTGTATTGCAGTGTTTATAGGCTTCTTGTGTGTTAAACTTGATTTCATAAATTAAAAACAATGGTCAGAGCCATTGTGTCATCCTGATTTTTTTTTTTTTTTTTTAGATAGAAGATGGGGGTGGTGGTGTAGTTTGTTTCATTATTAACTTAGTGATTCTCCTGGGCCAGCACAGTGCTAAGCCCTTGAAAGGACAGGAATAGTGTCAGGCCTCTGGCTGCAGGCCAAGATTGGACAGTGTGAATGGAGCAAGAGGCTGGAATGTTCAAGAGGTGCATGTTCCTGCTTTACCCAGAGCAGCACCCTAATAGCTCCTTAGCTCTCTCCACTCTCCTGGGTATTGTCTGAGCCACCGTGGGAGGTGGGCAGGGATGAGGTTGCTGTCTTCAGGCTTCCCTCACATCACAGAGCCAACAGTAACAGTCGCTAGGTCTGGCGTGTGAAGCCCTCAGGATCTAGCCCCAGCCTTGTCTCCACTCCCTCCTGTTTGACAGAGCAGGCTCCTGCCCACGGTTCCATGCACCCCTTCTCTTGTCCTGAGCCTTTGTGCAGAATAGGCTTTTCCCTCGGTCTGGATTGCCTTTTGGCCTTCTCCATCCTGGAGCACTGCCATGGGTCCTCTAGTCCTGAGCCTCTAAGGGGAAGCAGTGCTTCTCCTGGGGCTCCCTTAGTGTCCCGTGCTTACCCTCTTCATAGCACTTGCCATGCTGTGTTCCCTTAGCTGAGCTCCTTGGGAGAAGAGGAACTCAAGGCTTGGTCAGCCTGGTATAAATATGTGCTCAGGGAACTAGGGACTTCCTGATGCTGCCCCAGCTTTGTCTGGATCAGTGTAGGTGAGTATCCACAACTCCCACAACCATGGGAGAAGCATAGATGATTTCTGCACAGCTGTCTGGCTTCCAAACAGGTATTCGTCGGGGCACAATACAATACAGCTGTTTAGTTCAAGGGGTGCTAGGGAATTGAAGAGGATACACAAAGGGACCAAGATACCCCAAGATCTAAGTAGCTAGCCTCTCTCAGCCTCATGGTTGGCACTTTTATCTAATTAGCATTTAGTCTTGAAGGTCCTGAGAAATAATTTTCTTTTTTTTTTGAGACAGGGTCTTGCTCCATTGCCCAGGTTGGAGTGCAATGGCACAATCACAGCTCACTGCAACCTCACACTCCTGGGCCCAGGCAGTCCTCCCGCCTCAGCCTCCCAAGTAGCTGGGACTACAGGCACACACCACCACACCTGGCTGAATTTTTTTTTTTTAGTAGAGATGGGGTCTCACTATGTTGGCGTAGGCTGGTCTCAAAACTCCTGCCCTCAAGTGATCCTCTTGCCTCAGCCTCCCAAAGTACTGAGATTACAGGTGTGAGCCACTGTGCCCATCTATAAGTCTTTATTAGTGTTTTTTGTACTTGAGCATATAGACACCCAGTGATTGAGACTTGCCCAGGGCCACACAGCAGCCAAGTAGCAGAGGTGGGATTAGTATCTTCCTTCTGGGCCCAGGACAAGTTCAGAAAACTACTTCAGTCTCAGAAGTGTTGCCAAGGAATGGCCTCCCATCCCCCAGTGTCACCAGTGACCGGAATAGGAGGGGAAATTGCCCGTCTGTGAGGTCAGCTCCTGACTGACAGCTATCAGAGAATGGCAGGGAGACTCTCCATTTTCCAAATGATGCAGTGGTGGTCAGTGGGGTTAGTAAGCGGGCTTAATATCCCCTAATGGCACCTGAGCCGTGGGAGTGAAGCCACTTGCCATAAGCCAAACATAGATCCCCTGATGACTGTCCGTGTCCTGCCCTAGCCATCTAACAGCAAATTCTTTTCCTTGGTGGAGGAGCTAATACGTAGACAGGCTTTAAAAGGCAGGAGCAGCCTTCCAAGCAGTGCTACTCTCGCCTGGTAAGGTGAAGTTGGTGGGCAGAGCTTCCGGAGTGTCCTGGATCTGCCATTAAACAAGGAATATCCCTCCCCAGCTAATCTACTTAATACATAAGCACCACGGAAAAGCAGAGTTCTTGGCTGCATGCCAGGTACCCAGTATTAAGAAGCCAGGACAAAAGTAGTTATGGAAACCATTTTAATGCTAGGAGAATGTTTTTACTTACTGCCTAGGGAAGCTGTAGGGCTTGGCCCACATCCAGCAGGGCCTGGGGCCCCTGGAAGCCACTCACTGAGTTACAGCCCCCTCCCCACTCCTGTATCTGCTCAGGGTGGTGATGTGTTTGCTCCTAGACTCTCTCTCATGGTTCCCCTGACACTCCTGCTTGGGAAGCCACCGAGTCACTGCCAAGGTGACATGCTTCCCCATCTGCAGTGCCCTATGCTTCCTGTCAGGAAGGACAGGTTGGGGAATATCCCTTTGCAGAGCCCATACGATGAGTGTGTCAGGTATAATAGCTATTTTCACACAAGGAATCTCATTCTGTTTTAACCAATAATCCAGTGACACATAGGTATTGTTGCCATTTCACAAACTTGGGAATTGGGGCTCAGGGAGGTGAAGTGACTTGGCCAAGATCATACAGCTAGTAAGTGAATGCTGAAGTTAGAACCCTGGCATTCTGGCTCCAGAGCTCTCATTTGTGCTTAAAATAGGAACCCAGTCAAAAGCAGGGACTGTGCTCTTTCTGTTGCTAATTGTTCCCATTGATTTAAAAGTTTCCTTTGGAGAGAAAGTATCATAATAAACATGCAGTTGTAAAAACAAGCTCTCAAAGCAACTCTCCTTCCAGCTTTTGGTCTGGAGAGAGATGGCTCTGTGGGGTGAGGGTAGAGAATTATCCAGGAAGTGGGACTGGCCAGGGTGACTGGCTGCTGTGGACAAGCAAGGTAACATCCACAGATGACTAGAAATTTTAACAAGGTGCCAAAGCCTGCCACACCTTTTCATCCACTATGTTTTCCCTTCGAGACAAAGATCTGAGAGAGAACGTGGGGGAAACAAGGGCAATGGTTCGGATTTGGCCAGTGGTTTTTTGCAAAAAGGGGAAAAGCAGAGGGTAAGACCATGAAAGTAACTTGGCCTTCCTCTGCCAGAGCTTGAGTGTCCTGATTCTGAAGTGATAGAATAGATTCTTTTCTGGGAAGAGGGCCCCTGTGAGTTTCCGGGGGGCTCTGTGACCTGGAAGCACAGCACAGGCAAGTCTCCTAGAGGGAATTTCTCCAGCCAGTCTGCCAAACAGCTCTGCTTCTGAGGCTACCACACAAGCCACAAATACAGAGACATAGCAGCCCAGTGAGGCTTCTGCTGTGCTTGAGAGCCTAGCTGGAAGGCCCAGAGCCCACCTTACAGCCCCTTAGAACAGCCAAGGCGTCATCCAGGCTGTGTGTGTGTCCGTTCACACCTTTCAGTTGGGAAACAGGGATCCCCTGGAGACTTGTCTGGCAAAGATGATGATATTCACAAATCATGTCATGTGTTCCCCCCACGCTTCCAGTGTACTTCTCATAGACCATGGTGGGACACTGAACAAATTCAGAGGTGACAGTCAAATTTACATTCCTGTGAAAAAGTGACATAATGACTTAGCCAGAGCCTTTGGATCCAAACTCCAGCTGAGGGCAGTATGGAAACCAGGGTCCCTGCTTGGAACTAAAATCCCCTGATATCTGAGAGTGCTATTGGCTTTTCACGAAGGCAGAAGAGTGACACAAATCTGACATTTGTGTCAAGAGGACTCTGAGGAGTCTGCTACCCAGTCCTTGTGCAGTCAGGTTGTCAGCAGACTCATGCAGCAGCACCAATAGATTCCAGTAAATCCCTGCAGAATGAAACCTGTGAGAAGGTGGCCTTCAATTAAGGAAGGACCCCAAAGGGCAATTCCACACCCTGCATTTTCCATTTCCTCTTATAGAGGAAGAGAGGTTGCTAGCAGCACCTCTGCCCAGCCAGGGTGTGGGTCCCCACTGGTGCCATCTTGCCGGCCAGCCCACAGATGGAATCTTGAAGGTCCTGAGGCAGCAAGGTGAGGGGCTTATTTAAGGGGTATGGCCAGGTGGCTGAAGGAGGAAGCTGCTGGCCGGAATTCCCAGGCGGTTTCCACAGTGGAAATCTCCCCACTGCCAACTTCCCATGGCTTGTCTGTTCTTTCCCACCTACCCTCTGACCAGTCCATAAAGAGAGCAGAAGCGGGAAAGGGAGGAAGAAGCCAGGGGCAGCCTGCAAAGCGTCTGCTCTGCTCAGCTGGGTCCATGGCTGTGCGTGCCAACACTTCTATCCTTGAAGTATCCAGACTCCACTTCTAGGATTTGCTGGGGATGATGGGACAGCTGCGGCTTCCTGGTCCCAGACAGAAATACACAGATTCTGGTCCAGACCCTAGTCTTGTAAGCCTCTGTCCAGGTGGGGCTGAAAGCAGAACCCTGAAGGGCTCGTCCACCAAGAGTCAGGCAGTTCTAGCCCTGAGAGAGGTAGAGGGGCCCCAACAATTTGAGCTCCTACTAAAGGCTAAAGGCCCCTTTCTGGACTTTGGCAAAAAAAGGAAGTCTTTTTTTTTTTCTCCTTAAGTTAGGGGTAGGAAAATACATCCATCATGAATGTTTGAAACCACACCGTAGCCCTCACATTCAAGTTGACCTCAATAGGCCATCTGTCAGAGCCCAGTCCAACAAGTGACTGGACTGGACTCTTTTGTAGGCCTGGTAAGTCACTTGGGTTAAGACAGCTAACCTTGAGCTTTTCCTCCCCCGCAGAGAGGCACTGCCCCTGGTAAAGAGACACCAGAGGCCCCATTTTTCTACAATGGAATGTCAGCATAGGCAGGGACCTCCTCCAGTTGAAGAAACAAGTCCAGAGAGGGCAGGTGACCCACCCAGGGCCTCACTGCGAACTGGGGTGCGGAGTCGGGGGCCCAGTTAGAAAGCATTTGTCCCTCCATTAAAATAAATACTAAAAATCCTACCAAGTTACCATAGTCCATAGTGGATAGGCCTCGTTCCCAGGGGCTTTGCCCAAAAGGCTGCACATTTTCTTGCTACAGTCTAAATTGCTTAAAAAATTGAAGAGCCGGAATGTTCCATTCAGAATGCAGTCCCATTAGGTGACAGGTTCCACTGCATGGCCTAAAATTAATCAATGTTTATCGGCTGCATAAAGGATGTTGTAGTGGGATGTTTTATAGAGCAGGTAAACGGAAGGGGTGGCGGCCTCAGGGAACACGTGGTGGTTCAGGGCGGTATCCATCTCGTCCACGTACTCCACTTGCAGGGCAATGCTCAGGGCCTGCGACAACGCCGTGATCTGGATGTGGTCACACTCCGTGGCCATGGGCTCTACTTCCTGCAGGGGCCAAAATGAAAACAAGCCAGCTTAGGAGGGAGGCCTGGCAGAGGACAAGTGAGTTCAGCTCTGGCTCTCAGGGTCATGGTCACAGCCTCTGTGCTGGGACGTCATCTTCACAACATCCCATGAGTTGGGTATGGACGTTCTCATGCCACACGGGAAACAGCCTCATTGAGAGGCAGCATAGCTAGAAATCGCTACAATTGCAAGAATCGAACCTGAATCTTTTCCATTCTAGACCTTGTAGTTACACCTGACAGCAGGCTACTAATTTAGAGGGATCTGGAAACGGGGGGCAGACATTTTTCAGGTTGGGCATCAAAGAATCTTAGAGATAAAAGGCACCCTGTCATCCAGGGGTGCCTTTCAAGCTTAAGTGTTTACAGAGGCTAGGCTGGTGAGTGAGGGTGCGAGTCCGGGTGCTGCAGAGACGATGGAAGAAGCAGAGGCGGTGGCAAGCAGGCGTATGTCCTACATAGAGAGGGCAGCTGCTGCTTAGTGCCTGCTGAGACTGCCCTGCAAGAGCAAGGACCTGGGGGCTGTACTTCTTACTTTCCAGCAGAAATCCAAATATTCATATGAAAAGTGCCTAATTTTTAAATATCGGCAACTCTTTCTGGTAAATACCATGCATCATAAACACGTCAAGCAAATGTGACTCTTGGACTATGACTGTGGTTTTGTAAACAGGCCAGTCCAAATCCCTTATTTTTCAGATGGGAAATCTCCAGAGAGGGGAAGTGACTTGCCTCAGGCCACACAGCTCAGGCAGCTCAGGTGGGACCTGTCTGCAGCTTGCTGACCTAGCTCTGTTTGAATTGCAAGGGCAGTCGTGACACCCGAGTCCCTTGGCTACGGATGGGTGCTGAAGTCTGCAGGACAGGGCCACAGGAGCAGAGCCCAGGGCTGGGGCTGAGACCCCAAGCACCTACGTGAGTGCAGAAGTCTTTGATGTCCATCTCCTCATCAATGAAGTGCCGGAAGAAGTCTGCTCGGTTCCTGATGAAGGCCGACGTGAGCAGGCGCAGGAACTGCACGATGTGGTCCGAGGCACTCTGGTCGTTGAACACCTTCAGCAGGCTGGACACTGAGCCATCCTTCTCTACCAGTTCCACCACACTGTAAAACTGCGCCCGCCCGGCCCTCAGCTAGGGAGGCCAAGCAAGCCCCAGCCCTCCCTCTGCATTCTCCCTCCGCTCCCTCCCTTCGCGTGAAGCCCTCACGTGCATTTTCATTTGTAGATTCTCAGGTTGAGTTAGAAAATCAGTCTGAGATTCTGCCTAAGCTAAGTAACCCAGGGTTAGCAAGACTTTGCAGTTTGTACACTAGTCCAGAGGCATGTTTGGGAGCGGCAGTTGGGTCTCCCCACCATGACTACCTGGGTTTGGATTCTCACGTGCACACTCAGAGTGGCAAGCGTCTGAGAGTCCTCGATCCCGCCCCTTCACTAATTGGATAGGGAGGCATGAGGTGGAGATGGAATAGGGTGAGGGAATAGGGTGAGGGCTCCCTGTGCCCACACACCCCCACAAGCAGGAAGGAACCCTCTGTCCTTCCCCAGCCAGGAGGAGCAGAGCTGTGGGCTGTGTAGGGGCTCCAGCCAGTGCCCACTCCTGTCTGCTCTGCCAGTGTGGAAGGAGGGACCAGGTGAACTCACAGCATTGAAGAAGTTTCTGAACTTGTGCTCCTCAAAGCCAGCAGCCAGAAGGTCATTTGGGGTCTGCAGTACGCGTTCTTTGAACCTACAGAGGGGGAAGACTGAGTGTTTACAGGGAAACACAGCGAGAGTGCTGTGATTGGCAACTGTGCGTCCCCCTCTCAACCCACTGCGCCCACCAACCTCATCTCTAGTCCAGCCGCAGAACCTCCCGCCCCTGCCCCCAACACACAGCCACATGCACCGTGCACATCTCCACCCTGGCCCTGCCGGGCCCTGGTGGCTGAGCTGCATTGTGTGTGTGTGCATGGTGGAAAGACGATACGACAAGGGCGTGTGTGATTTTGCATCTTTTCCAACTCCCTACTCAGTGACCTCATGAGGGCAGCTTGACTCAGTCATGATAATATTGAATACTGACACCACAGCAATCGGCTGACAACACACATCAGGCCTCCCGCACGCCCACAGCCGGCTGTTAAGCATCTGCCAGCACCAAGTTACCCTTGGGGACCCACTCCACAGGCCCTTGCTCTGCGCATGCTGGGTTGTTACTCTCTGCACCTACTGCAGGCCCCCTCATGGCGCAGCCCCTTTCTGGGACCTGTCCTGGTGCCCTCAGGGGGTATGGCAAGAAACCCAGGCCTGGGCCTGGCCCTGGCTCCAGGACACTCCCAAGTTTAGTGGCAGCAACGAGGTATGGAGGAAGGGCTGCCTCCCACAAGGACCAGGTGAGCGGCCCTGGGTGACCAGCTGGCAGGCGCAGAACACTAAGGCCACACCTAGTTCTCCAGCCCCTCACTTTGCCTGGGAACGGAGATGAGGCTCTGACAGCACCCAGGAGGCAGAAGGTTCACAAGGGAATACAGAGGCCTGGGCCACCTCAGAAGGTGCTGTGCTCCAGAAAAGCCTGGTGCCTTGTAGGAGGACAGGGGGCAGTGAGGAGGGAGAAGGTGGTGGGTGTGGACGGGAAGCTGGTCTCCTAACTCAGAAGGAGGAGTATTTGCCTAGATGCCGCTTGCCCCTGCCTGGTCCTGGCATATCTAACAGTCCTGCCTGGGCCAGGACTAGTTTGTCCTGATTGCAGGGTGAGGTGCCTGGATTGGAGGGATGGAGCCTGTGCTGGCTTCTAGCCGCAGTCCCCTCCAGCCCTGTCAAGTCCCCCTGTGGCTTTTGGCCATAAGCTCCACTTTGGCGCAAGTGTGGATGGTGATGACGCCTTGACTGCAGGGGTGCTGAGGGCGAACGGAGAGCTGCCTGGGAGGACGAGGCCTCCACTGCAGTGGTACCTGCTGCCTAGGTTTCCCCTCCTGGCCAGGGCAAGGATCTGATGGTCAGTGCTGGCTAACGCCTCTCACTCAGGAGCCACCCTCATCAGCACCCCCTGTTCAGTCTTCAGCTGCGGCTAGGTGGCCCATGGCCAGAGTACTAGAAGCAGCTCCAGGAAGCAGCTGCAGTCCTCCAGGGCTGCTCCAAGGGCCGGCACCCTCTTCTAGCCACTCTGTCCCTGCATGGCCATGAAGTGCACTGCTCTGCTCCCAGCTCTCCTGCCCCCCCTCCCACCCCCAAACCTCTGCCTCATTCCACATTCATTCCTCGCCAGTGACTTGTGGGCCCCTCTGTGCCAGGCACTGGGGCACGGAGATAAGCAGCATGCAGTCGTAGGCTCTGTCAGAAGGGGGCAAGCCCCCAGGCCAGGACATGCACCCCCGAGAGGCAAGCCAGGGATAGGGAGAAGGATAGCACTGGGGCTTGGAGGGGGTGCAAGTTCAGACCGCTGGGGCTGCACACAAGCCTGTGTGGGACCTCTGGCAAGTCATTTGACCTCTATGAGGCTCTGTTTGCTCATCAGATGTGGTAGTAACAGTGGCTGCCCTCAGAGGCGGCGCGTGTTCTCCAAGCCTCTGGCACACACAAGTACTTCGCATACTTCTAGAGCAAGTATGCAAGATACAGGGCTGGAACAAGCATACTGCTGCAACACGCTTGCTCCAGCCCTGCAGCAGCACTGAGCAGAGAACAAGTGTCTGCCTGGGTGGCTCTGGGCTCACTGCACACAGGGAGACAGTGGCTTGTGGAGGATGCATGACGCTGACGCTAAGAGCTAGCACGGAACACCCCAGGTCAGTGTTCCAAGTGCTCACGAGTCAATCACTTAATGTCCGTGACAGGGCTATGGCCACTGTTCAACTGGGGAAAGGAGCTACAGAGGAGTGAGTGAAGCAGCCTGCCTGGGGCCCAAGGAACCCACAGCCGGGTCAGAAGCAGGGCTACCTAGGCCCAGGCAGCGTCAGGCGGCATGTCATGCCTGCAAGCTCTGGTGTGTGTAGGATAAGTGAGTCCCTGTGCCTAGAACTCAGGGTGGGTAGGCAACGGGGCAGGAGAGGCAGGGGCCTGGTGTGGAGGGCGTTGGTGTCAGGGGTTTCCACTGCTCCTAGAGGTCAGGGGCATATTTCAAGCTTGGGAGTGACATGGTCTCGGTTTTTGTGTTAAGAAGATGCAGGCTGAGGAGGGAGGACCGCCTGAGCCCAAGAGTTCGAGGCCAGCCTAGGCAACATAGGAAGACCCATCTCTTAAGAAAAAATAAAGAGAGAAGGAAAATATTTTAAAAAAAGAAAGAAAAAATGCTGGTGGTCTCATGCAGCCTTTTGGTTTGACTTATCACCTGTGTGCCCCGGCCTGCCTGCTGAACGCCAGCCTTATACCTCCACTGCCCACCAGACACCCCTACTCTATGGCTCCCGGACATTTCAGACAGCATCGCAAAACACAGCTCCTGATATTCCTCAGCCCTCCTTTGCAGCAAACGGCTTCTCCATCCTGCTAACTCTCAGGCCAAACCTCTGGGAGCCATTCTTGACTCTGCCATGTCCAACATGTGAGTCGGGCACGAATCCTTTCGCCACCTTCACAGGTGTCTAGACCTGCCCACTTCTTGCCATGCCCACTGCATCCACCTGCTCATGCCACAGCCATCTCCCCTCTGGATCTCTCCCCGACCACATCTCCCTGGCTGTGTCTCCGCCCCCGTCTGTCCTGCACACAGCAGCCAGCAGGGCAGGTCCCCCGTGCTGCGCAATCCCTCGGTGGCTCCCGTGTCCTTCAGGCTGAAAGCCAAGGTCCTTAGAAAGGCCCAAGGCCCTATGTGCCCTGCCGCCCTTACCTCTCCAACCCTGCTTGAAACTGCCAACCCCAGACCTTGCACTCCTCGGCCTCCTTCCTGCCTGATTTTTCCCACAATACTTATCACCATCCGACACCTCAAACGTGATACTCATGTACTGTGCATCTTCTACCATTAGGACGCAAGCCCCACAAGGCAGGGATTTTGTCTCTCTTGTTCACTGCAGTATCCCCACAGCCTAGAGAAGGGTCTGAGCATGGCACCCGTGTGTGCTGACTGGAGTGGGGAGACAGGACGGAGTGAAGGTAAACAGAGCACGTGGGCTGGTGCAGAGAGAAATGCAGGCGCTGGGCTTAGCCAGCATCACCCACTGAGTCCTCACAATAGCCCCCTGAAGTGTGTTATAATGTCCACCTTCCACAGGCATGAAAACAGGATCAGAGAGATCAGGTCACTTGCCCAAGGTCGCACAGCAAGTAAGCAAGAGAGTGAGGTCTGGCCTCAGAGCCCAGGGCTGCTGCATGGCACAACTCCAGGGGACATGGGTCGTGGGGAAATGAAGTTGGGGTCATAATCCCTGCACTGTGCTGTGTTGGTCCCCACAGGGCTGTGAGAAAGTTGGGGAGGGGAATGGCTTGAGATAGCTGACTCTCCATCAAAAGGGGCTCTGCCAGTCTGTCACTGGCAAAACAATCTGAATGGTTCAGCCAAGGAACAGATGGCTCAACTTCTACCCTCTTTGAGATCATCTATATTTTGAACAGGAGACGATGGCCTTAACCTAGTAGTTCTCAACCAGATAGGGTCGACTTTTTTCCACCGAAAGAGGTTTTTGGCAGTGTCTGCAGGCAGTTTTGATTGTCATGACTTGGGGAGGGGGTTACTACTACTATGTCACGGGTAGGGGGCCAGGGATGCTGTTAATAGGCCTACAATGCATAGGACAGCCCCCACCGTGAGCATGATCTGGCCCAAAACGTCAGTCATGCCGCCGTTGAGAAACCTGCCTCAGCCAAAGAAGTGCTCTGGGACCCACTGCCCCCCGTACTGTTTCCAGAGAGCATGTCGGTGCGGGTCTCAGATGAGGAGGGCCCATGGCCCTCACCAAAGCCTCTAAGGGCTCTGAGACCCCCAAAGGTTAAGAGCCAGGTGGGTCTCTTAGCTCCTTGCTCCTCAAAGCGTGGTTTGAGGCCCAGCAGCATCAGCATCTCCTGGGAGCCAGTGACAAAAGCAGTCCCTGCTCTGCCCTGCTCCCACTGGACAGGAATTCGGGTCCAAGCCAGGTCTCAGGGGTTTGTTTGTCTTTGCTTTTTTTTTTCTTGCTATGGACTAGAGAACCAGGCGCCTTGTACAAACTTCAGATATGAGAAGCCCTGAACTAGCCGAGATGACAGGGGCAGCTCTGGACACAGACCTTCTCCAGCATGAACCTCAGGGACAGGCCCAGCCAGCTGAATGCCTGGGTCACACACACTCCACACCAAGGTCAACAGGAATTATGCAGAACACCGGGGCAAAGCTTCTTTTTGTTTGTCTTTTCTTTTCTTTTCAGAGTGGGTCACGAAGTACCTGCTCCCTGCGACTCACCTGGGCTGACCCAGGCCTGTGGTGGAAGCAGAGGCTGGAAAGCATCTGGGAGGTCACAGATTCCATCCTCCACCCCTTGGCTGCCCCCAACTTCACCACAGCAGGCAGCTGGGCACCCCCAACATCAAACGCCTCTGCCAGGCAGCTCTTCAGCTCATTCTCTGGGTTAACCAGCCTGAGTGTAACGAAAACCTCCGAGAGACTTGAGGCTGACCTAGCACAGAGAACACAGCCCTGACAGGCCAAGGGGCCCCGGCACTCACTTGAAGATCTCCCTGCTCTTCCCCAGCAGGGACTCCAGGTAGGAATAGCCCAAGGCCCTGTAGAAGCAGTTCCCATCCCCTTTGGTCTTGCGGATGGCGGTGAACCTTTTGCTGAGTTCCTGAGGGGGACAGAAAGAAATGTGGGCATTTGCACCAACAACGGCTCTGTGTGGTTTGGGCACTGGGACTGGCCAGGTGCCCCCCATCTCTCCCAGGAAATGTCTGCTCCCTCCCTTCAGGCTGCTATCCCCTCAGCCTCCCACCCTCGTTCATTCCCCTGATATAAAAATACACTGCATTGTCCTGTGTGTCCGTCCCTGCCCCCAGGCAGCCTACGGTCCGGGAGGGAAGATGGATAATTAGACAGTGGCATTGTGAGGGGACAGGAGTGCCTGGCTGGGTGCCACGGGGCACTGGCATTGCACTGGATTTTGGAAGTTGGGGAAGCCTTCCTGGGGGAGCAGCACTGAGAATCGGGAGCTGGCAGAAGTAGGGGGTAGGGGGTTGCATGTGTGAGCAGGGGCGGGAGGGGTGGGCTCCAGCTCCACTCCTAGCAGTAAGTAGGTGTCCCTCTGAACTGGCCTGGAATCCCCTTTCCTGCCTCATGGGACTATAAGCAGCATTTTGACAGCAGAGGATGGTTTTCAAGGGGTCTTGGAGTTCCTGTTCCCCCCATAGCCATGAGAAGGCTCAGAGCCGACTTGGGCCCACCTGAGGCCAGCTGGCAGTGGGGAGGCAGGCACTCTCTGGAGCCCCTGGCTCATCTCCCAGGAGGGCTCTGGGGGACACAAAAGTCAGTGGGCTGCAGAGCCCAGCTCCTTCCCTGGAAGTGCCCCGCAGCGGCGTTCGGATCACATGATGCCCACACCACTACCCCTGGCTGCTGATGGACATCTGACCCAAGCTGGACCTATCAGAGTCTCTGAGGATAAGTAATGAGGCCCAGCAACGGTGCTGCGTGTCTGAGAGGAACTTGAAGGGAAGGGCCTGTGGGGCCAGTGCCAGAGCAAGCCTGTCCTGCAGCGAGAGGAAGACCTGCAGAGTGCAGAGAGCGGCCAGGGCCTCCTACCAGAGGGACAGAGTGGGCACCCAGCTCCTCCTGCCATCCACGGGTGAGTGCTCCATGAGCGATCCCTGCAGCCTTCCCACAAATCCCTTTAGCCTCACTGGCGTAAACTTTCCCTCCAAGAGGTCTCCCAGCACAGCAGTTATGAATGTGGCTTGAGACTCAGCTGCCTGGGTTTAAATCCTAGCTTGGCCACTCATGAACTAAATGGCCACCACTTAATTTGTGTGCCTCAGTTTCCTCAGCTGTAAAATGGGGGTAATAAAAGTACTTACCTCACAGAGTTGTAATGAAGTATTGGTGAGTAAATAAAACATTAGGATAGTGCTAAACTTTTCAACAAAAAAAAATCCTTTTTTTTTTTTTGGAATGAAAGGATTTATCGCTAAGGCAAATGTCCAACATCAAAATATCCTAGGAATCCTTTCATTTGCCCAGGAACCTGGCCCAAACTATCGGCCTTCAAAGAGGCATCACCATTACACTCCCAACTCCAGCCTGTTTAGTTTCGGATGCTCTTCTCCCTGCCCTCTGCCTCACCTCGATTTTCCTCCGGTAAATCCTGTTTTCAGGATGGTCCCGAAGAATGGATAGAATGTCACATTTTTCTGATATTAGGTTGAAAGATGTTTCACTCTGAAAGATAGGGAAGGAAGAAATGCTGTGACAATTTCAAAAGCAACGGACGGGACTCCCCGAGCTGGTGGCCTCTGAACTGCCGGTTACAGACAACAATGAATGAGACCTTCCCACCTTCTCATGCTGGGAGTATGTTACCAGCATCCTAGACGCCCGTTGGGATCACCGCATTTCCAGAACAGGGATAGTCAGGGTCGGGGCCATCGTGAAGAGATAGCCCTGGTTATAAGGAAACTCATCTTTTTACTGGAAGCCTGATTCATTTCACAGAATGTGTACCTCAAACTTAACGAACCTTCATGCTGGAGGATAAGGCCCTTTGTCTCCTTCCATCCCTCTTCTCTCATTCATGCATTCATTCATTCGTTCATTCATTCTTTTACTCATCCAACAATTCCTGAACATCCACATGCCCAGCACTGTGTCACATGCTGGAAATACAGAAGGAAGGACGTCTAGCACTCCCTCACCCACAAGGCTCACAGTCTACAGGGAAAAACAATCAAGATAGGGGGTGATAAGGTCACCAGAAGAGGCCGCAGTGTGTGGCACTGGTACATGGAGATGCCAGAGAAGGTGTCAGAGATCTGAGCTCGGGGAGCACAGGGCAGGAGGGCATCTTCATGCACCACCTACCGGCGAAAGTTTACACTACAGCCCAGCTCTGGGTCTAGGTCAATTCCAACCCAGAAAGACAAGCCTCCTACAGGCAGGATCTCTCCAGGCCAGAGAAGAAATTGGCGGACAGAGAGGAGGCAACTGCAAAAGGAAGCTTCAGGGTGAAGGAAACTGCAGGAGACACGTTCTAGCAGCCAACTCCCCGTGGGCCTGGTCTCCGCCTTGTGCTATCTTGTCAGCAGGGCTCAAACAAGCAGGAGATGCAACTCTAGCCTCCAACCCACCCAGAGCCGCTTTGATTGCAGCATGAACATACTGTGAGAGACATGGTGTTAAAGCCACTTATAGTTTACAGCTTAAAATAAATGAGGCTGGCTCCTGCACACAACCCAGGGAGACCATTTTTATGCAATAGAGCACTGTGGATGGTCACTGTTAATTGGGATTTTTGTAAATAGTAATCTAGTTTTCCATTCATTTATCACCATCATTGTTGACACCCAGTTGTAACTGGCCTTTTTCATGTCACACCGGCCACAGTGGCCTTCCCTGGTAGCCTCTCAGCCTCATCACTGACTAGATAATGATCTCAACCCAATACCATCCTGCTCAGAGAGGAGCCCTCTGATGCTACAAACCCCTTTCTCCACCTGAAGAAATACATCCGGATTTTTGATGATTAGCTTTTTCCAAAGCTCAGCCCACAGAAGCAGAAAGCTGGGCCATGAGATTAGATAATGAGGCCTAAATGACTTTTGTTGCTTCTGTCTCCACATGGGACAGATGGCAAACTTCCATCTGGCCCTGATCCTGTGTCCAGTATCAGGTCAGGAGAGAAGCTGGGACTGGGCAGGGGTGTTTTTGGGGGGCCTGGAATGACAGCTTGTCATACTGTCTGCCATCTTCCATTCACCCAGGGCCTGGCACGGAGAAGGGGGTGAGATATTTTTCAAACAAATGAATAAAAGCTACCTCCTCCATGAAGCCTCCCTGATCTCCCCACCTCATCTGAGTCAGGCTTGTGCTCTCCCTTGAACTTACACTTTATTCTGTTTCGCCCTTTCTGGTGGCACCAAACATGATCTCCCCCCGACATGGGGGATTCAGGGCAACTTCCCAGAAGATAGCTTAAGAATAGAGGATGAATTCATTGTCCTAAAGAACTGGATGGGCCAGGCACGGTGGCTCATGCTTGTAATACCAGCACTTTGGGAGGCCAAGGCAGGTGGATCACGAGGTTGGGAGTTCAAGACCAGCCTGTCCAAGATGGCGAAACCTCGTCTCTACTAAAAATACAAAAAAATTAGCTGGGCATGGTGGCACATGCCCGTAATCCCAGCTACTCAGGAGGCTGAGGTAGAGAATTTCTTAAACCGGGGAGGCAGAGGTTGTAGTGAGCCAAGATTGCACCACTGCACTCCAGCCTGGGTGACAGAGCGAGACTCTGTCTCAAAAAAAAAAAAAAAAAAAAAGAAAAGAAAAAAAAAAGAACTGGATGAAGAATGTTTCCAAAAGAGGAAAGAAGAAACAGGGCATGCAAACACTTGGGGGGTGGGAAGAAGGGATTCTGGATTTTGCTTCCAGAAGCTTCCACTCTGTACCGACCCTTCTTTGCGAAATTAATCCAGCCCCAGGCTCCTTCCTTCCTTCTGCCCTGACATCATAGCGTGGGCTGGCAAAGCAACAGGAAAGCCATCAGGAGGAATCAGACAACACTTGGGGGCAGGTGCCAAGGGCTTCTGTCTCATCAGCTGTGACCCATTTCCTCCTCACTAATGGAATCCCACAACATGATGAAAAATGACTGGGTAGGTCACAACAATCCTACCTCTTTCCCATTTTCCTAGCCTCCCTTGCAGCTATGGGCAGCCAGGTAGCTGGGGTTGGCCAGCTGGACCCATGAAAAGTCTGCTGGGGACTTCTGGGGAAGCTTTTGGTTTTGGATAAAAGGAACAGAGATGGAACGTTCTACTCCTTCCCACCGTCAATGCAGATGCAATGTCCACAGCAGCCATCCTGCGAGCGTGAGGCTGAAAGTCAACACATGGAAGATGATCTGGCAATCTGCTACCCTAGGCCCAAGAGGTCTGAAGTGATAACAGGTGCCATTATTGTGCAAATACTATGTGCTAGGCTCAGGGAGAGAGGCTGACACGTCCCCATTATCTCACTTAATCCTCAAGACCACCTCCTGAGATGGGTATTATACCCATTCTACTGACAAGGTCAGGTGCCCTGTGCTAAGAAGTAATTTTAGGCAGATCTATCTGACTCTGAAGCCCATGGAAATTCTACCATGCCAAACTGCTAGGCAGGCAGAGCACAGAGGTCTTGAGGGACCAAGGCTGCTAAACACAAAGGAACATTCCACACAGGGCAGCCTAGGGCCTTCTTATCAACAGGCCAGGTCCCCACCTCCTGCCCCTGAGGCCTCACCCAGGAAAGTTCTCCATCCAGCTCCTGATCCTGGGGGCTCAGTGTCCACAACAGCATTTTCTAGCCCAAGACGTGCTCATCACAGGTGGAACAGGACACGATTTACAGGCAATATCCAGACACGGTGGTAAAATACATCAGTGATATCTGGAAGGAAAGTGATTTGCCGTTCCACTTCCTTCAAGCCTTCTGATCGCATCAAGGAGAAAGACAGTCTCTAGCATACCTTGAACTCCTTTCTACTTTGCTAGTCTCTCTTCTCAAGAGTGGGCAGGCCTCTGACTTACAGCTTAAAATCATTCCATTTTCATTTGTGTTTTTTCTTTTAACTTAAACCAAGCCAGATTTATTGACTTCAAAGGCAAATTTATAAAAAGTTAACATGTTTTGGTCTATTCTAAATCATGAAAGATTGACATTACTAGCATAATAACAATTGCTAGTTGTACAATTAATTTGGCCCTCATACTGCGTGCTAATACAGCAAATATTCATAGGATTCTATACATTTCAGAATGAAA
Organism: Homo sapiens; assembly: GCF_000001405.40. Classification (NCBI taxonomy): domain Eukaryota; kingdom Metazoa; phylum Chordata; class Mammalia; order Primates; family Hominidae; genus Homo; species Homo sapiens. The sequence goes on along the minus strand of NC_000014.9, from coordinate 94,033,801 downwards.
GCTCTCCCTCTGCTGCCTTGTGTGGATGGTAAGAGGACAAACAGGTAATACTGAAAAACAAGCGCACCTGCTCTGCCCAATTCGTTCCCACTCACGCACCCTCTGACTTCATTCCAAAGTCCCGTTATTTATCTAACAATTTGTTTATACTGTATAAAAGCCTTGTTGTTTATACAGACAGCTGACTTAAAATGATGGCTTGGGTCTTTTTAAATCATAGATCAAAAAGTAGAACAACTATAGTTAACACTGCTTGTGCTTGGACTGCCCGAAACCAAAACCAAAATGGCAGAAGGAGGACACAAAATCAGCTACATTTCCTCTGCAGGGTGTCTGAGGAGGTAATCAATGGAGGAGTGGAATGGATTTAAGGAATTAATCTTCAACATGCAGAAATAAGTACTTCAATGCAGAAAACTGCCATCAACAGTTAAAATGAGGAATATTTAAAGGTGGATTAGGAACGGGGGTGGCACCTATGCCAGGAAAGTCAAGTTAGGTTTCCACTTGCTCTATTAACATAAAATTTGCATTTTTGACAAATCTACTTAAGCTCTTTAAAAGAGCCAAGTTAAGGAAAAATATTACATAGGGCCGGGCTCGGTGGCTCACCTCTGTAATCCTAGCACTTTGGGAGGCTGAGGCGGGCGGATCACGAGGTCAGGAGTTCAAGACCATCCTGGCCAACATGGCAAAACTCCGTCTCCACTAAAAATACAAAAATGAGCCGGGTGTGGTGGTGGGCACCTGTAGTCCCAGCTACTTGGGAGGCCAAGGCAGGAGACTCACTTGAACCCAGGCAGCAGAGGTTGCAGTGAGCCGTGACCGCACCACTGCACTCCAGCCTGGGCAACAGACTTCATTTCCAAAAAGAAGAAAATACTACATAGCAGTTCGGAGCCCTCCCATCTGCTAAGAGCTGAGCTCACCACACCTTCAGGACACACTGTGGGCATCAGCCTCAGGAAGGAATTTTTTCAGGTTTTGTTCTCCTTTGTCCCTGATCCCTATTTCCATTCCTCCATGCCCCCATGCCCCTATGGGTAGTCTCTATGGCATGTCTTTCTAGATATATTTGTTTTTTATTATAATTATGGTAAAACATACATAACCTGAAATTTATTATTTTAACCACTTTTAAGTACACAGTTCAGTGGCCTTAAGTACATTCACACAACAGTGCAACCCTCGCCCCCACCCATCCCAAAGCTTTTAATCATCCCAAACTGAAACTCCCATACCCATTTTTTTTCTTCCGTGTACTTATGATGAATCTCTACTCATTAAACACTAACTCCCCATCCCCTTGCCCCCAGTCTCTGGCGACCACCTTTCTACTTTTCTGTCTCTAATGAATTTGACTACTCTAGGTACCTCTTATAAATGAAATGCATTTGTCTTTTTAAAAAATACAGACTTGTAAGTATGCATGCATTTTAAGTTTGCATAATACTATTCTATAGATATTCTGGATATTTTTTTCCCTTTACTCCACACTATTTAAGAGCTACCCCTGCTTACAAATGTCTCGCAGGTGGGCTACCTCCATCTGCAGGTGATGGAACCTTGGGCTAGCTCCAGCGCACCAGTGGTCCCAGATGTAATTATTGGGGGACCTGGGGACAAGGGGATTCTCGCTTTGGCCCTTCAAGTCCCCACCTGGCACCTCCAGAATGACCCAAGTCCGCCGAAGTTGGTCCCCTGCCACTCCCCACTAGCAGGGCTCTGGCCACACCCCTGGCAAGACCAGAGACTCAAGCTCCCGGAAGAACCCCAGGCACACCCTCAATTTACTAGCCCATAAATCAGGCATGATGCTTGACCTGGCTGACTCTCATTCGTGATTGCTTTTAAAACCATGGCTGAAAATTTCTAGGATGTTATGGAGAAAGGACAGGCCACATCTGACAATGTCCTGTCAGACCTAATTAGGCCACCTAAAAGGACTTTAGCCCTTTAATTGCTGGTTTGCAAATAGATGCTAATTAATTAAGTCAGATAGCACTGTGGCTTGGAAACAGATTTAGCAGCTTGCGTGGAGGAATATATTTCAAAGTGAGAAAAGGATGTTCTTCAATCACTGCTTTTCCCCAGTAACCCTGGGAACTAGCAGAAAGCGCAAGGACGTGGGCTTTGTGTTCAGACTGGCTTTGAGTCTTTGGTGGGAGCCAGCACTACAGCTGTCTGCTGGTCCTTCCTCCTACATCCCTGGAACGCCAGCTGAGATTAAAGAGCCAGGGTATAAAACTCCCACCATGACGCTGGAGAGGTTGCCCCTGATACCCCATCCCTAATCCATGTACCGAGCCCCACCTCCAAATTTAGGGAAAGTACGAGTCCCCACTGTCTTCTGGTTTTCCCTCCCAAGCCTCTGTATGTACCTGAAACCTGCCCACATTACCTAAGGACTCCTCAAGCAGCCCGCAGCCATGGGCCCAGCACTATGGACTGCTCCAGGGGCTGGAAGGAAATATCCCTTCAGATGTGTACTCAGGGGTATGATATGTGACATATGTATGCATGCAGTGCTCAACATTGTTTTCTTTTTCTTTTTTTTTTTTTTCTGAGATGGGATCTCACTGTGTTGCCCAGGCTGGTCTCAAACTCCTGGGCTCAAGCAATCCTCCCACCTTGGCCTCCCAAAATGCTGGGATTACAGGTATGAGTGCCTGGCCTCAGAGTTTTTGTATTGATGAGGTGAGCGATGATAATCGTTTGGAAGCCATGGATTTGGGGGCAGCCGAGTGCCCTGAGTTTCCTGTGGCTGCTGTAACAAAGGAGCACAAACTTAGTGTCTCAAAACAACACAAATGTGCGATCTGACAGTGCTGGAGGCCACAAGTCCGAAAGGAGTGTTGCTGGCCTAAAGCAAGATGGCGACAGAGTGGTGTTCCTTCTGTGGGCTCTAGAGGAGAATCTATTTTCTTGTCTTCCGTTTCTAGAGGCTCCCGGGTTTCCCGGCTTACACACCGGCCCCCACCCTCCCCATCACTCTGCCTTGCTCTCATAAGGACACTTGTGATTACGTCATCGCGCCTACCTGGATAACTCAGTATCCTTAACGGAATCCCACCTGCCAAGTCCCTCTCGCCACGGTAACATAGTCACAGGTTGTGGGGATTAGGACGTGGACATCATTGGGGCCATTGTTCAGCCTGCTACATGTCCCTTCTCTGCTGCTCCACTAAGAAAAGTGACAAGACCCTGCACTGAGGCTTCCCCCCCGGGTCAGTTATTAGCTGGCTTTGCAGAGACCCTGACCTGGGCCCGGGCCTTCCCTCTTATCTTATGCCTAGACTCATACAGCATCCTCCCAACAGGCCCTCAGATCTTCCTCTCCGGGCCTGACCTCTCCCTAGAGCTCTGACTCCACAGCCACTCCTGCTCAGAAGTCTGAGAACATTACTGAATTAGCGTGTCCCTGACTGCTCTCCTGCCCACCTCGCCCCCCACCCCCGACAGGCTTCTCCAGCTCCCCATCCAAGCAGAGCTGATGCCAAGACCCAGAAGTGCTTCTCCACTCCTCTCTCCCCGACCTCCCCATTGGTCCAAGCTGCCATCATCTCCCCCCAGGGAGGCTGCACCAACATCTGCCCAAGGACCTCCTGGTTTCCACTCCTGCCCCCATCCCAGCCCATTCTCCACAAGCAGCCAATACAAGCTGCTTAACCAGCAAGGGCACGCCCTTCCCCCATGCCCTCCAGTGGACTCCCTCACTTAGGCCAAGACTCAATCTTTTGACAACGACCTCCCATGTCTGACCCCATGTGGCCCTCTCTGTGTTCCTTCACAAGACACACTCTCACCCCAGGGCCTTTGCACGGCTGCTCCTTTGACCTGGATTCTTCCTCTGCCTTTCCCAAGATGCAGGTGGCATCACCTCCTCAGAGAGGCCTTCCCATGCCCCACCCCATCCCTCTCACCTTTATTTCTTCATGGCATGATCTCATAGGCTCGCCTGTTTACCCGCATGCTGCCCGGCTCCCTCCACTGGAATGCCAATTCCATGGGGGCAGGGACTTTGTCTGCCTGTCAGTGCTGGCTCCTCAGTGCCTGGCACACAGCCATGCTCCAGAAATGTATACGGAGTGTTATGGGTTGAACTGTGTCCCCCCACCAAAATTCATATGTTGAATACCTAATCCTTGGTACCTTAGAATGGGATCTTATTTGGAAATAGGGTCATTGCAGATGTAATTAGCTGAGATGAGGTCATACTGGAGTAGGGTGGGCCTCTAATTCAATACGACTGGTGTCCTTATAAAAAGAGGAAATTAGGACACAGACCGGCATACAGGAAGAACACCACGTGAAGATCAAAGTTCTGCAACCACAAGCCAAGGAGCTACCAGAAGCTTGGAGGGAGGCCTGGAACAGAACCTTCCCTAGCGCCTTCAGAGGGAGCATGGCCCTGCTGACACCTTGATCTGGAGCTTCCAGCCTCCAGCACTGTAAGAATCCATTTCTGTTGCTCTACACCAGTTTGTGGTACTTTGTTATGGCAGCCTGGGAAGCTCACACACTGCATGAATGAATAGACAGATGCATGCATGGGACTAGCCAGGCTCTGACTCCAGCCTGGCTACCTCCAACCCTGTGTCCACTTCATCGTCAGAGAGGTCGTCCAAGTCAACCATCTCTTACTTGTCAAAATTATGTTATGGTTTCCCCCTCATTGGTGGAATAAAACCCAAACCCCACAGCACAGCAAGTGAGGCCCTGCACAGAACATCCTGACCCCACCAAATTTTCTAGACTCAATTTCCCTGCCTCCCTCAATCTCCTTGCATCTTCAGAGGCTGTTCACCTTTGCCAAAATCCCCTATTCTTGACCATGCTTCAAGGCCTGATAGCCCACTGTCCCCCCGCACCCGCCAAAAGGAATGTGCCCTTCCCAAATCCTTCTTGAACACTCATATACATCCTTCAACTCAGCTCAAAAGACCTCCTCTGCAGAACCTTCCAACACCCCCACTCCCTCAGAGCATATTGACCTCTCACTGTGTTCCCAATGTCCTTAGGCCTCTTAGGCATGACCTGTAGCTCAGACACTGCTTGTGTCCAGCTGTCTTGGCCAGCAGGCAGTGAGCTCCTACAGCGGGCAGGCACCTTGTCTTTCTCATCAGTGTCACAGTGCCCAGCACAGGCCTGACAAAGGTGCCCACTGGGGGCCTGTTTGACAAATAACAGAACAAAGCACAATAGGACCCTGCGGTTTTCCTGCTTATGTCTGACTCATTCATTCGTCAAACATGAAATGCACCTTGAGTGCACGAGAACCCTAGCTATTTGCAGTCCCTGCCAGAGGTCTGGTCCTTGTCTCACCCCTACCTTCCCAAGTGTCTTTGTGTCTTCCACGGGGCGCCCTTCCTCAAGCTTAGCCCAGTGATGTAGAAACAGGAAAGTAAAGAAGATGCTGTATTTTCCAAGGATATTCCTTCTGTCACCACCATCCACACAATGCAAGTTCAACATAAAAACCCACCATGCAGCACAGGGCCCAGTATGGTCCCCGCATGCAGTAGGTGCTCAATAAATGCCATGTGCAGGGAAGGGAAAAGACCCTGCATGGCCTCCACCCCTGTGATTACCAGACAGACGTCATATTTTAGTGGGTTAACCACTTCATCCTTCGCCAAGGCACCCAAGCCCCCGGTGAGGGGTGAGGGCTTTGGACCCCATCTGCCATCTAACTTCCAGTCTCCTGAGTCAGGGCAGATAGGGAGCAGAGTGAGCGGCCTCACTGCATGGCACAAAGAGCAGCTACCGCCTCTGCTGTGCTCTCAGCTGCCGAGTGGTGGCCAGAGGGCATGCCAGCCTCCAGCTCCCGGGTGGCTAAGCCCATCATTACCCCAGCTCCACCACTCCCTGGTGGGTGATGCAGAAACACCTGGGCTGCCTTCCAGGAGCAGCTCAACCAGGTAAACCCTTGGGCACCAAGTGGAAGCAGGAAGCTGGTGCTTCCAGATGCTCCAGAGGCCCCCAGCTATGCCCCAGGCAGCAGGCTGGCTTGGCAAGGACAGTCCCAGCTCGAGTGCCCTGGCTGCCTATGCCACACCCAGATCGTGCCAGGCCATGACCAGGCTTTGACCCATGCCCCAGCCCGGCAGCATGCTGCCGTGGTGACCCATTTTCCTGCCCAGTCATAGGAGAGAGGAGGCTAAGCTTGAAGAACCAGGCATCTGTGCACACCCATTTCCAGGACTCTGTTGTCACAGGAAAAGCTCCAGCTAATCATATCACATGGTTCCCATGACACAGATGTGCAAAACGGTGCTGAGGGGGAGAGCGGACCAACCAAAGCCTCTTCGCTTTCCAACAGGTGGAAGTGAGACTTGAACCTGGGGCTGTGTGGCCCCGACTCAAGCCACCCAGCCCTCACTCCACAGGCTCCCCCTGCTCAGGGTTGAAGGGTCTTAGGCAGCCATGCCACCCAGTCCCCTGCAGGATGCCTGACCCCACGGCAACCTGGAAGGTGAGCCGATGTAACACAAAGAGCACTGAACTGAGAGTCCAGAGCCTGGGTTCAAGCCCCAGGTCCACCACAATCAGTACCAGCCCTGCCCTGTCTGGCCTCAGTTTCCCCACCTGCCCAAGCCCAGGGTTAGCCTGGCTCAGAGGGTCTCTGGGCCTCGTTCTGCGCAGACAAGGCTCTCCATCAGGGATTCCTGAGTATTTTCTTTTCCCCGACCCCTAACTCATGCGCCTCACAACTTGAGGCATCCTCTCTAGGTGGGTCCTGACTCCAAAGATGGAGACGGTCTAGTCGCCCACGGAGCAGACGACCTGGTGCCCCGTGCAACCCCTAGATCCTCCCTTGGGGTTGGGGCAGGGGCCAGGAGGTCTTTGACGGCCGAGCCGTCGGGTGGGTGGGGCCGTGGACTGCTGACTGGGGGGCTACTTAACAAAGAGGAGGCGACCCGTAGTGCTGCAGCCTCCCTGTCCCTGCTTCCGTCGAGGGCGCCCACCCAGCGCCGTCGAGGCGGCGCCCCGGGCCACCTGGGGCGGACACGCTGGGGGCGGGGGCTCGGGGCCGAGCTGGACCTCCTCAGCTGCACATCCACGGGGTACAGGGGGGCGCGACTTGGCCCTCAGTATCCGTCCGGACTCCGTATTTCAGGGGGTCGGAAAGCGGCGGGGGCGAGCTGGGGGCTGAGCCTCGCGTCCGACCCCCGTCCCGCGGGTGCACCCGCTCCGGCAGCGACCCCGCCCACCGCGCCCCCTGCCCGCTCCCCCTTCGCGATCCCCCACGATCACTGACCATAGTGACCAGAGCCGCCAGGCCAGGTCCCGCCCCAGCGAGGAGCGATCCGGTGCGGGAATGCCGCGGGAGGCGCGGGCGGGCTCCGCCGCTGGTTCGGTGGCGGGGACCTCGAGGGCGTGGGGGCGGCGGAGAATACACCCGACCGCTCCGCAAACCAAAGGTTAGACCTCCACTGTGTCCCAGCAAGACACACGCCCTGCGATTGACGTCTCAGGCGGGCAATCAGAAGCCGGGACGCGGGACGTCATAGAAAGTGGGTGGGACTTCACGTGCCTTCAGCCTATGCGTTAGGGTCCATTTGATAGGATGCCTCCCCCTTTTAAAGACACAGGAAAGCTTTTAACTAGCAGAGGAGTTAGCTCAACCCAGAAAGACAGGTCCTCGTTTGTAAAGGCTGAAGGGCTTTTGCGCAAACCTAAAATTGGAGTCTTCTGAAGGATTAGCTGGCCGTCATTAATTCATAAACAAGGTCACATAAGTATAGTTTGCACAAGATCAGAGGATAGGCGCTTAGGGAACACGTGTCCAATAACATTAAGTATGGCTTCTATATAATATTTTATCCTCTTCCAACTCATGAATCAGTAGGTTGCCACGCACCCAGTTAATGTTTGTTGAATGAATGAATGTCCAGGATCGTTGACTCTGTGGCTCTGGAATTGTAGGGATATCCGTGAACCAGGTCTAGATGACTCATCTTGCCTACAAGCTCATTATTAATGGACATCAAAATAGGAATATTTATCATTCAAAGATTCATTCACCAGCCCTTGAGTCCTGGAGGAGCTGCTTGGGTGTGGGAGGGAGAGTTTGTAGGGGAGGGGGGCTCAGTGCATTGCATGCATCCACTTCAAAAAATTAATATTTCCAGGAGCGTGTATTGAGCAATTCCCCTTCCTGCTGCTGCCCCCCGCCCCCGCCCCCCGCGCCCCACTCTTACTACGTAAGTCCCAGGTACTGGGCTAGGCTCTGGGCATACAGACATCTGAGTCTTCCAAGCATGTATCATGTCCTGGGCAGGGAGTGTGAGGTCAATGGAGGCTCAAGGAGCAGTAACAATAGCAGGTAATTTTTTACAGTTATTTACACAGTTATGCAGAACACCTACTATGTATCAGGCGCTATCCTGAACTCTCCACATATACAGAATTATCTTACTTAATTTCCTCACAACTGGTTTAAGGGGGTAGGTCCTGTTATTATTATCCCTGTTTCACAGATGAGGAAACATGTACAGAGAGTTTACGTTCCTTGCCTTAGTCACATAGCACTGAAGTGGGATTCAGTCCCAGGCAGTGTGACTCCAGAGCTGGTTTCGAATTCACTCTGCATGTGACTACAGGGGCTGTGTTACCTGCCTCCGCCCCTGACCCCCATTTGTTTTCGGGGGGTTTCTCGCTCTTTTTTTTTTTTTAACCGCCAAGGAAGCCAGAGAGGTGACAGGAGCAGCCCAGTGCTGCTGAGCTAAGAAGTGGCCTGGCTGGGCTGGATCCCTGGACTCCTGACTCCCCAACCAGTGCTCATTCCAAGGCGTGTTAGCTTCCCTCTGTGGAGGAATGACTGAGCCAGGTTCCATGGTGTCTGAGTGAGGGGTATGGGTGAAGAGTCTTTTCAGCCAAGGCTTTGATGAGCCCTCAAGTTTGGCTGCACTAAGCCCCGAGTCCTGGGCTCACTCTCTGCCCTTCTTCAGGCCCCAGCAGTTCCAAACCAAGCCAGCATGGGAGTGTGGAAGGAGCACTGGGCTGGAGTCCATGAGGAATTCTGGGCCCTTGGGCTCTGCCACTCACTGCTGTGTGACCCCAGGCAATGCCCAGGCCCTCTCTGGTCTTCTGGTTCCTCACTCAGTGAGAGGGTTGGACAATCTGGGTGGTTAAAAATGTTTTGTTTTGTTTTGTTTTAATATTTGTAGTAATGAAGGCTTTAAACACACACACACACACACAATCTTACAAGAATCTCAGTGCATGCGTAACAGAATATTTCCTCAAATTTAGCTCAATTCGCAGGGAAAATGTAATTTCCTTAGTCTAACTAATCAAGATTCCTCGTAAGCTCTCTAAAGCCTGGTTAGAAGGAAAAAAGTTGCAGAAGGGTTCAGTGGGTTTTCAAGCTGGGTCTGCATCGAAAATGCAGACAGCGTCGTTAGGGGCCGCCCATGGCAGGGGATCCGTGTGTTCTGTCTGGAATGAATTTGCTCCAACCTTCCTGCACCCCTTCTCCCTGTTGTCCAGGTGTCTGGGTGGAGGGATCGGGGAATGGCAGCTGGGGCTTCACAAGTCCAGAGAAGCAGGAGGCTTTGGGTGTCCTGTCTTCCAGCAAAGGACCTGTGTACCTGGGTACTAGATGCCCAAGATTTGAGGGCTGGGTTCTGCTGCCCATGCCACTCACGGTCTGGCCCTTCTCAGCCTGGTCAGACCCAGAGAGCTCTCCGGGGTTGACGTCATCCCACTCTTTGCAATGGAGCCCCAGCCCACCTTTCTCACCTTCTCTCCCTGACTTCCCCACTTGTCCGATAATACATGAGCTTATAGGGATGGCTTTGAGGGCCTGGAAACTTCCTTGTGCTTTCACACCTCTCTGTACCTTTGCTCCTTCTGGAATGCCCACTTGTCAGATACCACCTGTCTTTCAAATCCTGGGTCATTGTCCATGAGGCCTTCCCGGATTGCCCAGATGGTCATGAATCCCTTTGAATTTCCCCACCATGTCTGTCCTCCTTTGGTGCTGATCCCTTGCTATTGGGATTTGGAGGGAGCAGGAGGCCATGGTAATTATGAGTGTGGGCAGCGGAGTCAAGTATGTTCATGTCACCCTTCCCATGGCATTACTCCTTGAGCAAGTCATACCTCTCTGGGCCTCGGTTTCCTCACCTGTAAAGTGGGAGTGTTCATTCCTATCTCAAAGATTACATGAGATGATCGTGAAAAGCACTAACATTGTACTTGGCATTCAGTAAGTGCCTAACAAATGTGGGCTTTGCTTGGTGGCTAGTCGGGGCCTGAGTCTCCTTCCTCCTGGTGTGACTAACCCTAAAGGGGACAAGGTCACCACGAGGCCTGAGACTCACGGCTTCTGTTAGCTGGTATAGATTTGCATGTTACAGGGAGGAGCCCCACCAAGGATGGTGTCTGGGTGCCTGAGAAGGGGGTTTTCTGCCGTTTCCCTAGATCAATGGAATGAAGCTATGATGGAAGCATTTCAGGCAGCCACACCCATGCTGGCAAGAGCGGCCATTTTCCTGATGCTGGTTACACTGTGCTATTTTATTCACTTGACAACGCCTTCCCCACCCCACCAGCTGCGGGAAGGGTGCTTGGTAGGAAGACCAGGCCCCCAGGAAGTAAAGCACTTCACCTCCATGCAGAGTGCAGGCTCAGACTTTGAGTTTCCTCTGCTGGGTGTCAGCACTCTCCTCCTGCAACCTTGAGCTGGAAAACTTGTTGAGATACAAATTCAGGTGTTGTTTCACTGCTGGGAAAGATCAAAAAGAAGAGCTAGAATTAGCCCTCCCCTCACTCCTCCCTTGCCCCAGTCCCAGGGAGCAGAGCTGGGGGCTGGCCCTGGAGCCAATGGCTGTCCTGGCTCCCACCCCCAAGGGCAAAGGTGAGAAAGAGGCTTTTGTTTTTGAGAAAAGAGGATCTTTCTAGGAAGAACAGTGGGATTGGGGGGATTAGGGAATGGGGAGGTGGATCTGGCTGAGTAGGGAGAAGTTTCTGGAATCCAGGAAGGGTAGAAGCAGGTGTCCTAGGACAGAAGAGACTCGTAGTGCAGTACAGTGACTCCTCACTCACAAGTCACATGTTGGATCCTGAGAGGACAAGCCTGTATTGCGTAAGGGAACTCGGGCCCCTAGCCTGGCGGAGACTCCTTTGTCCTTCCCTTAGGAGCATGTTTTGGGTGAGGGGTGTAGCAACAAGGCAAAACGCATTCATTCAACATTCCGCAAAGAGTTACTGGACATCAACTATGTGCCAGGCACCCACTGCACATCATTGCATGAAACTGACGAAAGTCGCTGCTGTCACTCAGCTTACATTCTCCTGGGGAAATAACCTCCAATTGTTCTGCACTAAGTTGCCCCGGACTATGCCACCCCAATGGGGTTGGGGGTGAAGATGGGGAGGGAGTTCCCCCAAATAACTGAGAGTTAATTTTCCACCAGCCCAGGGATACAGGATATATAGTGAGTTCGTTTTTGAGAGGAGAAACAAAAGAACTGTGGGATTTCTTGAACCCCCAGAGAGGGCACCAGAGGAGGCATGAATGGCTTTTCAAGTGTAAGGCAAGAAAATCGGGAGGAGAAGTCATTTTGTAAGGCTGGGTTAGGACCATGGCATAACGCCCTCTTCAGTTTACACACAGCCCCAGGAGGGTAATAGATGGGCCCGTTTTCCAGCCACTCACCCCTTTGTGGGTTCCGCAGGGCCTGGGTTTTGAAAGCTAGCGTTTTTCAGCTCACATGGCAAATGCTTGTAACCCGTTCAGCCTCCTGGGCTGGGCAGGAAACCATCTCTAGTTTCTATGGGAGAAGGTGCATTTGCTGTGGTTTTCAGAAAGGCCAAGACCAGCAGCAGGAGGTCCCCAGGCTTGGAGAAAGCTGCCTGTTTCTGCCCTGTCCTTGCTCCCTGTGGTGGGCACAGAGAGCCCAGCTCCCAAAGGCAGCTGGAGCACATTCTAGCGACGAGACCTTGGGAAGATTATGTGACCTCTGTGATCGGTAGCCTCTAAATGGTTCCCAGTGACTACCCGCCCCCTCTATCTCCTGTGTTCAAGCCCTTGGGTAATCTTTTCCTTTGCGTGTGGGCTGGACCTGGTGGCTTGCTTGTAACCAATACAGCACAGCAAAGTGATGGGCTGTCATTTCTGAGATTAGGATTCCCAAAGCCTGTGGCTTCCAGCTTGCTGGCTCACCCTCACTCCCTCAATTGCTATGTTAGGAACTGCTCTATGGAAAGATCCACAGGGCCAGGAGCTGAGGGAGATCCCCCCACCAACAGCTGGCAAAGAACTGAGGCCTTCAGTCAAACAGCCAGGGAGGAACCTCATCTGCCAATGGCTGTGTGAGTGAAATTGGGAGCTGATTCTCCCTGGTCGATCCTTCAGGTGAGACTGCAGCCCTGGCTAACAGTTTGATCAAAGCCTCTGGAAAGACCCAGAGCCAAAGGACCCTTCTCAGCCATGACCAGATCCCTGGCCCATAGGAATAAGATAATAAATGGTCATTGTTTTGCTAAGCTTTGGAATAATTTGTTAGGCAGCAGTAGATGACTCACACCGCCTCTCTTGTTCCCAGCCTCAGTCAGTTCCTCTATGGCACGGGTTAATGATACATCTCTAGATGATTGTGTGGATGAACACAGCCTTGGGGATGGGGACACCTCCCCAAGCTCCCACTGGAGGCAGAGTAGGTATTCTACAGCACATTCCTCCCCACTGCTCTAGTTGCACAAATCAATGTCTAATTGCAAATTATGGCAAGTGCTGGGGAAGAAGAGAATAGGGAACTGTAGAGCAGATGAGCAAGGGCCTGGCCTGTCTAGCGGGGAGGGGAGGCGTCTCAGAGGAGGTGAGTTTTGAGCTGAGGTCTAAGGATGAGTTGGAAGAGGCTTCATTTGTCCTCTTCCCTGTCCCCACCCTGATAGTCTCTTCCTTTGCACTTTGCTATTTCCCATCCTAGCATTTCTCACAGTTCGTGATTATTCCCGTGTAACTCTCCACCTGTTAGATAATAAGCTCCAAGAGGGCAAGAACTAGGTCACCACAGTACACTGAGTACCTAGCACAGTGCCAGGCACGTAGCAGGCACTCAGGAAAAATGCCCTGAATAAATGAGTGGGAGTAGGCAAGGGCTAAAGGGACAACAATACAGTTAGCTAGGACAGCATCAGTGAACCTCCTGAAAAGGAGCCTGGTGAATTCTAGCAACTGGGAGGGGCCAGTCTGGCTGGAGCACAGGAATAAAGGGGAAAAGCGAGTGCTTCATATCAGGCTGGAGAGGTGGCCAAGGCCATGCAGGCTTTGTAGGCGTTGGAAAATGGGTTGACATGTGGGCAATAGGGAGCCATGGAAGGGGCAAGAGGGAGGGTGGGCATGACTGAATTTGTTTATTTGAGGAATTGCTGGGGCTGCTGTGAGGAGAATGGGTTTGAGAGGGCAAGAGTGGAAGCAGAAAACCAGGAAGGAGGCCGCTGTAGTGGTCCAGGCCAGAGATGGGCGTGGTCAAGTCCAGGTGGGGCACAGAGATGGGGAAAAGTGGAAAAAGGTCCAAGAGCAGGAGGGGACATGGACAGGGCTTGGTGGTGGGCTGGATGTGGAGCTGCAGGAGAGTGGGGGCCCACCTGGCTGGCTGGATGGGGCAACCCGACACCAGCGCAGCTCAGCTTCCATTAGACGGAGCAGAGCGCAGTGCCTGAGGGAATTCCCCAAATAACATCTCCCAGAACATAAAAAATGGAAAAGTTCGAGGCTTTGTGATTTCGAGAAATGCTCCAGGCCCCTGGAGAGCAAAGCTCAGAAAAACTTGGGCTTGGAGTGGTTGGTAAAAACTTCTTGAAACAGGAGCCTGTGTTTACAGATAGTGGAGGCTTGTGTGGGGTGAGGGCAGCTACTCCCTAGAGGTCCCGGGTCTCCGAGCTCTGCCAGGTGGGACTTGAGGTGCAGCTTCCTGGATAACTTATTTTACTGTGAGATTGTTACAAGGACAAAACATAATTTTTGTACCAGAGCAACGCATTATGAAATAGAATGCAAATTCACTTATATAAAATTTTCTGATGAAACTGCAAAGAAATCCTGTGCTTCCCCTCTGGCCTCCGCGCCAGTGCCCTGCAGGTCCGAGTTCACTCTCCTTTGCCGTTAGGGATGTTGGGGGAAAGTCTGAGAAGCTTTGATCAGGAAAAGCATCCCAGCCTTAAGGTCAGCCAGACTTGGGTTCTGCTGCCTGTTTGCTGTGTGACCTTGAGCTAATTACTGTCTCCCTCTGAGCCCAGGCATCAGTGTTGGTTGCCCTTGAAAGCACCTGCCTTTCCCAGGCTGACCACTTGTTCCTGTCAAACTGGCTTTTCGACTCTCGCAATTCTCACCTTTATGGTATTTGCTGGAAGAAAATTAAAGTTTGTTCATCTTCTAGATAGCAGCATCTTGCCTAACATAATTTCTTATGGGTGCTCATAGGAAATAGAAAAATTGAAATCAATCATGCAGAAACAAATAATGATGGAGGACCCCTCACACCATATCCAGTGCAGGATGTGACAGAAACATTTAAATTGTTAGAGGTCTTATATCAACTTTTTGAAATTTTTTTTAAAATTTTTTTGTATTTTTGAGACGGAGTCTCGCTCTGTCGCCCAGGCTGGAGTGCAGTGGCGCGAGCTCAGCTCACTGCAAGCTCTGCCTCCCGGGTTCACGCCATTCTCCTGCCTCGGCCTCCCCAGTAGCTGGGACTACAGGCGCCCGCCACCACACCCGGCTAATTTTTTGTACTTTTTTTTTAGTAGAGACGGGGTTTCACTGTGTTAGCCAGGATGGTCTCGATCTCCTGACCTCGTGACCCACCTGCCTCAGCCTCCCAAAGTGCTGGGATTACAGGCGTGAGCCACCGCGCCCAGCCTTGAAATCCTTTCAGTGATGTGCTACACTGCTCTATGTGAAAGAAAAGAAAGTTAGAGAGCTCTCGACCTCACCCCCTCATCAGCCAATTTTGTAGCTATCATGAGATCTTATTTTTAGTCAAATCTTCCCAAATCCATTCTCTAGAATTGGTGATAATCTATCCAGCCACCGTGAATAATCTAGGAACAGACAGTAATTTAAATGCACGCACACACACACAAACACACCGCCCTAGGGTGCCCATCCTGTTTTTCTAGCCCTTCCCATCCCAATTCCATGTTAAAGGTCAGTAGGGCCAGGGAGTCTGAGGGACTTGAAAGGGCCCCATGGGCCTGTTTGGCTGCACTCAGCCCAGGATAAGTCCTGCTGGCTCCCGGGAGACAGATGCCATCCTCGCCTTGGCTCATGAGTCTTCTCCCTCCAGATTCCTTGGCAGCAGCCTAGGGTGACAGGTGACAGAATTCCTGTGATTTATGATGCTGTGGAGGCTGGGCGAGGGAACTCTTCCCCCAGTAATTCCCCTAGAAAACTCATGGGCACTTGGCCGGCTGCGCAGGGCTCCTCCAATGGGTGCTAGAGAGGCAGCTCATCCCGCGAGGTGGTGTGGTGCCCTGTGCACAGGACACAGTCGATCCCGAAGACCAAGTTGTAGCTGATATTCTTCTGCCCCCCCTTAAATATCCCTCACTTTTGACTTCTACACCTTTCTTAAAATGTTCACTTAGAGATTTACTCCTATTCTTGAGAATTTCATTCATTCATCACGTGTTCTGAGGACATGAGGATGTACAACACAGATTTACCGAGGGCTTGTTCTGGACTGGGCTTCACACTGGGCTCTGGGTATGTGGTTAAGACAAAGCTTTTCCTCTTGAGAACTTCTCCTTCCAGTGGGGAAGAGAAGAGTGGAAACAACTAAGTGATGACTGTAACAAGGCAGGTGCTCTCAGGAGCCTGTGGGAGAGGCTGGAAGCCCAGGGAGAGCTCTGCTGTCTCTGCCTAGGGCCGGGACAACTCGCAAGGCTTCATGGAGGAGGTGAGACAGGAAGTGGCCAGGGAAGAGAGGGATGGGAAAAATGGCCATCAGGGCAGAAGGAAACTCCCCAAAAGCACGCTCAGGACTGGGGCTTATCCCGCCCTGTGTCCTGCAGCTTGAGTGTGTGTCCACACCAGTGCAAGCTGGGGGTCGAAGGTTGGCTGGCCAGGGTCTTCATGTCTCTTGGGTCACAGCCCCTGCAGCAGAAGCCTTGGATGATGCCAGCTGTCCACAAGAGTCACTTTCTCACTGGAAGGCAATGCTAGACTCAGACCCACCTCAGAGCAAATCAGACCAGCGCTTGCAACCCTTACTGCGCACACGGATCGCCTGGGGACCTCACTTGAATGCAGATTCGGCCTTTCTCACAAGCTCTCAGGGGATGCCCACGATGTGGTCCTCAGACCACACCTGGGCAGGGATACACAATAACACACTCATCCCTTGATTCTGTCTGTGGGCTGTCTTCCATTTGCGCTTGAGCCATCCAATCTGCCTCTAGATCACGATTCACTATCATGCTCCCTTCAGCCTATAGTGGCTGAGAGCTCTAACTCTGAAAGGAGGCAGACATGATGGCTATGTGACCTTGGGAAAGCTTTTAAACTGTCTGAGCCTCATCTGTACAATGGGATAAACACTCCTGCAGGGAAAGCTGCCTAAGCTGTAATGAGCTTAGCATCCAGCAAGCATCCCACACGTGAGCTCTTGTTCTTACAGTTCCTTTACTACTGAACTGTCCTGTGACAGTGACAGTGGTTCAATTTGGAGCCCAATGCACTTGAATTCATGTCCAGGCTCAACCACTGACTGTCTGTGTAGCCTCAGACAAGGCACATTTTCACACTGAGCTGCAGTTTCCTCCTATAAAAGGGGATTAGGAAAAACTTTCTGGCTCACAGGTTGCGGGGACAACTCAGGGATGCACGGTAGCCAGTAAGCAGCATTCTGGTACCCCGTGAGGAACCTAACTCCCTTGTTCATGCACACACGCACCTGTTCCTTCAACACCGAGCACCACCTGCTTTGTGCCAGCCCCCCGGTAGGCACAGGGAGTTGGAGATAAAGGACACAGGGCTCCTGCCCTCAGCATGTGCACTGTTCATGGTGCTGGAGAGCAGGTGGGGATGAGGCTCCCTCTCTTGGATCTGTGAATGCAGCATCCCATGCATGACTGAGTCCTACAGAAAGTCCAGCAGCCGCCAGTGAGGGCTGAGCAAGTTTTGGCAGCAAAGGGCACGGCAACAGTGCCAGCACCTTCTGGAGACTCCAGTCAAGGGAAATGGAGGAACCCCCAGGTTTGGAGATGTTTGAGACATTCCCATGGAGTGGCTTTGGCCAGACTGGCACTTACAGCCTGGGAGCACAGGCCTCCCAAGTGGCCTGGCTGCTCCTGAGCCAAGAGCAGGGCTGGGCCGGGCATCTGGCCCCCAGTGAAGGGGGTGGGAGTGGAGCTGGAATGCCCAGCACCTTTTCAGCTGAGGCCATGGCAGGGAAGCCTCTCCAAGATATTTCCTGCAATCCCTGTCTGGCCAGCCTCCTTACCTGGAGAATAGGACTCAGGTTGGGACGCCAAGATTTAAAGTTAGAGACCAAAGGGGACCCCTTCAGAGAGCAGTAGGCAGTGGTGGCGGTGTCAGGGCAGGTGCTCATACAAGAACTAGAGTTAATGAACTTTGAGAAAACCCAATATGTGGAGCGCCAAGTACCTTTCTCCAGAGACTTGAAGACAGTTATGTGGGTGAAGGATTTGACAATTCCTCTTGTTCTTGGGGACACCAAGGGTGAGGATTGGTGAGGTGCCAAGAAGAGTTGGTTTCTAATTTTTTAATACAGTCTTTCTGGTTATAAAAAAACGTGTTAATCACAGAAACTTTGGAAAATACACAAAAGTATAAAGAAGAAAATAAAAAAATCCTACAATCTGGAGATAACCACTGTTAACACGGCAGAGCTCTTCTCCACTTTTATGCATCCCAGCATTCCTGAGACACAGGATCCATGCCCTTGGATGGCCTGGTTTCCCACAAGGGGTGATGCTTAGGTTGGAGAAAACACAGAATTTGAACAAGTGTGCAGGTGTCTCAGGCAGCTATTGCTATCATGCTGTGTAACAAGCTACCTCAAACTTGCCCTGGCTTGCAGGTAGAAGAAGCATTTGTCTCTCACTCATGAGTCTGTGGGTTGGCTGAGGATTGACTGATTTAGGTGCATCCCAGCTGCAGGTTGGGTCCATCTCTGCACCACATGACTCTCATCCTCCTGGAAAGAGGGGGGCTCCCTGAGGCAGGTTCTCTTCATGGGTGAGCTCACGGGTGGTAAGTGCACTACACAATTATGTTTTAAGCCTCCGTGTCATAATCCACTGATATTTTATGGGCCAAAGCACACAGCCAACCCAAGTCAAGAGATGGGGATGACTGTTCTGTCCACCAGGAGGCCTGGCAAGAGTGTGGATGTACACTACTGGGGCTGATCACTTTGTCTACTACACTAGGTGGGTCTAATATATGCTGCTCTCCCCAAGGGTCTTGATCCTCCTGCTTAGAACATTGTTTTAGTAGATTTCCTTCTACTCTTATATATGTACAATTTTTACTAAATTGAGTTTCTATTCTACCTTTTTAAAACTCCTTCTTGGTTTCTGTTTTCACTTAGCTTTATACCTTGTACATTTTTCTAACATTAAATATTTTTGAAAATATGCTAATGGCTGCAGAATCTTAACATGTTTTGGCATAATTCATTAATCTCTTCTTCTAGGATTCTTAGGGTGTTCCAGTTGGGGCTACTATAACAATGTGATGAACATCTTTGTGCAGAAACTTTGTTGGCATCTGTCATGGGCATTTCTTGCTTCTGTTTGCCCAGTACCAAGTCCAACCTCCCTCTGAATTCAGTGAGTCAGTGCCCTGATTTCCCTTTGGGGGAACCGCCCCTCACCTAGTTTGAGTCCATGTAGTTCATGTGGCATCCATCACTGGCTCCCGGGGAATGGCCTCTAGCCACGAAAGGTATTCCATCTCACTAAATCTCAAAAATTGGGCCCAGGCCTGGCCATCCAGAGGATGGAATCCCCCTCATTACAGAGATTAGTTCAGGAATGACACAGTGCCTAGTCCCGGCTAATTAACGGTTGTCTAAAAAGAGGTGCATGACCCAAGGTGATCTAATCAGAGTGAATCCTGAGACTGGCCAAGGAGTAGCTAGGAAGAGGCATTCTCTCTTCTCTGACTTCTGCTTCAGAGGGTGCTGGCAATCCTGAGGTTGCTGGAAGCGTCTTGTTTACACTGAGCCTGAGAATAAAGCCAAGACCTGGGCGATCAATCTCAGAATCAAAGAGACTGGATTCTGCTGACATTGTACTCCTGATTAACTGTGCCTCCAGCAAGAATCCCTGCTCTTTTCAGTTTCAGAGGCCAATGCGTTTCATTTGTCTCCTAAACTGAGTTGTGCTTTCTATCACTTTCAACCAAATAATAGCTCGGTGCTATTGACAGAAGTTCCTGAGCTGGAATTTCAGTTGTCCCTCAGTGTCTGTGGGGGATTGGTTTCAGGACTCCCCCAACACATATCAAAATCCTCAGATACTCAAGTCCCTGATATAAAATGGTGTAGAATTTTATGCACATCCCCTCATATACTTTAAATCATCTCTAGATTACTTTTAATACCTAATACTATGATGCTGTATAGTTGTTGTACTGTATTTTTAAAATTTTGTGTTATTTTTAATTGTTGTAATTTTAATTTTTAATGTTTTTCTTTTTTTCCTGAATTTTTCTTTTTTTTTTTTTTTTTTGAGACAAAGTCTTGCTCTGTTGTCCAGGCTGGAGTGCAGTGGCGCCATCTTGGCTCATCGCAACCTCCGCCTCCTGGGTTCAAACAATTCTCCTGCCTCAGCCTCCCGAGTAGCTAAGATAACAGGTGCGCACCGCCATGCCCAGCTAATTTTTGTACTTTTAGTAGAGACGGGGCTTTGCCATGTTGGACTGGCTGGTCTCGAACTCCTGACCTCAGGTGATTCACCCTCCTAGGCCTCCCAAAGTGCTGGGATTACAGGCGTGAGCCATCACGCCCGGCTTTTTTTTTTTCTTTGAGATGGAGTTTCACTCTTGTTGCCCACTATCTCGGCTCACTGCAACCTCTTCCTCCCTCATGAGCGATTCTCCTGCCTCAGCCTCCCAAGTAGCTGGGATTACAGGCGCACGCCACCATGCTTAGATAAAGTTTTGTATATTTTTAGTAGAGATGGGATTTTTTTCTGAATATTTTTGATCTGCGGTTGGTTGAATCCAAAGGTGTGGAATCCGTGTATACAGAGGGCTGACCATACTGAGCTGAAGGACATAAACATTTTTTAAGCCTCTCAAGACCTCTTAGCAAATTGCTTTCCAGGGAGTTTATACAAACAATTCTACAGTGAGCCCATCTTAAAAGCATTTGTCTGTTGCTTTATTTTGATAGGCAATAATTGTATGGTTGAAATATTTTTATGTTTATAGGCCATTTTATTTCGTGGTTTGCTGAATATGAGCAACTGGTGTCAATTTTTTTTTTCTTTCTTTACTTCATAAGTATCAAAAACATTGATATAAATATCAAAAACATTGATCCTTTCCCAGATTCCTCACCATTTCCCCCCAGCTTATTGTCTTTTGATATTTTGATGCACTCTGAAGTAGATGTATTTGTAACTTTTTTTTTTTTTTTTTGAGACAGAGTCTCACTCTGTCACCCAGGCTGGAGTGCAGTGGTGCAATCTCAGCTCACTGCAACCTCCACCTCCTGGGTTCAAGTGATTCTCCTGCCTCAGCCTTCTGAGTAGCTGGGATTACAGGCGCCTGCCACCATGCCTGACTAAGTTTTTGTATTTTTAGTAGAGACAGGGTTTCGCCATGTTGGCCAGGCTGGTCTCGATCTCCTGAACTCAGGTGATCCACCTGTCTCGGCCTCCCAAAGTGCTGGGATTACAGGTGTGAGCCACTGCACCAGGCGTATTTGTAACTTTTATATTGTCAGATTGTTTTTGGGTGTTACTCCTGTCGTTTCCATGCTTTCAAAGTCCTTCCCTATTGAAGACCAGGTGAATATGGACCAAGTTTTCTTCTTTTTGACATTCAGGACTGGGCACGGTGGCTCACACCTATAATAGTAGCACTTTGGGAGGCCGAGGCGGGCAGATCACTTGAGGTCAGGAGTTCAAGACCAGCCTGACCAACATGGTGAAACCCTGTCTCTACTAAAAACACAACAATTAGCCAGGCATGGTAGCAGGTGCTTATAATCCCAGCTACTCAGGAGGCTGAGGCAAGAGACTTGCTGGAACCCAGGAAGAGGAGGTTGCAGTGAGCTGAGATTACGCCACTGCACTACAGCCTGGGCTACAGAGTGAGGCTCTGTCGAAAGAAAGAAAAAGAGAGAAAGAAAGAGAGGAAGGGAAGGGAAAGGGAGGGGAGGGGAGAGGAAGGGGAGAGGAAGGGGAGGGGAGGGGAGAGGAAGGGGAAGGGAGGGGAAGGGGACGGGAGAGGAAGGTAAAGGAAGGGGAGGGGAGGGGAGAGGAAGGTAAGAGAAGGGGAGGGGAGGGGAGAGGAGGAAAGGGGAGGGGAGGGGAGAGGAGGAAAGGGGAGGGGAGTAAAGGGGAGGGGAGGGGAGGGGAGGAAAGGGGAGGAGGGGAAGGGAAGGGAAGGGAGGGAAGAGGAAGAGGAAAAGGAAGGAAAAGAAAGAGACATTCAGATGCCCAGTGTTTCTCTGACTATGATTTCAGAGCTGTCTGTGTTGGAATCACCCGGGGAGAATGCTAAAAATCCAGATTTCTGGGGCCTCGCCCTAGAAACAGAGTCTCTAAGAGGAAGCCACAGTTCTCTCCATTTTTAGCAAGTCTCACATGTGGTTTCAGTGAACACTAAAGTTTGAAAACCACTGCTCAAAAGAATGATAGGGCACAATTTGAAAAAGAACACAATCCAATTCCCCCCTCCCAAGAGCCAACTTCCCCAGCACCAGCCATTTGGCAATAATCCAATTCTTCCAGGATAGTCTGTGGGAAGAATTTTCTCATGCTTGAAGTTGCTTAAAGCTGGGATTCACTGGCAGGTAATGAGCTCTTGGTCTCAAAATGTCCAAGCCCGGGACTGTTGGTGTCTTGGGATCCCACGGTCCAGTTGGAAGGTCAAATGAAATGACATTTCGTAAGGTACCTGAACTAGTGCTTTTTATTTTTTCTCCAAATGCCCTTGAAGGTTTTTCTCCAGCTAATATAGAACCTATGAGAAAAGTGCTTTGAAGGTGCAGGGTCATGGGGGAGCGAGCTTTCTGTAAGACAAAAAGCCAAGAAAGGAGAAACAGCATTCTGGTACTTACCAGCAGCCTGAGGTAGCCGCGCTGTTAAGCGCAATGCCGTGTCCAATTCACGGCCCCAGCCCTGCCCAGGGGAGGCTGGGAGCTCCCAAGGTACCCAGATGCTGGCTGCAAATGTCGACTGGTGGCCAGGCCATTGCCACGCCAAGCAACTGTTCCAATCCCGCTCCTCCCCAAGGAGTGTGACAAAATGTCTGAGCTAGATCAAGCACGACAGGTGCACAGCAGGCAGGTGATAGGGGACAGAATGACATAGAGCCCTCGAAGGCACAGTCAACAAGCCACAGAACTTCACCCTGGGCGTAGAAGGTGGTGCTCTCTCCAGCACCTCCCGGGAGGTCAGACAGGATTAGGGCAGCCCTCCTGGAATGCCCGGTCCAGCCCCATCGTGCAGAGGGAATTCCGAAGTCCAGGCAGGGGTAGTTGGTGGTTACAGTGGAGCAGTGC
The DNA here is from genome assembly GCF_000001405.40 of Homo sapiens. Classification (NCBI taxonomy): domain Eukaryota; kingdom Metazoa; phylum Chordata; class Mammalia; order Primates; family Hominidae; genus Homo; species Homo sapiens. The sequence goes on along the minus strand of NC_000014.9, from coordinate 94,011,080 downwards.
CTGGCTTCAGCATGTAGGATTTGCCATTACTCTAAAGCAGTGGTTTTCAAAATGTAACCCCAGGACCAGCAGCATCTGCCACATCTGGGGACTTGTTAGAAATGCAGATTCTAGGGCCTGGAAGCTCTGGAGGTGGGTCCACACTCTGCATTGATACAGGGCCTCCTGATGCGTGTTCAAACCTGAGAGCCACCAGCTTAATCCTCTGCACTGGGGAAGATTAATGGGATACTTTAGCTTGCTTTGGAAAGAGTGGGAAAGACAGAGAACAGAGAGGCATGAGTGTGTGAGGCTCCCCTTGCACCGCCCTTGATGGAGTCTAAACCTCAGCCTGGTGTTTGGGGCCCCACGTGGTCCCCCAGCCACCTTCTCAGACTGCTCAGGGGGTTCCGCATGCTCCAGCCAAAATGCAAGTCCCTACTCCGGCGTTTCTGTCCCTTTTCTTTAGTGCAGCCTCTTCCTTCTGAGATCCCACTCAAACCCTACCTGAGGTGCCCTCTTTCCTGTGAAGGTCTATGAGACAAGAAACTCGGAACAGCGGCTCCCTCCTGGCTCTCCTTTTAAAAACTACACTACTCACTGGGCACAGTGGCTCATGCCTGTAATCCCAGCACTTTGGGAGGCCAAGGCGGGCGGATCACCTGAGGTCAGGAGTTCAAGACCAGCCTGGCCAACATGGTGAAACCCCATCTCTATTAAAAATATAAAAATTAGCCAGGCATGGTGGCACGCGCCTGTAGTCCCAGTTACTTGGGAGGCTGAGGCAGGAGAATCGCTTAAACCCGGGAGGTGGAGGTTGCAGTGAGCAGAGATTGTGCCACTACACTCTAGCCTGGGTCACAGAGCAAGGCTCAGTCTCAAAAACAACGACAACAAACAAACAAACAAACACCCCAAAATATAACTCTACTACTCTTAAAACCTGGCCACAATCAGCCTTCCTTCTTCCGTGTATCTTTCCTATTTAACTCCCTGGCCAAGCCTGACTTATCCCCCACCCTCTCCCAGCAGCACCTGGAGTCAAGCGGGCTTTCGAGGTTCTTGGCTGACAGTCAGCATCTTTTCTTTTCTAAAACTCCCCTTTGAAAGTTCATGTGCTGACTCACCACTGTTCACAGCTCAGCAGCTGCTCTTAACTTTCTGCCTTTACCTAGATAAATTAACAGCAGCTGACCTCTAGAGCTGAATTATTTTTGGGGCTGTGGTGGTTGCTAGAATGATTTTACCCCAGTGGCACAACGAAAGCAAGCAAGTGCCTTCTGTGCAGACCTGGCTTTTCCAAACTTGACCTAGAATGTCAGACTGGAGTGGGAGGCTTAAATATCCTCTCACCACCACCCCTGTTTTTTTTAAAGACAGGGTCTCGCTCTGTCACCCACACTGGAGTGCAGTGGCACAATCACGGCTCACTGCAGCCTTGACCTCCCAGGCTCAAGTGATCCTCCCACCTCAGCCTCCTAAGTAGCTGGAATCACAGGTGTGTGCCACCATGTCTGGCTAATTGTTTCATTTTTTATAGAGACAGGCTCTCCCTATGTTGCCCAAGCTGGTCTTGAACTCCTGGGCTCAAGTGATCCTCCTGCCTCTGCCTCCCAAGGTGCTTGGGATTATAGGTGTGAGCCACTGTGTCCGACACTCTCTCCCAATTTTACAGGTAGAAAAACCAGCCCAGAGAGGGACCTTGCCTTGCCAAGGTCTCCCTGAGAGTACCAACCATTTCAGGCAGCTCAGACACCTGCAGGATGGGCAGAAGGTACCAACCTGGTACTCAACTTCTGGAAGAAAGTGATGAGATGCCCCCTACACATTCAGCACCCCCATTAGCTCTGCAGACTGCTGTGGGCAAGGTGAACTCCCATCGATCCCATGGCCCTGGTGGCTCTTTACAGTGTCCTGTGACTGGGACATTCCCAACAGCCAAGCATCCGTCCAAAGCTCCTCAGTCTCAGGAACCCACCATGAAAGTGAGAGATGTAGCCCCGGCTCCCAGGAGGGAGTCTTCAGCCCAGGATCTTCCAGCCTGGCTGCTGCCCCCAACTCGGGAACCTGCCTCTCTCTCCCGGATCCCAGGCAGGCCTTACCTGGATCCCTGCCAATCCCCCAGGATGGGGAGCAGCACCCCCAACCCTAGCTGAGCCCAGGACCCTGACCACCCCCTCAATGCCCCCAGACTCTCTCCCACTGGCTTAGAGATGTTGGTGGTGAGAAAAGGAGGCAGGCAGGTAAGGAGAGGTCGTGATGCCATGGGGCCTGCAAGGCGCAGGCTGGTCAGTACAGGCCGGAGCACTCTGAAGCATGGGGGCTGGGAAAGGGGGTCCTGGGGGTGGAAACCCGCCTCCTTGGACATTTCCTGAAGGGTTTGGGGTGTCTTCTGAGCCACTGGTCCCCGAAGCTGTCCCATGACCAGCACACTTTGGGTTCCGTGAGCAGTGCGATCAGTCTTACAGTCTCCATTTTGTCCAACATGAACTCCTGGGAGGGAAAATAAATCTCTCACCTGACAGTGTTTTGGCCTCTGGACGCTGCTTTCTAGGTACCAAAGCATCATCAAAGGCTGACCTACTTCTCCTTTAACTCTCACAAGCGCCCTGCAAAGGATGTGGTATCAATGCCACTGGGTAAATGAGCAAACAGAGGCTCAGAGAGGTTAGGTGACTTGTCTGATGTGGCACAGCCAGGAGTGACAGAGCTGGATGACTAGGAGTCCAGATCCTGGTGTGACTTCCTGAAAGTGGTTGCCTGCCTCTTCTCACTGCCTCTTCCAAGAAGCCCACCCTGACTGTCCCCAGCCTCCCTCTCTGAAGGGCATTCGTTTCTTAAGGACCAGATGGGCCTCCATCTCCTGTTGCCTAGCAGAATGCTGAGCATATTCAGGTGGCTCAATTCATGTTGGCTGAGTGACTGACAGATGTCAATCCAGAGGCCCAATCTGATTGTTGCTTGGGACCCTGTGACATCACCACATAATTTCTTCCCTTTTCTTGGGAAGAAGATGAAATTAATACACTGTGACTATTTAGACAAACATGTCCTTACTCAGAAATCTCATTTCTTTGCAATATGAATAAGTTCCAAGTTGTATATAACTAGGGATGCCAATTACACAGACTTCAACTGAATGGTGCCCACTGAGTTGTGCCATGCAGCAGCCTCGGTACTGCCTGTGAGGCTCCTGGAGAAGTCCTTCTGAACTGAGCCACAGGCTTGCTCACTGCTGACTGTTGCACTGGACACTAGGGAAGAGACCTGCCCCTCAGGGTTCCTGGGGAGCTAAGTATCCCGTGTTTGGATATCTGCACGGAACCTGCCTCAAATGAGGTAAGCAAGTTCTGACTTAGGATGAAGTCAGTGCTAAAGGTAGAAGACAGGAGAGTATGGAAAGGATGGGTCTTTGATGATGCCTCTGAGCCTAGGATCACACCATGCCTGAAACCCACCCAGGCACCAAACTTCCACTCATGACACAAGATGTGCCCTGGTAGAGGAGCCAAATGACCTCAGAAAAGAACAAAGTTGGAAGACTCACACTTCTCAATTTTAATATTTATTACAAAGCCACAGTAATAAAGACAGTATGGTACTGGCATAAAAACAGGCGTAGCGATGAATGGAATAGAATCAAGAATCCAGAAATAAACTTTTCATATTACGGTCAATTGATTTTTGACAAGGGTCCTGAGAAAACTCAAAGGGGAAAAATAGAACTTTTTAAACAAATGGTATCAGGACAACTGAATATCCTCATGCGAAATAATGAAATTGGACCCCTACCTTACACTATATTAAAAAATCAACTGAAAATGAACCACAGACCTAAACAGTAGAGCAAAAACTATAAACTTCTCACAAGAAACAGGTGTAAATCTTCATGACCCTGGATTAGGTAATGGCTTTTTAGATATGACTCCTAAAGGACAAATACATACACATACCCAAAGTAAAACTGTTGGATTCTCGGCCGGATGCAGTGGCTCACATCTGTAATCTTAGCAATTTGGGAGGCCGAGGCAGGTGGATCACTTGAGGTCAGAGTTGAAGACCAGCCTGGCCAACTTGGTGAAACCCTGTCTCTACCAAAAAATACAAAAATTAGCCAGGTGTGGTGGCGCATGCCTGTAGTCCCAGCTACTGGGGAGGCTGAGTCAGGAGAATCGCTTGAACCCAGGAGGCGGAGGTTGCAGTGAGCCAAGATGGCGCCACTGCACTCCAGCCTGGGTGATAGACTGAGACCCTGTCTCAAACAAACAAGCAAAAATACAAACAAACAAATTGGATTCCATAAAAATTCAAAACTTCTGTGCTTCATCAAGATAGTAAAAAGATAACATGCAAGATAGAAAATATTTGCAATCATATATTTGATAAGGGACCTGTATCCAGAATGCAAAAAGAATTCTTACAACTCAACTAAAAAAAGACAAATAGGCCGGGAACAGTGGCTCATACCTATAATCTCAGCACTTTGGGAGGCCGAGGCGGGTGGATCACTTGAGGTCAGGAGTTCGAGACCAGCCTGGCCAACATGGTGAAACCCCGTCTCTAATAGAAATACAAAACTTAGCCGTGTATGGTGGTGCATGCCTTGTAGTCCCAGCTACTTGGGAGGCTGAGGCAAGACAATTGCTTGAACCCGGGAGGCAGAGGTTGCAGTGAGCCGAGCGAGAAGTGCCATTGCACTCCAGCCTGGGCAAGAGAGTGAGACTCTGTCTCAAAAAAAAAAAAAATACAAATAATCAAATTTTTTAATGGGCAAATAATTTGAATAGACATTTCTCCAAAGGAGAGATACACATGGCCAATAAGCACATGAAAAGATACTCAACATCATTAGTCATCAGAGAAGTGCAAATCAAAACCACAATGAGATGCCACTTCACACCCATTAGGAGGGCTAAATTAGAAAAAGTTGACAATAGCAAATGTTGGCAAGGATGTGGAGAAATTGGAACCCTCGTACATTGATCATGGGGATGGTAAATGGTGCAGCCACTTTGGAAAAGAGTTTGGCAGTTCTTCGAATGTTAAACATAGAGTTAAGAGATGACCCAGCAATTGCACTCCTAGGTACGTACCAAAGAGAAGTGAAAACATATCTCTGCATAAAAATGTGTACACAAATGTTCTTAGCAGTAATATTCATAATACCTAAGGAATGTAACAATCCAGATGTCCGTCAACTGATGAATGGATAAACAAAAGTTCTATCCATATAAATACGCCCATACCATGGACTATTCAGCTATAAAAATAAAGCACTGATTCGTGCTGGGACATGGATGAACCTTGAAAACATTATGCTAAATGAAAGCAGCCAGACGCTAAATGAAAGCAGCCAGACGCTAAATGTATCTTTTTGGGGGTGATGAAATGTTCTGGAATTAGAGAGGGGTAATGGCTGTGCAATTTTGACTATACTGAAAACACGGACATGCATAATTGTAAGGGCTAAATGTTATGGTATGTGAATTATATCTCAATAAAGTTATTATTTTAAAAAGACATGCTGTGTTGTCAATCAAAGCCAATCTGATCACGTTTTCTGTTACTGCAGTAACAGCATCCTGACTGATGGGGGCGGTGAGGAAAGAAGCCCAGTGGACTGACAGTGTGAAGTTTAAGGTGAGGACCCTGTGCAAGAGGCTCCCTCAGTCACTGAAATGCCCGCTGCCAGCGTTCTCATATGTGTAAGTGTGATCATACCTGTTTGTATCTTCGTGCGTGCAAGTTGATGTTTGTGTGCTTATTTGCAGGTGTGTCTGTGTATGTCTCATGTGTGGGTGTGCAGAAAGCACACATGGATGTTGATGGGTGTGTACTGTGTGTGTGCGTGTGCCTGTGTGTGATGTGTCAGTGTGGAGCTACATATGAAGACCAGGTGGGAAGTTCCTCTATGCACCTTCTACACTGACCCTTCACCTAGTGGGTGCTCAAGTTTGTAGACTAATAGAGACCTTAGGACCTTACTGCACCAGGCACCAATGTAGCTATGGAAAGAAGAGCTGATGGGGGGCTAAACACAAATGCAGCCTGGGCTAAGGAGCAGGACTAGCTCAAGTTGGAGTCTTGCCTGGGGCAGTCAGGAGCCCCGCAGCCATCTGTCTATCCTTACCTTAATCAGATCGAGCTTGGAGAAGAGATCCATGCTCTTGGGCACGCCGTGGGCAGAGGGGCAGCACTGCCGGGCCATGTTGGTGATGGTCATTTGCATGTAGCCGAGCAGCTGATCCTGCAGGAAAGAGAAGGAGGAGGTGGTGGCTCAGGCTCTCTCCCAGCATCCCCTGCCCCTGCCCTGGCTCACTCCAGCCAGCGAAGTGTCGTGGACAGAGCTGGGACACTGGGAGTGTCCTTCTCATCATGGTCTATATTCCTCTCCTGCGGGGCTCGGTTGAGTTCCTCCCTACGTCAGAGCCTGAGCAGCCTCCTCTGCAAAGAGGCAGGTTGGACTAACTCCTTTCAGAAGGGCTTCCTGGCTGGAGGCATCGGGGTCCACACCTCGTTAGAAGCAGAGGACTGGGAAGGGGCATGGAGTGGGGCCCTGGACTTCAGACCTCCAGGATCCTGGTCTGCTGCAGCAGCTTAGAGAGAGAGACCTCAAAGGGGCTCTGTAGACTGTGACCCACCCAGCTCCCTCCCTAAGCCCCTTGCCTTGGCTGGAGGTCAGCAGCCAATAGCCCCCAAGCCTCGTCTTCCAAACTCAGATCCCTCGAGGCCCAGTCAGTCTGGACCTGAGCAGGTCTCACACTCACTCCATGACCTCATCCTGTGCAGGGAAGGTGTGCCCAGCGCAGCCCTGTGCCCAAGCCATGGTCCTAACTGTCCTCCCGCAGTCCCGGAGGCCAGAAGAACATAGACTGTTGCCTCCGTTTATGGCGAGGAACCGGGGTCCAGGGGTGACCAGACCACACTCCCAAGGCCAGTAAGGGGCAGTGCAAGAGCTGAATTCTGGAATCCCTGGAATTCATGGCCATGGACTTTGGCCATGACTTGTTCTTTCTGAGCCTCATTTTTCTCATTTGTAAAATGAGTGTGGGTAAAATTCACCAATATTTAAGAACACCTACTCCAGGTCAGACTCTCTGATCAGAGAGACACCAGCCTTACTGAAGACAGTACATAACAACCACTCACTTAAACACCGTTATCTTATTATTAACCACAAACATTATACAAGGACTAAGAGCTCGGCACAACACCAAGCCCTGGGACTGGGCCGGTGGATCCCGGCTCTGGTTCTTGGCAGAGCTCTGTCCTGAAATATCTGTGGCCTCAGTTTTCCCATCTGTGAAGTAACATCGGACCCCTCAAAGAGAGGCCCTTTGAAAGCAAACTGTCACCAAGGAGAAGAAAGTGGTGTGGGTCTGTCTGTGTGTGTGTCTGTCTCTATGTATGTCTCTGCATGTGTCTTTGTGTGTGTATGTGTCTGTGTGTCTGTGCGTGTGTTTGCATGTCTGTGTGTGTGTCTGTGTGTGTCTGTGCATTTGTGTGTATGTGTCTGGCTGGGTCTGTCTATATGTCTGGTTGTGTCTGTGTGTCTATGTGTCTGGCTGTGACTATGTCTGTGGGTGTGTGTGTCTGGCTGTGTGTGTGCCTGTGTGTCTATGTGTCTGGCTCTGTGTGTGTGTGTCTGCGTGCGTATGTGTCTGTGTGTTTTGGGATTGATGATGGAGACATCAGCTTCCCCTTCCCCACCCCTAACCCCACCCCCAGGCTGAAAGACTGGACTCACATTATAGCTGCTGCTGGTGTGTGTGTCAAAGTCAATGTCCTTCTGGTAAGTGATGCTGTGCTTCAGCTGCCACCACTGCTCCTGCTTGCGGTAGCACTTCTTCTGCAGCTGACACAGCCGGATCTTGAGGCTCTGGGGCAGAGGGAATGGGCCATCTTGGTACAACAAACCCTCCAGGGCATATGCCCTGGTCTGAGTCCCCAGGGTGGTCTGTGCAATGACAGGATAGGAGGAAGGAATACTTGTGGGTGGCTGGGGCCATTCAAGGCACCAGAGATGCAGAAAAGGGCGTGTCCAGGCTGATGGAGTTTACCTGAGCCCCAGTTCCTGATAATTTTATAAAGGGGAGTTCCCCTACACAAGTTCTCTTGCCTGCCACCAGGTAAGATGTGCCTTTGCTCCTCCTTCACCTTCCACCATGATTGTCAGGTCACCCGAGCCATGTAGAACTGCGAGTCCATTAAACCTCTTTTTCTTTATAATTTTGTTTTTTTTTTTTTTTTGAGACAGTCTCACTCTTTTTGCCCAGGCTGGAGTGCAGCGGAACAATCTTGGCTTACTGCGACCTCCGCCTCCTGGGTTCAAGTGATTCTCCTGCTTCAACCTCCTAATTAGCTGAGATTATAGGCGCACACCACCATGCCTGGCTAATTTTTGTATTTTTAGTAGAGATGGGGTTTCACCATGTTGGCCAGGCTGGTCTTGAACTCCTGACCTCGAATGATCTGCCCGCTTTGGCCTCCCAAAGTGCTGAGATTACAGGAGTGAGCCACCATACCTGGCCCCCTTTTTCTTTATAAATTACCCAGTCTCAGGTGTTTCTTTATTAGCAGCATGAGAAGGAACTAATACATGCCCCTGGCCAGGCCCTGTGGGATAGGAATTTGAAAGATACAGAACAGGCCAGGTGTGGTGGCACACGCCTGTAATCCCAGCTACTCGGAAGGCAGAGGCAGGAAAATCGCTGGAGCCTGGGAGGCGGAGGCTGCAGTAAGCCGAGATCACTCCACTGTACTCCAGCCTGGGCGACAGAGTGAAACCCTGTCTCCCAAAAAAATGAAAGAAAGAAGGAAAGAAAGAAAGAGAGAGAGGGGGCGAGAGAGAGAGGGAAAGAAAGAAAGAGAGAGAGAAAGACAGACGCAGGACATACCCCCGTGGCCCCGCTTCTCTGAGGCTTACTTTCCTCCCCTCGAAAATGGGAAGAATAGCATGGCTGGACTTGCCTTTCCCTAGTCCCAGCCCTTGGAATAGTAGCACCTACCTAGAGGTGCTGGCGTGATATTTAAGTGAGATAAAGCATGTAAAGTGCTTCACGCAGTGCCCAGCCCATCCATGAATTCCATTCTCCAAAGAAATGGTACAACGTGGTGCAGGCTTGCAGCGCTGCCACTAGGGGGCAGATGCTCTCTCCAAAACTACGCAGCAACCCTTTGCAGTGAACCAACCGGCTGGTCATCCTTCCTCTGGGATCCCGAAGTCCCCGGTCCCAGTGGCAGCATGAATCTTCATGATGCCACGCCTTTGTCAGGGCAGGCTCTTCCACCTGGAGTGCCCATCCCTCCCAGCGGAAGTCCTATTTATTATGCGATAACTACAAAGGAAGGGAAGGGAAATGATGTCTCTGGCACTTACTTTGAGGCAGTTTGTGTTTGGTGCCTCGCAAGGACGCTAGCAACTAGGGTGTGTTGCCCCCACTTGACAGATGCAGAAACTGAGGCTCAGAGAGGCTACAAACTAGTCACACAGCTAGTCAGTGGCTGAGCTGGGAGCCGAGCTCCAGTCCCTCTGCATCCAGGACACATGGCTTTTCTACCACGCAGAACAACGTTAGGCACGAGCTGAGCCTCAGGCAGCAGAGGGGAGAGGAAGGGGATATGGAAGGCGGCTCAGGAGCGACAGCCCCACCGAGGGCCCCCCAGCATTACGCCGCTGCTCCCTCTAGGCCTTCCCCAGGGCTATGCAGGAAAGGGGGCCCCACGCCCCCAGCTCCCTGGGCCACGGGGAATGGAGCAGACTTCAAGCAGCTGTTACCAACATGAGAGCCCTGTGGTCCTCCTCCAGAGACTCCAGGCTCCGGTGGACAGCCTGGATCATCTGGCAGAAGGCCTCGAGGCGCTTCTGCGTGTCCTGGCTGGCTGTGAAGAGCTTCCCGTAGTGCTTCACCGTGGCCTCCACCAGCACCTCCTCCGGCTCCTCCCATCCCGTGCAGCCTACGGAGACAGCGCCATGGCGGGATGGGTGGGTGCCCCTGCAGTGGGCCATGCCAACAGGGTGGCCAGGAATTCCAGCTGGGGCCACAAAATTGAGAGGTGCCAGACAGTCCATGACAGTAGGATGACCCCAGACAGTAGGATGGTCCCGGGCTTGCCATCCACACCCGCCCCCCCGCCCTCCCGCCCCCTCCACTTCAAGGGAATCCTCAACCTTGGAAAGTTCAGCCAGAGACTGAGACAGGGATTCTGGATCAAGACCACCGAGCGAGGCGGGAGACTGCCCTCAAGGAGATGTTGCTGCTTGGAGCAGCCTGAGAGGGGGATAGGAATTGTTCCTGTCCTGAGCGAGCAAGTGCCAAGTCCTGGTGGTTATGCATTTTGGATGGGTTGAACAGGGCAGAATTGCTGAATTAGGAAGGTCCCAAACCACAAGCAGCACTGGGTGCTGGGTCTGCCGCAAGCCCCATGCTTGACCTGCAGCCCTGACTCCTCCTTGGCTCAGTACTCAGTATATATCCCCAGCCTCCCAGCCACATCGCCCAGCAGCCCGGAGCTCACCACCCCTAAACCCACCTCGCAGCCCTATGGCTCCTGCCTACATTTGTGTCCCTCCCTCTGCCTGAGGGTCATTCTCCTTTGCTGCACCCATTTGAGCCCCATGAGAGGTCGCCTCCTCCAGGAAGCCTTCCCTGATCTCCAAGGCAGAGTTTTTGGAGTTTCCATAGCTCCTCTCATTCTAGCACTTAGTACAGTGGCTATGAAGTCAGACGGACCAGAGTCTGAGCCCAGTGCCACCACTTCCTGACTGGGTGACCCTGGGCAAGTTCGTTACCCTCTCTGAGCCTGAGTGACACAGTAGTGCAAAGCTCATAGGAGGGGTAAAAAAGATTTGCTAAAGAGCTTAGCACAGGGTACATATTTAATAAATGGTAATAATTATTATTGATGGTGTTGAAATAATAATGATAACAATAAATATGTGTGACTCCCCTTCCCTTTTCCAATGAGTTTCCAGTACTCATAAAACAACACAGAAAACCTCATCTCAGATGTCCTTATACTCTTAGTTAATAATAGCAACACAAAAACACAAAACCAAAGACAAACAAAATAATAATAATAATGGCCAACGTTTACCAGGTACTAGCTAAATGTGGGGCCCTGTGCTGTGCTTATAAAGGATGACTTCATCTAGTCCACATAATTATTGCTGTTCCCATTGTACAGATAAGAAAATCAAGGCCTTGAGAACTTGCCAGAGGCCACACTGTTAGCGACAGTGGAGCTGGAGTTGGGACCAAGCAGTCAGACTCGGCTGCCTGAGCCCTTCCCCACTACTGTGGGGTTGGCCTTTGTGGATTCCCATTCTGTAGATGAGCAGCTCGTGGCTCCATGAGGCCACACACGGTGTCGCAGTCCTGCAGCCAGTAGGTGGCTGTGGAGAGAAAGGGCTTTCCGAGGAAGCTGTGTACATACCCTCGGGGATTTTCTCAAGGACCTTAATCAGATAGTCTTCAAAAAGCTTGTGCTTCTCGACTTCTCTCTTGAGCTTCTTCTGCCTGTAGAGCCAGATGCAGGAACATGGCCTGGAGGCTCCCAGGTCACGCAGGACCCCCTGTGAATGAACCTGGACCACCCTCTGTGATCTCCTGCTTGGACGTGCACTGGGCCGGCCACGTACCACTTTATCAGTTGGCCATAGACTTAGGAGTCTCTGCACCTTCATTTCACTGCTGAGCAAACTGAGCCACAAGCAGATCAAATAAACGCCCATAGCAGCATCTCCCAGGCAGCAAAGAAGGTATCTGGGGGAGAATGAAGGCTGAGCCTTTCTGGCCAGAGTCTTCAGTGCCTCCCCTGGAGGCTGTGCAGGTGGCTGCCATCTCAGGAGACAGGCCGGCCCCTATTAGCTGGTGACGTGGGGCCAGCTGCTTCACCTCTCTGTGCCCGGGTTGCCCATCTACAGCAGGGATGATGTGAGCTGCTGGCCAGGGTCATGCGTGGGGCTCCCAGTGCCTTGGGGGCACTCCATCAGAGGTGGGGGCCCCACCAGCCCCCAGAGGGGAGGCGGCCACGTGCTATTGCCTGACCATACTTGACTCTTTGGGGAATCCCTAAGCAAGTCACCAACAGGTCACCTGCTCTGGACCCAGCCAAGGTCAGCAGTCAAGGGCAGAGACCAGAGTGGGGCTTGGCCTGGCCAGCTGGCCAAGCTCCCAAGCCACTCTGACTGTCCAACAGGGGCTGTGCTGGGGGTTTCTGAGTGGCCCAGGGCAAGCCCCTCTGCTTCTCTGGGCCCTCCCTCTCTCATCCGTATGATTCTGAAAAGTGCAGGACAACATCATCCTTCCCACAGATACCACGTGGGGCCCTGTGAGCCGTGACAGTGCTAAACCGTATTGGGATCAGGAAGGCCTCTGAATCTGTTGGGTCAGCTCTTTTCTTCATAAAACTTTGCATAGACACATCCTTTTGCATCGAATTCAGGCTTTTGTGGGTAGCCTGAAATGTCTTATCTCCCCAACCTCCCATCCCCATGGGGTGAGGACCCAGGGTCACCACTAAGAGTCAAGGCGGCAACCTCGTAGACTGGCCTTAGAGGGGCCGAGTGGACAGGTGCAGACGGATGGTCACCCACAGTCCTCCTTCCTGATGTAGAGGCTCAGCCTGCAGAGGGCCCGGGACTGGCCCAAGATCTCAGGCCAAAGGGCAATAGCCACACCTCTTCTCTCTCCCGTCACAGCTGTTGCTCAGCCCCACCCCGCCCATTTGCTTCCAAGCCACACTGCCCTCCTCATCCACCCCCTGTCCTGGCCTCCTCGGGGACATGTTTGCTAAGTCCAGCCACTTAGCCCACTGGGGAAGCACTGGGGCTGGGGCTGGGGCAGGGGTGGGACAACACATACTTAGCCTGGAGCTGGTAGAGTTCCTGCCACAGCCCTTGAAGGTCCCCTTCCTTGTCACCAGGATTGCTTGGGTCAGCTCTCTGGCCTGTGTCCATGGCTGCCATCACCTCACCACCGCAAGCTATGCAGGAGGACAGGAGACCCGTGAGTCAGGCAGGATGAAGACAGACCGAAAAGGGACAGTCACAGCCGCAGCTTCCTCTTCAGATCCTTGGAAGCCAGGGTTAGCATCCCCACCTCACAGAAAAGGAGACAGAGGTTCAGAAAGGGGCTGTGAGCAGCTTAAGGTCATCTGGCAGGACTGGATGAGGACCCAGGGCTCATTAAATCCCAAGTCCAAGGTCTTCGGGCTGCATCCCCAGCTCTGGAGAGGTTGAGGGTGCCATTCTGCAGGGGCCTTGTTTCACTTGCGGCCCTATAACTGGTACAGCCCCATCACCCCCAAGTCTTCAGTTCCTGGCCACCAAGATGCCTGGGAACTTTCAACAAGTGCTGGCTTCAAATAAATGATGGAAGAAGTCATAGGGTCAGAGCCAGAGTTGGTTCAGAAAACAGCCTGCTTAAGGAGGAGGCAGCTTCATCATCATCTCTGCCCACCCACCCCCCATCCATGCATTTATTCACTTAACCAACATTACATGCTCTGAGCTCATACAGGTCTTACAGAGCTACAGTGGAGACTGAGAAGAGATGCCTTGAAGAAGCTCATGGTCAAGCTGGGAAAATGGTCTAGTTACAAGTAGCTTCAACACGGTCTTGCAAACTGTTCCTGAGCCACTCACCCAAGGCCAGTATGCAAGCATGACCCTCATTGGTCAGCTGCTGAACCAGCCCAGTGCATTGGGGAGAGAAGGTGAGGGGCTACAAGGTCAGTCTTTCTAGCCCCAAGCATCAAACATAGGTAGACAGGCACTGGAGGAGGAAGGGGCCTAGCTGACTCACCTACAGCTCCAGGAGCACAAAGCCACAGCCAGGCTGTGACATCACAATGCTGGCTTCTGTCCTTATGATGTGTCCATTGCAGGATCCACCTGTGGGTGGAGGGCCAGATTCTCCATGGTCCTAAAACCTCCCACCCCCAACTCCCAGTCCCGTTCCCAAGAAGATGGGGAGAAAGGGCACTGGCAACCCCATGTGAGACTTGGGCTATTTTTGTCCTTTCTGTCAAGGCTGGTCTGCTTTATGTGCTGCCCAGTTCCAATTGACCTGTCCCGGGACTCTCCCTTGACCCCATCCCACCTGATTTTGGTGGCTGCAGCTCAGGCATTTCTCCATCAGCCCCCCCAAGGCTCAGCCCCACCCATGGCTCAGGACCAGGCCTGGTTCCGTGCAGGGGGTGGGAGCAAGCTGAAGGACCCATGTCTGGGAACTGCCCCTGCCTACAGCTTGGCGGTGAACCTCCTGTTGGAGCCACTGGACCTGTGCCACCGGGGAAGGTGGGGTGGGGAGGGCTGGGCCTCTTGCCCACCCTGACACCCCACCCCCACCACACGCACCACCCTGCCGGCTGGCCTGGCCTTCCCCCTCAAAGGCTTCCATTGGCTCAGAGCTGGGCAACCTCAGATGGCTCCTGGGAAGCCACAGCTCAGTGTGGGCTCCACTGGGAGGAACGTTGTGGGTGGGGAAGGTCCCCAGAGAGGGTGAAGGAGGCAGGAGCCAGGGCAGGGCCTGAGCCAGAGTGGGGGCCAGGAATGAGGGAGGGCGGGGGTCTCTGCAGGGGCAGAGCAAGGGCTGGGGGTTCAGGTCTGTGGCTGGAGTTGGGGCACGGCTGGAGCAAGATCTGGATCAAAGGCTCGGGCTGGGGCCAGGGTCGGGGCTGGGCTCAGGGGCAGGGGCAGGGGTTTGGACTCATCCCCCTCACAACCCCTTACCAGCAGGCAGTGAGATCAGCCCCAGCCAGCCCAGGAGTCCCTGACAGGTGCCCAGGGCTGCCTCTCCATGGTCCTAGAGCCCCTCGCTTATGTGCTGAGCACCGACTGAGAATGAAGGTGAAGGGTCCTTGCTCTGGCCTTGGGTTCAGACTCAGGAGGGAGGTGGATGCAGGTGTGGGGGACGTGGATGCAGAGGGAGAGGAGCTCAGGGGCTGGGGTTGCCCAGAGAAGGAGTCAGCCCAGTTCAAGGAGGGGTGGGGGAGTCCCCCAGAGTCAGCAGTGTCCGAGGTGTTTCACGAGGATAAGAATGAAAGGAGAAGGTGGGAAGGGCATTCTGGCAGAAGGAATGGCAGGGACAAAGGTTCGGAGGCACGGAACAGCTTGCACATCCTGCGCAAACCGTAGGCAGCGCCTTCAAAGCAGAAGGGGGCGATCAGGGTGGGAGTGGTTTGGACCGTGGCTGGTGAAGCTGTTGGCAGGAGTCAAAGGGTATCAGCCAGCAGCAGAGACTGTCCGGGCTACTCTGGGCAAGGAGAGATGCATGGGAGGCTGTAGGGAGGTGCAGAATCAGAAGAAAAGCTGAAAATCCAGAGAGGACAGGGGCTCAGGGCAGCCCTGGAGATCCATGCGGCAGGAACTCAGGGAGGCGCCCCCAGAATGAATCCTTCCCAACCCCTTTTCATCATCCTCTCCATTCTCAAGAATCAAGAGAGGGTGCCCAATTGGCTGAGCCTGGGCCATGTGCCCACCCCTTGGCTTGACTGACAGTCATATCCTAAGAGCCCGCATTGGGGCCCGGAAGTTTCCCAGTGCAAACCCTGGCGCTGTTCCCAAGGAATCGGGACAGCTGAGCAACAGAACCCACAGGTGCTCCTCCATGGAGGCTCAGGGACAACAGGCTGAGGAGGCTCAGGGACAACTGGGCTGCATCCCCAGCTCCGGATAGGTCCAGGGTACCATTCTGTAGGGGCCTTGTTTCCCTCGCAGCCCTATAACTGGTACAACCCCATCACCCCCAAGTCTTCAGTTCCTGGCCACCGTGATGCCTGGGAACTTTCAGTAAGTGCTGGCTTCCAACAAGTTCTGGAAGGAGTCACAGGGTGAGAGCCGAAGCTGGTTCAGAAAGCAGCCTGCTTAGGGAGGAGGCAGCTTCATCATCATCTCTGCCCACTCAGAAATGGTCAGAGCATTTCTGAGCATGCTGTCTGGCTCAGAGTGGCGGTGAGGCTGGCAGCGTGGCAGCGGGAGTGACTCATGTCTGTGTGGCTCAGGTCTAAGCACTTCCATGCAGGGGTTCATTCATCTTCATGACACACCGACGTCAAAGCTGTTATTTCACAGAGGGCAAAGCTGAGGCCCAGAGAGGCTAAGTAACTTGCCCAAAATAGTTTTGATATTAATCCAGAAAGTCAAGATCCAGAACCATCTGGGAGGTTGAGTGGTTAGGACCTTGAAAGTGATGGATAGGGGGTCCCACAGCGGGAGGCTGTTCTTGGGGAAGACTCCATTAGCACCTCTGGTTATGGGACCTTCACTGGGGACAGTCAGACCACTGACCCTCCTCTGGCCGGAAGCAGATGCTGGAGAAGGCTCGCCAGACCCTCGTCCCTTCCCACGCTCAAAAATTCCAGGACTTTTCTTCCTAGAAGTTCAAGGCTGTAAACCACTTGACCCCATAGGTGGGGGTGGGCAGGTAGGTTTGGAGTGGGGATGGTGGCACTATTTGTTTTCCAGTGACAATTTCATTTTTGGCCTGAAGTGTCCCATAGGCACTGAGAGAACACACAGACAAGGCTGGGAGAGGCTGCAGCTCCTTGGGAGCCGTTTCTCCCACCCAGGCCCCTAAAGAGTGACTGTCACAAGCACCAGGGATTGAGTCCTATCACGGATTTGCCACTGCCTGACTCTTTACTGGGAGTCTCTCGTTTCATTCTCAGAACGGTCCTCTAGGGTGGTGGTAGCACTGCTCCATTTTGCAGATGAGAAAACTGAGTCTATGAGGCGAAGTAACTTGCCCAAGGGTACACAGTTAATACAAGGTAACAGGGCTGGCTACACAGTTTGTGGGGCTCAGTACAAAATGAAAATGCTGGGCTCCTTGCACAAAAATTATTAAGAACTTCAAGATGCAATAGCAGAAGATAAAGCCAAATGTGGACTCTTGCGAGTACAGATCCTGCATAACTGCATACGACCCACGCTGGGATGTGGACCCAGGTCCAGGGATTCCAGATGTAGTTATTCTCCATCCTGCTCCTTAAAACCCACAGGCCTGCCTCAGACCCCTCTTCACCGCCCTGGCTCTTCCTCTTCTTCCTCCCCCTTCCCCAGCCTCACTCAACCAGCAGACCCCACCCTTCCCTAATTAGGGGAAGACTCAAGCACTTACATGGAGGGTGAAAGGAACTTAAGAAGAAAAGAAATGATCAAGGCAGAGAGACAGGAGCTGCCAAGGTTCCACAGCGGTGAGGGGCGCAGGTCTCTCACCTCCCAGACTAGCCTCTACCCCCTGGGCCTTGGACAAGAGAAATCCAAGGCAAGTCTGTCTGTTACAGGCAGCTGGGAATCTTGGGAGCTGGGAACCTGCTACAAGGACAGAGCTGCAATTAAATGGCAATAGGACCCCTTTTCAAAAACCTTAACAAGGACTCCTGGGGCTGGAATCTGCCCCCAGGCTTGGGTCACCAGGCACAGCAGAAGGAAGGGCCTGATCAGGCCTTCTGCAGAATTCACCCCATCTGCTCTACAGCCCCAAATGCCCCTAAACAGGGCCAAGGCCGGCCCTTCCTCAGCCATTGACGCTCAGGATGCAGAGTGGGGCTGCGGGTTGAGGCAGGGCTACCAGCTGTGTGGCCTCAGGAAAAGTACTGACCTCTCTGAGTTTCAGTTTCCTGAAAGGCAAAGTGTGGGTAATAGCACCCAGGGATTAAACGAGATAGTCCACGTACAACACTTAGCATCTTCTCGTTTTTGTAGAGTTAACCCATGTGTGCATAGGAGAAAGTCTAGAAAGATATGAACGAACATTTTATGTCTTAGGGGCAGGGAAAAGCGGAAACTTTTAAACTGGTACAACTCTTTAAGAGAGTATCTGTTCTGACCCTTTAGGAAAGCAAGCAGCCCAGAGCTGACCCGTCGTAGGTATTCGATGGGCGTTAGTTTTGTTTCCTGCCCACCTCTTCTCTCCCCCTCCAGAGGATCACAATGGGCTGATCCCCTAATGCAAGAGCACAGGAGCTTCAGCAGAGGTTGCTGGGGTTGGCTGGCAAAGGTGGCTCTGGTGGGAAGAGGTGAGAGGGTGCAAGGGAGACAAACTTGGCCTATTGATTCGGCCAGAATTTTACTAAGACCTGGCACGACGTAGCTCCTCCCCCGTTGAGACAGAATCTCAGCAGTCTACCTCTATCCCCTCCTTCCATTTCTAGCACAAGAGGAAAACCCAGGGCATCCTGGGCCCAGGAAGCTGTGCTGGGGCCCCACCTCCTCTGAGGCCCTCAGCCTGGCCCAGCACCCACTTCCCTGTGCCCCTACCCTCATCCTTGCTCTGCACCAGGAAAAGCTCCAGGTCCCAGAGCTGGGGAATCACCCAAGCAGGTCCTAGGACACTGTAAGGCTGTCTCCAGCTCAGTTCTCCCAAGACAGGGCCTTCCCGTGGTGGAGGATGGAGGCTCTGGTCATGGTCCGAGGGGCCACAGTGGAGTTCTGGGCCTTCCGGTGTCTATGACACTGACATCCTGCCACCCCTCACCTCCCTGGAATAGCTCAGAGGAGATGCCCTCCCAAGAGGCAGTGTGGGAAGGGGCTGCTCTGACCAGAGGGAACCAGGGCTGAGGGGCAGCCAGGGCATCATCAACTGTTTTCTTCTGTCCCAGAACCATCACCTTCCTAGGAAGAATCACTGAGGTGTGGGGCACAGAATGAATTTAGGGACCCTGCAGGCCTGGGTTCAAGTCATGCCCCTCCATGCCACCTTGTCACCTCCTGCTATGAATCTCTTGGTGGGGGTTGGCCCGGCAAGGCTGTGAGCTCTGCCTCCAAAGTCTCTGGAATCTCTTCACTTCTCTTCGCTGGCCCATGTTGGTCCCACCTGGAGCAAGCACTGGCCTTCCCTGCTGTTCCTTCTGCTCCTGTCCCCTGCGGGCCACTCTCCACCTGGCAGCCAGAGAGAGCTCGTCTTAAAGCGAAAACCAGATCTCCGCATTTCCCTGCCAAAACCAGTGATGTTCAGGTCAACAGTGAATGGGAGAAAAGCCAAGATGTATGGCATTCATCAGTTTCTGTGGTGTCAATCCGCCCGCCATGGCTGATTTCAAGCTACTCACAATTTAACAACCTGTTTGCAAAATGCCTGAAGACTTAACACTGGCTCTTATGAGCTGGTCTGAGCTGGCTACAGCACACCACCACTTTAAAACATGACAGATGAAGTTCACATTCTGGCTGATGAGGCTCCAGATGCCCTGGCTCCTCCTTGCCTATTCCTCTCACAGTGGCTTTTCTGTTCTCCTTCCTGGCCGCAGGGCCTTTGCACCTGTGGTTCCCTCGGCCTGGAGCACAAGTCTCCAAGCTCTTCATAGCACTCTTTCCCTCTGGTCTTCCAGATCCCAGCTCCTCCTCAGAGTGGCCTTCCCTGACCATCTCAGGTACCGCAACCGCAGCTTACCCTTGATGACCTCACCCCTGTGTGGCTCTATTTTAGCACTCCTTCCTGTGGATTTTCTCCCTCCCCACTGGAATGTGATCTGCATGAGGTCAAGGACTGGGACCGAATTGTCCCTGCTGGAGTCTCCGTGTCTAGAAGAATAGTACTGGACCCACAGCAGGCGCTCGATAGATGTATGCATACAGACAGAGCTTCGGAGATGCACGGCTTTGGGTTTGAGTCACGATTCTCGCACCAACCACCTGTGTAGCCATCATGAATCACTCAATCTCTTTGAGCCTCTGTGTCCTCGTCTGTAAGTGGGGGACAACAACATTGCCTATGTGATGGAGCTGTGAGGGCCTAATGATGACATAGGTAAGGCACTCAGCACAGTGTCTGTCATACTAGGATCTCAGTAAATGAGAATGGCCTCTTCACTTCATATATTCAGTGATGGGCAGCTCATCCCCTCCCACGGTAGCCTCCTCATCCACCTCTGGGTCACTGTGACCACTAGAACATCTGCCCTTTCTTGTATTGAATCCAAATAAGTTTCTTCCGGTGTCCCCTGCCTCAGTCCTAGTTTAACAACTTCCCACACAGAAAGTCTCTTCCTATTAAAACCACTTTCTTAATGTTGGCATGAAGGTTGATAGAGTCGTGCTTCAGCATGAAAAGAACACTAATGGCAGGTCAGGCACCCCTTGGCAGCTCTCATCAGTCATGAGCTGCCTGGCCTTGGGCAAGTCCCTCACCCTCACCTAGCCTCAGTTTCTTCCTCCATGAAATGAGATTAGCAATATTACCTACCTCCTGGGGTTGCTGTGGAGATGAAATTAGCTGGTATACGTAAAGCATTCAGCATCTAGCCCAAAGAAAGTGCTCAAAAGACATCACTATTGTCACTATTATCATGCCTGGTGCAGGACCACTCCCAGATCTAGCATCTGTGGCCTTTTTCTGCCCCAAAGGCCAGGCCTCTCCTGAATGCTCTCCAGCCAAGCTGGAGAAAGGGCCAATTCTGGCTCACCCACCCCAATGTGCACCCCAATCTGTCAGAGCTGCCCCCTCACAGTCCACTAGAGGGTGAATCGGAGCTTCCCAAAATCTCCCATGGGACTACCTGACCTTGGGCAGTCATTCCATCTACTGGGCTTGGAAGGAGATGTCCCCAGCTCCTGGAAAATAGGCTGGCCTGGAGCAGGAACTGAGAGTGGCTCAGTCCACTCCAGGCTGGGGTGGCTTCTGCCAGATCCCTGGGTGGCCTGGACCAGCCCTCTTTCTTATCATTTTTTATGGATTCCTGATGTTCTTAATGGTGGTAGGAGAACACGGCTAACGAGGTCAAGTAGGAGGTGAAGTGAAGAAGGAGGAAGACCAGGAGAGTGGTACTCTGAAAGCCGAGAAGGAAACAGACTCGAGATGGTCTAGGAAAGAAACAGATCTAAGAAGCCCCCAGGATTCCCCTTAGTCCCTGGGGCTGTGAATGTGGTGAGCAGTCACATCTATGATCATGTCACCTTTCATGACAATGGGGATTTTGCAGATGTTGTTTACCAATCAATTGACCTTGAACTAGGAAGATTACCCACGGGTCTAACTGATTACACAAGCCCTTTAAAGCAGAGCATTTTCTCTGTGGCTGGTAGAAGAGGAAGTAAGAGATTGAATGGGTGAGAGGGATTCAATGGGAATAGAGAACAGAGGTTCTCATTGCTGAGATGGCAGGGGTCATAGGGCAAAGACCAGAGAAGCCACTAGGAGCTAAGAACAGGCCCGACCAGCAGTCAGAAAGGAAACAGGGATCTCAGGCCTGCGGCTGCAAGGAACTGAACACTGCCAACCACCTGAGTAAGTTTGAATGTAGATTCTTCCCCAGGGCCTCCAGATAAGAGGCCCGACCTTGACTTCAGCCTAATGGGACCCAAAGAAAAGAACCCAGTGGAGCCCTCCCAGGCTTCTAACCTACAGCACATCGGGGCTGGTTCAGCAAAGACCCTCTAAGACCTACAAGACTCACTAAGAATGAGTCTTGATCTTGGGTTTTGATCTTGGGGGCCCTGGGGACCCAGGTGGGCATGAGGAACAAGGTCAATGTGAGTTTGAAGGCTATTATTTGACCTCTTTCAATTCTAAGTATCCCAAAGCCAGGAGAATCATTGCATCTGGATGAAATCCTGATGGCTTCCTAGGAAGGGTGTGGAGGAGAAAGGCCATCCATGTGCCCCACTGAGCATGCCAGGGCCACTGATGGCTCCTGCATGTATAGGAGCACCACGCTCTGAGCAGCATCTGCTCTAGGGAGAGGCATGGGACTGGACAACTGAGGCAAGTGGTGTGTTCTGACATCCAACCCAGTGCTGGATGTCACTGCATCACAGAGCAGCCCGAAATTTTCATACAGTCTGTGCTTCTTATCCTGGGTCCTGGGCTGCAATGCCTCTGACCTGGGAGCCAGGTGTCTGGGACAGCGTTAAAGGGATGGCTGGCCATTTTGAGGATAGCCAATCTAACTCCCTAGGGTCTGCGGCAGCTGTCAAGCATCTCAGTAACTCTGGCTGGAGGATGAGGCCTGACTTTACATAAGGTGGGTGCTATTTACCCATGTGTTCATTGAGACTCCCCTGCCCTCTCTCACCATCTCTCGCATGGACCCCAAACATTGCAGTTTACACAATCTCTTTGTATCAGGATCTCATGGATCTGCAGGCACACAGCGTCCCGCACTCAGAAGTGCTTGGTTTAAGGCTCTGCTGTTGCTGTCTCCCATCCTCTCTCCCATCCCCTCCTCCCATTCCCTCCTCCAATCCCTGCTCCCATCCCGTCTCCCATCCCCTCGTCCCATCTCCTCCTTCCATCCCCTCCTCCCATCCCCTCCTCCCATGCCCTCTCCCATCCCTTCCTCCCATCCCTTCTCCCATGCTCTCCTCCCATCCCCTTCTCCCATTCCCTCTCCCAACCCCTCCTTCCACCCCTCTCCCAACCCCTCTCCTATCCCCTCTCCCATCCCCTCCTTCCGCCCCTCTCCCAACCCCTCCTCCTATCCCCTCGTCCTATCCCCTCCACCCATCCCCTCCTCCCATCCCCTCTCTCAACCCCTCCTCCGATTCCCTCTCCCATCCTCTCCTATCCCCTCCTCCCACCCCCTCTCCCATCCCCTCCTCCCATCCCCTCTCCCATCTCCTCTCCCACCCCGTCTCCCATCCCCTCCTCCCATCCCCTATCCAATCCCCTCCTCCCATCTTGTCTCCCATCCCCTCCTCCCATCTCCTCCTCCCATCCTCTCCTCCCATCTGCTCCTCCCATCTACTCTTCCCATCCCCTCTCTCATCCCCTCTCTTGTCCTCTCTCCCATGCCCTCCTCTCCCTCCTCCCATCTGCTCCTCCCTTCCCCTCCTTCCATCCTTCCTCCCATTTCCTCCTCCCATCCCCTCCTCCATCCTTTCCTCCCATCCCCTCCTTCCATCCCCTCTCTCATCCCCTCTCTTATCCCCTCTCTCATCCCCTCTCCCATACCCTCCTCCCATTCCCTCCTCTCTGGCCCCACCCCTCCTCCAACTCCTCCTTCTAGACTCCCCTACCACTCACTTTTCCTCCCTGACCTTCACCCCTCCTTCCACCCCCTTCCTCCCATCCCCTCCTTTCATCCCCTCCTCTCCTCTCCGGCCCCACCCCTCTTCTCCTCTCTGGCCTCACCCCTCCTCTCACTCCTCCTTCCAGATGCCCCACCTCCCTACTGTTTCTCCCTGGCCCCTCCCCTCCCCCACTCCCTCCTTCCCACCTCCCTCCCGCGCTGTCCTCCCTGAGGCTGTACCTCCTGTGGGTAGGAAGTCTATATTCCAGGAGCTGACACTGCTTCTGGCACTTAGCAGGGCTCATGGCATTTAATTTGTGCCTTGAGGATAAAAATAATAATAGTTCCACTTTCTGGGCACTCGTCTCCTGCAGCCCCTGTCACGGACTTGCTGGAGTGTTACCTCTTTGAAGCCTCACTCCCGCCCGTTAGGAAGCTGCTGCAGTCCTGACTCCTGCGTCACAGGTGAGGACCTGGGGCTGCCCGCCTCCAGAGAGTGGAGGGAAGAGGAAGGGAGCCAGGCTGCTGGCCCAGTGCCCACACCAACCCCACGCCAGCCACTCCCAGGGCCCAGACGGCCCAAGGGAGAGGGCATTCCAAGCCCAAAAGGGTTCAACAGGCCAGACACAGATGGACAGACGGTGGGGCAGAGGCAGAGCCACGAGGAAGAGGAGGCTGCGCAAGTCGTCTGGGGCTGACCACACAGGCCGCAGAGGCCCTACCAAGAAGATCTGGCAAAATGCAGTCACCTGCTTTGATTCTCTCCAGGCCAGGCTTTCCCAAAAGGCAATGCACGGCAGCCCTTGGGTTGGACAGGCACCTGGGTCAGAAACCAGACCTCTGGGTACTGCAGCGTGGAGATCATCTGAAGGCCTCTGCAGTCCTTTCCTGGGACGTGTGGCACGGCAGACATTTGATCCCACTGGGCCAGGCAGTGCTGTGAAATATAAACCCAGAGGCCCTGAGGGCAGGGCAAAGACAGAGAGGCCAGCTGGAACACCAGGAGGGCCACGGGCAGGCCCTGCACTAGCATCCAGTCAGCACTCGTCCCAAGAGCCCGGGGCTGGCAGTGCCCTGTGGGCTGCAGTGTATCCACCCTCAGGGCACAGCCCTGGCTGTCGATGTGACTGCCCAGGTCACACGCTCTTCAGGGGCCAGGCCAGGAGCTATGACAGTGCAGTTTGGAGGGGATGTGGCTGGCTTCAGTGGCACCAGGAAAAGTGGGAAGTAAGGGAGAAAGGGCAAGGAAAGACAGAAAGAAATCTGGACACTGCATTAACGGACTGAACCTAGAAACATATTTTCAAGTCTCTGTGCTTCCATCTTTTAGCTGTGAAGGGGAGATGGCCACTTTGGACCACGAGAAATATCAATATCAAACGCCCTTTCTTTTCATGCCCTCACCTTCCTCACCCAGTGTCAGCTCATATCAGGGGGCCCTGAGCTTCCTGGAAGGTCACCTTACCAGGTGCGTACAAGACCATGCATGTGCACGAGTGTGTATGAGAGTACCTGTCTGCACAAAGGTTGGCAGCAAACATGTTTGTTAAATGAATTCTTTTTTTTTTTTTTTTTTTTGAGACAGGGTCTCACTTTGTCACCCAGGCTGGGGTGCAGTGGCACAATTTCAGCTCACTGCAACCTCTGCCTCCTGGGTTCAAGTGATCCTCCCACTTCAGCCTCCTGAGTAGCTGGGACTACAGGTGCATGCCACCATGCCTGGCTAATTTTTGTATGCTTTTTGTAGAGATGGAGTTTCACCAGGTTGCTCAGGCTGGTCTCAAACTCCTCCTGCCTCGGCCTCCCAAAGTGCTGGGATTAGGCGTGAGCCACCATGCCCAGAGGCTGAATTTTATCCAACAACCAATTATTTTGAAATGATGTGGAACAGGAGGTTGCATCCCAGGATTCACAAACTCTTCCAAAATAATTATCCCATCTTTTATTTCTGTTTTTGAAAATATTTAGGTATGCTTGATTTAAATTCCAACTGACTTATGATTAGAATTTTTATTCTCAGAGAAAAAAGATTGGTGGATGCAGCAACTTTCAGTTGCTCATCTGGTTTCAGAGGCACTCAGAGTGTGGAAGGGCCTGTATTCCTAAGAGCTCCACAGTCCACTCCCTTCCTCAATTTCTCAGGGCTCTGGAGAGGGGAAAGGTTTGCATAGGGTCAGAACTTTCCAGAAGGGTGAAGAGCAGCACACTGGTGGTTAGGCTCAAGTCCTTTCCAACATGTGAGGTGCCTCACATGCCTGTAGAGTTGTTAGTTTACACATCTCACATGTGCTCATACGTGTACACTGGGGCAACCACACACACACCTGCACACATGTGCTCCAAGAAAGAGATGGAGTGTTGTATTTGTAGAAAACAGGAGACTTCAACAGGTAGGTACTCACTATTTTTAGAAGACTAGTTCGGCTGGGTGCGGTGGCTCATGCCTGTAATCTCAGGACTCTGGGGGAGGCTAAGGCAGGCAGATTACCTGAGGTCAGGTGTTTGAGACCAGCCTGGCCAAGATGGTGAAATCCCGTCTCTACTAAAAATACAAAAATTAGCTGGGTGTGGTGGCAGATGCCTGTAATCCCAGATACTCAGGAGGCTGAGGCAGGAGAATCGCTTGAACCTGGGAGGCAGAGGTTGCATTGAGCCAAGATCGCACCACTGCACTCCAGCTTGGGCAACAGAGCAAGAGTCTGTCTCAAAAAAAGACTAGTTCATTTGTCCACTGTCATACTAACTGGTGGGTTAAATCCACCTCTTCACTTAAAGAATGTAAACTATGCGTGTGTGGTGTGCTGTCAGCTAAGCACCATCTGTGTGTGTGTGTGTGTGTGTGTGTGTGTGTGTGTCTGAATGCACCAGCTACAAGCAGGGCTGAGACCTGCCTAGGGCTCCCCTTTCCTGCTTAAAGGAGGACCCCAACCTGCACATGGTCACTATGGCTGTTCTTTCTGTGCTGCTCAAACCACAGCCACGTGTCCCCCTGCTGGTGGCCTTCAGAGCGGGTTTACGAGCCCCATTCAGTGAATCATCCCATTATATAACAGTCACAAGGCGGTGGAAATCCACTCAGTTCTCCTGGTGGCAGCTATTCCCGAAATCCAAACCTACTCCTTTGTCAGCTTGGCCCATGCCCCGTTCTACTCCCTAAGAGCCACTTTCCACTGCCCCTGCTCTTCAGCCAGGCTTCCTCCCCATGGCACTGTGGACATTTGGGCCCTAATTCCATGGGGCGGGGGGCGGGCAGGCATGGGTCCTGCCTGGTGCATTGTAGGATGTTTGGCAGCACCCCTGGCCTCTGCCCACTAGATGCCAAGAGCATCCTCCCCTTTCCCCCAAGTTGTGGCAACCCAAAATGTCTTCAGGAATTGTCCCCAATGAAGAACCACTGTCTCCAGCCAACCACCATCCCCTCTGTCTCTGTCAGGAAGTTTAAGCTAATAACAACCTCTAACATTTATAAGTCTTTATTCTAAGGGATATATACATATATGAATATGAACATACATATACGGATATATAAATATATGAATACTATATATAAATTATATATGATAACATATCTTATGTATATATTGTATTAATATATACGCAATTGTATATATATGAGTGTATACATATATATACACACACATATATATACACAGAATGCTTGGGGTACTACGTCATATAATTTAATCTTTGCAAACTTCCTGTGAGCTATGGATAATATTATTCTCCTCCTCCCTGCAATGTATATCAGGAAGCCAAGGCAGAGAGTTAAATAGACTTTCTACGGTCACACAGCTAGCAAGTGGTTGAGCTGGCAGATGACTTCAGACTCTAGGCTCTTAGCCACTGGGTTCTGAAGAGGGATCTGGGGCAGTCACATTACCAGCAAGTCTGTGCTGGGAGTGGCCCCCAGCCTGACCTCCTGTGGTTGGGAACAATGAGGCACAATGACACTGACACCCGAGATGCCTGGGCTTGAAGCCCCTGGATCCTTGCTGGGGCTTGTGATCCATTGCAAACCACAACCTCCTCACCCCTAGGCACTTCTGGGAGTCTCCGGGGGGTAGCAGGCATCTTGAATGTGCCCATGAGAAAGTCCAGCCTGCTGTCTGGGCTCATCCTTCTCCAGTGTGGTGAGGTTCCTGCCAATGTGCCCCACAACCTGGGTTTAAGGTCTATGGCATGATGAGATTATCATGGGAGGAAGCTATGGAAAAGCACTCCGTGGGTTTCTGGAAGTCATGGCTCCTACAAAGGCCTGACAAGCCCCTCTTATTCTCCAGATTCGCTTCCCCTTTCCTCAGGAAAAGGATGTTGGAACATGAACTGCAAGGAGCTCCCAGGTCTGACATTCCTGGCTGTTCTGATCTTTCAGTCCTCTGCAGGACCGAGGCTGTGTGGACGGAGGCTGTGTGGATGGAGATCCCACCATCACCGAGTTCGGGCAAGTCCCATGAGGGTCTCAGCTCCTCATCCGTAACATCAGGATGATAAAGCCTCCCTCGCAGGATGGCCGTGCGAGTGCCCAGATCCCAGGAGAGGGCTGGTAAATGGGCGTTGCCTGCCCCATCCCTTTCTACCTGCACGGAAAAGGAGAGATGGCCCAGCCTCAGGTCATCAGGACCCTTGAGCCAACCCTGCATCTCAGCCCTGACTCCCACCCAGAATGCCGGCCTTCCTCACCAAGGGTCTGGCTGACACCTCTGCGATGCTCATCACTAGTCACTTGGGATTCCCTGGTGATATGGTTTGGCTGTGTCCCCACCCAACTCTCATCTTGAATTGTAGTTCCCATAATCCCCACATGTCATGGGAGGGACGGGGTGGAGATAATTCAATCATGGAGCGGTTTCCTCTGTCCTGTTCTCATGATAGTGAGCTAGTTCTCACGAGATCTGATTGTTTTATAAAGGGCTTCTTTCTTCGCTGGGCACTCATTCTCTCTCCTGCCATCATGTGAAGAGGGTCTTTGCTTCCCCTTTACTTTCCATCATGATTGTAAGTTTCCTGAGGTCTCCCCAGCCATGCGGAACTGTGAGTCAATTAAACCTCTTTCCTTTATAAATTACCCAGTCTTGGGTATTCCTTCATAGAAGCATGAGAATAGACTAGTACACCTGGGGAGCAAGGCCTAGGGTGAAAAGTGAAGCTCAGAGCAGTTACCCTCCAGCTGGAGGCACCCCCCACCACTACAGGTGCCAAATGGGTAACAGCTGCCTGTCTGGAGCAGGTGAATCGTTTTGCTCCCTGCGAGCTCAGGCTGTAGAATGGCTGAGCCAGGGACTGTGTCCACGAGGCACCCTCCTTCCCAACTGCCAATCACAGTTAGTGCTGGAGGAGACTGGTCTGACCTCAGCTCTGCCCACATGGCCCGGAGCTGTTGCATCCAGCAGGACATGTAGGGTCCGACCCAGCCACAGCGCATCCCTGGCGAAGGAGGCTGGGCTGCTGCACTCTAGACTGGTGTGGGAGAGGCCTTTCCCCCCAGCCAAAGGGCACCAGAGAGCTCCAGCTCATGGAAAACCTGTTCCCAGCAGCTAACTTGGGCCTGTGGGCCACTCAGGGTTTAATTTTGTCCCTGAGTTCCCAAGGGTGATTCAGACAGGATGAGATTGAGCCCTGGAGGGGCCAAGTGACTTGGCTAGACAATAGAGCCAGTGGCCTCCAGGAAAGTGCAGCTTAAGGCCTGAAGACAGCAGGTGGGGAGGAAGAGGTATGATTAGTGGGTATCTCCTACGGAGTCCTGGGATCTCATTTAATCCCCCTAACAACCGTGGGAGAGAGTCATCACTCCCCCAGTTTCAGAAGAGGAAGCTGAATCCAGAGAGTTGCAGGGCTATAGCTGGGGGCCCACAGCATTCAAGGAATGGACTGGGATCATCTGACTCCAGTGCCTGGACTAGAAACTAGATGGGGCGGTGCTAACTTGGATTGCACATGGGTGGCATCTTCAACAAGGAAGACACCATCTGCACCGGGCTTACCAAGCGCACTCCCAAGCGGGAAGCCCAGGACCAAGTAGGCACTCCCACCAGGGGCAAGGTATTCATGAGAGACAGTCCTGGGCTTCACAGGCCAGGGCTTCTGCTGTGGAGAGGTCCTTACTAAGGGCTGGAATGGGCAGGCACAGTGGCTAAATCAGACAGCTTACCAGTCAAGGGATAGTGGCTAAATCAGGCAGCTTACCAGTCAAGGGATAGTGGCTAAATCAGACAGCTTACCAGTCAAGGGATAGTGGCTAAATCAGGCAGCTTACCAGTCAAGGATGGCTGGAGATTTGTATGAGGGGTTGGGGTTTACAGCAGGGGCTTGCAAGGAAGGCTGAGGTCATAGCTCTGCCCATTCTTTTTGTCCCACTCTTCTCTCTTAGCTACTCTTGCCTGAAGGAAACCCCCAGCCAGCTGCAAACAGCCCAGTGTCCCGCAATGGACTTTGCTCCTCAGAACTGCTAACTTGGGTGACACGCTTATGAGATCCCACTGGTGCCCCCACTACATGCATGTGGGTGTTGGAGAGAACAGGGCCAGGGTTAGGCCTAGTGGGGCCTGGGCACAGCAGGAGACACAGGAGGGGAGGCCTCCATTGCCACCCTGAGCCAACTGCGGGCAGCCCTTCACCGGTCCCTAGGGGACATTGCTGGATAATGGATCCTCACCTTAGTGGGTGTCCCCCTACAGGTAGAGTGCCATAGGCTGGAAGGCTGCCCTGCCCCTTCTCTCCCATCCGAGGCATGTGGCTTCTGCCCTTGCTCTGCTCTCGATAAATGGGGAACACTGTCTTCTCTCCCTGGGACCTGGCTTGGCCCTCTGAGCTGGCAGGTAAGCTGGGAGCTGGTTCCTGATTGCTCCAGAGCAAAGGCCCATTTTGAAGAAGGAAGAGAGGACGTCTCACTCTTTCCCTGGATCCTCTCCTCCCCTTCCATGGATGCTCCTTCCTCCCTCCCAGGACTTGGGGCCTTTGTCTGGCCTCCCCCATGCCCTGCAGTCTGCCCTCTGCCCATCCCCCTTCAGAACACCGCCCAGGGTGAGGATCAGACTCTTGTCTGTCCATCTTCAGCTTGGTTACTTGAAACCAAAATAAACTGACAGCAAGAGGCAGCCAGGGCTGGGAGCCAGGACGCCAGGATCGCAGGGGTGCTTATTTTAGCGGATGATGTTCCATTGCTGGGCTGGAGTCCGCCCAGGACTTGGCGTTGACTCACAGCTCAGCTCCCGGGGGCTCTTGGCTGGCTCTTCCTCCTCCACTCTCCTTCCCTCCTTCTGGAAGAGGTGTCACTGTCACAGAAACATGTGCTGGTCTTGGTTCCCCCTAGACCCGACTAGGTATAGGGCCCTGCAAATGGCCTCTCCAATACATACATGCACCCCTTTATTCCTGGGCATTCAGGCTGACATAAACAGAGAGGGATGTCTGGAAGGGAGAGACCTAAAGTGTGTGTGTGTCTTTGTAGCCACCGGCCAGGCTCGGGTTGGCAGGCAGAACCAAGGCCCTTCCCAATTCTGCCTCAGGGACTGTGGGCTTGAGTGTGGGCACACATGTCCAACAGTTATGGAATGGGCATCTCTTATGTGCCAGGCACTGCTATAGACACCGACACACAGCAGTGAACAGAAGGACAAAGTATTCTAGATGGAAGAAACAGGCAATGCACATATGGGAGATAAATATAGAATAGGTCAGCAGGGAGGATAATGCCAGGTGAGGGGGTAGAGTAAGGGAGGGCAGGTTCTAGTTAGGCTTGGGAGAGTGAAACCCACCTTGGTTCCAGGTGTGAGTCCTGGGGCTTTCCTGTGGTGGCCACATTCTTCTTCCCACTCCCTTGCAGGTTGATCAGTTGCATAGTTTCTGCCTCTGCATTTTTATTCCCCTTCTATTCCCTTTGTTTCCCCACAAAAACCCTCCCTGGAGGGCTGTTCCCAGGGTAGCTGGTGGGCCTTGTGCAAAGTTAGGGACCCCGGAAAGGCTCCAGAGATCACTGAGGCCAGGGCTGCTCAAATGCTCACCGTAATTTGTCATCAGGGGTGTGCAGATTAAAACTGCAACAAGATGCCACGGATGCCCATCAAAATAGATAATATGAAAAAAGATGGAGGCTGGGTGCGGTGGCTCGCGTCTGTAATCCCAGCACTTTGGGAGGCTGAAGCGGGCAGATCACCTGAGGTCAGGAGTTCGATACCAGCCTGGCCAACATGGTGAAACCCCATCTCTACTAAAAATACAAAAAAAATAGCTGGGCGTGGTGGTGGGCACCTGTAATCCTAGCTACTTGGGAGGCCGAGGCAAGAGAATCGCTTGAATCCAGAAGGTGGAGGTTGCAGTGAGTCGAGATCTCACCACTGCGCTTCAGCCTGGGCAACAGAGCAGGACTCCATCTCAAAAAAAAAAAGAAAAAAGATGGAATCTACCAATTGTTGGTAAGGATATAGAGTGACTGGAACTCTTATGCCTGGTTGATGGGAGTGCAAACTGACACAACTTTGGAAAGCCATGTGACAGTTTCACTCAAGTTGAAAGAAGACCTAAACTCTGACCCAGTGATCCCCA
This sequence comes from Homo sapiens, assembly GCF_000001405.40. NCBI lineage: Eukaryota > Metazoa > Chordata > Mammalia > Primates > Hominidae > Homo > Homo sapiens. Next base: position 93,979,604 of record NC_000014.9, on the reverse strand, counting down.
TCCTAGGTGTATACCCAAGAGAAAGGAGTATGAATATTTACCAAAAGACATGTACTAGAATGTTCATAGCTACACTCTTCATCATCGCCCAAAACTGGGAACCACCCAGATGTCCATCAACAGTAGAATGAATAAATTGTGATATATTCATAGCATGGAATACTACACAGCAATTAAAATAACAATCTACAACTCCATGAAACAATATGGGCAGGTCTCGCAATGTGTTGTTAAATGAAACGAGACGCAATGATTTCATTCACATGAAGTTCAAAGGAACCTGTCCTGCTAGCAGTCAGGAGAGTGGTCACCCCTGGCAGGAGGTGGTGGGTGGTGGGAGCTCTTGAGGTGCTTGTAATATTCAGATGTTGGGTGTGTCCAGTCTGTGAAAATGTACTGGGCTGTACATATGTGAAAGTTGCACTTTTTTGTGGGTATACTGAACTTTAATAAAAAGTTTTTAAAAATCAGTCCTGTTTGGGCCTCGACACAGATTATTTAAATCAGAATCTCTGGGGTGGGGCAGGCATAGGTAAGTGTAATATGATTCTAATGAGCAGCTAGGGCCAGATCCCAGCACAGTTCTCTTTCCTCTGGGTCACACTGCCTGCCCTCCACAGGCTCGAGTCAGATGCTTGAACGCTGTCCCTGCCTTTGTCAGGAGAGTGTCTGTGCTTTAGGACATCAGCGTCTGATCCCATGGGGCATGGTTCCCACTGGCATGGCTTTCAATGTGTGAATTATTCTGCCCCCAAATTGCCAGGTGATCTCAGAGAAGGCACAGAACCTCTTGGGGCCTGAACTAGTAAATGAGGGCTCTGAACACCAGGATAGCCAAGAGTCCCTCCAGTTAGAGGGACCACAATTCCCCTGTAAGACAGAATCTCAGCCAAAAGGAGCTTCTGGTCTGATAAACCCAAGAACTGGGAAATGACTTGGGACTACATTCTTTTGTAAAGAGTGAGGTAAAAAAAAATTTAGTTTGAATCTGTTTTTCTTCTTTTAAATGGAAACAAAGACAAGTGGAAAGTCAGAAAAAAGTTCACGGGTAGCACACGAGAGCTGAGGAGCATGCAGCTGAGACCGCAGTGAATATTTGGTGAGTGTCTGGGTTGATTATTACTACATATCAAACTACCTCAATCCCCAGTGGCACGAAACAATCCTTTTATCATAGCTTGTGGTTTATGGGTCAGGAAGTTGTGGGTGGTTTGTCTCTGCTCCACGTGGCATTAGCTGTGGCAGCTGCAGGTGAAGGATCCACCTCCGAGAGGGTGTCTTCACCCCTCTGCCTGGTGCTAGATGCTCTGGGGGCCCTGGGTGTTGCTTGCTTGGACTTCCTCACAACATGGCAGCTACAAAGCATCTCATGACCTAGCCTTGGAAGTCTCAGGACATCATTTCCACTGCATTCTATTGTTAAGTCCATCACTAGGCCACCCCATATTCAAGGGGAGGGAAGGAATAGACACATCTTGGATGGAGTTTGGGGTGTGTATGTGTGTGTGTGTGTGTGCATGTGTGCATGCCCATGAGGCAGAGGGCAACCTAGGAGGGGCCTGGCCTGGCCACAGCCCACCTTCCAGGTCAGATTGGGAAGGGGCAGGTGGTGGGCAGGAAGTAGAGGAACCTGTGTTTTGCCTCCAGCAAGGAGCCCAGGAAAGCAGCCCGGCCTCGGGGAGCCGTCCCACAGAGACGTCTCTCGGGGAACATCCTACTGGGTAGCAGAGTCTCCAAAAAGTAAAAAGAATCTGACAGCCCCTTCTCTGCCCTTCTCCTACACTCCCTCCATAGCACATGGGTCTGGAAGGGGCTGAACTTGAGCTAACTTTGAGGGCCACCCAGCCACAGTGGCCTGGGAAGACTGACCCAGCTGGGGTGATGAGCAATTTGGCAGGTACCAGGGAAGCTGGGGGACTGCCTGGGGACCACTGGTGTCCTTCCCATCTTTAGCACCAGTCAGACCTCCAGAACCTTGACTCAACCCCGTGGCACCTTGTATACTGAGATGTATTTCCTTGTGGAATATTCGAAGTGCGTGTAAAGGCATCCTGAGGTTTCCTGAGTTTGAATCAGTGAGAAATCATGCTGTGGCCATCATAAATCCACATCCTCCAAGGGGAATGGGCCACTGAAACAAAAATGATTCTCCCCTTAGAGGAACAGACCAAGTCATGTTTCTGGACCCCTAACTCTGAGGCATGAGATGTGAACACACGGGTGGGAGAGTAGGTGCCTGGCCATGTCCTGTCACATCCCGGATGCTCAGTGCATGTGGCTGTGTATGTGTTGTCTTTGACATTTGACCTATTCCAGAAATGGGACGTTCTTCCCTAGACCAGGAGGAAGGGCTCTCTTCTGTTGTATATCTCTGCCCAGGGCTTGCCCGCATGCCTCTGTGTTTGTTTGTTGGCTCATTTGTACCCTGGCCCTTTGTATCCCCAGCCCCACCCCACAGTATCCAGCAGCCAGACACCTGCTATCCCCAAATGCTGCCACAAGCTCAGCACCAAACCTTGATTTCTCCAAAGCCCTTTTACGTCAACTCCTTCATCTCCTCTCTCCCCTTCTTCCCTTCTCTTTCACTCCATCCTCTTCCTTCCTGCTGTCTTGCCTTCCCTCCTTTGTTGCCTTTACTTCTCCTCTTCCCCTTTCTTCCTCCTCCCTTGCTCCTCACTCTTTGTCTCCCAACTATGCGTCTCCTCGTCCTCGTTCCCTGCCTCTGTCTCTGACCCACTGCATCTCTCTCCTGTCTGGCTCTCCCCTGGGTAGTTCCAGAAACATACCCATATATGGCCTCCATGTCAAGGATCACAAATGATGACATCACGTGAGGGCCAAAGCTCCGGGATCCTCTCTGAAGTGAGAGTCTGTATTCGATGCACCCGGAGGAACGGAAGGCAGGATTGCAGCTTCCTCAGTGCAACCTCCAAACAGGAAATCTGAGATGTATAACATCTTATAGTTTGGCTTGTCAACGTTGGTCATGCGGTGGCCCCAAAATAAACTCCCTGCTTCAAAGGACAGCGTTTCAGAACTGCCTGGCAGAGCAGCCAGAAGCTTGGGGCCAGGGCAGAAGGAAAACTCGGGGAGCATGTTCTGAATTAAGACACTTTCAAGAAAATCCTTTGTATTACCCCTGAATTGTACCCTTGTTTCAGAGCCTAACAGGTAATGCATGCTTTCAACTTTCTTATACAGATCTTGCAAAAGATTCTTTGGCTGGTGGGGATTTTCGGCTGCAGTACTTACTGGAAACCGCTTGTAGTCAAACTGTGATGTTGCTTTTCCCTCTCTCTCGTATTTTCTTGAGTTATACAGCACGCTGGTGACTTTCGTTTTGGATGCAATGAACAGAGACTCAGCAATTTGCATGTACTTACCCATTCTTCTGGAGGACTCTGGCTCAGAATATCACTCTGCTGTGCACTTCTAAAAATGGAAATGCAAAAGGACTTATCAATGATGCTATTGTTGGGTCTGTAGGTCTTGGGCGGTATCTGTGTCAGACAAGTGACTTTCAGAAATGCTTTCAGGCCAGGCGCACAGATAGAGGTTTTCATGAGTGGGAGTTAATTTAATGTAGCTGTTGCAGAGTGCCTAGGCATGCACGGTATTGTGGGAGACCATAGCAGCCAAGGTGCCATGTGCTCTGCTTTCAACTGTTTGGGGATTAGGAGAGGAAATGGAGGAATGTTATTTATGTGAGATCCAACAAAGCTGTGGAATGCAGGGATGCAAGAATACCATGCATGTGTGTGCACACGCATATGCATGACACATTTAAGGAGGCCATGGCCTTTGAAAGGATGGGTGGGATGCCTCAGGGTGGAAACAGAGACCTCCAGGTGGAGGAGCAGCTTGGGCAAAGGCAGGGAAGTCAAGGGACCTGGGGTGATGATGGAAAGTGAAATGTGGCTCTGGCAAAGGGTTCTGCATGTGAAAAATGGGGGTGAGGCTAGAAGGGGAGGCCAGAGGGAGAGGCACATCCTTCCAGGCCAAGCAAGAAGTTGGAACACTTTCTGAGAGTTTTTGAGCAGAGGACGGCATGCACATAGCCACATGCATTGAGCATCTGGGATATGAAGGGACACAGCCAGGCACCTACACTCCCACCCGTGTGTTCACATCTCAGGCCCCAGAGGTGGAGGCCCAGAAACATGACTTGGTTTCTGGTGCCTCTAGGTGGAGAATCATTTTCATTTCAGTGGCCCATTCCCCTTGGAGGATGTGAGATTTGGCTTCGGTGGCTCTTCGGGAAGCCAGGGGTATGCACTGGAATGAGGAGGCAAGGAGGCTGGTGACTCCTAGGGAGGGCAGGTAAATGAGGAAGGCCTGAAGCAGGGCAGAAGCTGAGCCCCTGCACAGGACAGGAATGCTCTTCTGAAGATAAGCTTGTTTCGTGAGGCGAGGGCTTGAGGGGGCTCAGAGGGACGCAGGCAGAGCCAGCTGGGGCCAGCACCCCCGCCACAGCCCTGACCTCTGCCTGGGCAGAAGCACCATGAGGCAGACAGTGGCAGATGCTCGAGGCACTTCCAAAACAGTTGGACGGGTCCTGACAGCTGGTGGCAGGCCCATGTGCTGCACAGCGTCCCCAAGAAGCTGGCAGCAGCTCCGCTGGGTGCCATGCTGGTTTGCATCATCTGTTCTTGCACAAACAGGCCGGGTCATGAGTGCCTTGTGGTGGCGGGGGTGGGGGACACTGTCTAACCCACGCACGGTGACCTCACAGTGAACAACAACACAGGCCATACCAGCAAGCCTTTGTTGAGCACTGGCCCAAGCTTGTGTGCAGATTTCTCTCACTGACTTCGGTCAAGGCTACCATGAGTTACAGGTGATCGTTACTCCCATTTTCAGGTCTGGAAACAGGTTATGAGAGCTTAAAAGTCTTGCTTAAGGCTGGACGGCTGCAAGTGTTGGAGTCAGGAATCTGACCTTTTGGTCTGCAAGGTCCACATTCAAAGCCACAGCGTCCTGTGGCCTCTCAAGGTACTGTGGCAGTGGTAAACAGGACCATCGTGCACCCAGGGGAAATGTCTCTGGCACACTCAAGGCATCATAAGGTGCCCGTATATTGTGGACAGGCTAGATCCAAAGAGCCTTCCCAAAGGAGGCACAAAAATATCTCTGGGCCTGCCCAGTGTCCTTCCATTTCTGCGCTGCAGAGGATCAGGCTGCCCACAGGAGCCAGCTGTCACAGGAGTGGCTTGTGTCTGTGGTTCTCTTTCCTTAGCACCATTGTTTGGAATAATTAACGCCCAGGAATATAAATGAAGTTATTAAGAGCTTTGTGGTTGGGAGGAATGTTTTTGGGGAGGTGGTGCTGAAATAAAGGTAAATTGAAATTCCTAAACTATCTGTTTTTTAAAAAGAATGGGACATAGAGGAGTAAAAAAGGAGAGAGGAAAGCAGAGAAAAGAGAAGAGAAAGATTTAAATGGAGGCGGGGTCAGGGGAACTCAGAGGAGAGAGGATAAAAAAGGAAAAAGAACCTCGCCGATTTGGGTGAGATCTAACTTAAAAGATTTCCAGCCAGCCCTGCAGGTGAGGAGGGGCTATGGAGGATTCCCCCTGCCCTGCCTGAGCCTTCCCGCTCTGCTGCCTGGAGTTAAAGCCTCCAGAACCCCCTGTGTCTTCTGCCACTAAGGAACCAAGGTGAGGGTCCGCCGTCTTTGTCTGCCCAAAGGACAGAACAGGGCTAGGCGGGCTGTGCTAGGGCAGGGGTGCTGGGGAGGCTCAGAGGTGGACTGACCAGCCCCGTCCACCCCTGTCACCCCCACCTTTGGTCACTGGCACAGATGGCAGATCCTGGCATTGGTAGTGCCTGGGCAGAATATGGGTCAGGGGCCTGGAATCCTGTGTCCTGAGCTGTGAGTGTCTGAGCCACACAGATGCGGGGAGGGGCCAGCCTCTGGCAGGGCCAGGAGGCAGCAGAAGGGCCCTTCACTCAGGAGGTGGAGACGAAGGTCACCCATGGGCCTGGAGACTCAATAGCTCAGGGGCCCAAAGAAGTAAACTGGAAGCTTGACTTTTGTGGGTGCTTTTCTTAGCTGGTGGTGTGGGCACTGCCGCAGGTAGTGGGCATGTCCTGTGCAGAATGGATGCTCATCATTGCAACAGGGCACTTTCCACATTCAAAAAACCTTCTACAGGGAGGTTTTTCCTGTGTTTTTCCTTCTTCCCTCTCTTCCTCTCACCATCATTCTTGCTCTCTTTTTGGAGTGGCATCCTCAATGTACATCAATAAGTAAATAAATTACCAAGACTTTTCGTTAGGGTCTTAGACTCTTCGGGAGAGATTCACCAAGATTTGGATCAGCAAGAGGCGCTCCATTTCAGATGCAGCCTCAGTCTCCTCCTCTATACAATGGGCACAGAGTGTCTGCTGGCGTGGGAGCAGAGCCAGCTTTGGACAGGTTCAAATCCCTGGTTGTCACCTCCTACAGGGTTATGTAGGGGCAGTCACACCCCTACTCCATACAAAGAGAAGAGCCCTGTCTTGTGGAGTCAGCTGGGGCCTGCAGCCCTGAGCACACCTCTTGAGTCACCTCCAGCAGCCCCAGCCCAGCCTTGGAAGCCCCAAGGCCCTGGCACCCGAAAGCCGGGAGCTTGAAATCAGCATCAAAAGGTCTGAGATGACGCAGCCGGTGGTGGTGGTGGCTGGGGGTAAACTGGAAGCTTGGCCTTTGTGGGTGCTTTCCTTAGCTGATGGTGTGGGTCTGAGCAAAGGCTCAAACTCCTAGCAGCTGTGAGGCCCTAGACACCAGGCCCCAGGGCAGCCAGAGGCTTGAGAGCACTGCCCCCATGGCCAAAGGCCCACCCTGGCTACGACTTGGCCACTCATAGGGGTCAAGGGCAAGGTGGCTGGGATTCCATCCCCCCTTCCTTACCAAGGTCAGAGCATTTCTTAGCCAGAGCAGAGATGAAGCCTCCAGAGGGATGAGGTTTAGGGTCACGGAGCAACTGACTCCTTGCCATGCCCTTAATGTTGTGTCAGAGGGCCTGATGAAGACGGCGCAGGCTGACGTGGTCTCAACCTCTGTACCACATACATTCCAGGCCTTAGTCTCCTCATCCGCGCCATGGGAAGACCACTCTTCTCCCTAGTACTGAAAAAGTAAAATGAGGCAACCTATGAAAGTGGCCTGGATGGAGACAGGACAAGGACCCACAGGCACCAGCTTAATTTTTATTGATTAGGTTCTAAAACAACAGGACCCGGGAAGGGAAGAGAACAATGTCCTACACCTCCGAGCACTCCAGCTGGAAGCGTTTCCTTGGGTTTCCTAGGACCACCCTGGATCCTGGGGGGAAAGGCAGATCAGAAAGATAAGTTTTGGCAGAAGGAGAGAGCATTGCAAGGAAGGAGGTCGAGCGCCCTGGGTGCCAAGGAACAGCCCAGTTCCTGACTCCTCGTGTGTCCCCAGGCTAGCCCAAGCAGCCAGGTTTCAGGATTGCCTTAGCTACGGGTCATGTGATATTTGGGAGACCTTGAAGCTTTTGGAGTAGATTTATAGAAAGTATGTATATGTGTGTATATTATATATATAATATATATTATATTATTAATATAAAAATATATAATTACCTATTATATACTTATATGTTATATGTTATTATGTGTGTATATTATATAATATATATAATACATGTAGCGTGTATGTAGTGTTTTTGAATATGAACACACATACACACACACACATAGTCTTCAGTTTGATTCTGGCCTTCACTCAAATCTTGAAAAACATCCGGTGGTTGCTATTCATTGTGTGGGATGAATACTTGGTGTAAAATCAGATGTAGCCTCTAGTCTCTTCCTTGTCACTTTTTCCCTTAGTGTGCCTCAGTCTCCTCATCTATAGAATAGGAACTATAATACGCTTATAGATTTATTATGTGGTTCAAACTAAAGACAAATATGAGAGAGAAATTCACTGCAAGGGAAGGTGTTATGGTTATGATTCTCCCCATACCTGCTGCAGTGGGACGTAGTGACCTGAGGGTGACACATGGATCTGAACCACAGGCTTTGCATAAGAGCTAAACCTAAAAGGTACAAGTGAACCCTAACCAAAATACTCATGCAGCACTTGCTCTGTGTTCAGCACCATTAAATGAATTACGTGCTCACTAAATGGCTGCTCTTGTCATTTGTTGGCAGTCACCTCGTGCAGAAATTCAAGCCTCCAAAGTCTAGGGCAGCAGATGATGTGAGCAGAGAGGGCAGGGGGACAGGAGGGTTCCTGGAGAGTGGGGAATTTGAAAGGAGTGTGCAGAATCCATCCTGCACCCAAGCTGGCTTCGGGGGAGGGCGTGGAGATCCCCTTCCTCCCCAAGCTCCAGCCCCATGATTGACCCTTGGGACCACCCGGCAGGCTCTGCGCACAGCCCGGGGAGCTGACAGTCACAGCGGCAGTTTTGACCACAGCTGTCACGCGAAGGCTGGGCTTGGGGCTCATTTTCACTTTCACTCTCAATCTTGTTAAATGGAGGAGAGCTTGTGGGAATTCAAATCCCTTGGATGGAGCCTCCTAGAGAACCGCCAGCTGGGCACGAGTTTCAGGTAGCATCCTCCCAGCAGGAACAGGTTTAGGCTGTTTCACCCACTTTCTGGGATCACGGCAGAGAATCGCAGCATCTTGGGACCTGTGGAATAACACGAGCAGATTTTTAGGGGCCACCGGCTGTGTGCCAGGTGCTCCACATTTATACCTGTCACCTAATTTCACCTGACAACACCTCCACAGGCAGGATGCCATTAATATCTTCATTTTATAGATGAGCAAAGTGAGGCACCGAGTAACCTGCTTCACATCACGTGGCCAGGAGGTGGCAGAGCTAGGGTTGAGTATAGGCAGTGGGGCACTCGGGCCGTGCCACCGTCTACCACTGTGCAGTAAACTTCTCCATAACAGCTGTGCTTCCAAGGGCTTGAAGCACTGTCATGATCCTATCGTTCATTCACCCGTCTGTCCAGCATTTATTCAATACCTATTGTGTACCTGACTTTGGGTTAGTTCCTGGGGTTACAACATGAGTGCGACATAGTCCTGCTCCTCAGAAGTTTCTAGACTTTCTAGAGAGACAGGACCATAGCAGGCAGTCCAAGCAGTAGAATGTGAAGGGGGCCCTTGGAGGCAGCAGAGGACTCTCAGCCATCAGGGAGGCTTCCTGGTAGAGGAGATGCTGGAGCTGTTTCTGGAAGGGCACCTTCAGGGCAGGGTAGGCTGACGAGCAGCTCCATCCACAAACACAGCCAAGGATGCTAAGTGGCTTGTGCAGCCTCACATGTCCGACCCAAGTCCCTGGCATGACCCAAGCCTCTGGTGGAGCTTGGTGTGGTGGAGGATGGCTGCCAGCCTCCTTCTTGGCCCCGCCTTCCCAGCTGTGTCTCCTCTAGCCCCCAGTTTTCTGCTAAGACATCTGGAGAGTGACCACCTCCCACCCCAGCCCCTCAAACAACCACATAGACCCACCCCATCCACCGCCAGTTCCCGGGCAGACCCTGGCTGTCTGCAAACCTGGGTTGGTAGAGAGGGGAAGGTACTAGGAGGAAAAGACCACTTTTTAAATGCAATTTTGGTCCTCACTATAACCCTGCCAGGGTCCATGTCTCTTTTCCCATTTCACAGATGTGGAGACTAAGGCCCAACTTAGAAGAGAGCCGGCTGTGAATGAACCAGGTACTGCTCTGAGTGGATTTGCCTGAGTAATTTACGTGGATTAACCTAAGTAACCCTGTCACAGCCACTTTACAGATGTCACCTGGGGAAAGATGGGGCTTCTCAAGAACCAATGTTTGGGGTTCTGCAAAGAGGGCAGGAGAGGCACTCCTGAAGGCCCTGCGGGGCCAGGCCTCCCTTGCTCCACACTGGCCTTGGACTGGCCCCTCCCTCTACCAGGAAGCCTCCCTGATGGCTGGGCAAGGCCTATTAGACTCCTGCTTTCCTTGGGAAAGGGCTATTTTTGATTCCAATCAGCCTCCCAGAGTGTCCCTTGAGGCTGCTGGCCTCCCTCCAAGACTTAGGCCCAGAAGGCCGCCCAACCCCCAGACAGAGGTCTCAGAAATCAAGCTGGGCAGCATCTTCATGACAAGGGGAAACTGAGGTCCAAAGAGGGGCAAGGCATCACCCGAATCAATGCCCTCTCCCAAGAGATAGGTGCTCTGACCTTGTCCATTTTACAGATGGAGAAACTACTATTCCAGAGGCTCTCCCGGCTAACAACCAGCAAAGCTGGGATGTGAACTCAGTCAGGCTGGCTCCACACGCTGCTTCATAACTTCCCCCTCGTGCCAGGGCTGAGCAGCACCACCTGTCCCCCAGGAGACGCCGCCATAGCATCCCTGACAGCTGTCACCAGCCTACGACTGCATCCGTTCAGGGACAGGGAGTTTCCTGTCCTGAAGCGGCCCGTGCATTGCACACTTACTAACAGCCAGACCCACAGCTGAGCCTGTACACACATGAACCCTTTTGACTCTACCACCAACCCCATAATAACACTGGCTAATATCTCCATTTTGTGCATTTTATCCATTTTACCCATAAAGGTGGGTAACTTACCCAAGAACCCTTGAAGGCTGAGGACCTCAGTGGGAAAAGCAAGAGATATGTGGGTCCACAGTGGGGTAGGAAATTTGCCTCTTCAAAGGCAGAGTCCCTCTCTCTCAAGTAAACTCCATAACAGCTGTGCTTCCAAGGGTTTGAGCACTGTTGTGGTCCTATCATTCACCTGTCCATCTAGCATTTATTAAATACCTTTTGTGTACCCAGCCTTGGGTTAGGTCCTGGGGTTACGAGTATGACATAGTCCTGCTCCTCAGAAGTTTCCAGACTTTCTAGGGAGACAGGCCTCTAGCAGGTAGTCCAAGGAGTAGACTTTCTCAAGGTCCTGTCAAGGTTAAACCCTTCTCCTCCCTCTGCGTGTACCCTCCATGCAGCAGGCAAAGAGGCTGGTATGGTGCCCAGGGCACAGATATAGGCCAGGGGGTGCTGGGCAGCTGGGAGGATAGCTGGCTGCAGCTGGATGAGGACAGATCTGCTCCAAACCCATGTGTGTGTCAGTTGCTTGGGTCAGTGTTCCTGGAATTGCCAGAAAGAGCATTGGATTTGAGGTTGGAAGATCAGGCTTCAAATCCCAGCTTTCTATATGTCTCTCCTCCTATAAACCCTTCCCCTCCCGCTCTAAACCTTACCTGCCTCATCTGTAGAATGGGACCAATAACGTATGCGCATCAGGGTCCTTTTGGAAGGAGAGGGGCTGTAGAGGAATTAAGTTAATTCAGTGAAAATCTTCCTACCTTCCAGGGCTGTGTGAGGTAATGACATGGATAATTGGCCAATGTAAAGTCTCTGAGTGGTGTCAACCCATGGGAGAGGCTTGGGAAGGGCCTGGTAAGTCTGGAATTAGCTTCGGGATTGGTGATTCTGGGTGACCATTACCTGGCTGCCTTCGCCTCCAGGAAGGCACATGGTCAGGGAAGGGCCACTGCAGCCATGTGCTGTCTATGAGTCTCTGGCCCATACCAGGCTGCAGGGCCAGCAGCTGCCTGGAGATGATGAGGGGTCCCCACGAAATAATCATGTTACCCCTTACAAGCTGCCTACACATCTTAGCTCACATATGCTTCTACAGCATAGCGAAGTAGCTTATCTCCTTCCCATTTTTATTAATAAAGGAACTGAGGCCCAGAAAAGGGGAAGTGACCTGCCCCAGGTCATATAGCTAGTAAGTTGCAGAATTGAAAGTAGACTTAGGGGTCCTGACCTCCAGACTCAAGATCCCTCCACTCCCCCCGGGTTTTCTGTTCCCCCATGGCCAATACTAACCTCTTTTTGTCGACACGGCCATAGGGGATCCCCAGGGACAGAGAATTTGAGGTTTAATAGCACAGAGCCAAACCAAACGTCTCGCTGAGTTGCAGACTCTTTAGAACTGAAAAATCTGCGGAAAACTTCCAGCCCCAAATCGTCCTTTTGCAATGAGGAAACTGAGGCCCAGAGTAGGACAGGGACTTAGCTGAGGTCACAAAGCACTTTGGCCTTAGCAGGGCAATTATAGCTCAGCCTATGACTCTTAGTGCAGTGCTCTTCCCCCTTGTGCCCTGGCTTTGAGCAGACACCTTTAGATGGTGGCACCAGGATGCCAGGCCAGGTCCTGGGCACCAGCACTTCCTGCTAGTTCAGCACCATGTGCACTGAGCCCCTACCTTGCACCAGGCGGTGGGGTATGTAAAGCCAGACCAGCTTTAGAGAAGAGAAGGGTGTCATACCTCACTGGGCAGAGCCCCTTCCCCCCGCCACTGAAGGCAGACCTGGGCCAACTCAGACCTGGCAGGGACCCCAGCCTCAGAGAAGCAACAAAGGAGTGGGAAGCCAGGCCTGGGCCAGCTGGAGATGGGGGCTCCACCCAGCTGCACAGGTACCTCCTGCCAGTACAAGGGCCAGAGGACAGGCTCTAGTCTACCCTGCCATTTAACAGATGGAAAAACTGAGGACACAAGAGAGGAAGAGAGGCGCTCATGGCTGACTTGGGACAGAAACCCAAGTCCCTTGGTTCCCTGTCCTGGGCTCCTTTCACAATAAATAAAACTGCTGCTACTGCTGTAAATAACAGCACTCCAAGCATCGGGCATAAAATGATTGTGAGGTCATGACCCTTCCCCTCCTCTAGTGTGGACCACAGACTGGCCACCTGACATATTAATCTCATTGAGCAGGGGTTCTCAACTCTGGCCACACACTAACATCACCAGAGAAGCCTCTAGCATTGCATTCCCTGGGTCCCAGCCCTGAGGCTTTGAGTTCATTGATTCAGGGCTGAACCAGGTCCTTGACATGTTTTCAAGACTCTCAGCCAGGCCTGAGAGACATTCGTTAAGATGATTTGACTGCCTATAAGAGAAAACCCAACTAACATTGGCTAAACCACAAGAATCTTCAGTACCTAACAAGTAGGCTAGGGTGGGCGGACCCAGCATTGGTTCAGCAGTTCTGCAACATAATGAAGGACCCAGAAAAACTATTATTCATTATGCCAAACTCATTGTATCAACCTGTCATTCACTGTCCCCCTCATGGTCACAAGATGGCTGCTGCCACTCCAAGCATCAAGTCCTCCAAGCACTAAGCAGAGGTTGGGGAAAGGAATCATTTTGTTCACTACTCTCTCTTTTATTAGAAAGGAAAGTCTTCCATAGGAGCACCCCAGCAGATTTTCTGTTATAACTCTTTGGATAAAACTAGGCTACAGTCCCACCCCTGGACTTGTCACCAGCTGAGGCGGTGAGATTGTCCCACCTGGCTTGAAGCAGTCATGACTCATCCATGGGACAGGGCACCCTGTTGCCTAGACAAAGCCAGGTTCTGCTATCAGGGAAGATGGGGGAAATGGCCATTGAGGGGACTATCCGCAGGATCTGCCACACCCTATGAAAATGGAGCTGTTTGGCCAGCCATGCAGTGAACTTTGACCTCCTCACATAAGGTGCTGGCCTTGGAAAGAGGATCCAGGGTCAAGTCCACCCATGAACTACTGACCACAGCTCAGGAGAAGTTCCTCTTCCCAGAAGGATCTGGGTCGGCTTCCCAGAAGAGGGGCACTTGCCCTGGGCCTTGAAGAAGGAGAAGGCTCCTCTGAGGAGGTTGGGCTCAGGTGCCCGGGTGTGTTCTCTCTGGGGCCTAGGCTGAGGGGCAGCAAGCTCCAGTGGGAAGCTCTTCTCTTGGTGATGGCAGAGGAGCAAGAGCAAACCCCAGTGTACATACTTGTCATGTGTATCCTTGACGCATGTCCATCAGCCCTCACAGGCCAGGGCAAGTCATGCATATTGAGACCCATATCAACAGGGAAGGGTGGGGAAAGATCTGCCTTTAGGGAAAGGGAGTGAATATTTGCTGAACAAATCAAAGTAATGCACTGGTATTCGGGGTATTTTTTAGAGGGCCATGTGATTCAATGTTCAGCCAGGACCAAGAACCATTGACCCACACAGTGTGAGTCAGCCAGCCAGAATGAAAATCAAGCTTAGTTGATTCCACTTCATATTCTTAAAGCATTGGCACCCAACTGGAGTCTATTACTCTTTGAGGCATTTTTAAGAAAAGAGTCACTGGAATTAACATGGGACGTTATTTTAATGACTGATTTTAACTAGATCATGTGATTTGAAGTAATGGGTCTGTGTCTGATTCATCTCTGGTATTCTCAGGCCCATCACAGTGCAAAGAAATGGAGAAATGCCAGGATCTATGCTCTTGGTAACTGGTATGCAATCCTGTGTAAGCTCCATGAGGGCAAGGATTTTTGTCTGTTGGAATCATCGTTGTATCCTCAGTGCTTAGAAGAGTGCCTGACACAGAGTGGGTGCTCAACAAGTGAGCATAAATACATGGATAGATAGGTTATCTGGAATGGAAAAATAAACAATGGATGAGTGGATGATTGGATAGATGGATGTATGGTGGGTGGATGTGATGATGCATGAATAAATGGATGGCTGGGTGGACAGATAGGATAATGGAGGGATGGGAGGACAGTTGGATGGATGGTTGGACGGATAGAAAGATGAATGGATGGATGAATGATGAGTAGTGCTGAGAGAATAGACAGATAAATGGTCAGATGAGTAGACAGATGGATGGATAGGAGGATAGATGGAGGGTGGTTGAGTGGGTAGTTGGATAGTTGAATATATGTATAGAGGGGTGGATGGATGGGAAGGTAGATAATATATAGCTCGGTGGGTAGATGGATGTATGGGAGGATGCATAAATGGATGGATGGTGAGATGGGCTGGTGGGTAAATGAATAGATGAGTGGATGGATGGATGGATATATAGATGGATAGGTGGTTAGGTGGGTCATGTGACCAATGAATAAATTTAGAAATGAATGTGTTACTGTCAGTGAAATGCATACCCTTCCCTGAGGGTAAATATAGCTATCCTGCAAAACTGTTCGTGACCAGGATGGTTTTGGTTTCCTCACAGGGTTTTCTGATTTGCTGTTCCCTCCTCCCCACTGGGTGTCTGTTCTGGAGGCCAGGGTGAGAGGTGGAGGAGGATGGCCACGCAGATCAGCACTCGGGGCAGCCAGTGTACCATTGGGCAGGAGGAGTACAGCCTGTACAGCAGCCTGAGCGAGGATGAACTGGTGCAGATGGCCATCGAGCAGAGCCTAGCGGACAAGACAAGGGGCCCAACCACTGCTGAGGCCACCGCGTCTGCATGTACCAACCGCCAACCTGCCCATTTCTACCCATGGACCAGGTGAGCAAGGCGAGGCTGATGAGGGAAGTGGGGCCATCCAGGACATCCACAGACTGTAGATCCCTAATGCTGTTAATCCAAAACCACGGTATCCTGGTCTCTAGGTTGCTTTTCACACCTTTCCCATTTACATTTGTTATCTGAACTTACCAAGCTCTGGCTGTGCCAGGTACTGAAGTGGGTGCTATACACACTCTGCCTCCTTTCATCCGCTTAAGGACCCTCTCAGTGGGCTCTGGGTTATAGACCCATTTAAAAGAGGAGACTGAAGCTCAGGGCTGAAAAAGAGGCCCGAGGTCACATAGCCAGTAGATAATGCTGCCGAGATCAGAGCTGCCTGGCTCCCTATCTTACAACACAGCCTCCCTTGAAAAACATATCTGGTGAGCAAGGGATGTCTGCCCAGCAGAGCCATCCTGTCTCCTTCTTCTGGCTCCCCACTCTCAGCCCCACCTCATCCTCTCAGTCACAGGACTTTCTAAAGCAGCGCCATCCAGATATGACACCACCCACAACTGCAATGCACGGATGCAATTTTAAAGGTTCCAACAGCCAAAAAAGTAAAGAGAAACAGGTGAAATTAATTTTCATTGATAGTTCACATCTGAAGTATCACCATTTCCACCAAGAGACTTATATTTCCATCAATATAAAATTATGAATCAGATTGTTACCATTTCTTTTTGCCCATCAAGTCTTTGAAATCCAGTGTGTATTTTACACTCACAGCCCATCTTGATTCAGACTGGCCACGTTTCAAGCGCTCCCTAGCACATGTGGCCAATGACTACCTTATCAGACGGTGCAGATCTAGACGACACCTCCTTTGTAGGAGGTGGGAGCTAGAGAGGTGATTAAGCAGAGCGGTGATTGATCTCAAAATGCATTTGGAAAAGACCTCTATAAGCCATAAAATTGCTTTTGCTCCTCACCCCCGTCCCCAGCCAAGGTCAAGTGTGTTTGGGCATGAATGGCAGGGCATGGGAATTGCTGTGACAATTGTGTTGGTGTTACTTTGAGGCATAGGCCACAAATCTCATTGTGTACAGCAGCCAGCTGGCTCCCTGCGTGACCTCAGGCAAGTCACTTAACCTCTGAAAACCTCAGCTTCCTTCTCAAATAACAACAACAACAAACAGACTTTTTCCGATGTGCAGTCACAGTTGACAGGGGATGAAGGTGGGTGATGGTGCATCTCAGCCCTGTCCCCTAAGTGACTTTGCCCTTGCCGAGGCTGGACCATCTCTGTCAGGCTGGCTGGGCAGAGGCCCAGAGCTGAGGAGCCCCTTTTAAAGGGGAAGGCAGGCAGCTACTTTGGGCAGCCGGAAAGAGTACGAAGACTCCAGGTTACTAAGCTGCCCCCGAGGACGTTCCATTCTGAAACCCAATCTGAGAAACAGAAACCTGAAGCCAAGGACTGGGTTCATCTTGGCTCATGCTCAAGGTGGCCCTGGTTCCTGTTCTGGCCGGTTCAGCGGAAGACAGGCCACAAGTTCCTCTTCCTCAGGAGGGGGTCAGATAGAGATAGGGCATCCTTCCTCTGAAGACAGGGCCTGCTGCATGAAGCCAGCACGTCCCCTCAGGTGTCTGCAGCCTTCTCCCCAGCATAGGAGCCCCCTCAGGAGTCCCAGGGATGCTTGGACACATTAGAAAGAAGTGGGCCCTCGGCATCCAGACCCTGACTCTGCCTTCATCTGGAGGGTAAGGAAATGGAGGCCCACAGTGGGCCATGAACATTTATTCAGCTTCCTGCGGAAAAAGCTCTCCTAGAGAATTGAGACCATTTCTCCCAGGTCGAGCAGCCCTCATCTGAGGTCCAGCCCCACAAGCAATATAGCAGAGGAGGGTCAACCTGCATCTTGTTACTCTAGGAGTGACCTGAAACCTCCTAGGTTCGGTTCTGCGCCTTCGCCTCTGGAAGGAGGCTGGGCTTGGGCCCTGCTGGGAAGAAAAACCCCTTAGATAGAATGTTTAGGCGGATCACGAGGTCGGGAGATCGAGACCATCCCGGCTAAAACGGTGAAACCCCGTCTCTACTAAAAATACAAAAAATTAGCCGGGCGTAGTGGCGGGCGCCTGTAGTCCCAGCTACTTGGGAAGCTGAGGCAGGAGAATGGTGTGAACCCGGGAGGCGGAGCTTGCAGTGAGCCGAGATCCCGCCACTGCACTCCAGCCTGGGCGACAGAGCGAGACTCCATCTCAAAAAAAAAAAAAAAAAAAAAAAAAGAATGTTTAATGAAATTCTTCTCCCCCCAAATGCACATTGAGCACCTCCCATGTGCCTGCCACACATTAATTCACTTAATGTTTACAAAAGCCACCCAAAGTGGATTGCTTCTGTGCCCATTTTACAGACGACAAAACATGCCCACAGCAGGGCCAGGCATGGAACCAAAGTCTGTCCCGCTCTGAAGTTCAGACACTTCACCAGGCTCTGCTGATGCTGTGAAGGCCTCTGTTTCCTTCCCCTACCCCACCTTGAGGTGAAGTTTTGACCTCATTACGTCCGTCTCCCACTCACAGAGGCCCAGGGTCCCCAAATTCACACGGCACACACGCACTTGTGCCCTCACACCCAGACACGCATTACAGTGGATGCAGGACCCGAGACAGTCCTTGTTCACTTTTATCTGTCCAAATAAATTCACAGCAAGTTTAGCAATAGGATGTCACCCTTGTCCCCAGGCAATCCACATAGCAGCTCCTTCTCATCTTCAGGTCTGAGATTAAGCATCACCTCCTCAGCCAGTCCTGCCCTGACCACTCTCCCGGGCCAGCTGGTTTTTCACCTCTTACTTGCTCTCATGGCTGTTTCCTCTGTGGCCTTCACCTTGACTTACAATTCTTATTTATTTCTCTGCTTCTGCCATTAACCTACGCCTCCAGTGAAGCGCTGTGTCTGACCTGTGGCAGGCACCACATGGCTATCTGTGAATGAGTGAATGGGTGAATAAAGGAATAGATGGAAAGGCAGCAGAGTGGAAAGAGAAGTAGGTCTAGAGATTCAAATTCTTCCTCTACACTTACTGGCTGTGCAACCTTAGGTGGGTGGCTAACCCTATCTGAGCCCCAGTGGCCTCATCTTTATAACAGCAACAACAAAAACATGCTGTGCTCCCCTTGCAGTATTCCTGTGAAAAGCAAATAAGATGAGGTGGGCGTTGGAGCCTTCCCACATCTTGCAGCTCGTATTGACCTCCCCGGCCCTGTCTGAGTGCTCCAGCACCAATCTCATGATGGCCTCTGCTTCACAGACAAGCTTCTTGGGTCTTCCTGGGACACCCTCCTGAGAGTGTTCCCAACTAGACTGTGACCTCCTAGGGGACAGAGAGCTGAGCTGATACTGTTTATTTATTTATTTATTTATTTATTTATTTATTTATCTCCAGTGCCCAGCTTAGAGCCTGGATCATTGTAGCTACCTAATAAATGTTTTTAAACAAATAAATACCTTTGAAACCAATAAAAAGCTCTAGCAATGCAATTGATCATTATTATATTGTGACCAAAATGGAGTCCACTGAGTCTTCTGGATCTTAGAAATGAAAGATCAGTATCCCAAAGAAAACAGAATTCTGTTAAAAACCATTTCCCAATTTGCTTCTGTCTCACCTCAACGTAAGGCACAGAATTTGATGAGGATCAAATGAGGATCATTTGCCAAGCTTTGGTCCCCTAAGGGACCCCAAAGGGACAGACCTAGCTTCCTGTTCCATGGAGAAGTGGGGTCCATGAACCCATGAAGTGCAGAGCCCAAGGTTTCCATGAATGGACCAGCCAGAGTGAGTCCAGGAGGCTGGGTCTTCCTAATCTTTAAACCTCTGCATTTCATTTAAGATACATTTCTGAGAAGACAAAGGAGGAAAACATGAAGCAGGAACTGGCTGAGGCTGTTGTGTGCACAGCTTCAAACAATTCAAATCAAGCCACCCACACTTACTCTGCACTTATGATATGCCAGGTTGTGAATCAGGGCTGGGTCCTGCTCTCCCTAAGATCACAGTCTAATGAGGGTGAAGGCCCAGAACTACCTGATGACACAGCAGGGAGAGCACAGCTTCCTCAGTTACAGAGGGACCCTGGAAAAGGTCAATTCACTTAGTCAAGGAAGTAGGCTTTGCAGGATGAATAGGAGTTCATCAAGCAGACTAGAGGAAGCAAGCCTCTTTGAGCCTCAGTTCTCTCATTTGCAAAGGAAGCCAATTACATCTCCTTCACCAAGTGGACTGGGGAATTAAATGAGATGCTTGGTGCAATGTGCCTGTTATAACAAGTGCTCAATGAGTCACATGTGTCTCACGGCACAGTGGTGGGCGTGGGGTGGACTCGTGGCATGGGGTGGGCGTGGGGTAGACTCATGGCACAGTGGCGGGTGTGGGGTGGACTGGTGACATGTTGGCGGGCGTGGGGCGGAATCGATTTTGTTAGCTCCCTCCTCTATTAAGGTGCCTACCTGCCCCCTGCATTCAGCCAGGCCCAGCCCAATCACTGCCTCCCTGGGGCTGACCTGGGCTTCTTACTAACTCAGACAGAGCAGCCATCCATTGACTCACCGAGAGGCTAGGAGCACTGTCCTGCCAGCCCATTCTCTGCTCTCACTGAGGCTGACCGTGCCTGAATTCATGACAAGCTGGACTCCAGGGTCAGGTGACGGTGACACATTCTCCACCCCAGAACCTGCCCAGTGACACACAAAGGACAGAGGCCCTACCTGGGGCTCTTCCAGGGCATGACCTACACCCACATCCTGCCGAGGCCAGGCTCCTCTCGCCTGTGATGACTCAGCCCAGGAGGTTTGCTCTGTTGGGAATTCCCCTGCTTGGGGCCCGAGGGGAAATGGGGCCTCCAGCCTTGATTGGCGAGAGCACGAAACCCAGCCAGGGGCCCTGGCTCCCCAGCCAGCCCTGAGACTCACGACTCAGTAACTCTGAGCGGTCGCCTTGCCCAGTTGCCAGCCCCAAAGCCAGTGGATGCACTCGGATCTCAGTGCTCCCAGAATGAGCCCTTCTGCCCCGATCTCAGCCCGTCCTCTGTGACTCTGTGGCTGTGTGTGGCCTTGTCTCCCTCTCTGCTGACTTCCAAATATCCTCAGGATCCACAAAAAGATAAATTTTAATGAGCTGCATCACCACCCAGAGTGGGCCTGGGACTGAGCCAGAGCTGGGAACTCTTTGTTGAATGGAACTCAGTCTGTCTGTTTCCTCATCTGCAAAATGGGAACAGCACACCCGCTGCTTCCATCAATGGTGGCAGGAGAATGGAAATGAGGAGAGGCTCGGCATGACTTTGTGAACATTTGCCCTGCACAGTTGTTAGAAACTGTCATCATCACCAGCTCCCTCCACCTCCATCAACCTCAACATCCCGGCCACCATTGCTGCTGCCATTACTATGCAGAGACAGGTCCTCGTTTAGATGGTGCAGTGGGCTTTTTCCCAGTGCTTTATTATCCTGCTAAAAACATTCTAACAATGGCAGGTAACTGGAGGCCACACATGCACTAAGTATGAGGGTGGCCGTGACCCAAGGATCCTGGGAGGTGGAAGCCCAGGGCCTCATCAAGACGACAGGGCTGGAGACAGCTGAGGTGAGCCTGGCCCCAGGCTGCCTCCACCTGCCGGCTGTCTCTCCTTCTCAGGACCAGGCACTAATGCAAAGGACACTGAACCCAGCAGCTGTCAGGGCTGAGGAGGGGCCTTGGCTCTGGGATCTGTTGGACACTGAATCTCTCCACAGCTACAGAAACAGTGTGGACATCCCCAGTCTGGTCCTGGTCCCACTTCTCCATTTTGCAAATAAGGAAACTGAGGCACAGAGCGGGGATGGGGCTTGTCCAAAGTCACAGGGACAGTCAGTGTGGAGGTCGGAGAGCTGGAGAGAGGACGAAAAGGCAGGAAGAGGCCAGGCCTTCAGAGGACAGGGTGGCATCAGGAGCTGGGCGGACAGTGGTAGTCTGAACCTCTGCTCCACTCGCTGTCATGCTGAAGGTGACCCTGCACAGTTAAGTCCCCTCTCACAGCCTCCCTGTCCTCATCTGTAAAAGGCACCCCCATCTACGGTTGATGGATGTGGATAAATGAGGACACATGCAGGCGGTGTCCTGCCCACCCCAGTGCGGGTCAGTAGAAGGCCAGAAGCAGGGGATGGGAGAAGGCAGGTGGGAGGGCGTGACAGCGGCGAGGATGAGGAAGGCAGCCAGGCCTGCAGGCAGCCCTGAGAGCATGAAGCAGAGGGGTGAGCAGGTTCCCCTCCTCCTGCCACCCTTGCTCCTCTCTACCAGGCTCTGGCCTTGCTGGGGTGTACCCACAGAATCTGTAGGCTCTGGCCTAGCCAGAAAGAGTGTGGGTGCTTCTCAGGGTCATAATTACCCCATGCCCCACAGGGTGTGAGTCACTGGTAGCAGAGTCCTCCCCAATCCCCCCCAGAAGAGTGTGGTGAAAGGCCCGGGCCACTGGGGTGTCGAGAGTGCCAGGCCTGACCTACTGGGGGTGGTGTCAGTAGGGGCCATATACCCTGTTCTCACGACAACCCCAGGCCAACTCAGATTTGTGGAGCGGCCATCCCACCTCCTTCCGGCTCTTCCACCCTCACAGGAGCCTGGTGGGTCGGGAAAACTGAGGCCTAGAGAGGCAAAATGATGATAAAATGAAGAGTGAGTACATGTGGAACACCCTCTGTGCCTCACACTCCACTAAGCTCCTCACACCATTCACTTACTCAGGCCTCACCGGCCCTCGAGCACAGGCTGTTTTCATGCCACCTTGCAGGAGCGGGGACTAAGGCACAGAAAAGGTCAACCTGTCTCACGTCACACAGCCAAGGAGTGCCAGAGCCCAGATGTGAACCTGTGTCTGTCTGACTGCAGCCCTGGTTCCGACGCCCTTCCTCATGCATCCTATAATAACACTATAGAGGTTACTATAGTGTCTGCTCCTACCCCTGGGACAAGATCCCCTAATGAGCTGGCAGGTGGGCGTGGGGGGCACAGGTACAGCTTGGCTTCTCAGCTTTGCTCCCCTATCCTCTGCTTTGCCATGAATCTCTCATCCAGCCCCGCAGGGATCTGCCTGGCCAGCAGTGAGCCTGAGCCCCTTTCATCCTGGGACCTGCCGACCACGGCTCACATCCTCCTGGGTGAAGAATGTCACCTTGCTTCCTATCTGCCTCTTTCGTGGTTGGCTGGGGAGGGGGACCGGGGGGTGGGGTGAGGTTAACCTCATTGTTGTCTTATATGGTCATTTAAATCTCCCAGGGCTTCCTCCAAGGGCCAAAAATAATCCGGAGACACAGCAGCTGTGTCCAGCACACAGAGGACCCGGCCATCTGCTTTGGTTCAGAGCCCTGTGTCTGTCAGTCAGTCTCTCCCTGGCTCTCCCTCCATCCTCATTCCTGCCTGAAGCCATGACCCGCTTCTCCTATGCAGAGTACTTTTCCCTCTTTCACTCCTGCTCTGCACCCTCCAGGTCCACTGCACCTCCTGAGAGTTCGCCGGCCCGGGCCCCAATGGGCTTGTTCCAAGGGGTCATGCAGAAATACAGCAGCAGCTTGTTCAAGACCTCCCAGCTGGCGTAAGTGACTCCTGTCTGGCCCCAGGACCATCCAAGTTCACTCCGCTAACTGGGATGGCAGGGAGGGTGGGAAGCAGGCCCACAGCCCCCAGGAGGGCAGAGGGCACTATGGAGGCACCTGCCAGGCACGCTCCTTCTAGGGGTGCCCCCCTGGGGCCCCACTGCTCCTGCTGAGATGGGCTTGGTGGCCACAGACTTCAGTCCTCAAGGAACTTCCAGCCAGGCATGCTGGTGATCCCCCCCTCAGATGCCCCCAGCATGGGACCTGAGTGCTGGAGGAGCCCCATGGGGCTCTGAAACTGGGGACCCAGCACGAGGGAAATTGGGGAGATGGCCTTAGAACCCCAGAGGCCCAGGAGAGCTTGGAGTTGAACTTGATGAGTTGGCTGCACCCTTCTGTTTGTCCCAGTCTCACTTTCCCCCATGCCATCGCTGTGGGTACATCCAAAATGCCCACACCCACAGCCTTTGTTTTGTTTATTTGCCCTTATTTGTGAAGTGCCAGGTGCTAAAATCCAGAAATAATCTAAGCTGCAGGGGCTCTGTTTGCCTGGCACCAGGGGGCAGGGCTAATGCGCTCCTTAGAAAATAATTCTGCCTCCCTCCCCTCTCTGTACCCCTGGAATAGTGACCCCGGAAGCAGCCAAAAGCAAAAGAGGGACCCTATCACTGGAACTGCATTTCCTCACTCAGTTACGTTGTAGAGAAGGGAGGAGGCAATTGGCCAATATTTTCTTTCTCCTTCCCAGCCTTTTTCAAATCCTGTCGCCCTCCACTTCCTTGGTGTGGTGGGTGTGTGGAGTGGTTGACAATCTGGAAAAGGGAGACCCAGAGCTGGTCTCAGCTACTGCCACCTCCTGCATGACTGCCTGAGAGTCGCTGTCCCCTCTGAGTCTCCCTTCTCTGCAGGACACGGCTGGAGAGGGCAACGTGACCTCTAGGGTCCCGTCCAGCTTACTACTCTGATGGCCTGACACCCCCAGAACCCTCCCCCACTCATAGGGCGGGGACTTTGCCTGAGGTCATGGAGAAGCTGTGAATATGTGGGCTGAGGGCTCCAGGGTCCTTGCATCACAGCTGGAGAGACCCAAGCTGGGCGGCAGGTCCTGAAAGTGTTCTCACGACACTGCACCACGCCCTGCTCGCCAAGGCCACGAGAAAAGCCAGCCCTCCTCCCTTCCACTTCAGCTGGGGTCCCTTTGGAGACACTCCAGGAAAAGGGGGGCACATACCCCCACTGGGCTTTTCCTGATGCTGACAGGGGCTGCTCTGGCTGTTCCTAAGTGGAACTCGTCAAGGTGGCAGTGACGGTGCTGATGGGGACCTCAGGACTTATCTGATCAGTTTCCCATCGTCCTTGCTGGGTCTGTTGCTTCACCGGCATCTGTGCTCTGACACCATTAATAACCACAGAGTCTGAGAGTCAGGAGGAAGTGCTGCTCACGCTGGAGGAAGTGGCTGGGAGAGTGCAGGGGCTGGTGGCAGAGACCGCCCAGAGCCCATCCTAGCCCAACATGGCGTGGGTGTCCTGGGAATGAGGCCTGCCTCCAGCCTCACCTTCTCCATCTGGGAAATGGGACTATTGATGCAGAAGCCTCCCCAAAAGTGGATCTGAGAGGCATAGACATCGTGGTTCTCACGGACTCTCCAAGGATGAGGTAGGGAGCTCAGTGAATGAATGAAGGAAGGAAGGAAGCAATGAATGAACAAAGGGACTTTAACAAGCCAAGCAAGGAACGGCTTCACTTTAGCCCTCAAATCTTTTTGACATTCAGAAGTTTTAAACTGTGAAGGCTTCAAATTTATTAATCCTTCCAGTATATATTTTTTTTCTGCAGCTGGATGTACTGGGAGTAGGAATAAGCGACAGGGCAAGGAGAGGAGTTGGAAGACCCCAGAGATATGCTCAGGGTTAAGAGGGGGCCCCCGAGATGGGCGTGCCTGGTAAATGCTAGAGTGCTATACTCAGGGAAAGCATTTAATTATCACAAGTGCCTCACATGTGGGTGGTTAGCCACCCTCTAGGAGGCTGGCATTGTGTGCCTGAATCCTCTTGGTAGAATTGGTTTTGGTATAACATTCCCGGCAGCCATGGAAAGCCACAGAGATGGAGGGATCCCCCAGTCCTCTTGCAGCCACTGGGCTGCAGGGGGCTGAGTGCTCATCCTGGAACCAGCAGGGACGAGGACCGAGTGACTCCACTGCCAGCACTCCTGAGAGAGAGGCCCCCTGGCCTGGCCTTGGCCTGACCTTGAGGACTGACCCACTCCTTCCTCTCACAGGCCTGCGGACCCCTTGATAAAGGCCATCAAGGATGGCGATGAAGAGGCCTTGAAGACCATGATCAAGGAAGGGAAGAATCTCGCAGAGCCCAACAAGGAGGGCTGGCTGCCGCTGCACGAGGCCGCATACTATGGCCAGGTGGGCTGCCTGAAAGTCCTGCAGCGAGGTGAGGGCTGGGCTCTGACGGTGGCAAGAGGTGGGAAAGGGACTAGGGGAAGGGCTGCCGCTCCTGGGGCTTCATGTTCTTTGCCCACAATCATCTTGGGAGAAGGGCAGGCAAGGCTGTCACTTTCATTTGTCAGTTAGTCATGGAGTTACGAGAGGGGAAATGAGTTGTCCCCACCCCCTGCTGCCACCTCTCCAGGCCTCCAAGGACAGGAGAGCCTAATTCCTAGAAAAGGAATGAGGGAGGGCTGACTTTTAGAAGAACCACTGCCAACTTGTTCCAGAATGTCCCAGGGGCTGATTTGGTGTGAAAAATACTGCAGCTGTGCCTGTGCCCGGCCAAGGCTATCCCCCACCTGCTGTGGGACCGCGGGACAGCCGTGCCTCCTCTCTGAGCCCTGTCTTCCTACTGAGCCAGGTTCAGAAGGGCAACTCCTGCAGGCAGGTGTCACCTCTGCCCTGAAGCAGCACAGACCCCACACGGCCCCCGACACTCCAAGAAACCATGGCATGTAACAGTGGGTTTCCAGCAATGGCTGGTGTGAGTTCGAGGAAAGGACAGGAGTATTCGAAGAGGGAGGGGCTCCATTAGGGAAGGCTTCTCAGAGGACGTGGCATCTGAGCTTGGACGTGTACGACCAGGAAGCTAAAATGGCCCTGTGAAAGGGCCAGATGAATGCAGTCTGTAGTTGGTAAATTTCAGAGGATGTCATACATTGTTCTTGAAATTGGGAGGCAATCGGGAAAGCCTCTGTGTTGCGGGGCTGAGTATCTTTCTCCTACATGAATTTCCCGGTGGGCCCTCCCTAGCGTACCCAGGGACCATCGACCAGCGCACCCTGCAGGAGGAAACAGCCGTTTACTTGGCAACGTGCAGGGGCCACCTGGACTGTCTCCTGTCACTGCTCCAAGCAGGGGCAGAGCCGGACATCTCCAACAAATCCCGAGAGACACCGCTCTACAAAGGTGAGGTCCCCACCCCGGAGTGAGCTTTCCTGCGGAAGAATCCAGAAGCTGGGTGAGCAACAGGGAATGTTGCTCCCGTTAAGTGCATAACCCCCAACGTGGCCCTGCTCAAATGCACAATTTATGTAACTGAATCATTCATTCCTGCATGTATTTTACCAACATTTTCCAACTGCATCCCATGGGCCAGGATGCTGAGGGACACTGAGGGCTTGGAGCTGAAAAGCTATAGTCCAACCTGTGCACCCTCCCAGCCCTGTAGGCACCCACACACAGAGAGCAGGAAAGGGCTTGGCAGGAGGCATTGTGGGAGCATGGGGGAGGGGCACCCAGAGGAGGGGTGCCTGAGCTGAACCACAGAGGAGGAATCACCTGCTGGCCAAGCAGCGGGAACCGCACAGGCAAAGGCATGAAGGTATGCGAGAGCATGTACCTCTGGGACATTTGTTTAAGAAAAACAAGGCCTCCTGGCTTACTCAGTACATCATCCATGGACATTTGTTGGCTGCCCTAGCAGTACCCAGAGTCAAAGTCTAAATAATCACAATAGCTAGCATTGATTGAGTGTTTAGTATGTGCCAGGCACCGTTCTCTTATGGACCCCTCATGTCCATCTGCACATGAAGTAGGCACTGCTGGTATCCCCTTTCACATATGAGGACCTAAGGCACCAAGACATTAAATGGGTCGCCCAGGATCACACAGCTTGCAAGGGGTACCCCAGTGGTTTAAACTCAGGGAGGTGGATGTCACACTGCCCTCAACTACTACATTCTAAAGCATCCTGTCCATGCCTACATGCTGAAGCAATCAGCTGGGGTCTTACAAATGATCAGGCCTTTGTACTTGGAAAAATTACAGATATCCCTGATTTCCCATGTGTCTATCCAGTGCTTGGAACAGCTTGGGCAGCAGGAACTGAGTAGTAGGTCACTGGATCCGCTGCAGACCCACCATGGAAGTGTCTTCCCTGGAATCCGTGCCTGCCAGGGCGCCATGGCTATCACCTGGAACCTCAGCTGTCCAAAGGGAGTGCCCAGGAAGCTGGGCAGCCCACAGCCAGAGCTTGGCCCTGGTCTTGCAAGCACACCTACTATGTGCCAAGCACTATGCTCATGCCTTACACACAGTCTCACTCCCATAGCATCTGCTCAAGAAGGTTTTATTCTCTCCATTTTACAGATGAGAAAGTCAAGGCTTAGAGAGGTAGAAGGCTTGGCCTATGGTTCTATTTGAAACAGTACACAGGCAGCCCTCCTCCCCCTGCTGCCAGTCTCCCTGACCCATTCCTCACTCCTCCTCCCACTGACACGGACACAGAGAAGCTTCCAGGGCTGGTTAATTTGGAAAAGTGCCCAGGTGACTCCAATACCACCTGCAGCTCCTGGTGAGAACTCTGGGGCCAGAGCCAAGGGCACGTTTGGGGTCTAGAGAGAGATGAGGCTTATAAAGGAGGTTAGAGCAGGTCAAGAAAGACTTGAGGAGCTGTACTCACAACGTGCATTTTACCCTGAACTAAATTAGTAGCCTTTGCTGGAGCAGGGGGAAGTTCAGCAGGATTATGACACCGCTGACTCCTCATCTAGAAAGATTCTTCCAGCCTTGGTAATGTGGAGGACTGAAGCAGGTACCACTGGAAGGGGAAATGATAGGGACATCCTGGGACATCCCAGGGGACAGAGACCTTCAGCCTGACTACCAGGGTTTGAATTCCAGTTCTGCCACTTAGTATCTGTGTGACTTTGGGCAAGCCACTTACCCTCTCTGTGCCTCACCTTCCTTATCTGTGAAAGGGGATAACATCACTACATCCTTTAAGGGGATTTGGGAGGATTAAATTAGTTAATCCTGTAAAATGTGCTTAGAACAGAGAGCCTGGCACAGAACCAGTACTAGGCATATGAATCAGCAAGTATTCTTGCTAATGTTAGTATCAGTATTACTTTTAGTCGCCTATCCCAGGTTCAATGCAGGGATTGGAACTTAATACACATGCAGTGGAAAGCTGAATGAGTGGATGAGTGAATGGACAGGCGAATGAATGCAGTCTCTGCTGGCCAGTTCCTGCCAGGCCCTGCTGACCATCCCTGCTTCCCCCTGAGCACAGCCTGCGAGCGCAAGAACGCGGAGGCCGTGAAGATTCTGGTGCAGCACAATGCAGACACCAACCACCGCTGCAACCGCGGCTGGACCGCTCTGCACGAGTCTGTGTCTCGCAATGACCTGGAGGTCATGCAGATCCTGGTGAGCGGAGGAGCCAAGGTGGAATCCAAGAACGCCTACGGCATCACCCCCTTGTTCGTGGCCGCCCAGAGTGGACAGTTGGAGGCCTTGAGGTTCTTAGCCAAGTACGGTGAGTGGCTAAGGGTCCCTAGGTCATGGAGTCCCCAAAGGGCACACGGGAAGGATGTCAGAGGTCAGCTCTAAGGGAAGGCGAGTTAGGGGTCATCTTGTGCGCACACTGATGGAGTGAGAGTTTCCTCCTAGAGTGCTGTGTTGAGAAAGATGCTGAGGCTGTGTCCAGGCTCAGTGGGAAGAGCGTCGGGATCCACTAGTGACATCTGCCATTAGAACAAATATGGGGGGGTCTGGCCCACGGACCACCTATTTGCCATTTATAATCTAGTCCAACATTTTCATTTTACAAACGAGGAGTCTGAGGCACAGAGTGAGGAAGTGACTTATCTATAGTCCTATAGCAAATTAATTGTAGAACTAGCTAGACTCTTGGTCTCCTGACACCCCAACCGCTTCTCTTTCCACCACATCACACTTCAGGGCCAGAAGGAACCTCAAGCAACATTTAGATCACCTCCCCCTTTTATGGGTGATGAACTCAAGGACCAGGATGGGAAAGTGATTTGTCCAAGGTCACACAGCAAATTAGTGGCAGAGCTGGGACTTGAACCCAGCTCTTTGCCCTCTTTGCCTGTGAAATATCTTAATGGGAGAAAATAACACAATACGGCCTGCATTATGATGGCCCAGTAGCAAAAGACCACGAGACATGGCAGACTTGCTTTTGGTTTCAGAACATTATATCCTGATCTTCCCCAAGAATGCCTTTGATTTCTTTTCTCTCTCCACGGGAAGTAACCCTCTCTCTAGCAACAGAGAAGCCAGAGGTAATCCAGACGCTGAGGCTGAACTGTAGGAATCTGTTGAGGACTTGCTAAGTGTGAACACAGATCGGGGCAATGGAGCTTTCCCCGTAGCCCCATGTGGTAGGTAGTATGCTCGTCCCATTTTATAGATGAAGAGACTGAGGTTCAGAGAGGTTAACTAATTGGTCACAGTCCAAGCCTGGATGCTGACCCACTGCCATCTGACTCCAAACTGCACATGCTTTGTGCTCTGCCAGCCACCCTACCCTGTGAGAGTCGGCAGCACGGGACTCTGCCCAGGTAAGCATCCATGCACTCAGCACGCGCCTGAGCAGTGGGGAACATAGGTGCAGGCCCTTCCGTGCAGCCAGGAACAAATCTGGACTGCCCAGCGTAAGAACAAAGGGGCACAGGCAGGGTCCTGGGAGCCCAGGCCGGGGGTCCTGGTGACGGACAGCATGCTCAGCAGGCAAGGGTGACCTCAATAACTCCAAACATCTGTCCAGGTCTCCCACCGACACTCTGAGTCAGGGTGTGTTCACTTTGTGGGCTGAGTCCATTTTCCAACCCAAATATTTTTCTTGTGCAAGCAGGCGGCTTTGCTGGTAGGGTCCAGGCTCTCCAGGGCACCTGCCTCTGAGAGCCCAACAGAGGGTTAGGGCGGCTCACTGGCTCTCCCTCAGGCCGGAGGCAGGACGAAGGCCTCTGCCCAGCTCCTTCCATCCTGAGCAACTGGCATTTGCTGAGCAGCTTCCCTGTGGCAGGCACTGCGCTGAGAGATGTGCTTACACTATTTTGTTTACTCCCTGCAGTAACCCCGAGGGGTAGGTACTATTATCCCTGGTCAACAGATGAGAAAACCGAGGCTCCTAAAGGCTTTCTGAGACTGCAGAGCTTGTGAGCCATGAAACAGATGCCTCAGCTGATTCTCATCTGTCGCCAAAGCCTGTGCTGTTTCCGCTGGATCAGAAACTGGTCACACCATCATCAAAAATAATAAATTACCAGAAAGCCTGAGATCAGCAACATGCTTAGAGAGATGACCTGTGGTTAGCAGATGCTTTTGATTTTAGCCCCACTGACATCTTCAAGCATCTTAGTTCCATGTCCTTCCAGAACAAGGAAGGACTGCTGAATTCTCTTTCTGCAGAGAAAGCTGTGTGCACATCAGTTCTCCCCCTCACCCCCTGCCCGAGGAGATGAAGCAGGTGTAGAAGACTGAGCTGAAGGCAGATTGTCACCAGGCCTGATTCCTCCTTCTAGCAGCATGGATTAATGTTTTCTGGGTTTTGTTTTGTTTTTGTTTTGGGAACAGGGTCTCACTTTGTTGTCCAGGCTGGAGTGCAGTGGTGTGATCCCGGCTCACTGCCGCCTATATCAACCTCCTGGGCTCAAGTAATCCTTGCACCTCAGCCTTCCAAGTAGCTGGAACTACAGGCATGTGCCACCATGCCCGGCCAGGGGCTACTCAGTAGGTGTAGAGAACAGAGTCTCATTAGGTTACCCAGGCTAGTCTTGAATTCCTGAGCTCAAGTGATCTGCCCGCCTTGGCCTCCCAAAGTGCTGGGATTACAAGTGTGAGCCATTGCACCTGGCCTAGTATTTTCTTGGGAGGAGACAGAAAGTAATTCTCTTATTCCTTGAAGTGAAAGGCAGAGAATTAGCAATTAGCAAGCATGCAGGGAATACCTAGCACAAGGAGCACTAGTGATAAGAGCTAGAAGTTATTGATAGCAGTAAGGATCAATATTAATAGCATGGTAACATTAGCAATAATAATAGCAATATTAATAGCAAATTGCAATTAATAATGTTATTGGGGTTTTCCTTTATTAGGGGCTCTGTGCCCTCCTAGACCTGTGAGGCCTCTCTCAGGGCAGAGCCCAGGCCCTCTTACATGGAGTGAGGGTTAAGAGCATGGCCTCTACCATCAGAATATCCACCATGGCCTCTGCCATCAGACCATCTGGGTTCAAGTTTGGCTCCATCTTTATGAAATGGGTGGTCTGAGGCAAGTGGTCTAGGTGTTCTGTGCTTCACTGTCCCCATCTGTAATCTGGAGATAAGAGCAGTACTGACCTCACAAGGTGACCACCCACTGTGGATTCAGATATAGCCTGTGGAAAGCACGATGTTCAGCACGTAGTAGGTGCTCAGGAAAAACCAGCATCATCGTGGCTGCTTGTAGCCTCTCAGAGGCCTCTGTTCGGGCTGGCAGGCCCCTGGGTCTTTTTTTTTTTTTTTTTTTTTTTCCAGGCGGAGTTTCACTCTTGTTGCCCAGGCTGGAGTGCAATGGTGCAGTCTCGGCTCACTGCAACCTCCACCTCCTGGGTTCAAGCGATTCTCCTGCCTCAGCCTCCCGAGTAGCTGGGATTACTGGCGCCCACCACCATGCCCAGCTAATTTTTGTATTTTTAGTAAAGACAGGGTTTCACCATGTTGGCCGGGCTGGTCTCGAACTCCTGACCTCAGGTGATCCGCCTGCCTCAGCCTCCCAAAGTGCTGGGATTACAGGCATGAGCCACGCCTGGCCAGGCCCCTAGGTCTTGATGTTGTTGAAAGAAGCTGGGGGTAGCCCCAGGTAGACTCCTCCTTCCTAAGGGTCGTTGTTAAAGGTCCCGTGCATTACCGTGGTTAGCACAGCAGGCCCACCACGCGGTGGCGTTACATTGAGGACAGCAACTTCCCGGTCACTTGGCCACTTGCTGATCTCTTCTCCTTCCCCAGGTGCTGACATCAACACGCAGGCCAGCGACAACGCGTCTGCCCTCTACGAGGCCTGCAAGAATGAGCATGAGGAGGTGGTGGAGTTTCTGCTGTCACAGGGTGCCGACGCCAACAAGACCAACAAGGACGGCTTGCTCCCGCTGCACATCGCCTCCAAGAAGGGCAACTACAGGTCAGCCCAGGCTCCGCCAGCACCCAGGCAGCTCTCCCGAGGCCCACACTGGGAGTAGGGGATTGGAGGGGTGGGCCTGCCCTGAATGTCCCACCCACAGGATTAGGGAGGCCCAGGAGAGGTCAGAATGGACATCACCTTTCCCATGGAAAGGAGGGAAACCCCTTAGCAGTTAGCAACATGGAGTGAATGCCTGTAACAACAGCAACTGAAATAATAACAGCAAACCCTTATGCAGCGCTTACCAGTACTTCACATCAGAAACTTATTTAATCTGCTTAACAGCTCACTGAGGTGGATATTATTATCTCTGTTGTTTAGATGAGGAAGCTAAGACACAGAGAGGTTGAGTGACTTGCCCAAGGTCACACAGCTCATAGGCGGCAGGTACTCACCTGCTCCAAAGGTCACAGCTACAGGAATTCTATCCTGGGGGGCAGATATGAGTCTGAGCTAATGAATATTTCCGGGAGTACAGGAATGCAAGGATAACCTCCCAGGCAATTAGCAAGCATGCAAGGAAAACCTACAATAACACAAATAGCACCAATGATAAGAACTAGCAGTTATTGAGCAATTACTAAGTGCTAGATACTCTGAGTGAGAAGAGAGAGGCTTAAGTTCCCAAGGAGCAATCTGGAGGAAGGGAAGAAGCACAGACATGTGAATTCATGACATCATGAAAGAGCATGCCGAAGAGCTGCATGGCTCCTGTGGAGACAGACGAGCCGGGGCTAGAGGCAGAGGTGTGCTAGAGCCAGCTCGTGCCTGTTCTCAGGAACCGACTGCACACCTCTTCCCAACTCTGTGTTTACTGACCTCACATTGATAGCTTAAAATTGGCCATGGGGGAATATTTACATGGGGAAATAGGCAAATGCTACAAAC
Organism: Homo sapiens; assembly: GCF_000001405.40. Lineage (NCBI taxonomy): Eukaryota > Metazoa > Chordata > Mammalia > Primates > Hominidae > Homo > Homo sapiens. Next base: position 93,946,460 of record NC_000014.9, on the reverse strand, counting down.
CAGAGTCCTTTCCCCCTTCTCTGCCCTTGCTTGAGCCAGTTTTTAAGCATTCCCAGCAGCACTGCTACATGGGGAAGCCTGGGCCGCAGAGGTGAAGCTCCAGCTGCCCTTGAAGGATGGACAGGGCTTGGTCATTTCCAGAGTGTGACTCATCTGCCTCCCATGTGAGCCTCACACTGTGCTGCGGGTATGCGGGTCAACCCGGATTTTCATTTTACAGGACAGGAAACGAAGACTCTGGTAGTTAAGAGATTTGCCCCTTGAAAGCCCCGTCCCCAGGGCTAGGACTTAAACCCCAGCATCTGACCCTTTTTGCTGGACAGTGCTTCCCAAACTGTCCATTCACAGATTTTCTTCCTGATTTTAAATATCTATACTCTCATCGTTTAGTAATTTTTCCTTTAAATAATGTTTTTACTTACAATGAATTTATTTTGAAGAGGAAACATTTATCACACTAGTATGTTATCCATTTACAATCAATTTTAAAAACATTTCATTTAAAATCCCATCTCATGTACCCTGATGACACTTGGGGAAACACACCCGAATCTTCCAGACAGGCAGGAGAGTGAGAAGCACAGACTGCGTGTATTGGGGCATGTTTGTTGTCTTCACTAAGGCAGAGGGAAATGGGGTCAAAGTGACATTCCAAAGACTGAAATGAAGACTCAAGGCTTCAGAGCCGCCCCTTAAAGCTCCAGCCCCTTCTGTGCAGGTTGCCTGCACCAAGACCACCCAAAGATGCCCTCCCCACTCCCCACACCCCCCAGTACATACACAGAGGAGACCCAGCCTTTTCTGGACAGCACAGCTGTCCACAAGGCTGACAGATCTGGGTGTGAATCCCTGCTGAGGCCATTGGGAAAGTTGCTTAACCTTGCTGAGCCTCATTTTCCTCATTTATAAAATGGGAAATGGTTACACCCGCCTCATGGGGTTGTCGGAGGACCAGTAAAATGGATACGTACGGATATAGAATGGAAAAAAGCACCTAGCAGAGCGCCTGCACCCAGTGTGTGCTCAGGCGTCCTATGCTCACCCACTCTTACTTAGGGAGAGTGCATTCCATGATTGAGCGGTTCAGACAGCAGCTCAAGCCAGGCAGTGGGCATGGACAAGACGGCTCCTTTCTCTTGAGTTCCACAAATCATCGGGCATCAGTCAGAGTTGGGCAAACACAGTTTACCTTGAGCCTGACCCCAGAGAGATCCAGAGTGAACACACGGGAAGTGGGTGCACTTTGGAAATCTCCTGGCCCACTGCCCCCCAATTCTAGCCTGCACATCCATGTCCCTCTGGGCTATTTTTAAAATGCCATATCAGATCCGGTGAATCAGAATCTCCAGGAGAGAAGGAGCCCCACTGTCTCTTTGAAAAGCTCCCTGAGCAAATCAGATACAGCCTGTCTATAGCTGCAGGGACCATTGATCTAATTCAGGCCCTGGTTTTACAGAGAAGGAAGCCAAGGTCAGATATGGAAGTGATTTTTGAGATAGCGGCAGGGCTGGGACCTTCATCTGGGCTGCCTTCAAGTGAACCCAGAGGTGTTGGCAGTCTGGCCCCAGCTGGAGGAGAAGCTGAAGGGGCACTAGGTGGCCTTGCGGATGATCAGAGAGTAAGGCGCGTCCTGCCTGGAACACTGTGTCCATGGCTGATGTTCCTGTAAACTCATCTACCTTGGATTCACGTGGATTCCCAGGGCGAATTCCCTGGTTATTCAACCTCCACCCCCGGGCCCCATTTCCCTCTGTCCCCCAAGGCTCAGAGGGGCCTGGGCCACTTTTTAGGGCTAAGCAACAAAGGGTTAAAGCCTGGTTCCCAGCAGCTTCTGCCACCAGGCAGAGCCCATGGCCAGCAAGCCCCGAGCTCATCACTCCCTCCCTGGGCATACAGCATTAAAGGCCCTCTGCTCGGGGATTTGATGTGACATTCCATAGGCATTCCACACTCTGCCACCTGCCAACACACCCTGGCCATCCGTCCCAGGCATGGAAGGCAGCACCAGGAGCCGAAGGCTGTTTGCCAGATGGTGTCTTCTCGTCAGCACACTTAACCGCAAGGGGTGACATGCGGGTGTGCTGAGAAAGGAGCCCTAAAGTCCCGATGTCGCAGTCACCTCCAAGACACGCATTTTCCTGTTGTTCATTTCCAGTTTAGCAAAGCCACCGTATGAAATCAAAGATCAACACCAAAGATAGACGTATTAAGAAACTGTGTGAGTTAGCGCAGAGCAGATGCCCCAAGAATAGCACCCAAAACAGTAGTGTCCAACCTTGGCTGCACCAGAAACCCTGATGCCTGGGCCCCACCTGACGAGATGGCGCTGCCGCTGGTCTGGGCCGTGGCTGAGGCTTCAAGGTGTCTAAGAGCTGCCCGGGAGATTTTACTGTGCAGCCTGGGTAGAGAATCAGGATCTTAGAGCCTCTTCTGTGGCCAACAGAAAACACAGACTTGCATTCTGGGCCTTACTTCTGCCTCCCTCGTTTTTAAATATTCCTTCTCTTTTAGTTCCAACATATAACACTTTTGCTGTATTTTATCAATCTTTGCAAGCCACTTGAAATTCTTCCTAGAATAAGGCAAAATAGAGAACACTTAACACATTAAATTAAAAAGCAGCTTATAAAGCACACTGACAAGCAAGTTAATATCCCCATTAGTTAAAAGAGAAACTGAGGCTCAGAGCTCAAGACTTCATAGAAAACAAGTCAGGGTGGCACAGTGAAGCTCAGAAGTGTTGGCAATGGAGCCGTCTGTGGGCAACTGGTTCCCATGTCAATCCTCCAGCCAATGTTTTTGTTGTTGTTTGTTTGTTTTTGAGACCGACTCTCTGTCACCCAAGCTGGAGTGCAGTGGCACAATCTTGGCTCGCTGCAACCTCTGCCTCCTGGGTTCAAGTGATTCTCCTTCCTCAGCCTCCCAAGTAGCTGGGATTACAGGTGTCCACCACTGTGCCTGGCTAATTTTTGTATTTTAGTAGAGACCGGGTTTCATCATGTTGCCCGGGCTGGTCTCGAACTCCTGAGCTCAACTGATCCACCCGCCTCAGCCTCCCAAAGTGCTCCGATTACAGGCGTGAGCCACCGCGCCCGGCCCTCCATCCAAATTTACATTGAACACTGACAAGGGTCAAAGCACAGTGACCTGGTGATCCAGAATGCCTCTGTGTTTAGGGTAGCAGGGGCAGTAGGCTGCAGTTGTGGTGGTGGTCAAGATACCAAGAGCATTGTTCATTCACTGCCGACTACGGGCCAATCAGATTCATGGGAAAGATCTCATTTATACTCAGAAGCAGCCTTGGTGAAAGATCATTACATTGTGCTTTGTAACCTGGACCTGGGGTTGTAAGCAGTCCTACCTTGCCGGATTGTTATGAGTAAATGAGTAAATGAGATTAAGTTCTTAGCTCTGAGGGTCATGCTAGGATTAAATGAAGTAAACAAATGTGAGGACCACTTTAAATGGTACCTGGCACACAGTAAGCGCTCAGCAATATTAGCACAATTATGACTTAAGAAGGTAAGGGGTAAAGTGCTCACAGCAACCCACTGGAGCTCAATAAAGGGTAGCTATAGCTATCACCATCATCATCATCATCATCATCATCACTATTATTACAATTAATTACCCCTCTGCTTTAGGTGCGGTTCAGAGAGGTTAAGTGACATGCTTGCGCTGGCCCAGTGCTGAAGGGTAGAGCTGGTGTGTAACCCATGTACCCCTGACTCTGAGCCTCCCAGTTTCCCCACTGCCCATGCTGGGCCCCTCTCTAGCTAAGGACAGCTTGCGTTGGCTCAAAGCTCTCTGCCCATTCCCCTGCTGTTGGGCTAGATTCAGGAAGGACATCAGAGCCAGGGCCAGGTGGTATGGCAAGGCTGCTGCTCTGAGGAAACTAGAATCCTGGAGTGGGAGCCCAGACCTGGGGCAAGGATGTCAGGCTTCAGATACTGGTGGGTCCTAGGAACAAGACAAGAGCCCAGTGATTCGGAATGAGGTCCAAGGTCAGAGACAGCTCAGCACCTGCCACACTGCTGCACTGGGTCTTCCTGGAATGACCCTGAGCTGGATCTGCTCCGGTCTCAGGGCCCAGACAGGAAAGGCTAAGCTGGTAGTTGTGGCCTCTGCATTGGGGAGGGGACAAGGAAGGGGTAGGGGGCCATTCTTCCAGACACCTACGGCTCTATCAGACAATAGTCACCTTTGTTCCTCTTCATGAGGTGCCGCTTGAGCAATTATACTCTGAGAATCCAAAACGTGCCTGTGGGAGAAGTGGGAAGAGTCAGACTGTTTGGTGGGGTCACCCCCTTGTCCTCCTGTCCTCTGCCCCACAAAATGGGCTGGGAAGAGGAGTGATGATGTGCAGTGGGGCTACCAACGTGGCCGCTCCCATAGTTGGGAGGAGAGGGGCATCGTAGAAGGCTTGGCCCTGGACATCCAGAGACCTGTATTTTGCTCTTGTGCACCACCCACCTTCTGTCCAACCTCACTCTGTTCCCCACCCCAAGCCTGGGCTTCAGGTTTACTCTGTGTAAAATGGGAAAGCTGGACGCACTGATCTCCAGAGCCTGTCCGGCGTTACACATTCACTTTCTGATTGGCAGAGTCCTGCCGCAGTAAGATGATTCACCACATAACTGAGACAATGCTCAAGTTCCCACATTTCTGCCACTTTCCCTTGGTTCGTGGAGAACTGCCGGAGACCAGCTGTGACCTGCCAGAGATACCAGCCCCATCTGTCCAGCGGCCCCGGGGCAGCCCCTCTCACTGTTCTTTCCCGTTCTTGGGCACGTTACAGCTGTTAGCAGAGCATTTGTTGGCCGTGGCCGCCATCCAGGGTGAGGCCCAGGCCTGCCTTTGACCAGCACCTCTGCAGAGCAAAGTCAGGCCTCCTGTGCCTACACAAATAGAAATTAGGAGGCAATTAGCCCCCCGGGTGTGTGAATTTCCTTTTGAGGTTTTAGAGTCAGATTTTAGCCAAACACAGCATCACTAACAATCATAATACTTTCCACTGAGATCCCAGCAGGAGGTCGCTGGCATCAGATTTCCAGGAAGCCTGTGTGCCAGGAGGCCAGAGGCGTGGGAATGGGCCTGGTGGCACCTGCTTCTCTCCCCTTCCCCCACCGCCCCACCCCCTGTAATGGCCACCTCCTTGGAGTCCCACAGGAGGCTGTGAGGTCACCTGTCAGCAGGGATTGGATGGATTAGGGTCTGGAATCATATTGGTGCAGGAGCTTGTTCTTGCAGGTGGCAGGGCTGTAGGAGAAGAGAGCCAAGAGAAGGGGTAAAGAGTCCTGGGGTTGAGCCCCCAGAATTGTCTTATGACCCCTGATTAGTCACTTCGGCTCTCTGAGCCACATCTGTTAAAAAGAAGGCCACAGGCCTGCTCCGGCCACTCCCACCCAGGGCTGAAGTGAAGGTAAAATGGGCAGGCAAGTTAACACATTATGAAGACTGCAAAACCCCGGGATATATTAACTGTCACCCTGACTGCTACACAAGAGGTAGGGGCATTGTTAAGAGTGTAGCTTTGGGGTCAGACTGCCTGGGTTCAAATCCTGGCTCCATCACTTACTGGCTGTGTATCCTTGGAGGAGTCACATACCTTCTCTGGGCTTATGTCTCCTCATCTCTGAAATGAGGATATTACAGTACTCACTTCAGAGGGCTACTGGGAGGATTTCACAGATGAATAGAGGTAAAGTGCTGAGATCAGTGCTCGTGTTTTAGGGAAGAGAGGAACTGGTGGTTGCAGGGAGCTCAGGCTTCCGCAGTGGCTGACCAAGTTCTCCACACCCAGAAGGTGAGGCAGAGAGACTGGGAGAAGCTAGCGTCAGCCTTCGGGGAGGAGGCGTTGAGACTGACAGGAGAGGAGTGTAAGTGACCTCATGGTCACAATGGGCTGGTTGGGGCCTGGGGCAGTAGTAGTTGGGGCCAAATTAGTTGGGGCCAAACACATTTGTCCCCTTTTGTCCTCAGGATCTCGTGGCTCCACTGGGGTCCCAGGACAGCAAGATAGGGACAGCTCAGCCCTGGAGTCAGAGGAGGGCACACACCCTGGTTCCCCTATTCTGACTGTATGACTGGGCAAGCCCCTTAATCTCTCAGAGTCTTGACTCTTCTCATCTGCAAAATGGGAATGATGAGCCTTGCTTTAGGGGTTATTGTAAAGATTAAACCCAATCGCACTTGTAAAGCCTTTAGGAGCCTCCTGGCACACGGTGGGCTCTGGGATCTGGCTGTCCCTGTCCGTCCTCCCCCAGAGAGAGCAGGGTCTGGCTCCAAACTTCGCCACTAGGCTCTACTGCCTCCTGCAGGGAGGAGGTTGGACATTCATTGGGTTTGGGGGCCTTCCAGGCAATTCCTCCAAATAACTGAGCTGGCAATGGGCAACAGCGCTTAGCCTGAAATAAATTAGTGGGAGCTTCTTGAAACCCTAGTGCAGTCTGGCTGAGGTTTTTAAGAACTCAGACTTCGGAGGCCAAGGGTTCTGGGTCTGAAGCCCAGCTCTGCCCCTTACTGGCTATGTGACTTTGGGAGGGTGGCTGAAGCTCTCTGAGCTTCAGTTTCCTTATCTGTAAAGCGGAGACGGCAGCCGACCCACCCTGCCCAGTGGGGTGAGAATGGTTGACCCGCGGCGCCCCCTGCCGGTGGGATCCGCGTCGCAGCCCGCGGTCAGGGCGACCAGCCGAGCCTGGCGCCCGAGCTCTCCTGCTGGCGGGGCCGGCCCTACCCGTCCACACCCCGACCCTCCCCTCACCCGCGCCCGCCCCTCGACCCGGCAGGATCGTGCAGATGCTGCTGCCGGTGACCAGCCGCACGCGCATACGCCGTAGCGGCGTCAGTCCGCTGCACCTGGCGGCCGAGCGCAACCACGACGAGGTGCTGGAGGCGCTGCTGAGCGCGCGCTTCGACGTGAACACGCCGCTGGCCCCCGAGCGCGCGCGCCTCTACGAAGACCGGCGCAGCTCCGCGCTGTACTTCGCGGTGGTCAACAACAACGTGTACGCCACCGAGCTGCTGCTGCAACACGGCGCCGACCCCAACCGCGACGTCATCAGCCCCTTGCTCGTGGCCATCCGCCACGGCTGCCTGCGCACAATGCAGCTGCTGCTGGACCACGGCGCGAACATCGACGCCTATATCGCCACGCACCCCACCGCCTTCCCCGCCACCATCATGTTCGCCATGAAGTGCCTGTCGCTGCTCAAGTTCCTCATGGACCTGGGCTGCGACGGCGAGCCCTGCTTCTCATGCCTCTACGGCAACGGCCCGCACCCGCCGGCCCCGCAGCCCTCCAGCAGGTTCAACGACGCGCCCGCGGCCGACAAGGAGCCCAGCGTGGTGCAGGTGGGCAGCGCACGCTGGCGGTGGGGAGCACGCCTTTTGGGTGTGGCCCAGGGACGCGCGCGCGCATGGGAGGCGGGCGGGGCCGGGTGGTTCGCGCTCCTTGGGAGCAGCGTGGACTAGTGATTAACACCCTTCGGGGGAAGTGGGGCCAGCTTTGGAGGCAGCAGAGCACGGTGGTTAACCTGCGTCCTGGGTAGCGTGGGTTAGCGCTTAGGGCGCTTTGGAGGGAGCTTTGGAGGGAACTAGGGGTTAGCTCACTTTGGAGGCAGCGGAACCGGTGGTTAGCACACTTAAGAGGCCGCAGAACTTAGTGGTGCATTGGAACGGTGAAATCCTTCTTGTGGTCCACTGCGTTGGGGAATTTAAGGAACCAATGATGGAGCGGAGAACTCTGCCAAACTAAGAGGCTCGTCACCTCCAGCAAACCTACACCTGGAATGCGATGTGAAACAAGCACGATCCGGAAAGGCATGTCAAGAGCAGGCTGGTGTAGGGTCAGGTCAGAAGCAGAAAGCCAGCGACCCAGAGGCAGGACACGTCCATGTTGTTACTTTAAAAGTCAGAACTTGGCCGGGCGCGGTGGCTCACGCCTGTAATCCCAACACTTTGGGAGGCCGAGGCCGGCGGATCACGAGGTCAGGAGATCGAGACCATCCTGGCTAACACGGTGAAACCCCGTCTTAACTAAAAATACAAAAAAATTAGCCAAGTGTGGTGGCCGGCGCCTGTAGTCCCAGGTGCTCGGGAGGCTAAGGCAGGAGAATGACGTGCACCCAGGAGGCAGAGCTTGCAGTGAGCCGAGATCGCGCCACTGCACTCCAGCCTGGGCACAGAGCGAGACTCTGTCTCAAAAAAAAAAAAAAAAAAAAAAAAAGTCAGAACTTAAAAGGAAGTTAGACACACTCCTCTCCTGGAGCTCATTGTTTTAATGGTTAATGGCGATCATTCATGGGCTGCCTACTGTGTGCAAAGTTTATGTTCATATTACCTAATTCTCATGTTAAATCCCCTTGGAGTTGGTTTCATATACCTATTTTATAGATAGGGAAATTGAGGCTCAGAGGTGATGTGACTTGCTCAAGTTGCCCGTCTTCCACTTTGGGCAGCAGAAGCCTGTGTTGAGGGGACATGGTTCAGGGGATCCTAGCCTGGGTGTGCACAGTGTCTGTGCTTGGACACATCCGCTGCCGTCCCTGGCCGCAGGCTCTTGCAGGTGGGATGAACTCACTTCTTGGTCCCGGCATGTTCTCTTTCAGTTCTGTGAGTTCGTATCTGCCCCAGAGGTGAGCCGCTGGGCGGGGCCCATCATCGATGTCCTCCTGGACTACGTGGGCAACGTGCAGCTCTGCTCGCGGCTGAAGGAACACATCGACAGCTTTGAGGACTGGGCCGTCATCAAGGAGAAGGCAGGTAGGGACTTGCTGCTGCTGCCAAGGCTGGCAGATCTCCCTGCCTGACTCAGAGTCCCAGGCCTCAGGGAGTGCGACTGTTCCTAACCCTGTGAGCACCTGCTGCTTGCCAGGCTCTGTAACTCCTTGGATGAAACATGAGGAATCTGCCTCTCAGAGAGCTGTGCCACCTGGGCCAAAGTCACAGTTAGTTAGTGGCAGAGCTGGGATTAAAACCCAGGTTTGACCAACCCCAGAGTCTCTCCGCTACATCTTTCCATGATGTTTTAAACAGCTACAGCTCCCTGAGGGGTACCGGGACCTTCAGGGTAGGTTGTGAATGATTTGGGGCCACCAAGAGGCATTGTAGGAGGGGAGAGGGGAGGATGGTGGTCTAGGATGTCTCAAACTAAAGTGCACATGAAGCACCTGAGTGTCCTGTTAAAAATGCAGCTTCTGATTCCGCAGGTCTGGGGCGGGGCCGGGGAGTCTGCATTTCAACAGGCTCCCAGGTGACACCAAGGCTGTTGGTGCACAGAACACCCTGGTGTGGGAGACAGGCCCCTGAACCCTGGAGCCAGCCTTGCCAGGGCCTTGCTGGGTGAGGCCTCTCCCCACCTGAACAGAGGGGCCTGGGCAGGCTCGTTGTCCAGCTCCTTTCAGCTGGACCCGCCTGAACTGTGCCAGGCACAGTGAAGTGGAGTTCGGCCACTGTCCCTCTGATGTGTGCAGAGTAGATGGGGCTGCCTGGCTAAGTCAGGCTGAGGAAGCCAGAATCCCTCTTAGGCATTTTTGGAGCTCACCTGGGCAAACAGGATGCCACAGGTGACAGAAATGGGTATCTGTGCAGTGGCATTCTAGCTACCCTAGGGCTTTCTCTGGCTCTGAGGGCACAGTCCTGCCCTGGCCAAGTGTTTACAAGGAGGCTGACCTGCAGCAGGTCATTGTCATTCCACCACTACTGCTCCTGTCCCCAGGTGGGACTGTGCAGCCTCGGGGGGCCCACCCCTGTGCCCCAACTCTGACTCACCACATTCCTCCTTGATCCCCACACCCCTGTGAACCCAAATGTGCTGTAGGATTTTTCATTGGCACAGGTGCCTGGAAGCCACTTGAATTGAAGCCTTTGATAAAGTTTCTGGGGCAGTGATGGAGGAGGGAGGCGTCAGCTTGCCCATTCACTCAGGGCTTAACTCTAGACGCATGATAAACCTTCAGGGAACTAATGAATAATTAGTTGCTGTCACCACGATCCTTGGCCACTAGAGGGTGGAGCAGTCTATGCCTAGGTATCAGTCCTACCCATTCTGTCACCTTCTCCTGCCTTCCTTAGAGAAGGGTGGTCCCCCACAACTAAACCATGCCCCAGGGAAATCCCTGCAGAGACCTTAGTGTGGAGTACGCATTTGTTAGCCAGTAAAACCAATCGTTCTTAACCAATATCTATTTGGGTTACTTTAAAGCCCACTTTCCACCTGCAAGACAGTCCCCACGAGCTTGTTTGTTTAATGCTACAACATTGACATCCTTATTCTGGGAAGGAACTACCCAGAGCCCATGGATTGGCCAGCCCAGCCCTCATGGTTCCGTGTCCTCTGCTCACCAGCAGCCTGTGCTGAGTTTCCCAGAGGGGAGGTTATGTTCTAAGCTTGTTACCTAAGGGTTTCCCCATCTATTTTCTGGACTATTAAAAAAGTGTCCTAACTGGCCTCAATGCCTGTAATTAATTATTCCAATTCAGCCATTAAATGAATATATATTCAAGACCTTCTGTGTACAAGGTAACCACATTATTTTTTATCCAGACCACAGCATTTAGGAGATAGTAATAGGAACTAACCAGGCAAGCTGCCCGGGCAACAGGAATGATGCTTCCCTGCTCTTTGGCGTACTATGTGGTAGAAAAATCTGAGCTCAGAAGGCAGTGAACTCAGAGGGCAGTGGAAGTGTCAGAAACACAGTGATGGGTGTGTGAATGCTTCGCTAGGCAACGCTGCAGCCGCCTGGCCCTCCGCCCTTGCTCCACATCCCACCTGCCCCTCCAGCCCCAGGCTTGCATGACTTCCTTGCCTTGCCACTTGCTGTTTTCCCTGCTTAGAATGCCCCTGTCCCCCTTCCGTACCTGGAAATTCCTGCCCCTCCCCCAGGACCTCACTCAGAGGGCACCGTCTCTTGTGGAAGCCTCCACTAGAGCCTCTGGGCAGGCACCTCTGCATATCTGGCCCAAGCACAGAGCTAGGTGCAACAGAGGGGCTCAGCATTCGCCTGGTGAATGAATGAATGAATGAATGAATGACATTCTGTGATTCTACAAGCCCTTTAATTACTCCGTTACTGGATGCGTTCATCCCTGCTCTTACCTCTACCCACTCCCCAGCTCAGAAAACTCCACTACGTGGCTCCTGGGGGAGGCAGCCAGGTGGGATTCTGGAGCTCGAGGCGAGCTGTCAGTCTCTGCCCCCTTATCCTGGCCTCTCAGCACCACTGGGAGCTCCAAGTTGAATTCCACATGTAGGGGCACTTAAGTGGTCAAACCCTCTGACCCCATTGCTAAGGCTGTGTTTGGGGGCCCAGGCTGTGTGTGAAGAGGAAGAGGCTCAAGAGGAGGGAGACACCACCACTAGTCCCAGGAGGGATCCTGGGCAAGGCTCAGAACCTTGCTAAGCCTCGGTTTCCGCACCTGTGAAATGGGTGTGCTAACCACGCTGTGCACTGCGTGGGCTGTGCAGATCAATGAGGGGTGAACAATGGGAAGGTGGCTTGCTGGATCTCTTTAGTTGGCAGGGACTGGGGTGACCAGCAGCAGGCACTCCCTCTCTTACCCAGCCACATCAGCTGGGCACCTCCCATAGGCTGGGGTCACAGATGCAATCCCTTTGCTTATTGCAAATGACAAATCAGCCTCTGTCTTTCCCTCCTTTTTTCAGAACCTCCAAGACCTCTGGCTCACCTTTGCCGACTGCGGGTTCGAAAGGCCATTGGGAAATACCGTATAAAACTCCTAGACACCTTGCCGCTCCCAGGCAGGCTGATTAGATACCTGAAATACGAGAACACCCAGTAACTGGGGCCACGGGGAGAGAGGAGTAGCCCCTCAGACTCTTCTTACTAAGTCTCAGGACGTCGGTGTTCCCAACTCCAAGGGGACCTGGTGACAGACGAGGCTGCAGGCTGCCTCCCTCTCAGCCTGGACAGCTACCAGGATCTCACTGGGTCTCAGGGCCCAGAGCTTTGGCCAGAGCAGAGAACAGAATGTGTCAAGGAGAAGAATCATTTGTTTACAAACTGATGAGCAGATCCCAGACCTTCTCTACCTTCAGGAATGGCAGAAACCTCTATTCCTGGGGCCAGGGCAGAGCTTGAGGTGTTCTGGGGAAGGTGGTGCTCAGAGCCTTCCCTGTGCCCCTCCACTTGTTCTGGAAAACTCACCACTTGACTTCAGAGCTTTCTCTCCAAAGACTAAGATGAAGACGTGGCCCAAGGTAGGGGGTAGGGGGAGCCTGGGTCTTGGAGGGCTTTGTTAAGTATTAATATAATAAATGTTACACATGTGACACCTGCCCAGTGAAGTCCCTCTCATCAGACTCCCTGAAGCCTGAGGTCCTCAGCCTTGCTCCTGGCAGTAGCGGGAGCGAGGCAGATGTGGGGACGGGGCACAAGGACCCCTGAACGTGTCACCTTTGGGCTCCTGAAAGACCCAAGAGGCTGTGTCCTTCACTCCCCAGGCAAGACCGGATGATGGCCCAATGGGTTTTCCTCTCCTGGTTCAATCACCATGGAAACAGGCACTCCATCACAGTCTCAGGGCCCACATGTCTCCCGACACCTGGGGTTGTCTTATACATGTTTCCTGGCACTCTGTTTTCACACGCTGCTCACCCCTGTTTTGCTGGTTGTTGAGAAACTAGGAAAAAAAAATTAAATACTGGCCACTGTGAGCAATGGTGCTAGAGTGATGGCCATGGTCAGCCCTTGCAAAGGCACCAAGCCTGAGAGTGCACAGAGCTCTGGCCCCTGCGTGCCTCCCTCTGTCTTCATGTGGCCCTGTGGATTGAGTAGAGCAGGAATTGTCATCCTGTTTTCAGGTGGTGCAGGGCAGAGTTAAGGCTCGCCACCACGTGGCACTCTGGGGGGTCTCTCCAGGCCCCGAGGGCTGAGAGGTAGAATGCCCTATTTCCATGGAAGCTGCGGTAACTCATCACCACTCCCTTTACAAGTGTGAATGAAGCCGCTGAGTCCAGGCTACTCTGCAGCAACACCGGAGCAGGCCACCTGGCCGAGAGTCTGTACTAGGCCAGCCCCAGGATCTAGTAGTGTCTTAAACAAGGTCAAAGGTAGTTTCTGGCCTTTGGAAAGTAAGCAGCTAGATTGGTGGAGGGGAGCACTGGTTCCAGGCTCAGCTCTGCCATTGGCTTACATCTCTGGGGCCTCAGTTTCCTCATCTGTATAGTGAGACATGATGGCCCCTGGTGGCCTTGCCGGCTCTGACACGCTGGGTTTCTTTTTTTTTTTTCGAGGCAGAGTCTCACTTTGCTACCCAGGCTGACATACACTGGCATGATCTTGGCTCATTGCAACCTCCGCCTCCTGGGCTCAGGTGATCCTCCCACCTCAGCCTCCCAAGTAGCTGGGACTATAGGGGCATGACACTGTGCCCGGCTAAAGACACACTGGGCTTCTATGGAATCAGTAACTCCCAGAGAAAAAGTCTTCCAAGCAGCACTTTATGGCCACAGGTCAAAGGGGGCTCAACCAGGTCTTGCCCACCCCTTCGTGGTACAAATGAGAAACTGGCCCAGAGAGGGGAAGGGACTTGCCTGGGCACACACAGCAAGTCCCTGGGGTTCCAGCTCAACAGTGCTGGGCCACAGTCCCATGCGGCCTTGCTGTATACCAGGCAGAACCTGCGGGGATCCTAAGAAAGCCCCAAAGGAAACCTGCACTCTCCCCCACTGGGGGATGCCCAACACTGAGAGCCCAGAGGGTAAATTGCCAAGGAGGGTTCAGCTCCCAGGGGAGCTGACTCTGAAACCCCACATGACTCTGATGGAAGAACGCCTTTGCTCACCCAGAAGCCAAAGGGAGGGCATTTGCATCTCGGGTGACTGCTGGTCAAACTGACCCGAGGGGTGGCAGGTGGTGATGGAATGAGGCACGCAGGGCCAGTGTGTGAGTTGTTTCGTGTGTGTGTACTGAGATGCGTCTTGGGCAGACTCTTAACCTACAGCATCTCCTGGGCCGCATTATGTCCCAAACAGTCCTATGGCAGCAGCCACAAATCTCCCAGCCCAGAGACCCGGGCACTGGGCAGGGCAGTGTGCTGGTCTGAGGGAGGTGCCACTCTGGGGGAGGTGAGGCCGAAGGGGTGAGTGGGAGGTGTAGGGGAGGGGTTCAGCCACTGTTTTCTCTATAGTCACCATTTGCAGGATGTGGCACCTCCTGGCCTGGGACACACTAGTGCTACATTTGGGTTCTTAGAATATTAATGTACATGCGTCCATGCCACTTAGTCAAACACTGCTCAGGACCCCTCCCCCCAAGCGCCATGCCCAGCCTTGGCCTCCTCAGGTCCCTGCCCCCATCTTCCCACAACCCAGCAGCTAAGGGGTTCATTCCTGGCCTGGGACTGCTCCAATGGGTTGGTTCCAGTTGGTCAGTGCTCACATTGTGCCATTCATTATGTATTTTGACCATCACTCCTGCGTAGAGCACTTTACAGCCACCTCCCTCTGTAGAAGTGGGCCCCTCCTGCAGCCGCACCTACCCAGCCCCAAGAGGTTTGCAGCCTCAGGGACGTCTCACAGCATAGTAGACACAGCCCTGAAAGTCTGGCACAGATTCCCCTTTGTGAACAGGAGCCTGTTTGACCCAGCGGTGGGTGTCGGGGATGGTGAAGGGGTAGGGGGAGGTGTGCCTGGACTGGCTCTGGGTTTTACTTTGAACCGGCGCCGTTCACTTTGTGGTTAGGGGAGTATCTGCTGTTGTTACTGCAGCGGGATTTAAAACTGATTTTTAATACCAAAGCTTTCCTAAATGCATGTGTTCTGCCTACCTCGCTTCCACGTGGGGGCATCATGTTGCCAGGGGCTTCTGTCAGGCCATGTCTTAGTAGAGGTTTCTGCTTCCCAACTTTTGAATGGATGGATCATCAGGTACCCCCTGGGGCTGTGAGCAGGGACAGGCCAGTCTTATCAGAGAGACCAGAGCTTTCTCCCCAAAGACTAAGATATCTTAGTCTAAGACTAAGACGTGCCTCTGGAGCTCAGGTCCTCTCTAGCAGGTGCGGTTGGTTGGGTGGTCCAGGCACATTATTCCCTGGGCAGCACAGCCCATAAACGGTATTAAAATGTCAGCGTGACAGGACCTACAGACACCGCCAGATAACTACAAGAGGCGACTTGTGGTTGGTGAAGCTTTTGAGCATCTGGGTAGCACAGTGGGCCGAGCACTCACATTGGCCTCACAACAGCCTATACAGCAGGTCTGTTATCAATCACATTCTTCAAATGAGGAAATTTCAGCACGGAGAGGTTAAGTAACTTTCCCAAGATTGCACAGCTGATAGATGGCAGGCTAGGATGCAGGCATTTAAACCGCTGCTATGCAGTTTGCAGGGAGCTGAGGCTCATCGACATGGATCCAGAGGGCCTGCATGATGCCACACAGAGGGCAGAGGAGGGTACCCCACCCCCCAGCCCCTTGCTGCTCTTTAAGACCAGAGCAGTCTGAGGCTGAGGGTCTAGGTTGAGGACTGTCCTCATCCCATGGCCAGATAATGACTCTGAACAGCTCTGCCCAGGCCATGCCTGTTTCTGTGGCTCTGAAGTCTTCAGAGGCCATTGGACAGAAACCACTGGCTGGCTTCCTGGGGCTGGGGCTGCCCCTCCAGGGGACTCCCCAGGCCAGGGGAATCCTGGAGTAAAACAAGGCAAGTAGGAGGGGCCCTTGGTGACCATGGATCCTGCATCCTGTGTTAATGAGGAAGAATCAGAGGCCATGTCTGGACTCCAAAGAAGGGATCCTGCAACCAGCCAACACTTGCCTGGGGTGAAGAAGAGGTCGTTGCACCTGTTTCCTAGTCCCCCATTGTAGAGATGAGGAGACTGAGGCACAGAGTGAGGATTAACTTGTCCAGCATCACGCTGTTGATGAGAGCACCGTAGTCCCCAGCCGGGACTGGCCTGCTGCACCCTTCTTAGTTGTGGAAACTGTGTTCTGATAAAATAAGCAGCTCGGCAGGCCAGCAGGCCCACCCTCTCTCAGCCGTGGAGCCACGTCCACAGCAGCAGAGAAAATCTGGGCCTGTGTGCAGGTGGAGGCCCCTCAGGTAGCTTTGCTAGTAGGACACTAACGGCAAAATCCAGAGCCACTTCCTGCCACCAATGCTCCCCTCTGCACTGTCACAGGCAGAGGCCTCATTATTCCATTGATGGGGCACCTGGTGTGTGCCAGGCCCGGGGAGAGACCCATCAGCAGGTAACCTGGAGTCTGAATTAGCTAGAGAGGATCCTTTTGTATGTGCCAGAGAGAACGAGGTTTAGGGGAATTCGCTATTATTTTTTAAATTGATTTATTTTCCCCATGGACATAGACTCCAAGACCATGCTTACAAGAGAAACAATTTGGTCAAGCCCCCTGTTTTGTCCACAGGGACCAAACTCCTGTTTGGCCTGATTTTCCCTCTGACCAGAGTTGGGCACAACCACCTTGGCACAGAGGCTGCCCTGCGGCTGTACACAGAGCAGAAGACACTGCAGAGAGACCCATTCTCATCTCACTGTCCTGCAGGTGGGGCAAGGAGACCCCCAGAGGAAGCGTCTGGCCGCACAGCACAGGGCGGCGCTGATACTGCAGCCCCACCTCCCCTGGTTCCAGCACCTATTCTCCAGAGCACGTTGGACCCCCTTGGGGGTCCACGCCAGCATGTCCTTCCCTAGTGGCTCCTCCGCTCCCCTCCTCACCCTCCTTCCTTTGAACCAAGATCTTGGCCCCCAGCGCCCATTCCCGGATATCTCAGAGGTTTCAGCCGCTCCTGGCCTCCCTGAAACCAGCCACCTCTGCCAGCAGCCCTCAGCCTGGGTGGGGCTCATTCAACTTCATGACACCCAAGATATGGAAACTCCAAAAGAAATGTCTTTATTCTTTTAACTTTCTCAATATTTACAAAGAACAAGAAGAACAAGAACAACAACTGAGATTGGCTCGCAGAGTGGGTGGCAGGTAAACAGATGCGTCTCTCTGGCTTCTGGGGTGACTGCAAGGCAAGGAAGGGCAACATCCCAGTACCTATGGTCTGCACAGGGACAGCGGGACAAGCTGCTGGGCCCTGGCCTGCCTGGGGAGGGGCCAACCAGGTCCAGCCTCCCAGCTTCCAAGGCTGCAAGGCTGAAGGGTCACTGCCTGAGGAGCCCTGCCCCAATCCTGCCCTCCACTCCCATGCGCACACAAACGGAAGAGGCCACACTGTGGCCCAGCCACCTCCTCACAGGAGAGCGCCTCGGGGACCTCGACACTCCTGCAGGCCAGAGGTGGGGGCTGAGGCCCTCTCCGCGTGGCTAGAGGTAGCCAAAGACATTGAAGATGGGTGGGGGCACGGCTGGCTTGGTGGGGATGGGTTTCAGCACCACGGGCCTGCACACCTTCTGCCCCAGGCCGTCCACATCCTTGCAGAGGTGCGCCAGCTCCCCGGGAAAGGCTGGGCTCTTCCTCCAAAGGCCCAGGCTGGGGACAGGACTCTGAGGCAGTGCCCCCAGGGGGCCCGGATAGATGGGCTGTCCATGGTACTGGAAGGGGCAGCAACTCCAGGCATTGACGCGGCCCACCAAGGAGACCCCAGGCATCTTGAGCGGCTCCTTTTCAGCCAGGGCCCTTGGAGACATGGACACCAGGGTAGTCTCAGGTCCCAGGGGCTCCAAGCCCTTGCAATTTTTCTTACCCTCATAGGGAGGTCCCTCCCTGGGGCCCAGTCCCCCCTCCAGCCCCACATGGTAGCTGTGGGTGGGCCTTGGCTCTTCCCAGAAGGAAGCGGGCAGCTGTCTTTTCCTCATGGGCACCTGGCCAGGCTGGGCAGCTTCTGGATGCTGCCTCTGTGGGAGCTGCTCCTTAGCAAGACATTCCTCCCTGTAGGGGTTCCTCAGCACCTTCTCCTTGCAGCCCCCACCCCCGCCGGGGCTGGAATCAGGGCCCAAATCCAGGAGCAGCCTCCTGGGCCGGTCCTCAGACCCCCTTTTCAGGTAGGGCTCAGCAGCTCTGCCAGGAAGGCCCCGCGGGAGCCGGGAATACTTCTGGGAGAAGCGCTTGAGCTGCTTCTGCAGGTACTTGCGATGGTCCACGGAGCGGCGGCAGGGTGCGGACTTATCCAGGGCTGCCTTGATGTCGCTGGACGCCAGGTTCACGAAGTTCAGCAGCATCTTCACATCACTGTCGGATGCCATCACCAGGGGGCCACTGCACGAGGCTTTCCATGAAGAGGGTAGGCTCTGCTGGTGGCCGGCAGCTCCAAGGAAGGGCACCGAGCTGACCTGGGGGACAAAACAGGCCATCGGAGTCTCTCCAAGCAACCACACCCAGCCCTCCCAAAAGACCACAGCACCTGTCTACAAACAGTCTCCCCACCCCAGCACCTCTCAGCCCTAAACAGAGTCCTGGGTAGAGGGATGTGGGTGCAAGTGGCTGAGCACTTCCTGCACACCTGGGATGCGGCAGGCACCAGCAGAGCCTCGCCCAGCCTGCTTGGGTCTGGTGCCCCTTCTTGCAGCCAAGGCTCAGAAAGGTCAAGCAAGTCGCCCAAGGTGACCCAGCTACAGGTGGCATTGCTGGGGCTGGCACACACTCCCAGCCTGCCCCATCTCCCACACACCACGCTGCCAACGTGTGCAACTTGCCAGCGAGGTGTTTATTCTCTGAGCTGAGGCAACTGTTCCTCTTTAAAGCAAGGCCAAGCCCCCTTCCTCCCTGGTGGTAGCCTCCCCCTCCCACCACTCCTGCCCCCAGCACGAGGAGCACCAGCCCCCCTCCTCAGTCCCCACGCTCCACCCCCAGCTCTCACGCAGGACCAGGCAGGACCCCTGTCTGGCACTTAATCGAGACCTGCCTTGCGGGCTGATCTCAGGCTGCGGGCAGCAGGGATTCCCCCGAAGAAGCATCTGCAGCAATTTCATGCCTCCTCGGCCGCCACCCACGGCACCTCGCCCCTCCCCCAGGCCCCAGCCTGCCCCCACACCCGCCACCCAGTCGGGCCAGAGCCACCGGGCCTCCACACTGACCGAAGGTGCGGCCCAGGCCCCACCAACGTGGCCCGGCAGGTTCCCCACTGCAGACCTGGGACAGGCCCCGGCGCAGCCGGCCGAGCTCCGTCCGGCTGGAAGCAGTTGTGCAACCCTTGAGTGGGCTGAATGGAGGACAACTCCCCGGAGCTGGGGGGCCCCTCAGGCCAATCAGGAGCGCCTCTCCAGATACAAAGCATCCCAATCAGGCGGCGGCGCCCCGTTCCCACATTCTTTGCCGTCACAAATTGTCACCATGGGGACCATCACAAAAAAGACAGCTCCCAAATGCAATCATTTCCCGGTAAATTTCTACCCTTCAGCCCCACTCTCCTCAGCCTCCACCCCCCTCCTCCCCTTGACCTCAGTTCCCTGGTTTCTCAAGGGGGTGGGGTGTGTGTGTGTGTGTGTGTGTGTGTGTGTTTAAAATGTCCAGGATTGAGAAGGGGCTGGGCCTAGTGGAGACAGGCTTGCAAACCTCCCCCAAAGACTCCAGGCCTACAGCTGCCATGCTCCAGTGCGGACAGACAATCGGACGGGGTAAGCCGGGGCGGGCTGCTTTTCCCGCTGTCCTTGAGTGTTGAGTGGCTCTCTCGCTCTCACTCTCTCTTCTCCTGTCTCTCTGTCTCTCTCTCTGTCTCCCCCTGCCACCCCCACCACCCTCCCTGCCAGGATCCCCCAGGGATCGGGGATGGAGGGCCTTCAAGGTCAGGAGGTGCGCTGATGCCTGTCGGAAAAGGTGGCCGAGGAAGGACTCTCTAACGAGGTGCTGGGATATCCATGGGAAGGGAGCTGGAGCTCTCAGGAATCTTGTCTTTATGTTTGCTTCCTCAATTGAGCTGCACAAAGCCTGAATTGCCCATTCAGCGCAGCCGGACAAAAGGTTGGCGTTGCACGGTCCCCTTGCATTTGTAGTCAAACAGTTAGGGACTTAAATCGAGTCGTCATGATGGAGAAAGAGGTGGACAAAGCCCATAGAATTGCCATCAGCAAACATTTTCCTGTGTCATATTAGCCAGTTTCCATGGCTCCCCCTGGCCTGCGGACAATGGGACAAGTTTGCACACTTGGCTACTGTCACCGTGCCAACGCCGGCGGGGCTGCAAGCAGGGCCACTCTGAGCAAGCAAGGGAGCCCAGAGCCGCTGTTGGCCCTGCCCACCAACTGGCCAGAGGGAAGGTGAGGCTGAAGGCGAGGGCGGCCGCCTGGGAAATGCTAATGGTCGTGCCTCCGTGCCAGCCCAGCTCACGGGCCCCTTTCACGCCTCATCATTTTTCTGCCCAGACTCAGCCTCCTCTTCCCTCCTCCTCTCCTTCCCCTTCCTTTTCTCTTCCCCTTCTACTGCCTTCTCCTCCTGTCTCCCTCACCAGCCAGATGGCTGGTGGCCTGTGCGCCAACCCACACCTCTGTACTACAACCTAAGATTTGGCATCTTAGGTTGCAGGACTCCTCCCTGGAGTCTCCCTACCCAGACTGGGGGCATTGGCAGGGCAGAGCCAGGGCCTCCATCCAGAAGTGATGGCCCTGCTCCTTCCCACTGGCCAATAGACAGCTGCTGTGGCCTGACTCCAAGCCATCTCCCCTACCCCTGGCCTGAGGGTCCTTACAGGCAAAATGAAGGGTTTGGAGGAGATGGCCCGGTGCTGACAAGCTGTGACTCAATTTAGGCCTTGAAAGCCAGCACTGTATTCTCCATGCCCCTACCCTGCTGCGGGGTCGGGGAAGTGTGGACCGAGATGGAAGTGCCGCTGGACTGACGCATCCTAGATTGTTGGCCACTACGTGCCCTGGAGGGTTGCTCCTGCCTGCGGCAACCTTTGCATGGGTGAGAGCCAAACCATCATCATTTTAAGTGCCAGAGATTTGAGGGCTATGTGTTTCTGCAGCACGTCCCAGCCCACCCTGACTGGTACAAGCAGGAAACATCCTTTCTGCTCCAAAACATCTGGCACGCGTGGCTGAAGAGAGCGCCCTGAGGGCCTGTGGCCACCAGGGCCAGCTCCCTGCTGCCTACTGTGTGAGGCTGGTGTGCACAGCCAACAGTTTGAACCTCTCCAGCAGCTGGCATCTGACTACGTAACCACCTGCTTTGCTGTGCTCGCCCTTTTCTCCCCAGGCCTTCTGTGATTTGTGGGGGCTGCATCATTCCTCTCTCCAGAAGATCTTCTCTCTTCTAAGGGCATCAAGACATTTTAGAGCCACTCAGCTCAGCTCCCAGCTTCCTTGAGATCCCACGGCACCTGCAGCCCTGCTGGCCCATTCTGCACTGCCCGCTCATGAAGCTGTCTCTCCTTTCTTAGCCAGTAGTAAGCCTCCCCACCAGGCCCGTGGACTCCGTGGGAGGTGAGTTGGTGTCTTACGAAAGTCTTTCCAAAGCTCTTAATGTGGGCTGTTCTTCCACCAAACACTTTTTGAGGAAACAGAGAAGGAAGAAAAGAGGGAAGAGAGAAAGGAAAGGGAGAGAAAAGTGGAAGAAAATGGATTCTTTGTGGACACCCAGCATGTGCCAAGAGCCGTATTCCACAACCACATGAAGACCTCACCTGACCCTCGGGGCAGCTCCGTGAGGGTAGTGTTGTGGTTGCCCTGACAAATGAAGTGAGGTTGAGTTACTTTCCCAAGGCTTCACAGCTGTTAACCAGCAGAGCTTGAACTTGAAGCCAGGCCCGTCTGTGTCCAAAGGCTGAGTTGGATCTGCCTGGCCACATTGCCTCCTGGAGCTCCCGTGAGCACCAGATGCTGCCTAAGCGCTGCCGGCCAGGAAGACCAGATTTTCTCCATGCGTCCTGGGTTCCACTCTTCTAGCACAATGTTGGACCTTCCCAACTCAGGAATATGGGAGCTGCAGCTTTGGGAAGTCAGGAGCAGGGAGAGGAGGCAACTGTGGCTTGAGGCCAGGCCTCTGGATGCCTCTGACCCACACAAGGGAAGGCTCCTCTGTGTTTTCTGATTGGCCATATAGGCAGGTGGAAAGACAGCAGTAATCACACCAGTCATAAGACTCTCCCAGTGTTCTCTCATTATTGTCCTGGGTCTGGGCAGAGAGGGGATTATTTTTCCCATTTACAGTTGGTGACACACCCACAGAAGCCTCAAACCTGATTCTTGGGCCCAACTCAGCCAACCCTGTCCTCTCAGCCATTCTTAAAGGCCCAGCTCAAACACCCCCTCCTCCAGGATGCCTTCCGCCAACTCCTAGCATTGTTAATAACGCCCTCTCCCATCCCTGTGTTCCTAGAGTCAAAGATGAAGTCTAACCTCCTTAGCTAAATGCAGAAGGCCCTTTGTAATCTGACTCCTACTAGAGCCTGGCACAGAGTAGCTTCTTACTAAATGTTTTAAGAATTAAATACTTTGCCCATTCCAATGAGCAGGATTTTTCCTGTGAACCGTAAACAGCTGCTTCCTGTCTTATTTTTTTAAATTTTGTCTGTTTATTGTTTGCCCCATCCAGGTGAGCTCCAGAAGGGAAGGGAGTTCTTTCACAGCTTTCTGTCTCTGTATCTCCTGTGACTTGAATGGACTCAGCACACAGCAGGCCTGAGTGAAGGATGCTTGTGGTTGCTATGGCTTACATGACAACGAATTGTCTGTAATCCTACAGGACTATGGCACATGAAAGCTGGAAGCGCTTCTTTCCGACTGCATCGCCCAGCACCAGAGCCCGAGTTCTGTAAAGCTCTGTTAAAGGCACATGAGCTGTGCTGGCTTCAACTGCCCTGAACTTGGATAAGCTGGGCCGCTGATGGACCCTTCCCAACCGGTTGTTGCTGCCTTGGTTTCCCGACAGTCCACTGTGCTGACCCTGCAGCAGGGACTCCCAGCTTTGCATCAACTCCATTCAACACCTACTGTGTGCAGGGACCAGAGGGTGTGGAGGTGGCATTCCCTGCTTTATCTTGATAAGTAAACGTTTGTCTCCTGCCCACTCATCAGTGAAGCAGAACAACTACCTAGCAGTCTCCTGGGAGCCACCCCTCCAGAACCTCTGGATGTCAACAGACACCATCTACTTATAGGATTCAGCCAGCACATGTGTAGACTGGAGCTGCAAGTGAGAAGAGGCATCTGGCAGGGCATGCACAGGCCAAGCCTTAGGGACCCAAGGAGCTCATCTGGGGCAGTGGGTTTTCAAATTGCTTTGAAGCAGAGATGCCCATTTAAAAATATGTGGAGATTCAGCCGGGCGCAGTGGCTCACGCCTGTAATCCCAGCACTTTGGGAGGCCGACACGGATGGATCACCTGAGGTCAGGAGTTCGAGACCAGCCTGGCCAACATGGTGAAACCCCGTCTCTACTAAAAACACAAAAATTAGCTAGGTGTGGTGGCGGGTGCCTGTAATCCCAGCTACTCGGGAGGCTGAGGCAGGAGAATCATTTGAACCCAGGAGGCAGATGTTGCAGTGAGCTGAGATTGTGCCATTGCACTCCAGCCTGGGGGACAAGAGTGAGACTTCATCTCAAAAAAAAAAAATGTGGAGATTCAACATGTAAAACCATGACAACTATGGGCTATGAGTACAAATTTATTTTCCATGCTCAAATGCATACCTTCTACTTATTTGCAAACAATGCATTAGAACAAGGAGTCTGTTCTGATGATATAAAACTTTGAAATCAGGAGATATGGATTATGGTCTCACATCAGCCATCAGCCATACTTTGTTTTGGTTGCAGAACATTTACAAAATCTTGGTTTAGAGAGAGAAGCAGTTGAGATGTCAACTTTCTAAAAAAGTTTATCTTTTAATTAATTTATTTTTTGAGATAGAGTCTCGCTCTGTCACCCAGGCTCTAGTGCAATGGTGCGATCTCGGCTCACTGCAACCTCTGCTTCCCAGGTTCAAGTGATTCTCCTGCCTCAGCCTCCTGAGTAGCTGGGATTACAGACGTGTGCCACCACCCCTGGCTAATTTTTGTATTTTTAGTAGAGACAGGGTTTCACCATGTTGGCCAGGCTGGTCTCAAAATCCTGACCTCAGGTGATCCGCCTGCCTCAGCCTCCCAAAGTGCTGGGATTACAGCTTTCAGCTACCACGCCCAGCCTAAAAAAGCTTCTCTTATGATCTTAGGATGGTCATCAAATGAAAGGAGTCCCTGGAGAAACTATTACCTGGTCCCCACAGGAGTTAACCTGACTGCCCAAGTTCACCAGTCAGCAGCCTAGCGTGTCACCTTGTGAGTTAAAATGCGTTTAAATGTATCTGTTTGTTGGTACATGTTTGGTAATGTTTTAAATTGCCAAAAATAAATGTTAAAGGAGATTTTACATTTTCACACCTCTACAGAAAATTCAGTCCCAAAAGATGGGCTGACTTCTCATTTTAGAGATGAAGACAGAGAGGCCCAGAGAGGGGAAGAGATTCATCCAAGGCAAAGCCAGGCAGAGCCAGGTAGGAGAAGCACCTGGGAGGGAGCTCTGCTCTGCCAGCCACCCTGTGCTGTTTCTCACACCTCATCATATGAGTGTAAAGTCCTACTTGATGGAAATATGTGTCATATATTGTCATTTGTTCTTCCCAGTTGCCACGGTTACTCTCTTTAATGGATGAGGAAGTTGAGGCACAAATTGGGCTAGGAGACTTGCTGAAGGTCCCATGGGCAGTAAATGACAAAGCTAGGGTGGGAGTGATCCTAAGATGCTGCTCCCACCGACAACTGTGAACCAATATGAGGGCCCCATCTCCCTCCCAGGGGCCTTGCTAGCCCAGGGCTACAGACTCTTCCCAGCCACCCCTGCCCTGGAGAGTTAGGCCCGACCGACCACACCAGCTCGGGGAACATAACAAAGGCCACGCGGAGGACAGAGTGGCCTGGCAGCGCCTCTGTGGACATGCGACGCAGACATCACAAGATGATTTATGTAACCTCTTACATAATGGCAGCATTTCTATCAAAGACCAGCCCACGGCAGGCTGTCAGCTATAATCAGAGTGGACGTGCTTCTTGCTTCCTGGGAACAGGAGGCACCAGGTCAAAGCCAACCCCTCTGGCTGGCAGGCCGAGGGCTTCCTGTGCTGGTGAAGTTGCCTGGTGTGGCTGTGCCCTCAGAGGAGGCAGAGACCTTGTAATGCCCCAGAGTAGTCACAGGCCGGCTCAGCCAGCCCCAGCACCCCTGGCTGCAGTCCACCTCCAGTGACAGAGACCACTATCAATGTGATCAAGTCCCACGTTGGAAGTGCTTTCAACCATATTATTGTACCATGAAAGGGAGACGGGCTTCAGAGATAAGATCTTTGAACTCTGCCCCTACCTGGCTGTGTGATCTTGAGGTAGTCACTCACCCTCTCTGGGCCTCAGTTTCCTGGTTGAATTACATCATCAATGCTTGACCTCTGTGCTGCACACATGGGTATTGATATGGTGCTATCGTGATACAGTGCTATATGATAGCGTGCCACAAGTCGGTGCTACTTATATTTGGCAAATGATTTGGTTTTTCCTAGTATAAATCTGAGCAGATTCAACATCATAAAATCAGGTAAGCCCACTTACACTCCCCTGTGCATTCTTGAAAGGGATATGAATGAGTGGGGTTAGAGCTGGTGAGTCTGAGGACTCAAGCCCCAGGAAAAGAGGAGAGCTCAGCCCATCTTCACCATGTGGAGTCTCAGGAGGGATGGGGTTCAGGCAAAGAGTTCTATGTTGAAGAAGAGTGGTGCAAACAGACCTCTGTGTCTTGTTCCTGATTTTAGGGGAAAAGCTTTTGGTCTTTCACCATGGGATATGATGTAGCTGTGGGAATTTTGTAGATCCTCTTTATCAAGTTGAGGATACTTTCTTCTATTCCTAATTTTCTGGGAGTTCTTGTCGTGAATGGATGTTAAATT
Organism: Homo sapiens; assembly: GCF_000001405.40. Lineage (NCBI taxonomy): Eukaryota > Metazoa > Chordata > Mammalia > Primates > Hominidae > Homo > Homo sapiens. The sequence continues at coordinate 93,920,623 of NC_000014.9, read as the reverse complement.
TTGTCAGATGAATTTTTTGCATCAATTTATATGATCATGTGTTTTTTTCTTTAGCCTATTTACAATTTGTACTATGCTAAGATATAACATCATAACATTTACTATTTTAGCCTGCTTTTCTGTCTTTTCCTCCCTCCCTCCCTTTCTTCCTTCTTTCCTTCTTTCCTTCCTTCCTTCCTTCCTCTCTCTCTTTCTTTCTTTCTTCTTTTTTTGAGACAAGGTCTTGCTCTGTCACTGCAGTGCAGTGGCACAATTGTGGCACACTGCGGTGTCTTGACCTCCTGGACTCAAGCAATCCTCCCACCTCAGCGTCCCAAGTAGCTGAGACTACAGGTTCACGCCAACACATCCAGCTAATTTTTAAAAATTTTTTGTAGAGAGGAGGTCTTACTGTTTTTCCCAGGCTGGTCTCAAACCCCTGAGCTCAAGCTATCCTCCCATCTCAGCCTCCAAAAGTGCTGGGATTACAGGTATGAGCCACCACACCTGACTGCATTTCACTTCTAATATCATAATCTATGTCTTCTCTCTTTTGGTCAGCCTTGCTAGAAGCTTGTTAATTTGATTGATCTGTTTAAAGAACCAGCTCTTTTTTTATTTTTTATTTTTTATTTTTATTTCTTTTTCTGTTTTCAATATCATTGACTTCTGCTTTTATCTTTATTACTTCCTTTCTTCTTCTTGCTTTGGGCTTATTTCACTTTTCTTTTTCTGAGGGCATGGCTTTGATCATTGATTGAGATCTTTCTTGTTTTCTAATGTAGGCCTCTTAGTGCTATAAAATTTCCTCTCAGCACTGCTTTGGCCGCATCTCACAAATTTTGATATGTTGTGTTTGCATTTTTCTTTGGCTCAGTATATTTTTGTTATTTTCTTTGAGATGTCCTCTTTGGCAACGAGAAAGACCTATGTGGGACTTTCTCGGCAACAAGAAGACCCACGTGGGACTTCCCTGGGGAGTCAATAATGCTCACCAAGTGGTTCTAAAGCATTTAGTGGACACCTACTATGTACAGGACATTCTCTGAAGTGCTGGGGGTAGCAAAATGAATACGAAATCCATGCCAACAGCCTTGAAAATAGTTTACTCACCTCTTATTAAATGCTAATAATGTTTCAAAAACTTCTTCTGTATTAACTCCTTCATAATGAGGTGGATATTGCTATTACGCCTACTTTACAAATGAGGACACTGAGGCACAGGTTGACTAAGTGACTTGACGAAGACCCCACAGCCAAAAGGGGTGAAGCTGAAGTGCAACCCAAGCCAATTACTGTGATTTTATGATTAATCATCATGATCAGTAAGCTCTGAGCCTCCTATTCCTCACCCTTGAAGTGTAGCTAAGGGCAGTTCCCTGGCAGGGTTGATAATGAGGATTAAGACATCAGCCATGAAAACTCAACAAACACATCAATCTCCTGGTTCATAGTCGGTGCCCTTCCCTTGCCTTTGCCTCTCCCCTGGGCTGGATATAATGGCTGCTCAGGTGAAGCTGTAAAGAAGGGCTGGTGGGACAAAAGTGACATGGTAGTGGTGTCTCTGCCCTGCGGGGCATCCCAGATGGACCACCGCCCCACATTCACGCCCCTGCTCTGCACGCTCCCCCACCCCCACACACCCATCACCTTGACTGTGTCCTCCAGTACTGATAGGCCTCGTCACTCTCCCAGGCACCAACCAGGAATGAAAAGTCTGTTTGATCTCAACTGTCATCTCGGGTTTGATTGGCGATGACTGGCAGGTGCCCTGTGGAGAGATTCCAAGGGCTCAGTAGACAGAACACTCTGATCTACTAGTGATGTCTTCCCTGAGGGAGGATGGAGATGAAGCCGGCTGTGTGCCAAGTGTCCCTGGATCCAGGTCAGAATCACAGGATGGGAAGCCAGGGATGTCAATACTTGGCATTCTGGTGATCCAAGCCTGCCATTTTAATCAAGGGATTGGAGCCCCTTGAGAAAAGCAGTGACTTATTCAAGCACATATTCCTGTGACCAAGATTCAAGTTTCCCACCTCCCAGGCCAGAATTCATCAGGTCCATTCAACAGACATTTGTTACTAAGTTTCAACTCCAGGCCAGGCACTGACTTAGCCATAATAGATATCTTACACATCTCATAGTATTTATTCTCACAACAACCTTCTGTGATAGATCCTAATGTCATTCCCATCTGGCAGATGAGGAAACTGGGGCTCAGGTAGACTAAAGACCTTAACAGCTAGTGAGAGACAGAGCCAAGATTTGAATCCTTACCTCCTGACTCTGAACCCAAATCCTTCTAACATGCTGCTTTGTTTCAGGGGTGAGAGGCAGCAGTGATGGCTACAGCCATACCTTGAGTCAAGGCACTGAGACGGAGAGTGTTAGGCATTTTGGAGAGCGGAGACAGTGAGAAGCTCAGTGCAGCGGCGAAGAGAGTTCGCTGCAGGGAGTGAGGTGAGATAAGGTTAAGTAGAAAGGTTGAATCCCCCATGTATCTTTGCATGCAGTAGGCACATAATACATGCTTAATGACTGACTGACTGAATGAATGAATGAATAAACAAATCAGAACATAGAGTAAAATGGTTGGTTGGCTCCTGAGCCATTTTAGGAGCTCCAACAGCCAGTCATAAAACAATCTGTAAACAGCAAGTGCATCCTCAGTGCCTGGCTCCCACCCCTCCAGCCACACTGTCCCTCAGGTATGTTGCACAAACAGCACACCTTCGTCGTCAGAGAGGATCCCTTGCCTCCTGGGATGGGAGCTTCCAAGGGAAAAGTGATGGGGCAGGGGTCTAACTTGCACTGAATACTGCAATGCCCCAAGAGTTAGATATTTGTCATCTCATTTAATCCTCATCAAACAAACAAACCAATGAGTCAAAATGAGTCAATAAAACCCGAGATGGGTATTGTTCTTCCCATTTGACAGATTCAGAAACTAGGACCAGGGAGATAGAACTCTCCCCTAGTGGCAGAGGAGCTGGGGTTTGGGCTCAGCCAGTGTCTACAGTGCCCTTAGGGGAAGGTGGGGTTGGCGGTGGGCATTGTGCCCTCTTGCCTTACATATTCCCAGCCCCCACCCCAGCCACCTGGAGCACCTGTCCTACTTGAGTAATAGAAGACTCTTCATCGGCATCTATCATTTAGTTCCTGGCCTCTGATCACAACTCTGTCTGTAGCCCAAATCTAGCCCATAACAGACTTTTTCAAATTTCTCTGAATATGCCATCATCTCTCAGGAAAGGGGCATTTGCATCATCAGCAAAAGGGCCATTTTCACCTGCCTCAGCATTCCATTCCCGTGCTCCCTGACTTGGTCCTGGTGGGGCGTGCTGGGACTATGAAGAGTTACTGCTGTGAGCGCTGCGGCCCCCCATACCTCCACCCTAGCACCAAGGTGAGCTCTCCTAGACCAACGTTGGCCCCTTGGATGGCATTCCAGTGCCTGGCACATGGCAAAGCCCTTGAAGCGTGTTTGTCACCCACAGAGGTCACTCACACACCTTAGGAGTCAGACAATTGCATTTCGTTCCTGCCTCGCTCATCTGGGCAGTGATTTCATCTGTGTGGGCCTCACACTCCTCATCTGATAAGCTTGGTGGAAACAGTGCCCAGCTCCCGGGCTGGGGTCACTTTCAGCAGGCTAAAGGATGAATAGGGGTTGTTTTAGCTCTGCTGGTCTGGGGAGGAGGGGAGACTGGGAGGAAGAGCGTGAGGCAGGAGAATAGGGTCTGGAGGCAGGGACCCAAAGGCAATTCACACGGACCTCCTAGAACTGAATCAAAAGGAAAACACCATCTTTCCACACCCAAGTAACAAGGATTAGAGGCTACTCCCTTTGCAAACCCTACCCGTTTTCCCACTGTGTTGCACATGTAAAATGTAAAGTACCTCTGATCGGTCACCTCCTGTCACCAATCAGACTGGTCATGGGCCAAGTCTTTATTTACATAGGGTGTAACTCTGTATACCCAATGGGAAACCTCTAGAGGGTACATAAACCCTAGAAGATTTGCAACCAGTGCTCTTGAGCCACTTGCTCAAGTATGCTCCCACTATGTACTTTGATTTCAGTAAATCATTGCTTCATTCTTTTGTTGTTTTGTTTGTGCATTTTGTCCAATTCTTTGTTCAAAATGCCAAGAACCTGGACAACTTATAGTCAAGACCCTCCACTGGTAACAAGCATATAGATAAAGGAGAAGACTGGGAAGACGTGGGCTGGAGGGCTGTAGACCACTCCCAGGGTGAGAATTCTTGCTGATGTTTCAACAGATCTCAGCCAATCCTCCCCAGAGCAAGAAGCATGGCAGTGGATGTGAGTTCAGGTGTATTCAGTGGACCTTAGAGTTGGGTCTGTAGCCACATCCCCAGGGTGAGGGTCCCTGGATGAGCCCTGAACAGGGCCAAGTCAAGCAAGAGCCTCTTCTCTCCCCATTCCCTGTTCCATTGCCAGTTATTTTTCTAACCTTATCCACTGGTCATCCTTCACCAGCCACATCCATTTTCTTGCTGTTCCTCAGGCACTAGGCTCACTCCCACCCAAGGGCCTTTGCACTTGCTGTTCCCTCTTCCTGGAATTCTCTTCCCTTAGCTGAGTGGTTGCATTGATAGGCTTGCCACGTGTTTGTGTAAATAAAGTTTTATTGGAACACAGCCAGGCCAGTTTTATTGGAACACAGCCATAGACATATTGTCTATGCTGCTTTTGCCCTACAACAGTGGAGTTGAGGGTTGTGACTGACCCCAGAGTGCACACAAAGCCTCAAGTATTTATAGTCTGGTCCTTTAGGGAAAAATGTTGCCAGCTCCTGCCTTGGATACTTGCACGGCTCACCCTCCCCAGCTTTTCTGTCTTTTTTCAACTCACTCGCTAGTGCGGGCTTCCCACTCTCCAACCTCACCTCTTTCTCTGCTTTCTTCCTCTCCCTGGCGCTGGGTACATGAGATCTCTGGGTATTGATTGCATTCATTGCCTGTCTGCCCACCACAGCACAGGTCCCACAGGGGCAGGGACTTGGGTTCTTGTTTCTTGCTGTATCCCTATGCCTAGAACAGAGCCTCACACCCAGACGTGCACAGGAAATACACTGTCAATGAATGAGAGCTTCCTACACTCCTGGGCACTGGCTCAGCCCACGCCTCTTGGCCCCTGTCTCAGTTTCTCTTGCCATGGAGCCAGGGTCTTGGCAGGTCCCTTGCCAGGTCTCTCCCCAAGGAGGTTGAGTCCTATCGTGAATGGTCACAGTCCCCAGAAACACCCTAGCTCCATGCTAGGACGCAGGCTTCTGACTCCCGCACAGAGCTCCCTGGTACAGTGCAGGAGAGCATTCTACTCAGGACCTCGGACCTCGGACCTCGCCTGGATCTCCCCCTCCCGTACAGCCCTGCCCTGGGGCCTGTGACCCTCCCATTGAATGCTGGCCCATCCTAAGCTGATGCTCTGAGACTTTTAAGCCCCAATAAGAGCTTTGATAACATTCAGTTCACAGAGGCACACAGGGCCTCAATCTCACACACCGACAGGGCTATCGGGTCCTTCTTCGTAACCCCGCTGTACAGAGGAGGAAGCTGAGGCACAGAGTGACCTGCCCAAGTTCATGCAGCTAGGAATTGGCAGACCTGAGATCAGAATCCACGCCCATCTGAGCTCAGGGAGCTCCGTGACACTTCACATCTGTCTCTTCCTAGGGGCCAGCCCTACACAGATGCGCCAGCCCACGGAGCAGCTGGGAGTGTTATTTATGAACCTCCTAGGCTTGGCCCAATCACCCCTCAAGGGCCCCATCACCTCAGGCAGTGCATCTGAAATGCAGATGCTCCAGGTAAACTGAGGCAGTGGAGAAGAGATGGGTTCTGGTGTCAGCAGGACCTGTTTTCCAGCCATGGCCCCACTGCTGTCAGATGTGTGCCCCTGTCACTATTGCTGTAGCAACCTCCCTGAACTCAGCGGTACTCATGGGTCAGGAATTCAGAAAGGGCAGTGAGAGCCACATATCTCCATCTGCAATGTCTGGGGCTGGAAAGACTCAAAGACCGGGGGTGATTTGACAGCCGGGACTGGAGCCATCTCAAAGTCCTCCTCACTCATGTCTGGGCCTTGATGCTGGCTGCTGGCTGTGGCCTGAGCTGGACTGTTGCAGGCACAGCTCCAGTGACCTCTCCTTGTGGCTTCCTGGCTTCCTCACAGCATGGCGGCTGGGTTCCAAATGTAAACATCTCAAGAGACAGGAAGTGGAGCCTGCTAGTTTCTTATGACTGTGGCCTAGAAACCAAAACCAGCACCACATCACTTCTGTAGTATTCTCTTAGCCAAGCAGTCACAGAGCCCAGACTCAAGAGTAAGGATGTAGACCGCATCTCTCAATGGGAGGAAGGTCAAAGAACTTTGGAGCCATGTTTTTTTCTTTTGTTTTTTTTTAAATTCTTTTTCTTTGTTTCTTTTAAAAATGTTTCTGGAGGGGCCATGTTTTACGACTGCCACATTCTGTGACCTTGGGCAAATGGCTTGATCTCTTGAGGTCCCAGTTTCCTTGTCTGTAAAATGGGGATAGTGGTGTCCACCTCAGAGGGCTGTTGTATAAGGTGAACTGAACTCTCAGTTAATAGCAAAGTCAGGCCTTGCACTGGATCCTCAGGCCCCACAGCCAGTGCTACTGATACCACCTGCCCTTCAAGTTGGGGCACACATACTGCTTCTTCCAGGCCTGGGGCAGCTGGGAGGACGGTTTGCCTACGAAGTCCAGTTAGGATGTGGGCAAGCCTTTCCACACATTCACTCAAAAGTGTGCCTTGAGCACCTACTATGTGCCAGCACTTTCTGGGCTTACAGCTTTGATCAAAGCAAGATCTCTGCCTGGGGAAGTTAGCTGTACATTCAAACCCTGTATTTGGGGGATGATGAAGCCCCTGCACAGAGCAGCCTCTGGGCCTTTGGTTCTGACAGTGGCAGCTCTGCCTCATCTCGGTCCATTCCCTGCTCCTAGCTGGCCCTGGTCCTGTCCAGCTAGGCAGGACTGTGGGGCATTATCCTTGCCAACTCCCAGTCTGGCCCCCTCCCTTCCTATCTGTGTTCTATCTATCTATCTATCTATCTATCTATCTATCTATCTATCTATCTATCATCTATTCATCCATCCATCCATCCAATCCCCTTGTCTATCTACTTACCTACCTATCACGTTTCTATTGTTTTCATGGCTTATTTCCCACCAACCACTTTATAAGATGACTATCCTAGGAACTCCAGAGGCCTTGGGAGGACACAGAAGAGATCTATCTGTTCCCAGGGTATTTTCACATTGCTCAGACCCCACGGGACCTTAACACAGGGCTGGGCTTCTGAACCAGCTTCCTTTGGTCACGAATTCTTTGTGGCAATAATAGATGTGATGGGTGTATGCTGGGAGGTGAAGGTACTTACCAAGTCTTTTTTGTTGATTGTTTTAAGTTATAACTCTAATTATAAATGGTTGAGCCGTGTCCATGTGGCCGTGAATGATGACAGCCCCAAGCCCTCCCTGCTAGCCCAACTCTGCCAAGTGAGCCTGCTCTAACATCTGGGAGCCATGCTAACTCAAGCCCAGCAACTGGAGTCTGTCTTGGCCACACCCAGCATGAAACCTGCTTGGAACTCTGCCTCCCCTCAAGTAGCCTCTGGCAGTAGAAAGCGCATGTGTGCTGGAAATCTCCCAGCTGGGTGTGATTCCCAAGCCTATGCCCTGACCTTTACTTTGCCTCTCTGAGCCTCATCAGTCAATGAGGATAATAGCATACTCTTTGCAGGACTCTCATGAGAGCTGAATATCTGGGTGCTCACTCACACTCGGCTCTGGGCAAATCTTCAGTAAATGTCCCTCCTTCCCCTCTGAGAAACATACAGCCACACCTTTGCTCAAGCTGTTTCCTCTACCTGGGCTGCCCTCTTTCCTCTCACTCCCTCATTCACTGTCAAAATTAAACGCATACATCAAGGCCACGTTTAATATGAGCCCTATTTCCAAGGCTGTTCAAAAAAAAAAAGAAAAAGAAAAAAGCAAATTTTTCTTTTAAGCAACTGTCTCACTGAAGACCAAAATGTGAGATGAGTTGGAGGGATCAGCTGTGGTTGTGACTTGGGTGGGCTGGGGCGGCAGTCCCCCTCTTAAACCCCTGAAGTCCATCTGCAGAAAGATCGAGGCTCTGCGGAATATCTTAAAAACAGGGACTGGGTCTGGTTTATTTCTGGGGCCCTGACAGTCCAACTGGCTCAGAGTAGGGGCTCAGAAGTGCTTTGGGAATTAACTGAATTAAACTGAGTCATGTGGAGTTGGGAGGCAGACCCTACCAGACAAGCAGACATACTTTTTTCCCTGATCCCAGCCTCATCCCCGAAACTGGTGTGCACCCAGAGCTTCCCATACCTCCTGGCCAGCAGGGGCCTAGAGGTGGCTGCAGGTGGCAGCCATCAGAGGGACCCTGGCGCCCACTCAGCACTAAGAGGCCAGTTGTCTCAGCACCCCACAGGCCTGGCCTTGGAGTCCCTGGTGCAACTGGGCTCATGGACACCAGACAAGACCAGAGAGGCCTCCTGGAGAAACATGCAAGGATTGGGTTTGGTGGCCTTGTCACTTCCAAGGTGAGACACAAAGGAACACCTTTTCAGTGGGAGAGTATTTATGGAACCAGGTAAGATAGTAATATTTGCTAATACTCATTGAGTACCTACTATGTGCCAGCCACTATTCTAAGCATGTGGTGTATTAATCAGAGTTCTCCAGAGAAACAGAACCAACAGCTCACACACATACGAGGAGATTTATTAGAAGGAATTGGCTCACGTGATTGTGAAGCTGGAGAAGTCCCACAATTCACTGTCTGCAAGCTGGAGACCCAGTAAAGCCCACTGTGGAGATTCCAGTTCAGATCTGAAGGCCTGAGTGCCAGGAACATTGAGGGCAGAAGATCGATGTCCCAGCTCAAGCAGTCACAGGCAGAAAGCAAACTCACTCTCCCTCCATCTTTCTGTTCTATGCAGGCCCTGAACAGAATGGATGGTGTCCACCTGCATTGGGAAGGGCTATCTGTCTTACAACCCATGAGTAGATACTATTAGCAGCCCATCTTAAGATGAGGAAGCTAAGGTACAGACTGGGGAAGTGACTTGTTGAAGGTCACAGCTAGTAAATGGCAGAGCCAGACACAAACCCCAGCAGTCCACCTACAGGGCTACTGCCTCCATCTGCATGTGAATTTAATTCCATGCAGAAAAGGCCTGTGTCATTGAGTTGTTTGGTATATTTATTTCCCAAGCCCCCACCCCTCCATCTCCTTCATTAAGAGCTGGGCTAAAGAGTCCTCTGCTCACCGACCTCTGTGTGGGCTACTGGGTGTGATAGAACCTGGAGGATAGGCTGATGGGGCAGAGGCTGGGACAGAGGAAGGGAGGGTGGGGTGGGCTTCATCCTGCTGGATGGTGGGGAAGGGACGCTATGAGGATGAGAGATGGGCTTAACAAGGGGGGATCGGGCACCAGAGGCCTCACAACTTATTCATGTCAGTGCCATGATTTGCGCCCAGGTTGTTGAGCCTCAGCCTCTGGGCATGACTATTGCACTACAGTGGCCGGGGAGGGACAGGAAGGATGGGTTTCTGTGCCCATTAGGAAATAGACTTTATAGGGTCAGAAATGGGGGCACAAAGGAGAAGAAAAGTTCAGGGAGACTTGCAGGCTTGGGCAAGCAGGCAGGTGGTGGAGTCACACCCTAAGAGGGGGGACCTGGGAGGAGGGACCCTGCCATGCCCTTCAGGATGATGGTGACCATCAGATGAGATGGGGACACTAGGAGGTCTGTGCTGTCATAGCAAAGACATAACAGTTGAAGAGCACTTACAGGTTTTTCCTCATCTCCATTTCCATGTCAAAATTTACCAGTCCTGTGTCCCGTTTCCTCCAGACCATTGCTAATCTGATAAAAAGGCTTCCCTATGGAGGTGGCATTGGAAAAGGCTGGGTTCCCTTCTAACCTTCCCCTCTCTTTTTGCCAGGGTCCTTCCTGAGGCAAATCCTCAGCCGCTGTTGCACGGGGTAAGAGGGAAGGGCAGGGTCAGCCTGGGGAGGATGTGGTGGGATGAGTGCTCAGGGGCTGAGCACAGCACATGTACCAGCCATCTTGGAAGCCACCTCATGTGCCAGACCAGATGGGCCACACCCCTGTCTCCACTGAGAGTGAGCTTGCTGTCTCCAGAGGTAATCGAGCAAGAATAAGACTGACAGTTGGGGAGAAGATAGTAATGCAGATTTAAGCATCAGTGTGTGCACTGGGGAAGTTGCCTGAGGTGACCTGTAACCTTCCATGTCCAGAGTCAAAGATGCTGGGATGCTGAGAATTGGAAACTCCTGGGAGTACCCGCAGGAAAGAGGGTCCATTCGAGGCATCTCCCTGTCTTTCATCTCCAGTTTGTCCACAAGGCCTCACCTCTGGCATGGCCACCCCTCAGACTAGCCAGTCCTTTTTCCATCCAGTACATCTCCATCTCTGTACACCTCATTTCCAGGTGAAGAAGCCAGATCCTCAGAATGTCAGGGCTGGGCAGGACCTCAGAGCTCAGCCAACCAACCTTTGATTTTCAGGGGAGGACCCCGAAAGCCCAAAGTACAAACAGACAATGGCCTGCCTGTGTAGGAAAAGAGAACCTTGGCCCACAATTTCTGCAGCAAGCAGCACATGAAGCCAAACCAAACCTCTGTGGCAATGGGCCCAGAATGGTCAGGGCTCTGTCAATCCTGGTCAGCTTCCCTATTGTTGACTACTGCTTCCAACTCAACACCCATGAAAGAAAGCCAAATATGCTCCTAATGCAATCACATAAGATGTCGGGCTTCCAGCTAGCCACCTCCCGCTTCCCCATGCAACAACCTCCAGTCAGGGCACACCTGAGGCCTCCCCCTTTTCACTATGATGCTTCCCCTCACCCTGCCTGCCTGGGAGTCTCTGTCAAATGCAAGTGACAGTGGCCCATTCCCTTGCCATACCAAGCACACAATAAATGGCCTCTGTTTGATCTCCTTTGGGTGGTCCCAATTTATTTCCACAACACAGAGACCCAGGAAGGGATGGTGGGTTGTTTAAGGTCACATTCCAGGTCTAGGACAGAACTCAGCTCATTCGTTATCACCTCGTTAGAACTTTACTTCTCTGACTCCCTCTATTATTCTAGGTAGAATTGACCACGTTCTCCCTCTTGCCTCTCAGTATCCTTCACACTCTATCTCAGCACCTTCCACACATGCGATGATTTTAAAGTATGTCGAAAGCTCTGTGATACTCATCCCTTTAAGAAGTGGAGCCTAATACTCCTCCCCTTAGTGTGGTCTGGATTTAGTCACTCTTCTAGTGAATAGAATGATATGAAGTGACCATCTGTGACTTCAGAGATGAGGTCATAAGAGGCTCAGCAGCTTCCTCCTTAATCTCTTGGATCAGCTCTAGGGGAAGCCAGCTGCCATGTTGTGGGGATGCTCAAGGAGCCCTGAGGAGAGGCCCATGTGATGAGGAGCTGAGAGGACTTGGGCCAAAAGCCAGTGGAGAATTGAGGTCTCCTGTCAGTAGCCATATAAGCAAGTATTCTGGAAGCACATCCTCCATTCCCAGTCAATATCTTAACTTCAACCTCATGAAAGACCTTGAGCCTAGCTCAGCCACTCCCAGACTCCTGACCCACAGATACTGTGTGAGGTAATCCAAGCTTGTTGTTTCAAGCTGCTAAGCAATCTGTTGCAATAGATAATTAATGCAACACATTTCTGCATTTTTTGCCCTACATGTCTGAGACATATAATATCCAATAATATCCAATTAGGAGCTCTTGAGAATAAGGCACCAGTAGCTCAGGGCTCAGCAATGTTTGATGGACAGACATATGGATGAATGGATGGGTAGATGAGGGTGCACAAAGTAAGCGAGGGGGCACCCTCGCTTACTTTGGCTTCAGGGTTGGATGGATGGGTAAATGGATGGATGGATGGATGGATGGAAAGATGGGGAAATGGGTGGGTGGATGGATGGATGGGGAAGTGGATGACTGAATGGACAGGTTGGATGGATAAGTAGATAGGTGGGCAATTGAATGGATGGGTGGATGGATGGAGGCATGGGGAGATGGGTGGGTGGATAAATGGATGTGTGGATGGATGGATGGTTGGACAGATGGATAAATGGATGGATATTCGAGAACTTCCAGGCTGCTCAGAGACAGCAAGTTTGGTGTGGGCAGTTGCAAAGTTTATTTTAAAAGTCTGATGATATTTTAGTTCAACATGTTTTCGGACAATGGGGCCCTTTCTTGTGCTCCTTGGTGGCCCAGAAAACATAGTTTTGATGGCTAATTGAGTGGTGGTCATAATTTCTTCTCCTGTAAAGACCGTGCTTTTCGTCTATGAGGTTGCTCTAGGCCTGACTGTCCTGTCAACTGTCTCTTTGGTTCCTATCTTATCTACCTGCCAAGACCCTACTCTCTCCTGTGAATCTCTTTTCTTCGTCAGACACCTTGAATCACAGATAGTTGGAGATGAAAAGGACCTTAGAAACCATGAGAAACACCATGGGCGAGGAGACTGGGGAGCTCTGGAGCCATAAACCTGGCTTCAGGTCCCAGTTCTGCCACTCACCAACTGAGTGGCCAAGGGTAAGTCATGTAACCTCTCTGACCCTCAGCCTCTTCCTCTGTGTGTGGCACCTGCCTGCCATCACATGTGGAGGGCTCAGCCCAGAGCTGGCCTGTGCTACGGAGCTAAGCACAGAAACAACCCATCAATGTCACTATCATCTCAAAGCCAAAGTCCTGCCATGTCATTGGGACAGGCTACAGAAACATGTGCAGAGTGTTTATCTCAGGACTCTCATTTGTGAGAGCCATTCATCTCATCCAACCCTCTTAGTTTGTTGTTTTTAGACAGTGTCTTAGTCTGTTACCCAGGTTGGAGTGCTGTGGCATGATCATGGCTCACTGCAACCTCGAAATCCTGGGCTCAGGCAATTCTCCCACCTCATTCTCCTGAGTAGTGGGGATTACAGATGCGCCCCACCATGCTGGCTAATTCTAAACATTTTTTTTGTTTTTGAGATGGAGTCTCACTCTGTTGCCCAGGCTGGAGTGCAGTGGCATGATCTTGGCTCACTGCAACCTCTGCCTCCCAGGTTCAAGTGATTCTCATGCTTCAGCCTCCTAAATAGCTGGGACTACAGGCATGTGCAACCACACCTGGCTAATTTTTTTTTTTTGTATTGTTTAGTAGAGATGCGGTTTCACCATATTGGCCAGGCTGGTCTCAAACTCCTGACCTCGTGATCCACCCACCTCGGCCTCCCAAAGTGCTGGGATTACATAAACATTTTTTTTTGTAGAGACAGGATCTTGATATGTTGCCCAGGCTAGTCTCAACCTCCTGGCCTTAAATGATCCTTCTGCCTTGGCCTCAAAAGCTTTGGGACTACAGGCATGAGCCATGGTGCCAGGTAGACCACTTCATTAACCAGGTGAGGAAACTGAGGCTGAGAGGTGGAGTGGTTTGCCCAAAGCAACCTGGTGAATTAGTGGCATGGTCAGGACATGAATCCTGACTCCAAGACCAGTGCTCCTCCTCTCTCTTCTGAACCCATTTTCTGCACCCTTGGCTAACAGAGGAAAATGCAGGATTCACCTGAACACTCAGCTTTGGCCTCAAATGGCCACGAGAGGGAGCCCTTGGAATTGCTCGGGGCCTCTGTGCTTCCGGTGAAAGAAGCCTTTCCGTCCGTTCTTGAAGGCGCCTAGGCCAGTAGCCCCCGCCCTGCCCCTTCCCTCCCTGTGCCAGCACCTCTGAGGCATTCCAGACTCCGGCTCCTTTTCCTTCTCTACCTCCACCCTCCACCTGGATCCCAGGATTGTCTTTCTCCTTTTCCTGAGTAGAACTGGGATCCTCAGAACCCCACAGTGGTTTTGCCAGGCAGGTGGTGCACATTTGAGGCACCCTGGCTTACTTTGGCTTCAGGGTTGCAGTGACATGTCTAGTTGTCCCTTAGCATCTACTGACACTCCCATCCAGCTATTCCACACACTTCTGCTCAGCCACGCCGGGTGGGAGAGGCCAGGCCAGGGGAGGTGGAGGAGGTGGGAGAGGAGTTTACCTACTGTGTAGCCCGAAGATGACAGAGTTACAGCACACAATGACAGGACATGGCTCGGAGTGTTAGTTGGACACAAGCAGAAGGGCTGATAGTAGAGGCCTTGGGGACAGCTCTGGTGGCAGATTTGAGCCGTAAAGGATGCAGAATAGTTGGCCAGGCAAATAAGGCCCACAAGTTCCTAAGAAACTGGGAGGAGGAGCCTTGCCTCTGGGTCAGGGGTGCTACCTGGGAGGACACCCCTTCTCTGGGCATCAGTAAATAGGGCTAATAAAACCCACTCTGCCTTCCTCATAGGAGGAAAGAATGTCTGAGTACATACAAATGGAAGCAGGTTGGAAATTAAATACCATGCCCATCTCGGGGATGTATTTTAGCACCGGTGTTTTTCTCTTTCCCAGGACGTTCTCCAATAAGCGTTCATTCTGTGTCCCCCAGCACCCACTTTCCCTGTCCTGACCTTCCTGCAGATGCATTTTTGAGACCACTCAGGTTCCTGGGTCACTGATGAGCGTCCCTGTGGGCCTCCCACCATCCTCCACTTGGTGGCTGACTCCAGCCCTCTTCCCTAGCTTGGGTTTTTCCATGAGTCATTTTAAAGTCTTTGTATAAGGCCTATTAGGATAAAAACAGGAAGGCAGGCAAGCCAGCAAGCCCTGGAGGCCATCCCTGGGCTCTTAGGAGATTAAAGTCTGCAAACACAATCCTGGTGTCTGTGGGCCATCTGCCCCCGCACCTCCCATGTGCTGACCAGGAGGACCTCGGAATCTGGGATGAATGGGACACTGTTTGAATGTTGGAAATGCCCCGTTGCTCCTTTCTCTATATCTTTTTAGGCAACACAAATGGCAAGCTCTTTCCAAGTGTCATTCTCCAAATAGATTCCTTCTTGTCTAGGGTCGTGGGGGGAGGGAGTGGAATAAGAGGTGAGCCCCTCTGATGCTCCAGCAGCCCCTTCTGTGGGCCCAGCAGGCCACTCTTAACATCTCCAAAACCTGTGGTTCTTGCAGGACATACACTTTGTTTCATATTCTCCTGGGCTCACTGTGCATAACCGCCTTTGTAATTCTCCAGTTCTCCCAAATGCATATTCTCCCTTGCAGACGGCATTTTTCAGAGAACAGGAGGGAGCTGCTTCCTTAAGTATCGCCTGGGATCACATTCAGACTGGAGATGTTGCCAGAAGCAAATCCACCTCGGTGGGGATTCTGGTTGACCCAGGAGACCCTCTGCTCCTGAGGGAACTGCTGAGGGGCTTGGGCTATGACTCCAGGACCAAGAGTTTTGGGAGAGACTTTCCTTCCCTGGACAAGGAAAAGGAAGTGGAGCTACCAGCTGCTGCTCTGGGAGGCTAGAGGCTCATCTCTCTACCATGCACCCTTTCCGAAGCTCTGTTCTCTGAGGGCTTCTGGAAATACCCGCTTTAATCAGAGTTAAGCCGGATTTGAAGGTTGCGATGATTAGATGTGTCAAAAAAATTTTACATCTAATAACACCCAACGCTGTCAAGAATGTGGAAAAAAACAGACATGTATGCATTGTTGATGCGAGTGTCAATTGGTACCCATTTTTTGGAGGGAGTTTGCTAGTATCATTAGAATGTGAAATAGATATGCTTTCAGACTCAACATTTCCACTTCTAAGAGTCAATTCTAGAGAAATATGTGCACATGGACACAAAGAGTCGGGCATGAAGATGTTTGCAGAAATGTTGTTTGCAACTGCAAAAAACAGTAAAATAAAAAGCCACCAAATCAAAAAACCAAACACCTAGCATTTATCCCCAGCTTTACTGAGATATAATTGACAAGCCTCGGATTTAGACACTGTGGCAGAACTTGGGTACGGTATGCTTTGCAGCCACTAAAAAGAATGACATAAACCTACAGTTGCTGACTTAGAAGGACCTCAAGATGGATCTTTTCATGAAAAAAAGGGATACAATTATAGGTACTGTATCACCCCATTTATGTTAAAAACAAAAAAGAAGAAAGGTAAAATAAAGTCAAAGGGAATGCTTGGGAACGTTTGGGACAAACACACCCCACACTGAGAATAGCAGTGATTTATGAAAGGTTGTAGGCTGGGAAACAATTGAAAAGGGTTGCATTTTTTAGTTTGTAAACTTTTCTGTTGTTTGAAATGTTTCTTAATGAGCACATATTTATGTATATTGTTTTTGTTCCCCAATATGTATATTGTATTTTGCTCCAGGGCACCCACCTCAGAGAAGTCCTGCTCAGAACCTCCGAAGTCAGTTGACTTCATTCAGCAAACATTTTCCGTGCGAGCCTCTGCCCTGCACAGCTCTAGGTTGGGTGTTGAGGACATCAGGGCCATTGTCCCCATCCCCAGGGAGTGCAGTCGCCTGCAGGGAGAGGCAGATGGACAGATGAGGACCGTGCAGTGGCAGAAACTGTGAGGAGTGTCCTCATAAGGACGGCAAGAGTAGAAGGCAGGCGAGGCCAGTTCCCCTGGATGAAGTCTGGGGAGGCTTCCTGGAGGAAGTGACACTAACTTGAGTCTTACAGATGATGGGGGTGTGGATGGGGTGTAGATTGGGTGTGGATGAACCAGTGGAAGAACAAGAGGGAAGATTTGAAGAGGAGGGTTCCAGGAGGGGAGATGTGCACTTGGGGGAACACAGGGCGGGTGATGGGTGGGGTTGGGGAGGACAAGAAGGGTTAGGGACAAGGGCTGAGCTTGGCTTCTCATCTCTCAACTCCTGATTGTTGCTCTGGGGTGCAGGGAGCCAGCCAGTGGCCAGCAGAGGGCACTTTTGCCTCTTCCAACTGCAGAGTCTGGAGCCCCCGGGAGGAGCTGGTCAATGGTTTCATGTTGACATGGGTGGGGAAGCTGGGCTCTCAGGACCCCAGGGAGGATGCACCCCAAGAGCGAGTGAGACCGAGACACAGATGATTAAGTTGCAGCATTAGGAGGCGTGGCAAAGGACTTTAGCCAGTCCACACGTGCAGAGAGGTCATCGGCAGTGCTGCTTTCCGAGATGGTGAAGAGAGGGGCTTCAATCAGAATGTGAGTGTGTGGTGGCACAGGAGGCTTGTGGCCACGGTGAAAGCAAAGGCTAGAGTCGAAGACAGCATTCCAAGAGGGTGCTCTGAGGGCTGCAGCAGCATCAGCCCCGGGGGTCTGGCATGTGGCCTCCCCCACTGGTCCCCTCTACCGCCCACCCTCATTCTCTCTGCCTGAGCTCTTTTCCCTGCTCCTCCAAAGCAGTGTCCCCTTCCCAGTCCTGAGCACTCCTGGACCCTCCACCTGCTCCACAGCAAACCCACCTGGAGTACCTGCTCAGTGCCGGGTCATCTCCTGGAGGTGGGGATGTGGCAGGACCCCAGGAAGGCCCCAGATCATTCCACTGTGGGGGAGGCACAGACACTAACTAAGCAAACAGAGCTTCCGGCAGCGATGGGCCCCAGGCAGAGGATTCAACAGGGCCATGGACAGGTCGGGGAGGCCCTGGGGACACTTCAGCTGAGACCTGAATGTCAAGCTGGAGCCTGGCATGAGGGTGAGGCCCTTACAGGTAGAGCTCCCTGGACAAGGGTGAGTGTGGGGCTTTCAAGAGAGGGAGAAATCAAAGGTAACCCCTCAGTTTTGACCCGAGCCACTAGGTAAACAGAAGGGCTGTTTTCTGAGGAAACAGGGGCTGTGGGAGAGGCCAGCTTCGGGGAAGGAATCCAAAGTTCCGTTCTGGTCACCAGAAATCAGAGGTGCCAATTAGCAGTGCACGTGCAGGGTCACGAAGGCAGTTAGAAATCTGAGTGTGGGCCAGGCGCCGCGGCTCACACCTGTCATCCCAGCACTTTGGGAGGCTGAGGTGGGAGGATAGCTTGAGCTCAGGAGTTCGAGACCAGCCTGGGCAAAACTCTGTCTCTACAAAATATACAAAAATTAGCGGGGCGTGATGGCGCGTGCCTATAATCCCAGCTACTTGGGAGGCTGAGGTGGGAGGATTGCTTGAACCTGGGAGGCAGAGGTTGCAGTGAGCCAAGATTGCACCACTGCACTCCAGCCTGGGTGACAGAGCAAGACTCCATCTCAAAAAATAAATAAATAAATAATTAAATAAATAAATAGAAAAGAAAAAGAAATTTGAGTTTGGATCCTCGGAGAGAGGTCAGGTGTGGGAGTCCGCAGTGTGTAGGCATCTGAAGCCAGGATGAGAGTCTAGCTGAGTTCAAGCTCATACCAGTCATCGCCCAACAGCCAGTAAGTCCAGTAAGTTGAGAGACAAGGTGTTGGGGTAAGGAAAGCGACTTCACTCAGAGAGCCAGCAAACAGAGAAGATGGTGGACTAGTGTTCTAAAGAACCTTCTTAAGTTAGTAGGAACTTCAGGCTCCCTTTAATGTCAAGAAGGGAAGAGGAGGGAGTTGAGGTCAAGAAGTGACCGACGACCACAGCCATGTGGGTGTGAGCAAGGGTCTGAGGAGGTTGTGAAACATCTTTGTTCTTGGTCAGTTGACTTCAGTTCAGATGAAGTAGGTCAGGCCACAGTGTTCCTATAAATCTTTAACGAAATACTATTCCTCGTGTGTACACGTCCTTATCTCCTCGGGAGTTAGTTTTGGAAAGGGGCTGTTATCATTATTTTCTTAAAGTTGAACTGCAAGTAATTAGCTAGCCTACATGCAAAGCTAAGCAGAAGCTTTTCTTTTTTTTTTTTTTTTTGAGACGGAGTCTCACTCTGTCACCCAGGCTGGAGTGCAGTGGCGTGATCTCCACTCACTGCAAGCTCCACTTCCTGGGTTGTTCACGCCATTCTCCTGCCTCAGCTTCCCGAGTAGCTGGGACTACAACAGGCACCTTCCACCAAGCCTGGCTAATTTTTTGTATTTTTTTAGAAGAGACGGGGTTTCACCGTGTTAGCCAGGATGGTCTCAATCTCCTGACCTCGTGATCTGCTGCCTCGGCCTCACGAAGTGCTGGGATTACAGGCGTGAGCCACCATGCCCTGCCAGCAGAAGTTTTTAACCTAAAGCAGGGGTGTCCAATCTTTTGGCTTCCCTGAGCCACACTGAAAGAAGAATTGTCTTTGGCCACGTATAAAATACACGAACACAAATGATAGCTGAAGCCGGGCACGGTGGCTCATGCCTGTAATCCCAGCACTTTGGGAGGCCAAGGCGGGTGGATCACGAGGTCAGGAGATCAAGACCATCCTGGCCAACATGGTGAAACCCGTCTCTACTAAAAATACAAAAAATTAGCTGGGTGTGATGGCACATGCCTGTAATCCCAACTCAGGAGGCTGAGGCTGGAGAATTGCTTGAACCCAGGAGGTGGGGGTTGCAGTGAGCCGAGATCACGCCACTGCACTCCAGCCTGGTGCCAGAGCAAGACTCTGTCTCAAAAAAACAAAAACAACAACAACAAAAAAAACAAGTGATAGCTGAAGATCTTTAAAAGGTCGCAAAAAAAATCTAATAATGTTTTAAGAAAGTTTATGAATTTGTGTTGGTCTGCGTTCAAAGCCTCCCAGGCCGCATAAGGCCCGTGAGCCATGGGTTGCTTAAGTTTTACCTAAAAGGTTTTACTATGAGGGCAGAGGCAAAATGGAGTCGGTTAGGCTGACTCCCTCCACTGTTAGAAGATTGCCCCAGAGAGGAGGGACAAGAAAGGGCCAGGACTCATTCCTGCTGCAGACAACATGCATGTGGAGGAGGAAGTGAAAGAGAACAAGGAGTGAAACCAGGAGAGCCCCCTGTGTCCAGCAATCAAGTGGAGAAGCAGCCTCAGGAGCAGGGTGGGATCAAGCTTGGCTGACGCTGCTGTGGGGTCAGGTGCAGCCACAGCCTGGGATCTGGCATCACAGAGGTCCTAGGTGCCCTTGATTTGAACTGTCCCTGTCTCCTGGAGCATTAGGGTCTGGTCCCACCTGCCTCCCCTCCTGCCTGTGAGTGCGTCCATCACATCCTGAAGGTGATGCCGCCTCCTTGAGGGGCTCTTCACAAGTGAAGGATGCACGAAGAAGGTCGTCCAGGGCCATGTGGAGGGTGGGGTTTGGTTGAAGCTGGGAACCAGTGCAGGGTTGCCGCAGGAATCTGGCGAGATGGGGCAGAGCATGGAACTGAGGCAGCAGAAGGAGATGGAGTCAGGGGAGGGAGTAGCGGCTCCTTCATTATGGCAGACAGATTCCTGAGCAAGGTGACCTTTGGGCCTCAGGCCTAGTATGGGGCTTGTCTGCAGCTGGGGGCAGGTGGACCAACCCCGGGAAGAGAAGAAAGACGGTGCTCCTGGCCCCTCCAGCCTCACCTCCGTCCACCACCCCCACTCCCAGCCCATATGCCAGTTCTCTGAAGTTGTCCAGAGAGCAGGGACAGACATACATGGCCAGAGAGTCCACTCTATGTCCCGGGAGTCCCCACACTGTCCTTCATTTTTCCACCTTTGTAAGTGTCATGCCCTCCACCTACAGCTATACCCCTACTTCATTTCTGGCAAACTCCTACTCATCCCTCAAGACCCAGTCTAAGTATCGCTCACTCCAGCAAACACTCTAGACCAACCCCCCAGTCCAGGATTGATGAACCCCTCGGTGCTCCCACAGCCCCGAGGGCTTCCCTCTGGCTTTTCACCATTCTGTAATAGTCCCCTCCTCCCTCTCCCTCCCTAGAAGCTGGGAATGCCTCTTCCTACAGTGGCCCTAAGATCACAAGCCCTGCCCTGATGTCATCACCACCCTCGGGCCCCCTTGAGAAGCAAGTTAAGCGAACAGCAAGTTAAGCTCACCCAGCTTCATCTTGGTACCGCAGTGTGTTTGTACACGTTTCAGGCAGACAGAGGGAGTTGCCATTTCGGGAGAGGAGCTTGACAATCAGAGACAGCCAGCACCCAAATTCTCATGGACTCAGGATGGAGAGCCTTTCCCTAGCAAACGCTCAGGTGCAGACTCAGGTGTGGGACAGGTCAGTACCGCAGTGGTGGCTAAAGAATGCCTTTTCATGACTGTGCATCTTAGGAAAATCCTCCTGATGCATTGTTTTCCAGATGGGAGACTGTGGTGCAGAGATGGAGGCCTGGTCCAGGGTCACCCAGCCAGTGAGGTAGAGCCCTTCCTCCTGGGTACTTTGCAGGGCTTGGGCTTGGCTCAAAGCTCAGAGGTCCGCGCACTGTGGCCCACGCAGAAGGCCACACAGTGCTTCCAGCCTCAGTAAGCGCTCAGTTGATGTCAGCCAGTAGTTTTTTAACAGCAGCTCAAACTGAGCACCTACTGTGTGCCCTGGTACTTAATGTGGTGGGAGTGGAAGATGGGCAGTGGAGTGTCAGGTAGTCACTCCTGATGTCAGCTGGCCCAGTCCCACCTGACATCCTGATGGGGTGGGCCTGGGGAAATTGGTTCTCCCGAGGTGCCCCTGCCAGAGGAGCAGGCAGGGATGGGGGGCTAGTCCCAGGGAGTGAGGATGGTGATGGCTTTTCATGCTCAAGCCTGCAGAGGATTTTGAGTTCAAGGGTAGGCAAAGGTATGGGTCATCCTTGGAAGAGACTTTGTTAGTCTCTTCCATATCCTGGGCAGAGAAGCGAGGCCCGGCCCAGTGAGGGGGGATTGAGCTGGTGGGCTCTGAGATGGGGCAAGCAGCAGTTCCGGGTGGAAGAGGACCCATTGGAGATTGAAGGAAATGCCTGTGGGGGACACAGCCCCCAGGGACCGTCATGTGGAAGGGGAGCTGAGGCAGGCATGAAGGCCCCACCCTCCCTCCTTATGAACCCTGCTTCTGCACACAGCCTGGCCTGGACATTGTTTGGCCTTTTCTTGTGGCCCTGTTATGGTCTGTAAGGAACCCAGCATTCACCTGTCAGTCTGCACTCCTCACCCCCGCCACTTCCAAAGAGCCAGGCCTCCTGTTCTCAAAAGGCTGAGCCTCAGCACCGGAGCCTGCCTCACAAGTGGACTGAACGGGGCACAGAGCAGCTCAGCCTCTGTCTCCAGAAGATGCAGGAAACTGAGAGGCCATGGGCAGCTGCCTCCCCTGCAGAGGACGGCGGCACCTCTTCTACAACAGCGTCTGAGCAGGAGCTCCCGCCTGGAGGATGGACGTCCAGGGCAGCCCTGAGGTGAAGGCGCAGGACAGCCCGTCCTCTGGCTCTGCCCCCTGTCGCTCCCTAGCCTCCTGAACAGGGGCCACACAGGAGCTGGGGACACAACCCAGAGGCCCTGCTGGGGCCACAGGACATGTCCATCATGTGTGATGAGTCACAGCAACTATTTTCAGCTTCTCGATCAAGGACATTTTGGTCTTTCTGGGTCGCGTCTGACTTAGTGAGAAGCCCTGGCCTCTCTGACCCCAGCAGTGGGACTTGTCCTCATATGAGCTGAGATGCCTGAGAGGCGGCCCGCACTGGTTCATTTCTGGGTGGTCATTCATGGTCATGGGTTAAACACAAGTCTCAGATCCCAAACCCTGGGCCTCCTGTTGCCTCTGGGGCCTCCATCTGCCCCCATGGCTGGGGAGAGTCACAACATGCATTTGCCCCAGCTCCATTCTGTCAAGATGCAAAAGAATGGATAGTAAAAAGAGTCCCACTCCCTCCCCAGCCCCAGCCTCCAGGGACCCTCCTGGAAGCAGCCACTGTTTCCAGTTCCTGGTGTCTCCTTCCAAAGATGGTCTGGGTAGCTCCAAGCAGTGGTATAGACATTCCCTGATGCCTCCCGTCTTAAGGACACTTGTTTGTACACAAACGGGGGCACACGCAGTCTGACCACAGCTCCACGCTTGCTTTTCCCCCTTCATTTATTTTAGCCATCAGGCCACATTAGGCTGTGAATGAGCTTGTCACTTTGATCAGCTGCATAAAGACAGACTCTTAAGTGGTATCTCCGACTCTCATCTCTTGCTCCTGAAGTCAGTGTTGTGGTTCCAGAGCAGCTGTGCCAAGCCATAGCCTTCAGCACACCCTGTGAATTTCTATTTGTTAGGAGATGTGTCTCATCTTATCTCATTCATTGTATCAATGAGAGCTAGCACTTAAAACACCAAAGTCTGTGAATGATGTATTCTTTTTCTGAATGAGTGATAGCAGATTTAAAGTTATTGCTCTCATAATACCAAACTAGGTTAGGAATATTTTTGTTTGAATGTAACAGAAACAATTTCAAACTGTCTTACGTAAAAGAGAGAAGTCAGTGGCTCTTGTAAGCTGAGAAGGTAGGGTCAGCTGCAGGTACAGCTGGCTCCAGGGTTCAAACAATGTCATTGGAATCAGTTTGCTCTCTAATTCTTCCACACGCCTTCCCTCTGCAGGCTTACGTCCCAGGATTCACTTGTAGCGGGATGGGCAACCAGTTTTGTGCCTGCCTAGTTTCAGGGTATAGATGTAGGTGGCAAAAATAATCTCTTTTCCAGAAGTCTAAGTGAAAATCTCACTTTGTCTCTGTACTAGTTAGGCAAGGCTAAGTTGCTATGACAAATAGACCTCAAATTCTGCTGTAACAGCTCAGACTATAACACTGCATTTTGCTGTCATGTAATATCAGTGGTGGGCCTTTCTGGTCATTTCTCCATGTGGTTGCTCAAGGACCTGACTCATTCCGTCTTGTGGTTCACTGTCCCCTAGGGCAGGAGTCTGCAGACTTTTCCTGGAAAGAGCCAGAGAGTCAACATTTTCGGCTTTGAGGGTCTCTGTCACAGTCTTTCTTTCTTTCTTTCTTTCTTTCTTTCTTTCTTTCTTTCTTTCTTTTTTCTTTCTTTCTTTTTCTTCTTTTTCTTTCTTTCTTCTTTCTCTTTTTTCTTTCCCCTTCCTTCCTTCCTTTCTTTCTCTCTTTCTTTCTTTCTTTCTTCTTTCACAATACTTTAAAAATGTAAAAACCATTCTTGGCCAGGTGTGGTGGCTCACGCTGTCATCCCAGCACTTTGGAAGGCTGAGGTGGGTGGATCACCCGAGGTTAGGAGTTCGAGACCAGCCTGGCCAACATGGTGAAACTCTGTCTCTACTAAAAATACAAAAATTAGCTGGACGTGGTGGTGAGCACCTGTAATCCCAGCTACTTGGGAGGCTGAGGCAGGAGAATCGCTTGAACCCGGCGGGTGGAGGTTGCAGTGAGCCAAGATCTCGTCACTTCGCTCCAGCCTGGGCAAAAGAGTGAAGCTATATTTCAAAAAACAAACAAAACGGAATAACCGTTCTTAACTTGTGGGTTGGGCAAAAACAGGACCACAGGCCACACTTGTCCTGCAGGCCTCGGTTTGCTGCTCCTGCCCCAGGCCATGGCACATGCAACCAGCCTGTGGAAGGGAAAAGAAAAGCAGACAGTGACTTGCCCACTTCTTCCCAGCTGCGGCCCCTCCGCCTCCTACACGAACCATTAAGTTGGCCCCAGTCACATGGCCACGCTGAGCTTGGCCATCTGCTCAGGAAGAAGAGAAGTGGCTTTTGGGGAGCAGCTGGCAGTCCCGCACAGTCTCATTGGCCCTGTTCAGGTCACATGTAACCCATCAGTGGCTGCATCAGTTAGTTTTTGTGGCATCACAAGCTGAATTCGTTTCCTAGGCCCGCCATAACCACGTATGACAAATTTATTCTCTCCCAGTTTTGAAAGCCAGAAGACCAAAATCAAGGTGTGAGCAGGGCCAAGCTCTCTCCGGAGGCTCTAGAGGAAAATTTTTCCTTGCCTCTCTTCTAGCCTCTGATGGTTGCCAGCAATTCTCTGCCTTCCTTGGCTTAGAGCTGCAGTGACTCCACTCTCTGCCTGCATCCAGACATAGTCTGTGTCTTTGTATCCAAATTTCTTTCCTTTCTCTTGTAAAGAACGTAAGGCCCACCCTAATCCTTTATGACCTCACCTTAACTTCATTGCATTTATTTTCAAGTAAAGTCACATTCACGGTACTGGCATTAGGGCTTCAGCTTATCTTTCTAGGGGACACAATTCAACCCCCTACACAAGTCTCACTCCAGTGTACCTGCCCTCTCCACCCCGCAGTACGTGTGCCAAGCTGGAAGCACACCCTTGCTAGAGATCCCCGCCTGCCACAGCTGGATAGCCCACTGCTGCTACCTGAATCTAGGTAGTGAGCCCCTTGTCCCTGGAGGTATGCAGGCAAATCCAGGTTTGGCAGCAGCTCAATTAAAGTGGCTTAATTCACATTCATTAATAAACATTTAATGAGCACCACTGGGCTAGGTACCAAGAACAGAGAGGCGGTGATTGTAACCCCAAGAGAAGAACAGATAATTGGCTCATAATATGATAGCGGAAGCAGATGAGCACTAAAGGAGAACGCAGGCCAGAGGCGGAGCAGCTGGGAGGCGGAGCAGCTGGGAGGCGGAGCAGCTCAGAGGTGGGCCTGGGTGGCAGCAGGCATGTTCTCCACCCAGGGCCATGAGGGAAGGACAAGAGAGGAGGCAGCCCCATGAGGAGGGGAGGGGGAGGGGAGGAGAGTGGGAGAATGCAGTATGTAGGGAGCAGTGAAAATAGAGCTCAGAACAGATTAAGAGGACAAAGCAAGTTGAAAATGATAGGGCATGATAGAAACAAAGCACAAAATGACACCTCGTGTTTTCTCTGGATTCATACTTGTGTGTAAATGTGCTTACAATGGGCTCCAAGGGCAGCCACAGCCTGAGAGCAGTGGTTTTCTCGGGCTCACGAGAATAAAGTGTGTGGACAAAGGGGATTCTAATTGTGTTGTAGAACTCTAATTTTTAAAAGAGAATAGATGTATATGCTATTTGTCTCATTTCTTTAATTTGCACATAGCAAAATGACTACCAGCAAAGACACCAAAATAGCAGCGGCAAATTCTGGGTGGTGGGAATCAGTGGCGGTGGTTGGTTCCCTTTACTTTTCTGATCGTTTGACTTCCTTAAAATGTGCATGTATCCTGTTTAATAATAAAGAAGAGAGTGGTTTTTCCTTAAAAAATGTCTAGAAGTGAAAATGCCACATATAAGTATATATTAATGTCTCATATTAACAGTGGTTAATTCAGAGCAGTGGAGATATGGGGTGTTGTCATTTTCCTTTTAGGATTTTTCTGCATTTGTCAAATTTCCCAAAATGAAAAGGAGGCAAAGGCTGGGCTGGAGCCCAGAAGAGCCCAGCATTTGGGGGAGGGTGGAGCCCAGAGCAGTCCCCCAGCCTTTGCTTTTCTGGTCTGGATGGTGCCACTGTCCAGTGAGTTTTTGGTAAAAAGGAGGGGAAGGGAGAGGAGGGGATGATTGAGGGGAAGGAAGGGGACACGAGAGCGTTTCCTTGAGAGTGAGGAGAGAAAGAGGAGAGAGAGAAAGGCGCGCATCCCCGAGGTGAGCTCTGGGTCTCCTGTCTCCCAGCCTGGGAGGGGAAAGGGGCTGGTCTCTGGGCCTTGCTGATGGGAGGGGAAGGGCTGGTCTCTGGGCCTTGCTCATGGGAGGGGAAAGGGGCTGGTCTCTGGGCCTTGCTGATGAGAGGGGAAAGGGCTGGTCTCTGGGCCTTGCTCATGGGAGGGGAAAGGGCTGGTCTCTGGGCCTTGCTGATGGGAGGGGAAGGGCTGGTCTCTGGGACTTTGCTGAGCACCGGCCATCCCTTGTCCCAGGATACAGCCCTGCACATCTTTTTCCTGCTCAAGAATTTCAGAAAGAAGAAGAAAAAGCCCATTTGCACTCATATGTTTACCTCACTCCAGGGAATTCTCTGGAATGGAGAAAGGCATTTGTTTGCAGTGAAAAACAGCAGAAGAAGAAAAGCCCCGTCAGCTGGAAAGTGTCTGAGCCACAGTGAAGGGCTCCTTCCCTGCGGCCGCCGCACCGGTTATTAACACAGAGGTAATGACATTAGGCGGCGTGATTAAGTCAGCAGCCCTGGGCCTGCCACCCCTTCTCCCGGAGTTACAGCCTCATTTTTCAATTATGCTTTCATTTGAACATCTTTGAAAAACGCCTGGCGAGCACGAGAGTCCAAGAGGAGAACTGGGCTCATTTCAGCCCGTCTTTTTTCTTTCCCCAGGAGGTGGGGTAGCACATTTCCAAGCTCAAGGTGTGCAGGACCCCTCCCCAAATCCCGAAACTCGGACTTGAACAAGAATTTGCTGTGTTGAATTGTCATCAGTTGTCCCTACTCATGCCATAGAAGACTTTCAGAGCCAAGCAGGCTCCCCAGAGATTAAATCCAGCCTCTTCACCAGCAGACGGGAAACAGGTCCAGAAGAGCCCCAACTTGCCTGGAGCCCAGCCAGGCCGGACTCGGAGACTTTAGATTTCTAAACCTGAATCAAAAGGAGCCAGCTCCTCAAATGGGCATTGGTGCCTCTGTGCAGTTGTTCAGTCATCATAACAAGCAGAGTGGCCTTTGCCTCCCGTGCAGAATAGGGGTCCACAACAGGCCTGTTGTTGCTTCCTGGGTACCTGCCTGCAGTTCCCAGAGTAGCCACCAGGTGGCCCAGGCCTTGCCGACTCTGGCTTCATAATCCAAACAGCCCGGCTCAACTTCCAGGGCCTGCAACATAATGGAGAGAACTCAGAGTCCGCTCCCCACCTCCCCCGTCTGCTCCCCGCTGTAAATTTAGTCCGTGCAATAGTGAACATTCAGGTCTTCAAATTTCAGGGGTGCAGGAGCAGAAACGCAGGGGTACTGGGGAGAGAGGCTCGGGTGTGTCTTTTCAGATGCCACATAGCCTAACTGTGCTGCCTCTAGCAAGACCCCCATCTCTGAGCCTCCCTTACCTGTGAACAGGTGTATCCATAGCCACTTGCTCTGCCGCAGAGTTATGCAATGATGGACGTGAAGCCTTGTGGGAATGGCGACCCAAAAGTTCCCAAATGCCAGAATGCCAGATCCCAACTCCCCTGGATTTTTTTTTTTTTTTTGAGACAGTGTCTTACTCTGTTGCCCAGGCTGAAGTACAGTGATGCAATGCAATCATGGCTCACTGCAGCCTTGACCTCTGGGGTTCAAGTGATCCTCCCACCTCAGCCTCCCGAGTAGCTAGGACCACAGGCAAACGCCACCACACCCAGCTAGTTTTTACATTTTTTGTAGAGATGGGATCTCTCTATGTTGCCCAGGATTGTCTTGAACTCCTAGATTCAAGCAATCCCCCTGCCTCGGACTCCCAAGGTGCTGAGATTACAGGAGTAAGCCACCATGCCCAGCCCGCTGTGAGCTTGTTAACAAGCACAGCTCTGGGCCCATCCCTCCAGAGTCAGAAACAGAAGGTCTAGAGTGAGCGGGTCCCTGAGCGGGCCTCTCCCTCCCTCTGCCATCCCAAGGGGAGAAGCCATGGGGACCCTTGGCCCTAGCGCAGTGCTATCCCCACCCCACCACAACTGCCTCCACCAAAAGAGCAGAAGGAACGTCACCAGGATGCCTCACACACCGGGGCTAACAGCCCAGCAGGAGGCTGACATGCAATCAGTTACAACCCTGCCTGGAAAGTGGTGGCGGAACAGTGGGGTGTGGCACCCCCCAGGGGGCTGCAATCCACCGTGAGTTTCCCAGCAAAGCAGGTGTGCCCGGGCACTGCTCCAAGACTGACGTCCATGATTCACTCTACAAATCAAAGTGGAAGTCAGGTTATTCCTATACATACATCAGCCTTACTGACATGACAGGCTTCCTAGAATGTTCTAGGTGAGGAGTTAGAGCAACCATGCCAAAAACCCGGCCCAGCCCATGGACATGTGTCCTCCTGTGACTGCCTTGGGACGGTGGAAAAGGTTGAGATTCTTGGCGCTTCAGGTATTAAAATCGCCCAGGGTGTTTTTGGGAATGCCTTTTGGAGAAGGGGGCATTTGAACTGAGTGTTTCGGGGTAAAGAGCAGGTGAAGGAGAGGAGAGGGGGCTCTGGGAAATGTGAGCAGAGTGTGGAAGGGACAGAGCCTGCAAAAGCTTGATGAGAATGACACACATTTGGATATAGCTGGAGAGAGGGGAGCAGTGACGAGCGACGGGGTGAGAGAGTTCAGCATGGCCTGGCCCTAGACCTGAACAAGCCTCTTAAGCCACGCAGAGGTTTGGATTTCTCATAGAAACCCACAAGGGTCTTTGAAGGCTTTTCAACTCCACAAGGGCAGAGACTGGGGACACAGAGGCCAGACAGTGACCATTACTATCCCCTGGGTGAAGCCCAGGGGCCGGGGCAGAGGAAGAGGGAGTAGAAGTGGAAGGCAATGCCAGGTGACTATGGTATTCAGGATTCAGGATCCGTGGGACACAGGTTCACATCAGGAGCAGATGGGCCACGGGTCATATGGCAACCAGGCTGGCTGGAAAGGCTGGGGTACCAGGAGGAACGGGGGAGGGGGAAGCCTGCAGGACAGCAAAGGCGTCAGGGCGTGAGAGGCTCTGACGGCTTGTGCGGGGGTGACTGGAGCTTCCAGACGGCCCTTAGAAGAGGAATCCGGAGCAGCAGGAAGGAGAATGAACTGGCAAGAGGAGCCGGAGAAATGTTAGGATGTTGGTATTGGGGAAAGTTTCCTCAGCAAGGGCATGCAGAATGGATGGAAGAGGAGGGGTGCAGAGGTGGACAGGCGGCCAGGAGTGTGGGGTGACAGGTGGCCCCAGTGTGAGTGAGACCACAGCCAGCTCATGGAAACATCCAGAGTCATAGCGGGGTCCTCAGCAGAGCTGGTGAAGAGAAAGTGAGACCAACTCAACGTGTGATTGTGGATAAGTCCCTGCTCTTCTTTCAGCCCCAGTTTCCTTATTTATGTCGTAAAGAGTCCAGAGGAGGAGGCCTCCAAAGGCCCTTCCACTATGGACTTTCTGAAGTTGACTAACTGGGTAGTATCCCCATTCCTTAAGGAAAAAGCCAGCTAACAAGGACCTGGGGACATCTCTACTGCATATGGGTCACTTCTGGACATGCCCTTGACACTGTCGGCATCATCTCTTTTATGTGGATTCCAACTAGGGCTGCTGTGTACAGTTGCACAGGCTACGTACTGCATTGTTTGAGGCACAGCCATCCCTTTAAACTAGATGGAGTCTTGCAGAGCAGCCCCTGTGCTGAGAACATCCTCCCTGCTCCATGACAGCATCTGGAGTGCCTACTTCCTGGAACCTGGACCCTCTCCCCAGAATGTGATTGGGGAGAACAGGAGGACCTGAGTTCTAGGCTGGCCTGTGGTGTTACATGGCCAGCC
This sequence comes from Homo sapiens, assembly GCF_000001405.40. Lineage (NCBI taxonomy): Eukaryota > Metazoa > Chordata > Mammalia > Primates > Hominidae > Homo > Homo sapiens. The sequence continues at coordinate 93,890,416 of NC_000014.9, read as the reverse complement.
CCTCTACTCACTGGGCCTCTGTCTCTTTCTCCATAAAGCGGCCAGGACGAGCCATTCTGAGGCCTTGTCCAACTTCTGAGTTCTTATTGCCAGAATCATTTGTCTCTGGAAATTGCAGCAGCACCGAGAGGGCCATGTGGCCTTTCTGGGCTCCTCCCAGATCAGCCCCAGGAGCTGAGAATTTTCCTTGTGCTTCTGTGCTGCAGAGCAGAGATGCTGCTGGGCTCATCCAAATCCCATCCTCCCCAAAGCCCCAGGGGCCTCATTCCTACAGGGGCTGATTCTCGAGACCCAGGGCTTCATAAGTGCCTCGACTACCAGACAAGCAATAAGTGTCCAGGGTGGGTCGGCTGCACACCACAGCACCTGACAGCTGGGTGGTTCTTGCTCAAACCATCATTATCTCCCTTAAATCACGTGAGTAGGAAGTCTGGATTTGTCACTAAGGAAAGCTGACAGGACATTCTTCATCAAGGAGGCCCTCCAGCCCATGGACAGGGTTGGTGGGATTCCTGGCTTTCAAGGGACCAGCCCTGTTACGGAGCACTAATGAACATAACCAGCAGCATGTCCTCCACACGTGACAGTCCATGAAGCCCTTCACACTAATGAAGTCACTCAACAAACACTGAGGGCATACTCTGGGCTAGCTCACTGTGGTCATGGACATGAGACAGCTCCAGGTACTGCTCAAAGTTGCTCACCGCCCCTCTGGCTCATAGCTGATTTGATTCTCACAACCACCCTGTGAGGTAGGTATTATTATCACCCACACTTTGCAGACCAGGAAACTGAGGACAAGATTTAGGTCCTTTGCCTAAGGACCTAAGGCCAAGCTGAGCCCTGAACACAGGCAACAGACCACAGCCCCCAGGGGTTTCGTTCTCCCTCATGTGCTGTGACCTGGGGCCAGCACCTTCCCTTTCTCAGTCTCAGCTCCTCATCTGTAGTTTCTGGCTGGGGGGCTAGAATGGTGACCTAGCTCTGCGGTGCATAGATCCTGTGAGCCCAGACCTGCTGCAGACTTGGCAAACCTAAGAGTTAGCTTCAGAAATCAAATTGGCAGATCCAGAGCTCTAAATCAGAAGAGACACCGCCCAACAAGCTGATTGGGCAAGTAGGCGTCCGGGCCAAGTTCGAAATACGCACAACTCACCCTTGTAAGCTGTAAACACGCTGCACCACGAGGTCCCGCTGTCCATCATCGGGTGTGTGAGTTGATATCTGCCTTCCTGGAGCCAAGTTTTGGCTGTAGCAGACACTTCATTTCTCCCCACACAGGGTTCCACATTATAAATCACGTGCTTAGGAGAGAGGGGGAGAGGCGGGAACAGCTGCCAAAGGCTGGACCTGGCCACGTGAATGGGATTGGGGCACATGAGTCCACTGATTGTGGAGAACTAGTGGCTTTCTCAAATAGGCATGGAGCTCAGGATGCCCTGTCTACCTGGTCAACTGCCCTTCCCCGAGGACCTAAGTGCACAGTACTACGGTTAGGTGCACAGAGGCAGCACACCAGGATCCTGGCTCCGTGCTCACAGGCAGTTTCCATTTTCCCCCTAGACCCACCCCGACCCTCCACGCTGTTCTCTGGTCTCTGCGGACGCCATTCAAGGACTCCTGGACCCCTGGTTCCCAGTGAGTTCCCACAATAGTAGATGTAGGCACAAGATCAGAGGGTACCTTGAGACTGAGGTTGGCTATTTATTTATTCCCCTGGACCTTTTCCTAGCAAAGACTGCAGCTCCTGACAGCCTGCCCTTTCCTGCAGCCTCTCTCCAGGTTTTGTAACCCCTCTTCCTCCTTGCCCTTCAGGACGTCACCAGCGCTGTGACACTGTGCCATCCCTTGTTGGCTTCCCTCAACCGACTCACACCTCTGTAAATATTCCCCTTTTAAACTCATGACCTCTTTCATGTATGCCATGGGATTTCTCCCAGGAGGCTGACTGATGCAGCTGTTTACTGTACATCAATTTTAAGATGCACTGTTATTTTAAGTCTCACTAAGAAAGAATAAACAGGCCAGGTGCAGTGGTTCACACCGGTAATCCCAGCACTTGGGGAAGCCTATGCAGGAGGATCGCTTGAGCCCAGGGGTTTGAGACCAGCCTGGGCAACGAAGTAAGACCCCCACCTCTACAAAAAAAAAAAAAAATTAGCCAGACATAGTGGCATGAGACTGTGGTCCCAGCTACACAGGAGGCTGAGGCAGGAGGATCAGAAGATCACTTGAGTCCAGGAGGTTGAGGCTGCCATGAGCCATGTTCACGATGCCACTGCACTCCAGCTTGGGTGACACAGCAAGACCCTGGAAAGAAAGGAAGGAAGGAAGAAAGGAAGGGAGAGAGGGAGGGACAGAGGGAGGGAGGGAAGCAGGGAGTAAGGGAGAGAGAATAAACCACAGCCTTAAGTGATGACACAAACTAGACCTGTAAACCATGACACAGGGCTTCCTATCACTTTATATTTTTATTTTATATTTGGCAAAAGAGCTGTTTTTTAAACTTGTTTCAATTTAGGATTTTGAGGGTTTTAAAAAATCCTCTATCACTTTTGTGCATACACAAAGAGGGAGATATCAACTAATAAATCAGCTCAGTTGCTCCCAGAACTCCATGCTCAAGAGTCCTTCTCTTCTGAACTGTTTAGCTTCCATGGCATCAGTGTCCACATTTGCCCACATGGAACTGGTTCTGGGCCATCAAGGGCATTGGTGGTGCACCATTTCTTAAAGGGCTGCCCCACTTTTGTCTCTGGGATTTTCTTTCCAAAGCCACTGCCCACATTGTGCAAATTTTAATATGCATGTATGGCAATGACAACTTTGTTATGACTGTCACCTGTCAGCATCAACTGTACGATGTACCTCCATTTTAGAGACCATAAAATGTTTCTGTTAGAATCAAGGAAATATGGGTGTTAATTACGCTGACCTTAGGCAAGTCAATTTGCGTCTCTGAGCCTTAGTGTTTTCATTAGTTGAAAGGTACATTTACCCAACTTGATCTATAGATTCAATGCAATCCCAGTAGAAATCTCAGCAAGTTATTTTCTGGATATCAACAAACTGGATCTAAAGTTTATAGGGAAAGACCCAGAATAGTCAACACAATATTGAAGAAGAACAAAGTCAGAGGACTCACACTACCTGATTTTAAGACTTACTATAAAGCTACAATTATCAAGGCAGTGTAGTGTTGGTTGAAAGAATAGACAAACAGATCAGTGGAATGAATACAGAGCCCAGTAGTAGACCCATGTAAATATAGTCAACTGATCTTTGACAAAGGAGCAAAGGCAATTCAATGAAGAAAGAATTATCTTTTCAACAAATGGTGCTGAAACAACTGGACATCCACATGCAAACAAAATTTAATCTAGACATGACTTCACACCTTTCATAAAAATTAACTCTGATTTTACACCTCTCATAAAAAATTACTCAAAATGGGCCGGGTGCAGTGGCTCATGCCTGTAACCCCAGCACTTTGGGAGGCCAAGGCGGGCAGATCATCAGGAGTTTAAGACCAGCCTGGCCAACATGGTGAAACCCCGTCTCTACTAAAAATTAAAAAAAAAAAAAATTAGCTGGGTGTGCTAGCATCCACCTGTGGTCCCAGCTATTCAAGAAGCTGAGGAAGGAGAACCGCTTGAACCCAGGAGGCAGGGGTTGCAGTGAGCCGAGATCGTACCACTGCACTCCAGCCTGGGCAACAAAGCAAGACTCCATCTCGAAAAAAAAAAAGAAAGAGTAACTCAAAATGGAGTGTGCACGTAATGTAAAACACAAAACAATAAAACTTCTAGACAATAACGTAGGTGACACTGGGTTTGATGATGAGTTTTTAGATACAATACCAAAAGTATAACCCATCAAATGAAAAAATTGGTAAGTTGAACTTCCTTAAAATTTTCTGATTTGCAAAAAACAGTATTAAGAGAAAAGACAAGCTACAGATTGGGAGAAAACATTTGTAAAACACATATCGGATAAAGGACTTATATGCAAAATATACAAAGACCTCTTAAAAGTCAACAATAAGAAAACAACTCAGTTAAAAGATGGGCAAAAGATCTGAACAGACACCTCACCAAAGAAGATACACAGATTGCAAATAAGCATATGTCATCAGGAAACTGAAAATTAAAACAACAAGGAAATGACACTACTATTAGAATGGCCAAAATCTGGAACATTGACATAACCAAACACTGTCAAGAAAACAGAGCAACAGGAACTCTCATTCATTTCTGGTGGAAATGCAAAATGGTACAGTCACGTTGGAAGACAGTTTCATTTGTTGTCTCTCTTGCAAAACTAAACATCGTCTTTGTTTATGTTTAGCTGAAACACATGATCCAGCAATTGTATTCCTAGGTAATTACCCAAATAAGGTAAAAAAATGTCCATGCAAAACCCTGCACATAAATGTTTATAGCAGCTTTATTCATAATTTCCCAAAACTAGAGGCAATCAAGATAGACTTCAAAAGGTGAATGAATAAACTGTGGTACATCTGTACAAGGGAATATTATTCAGCAATAAAAAAAATGAGCTGTCAAGCCAAGAAAAGACATGGAGGGATCTTAAATGCATATTACATTGTGAATAAGCCAGTGTGAAAAGGCTACATACTGTGTGATTCCAACTATATGACAAAACTATAAAAATATTGTCAAGGCTAGTGGTTGTCAGGAGTTTGGGGGTGACAGAAGGGAGGAAGGATGAATAGGTGGAAAGCAGGAATTTCAGGGCAATGGAACTATTCTGTATGCCACTCTGATGCAGATACATGCCATTAAGCATTCATCAAAGCCCCCGGAATCTGTACCCTCGCATAAACTATGGATTTTAGTTAATAATAATGCATCGAGATGGTTTCATCAATCTTAGCAAATGTACCCCACTAATGCAAGATGTTAATAATAGGGAAAACTGAGAGTGGGAGGGAGGGGGCCTATAGGAACTCTATCTACTGTCTCCTCAATTTTCTGTAAATCTAAAACTTTTCTGAAAAATAGAAGTCTATCTTTTAAAAATAAAAATAAAAATAAATAAAGCATGCATGTATATCTGTCTACTTCCTGGGGCAGCTGGAAGGCTATGTGAGATAATATATGACAAGCACTTGGTGGAGGACCTGGCTTATAAGAGGTGATCAACAAATGCCTGCTACTGTGGTTGTTGCAGTGGTTATTGGAGCTGTTGTGGTTATGATTGTGGCTGTTGTTAAAATTGCGTCAGGTTGCTGTGGTCTGTGGTTATTTTGGGAGCTGTAGCTGTGGTTGTTGGAGTTGGTGTGGTTATTGGGTTTGTTGTGATAATCACTGGAGTTGTGATCACTGCTGTGGTTGTAGGGTTAGGGTTGTATTTGCAGCTGTGGGGGATGTGTTGGCTGTTGTGGGTTTTGTTACAGTTGCTGGATTGTGTTTCTCATGGTGGTGGCAGTGCTTGACTTGTGTTGGTGGAATCATTGTGGAAGTTGGCATGGTGGTGGCTTGAGCTTCAACAGCCTGCAGAGGGCTGAGTCCGGATTCTCTTTCCCAGGTAAAGGTCTTGGTTAAACACTTTGGGGCTTGCAGAGTCTTCATAGAAGCTGAATTTCAAAGAGCTTCAGTTCTGTAAGATGATAAGATTTGGGGCAAAAATTAAGTGAGACAAAGACAGACATGAATGGAAGAAGCAGGAAATGAGGGAATGTGTCAGGAGTGAGGGTGGCTCCAGTGAGCCCTGGCGTGTGAGCCACCTCCACTGATCACTCGGCATTCATGGAAGTGGCACTCCAGAGTGTGACTCACCATTCGTAGAATTCTCTAGAAACGGATTCTTTTTTTCATAAGAAAGAACATATATTTTTTAAAATTAAGTGGAGAGAAGAACCAGCCATCCGTACCTCTGGAATGAGCTGGCCTCTGGAGAAACTTTGTCTCCTTCAGGGAACGGTGCGGGAGTTCTTTGCGATACATTTGTAGGAGAATCACTTGAACCCAGGAGGCGGAAGTTGTGGTGAGCCAAGATCGCACCATTGTACTCCAGCCTGGGCAACAGGAGCAAAACTCTGTCTCAAAAAAAAAAAAAAAAAAAAAAAAAAGAGAGAGAGAGACATGTTTTCTTTCTTTCATATGTGTCTGTGCCTAGGGATTTTCATGGTTGTGATTTTATACAATTGGGTACCTACTATTCACTTAACTTTATATTCTAAGTGTGCTTTCATGTAGGTACTTTTTTTATATATAATCATCATTTTCATAATAATTTAATGGTTAAAACCAGGAGTTGGCAAATCATGGCTTTTGGGGCAATAAATAAATCTTTATAAGTAAAGCTTTCTTGGAACATAGCTACACTCATTCACTTACACATTGCCTATGGCTGTTTCTTGCCACAATAGCAGGTTGAGTACATATTGCACACAGGCAATATGGTTCAATAAGCTGAACATATTTACTTATCTGGCCCTTTTCAGAAAACATTTGCCAACCCCTGTTTTAAATATGTTTTTGCCAAATAGCTTTTCAAAAGCTTCGTATGATGTTTTTGAGCATCAGGGTGTGATGGCTGATGCCTGTAAACCCAGCACTTTGGGAGGCCAAGGCAAAAGGATCACTTGAAACCAGGAGTTCAAGACCAGCCTGGGCAACATAGCAAGGCCACGTCTCTACAAAAAAAAAAAAAAAAAAAAAAAAAAAAAAAAAAAAGAATTGCATTAATTTACATTACTATCAATATTGTGAAAGGGTATCAATTGTTCTGCATCCAGGCCAGCATTTGGTGTTTGTTTTAATCTTTGCACATTTTTAAAATGAGACAAATAGTATCTTTTTTTCAATTTGAATTTCTCAAATTATTGGTGAGTAATTTTTTCCATTTATTATTTACTTTTTGAATGACTTCTTTTCTGAATTTTCTGTTCATATTCCTTACTCATTAATCTACAGAGACATTGCTCTGTATTTGTTTTTTAAATTTTGTTTTGTCTAGCAATTTATGTAAGTTCTTTGTGCAATTAAGATATTCATCTGTTTCTATCATATTTGCCATAAATTCCAGAAAAGTCTTGCCATATTTATTAATACGGTGACTTTGGGCAAATCCCTCAACCCCACTTTCCTTCAGTATAGTCAACTACAGGACAGAAGTAGAGTTATTTTTCATGGTATTATGTTGAAAATTTGATGAAAGCTTTTCATCAAATCTTTTACTAAAGAAATGAAAGTTTTAATTACTATTATCATTATTATTACCTATGAAAACAAACTAGCAGAAACAAAAACATCAAATGCATTCTGCCCAACTTTTGGAGGATATACGGCAGTGGCTTTCAAACCATGTTCTATGTACCTTAGTGTCACAGTAAGGATTCTTTCAGTTAGAAGTGAGAGAAAGCCCAGCTCAAACAGGCTTAAGCAAAGTAGGCACAACTCTTGTCTCAGGTCATTGTAAAGTTCAGGATTTGGGATATGGCCAGATCCAGGGGTCCTGACGATGTTACCAGGACTGCCTGCCTTCTCTCCATCTCTTGAGTCTGCCGTGCTTGGTTTGGGTTTTGCTCTCAGGAGGGTGCAGATCCTGGCTGCGATGGCTTGGAAGTTTGTCCCCTCCAAAACTCACGTTGAAGTTTGATCTCCAATGTGACAATACTGAGAACTGGGACCTTTCAGAGGTGATTGGGCCCTGAGGTCTCTGCCCTGATGAATGGATTAACCTATTGATGAATTAATGGATTATTGGATTATTGAGGGAGTGGAACTGGCGGCTCTGTAAAGAAATGAGGAGAGGCCTGAGCTAGCATGCACAGCCCCCTCGTCATGTGATGCCCTGCACCATCTTGGGACTCTGCAAAGATGCCCCCACCAGCAAGAAAGCCCTCACCAGATGTGGCCCCTCCACCTGGGACTTCTCAGCTTCCATAATTGTTAGAAATAAATTCCTTGATATGGTTTGGCTGTGTCCCCACCCAAATCTCATCTTGAATTGTAGCTCCCACAATTCCCGTGTGTCGTAGGAGGGACCTGGCGGAAGGTAATTGAATCATGGGGTGGGCCTTTCCCATGTTATTGTCAGGATAGTGAATAAGTCTCACAAGATCTGATGGTTTTATAAATGGGAGTTTCCCTGCACAAACTCTCTCTTTGCCGGCTGCCATGTTTGCTCTTCTTCATCTTCCGCCATGGTTATGAGGCCTCCCCAGCCATGCAGAACTATGAGTCCATTAAACCTCTTTCCTTTATAAATTACCCACTCTCAGGTATGTCTTTATCAGCAGTATGAAAATGGACTAATACATTCCTTTTTAAAAATAAATTACCCAGTTTCAAGTATTCTGTTATAAGGTACAAAAAACAAAGACACTGGTTTAAGCCCAATCAGTCCAGCAAACTTCTGCTTCAGCGCATCCAGGACAGTTTCCAAGGCCAGACTCTTTGGACCATCCTGGGTCCCAGGCCCTTCCTGAATCAATCATTATGGCCAGGATGTGGCACTGGCAGACTGGTTGGGCCTGGTGGATGAAGTCCCTATCTACAAATGGGTGAGGGGGAGTCCCCAGAGGAAAATCAGGCACTGTCACTAGACAAAGGGGCCATGAGCACAGGCAGACAGGAAACAGACATCTCTGCAGGTGCCTCAGGGACTACACTGAGAGCCAGGGGGCTGAGGGCTCAGGAGACCTTTCTTTCCTTCCCCCCATTCAGCCACATCACCTTCAGCTATTTTATATATTGGTCCTCTGGGTAAGAATTTTTTTAAGAAACAGCTTCTGCTGCTAAGTGAGTCTGCACATGCCTGATGTGGACTAAGGGGAAGTGTCCAGAGAGAAAGCCATGAATGAGGGACAAGAACCTGTATTTTGCAGAGAATCATGGCAAGGAGGCTCTGAGAAGGTAGGCACCACATTCCTAGAATGTGAATTTATTGGTCCTGGGATTACAGCAGGAAGCAAGGCTGACACCGTTTGGGTCTGTGTCCCCACCCAAATCTCATGTCAAATTGTAATTCCTAATGTTGGAGGGGGGGCCTGGTGGGAGGTGACTGGATCACGGAGGTGGATTTCCCCCTTTGGTTCTGTTTTCATGATAGAGTTCTCGAGAGATCTGGTTGTTTTAAAGTGTGTGGCACCTCCCCTCTCTCTTCCTCTAGCTCCCAGCCATGTTTCCTGAGGCCTCCTCAGAAGCCAAGCAGATGCCAACGTCATGCTTCCTGTACAGCCTGCAGAACCATGAGTCAATTAAACCTCTTTTCTTTATAAATTATGCAGTCTCAGGTATTTCTTCACAGCAATGAGAGAACGGACTAATCCAAAGAAAAAGACCCATCTTCAAGGCACTTACATTCTAATTATCCAGGCAGCAACATGTAAGTCAGTAAATATTATATTGTGCTGTATTAGAAGCAAGTAGTGTCACAGGCTCTGAAGGAACATAAGACACCATGATCAAGAGGGATGAGGTTGGGGGGCCCTTTACCTAGGATCCCAGGGAGGGCCTCTCTAAGGAAGCGACATTTGAGCTGGGATCCTCGAGAAGGAAACCTGGAGAAGGAGCATCCTGCCAGAGGCCCCAGGGGAAACCCTGCTAGGTATACCTGAGGGACACAACAGCCAATGGGTTGGAGCATGGTAAGTAAGGGTGTGAGCAGCTGAGGATGCAGAAGGGCCAGGGCCAGGTGACGGAGGATGTTGCAAGCTTTGGCAAAGGAGATGGAAGTCCTGGTCCGATACACAGAGTGTGACAGAGAGAAGAGAGAACAAGTGTGTTCTGTGGGGCCAGAGCAAGGCGTGGTTCATGATCCAGCAAGGAAAGCTACAGGAAAAGAGTTCCAATTCCAGCTCACTCAGAAAGAAGCTGTTTCTGGCAGTCCCTGGTGCATCCAACCACAGAATGGGCAGCCTGGAGGAGGTGAGCTCTCCGTCCACAGAGGTGTGCAAACAGGGTACAATGGCAGGACATGCTAGAGTCCCAGGAGTTGGTGATTCAGTGAAATCAACAGGAAAAAAAAACAAAAAACCAAACTCAATAATAATCCTTAACAAAGTTTACAGTGGCAAAGGACCCACTTAAAACATTTTAGCAGCAGCCTGCTGCGATCAGAGCAATCTCTGGAAATGATTTATTTACATATAAAAATGAGACATTTCCCAACAGCCTCGCGACAGCCCCTGGGGTGAGGCTCTCATTGGACTGTGCCTCCCCTGGGGCCAAGAGGCTCTGCCCCTCCTCAGCTCCTGCCTCGGTTGGGGGCTGATTGCCTCTCCCAGGGGAGGCGGAGGCTCACGCCCTGCCAGCATTCCAGAGAGTTGCTTCTCCAAAATAAACCTTGCATAAGCATTTAAATGTGCGGCTGGGCATGAAGTACAGTCAACATTTTTATTCCAAGAATGCAAATGAGCCCCTGAGGGTCCTGGAAGAGACAAAAATGCCCTGGCCCAGAAGCACTTTTTTGAAAGGCTTGAGTTGGGCACAGCTAGTTTCACTTTCTCAAAACAGTCTTGGGGAAACTGAGGCCCAGGGATTGACTCAAGGTCACAGTGTGAGGAAAGGGCAGAGCAGCCGGAGACTTTCTATCCTGCTGGAATTTCCCCCAATCAGAGCTTTATTTGTTTGCATTGAGCAAGCTCCCAGATGCAGCCAAGTAGTGGGCAGACAGGTAACTGGATCGTTTCACAGAACGGGACCTCTCAGCAAGCTCCGCTGTCTGCACTGGGCACCAGTGATTCCTGAGGCTTGGGAATCTGGACCCTGACTTTGAAGGACAAGAAGAAGCCTGCCCTTATCGTGAGGGTACTTACAGGTGCCACCCCAGGCAGCGTTAGGGCCCCTCCCTCCTCTGGGCTCTACCCACAGCACCTGAGGTTCTTGTCACCTCAAGCCTTGTCCACTCCAAGGGTCTGGCATATATCACGTGCTCAAAACCTGTTGCCACAAACTGAACCAAGTGGCCTGCCCATAGAGGACCTTCCTCACCACAGAAATAGGGACAAGCAACTAGATGGGATATGTCTTAGGCAGGGGCCACAGAAGCCCTGGGGGCTGTCCTGGGCTTTCCCTGAGACTTTGGACCTCAAGTATGGGCCAGACCCTGGGAATAGATGTTTCTAAGTCTCCCAGAGATACCCGGAAGTTTCAGGGGCCATGAGAGGGAGCTCTGGGCTTTGGGATCTCAGAAGCCTCCTTCAGTGTAGATCCCCCACATTTTTCCTGGCCTGGGGGGGTCCCTAGCAGGGCGGACTCACCCAGAGTCAAGCGCCCACCCTGACCAGGTGCTGCTCGATTCTCCTCTGCTAACCCAGGTGGCTCAGGGGCTTGCTTTCAGCATCCCATGAGCAGAAGGGTCCTGGCCTATTGGCCCCTGCAGCATCATGCAGGCTCCTGAGGGTGGGTGGAGGGCCCAGGCCAGGCATGAGTACGAATGAGGTCCCCCAGGCAAGGCTGGTCCCACCAGGGAAGCCCTCCTGTTCCAAGACAGATCTTGAGTTTAGTTTAATCCTTTAGAGGAAAGACTGTTTCCCATTCTTAGGAAGGATCACGCCTCCCCTCACTCACAACCCCCACATCCATATTGTGCTGGAAAGTGGTTAACCTTTTCCCATCACGCCTCATGCCCAAACGCATTTTCAAAATTGCGCTAGCTACTAGGATCCTCATTCTTTACTGCTGGGGAGAGAAGGGCACCTCTGGGCAGAATTCTGTTCATCTCTGATCATAACTGGAGCTGGAGGGGGCTGGTTCATGTGTCCTCCTCACAGCCCCAAGAGTAGAGGTTCCTGTTTTTCCCCAGGGACCCAGCACTGTGCCAGGCTCCCAGCAGCAACTCCTGGACCCCCAGGGTCCCGTCCACCTCCCTCACAGGTATTGATTAGCAGAGGGACACCAATTAGGCAGGGGTGTTCAGCTGGCCCGGCTCCACCAACCCACGTGCCTATTTCCCTGCTGGAGTGAAGCGCCTGGTTTCTCAACCCCTGGAGAATTACAACTCACTTTAAACAAGAAGGCGGATGACTTCGTGCCTGCCTCCCCCAAGCCTAGCAGCTTAGCACCATCTGAATTCCAATTAGTATCATCAAGTTTTCTCAGGGAGGAAAATGTTTCCCCTGACACCCACCTCCTTCCAGCTGCAAGAAGTTTGCTCAAGGCTAAGACACATCTGCAGAGTCATGAATCCATCCGCTGAATATGCCTTTATCACCACCTACTCGGAGCCCCAGTTCCCGACAACAGTCATAGTTACTGCTGATGGCCTGTGGTCTGTATGCCAGGCACCTCATCTCAGCCCTCACAGTGCCTAGGAAGTGGGCACTTATGTTGCCCCACCAAAGATGAGGAGACTCGGGCTCTGTGACCAGTGCAAGGCCACCTGCCCTTGCCCATCCACCTGGAGATGAGGCTTATCCCAGGACTCTGATTTCAAAGCCTGGGATCTGAACGGTGCACAATATCACCACATCTGCAAAACGGACAGAGCTCCGGGCATTAAAGATGATCTTTGGAGAGCAGCTGGTCAAGTGCCACATAGAAGCTCAAGAAAGGTCCACTCCAATAAAGAATTGGAGGTGCAGCTGGAGGAGCGGAATCACACAGATAACCTCCCTCCAGAATTGGCTTAGAGACCTGTAGGGAGGCAATGCCATGCAGGCTGGAGTTCAAGCCTTAAAAGGCACAAATGGCCTGCCCTAGGAACTGGAAGAAGGGTGGGTCTTGCCAGCAGGGAACCTGGGAATGCTGCTTGGGGGAGTGTCAACAAGCAACAAATGGTCTGGTTTGCCTCGTGCAAGGGAAAGCCCAACACTGAAGCACTGGATTTTTGGAAAGAAAAAAGTTGATTGCAAGGTGATAGGATATGGCTGTGTCCCCATCCAAATCTTATCTTCAATTATAGCTCCCATAGTTCCCATGTGTTGTGGGAGGGACCCAGTGGGAAATCATTGAATCATGGGGGCAGTTCCCCCCATACTGTTCTGGTGGTAGTGAATAAGTCTCATGAGATCTGACGGTTTTATAAGGGGAACCCCCTTTCACTTGGTTGTCATTCTCTCTTGTCTGCCGCGACGTAAGACGTGCCTTTCGCCTTCCACCATGATTGTGAGGCCTCCACAGCCATGTGGAACTGTGAGTCCATTAAACCTCTTTTTCTTTGTAAATTATCCAGCCTTGTGTATGTCTTTATCAGCAGCATGAAAACAGATCAATACATAAAGCTACCAAGCAAGGAGACGAGAGTCAAGCTTAAATCTGTCTCCCCAAGCTGGTGGTTGGGGGAGATTTTATAGTGAGAGAGTAGTGAGGAATGATCTGATTGGATCTTGCGATAAGGTGATGCTGGGAGAAATGATATGACTGGATCCTGCCATGGGGTGACACGAGGGCTTGATCTCACTGGATTCTGGATCCCGCCTTGTGGTGTCCGCTGCTTAATTCAGTCCTATTCCTTGGCCTGAGCACTTAGCTTCCACCCTTGGTTCATCTGGACATTCTCAGGTTATGTGACCTTCAACCTGGGGATCCATGGCAGTTTAAAAACAACTCACTGTTTCATTACACAAAGTTGAACCAGATTAATCTGGTGCCATTACAGGAGGAGGCATTGGTGGGCTTTGAGGGATGGGGAAGATTTCAGTGAAGACAGTTCCTAATGAGGAAAGGAAGAATTCGGGCCTGCCCTTCTGCCTTCCACCTGAGTGTCCTGAGATAGACTGGGCCCAAATGTGTGCACCTGCTGTGCCAGCCATTGTCACCTATAGATGTTCCTGCTCCTTTCCCAGAAAGTACCAATGCCCTTTAGGGGCCAGGCCCTGGCTCTGTGAGCCTGAGGACACCCAGGTTCCTGCCTTTCCCCTTGGGGACTTAGTTTCTTCTCTCCTTTCTGTCTCCTCACACTCTCTCTGCCTGTGACTGAGCCTGTTGAGGGCAAGGATACGTTTCGTCCACCAGGCAGGCCCAGGCCCTGGCACTTGTCCCAGCACTGAGCAAAACAGCCTGGTAGGCATTTGTGTTACCGGTAGAGGGTCTTGACTGCAAGTTGTCCAGGTTCTTGGCATTTTGAACAAAGAATCGGACAAAAGGCACAGAAAAGCAAGGAAAGAATGAAGCAACAATAGCAGAGATTTATTGAAAGTGAAAGTACACTCCACCATGAGGGAGCGGGCTAAGCAGAGGCTCAGGAGCCCCAGATACAGAATCTTCTTGGGTCAAAATACCCCCTAGAGGTCTCCCACTGGCCACTTGGTGTTCACCTCACGTAAATGAAATGGTGACCCGCAATCGGTGAAGTTACACAGGTCATACTCCCATGCAAACATCTGATTGGTTGCAGAAAGCCACCAATCAGAGGCTAAAGTGAAGTTACAAAGTTGCACTTCTATGCAAATGAAGACTTGGTTCGCAATCTGTCTGTCTGCAACTAATTAGAGGCTGAAGTGAAGTTACAAAGTTACACTCCTAGGCAAAGGTCTGATTGGTTGCAAAAAGCAACCAATCAGAGGTATTTTCAATTTTCCATCTGCCTCACAGAAAAGGTGGGGGCTTGTAAAGGGAGTAGCCTCTGGTCCTTTTGTTACTTAGGAGTGGAAAGTTAGGGTTTTCCTTTCAATTTAGTTCTAGGAAGTCAGTGTGAAATGACCTTGGGTTCCCTGCCTCTAGACCCTATTCTCCTGCCTCATTTGTAGGTTAGAACATGATAGAACAGAGTGGTACCCCATTGTTACTCCCCCTTTCTCCATCACTACCCACAAGGATGCCATGTGACCTGAATCCAAGCCAACAGGCTTGGACTCCACCTCTGGGTCTAAAGCTGGAGGAAGTCACACTGCAGTTCTGAGCCTCAGTTTCCTCATCTATAAAACAGGGATAACTAAGCCCTCCAGGGCTCTGGGAGGTGATGGGTGAGATTGCTTATGTAGGAGCCCTTTTGAAAAATTAAGCAGCTCTCCAATTCTCTCTCTTTACATGGAACATATTTTTAAAATGAGTTTTAAAATATTAGCAGAATCCTTTGCTCATTTTTTTTGCCTCTCGAAAGTTTCATTTTGCCAAACCCTTTAGAAAATGAACTTTTTGAAAAACAAAAATTACTTTTATAGAGATAGGGTCTCGCTATGTTGCCCAGGCTGGTCTTGAACTCCTGGCCTCAAGCAGTTCTCCCACTTCAACCTCCCAAAGTGCTGGGATTACAGGCATAAGCTGTCATGCTTGGCCTTGAAGCGTGAACTCTTGAATTAGCTTTTGAATTTGTAGAAACCTTTGTGAGTCACCAAGAGCCTTTGTTATTGTCATCTCCATGAACTGTCTCAACAGGACAGTGGTTCACATTACCCTGCAAGTACAGATGAGACAGCTAAGTGACCTCCCCAAGGTCACATGGCAGAAGATGGCTTGAACCAGGTCTCCCTATCTATGTTGTTGGGTTAGCTCTGAGTAGAGTCCCAGCTACTCCCTCAGATCACTAAAGGCTCCTACCCTCTACCCCCACCATAGCAACAATTCAACTTTGCCAAGTCCCCAAGCCTGACCTTGGGAAGAAAAGTCTCAGTGGACTGTCACTCTCATGGGGCAGGGACTGGCAGCTGTGGCTGGTCTCTGAGGCTCAGGTCACCCCAGGCCCTGCACCTCACTGACCAGGGAGGGCAGCCCTGCTGGCTGCTACAAACCCCCTGGGAGTAAGGGGTGGGACCAACTCACTCACTCAACCCACCTGAATTAAGCATCATCTGCTAGTGTTGGGGCCCCACCCCTGGGCTTGGGAGCTACTGAAATGTAGCCCCCTCCTCCCCTTTTTAAGAAGAGGGGACACACAGGAAAACAGTGAGAGGAGCTGGGAGGGAAGAGAGCCCTGGGGGCTGTGGGAGCCAGAGGGGAGCTCTGTTAGTCACAGTATCAGCAGTTTTCACACTGCTGATAAAGACATACCCAAGACTGGGCAATTTACAAAAGAAAGAGGTTTAATTGGACTTACAGTTCCACATGGCTGGGGAGGCCTCACAATCATGGCAGAAGGTAAGGAGGAGCAAGTCACATCTTACATGGATGGCGGCAGGCAAAGAGAGAGAGCTTGTGCAGGGAACTCCCATTTTTAAAACCATCAGATCTCATGAGACTCCTTCAGTATCATGAGAACAGCACAGGAAGGACCTGCCCCCATAATCCAATCACCTCCAAGCAGGTTCCTCCCAGGACAAGTAGGAATTGTAGGAGTTACAATTCAAGATGAAATTTGGGTGGGGACACAGTCAAACCATATCAGGAGCTTTCACCATCTTGAGAGTAGAAGAAGGTACCCTGGGAGACAAAGTCCAGGCTGGAATCTTAAAGGCTGAGGAAACGAGAGCCAGGGAAGAAGAGATGAAGAGGGCATTCTAGGCCAAGGGAATGGCCAAGCAAAGGCCTGGAGGGTGAGCAAAAGGCTCAATAACAGTGGTGGTGGCCCCGCCAGCCTCAGGAGGGGGCAGAGCTGGCTGGCACTGCTCAAACTTCAGCCCCTCACTCATGTGGAGTCCTTCCCTTTGAGGTTTAATCATATCCAACTCTCTATTCATAATTTTGTTTCCTTTCCTTAAGGAGGCTCCCTGGCCCTTGCTGAGTACATTTCAACCCCGAGCTGTCCTAGAGTGCATGTAGCCCGGCTCTGTGTGGAAATCTTTTCGGGTACCCCCAGGAGTCTGCACTTTGTCTGTGGGTTACAGAAGGAGGGTGGCAGATAGTAAAGGAGTGTTAGCAGAGAAGAATTCCAAGTGAAATGTCAGGCTCTCAAATGTGACATGTCCAGAATGAAACCCTCTACTCACCCTCCAGATCTCGCCGCCAGCAGGCCCCCAGGCAGTCAATAAAACCCTACACCCTACACAGACCTCAGGGTCATCCCCACTGCCTCCCTAGCCTCCTCCTCACCACAGTCCAATTGCAGGAGGCTTGTCTGCTGTGCATTTTAACACTGCCCTGTTCATCCACCCCTGTGCCCCCTTGGCTCTGCACCTCTCTTGAAACCCTCTCAGCTCTGCACCTCCCTGTA
Organism: Homo sapiens; assembly: GCF_000001405.40. Lineage (NCBI taxonomy): Eukaryota > Metazoa > Chordata > Mammalia > Primates > Hominidae > Homo > Homo sapiens. The sequence continues at coordinate 93,873,415 of NC_000014.9, read as the reverse complement.
CCCCCCATAGATCTGTACCCTCCTGTACCCCTCAGCTCTGTACACTCCTCCTGTGCCCCCCTCAGCTCTACACACTCCTCCTGTGCCCCCCTGAGCTCTGTATACCCCTCCTATGCCCCCCTCAGGGCTATGCACCCCTCCTGGGCCCCCCCAGCTCTGCACTCCTGTGTTCCCCTCAGCTCTGTACTCCTCTCCTGTACCCCCCACAGCTCTGAACTCCCCTCCTGTGCCCCCCTCAGCTCTGTACACCTCTCCTGTGTCCTTCACAGCTCTGCAAACCTCCTATGCCCAAACCTCTTATGCCCCAACAGTTCTGCATGCCCCAGGGCATCCACACTGCTTCCTCCAGAGTCTGGGCTTCCTGCATTTTTCTGTTGAGCTCCTGTCCCATCCTTCTTGCCCTGTGCATTTCCCCTCCTACCCCTGGCTGAGGTTTTGTTACAAGTAAATTGTTTATGGAAAAACCCAATGCACTGGCCACTCAACCAGTGACACAGCTTTCTCCCTACCCCTACCCCACTCAACGGGATCCTGACCTCACCTGCCTGGGCCCTAGCACTGACCGTGGCTTCAGGGCAGAGGACCCTGGCTGCCTCCCCGAGAGTCCTGCAGGCCTGTTCTCAGACAAGGGACTTTCCTTTCTAGACTCATGTCCTTGTCTGCAGCATTGAGAGAACCCCCTCCTCCCTGCCTTACCTGTTGTCCAGACGATAAGATGGGAGTTATAAATTTGTTCTAAGTTGTACAAGTATGAGAGCTAGGGATTCAAAAATATTTGAGAAGGCCTGCCGAACACAAGCAAGGTCCTGTGAACTCCCTGATGACAGCAGCAAGATGCGAGGCTGTGGTTAAGGCAACTGCGTTCTTGTTGTTGGTTTTCACCAATTCTGAGCATCCACAGTTTGCTAGGCCAGATGCTGAGCCAGGTGCTGGGGACCAAGGTGAGACTCCCATGGTGGCAGAAGAGAACCACCTAGGCAGAGCTTGTAGATCCAGAGTAGAGGGTGGCTAGCTCTGAACATATCCACACTATGAAAGGAGATAGGGCTTCGGCATAACTGACCCCCACCCCTGCCAAGCCAGAGGGGCCTGAATGACTCGTCTTGGCCATCTGCACTTGCTGGCCACTCGTCTTGGCCATCTGCACTTGCAGGCCACCTCTCTCAAGTCACTTCCATCCTAAGCCTCAGCTTTCCCATCTTTAAAATGTGGAGATGCAGGGAGCAGCCCAGGGTGGTGGGTGTGTGTGTAAAAGTCCCGTCTTCCCACCTCGTCTTCGGCAGGGGACTGGGGGTCAGGGATCATACCCAGGTGTGCCCTCTACTCTGAAGCCCTGTGCTCCCCCCACCTCCTGTGCCCTCCACAGGAGTTGGCCTGCAGGATGTACCATCCCAGGACAGGGCAGTGGCTCTACCTGGAGTGCCCTTCCTCCCTTCTCTGTGCCCTCTGCTCCAGCTCCTTTTGCCAGGCCCCTCCTCAGGGACACCATCGCTGGTCTCCAAGCAAGCTGTCCCTCTGTGTGCCCACAAATGCTCTGCCACCAATTATAATTTATTGGTTGACTTGCCAGCTCACCCCCAGGACACTTGAAGGGAAAAGGCCGAACTCACCTTTGCATCTCAACTATGAAACAGAGAGCCTGACACGTAGTAAGTGCTCAGTACACATCCCATGAATGAGTGCAGGAGCGAATGAAGGCTTCAATGGGGAGACATCCCTGCCAGCTCTGGGGTTGTCCGTTGTCATCTTGTCACCACTACACCCATTTAAAGCTAAGAGCAATGTTTCCCCAAATCCCCTTCTTTTATGGGTTAAATTGTGTCCCCTCCAAAATTCATAAGTCCTACCCCCTAGTACCAGAATGTAACCTTGTTTGGGAATAGATTTCTTGTAGATGTAATTAGTTAAGATGAGGTCTAATTACAATAAAATAAAATATAATGACAACCCCTATAACTATGTAAAATAGTACATATCAATTAAAAAAACAAAATTTTAAAAATGAGGTCTTATTGGAATAGAGTGGGCCTTTAATTCAGTATAACTGATGTCCTTTTAAAAAGAGGACTTTTGGACACACACACACACACACACACACACACACACAGCCATGTGACAGTGAAGGCAGAGATCAGGTGATGCTTCCACAAGCCAAGGAACGCAAAAGATGGCCAGAAGCTGAGAGAGGGGCCTGGCACAGATGCTCCCTAACAGCCTCAGAAGGAAGCAAACCTGCCCACACCTGGTTCTCAGGCTTCTGGCCTCCAGAACTGTGAGATGATGTCTTAGCCCATTTTGTGCTGCTGTAATGAAACACCTGAGACTGGGCCATTTATGAAGAACAGAAGTTTATTTCTCACAGTTCTGGAGGCTGGGAAGTCCAAGATCAAGGCACAGGCAGATTCTGTTGTCTGGTAAGGGCTGCTCTCTGCTTCCAGGTTAGCACCTTGAAGCTGCATCCTCCAGAGGGGAGGGGTGCTGTGTCCTCACACGGCAGAAGGCAGAAGGACAAGAGGGGCAAACTCCTTCCTTCAAGTCCTTTTATAAGGGCATCTAATCTCATTCATGAGGACAGAGCCCTCATGACTTAATCACCTACCAGAAGTGCCTGAGCTCTGGGTACTCCACAGTTGGTTACTGCACTGAGCTGGGGTTTGAGGCTCAGGCTTCAGGCTCAGGGGTCAATGGCTGTTTCTGCCCCCAACTCCTCCCTCATTCAGTAAGCCTCATCTCCTCCATTATACCCTGTATGCCACTATCGCTTACAGCAGCTCTTCTTCCCTGACGAAATTCAGACTGACTCAAGCTTCAAATTCAGACTGACTCAAGCTTCAAATGCCACCACGGAGTGCCCTCGCTTGGCCAGACACCTGCCAAAAGCCGCCCTCGCCCAGTCTCAGTCAAAATACAATGACAGACTACCAGGAGTTGCTGGCAGATCAGCGAGCTCTTCACTCACAGAGACATTCACGGCGACAAATGGATAAATTTTCATCTATCAGCTGTTACAGTGACCCTTGATCATGAGAGAGACAGAGAGAGCCCTTTTGCTAGAAAGACCTCATCACTCACCCAGCAGAAGCAGGTGCTGCATCCTAAAACACCACTGCCTGCTATTTACAAAGCCACAAGGGAGTGAAAAGGCTTTTCTAGTGTCAACTGAAAAATCACAAAGTTATCAATTTAGAAAGGAATCTTCCCTTCCTTCCTTCCTTCTTTCCTTCCTTCTTTCCTTCCTTCCTTCCCCTCTTTCTTTCTTCTTTCTTTCTTTCTTTCTTTCTTTCTTTCTTTCTTTCTTTCTTTCTTTCTTTCTCTCTCCCTCCTTTCTGTCTTTCATCTTTCTTTCTTTTTAAGAGGGGTCTTACTCTGTCACACAGGCTGGAGTGCCATGGCACAAACATAGCTCACTGCAGCCTTGACCTCTTGGGCTCAAGTGATCCTCCTGCCTCAGCCTTCCTTGTAGCTAGGACCACAGGCATGCACCACCATGCCTGGCTCATTTTTTGATTTTTTGTAGAGACAGGGTCTCACTTTGTTGCCCAGGCTGATCTCAAACTCCTGGGCTCAAGTGATCCTCCCACCTCAGCCTCCTAAACTGCTGGGATTACAGGTATTAGCCACCACACCTGCCAGGGACTTTATTTCTTATAAAGGGTTATATCCTGTGGGCTGGTCATCTCGAAGACTGGGAAGTGCAGCATCCAGTAGCCCCAAAGGCAGGCATTTCAAGGGAGAAAAGGATGAGACAGGGATTTATGCTGAAGGTGTCCAAATATAGATATTCAATAGGCTATAGGAGGAGCTATGAATATTCACAAAGGGGCTTCTGATGCATGTGTACCAAACAAGCATGCATGTTACATGCATCTTATGTTCACTTTGGGGTGAAGGCAACATTTACATGCATTGAAATTAGGCCCTGTGTGTTAAAAGATAAAGCAGAGACATGAAGGCAGTTGGTGCACAGCCTCTGTAAACTGACCAAAACGAGTCCATGGTTGGTCCATTTGTCTCTTATCAGGACAAATCAGTCTCTTGTCTAATCAAAGCTGCAGTTCAGCCTGGTGGAACTGGGTGCTCAGTCAGTGTCTGCTGGTGGGTGAGCTGCCGTTCCTTCCATATTGCTTATTTCAAGCCAGTGCTTGTTTAGCTGCTGAAGAAAAAAAGGGGGAAACGTGTGACTATTGGAATATAGTTTATTCTGTGACCGTAGGGGTTCATGACTTAACCCTCACCTGGCATGGGCTTAGGTCTGGTTTATAATTTGTTATCTTATTGCCACAACGAGTCCATTCTGTCAGTCTTTTGGTCTCTGTGTTAACATTCATGCTGGTCAGTTGTTGTGTCTAAGCCACAAAAGGGATGGGGGAGAATGAGGCATGTCAGGACTAGGAGCTCAGTTTTTAGGGTTTCTCTGAGATCCTTTTGAGGTAGAAGGTGGGACTCAACTCAGGAGGCAGGACTCGACTATGGAGGCGGGGCTAGGACACTGGACAAAATTGAGGACTAGCTAAAACAGGGATGGGTCAGAAGCAGCTTTTCATAAGCCAAGCCCACTCATGTGCCATGTCAGTTTACCATTGCCATGGTAACATCCAGAAGTTACTGCCCCTTTCCATGGCAACAACCTGATGACCCAGAAGTTATCATCCTATTTCTAGAAATGTTTGCATAATCTGCCCCCTAATTTGTATATAATTAAAAGCACATATAAATATGACTGGAGAACTGTCTCTTAGCTGTGATTCTGGGTACGCTACCCAGGGGGTAGCCCGGCTGTGCAAGGAGCAATACCTCTGTGCACTGCCTCTTCGATAAAAGTTGCTGTCTAACACCACTGGCTCCCCCGAGTTCCCTCCTGGGTGAAGCCAAGAACCCTTCTGAGCTAAGCCCCAATTTTGGGACTTGCTAGTGCTGCATCACTTTTGGTCAAGAGGGTGTCCATTCAGTTGGTTGCAGGGCTTAGGATTTTTCCATTCTCACTAGGAATGTGCATGGCAAGCTGGTGCTTCTGGGAACCAGCCACAGATGACATGTAGGTTCCAGGGTGGTGTGAGCAAAGAGCTCCTATCAGATCCTAAGCGCACGTTGCCACTTACCACAAGTAGTCATTCTGGAAGAACATTCTCAAGAACCAAGCCATTGTGTAAGTCTCCCAGATGAACAAGTGTGAGTGCTTAAGTTTCAGCAGTTACGTTGAAGGGCTGGAAACCAAGGTAAGTGCAGTGAATTCAACACAAAGCCCACCGTGGATCCTCAGACTCTGAAAGCACCTGTTCTTGCCCTTGACTCCCCTTCTACCACTGCAGAGGACACTTCCTTCCACCTGATGGAAGGCGGGTTACCTCCTGCACCCAAGACCCAAGCATTGTATTCTCTCTCCTGCCACTATCCAGCCATGGGCTAAGCTTGGTACACATATTAGTTCATTTTTTATAACAGTGCCAAGAGGCAAATATTACTATCCCTAATTTCTATAAGGGAAACTGAGTCCCAGATAAGCTAAATGATATGCTTGACTTCATAGAGGGAGTAGGTGGGTGGTGAAGTTGGGGATGAGACTCTACTTTCAACATTAGAGCAGTGTTTTTCAAGCTTTAGCAAATGGTAGCTTATGCTTAGAATTCACATTCCTGGGTTCTTCCCTCATTGCTTTGATTCGGTGGGTCTGGCTGGGGCTTGAGAACAATGAATCTGTTGCAGCCTGTCCACAGCCCACATGTGGGAAGGAGTATATCAAATGCCCCTCTCCATGAGGAAGTTATTTCTCCGTGTGTTCACCTTCTCCGTGCAGTTTGCCTGCAGGAACCTCCCTCTGCACATTACTATGACATTCTGACTGAGCCCTGTTTTGTTGAACTTAGATAATGTCATTCAAATCCCAACTCATCCACATACCAGCTCTGTGACATTGGGTAAGACACCCAACCTGTCCTTTTCCTGATTTTCTCATCTGTAAAATTGGGCAAATAATAGGTGCTGTCTCAAAATTGTTATGAACGTGAAATCGGTTCATCTATGTAAAATATTTGTAACAATACCTGGCATATAATAAGCTCTCAATAAACATTAGCTATCATTATTATTATAGTTATTCTTGTGGTTATCATTACTATTGAGCTATTTCTAGTGTATGTGTCTCATCTGCACAATAAGATTCTAATCTCCAAAAGAGCACAGAGCTTGGCACAGGATAGGATATGCAGTAGATACTCAACAAATATCATTGAGTGTGTAAATTAATTATGAAATTCATAAGCAATCAAATCCCATAATTAGCATATGAGGGAATTAATAATACTATAATATCATAAGCAATGAATAATATTATAAGTAACAATGTTATTGATCACTTGTGCAGCACCTAATATATGCCAGGATTAGGGTTAAACACTTTACATGAATTATTCCATTTAATTATCACAACAATTACTCATGAGTTGAGTATTACTTGCCACAAGGAAACTGAGACACAAAGAAGTTAAGCAATCTGTCCATGTTCTTGAGCTGCTAAGTAGTAGAGCTGGTATTTTACCCCAGGTTTTTCTAATGCAAGAGCTCATACTCTTAACCACACACTGTGTGTCAGTTTTCCCTTATTAGACTGGAAGCTTCTCCAGGGGAGTAATTGAATCTTGTTCATTAGTTTCCTTAGTCCCAGGCAGAGGACTTCACATAAGGTAGGCTCTCAAAGAAATGTTTATTGGGTGTGTTTGCCTGAATGAATGGATGGATGCATGGCTGGATGGATGATGGACAGATGGATGGAAGGGTTCAGGAGTGGATGGGTGGAAGGATGGGAGGAGAGATGCATGGATGGATGCATGGATAAGTGGATAAATGGACAGATGGATTGATGGATGGATGAGTAGATAAAGAGATGGATAGATGGTGGGTGGTTTGACGGGTGAAGAGATGATTGGGGGAATGTGTCTTTTTTCTTTTTTTGAGACAGAGTGTCTCTCTGTTGCCAGGCTGGAGTGCAGTGGTGCGATCTTGGCTCACTGCAATCTCTGCCTCCCAGGTTCAAGGGATTCTCCTGCCTCAGCCTCCTGAGTAGCTGGGATTACAGGTGCAGGCCACCACACCCAGCTAATTTTTGTATTTTTAGTAGAGATTGGGTTTCACCATGTTGGCCAGGATGGTCTTGATCTCCTGACTTCGTGATCCTCCCTCCTCGGCCTACCAAAGTGCTGGGATTACAGGCATGAGCCACCGCACCCGGCTGGGAATGTGTCTCTGGGAGAGCAGGTGGGTAAATGAATGAGTGTTCAGAAGAAGGGTGAGTGAGTGGATATGTGGGTGGACAGGAGAATGAGTAAGTGGATGAAAAGTGAAAGAATACCGTCCTCAAGTTATTCTGCAGAGTAACACTCAAAGAATCCTGAGACAGGGAAATGTTGGAAACAGATGTACATTTGGAGATAAAAGAAGCTGAAAAATGGCAGTGTTGTTCCTGGAAGGGAGATGGAGGCGGGAAAGACACATCTGGGTTACAGGAAAAGGCATCCTCTCGTTCAGCATCTTCTAGTCTGAAAGAGCCCAGGGCTCCACAGTGGAGGCACTAATTGGATTTCATTAAAGTGAAATAGATTTCCTAGCATTGGAAGAGCTAGTTCATTAATACATACTCTACTCGTGGAAGGCATGGGGAGGGGAAGCTCCACCTAAGATAGGAGCTAAGAAACCCTGCTGCAATACTCAGGTTCTGAGCACCTGCTCTATGCCAGTGCCTGGGCAAAGTGTCAGGTATGCAGTAATACATACCCAACCCTCTATCTCCAGAAACTCACAGGGTCGGGGAGAGGGTGACAGGCATGCAACATGGCAGGGCACTGAACAAGGGTAAGCAACACAGATTATCCACCGTAGGTCCTTAGTACTTCTAGGGGTGGGGTAGAAGTAAGTAGTGGGGAACGGTGAAGTTGGCACAGCTGGTGTAAGACTCATAGGGCCATTTTTCACAGAAGGAAGGTTGCTTGCCCAAAGTGGTAATTGTGCAAAACCAAGGGAGGAGAAAAGTGAGAGGGCTGAGGTTCACCCAATTGTTCAAAAACATTGACTGAACACCTATGTGCCAGGCATTTCCTAGGTACAGGACAGTCAGTAGAGGAGATTGACAAGGTCCCGGAGCCAAGGGGAGTGATCTGGTTTGGAGTTTTTAATTGGTGAGTTTTGAACATAGAAGAGGTTTTTAATGCAGGACTAGATGAGGTCACCTGGGGAGAGTATAGGAAGAATGGCTCCTTTTAGTTCATTCTCCCTCCTAGAGCAAGAATTCCTTCCACAGCATCACTGGCAGGTGGCCACCCAGCCACCTTGCATATTCCAATGACAGGAAGCTCACTACCAGGCAAGGCAGCCTGCCTATCTTTAGAAGTTCTAGTTGTTAGTAAGTAATTTTCTACGTGGGCCAAAACCTCCCTCCTGGTTGTATTCCTTTGTACCAGTCCTGTCTCATTCCATCAGCTCCCTCTTTGCCATGACCAGCTAGAACCAGCAGAGGTGGTCCAACACAGGCCCCTTGCCTTTTTAAAAAATAATGGGGCCCTAGGTCTCTTTTGAGGGTACCCTGCTTTCCCCAGTGTCATCTCACATCTCGGGAAACGACAAAGTCTTATTTTAATTTCTGAGTTATGGCCTTAGAGACAAGAAGAAAAGAGGAGACATTTAAACACATAAGAGGAGACTTTCCTTCTTGTCCTTTTGTGAAATGCTTCTGGTTCCTTCAGCCACTCTTATTTGACTGATGATCTCCTCCAGCTTGCTTTGTCTCTGGGCTGGAGCCCCACCCTGGCAACCAGCTCTCCATGCCAAGGGCCACTGATGGCCACCTGTACTGTGCTGCTTAGCCCCCGTCTGGTTGCCCCTCATCTTACACAACCTCTTTGTGCAACATTTGACCAACTGAACCTTCTCTCCATGAATGGATGAGCTTTGGCCTTCCCAGTTGCTTTTTCTGCTCCCAGTCTTCCCTCAGTTTCATGTTGTCCAGGTTCTGGGTAAATAACCTTCTCCTTCCAGACATTACACTATAGACATCATACTAGGTAGGCCGGTTACTCTCCTGCCCACTCTTCCCACCTAGTTTTACCCACAATCACAAATAAATCAGGCTCCTCATGAGTTCTCTGGAGTTTTGCTGTGCAGTAAAGTGTTGGCTCAGCAGACCTGGATTATCCACACCCTATGCATTCCAAAGAGATATCTGTCCCCGGGCCAGCTCCTAGGAGATAACCTCTAAGCCTTTAGAATATCTTGCCTGATAATAGTGTCTTTGGGCCTGTGATGGTTAATACTGAGTGTCAATTTGATTGGATCGAAGGATGCAAAGTATTGATCCTGGGTGTGTCTGTGAGGGTGTTGCCAAAGGAGATTAATATTTGAGTTGGTGGGCTGGGAAAGGCAGAGCCACACTTAATCTGAGTGGGCACAATCTAATCAGCTGCCAGCTTGGCTAGAATATAAAGCGGGCAGAAAAACGTGAAAAGACTAGACCAGCCTAGCCTCCCAGCCTACATCTTTCTCCTGTGCTTGATGCTTCCTGCCCTTGAACATCAGACTCCAAGTCCTCCAGTTTTGGGACTCAGACTGGCTCTTCTTCCTCCTCAGCCTGTAGATGGCCTATTGTGGACCTTGTAATCATGTGAGTTAATGCTTAATAAACTCCCATATATATATGGGAGTATATATATATATATTCCATTAGTTCTGTCCCTCTAGAGAACCCTTACTAATACAGGGCCTATGCCAGATAGTCCATGCTAACAATGAGATTGCTGGTGCAGGCCTCTAGCCACACGTGTCTGTTTGACCTCTGAAGGGGCTGGGGACTAAGTAATGTCAGCCATGCAGGTGGTCAGCCATGCCTACACGACCAACCCTCAGTAAAAGCTCAGGACACAGAGGCTCAGGAGCTTCCGTTGTTGGTAGCTCTCCATGTGTGGTGTCACATTGCTCCTAGATGAATTAAGCATTGTCTGTAAAACTCCCCTGGAGGACAGCAACTGGAAGCTTGTCCCTGCTCTCTCCTGGCCTCCACCCTATGCACCCTCTCCCTTTTCTGGTTTTAATCTATGTCGTTCCACTGTTATAAAGCATAACCATGAATACAGCAACTTTTCTCAGTTGTGTGAGTCCCTCTAGCAAATCATCAAACCTGAGGGTTGTCTTGGAGACCCTTGAACACATCTGCTATTACAACATCCATCCTGTTTTGTTACAGGTCTGTATCCCTGCCCCACACCCTCAGACCATGAGCTAGGGCCCCAGGTATTTGGATCTTTGTCTCAGTTTCCTACCATCCACACCTGCTCCCTGGTACCTTCAGCTGGATACAACTGCCAAGGCTTTAGCTTATGATAGATTTTTCCTCAACTGCCTTCCAATTTTTTCTTGACAAATTACAAACCTGAGTTTCTTAGGCTAACATTGTACACGAAGGGCAGGCACACTCAAGCTTGACAGTCCCACTCAGACCACTGTCGGTTGCTCTCTAGGATGATAGCATTGTTTATAGGTTTTAGGGACCACTCCTTAGACTCTGTGAATGGAAATCCATAATGAGCTAAGTTGGACAAGCTCAGCAGTCTTAGAATGCCATACCACCATTCCTACTAAATACCACCCCTATCTGCTCCATGCTGGTCAACTCTCCTCCCTTCACCTGATAGTCTGATCCTTGGTAAAGGCCCCTGGAGCTCTGAGTGGCATTCCTGCTTGCATCCCAGGGTACGGAGGACCAGAGGGGATGACAGCCACGTAAGCACTGGGGGCACCTGAGAAAAAGACCCAGACCCTTCTCTGCAGGGTGGAAGTAGTGCAGAATCTTCCAAGAGCTGGTTTCCTTGGCAAGATGTTAAAAAAAAGGAAAACAGCCAAATCTGAGAGCAAAGAAAATCCTATTTGGTGACTTCATAGCTGGGTCTGAGCCTGGCCTGACCCCACACACAGACTAGCTGGAAAGAACAACTGTCCTCACGATCCATGGCTGTGATGAAGCCATCTCCTCCTTATTTCACACCCTCCCCTCTTTCTCTCCTGCACCCATCACCTCTCTAGAAGGAGATAGACCAAGAAGGTTTTGCCTCTCCATGGTTAATGGAGGCCTGGGGATATGAGAGGGAAAGTTCAGATCCTCTTCGTAAATTTAATTTTTCTGTTTAGGCAACTGGCTCGGCTTCTAGAAGCAAGACTGCAATCTAAATAATATTTGTTTGGTGCTTCTTGGTTTATGAAACTCTTTTCTAGGCATTATCCCACTTGATCTTCATGATAATCCTAGAAACTTGGCAGGGCAGGAATTAACCCCCTCCTGACTCTTCCAGATGGGAAACAGGATCAGAGAGATTACGTGGCGGAGGGAACAGAGTCAGACTAGAATCTGAGTGTCTTCACGGATCTCAAGGTGGACGTTGTCACCCAGATGTCAGCTCCAGGAGGAAGGAGAGCTGGATGGGAGGCCTGGCCATGCCCACTGGAGGCAGCTCTGGACTTGCTGCCAGGCAATAGCAACTCTTGCTGCTCCATCTGCCAGGACGTGTTCCCCATCTCCAAGTCAGGCTGCTACTCATCTGTCTCATCCATCAGTTCTGCTATAACAAGACCCCTGAGACTGGGTCCTTTATAAAGAACAGAAGTTCATTTTCTTCCAGTTCTGGAGGCTGGAAAGTCCAAGATCAAGGCGCCAGCAGGTTTGGTGTCTGGCGAGGGCTGCTCTGCGCTTCCAGATGGTGCCTTGTGTCTGCATCCTCTGGAAGGGAGGGACACTGTGTTCTCACATGGTGGAGGGAATGGAAGGAGTGAAAGGGGGGCAAACTCCCTCTGTCAAGCCCTTTTATAAGGGCACCTAATCACATTTATGAGGCTGGAGCCTCATGACTCAATCATCTCCCAAAGGTCACAGCTCCCCATACTGTTACACTGGGAATTGAGTTCCTAACACATGAATTTGGGGACATACATCATCCTTCAGATCCCCACTCAAATGTCACCTTTTAGACATAGACTCCAGGAATCTTCCAGGCCAGCTAGATTATGTGATTCCCTGGGCTGTCACAGTTCCTAGGATATTCACTCTGGGTTTGCCGTTTACCTTCCTCACTGGATTCTAAGCTCCTTGGGATCGGAGTCTCCATCTTTCATTTCTGCAGTTCCACCCCTAGCATAAGGCCTGTTCCAGAGGACATTCTCTCTGTAATATTTATTGGCTGAGTTCATCAATTAATCAGATCAAGTCACCACTCCATGTATTTATGATCCACAAAGCAGATTTGCACTTTCTTTTCGTTTACTTATGTATTTATTTTTAATTACCTAAGGAGGACATAATGTATTTTTGCTGTAAGCAATTCAAACAGTATAAATCAATCAAAGGAACTCCTTTACCATACCCTCCACCATCACCCTATGCCAAGGCTCCCATTTTGTTCCTGGCCTTCCCCTGGAGGACACCGCTTTGTCAGTCTGGGGTGTCTCCTTCCAGACCTCTTGCTATGCATTGCCATGCATGTATAACTACATGTGGAAATAGGAGGCTTTGTGTTTTGTGTGTATCTCTTCACATATATGATATCCCATTGCACATCTTATTCTGCAGCTTGCTTTTTGTCACAAAATGATGTTTCTTGGACTATTCTCCCTGTCAGTCTCAGAGAGATCCCTAGGGTTTTGAGCTGCTGAGCTATTGTTTTTTCATCTAGACATTTCTTGATGGGCATTGAGGCTTTCCTCGATCTTCCCTGACAAACAACCTTTCAATGCTATGTCCTAGTCATTCAATTTCCTTTCTCGGGTGGCACCTTCTGACCCTTGCTGAAATGCCAGGTTATTTCTTGTCTCCCCACAGCCAATGGTACAGCAGGGCCTGGGCACTGGCCATGCGGGTGGTCTGAGAGTGGTCAGAGTCTTCAAGACCCTGAGACCAGAGTCACGGTTACCATTCATACAGCACCCAGCAAGAGCTCACTGAGCCCCCGTAACAGAGAGCCATCACCTCCCAAGGCAGGGTTGCTTCGTGATAAGGGTTGGCGTCAGACACTCTCGGTTTTGGGGCTTTCTGGATATGGGATCCAAACTTCAGGTTCCTCTTCTAGAGTGGGAACAGCAGACCTCCCTTCCAGGGCAGCTGTGAGGATTAAGTGAGATCATATGTTCCCTGTGCCTGGCTCGGCGCCAGTTCTTGCCAGAGCCTCACAGCCATTAACTGTTGGAATCCACTGGCCCAGCCTACTGTGAGCCCTTCCTCCAGTCCTGTCCTGCTCCACCCACTGGTCCTCATTTTGCCCCTACTGATGGCAGGTGACGGCTGAGGAATGGTTTTCTGGTATGTTGGGAAATATGAACTTCTCGTTTCCTTATGTAAGACAGGACTGGAAATTCATCTGCCGCCAAAGTCGCTGACGGTCAGTGTTCCAGGATCCAAAAAGATTTTTATCAGGGCCAGTTCCTTCACTCCAGCTCCTCCTGGCATAACCGAGCGAAGGTTGGAGAAAAAGAAGACAGATCAGCAAAGGACTTGCCAGGGCCCAGGTACAAGCTCCCTGTCTCTGCCAGTTGCTGCTCTGATGCAGCATGGGAATTCGGGAAGCCGGAACCAAGTGAGCCCAAGAAACCCGAGGTGCTCTGGTGTCAGCTGAGGAGGAGTCCTGGCCAGAAGTCATATCAGCACTGACCTGAACAGGGAGGAAGGACTGTAAAGTGGCACATCAGTAATAAAGGCCATGCCCTAGAGGAGTTCACGGGCACCATGGGGCAGCCCAAAGGAGGACTGGCATTGGCAGGCCTGGGCTTTGTTATTCCTATGCGATATTGACAAGTCCCTTAACCTCCCTCTGGGTCTTCGTTTTCTCATCTGTGAAATGGGAGCAGGACTGCTCACTCACTGTGTGGCCACATCAGTGTGTATAAAGGTTATTGGTGTGCCATCTAAAGCATCGAACAAACGCCAGACCTTACTGTGAAAACACACTCAGAAGTTAGCCTCTTGCTCAGAAGATCAAGAGAAGGAAAGTAGGGCCTCAGGCAGAAGATAAGGAGAGGAGTTGATAGAGCAAACAAATGAGAGAGAAGAAGGAAAAATACAGACAGGAAGACCAAATGACAGAGTACTTTCAAAGCCCCTTTTCACGCCTCTCTCCTTTTAATTTATGTTCATAGCAGTCCTCAGCTGATGTGGCCCGGGGGCTGATCCCTGGTGGTAGCTGTGGTGGTCAGCGGGGTTCAGGCACTTCTCCCGTCCTGCAGCAGGGCTGGCCACATCCCTCCAGCCGCACCTCTCACCCGGGCCTTGGAAGACCACTCGGTGGCTGCGGCACCGTCCTCTGGTTCACTTACTCTCCTGACGGAAAAGTTCCCTCCACTCCCGCCTCGCTCCAAGCCACACAGCTCAACACCTCGCCTCCCAGCGCCGGGACCCCTGGAATGCCGGAGAACCCCTACAGTACCCTGGCTTCAGGGGAAATGAGAGAGAGAAAGAGAAAGAGGGATAGGGAAGCAAGAATCAGAGAGACCACGCAGAGAGACAGAAAGAAAGAGAGATGGAGAAGAAAAACAGAGAGACACAGAGAGACCCAAGAAGGAAAGAGACAGAGATACAGAGAAGCAGGAAGAAAAAGAAAGGCTAGACAGACAGAAACGGGGAGCAGAGCCCACACACAGGGCAGAATCCCCATCGGCCAATGCTGCTAAGGATGATTCCACAGGATGCGAGTAAGGTGGTTTGGGGGGAAAATAATTCTGTGGCCAAACAAGATGGAAAGCACAGAGTTAAACAAGAACAAAAAAGGTTGTTTTCCACAGGGCTTCAGTGCTTCTGACAGGCAACGGTACGTGTTGTGAACCTCCAAGAGGGGGCTCTAGGGTTTCCCAATTAATGTGCCCACCACCACCAGCAGCAGCAAAAACTCAGCACTTCGACATGTGCTGACAGCAAGATTCAGAGGGAAACAGATACCAGGGCTTAGAAATAAGAGAGAGGCAGGCAGACAGAAGGACATAGAAAGACAGACCCAGAAAGAGCAGGGAAGCACACAGACACACACATACACACACAGACAGACATACACATAACACACACACACACACACACATGCACAGGGAGCGAGAGAAAAAGAGAGAGCGAGAGAGAGAACTCAGTGCGAAGAGAGAGGCAAAGTAAAGACCAGCATAAAGACAGACGCAGACAGAGAGGGATAGAACTACAGAGACAGAGGAATAATAAATTAGAGACAGAGACCCAAAGAGAGGTACCCCTGCCTCTGTAAAGCTGAGCGAGTCATTGCCTTGTTTGAAAACCTCAGTGGCTGATGAAATCAGTGTCCCTGAACTTGACTTGCACCACCCTTCATGATCCCCCCTAGACTCATCACTTCCACACTGTATTCTCACACTGTTTCTCTGCCATACCAGGCCCTTTCTCACCTTCAGGTCATGCACAAGCTGTCCCCTCTGCCTGGGGTGCCCTCTAGCCCCCACCCTTGCTTCTCTGTGTCTCTGTCTCTTTCCTTCTTGGGTCTCTCTCTGTCTGTCTGTTTTTCCCTATTGGCAGTGCCCCCCCAACTGAAACCCAGAGAAGCTCGGGCTTGTTATGAAATGAGGAGCCCAGCAGATTCCAAAGCTCCTCCTGAAGTTGGCCCAAACACACTTCCTCTCTCAGCAGGCGATGCGTCTGCCAGTGCCAGAGGACAAACTCCCTGGAGGAAGACACTTAATCTGCGGCACAAACACATTCAGTCGCCCCTATGAGGAAGACCTGAGAAATACATCAACCACGCAGCGGAGCAGAGGCCACTGAAGGAGCAATGTTCCTGCACCGCTCCCTGCTTCTGGAAAGCTGAGCCCATGCATCAGTGGTCACTACCACAGCTACAGCTTGGCTTCCGGAGGACAAGGCTGACACAAAGCTCTGAGAGCTACTGAGCTGTTTTTAGATGATTTGCCATTAATTTTCTGGTTTTATAGGAGCTTTCAAGATGCAAGATCAACTGAGTGACGTCAAAGGCTGTATTTCACTGGCATTAATGCTGACTCAACCCACAAGCCACCACCTCCTTTTAATTCCTTGGATTTGCACCTGTTCCAGCAAAGAGCAGTCCCAAGGGACTTCTTGGGAAACAGTCAAGTCCCCTCCACAGCAGATCTATTTGTATCTTTGTTCCTTGCGGCTCAACCTGTCTCAGTTTTGGCTCCAGGCAAGATGTACCATAAGGTTCATAGTGGTCAAACATCTGTTCCCTTCTCCTCGGGACCAGACCAGCTCAATTCACCTTCTATGTGTAACTATCCATGGAGATCTTTCCAAAGCACAAGTATGACTGGCCTTCTCGCTGCTCAAATGCCTTCCATGGCCCCCATCTGCCGCACGGTCCAGCTGGTCATCCTTGGGGACGCAGCTAAGCAGGATTCGTCACTGCGCTGTCTGTGCTCTCTTACGTACTCATGAGGCCATTATCTCCCATGTTCCCGGTAAACACGGGACATTCCTTCGGCACCGGCATGACATTCTGCTTGGCCAACTCTGACCATAACTCACAGCTGAGCTGTGCTCTGCTCTGCATGTCACCCCATGAGCCACTCACACTCAGCATCCTACCCAGCGGACGCTTGGCATAACCATCTGCAGCCCTGTCCACACATTGGTCAGGACTGAGAGGCACATCAAGGAAGGGGCCCATGGCAACTTGCTGCCCCTCCTTCCCCTCCTCAGGGAAATGAGACTCAAACTCAGGGATGATTCCTGAATCTCCAGTCCCAGGGAGGCTGCTCCCAACCCAACATGGCCACACAGCATACTACAGGGGTTTGCATAAAGCCAAATGCATTATCTCCTTCCCTTCCCTACTCTGTCCCCATGTCCCGAGTCTGGATTACTGATGTGAGCAGCCTCCAGTTTCCAATTCAGAGAGCTGGGGAGTCTCCCTGGTTCCCCCCATGACCTAGAGGTCATGAATTCCATCACTGGCCAAGACCTAAGTTCTGATCTCATCATCTCCTGCCTGGCCCGTTCCAAAGTTCCTAACTAGTGTTCCGCTCTCCAGTGTTTCCCCTCTCCAATCTGTACCCCTGCCTCTGTAAAGCTGAGTGTGTCATTGCCTTGTTTAAAAACCTCAGTGGCTGGTGAAATCTGTGCCCCCGAACCTAACTGGCACCACCCTTCATGATCTACCCCAGAATCGCCACTTCCACACTGTATTCTCATGCTGTTTCTCTGCCATACCAGGCCCTTTCTCACCTGCAGGTCATGCACACTCTGTCCCCTCTGCCTGGGGTGCCCTCCAGCCCCACCCTTGCTTCTGCCTCACTCAGTTCATGTTTCTCTAAGCACAATATTCGACTGTAATTTCTCTGTGTGTTTCTCTTCCATCAGCCTGGAACCCACAGAGTCATGCTCTATAAACATTTGTTGAGTGAATGCATGCATGGATGGATGGACAGATGGAGGGATGGATGGGTGGATACACAAGTAATTATCAATCCCAGGCCGTATGGTAAGGCATGCCAAGTGACTGCTCCTGCCAGTCACCAGCCCTGCAGCTGCCGAGAGGTGCAAGGAGATGCTGCTGGCTGCAAAGTCCAGCTCCTGGCTCCAAGGCTGACTCAGCTTCTTCTGGCTCAGAATTCACTAAACAGGGGTTCTGAACCTAGACCCCTAAGGGGTCTGCAGATAGAATTCAGAGGTGTCTATGAACTTGGATAGGGAAAGCTATCTCATAGGCAACAAAGCACAGTAGTATCAGTAGTACTCTGAACCCAAGAAACATCATAAATATTTTTAGATCCCCTTATAATTGTCACAGATATCACAGAATACCATTTATGTTCATCCCTACTTTGATATTACAATCATATTAGCTACTGTTAGATATGGATTCCTGCTGCCTTATCTTGTTGACCTGAAAAAGAAGCACATGTGTTTCTATATTATAAATATGTTTAAATACAACACTTTTACATACCTATTCCAATAAAATTGGTTTTTTTGTAAGTTTCTGTATTTTATTTTACTTTATGCACTTACCTTTTGTAAGTTCTGTATTTTATTTTATTTTTTGAGACAGAGTCTCACTGTGTCACCTAGGCTGGAGTGCAATGGCATGATCTCGGCTCACTGCAACCTCCGCCTCCCAGGTTCCAGCGGTTCTCCTGCCTCAGCCTCCTGAGTGGCTGGGACTGCAGGTGCCTACCACCACATGGCTAATTTTTGTATTCTTAGTAGAGATGGGGTTTCACCATGTTGGCCAGGCTGGCCTCAAACTCCTGATCTGGGGTGATCCGCCTGCCTCAATCTCCCAAAGTGCTGGGATTATAGGGATGAGCCACCACACCCGGCCAGTTCTGTATTTTATTTTATGCACTTATTACTCTGAGAAGGGATCCATAGGCTTTAGCGCATAATGTTCAGGGGCCCATGGCACAGCGATGGTTAAGAATGCCTTCAAGTGGAAGTAAATGGCAGAGCCCAGAGTGTCTGGGATGCCCAAGAAGAGAGCAAAAGCCTCTGCCTAGACTGCTCTGGCTGGCAGACAGCCTGTTGCCCCATTCCTTCCCTGAGCCCAGTGCATAGATGTCCAGTCTCCCTGAGGGGGAGCATGGAATGAGGTTTGTACTCATCACTCAGCACCCCCGAGCACGGCCAATCTTCTCGGAGATGTTACACTCCCTCATCAGCATCCACACCCTGCTCCAAACAGCAGGAATCCTTTCGGAAGAAACTTAGAGGGATCTGCTTTTCAAAAGAGAGACTCATCCTAGCCCACCCCACCTCACCTCAAAATTCCAAAGTATCTACATGCAAGTCTCTTGGAGCTATTGGCCAAAGCTCGGCACAGGCGTGCAGAGAAGAACACAAAGAAAATTACAGGTCAGCTAGGGCGGTCAGACCTGGAATTGGCGTGGCTACGATGGTGTCTGGAGTCCACCACAGGGCACAGGAACTCATTCTTGCAGCTGCCGGGACTTTTGACTGCTAGCAGGTCACCAAGGGGCCCCTCCCCAGGAGCTGCCCTCAGTGGAAGGAAACTGACTTATGCTACATCCGCCTCTATGGCCTGTCACTGTGGAGGGCCAAAGGTCCAAGCCCCTGCCTCAATGTGGAGCGCCCATCTGGCAATCCCAGCTCCAGAGCCCTAGTGGGATCAGCTGGGCTCTCTGTGGCAGCTGCATCAGAGTTCAACTTCGCTTTCTGCCCAATCCTGCTGCAAGACAATGGAGGTGGAATTATGAAGGCGTCTGTAAGTGGAGTTCTGGCACTGAATTAAAGATAGTGTGAGCAATGCTGAAGCACTTGGCCTGCCAATGGCCCAGGAAGGATACAACACACCACAGATTCCTGACCATAACCTGGAGAAGCCTATGGACCTCTTAGAAGGTTTGTAAATATATACAATGAAAAGTAGAGAATTACAATTCTGATTTAGGTAAGCAGCCAATAGGTACACGTTGGAGCTCCCACATCACAAGGGCTGGGGACCTACCAGACTGGGAAGGTGGAAGCGATGTGCTAGTTCAGGTTCACGAGTGAGAATCTGTGGGAGACAGATGCCACCCCCATTATCCCTTCTTCCCTTCTCTTTCTTTAGTTTTAGTTGGGAACGTGGCTGCCAAGGGATAGGCTATATTAGTTTGCTCATGCTGCCATAACAAAGTACCCCAGACTGGGTGGTTTAAACAACAAAGATTTATTTTATCACAGTTCTGGAGGCTGGAAGTCCAAGATCAAGGTGTTGGCAGGGCTGGTTTCTTCTGAGGCCTCTCTCCTTGGCTTGCGGGTGGCCGCCTTCTCCCTGTGTCTTCATACGGTCTTCCCTCTGTGCATGTCTGTGTCTTAATCTCCTCTTCTTATAAGGACAGCAGTCATTGGATTAGGGCCCAACCTAATGGTCTCATTTTACCTTTATCACCTCTTTAAGGATCCTGTCTCCAAATACATTCTGAGGTGCTGGGGGTCAGGACTTCAACATATGAATCTGGAGGGGGACATAATTCAGCCCAGAACAAGCCTGTATTTCCCAACCTTCCTTGCAGCTAGGTGTGGCTGTGTAATGAACTTCAGTCCTATGAGATATGTGCAGAAGTGTTGTCAATTTCCTTAAGTCAGTCCACATGCTCCATACTTGTTTGGTTTTTCCCTTCCCAGTGGCTGGAACCACTGCCTTAGACAGATGGGAGCTATGTGTTAGGCTGGTGGGGTGGATGCTAACCTGGGTCCATGGACAACTTCATGGAGCAGAACCACCTGCCCATCCTGGATTGTCACTGTCATAACAACAAAATCTCCATGGCAGAAAACAGGAAGCATTCATTCCACTGTGTCTGCAGGCTGGCTGGGAGTCTGCTGTTCTGGCTGGGCTCAGCTGGGTGGCTGGAGCTACAGCTCTGGTCTGTGTCTGCTCCACTTCTCTCACCTTCCTTGAACCAGCAGGCTGACTGGGGATGATGCTTCTTATGATGCAGAGCAGGAGAACAGGAGGGGCAACAGCAACCTGCAAGGCCTCTTTCAGCCTGGTTTTCCTGGAACATTGTCACTTCCACTCACATGCCATTGACTATAGCAAGTCATTCAAGATAAACCAATAGTTTGCCAGGCCTGCCTGCATTTACAGACTTATATGAGAAAGGAAGAAACCTTCATCTTACATAAGCCACTGTATCTGGGGACCCTTTGTTACAGTGGCTCAGCCTGTACCTTAATATGAGACCTAGTCTATCCCCCACTAGCCTCAGGGAGAGCTAAAACCTGAGCCTGCCGTTCAGAGGCAGAAGCTGCATTTCATCCTCATGTCCAAGAAGCAAGCTGGGGGCCAGAAATGGGGCCAGGCCAAGAGGGTTGGAAGCCAAGGAACGGGTTAAGGATCCAGTCAACTTGGCTTGGCTGTCCTGGGTAACAGCTGAGTATGTGTGTGCATCAGGTGGTGTACTAGTCCATTCTCACACTATTAAAAAGAAATACCTGAAGCTGGATAATTTATAAAGAAGAGAGGCTTAATTGGCTCATGGTGCTGCAGGCTGTATAGACTTCTGCTTCTGGGGAGGCCTCAGGAAACTTACAATCATGGTGGAAGGGAAAGGGGAAGCAGACATATCTTCACATGGCCGGAGAAGAAGGAAAAGGGGCGCAGAGGTAGGTGCTACACACTTTTAGACAAGCAGATCTCAGGATAACTCTATCACAACACAGCACTAGGGAGATGGTGCTAAGCCGTTAGAAAATGTCCCCATGATCCAATCACTTCCCACCAGGCACCTCCTCCAACACTCGGGATGACCATTCAACGTGAGATTTGGGCAGGTTCACAAATCTAAACCATATGAGAAGAGGTCTTGTAGTGGGGGCAGTCAGCCTGGTTATGGGATCACCAGTGGAGAGAAGAGATGGGGAGGGAGCGCCATTAATCTATGCATTCAACAAATATCTGTGGAGCACCTACTGTGTGTCAAGCACTGTGCTAGGGGCTAGGGAGATAGAGGAAACAGTCCCCACCACTAAGGAACCAAGAGAGCCATGTGGGTAAGATGGCACTTTGCCTCCAAGAGTAAATCTTGCACATCTTGCAGAGAAGTGGTGGGCAGGGCTGTCCCCACCCACAGCTGAGTCCAAAGCATTCATGCGAGGAACTGACATCTCAGCCTGGAGGGACACACAGGACACAAGAGTTCTTTTGTTCGTGAGACTCCTAAGAGTAACCTGAAAGTTCATGAGGATGTTCCCTGTACTTATGTTTGTCTTGAAAATATTATCTACAAGGATATTCTACACGTTAAAACAGTGTCCATTCTTGAAGACATTTTGGCCCCAGGAAGTGACTTCCTCCCCTGTGTAGACTACACTTCATGTGGCAGTGGGGTAGGGTGCTAAGAATGTGGACTTTCAAGCCAAGCTGTCTGGCTTCCAATCCTGGTGCGACCTCTTCCTAACTGTGCCACTTGATGCAAGTTAGTTTGCCTCTTTTGTTCTTTTGTGTCCCCATTTTCCCATAGGAGTGAGTAGGGATTCAGTGAGCAAACAGATGTGATGTACTTAAACAATGTTAAGCACATATTACAAGCCACTGTTTTTATGCCATTCAACCTCTAAGCCTTTGTCCAGGCTGTACCCCCCAAAAAACAAAGAGAACGTAGAAGGAAGCACAAGCAGCAAATGTTTGGAATCTGAAAAGTTGATGGAGGAGGGCTAACTGATTTAGCAGATCCGAGAAAGTGGAATCCTTCGTCAGCAGTAGAGAAAGCCAAGAAACAACCCAATTTATTCTAATGACCTTCCCAAAGACTGAAACACTGGCAACCACAGATACTTTAGAAAGTGGGATAAAGACAGCATTTATAAAAGAGGAGGAGGGATCCATCTTCCCCACCTTTACAGAAGGCTGGAGGTTTATTCTCCAAAGAGGATGAAATAGAAGGTTGTAGGACTGGGGACACCAGGGAGAACACGAGGACAAATTCGGTAAAATTTGCATAGTGAAGGTAGAGATCCCTGGATTTTATGCCTGCCTGGCTCCGAGCATCCTGGCCACTAGCATTAACCTTTTCCAGGTAAGGGATAGGGAATCTGAGAAGCTGGAAAGAAAATATCTGTAGGTACAGATATCAGGGTTCCTGGATGAAATACTTGGCCAATCAAAGCAAAGCCTGCCTTGGACAAGATCTATTCCTGAACACTAAGCACCAACCAGCTTGTCAGTCCCCACTCTTAGGTGTGAGTGGCCAGACAGTGGTCACCAGACATTTAACAGAGGCCAAAACAAACAGATAAAGTAAGTGGGAGAAAACAAGGACTATACAGGGAGGGTGAAAGACTATACAAGAACTATATAGAAGAACGACTATACAAAGAAACAAAAACAAAAACAAAAATTAATATTCTCACAGTGGTAAGAAGATGATAGTAATAATAATTGCCAACATATAGTATTTAATTTAATTTTTACAAAAACCCCTTGTGGTAGATGTACTGGCCAGAATTGTGTTCCCCAAAAGATATATTCAAGCCCTAATACCTGGTACCTTTGCATGTGACCTTATTTAGAAGCAGGGTCTCTGCAGCGGTAATCAGGTTAAGATCATACTGGACTAGAGTAGGGCCTAATTCAACAATTGGTGTCCATATAAGAAGAGAAATTTAAACATAGATACAGAAGAAACATAGTGAAGAGCTCCTTGTGAAGATGGAGGAGTGGTGCCTCTCCAAACAAAGGAGTGCCAGGGATTGCCAGTAGCTGCCACAAGCTAGGACAGAGGCATGGAACAGATTCTTCCTCAAAGGCTCCAGGAGGAACCAACCCTGCTGACACCTTGATTTTGGACTTCTGGCCTCAAGAACTGTGAGAAAATTAATTCTTGTTGTTTTAAGCCACCCAGTTTGTCGTACTCTGTTATGGCGGGCCTAGGAAACGAATTCAGCTTGTGATGCAGCAAAAACTAACTCTGGGAGAAGCCAGCTGCCATGTTGTGAGACCACTCAAGCAGCCTCGAGGAAAGGTTGCTGTGATGAGAAACTGAGAGAATTTCTACCAACAGCCAGCAAATAATGAAGATCTCCCGTCAACAGCCATATGAGTGACCATCTTGGAAACATATCCTCAGCCCCATGTCAAGCCTTCTGCTGACTGCAGCTCTGGCTGGCAGCTTTACTGCAACCGCATGAGAGACTCTGATCCACAACCTAAAGTGCAGAAACTTTCTGAGATTACACAGATTTGTAGTTTTAAGCCACTACCTTTCGGGGTAATTTGTCAGGCGGTAGTATATAACTATCATACCGCCTATGCATCCCTTCTCAGGAAACTATGCTCCACTAAAGCAACAGAGTAAGCAAGAAAGAGGAAGAGGTGAGATCCAGGGAGCCAGCATCCCAACACAGCAGAGGGGGTGAAGGAGCTGCCCGCGATGCTGGTGAAAGGAGACCCAGGAAAATGGCTGCCCAGTAGACCTGGACAGCAACTGGTGCAGGCTGGAGCAACACAGAAGGCTCCAGAAGCTTCAAGAGGAAGGTTAAACTGATGTAATATCCGATGTATTCAAACATATTAAAAGAAGCTTAGGGACACATTACCGATTAAGTACAGAGAAGCACTCTGAAATTAAAACAAAATCAAGAGCTATTAATTTTAGGGAAAATAATGTGTTATGCAGTAAAAGAAAACAGTTATAGCATTCTATTTTATTCTATAGTCTATTTATTTCTACACTATTCTATATTCAGCTGTAAATAGCCAAACATAGTCATAATAATGTAGAGCCTGAATGACGATATAACCACAATAATCACGGAATTCTGTTGAGAGACTGAGAAGAACGAGAAGCATGCCGAGGTCGGGTGGGGTGGCAGATGTACCTGAGAACAGGCATGAGAGAGAGAGAGAGAGAGCCTCATGTTCCTCGTGGAGAAGTCAACAGATAACATCTGAAATGGAAAAATCAAGAATTAGCAACATACACATGAAATTAATGATATGGACAACAGATACCAACCAATGGATGGAAAATCAGCCAGAATAGTTCAAAGTGCTTTTCTCTGGGGACCTGGAAGTGGTGATGAGAGGTGTCGGGGACTGCCATTTCCATAACAAGCTTCACTTCACAATAGGTTCTAAGACCTATTCTTCACTTCGCAATAGAACCACTTCACTTCACAATAGGTTCTAAGACACCTATTTTTCACATGTTAGCATCTTGGAAACTAATTTTTTTAACCATCAGTGGCAACTTACAACTGGCAGCATTTTTTTCTTTCCTGCTTGTATATAAAATAATAATGCATCTTACAATCAATATCATCTTAGTTTCAATGAAATGTAGCATTCGACTCTATGAACTATGGGCAATGCCTAAATTTTAGTTAGAAAAATAAAAACTGGCTGGGCGTGGTGGCCTGTAATCTCAGCACTTTGGGAGGTTGAGGAGGACAGATCACCTGAGGTCAGGAGTTCGAGACCAGCCTGGCCAACAGGACAAAACCCTGTCCCTACTAAAAATACAAAAATTAGCCAGGCATGGTGGCACATGCCTGTAATCCCAGCTACTAAGGAGGTTGAGGCAGGAGAATCGCTTGAACCTGGGAGGCGGAGGTTGCAGTGAGCTGAGATCATGCCACTGCACTCCAGCCTGGGTGACAAGAGTGAGACTCTGTCTCACAAAGAAAAAAGAAAAAGAAAAACCAAGAAAGAAAGAAGAAACAAAAAAAATGCAATGATGAAGTCTCATTTGTCAGACGGTGGCTTCTCTGGCATTTGCACAGGGCAGCCCAGCCCAGTGTTGTGTGAAAGCTCACAGGAGGACATGAAAAGAATCGTTGCCTTTTTTTTGCCACTGGACTTGGTGCATGCTTCTTTCATTGTTAAAGTGACCATATAATTAACAACCAAACGAGGACACTTTTGAGAGGAAAAAAATATTGCTATTAATGATAAACTCCACAACAGCCATAAAATGAGGCTGTCCTATAGGACCACACTACTCTTCATGTATATCAGACCCTGCTAGGATTATCTGCTCACAGATCTGTCTTCCCACCATAAGGCCTATTTGAAAGCAAGAATTGTGCTTTGATCTTTGTAATCCCAGCGTCTAGCATGGTGTCTAGTATACAGTTGGTACTCCGTAAATACTCATGGAATGAATGTATAAATAAATATGCTAATGAACTCTGGTTAAGAAATTCATGGTGAGCCACAGAATCATACTTTAGTTATTACTTTGCATCAGTTATGACTTTGTAATTTGCTACATCATATTCACACACAAGGGGGCTCTTTCTCAAAGCATGTATAAACAAGGAGACATTTAATTCTTACAGCAGTTCAGTTTTTCTCAATGAATTATAGGTTGCTGTTGTTGTTATTGTTGTTGTCTTAAACTCTCCAATTAAAGCAATTGCTCCAGACTGACAAAGCCAGATACCTAGGGGCAGCACTTACAGTGGAAACATCATCTTTAGATGCCAGCACACCTCGACTCTGCACCAGCTCTGCCACGTAGCAGCTGTGTGTCCTTGAATAACGCAGAAGCTCTCTGAGCCTCAGTCTTTCCTTCTGTAAAATGGTCAGAGAACACTGTTGGAGCAAGTCATAAAGTAGAGTTGGTCGGGGTTTGGTGAGGAGCCTCACCCTGCATGTCCCCTGTTCCTGGGCAAGGAGAATCCTCAGGCACATGGCTCCTGCGGGCCCCAGATACCCACAATGCCTGGGTGATGGCTGCTGGCTGTCCAGCACCTTCTTCTGGGAAACACCAAGGTGGCCCAGTGGGAAGAGCCAGGACAAGCCCCAAGTACTCTCCTGGCTGAAACAGAGCAGGGACCCCCCCGAGAGTCCTGCCCCACCCTAAGCATTGAAATAAAGGAAAATCTTGAGTTCCGTCAAGGAAAATTCCAGGCACCTCACTAGCTTTGAGAAGTGAATGAGCAGCCTGATAAGCAAAAAGGTAATAATAGTTTAAAATAATTGCCAAGAAAGTTAGACCCACAAAATATTTGGTGGTTTCCTATGGAAACCAAATAGAGTTTCTTATGGAAACTAAAGATAACTTTTTTTTTCTTTTCTTTTTTCTTTTTTGAGACAGAGTCTCTCTCTGTCACCCAGGCTGGAGTGCAGTGGTGTGATCTCAGCTCACTGCAACCTCCGCCTCCCAGGTTCAAGCAATTCTCTAACCTCAGCTCCCCAAGTAGCTGGGATTGCAGGCATGCGGCATCATGCCCAGTTGATTTTTGTATTTTTATAAGAGATGGGGTTTTGCCATGTTGCCAGGCTGATCTCAAACTCCTGAGCTCAAGTGATCTGCCCGCCATGACCTCCCAAAGTGCTGAGATTACAGGTGTGAGCCACCGCATCCGGCCAAGATAACATCTTAACTTATGTCCCTGAGTTGTTTTTCAGAAACCCAGACCCCCATCAAATGGAAACCGCTGTCTGATGGCACATAGACCTCAGATAAGGGGGAGCTGAAGACTGAATGAACCCTGACTGCTGTTCTTTGTTCTAAATTTCTTCCTTAGGGAGCTGGAGGAAGTCACATCCACAGGCCAGGGCTCAACATTTCTTTATGCTGACCCCAAGTTTTTAGACAAAATTTCTCCCCCTGAACCAATCGCAAATCAGAAAATCTTTGAGTCCACCTATGACCTGTGGGTCCCTGCTTTAGGATGTCCCACCTTTTCAGGTGAAACCAATATATGGCCTCCCGGTACTGATTTATGACTGCAGGTAGCTGCTGCTTCCCCACCTTTAAAACCCCCTCCAGGTAAGCCATAGGAGAGTTCAGGTCCCGAGATTTAGCTGCCCGATTCTCCTTGCTTGGCATCCTGCAGTGCCTCACTTTCTCTCTCTGTGAATCCACATGTCAGTATTTGGGTTTGCTGTACCGGGAAGGTGGACCCAAGTTAGGTTTGTAACATAGTTGACTCTGATAATTTCAGGGGCCAGGGCCTGTCTTTGCCTTGATTTACCCATGGAATCACAACAACTTAATTTTACAAGTATAGGCACTGTATTAGTCAGGGTTCTTCAGAAAAACAGAAGCAGGCCAGGCATGGTGGCTTACGCCTATAATCCTAACACTTCGGGAAGCCGAGGCAGGAGAATAGCTTGGGGCCAGGAGTTCGAGACCAGCCTGGGCAACATGGCCAGACTTTTGTCTCTACAAAAAATCCTTAAAAATTAGTTGGGCATGGTGGCACACATCTGTGGTCCCAGCTACTTAGAAGGCTTAGGCAGGAGAATTGCTTGAGCCCGGGAGTTTGAGGCTGCTGTGAGCCATTATCACACCACTGCATTCCAGCTTGGACAACAGCGCAAGACCCTGTCTCAAAAAGAAGAAGAAGGAAAAGAGAATTGATAGGATGTGTGTATAAATTGGTCTATTTTAAGGAATTAGCTCATGTGATTACAGAGGCTGTCTAGTCCAAAATCTGCAGGGTGGGCTGGCAGGCTAGAGATCCAAGAAAAGCCAAGTCTGTAGTTCAAGTCCAAAGGCTGTCAGCTACTGGATTCCCTCTTGCTTAGGGGACATCAGTCTTTTGTGCTACTCAGGCCTTCAGCTGATTGAATGCCCCTCCACACTCCCCAAAGCATGCACATTAGGGAGGGCAGTCTGCTTTATTCAAAGTCCACCCATTTAAATGTAAATCTCACCCAAAAACACCCTCCCAGAATTATCCAGAATAATGTTTGGCCAACTATCTGGGCACCATGGCCCAGCCAAGTTGACACATAAAATTAACCATCATAGGCCCTGTGTCAACCCCAGGCTTCACAAGAGGAGATGTCAGAGGTTTTTTTGTTTTGTTTTGTTTTGTTTTGTTTTGTTTTGTTTTGTTTTGTTTTGTTTTTGAGACAAAGTCTCGGTTTTTTGCCCAGGCTGGAGTGCAGTGGCACAATCGCAGCTTACTGCAGCCTTCGCCTCCCAGGTTCAAGCAATTCTCCTGCCTCAGCCTCCAGAGTAGCTGAGATTACAGGCACCCGCCACCACACCCAGTTAATTTTTAGTAGAGACAGGGTTTCACCATTTTGGTAAGGCTTGTCTTGAACTCCTGACCTCAAGTGATCTGCCCGCCTCGGCCTCCCAAAGTGCCAGAGATTCTTTGAGTGACAGTCTGGCCACACCTGTGTGAGAAGTCACTTTTCTGCCTACCCACACTGCCCTGGGTGCTCTTCACTCCTAGGGGTGGCATCTGCTTGTCTCCTGTCAACGGCTCTCAAGCTGCATTGCTGCTCTGTTTGTAAGCAAAAGCACCCTTTCTTCAGTCTCACACAGACTGCTGATATAAACATGAATATGAAGTCTAGGGAAAGGGAGAAGGGGAGACCCTCTTACTGGTTAAGCCGCTTGAGGCCACCTTAATAGAGATTGAAAGTCTCTTACCTCAATGAATGCATCAAACGCATTTGGCTGCAAGTAATAACCCAAGCCCTCCATTGGATTAGCTAAACTGCGAACTGCCAACCAAAATAAAATTCTAAGCCCACCAAATGACTGAATGAATCCCTCCTCTTGGACAAGGGCATTCCAAAATAAGCCTGAAAAACTAGTTTAGGCCATGATGGAAAGTGGGAGTCAGACATACCTCATTATACCCTCCTCCTTTTGGAATTCAGGCACAACTGATCAGCATTAACATTAACAGATCTTAAGGTTGACAAAACAGACTCCTTGTACCAAAAAGATACTAAATTCCAACCTGGCTCTAGTATAGCATCACATGACAAATAGCAGCCCCTGAAAAAAATCAAAGTATTTTACCCCAAAAAGCATTTATTTGACGCATTTTAAAATAGCTTTACAAAGCTGTCTCTTAGCAGAAAATCTACATTCTTTAGAGAATCTCCTTCCCTTTCCAGGTCTTTTCCTGATCTGGGAGAGATTTAACTAAGAGTTTGACACATTTTAAAGTCTGATAAGAGACATTTACCATCTATTTCTCTCTGAAGCCTGCTACCTGGAGGCTTCATCTACATAATTAAAACCTTTTCTCCACAACCCCTTATATCAACCCAGACACTCCTTTCTATTTATTCCAGGTCTTTAAATAACAACTTCTTCAACCAGCTGCCAATCGGGAAACCTTTGAATCCACCTGGAATCTGCCTGGAAGCCCACCGTCTTGCCCACCCTGCTTCAAGTTGTCCTGCTTTTCTGAACTGAACCAATGTACACCTTACATGCATTGATTGATGTCTGCCTGTAATTTCTGTCCCCCTAAAATGTATAAAATCAAGCTGTAACCCAATAACCTTGGGCAAATGTTGTCAGGACCTCTTAACTCTGTGTCTTGGGCCCCAGGCACTCATATTTGGCTCAGAATAAACCTAACATTTTACAGATTTTGACTCTTTTCCATTGGAGAACACATTTGCACCTCAAAACAGGAAGTCCAAGGCAGGTGGTCCCAGGGTCGGTAAGCTCAGCGGACCAACAACATCAGCGAGAACCCCGATCTTCCACATCCCTTCCCAGGGCTGTCCTCAGGGCACAGCTCTGGTCCTCAAGCTGCCCTCTAGACATGATGGGGAAAGGCAGGAAAAGGGCCTGTGGATAAACAGGTAAATCACTGGCTTTGGTTATTTTCCACACTTCATAGAAGCAGAAATAGCAGCACAGAGAGTATAAGTAGCATGCTCAAGTCACACAGCAGAGTCAGAGCATTCTCTTGAAGTTCTCTTTCTACAAATTGTGCAGCATCTATCTTCTACCTGCCCTTTCTCCAATCACAGACCCATCACTCAACCCCATGCCCCAGGAAAGAGCAATGTCAGCAAGACAAACCTCTCAGAGATTTGGGAAGCGCCACCCCCTTCGTGGTTTAATGCTGGATGTTTATGACAATGAGGTGAGCCCAAATAAGGCCCCAGTAGAAATTTGACTATGGACTCAGTACCAGGCCATATTAGGGAATTATAATTAATTTTGTTAGATGTGATAATAACATGGAGGTTAAATAAGAAAATATCCACACACTCCCCTCTTTTTTGAGACGCACATGGAAGTATTTATGAGTGCAATGACATCAAGTTTGCAATTTGCTTTGAAATACTCTAGGGGAAACTGAGGGTAAGGTAGGGATAAAGCTGGCATGGCAAAATTTTGATGGTTGTTGAAGCTGGGTGCTGGGCTCAGGGCAGCTTACTCTTCTCTCTACTTTTGTATGTTTGAAAATCTTATAAAAATACAACATAAATGTAAAATAAATTATAAATAAGTAACAAAATAGTGTCCCTGGGAAGCTGCCTAAGGTCCTGTGGAGTTAGTCAGTGGAAACAGAGGGTGCTAAAAATAACCAAGAGATTTATATGGTTTCTCCCATGACATCTTTGGTAATTTATCATGGATACTCACATCTACTCAGTTTGCTCTCCAGACGTCCTGGATGGAGCTTGGTCTCAAGGAGAGAAAGGAATGCTGCCACTCTTATTTGAACAAGTTCTCTTTCAACTTCTGATCATGGCATGGGAAGGAAGTACCTTTCCCTGACCCCTCTCTGCGGGGTTCAGTTTCTCCATAGGACATTAAGTGTAACAAGAACTGCTGAGTCCCTCATAAGGTCCTTGCAAGAATCAGAGAAAATGCTAAGACTAAAAGCACTTTTTAAAAAACCATGTTCAAAAATGAACTGTGCTCGGTGTACAAAATTTAGAAACAAAGATAATCAAAAGAAAGAAAATAGAAATCATGCACAATACTTCCCGCCTGCCCATGTAACTATTGTTGTGATTTGAGGTGTAAACTTTCAAGTTTGTTGTTGTTGTTGTTCACCATATAGGTGGTTTTGTTTTGTTTTTTTTTTTGATTTACAAAAATGGGCTCAAATTGTGTAGTCTTATTTTTTACCATAACACGTCATGAACGTCGTTTGATATTATCATACATTTTTCCACAATATTGTTTCGTATTTTCATCATTGCTATGTTTTCCATCATGTGACTATAGGATAATTTATTTAACCCATCTCATTGTATCAGTTTTCTAGGGCTACCATAACAAAGCACTGCAAACTGGGTGGCTTACAAAAGAAAAAAATGCGTTTTCTTGCAGTTCTGGAGGCCAGCAGTTCAAAATCAAGGATTGGTTCCTTCTGGGGGCTCAAAAGGAGAATCTGTTCCAAGCATGTCACTCCCCTAGCTTCTGGGGTTGCCAGCCATCCTTGGCTCATGGCGGCATAATTTCAGTCTCTGCCTCTATCATCTCGTGACTGTCTTCTCTGTGTGTCTCTGTGTTTCTTTCTCCAATTTTTTTTTTTGGGGGGGGGTGAGAGGGAGGGGAGACAGGGTCTTACTCTGTCACTCAGGCTGGAGTGCAGTGGCGCCATCATGGCTCACTGTAGCCTCAGGTGATCCTCCCATCTCAGCCTCCTGAGTAGCTGGGATTACAGGCACACGCCACGATGCCTGGCTAATTTTTGTATTTTTGTCGAGATGGGGTTTTGCTATGTTGCCCACGCTGGTCTGAAGCTCCTGGTCTCAAGCAATCCTCCTGCCTTGGCCTCCCAAAGTGCTGGGATTTCAGACATGAGCCACTGTGCCTGGCCTTCTTCAATTCTTATAAGGACACTAGTCATATTGGATTAAGGTTCTATGCTACTCTAGTACAACCTCATCTTAAGTAATTATGTCTGCAGTGACTCTAATTCCAAATAAGTTCACATTCTGAAGCTTTAGAGGTTAGAACTTCAACATATCCATTTGGGGGACACAAACCCAAAACTTACTCACATTGTCAGGCTTTTAGGGTATTTTGGTTGACATTTTTGCTATTAATAAATTAGGTCACATTTTTTTTTAACACATCCATGATTGTTTTCTTAAAATAAGTTCCTAGAAGTAGAATTTCTAGATACAGACTGTATCATCAGCCAGAATTTGGCCAGGAAAAGGAAAATCAGAGGTCTTTTCAAAGAGAGAGGATTTAATATACGGAATTGACTGTGCAGGTGTTGAGAAGATGCAAAGTAGGCTGGGTGTCGTGGCTCACACCTGTAATCCCAGAACTCTGGGAGGCCAAAGCAGGCGAATTGCTTGAGTACAGGAGTTTGAGACCAGCCTGGGCAACATAGTGAAACCCAGTCTCTACTAAAAATAATAATAATTTAAAACAAAATTAGTCAGGTGTGGTGGCGCTTGCCTGTAGTCCCAGCTACTCAGGAGGCGAGAGGATCACCTGAGCCTGGGAAGCCGAGGCTGCAGTGAGCCAAGATCACATCACTACACTCCAGCCTGGGTGAGAGACAGAGAGAGAGAAGAGACAAGATAGAAAGCAAAAGATGAAGAGGTAACCCAGAGATTAATAATTGCAAGAAGGAGCTGCCATTCCCAGGTTTGGGGGAAAAAAGAAAAAAAGACATGGAGCGTCCAGAACTTAGGCATGTGAAGGAGGAGGCTCCCTAAGGCTCATGCTCAGACCTTCAGGGCAGGACACTGCAAGATCTGTGCTTGGAACTCTCAGGGGGCGCCTGCGGCCACGCTCAGACATCTGAGAGGAGGGCACTGACCTCTGAGGCAGCACCACATGCCTGGTGCTTGGGGTGCAGGTGGCATGGCTGCTGCTGGAGGGATGCAGACCTCAGTCAGAAATCAAAACAGAGTCCCTTCTCCCCTCCTCTCACCATTCAATCTCCACCATTGCCTCCCATTAGCAAACTGGAAGCCAGCAAGGTATCTGGAAAATGAAGTTTGCAGACTTCTAGCCCCTGCATTACCGAACAGAAATGGTGTGGGCAGGAGGTATGAAGATGAGAGGCAACAAATAAACAACTGTCCTGAAGGCTTTTGATATGCATTCTTCCATTGTCTTCCAGAAAGGCTCGATCAACTTACACTGACACCAGCAGGCCATGGAAATGCCAGTTCCTAAATCTCAATAACACTGAAGGTTATGATTTTAAATTTTGTTTTCAGTTTGACAGGAAAAAATTATACTTTGATTTGCTTTGCATTTCTTTGATTTTTAGTGATGTTGGATACGTTTCCTATGTTTTTGGCCACTATATTTATTACTTGTTTTGTA
Organism: Homo sapiens; assembly: GCF_000001405.40. Classification (NCBI taxonomy): domain Eukaryota; kingdom Metazoa; phylum Chordata; class Mammalia; order Primates; family Hominidae; genus Homo; species Homo sapiens. Next base: position 93,839,929 of record NC_000014.9, on the reverse strand, counting down.
AATTGTTGAAATACAAAACTAAAATAATTAAAGTGTCAGATTGTATGTCCTTTGACCATTTTTATTACACTATTTGCCTTTTTCTTCTCAATTCATAACACTATGCATGAAGGATATTAATCCTTGTTCTACAATACATGCTGCAAATAATATTTTCTCATAGTGGTTTGACATTTAGTTTTATTTACAGTGTTTCTGATGTCAGGTGGCTCAATTTATATGTGGTCAAATCGATTACTCTTTTCTTCTATGCATTTGCCTTTGATTTTATACTTAGAAAGCTCTTCCCCAGGCCAAGATTACGTAAATATTTATATGTTCTTTATTCTTTATGTTTTTTACATTTTCAACACAAAGGTTTTTTTTTACATCGTAATCTTTATGTGGAATTTGTTTGGGTATATAGCATAAAGTTAGAAATAATGGAATAATCCATTTTTCATCTATAATTTGTGTTTATTTATTTATTTATTGAGACAGAGTTTCGCTCCTGTTGACCTGGCCAGAGTGCAATGGCACATTCTCGGCTCACTGCAACCTCCACCTTCCAGGTTCAAGCGATTCCCCTGTCTCAGCTTCCCAAGTAGCTGGGATTATAGGCATGCACCACCATGCCCAGCTAATTTCATATTTTAGTAGAGATGGGGTTTTGCCATGTTGGCCAGGCTGGTTTCGAACCCCTGACCTCAGGTGATCCACCTGCCTCGGCCTCCCAAAGTGCTGAGATTACAGGCGTGAGCTACCATGCCCTGCTTTCATCTATAATTTGTGATGCCACCTCTATCCTCTATTAAACTGATATGGATAGATAGATGCATAGATAGATAGATAGATAGATAGATAGATAGATAGATAGATATGGATATATGTGTGTGTGTGTCTATTTCTCCAGTATCTCTTTTATTCCATTAGTCTGTATGATCATTGCATTTTATTACATTCTCACAAAAATGTAAACTCCATGAAAGTTGCCTTGGTTCTACTAGTGCCTAGAATGGTGTCCGGCACATAGCAAGTACTCGAGAAATACACATTATTGCTTGAGTGGACTATTCCTGTACCAGATCATTTCTGGTTTTGCTTTTTTAAAATTCACTTTTATCAAGGTATAATTTACACACAGCAAAACTCTCCTGCCTTAGTGGCCAGGTCGAATTTGACAAACACATACAGTTGGAAAACCACCATAACCAAGATATAGAATAGTTCTGTCACCACAAAAACACTCTGTCATGTCTTTGTTTTCAATTAATTTTTTTTATTTTAAACTGTGATTTTTAAAAAACACACACCATTAAATATGCCACCTTTTTGATTTTCAAACATACAGTTCCGTAGTGTTGAGAATATTCACAGTGTTGTGCAACAGATCTCCAGAACCTTCTATCTTGCAGACCTGAAACTCTATGTCATTAAACCACTCCCTTTTTCCCCCTCACCCCAGCTCCCTGGAAACTATCATTTTACTTTCTGTTTCTATGAATTTGACTACTTTAGATACCTCATGTAAATGAGATTTATCTTTTGTGACTAATTTCCCTTAGCATAATGTCCTCGAGGCTCACGCATGTTGTCACATGTGACAGAATTCCCTTCCTTTTACAGCTGAATAATATTCCACTGTGTCTATCAAGTTCTTTGATAGCTGACTCCTACCCCTAGGTCCTGAAGTTTTTTCTGTCTCTATAGTTTTACCTTCCAGAATGTTATATAAATGAAATCCTACAGTATGTTTATGGTATATAGGCTTTTGAGTCAGGCTTGTTTTTCTCGGCATAATGCATCTGAGGTTCACCCACGCTGTTGTGAGTACCACTATTTCATACTTTTTCATCATTGAGTAATATTTCATTATATGACTCTATCACAGTTTGTTTATTCAGTTCTCAGATGAAAATAAATTTGAGTTGCTCTCAATTTTAATTATTGCAGCTTCATAATGCTTTTTTTTTTAATTTTTGAGACCGAATCTCACTCTGTCACCCAGGCTGGAGTACAGCAGTGCGATCTTGGCCCACTCCAACCTCTGTCTCCCAGGTTCAAGCGATTCTCCTGCCTCTGTCTCCCACGTAGCTGGGATTATAAGCACACGCCACCATGCTCGGCTAATTTTTATATTTTTCATAGAGACAGGGTTTCTTCATGTTGGCCAGGCTGGTATTGAACTCCTGACCTCAAGTGATCCACCCGCCTTGGTCTCCCAAGGTGCTGGGATTACAGGCATGAGCCACTGCGCCCAGCCCCATAATACATTTTTTATAGTGAAACCATCTAGTAAGCTGCCAAATGTATACCAGTTGTAGCCATCACTAGAGGAGAGTATCCCTAGAATATGGAGATAAGATTTCCTTCTGGGAGTAAGAATGAGAGGAAACAACTTCTAACAGATTCAGGAGCTTGAGTGATGTTGGAGGACTTGCGGGAAACAGCCAGGTCCTGCCAATAAAACCAGACACAGCAGACTCACAGGCAGCGTGGTGGGCCAGGGCACAGGGCATTAAGGGTGTAGGCTCTGGAGATGAGGAGCTCTGGGTATTGCTCTTCCCTCTGACATTTCCTTGCTGAGTGATTGGGGCAACCTATTGACCTGCTGGAAGCCTTGGCTTCTCACCTGTAAAATGGGGAACAGGAGCGCATGCAATGGCCTGAATGTTTGTGTCCCCTAGACATTCCTATGTAAATCTTCACCCCATAAGGTGACGGTATTAGGAGGTGGGACCTTTGGCAGGTGATTAAGTCATAGAGGTGGAGCCCCTGTGAATGATATTTGTGCCCTTATGAAAGGGACCCTGGAGAACTGCCTTGCTCCTGCTGCCATGTGAGGACACCGTAAGAAGGCACTGTCTACGAACCCAAAAGTGGGACCCTCACCCGACATCAAATCTACTGGCACATTGATCTTGGACTTCTTCAGCCTTCAGCCTGTGAGAAACAAACTTTTGTTGTTTACAAGCCACCCAGTTTAAGTTATTTTCTTATAGGAGCTTGAATGGACTAAGACATAGCACATTCCTCACGTGAAGTAGTTAGTGCAGTCACTAGGCCAAAGTAACTGTCTGATAATTGATACTTTTTTTTTTATTAACTATCATCTTGAAAGGTAGGCTGGGTCTTGAAAAGGAAATTCACATAGGAACAAGTCCAGCTGTGTTTCTTCTGAAGAAAGTGTGCAAATGATGCAGGTAATTGCAGAGGTTTTGAAACATGGCTGCAAATTCCTTGACATTCTTCCCTTCAAGAGATGGGCCTGATATGGTTTGGCTGTGTCTGCACCCAAAATCTCATCTTGAATTGTAATCCAAATTGTAATCCCCACATGTTGTGGGGGGGACCTTATGTGAGGTGATTAGATCATGGGGGCAGTTCCCCCATGCTGTTCTAATGATAGTGAGTGAGCTCTTAGGAGATCTGATGGTTTTATAAGGGACTTTTCCCTGCTTCACTCTTTCACTCTGCACTTCTCTCTCCTGCCACCATGTGAAGAAGGACATGATTGCTTCCCCTTCTGCCACGATTGTAAGTTCCCTGAAGCCTCCCCTGCCATGCAGGACTGTGAGTCAATTAAACCTCTTTTCTTTATAAATTACCCAGTCTCAGGTATTTCTTCATAGCAGCATGAGAACAGACTAATACAGGGTGCATGTTCTCTCACCTGGAATCTGGGTGGACTTGCCATGGCTTTAATCCCATCCAGTAGGGCAGAAGTGACATCATGTAATTTTGGAGGCTGGCTCAGAGAAGGCCATGCATCTTTCACTGTTTGCTCTGGGACCCCTGAGCCATCATTATTTGCCAAAATACCCTGAAGCCCGAAGTCACAGTGCTGGTGAGGCCATGTGGTGATACCACATGGAGGCCCTGAGACCTGTAGAAAGAGAGAGAGATCCCAATAGGTGTCCCAGCCCAGGCACAAGATGCATGAGTGAAGAAGCTTCCAGATGATTCTAGATCACAGCCATTTGAGTCAGCCCCACCCTTTGGGTCTTCCTACATGAGGCCCCAGACATCATGGAGACAAACCATCTCCTCTGTGCCCTAATTCCTGATCCACAGAATTTGTGCATGCAACAATGATGGGTATTTTGCGTCACTAAGTTTTGGGTTATTTTGCTATATAGCAACTGATAACCAGAATGGAGTTCTAGAAGGAATCTACAGAAGAAGAAAAAAAGGAAACCAAGGTAGTGAGATTTATCAGTGTTCCTCCAGCAGCTGGCAAAAGCCACCCACCCACCCACTACAGGGCCCTCAGGCACACAACCTCATGCATGGGGATTGGGAGAATTCACCAGGCTTTTTTGCAGCCTCAGTGAAATAATTCCCAAGAATGAGTAACTTTGCTCCCTCTGTTTTTGTGCCTAGTGAAAACCAATGGATGACTTAAACATGATGGCCAGGAATATTCTAGGTCCTGGAGAAAGTAGATCAGTTCCATAAACCAATAACCCCACTTTCCGGTTTGTACATCAGTCTCTTGGGACTTTGATATGTGTGAATTAGCCCCAAGCTTCTGGACCACCTTACCAGTACAGTGGAAGGATCATGGGCTGAATCTCAGCTCAGGGTCTAAATCTCAGCCCTGCTGCTTAATGACTATGTGATGTTGGGCAAGGTGCTTGACCTCTGTCTCAGTTTCCTTGTCTGTAAAACGAAGTCAGGAATGTCTTCTTCATACAGTCGTTATGGAGGTGAAATGAGATGCCACCTGGAAAGGGCTAGCACAGTGTGTGACTCATCATAAACTCACTGCTGATGTGATCCTTCATTTCTCTCCCCACCTCCAGCAAAGCTGCAGAGTAGTTTCTGGACCACAGTGACATCCCCTCCCAAGTCTTCCCAACACTGTCTCCCCCTCCTCCAGGCATTAGCCCTCAGAGAGCCCAGTGTGTTCCTCTGGGATCCCCCACCCCGGGCCACAGTAATGCCGGCACACACAGAGGTTTTTGGCATGGCTGGCACCAGACTGGCTTCCTCTATGGACCTGCTCCTGCCCCTGCAGGCTCTGACTGGAGAGGTTGAGAGGAAATCAACCGGGAGCCGACTGGGGCTGCATGACCGGGATGACAGCCTACAGACCCTGAAGGCAAATAGCCCTGTCCCATCAATTTGCAGGAGTGGAGAGAAGAGAGGAGCTTGGGAAATTACAGCCCCATCAGGCTGCCATCATCTCCTGCAGCTCATGAAAGTGATCAACAGCGCTTCGGCTCTCATTTTAAAGATTAAACAGAAGGAAGGATGACTCCAACGGATTGCAGCCCGAGCCACTGGTGGCCCTGAATGCCAGAAAACAAGACAGATTGGGTGTCCACGACACAGAAAGGAAACATGAATCTCCATATTTCACTGGAAGAAGCCAGAGTCACGCTCAAGGAGGCACGTGGTCCTTTTGTCTCCCAGCCTCAGGTTGGAAGCCTGCGCTCCCTTGCGGGGTCCAAGTCCAGGCTCTGGATCAGTTTCAGGACAGCAGGGACCAAATGTGTTTTGTTCAACACATATCAGGCACTCAGTAAATATGAATGAATGAATGAATTCTTGTTCTGTCCTTCTAGCTATGCGATTTTGGGCAAGTCACCATAGACAAGTCAAATGGCCTGTCAGAGCCTCAGTTTCCCCATCTGTTAAATGGGACTAGGGATATCTACCACCCTATGGTTATTGTGAAGATGAAATGGCATCGTATGAGGAAAGCATAGTAGCTGGTGTATATTACAAGGCACCCAGGTAAGGAAGAGGCCAGGTGGGAGACTCAGGTCATAAGCCTAAAGCCAGAGGGGTAGGATAAGAAACAGAAGTCCAGGCAGGGCAGGGGGCTGGCTGCATGGCACAGAGTGCTGAGATGTTTGGGACAAAGATGGCTCTACTCTGGCTCACCATTTTCACTCTCTGCGCCCCCTCTCTTATCCGCATCCCGTCTGCCTTGTAGGGAACGTGCAGAAGGCTGTGGCGTGTGCTTAGTGCGTTCTTCACCTCAGTGGCATAGGAATGGTATTCAAGAAGGAAATCGCTTTGTCAGGAATGGTTCTGAAAGTGTCCCGGAGGAAGTGGCATTTGTACAGGCCTGTGACAGACAGACAGGGCATGGCTGGTGGGACAGGAAGCCAGGCATGTGTGTGGGAATGGGACACCTTACCTGAAAGCTCCAAAAGACAAGGCTGAGGACTTCACAATCACCAGCACAATGGGGAATTATGGCAGCCTCCGGGGCAGAACAGTGATCCCTGGAAATAATTCCTTAGCTTTGTTACACAATTGGCATTTCAATTCCTCCACAAAAAGGGATCAGCAGTTCCACGCTAGTTCCTGGAGCAGAAAGGAGGGAAATAGCAGGGACAGGACTGGAAGAACCCCGCCCCTGAGTCACAAGCCCCAGCTCTCCTCTCTAAGGGCACCAGAAGCCCCAGGAGAGTCACTGCACTGCTTCGAGCCTCAACCTCCTTGTCTGCTTCCTGAGATAGCTGTGAGAAGACCCAATGTGGCAACACCGGGTGGGCCCTGCACAGGCCCCCATGGCAGCAGAAGCAAGCAAGTCTGCATCTGGGTTAAAACAGAGCCATGGGCAACCTGGTGGGATAAGTTATTTTGAAAGAAGGAAGAAGGGGCTGGCAAGGCCTGGAAATTCAGGCTGCTGGATAGGGATGTCCTCAGCAGGCTTTGAGGAGCTTTCTGGGAGTGATGTCTCCTGAAAGTTACTGACCGTGGGCAAGACATTATATTATTCTTTGCCCCAGGATTCTTCTCCTGTCCTTTCCTAAGTTCCCCCAAAGTTCCAAGGGAGCTGTTGGCTGAAAGAGAGTGGAGGAGGGCTTCTTCTTTCAGCTGAGGATGAACTGGTGGTTGGTTTGGATGTTCCCTGGGCAAGAGCTGTCCAATTACAGATCCCATCTGGGCATGGGATTCCTGAAGATGCCCCCCTCCTCAAGGCCAACATGTCATCAGAACCATAAAGTCTTCCTGTTTCCTCAGAGACAACAAACAGAGAGATGGGTGTGGGGTCCAAGCCTTAGCAGCACGATCTGGGGTTTGTGTCAAAATGAAATCCAGATCCACAAGGCACACGCTGCAGCCTGGCAGTTCCTGGCCTTGGCGGGTGTCCAATATCCCCAGAGCTCCTGGCACTGACTCCCTTTCTGCTGAAATAGGCTGGGTCTTGGCAGAACAAGGAAGGTGTATGAGCCTAGCATCCACCTGTCAAACCTCAACTCAGGAGTTATTAAGCCAGCAGGTCCTGTGGCAGCCAGGCAAGATTTGCTTAAAAAAAACAATGAGAAAAAAATCGAACTTATCACTTGAGGCTTTTCACTTAACCCCCCTGCAACAGCTCCCCAGCTGCTGTTTCCTCCTCTTCCAGGCTGGCTCCTGCCCACCCTCACCTTGATGCCAGATGGGTCTTTCCAAACTGCAGCTGTGGTCAAGTCATTTCTCAGTTCAAAAAGTCTGCTGTGGCTCCCCAGTACCTAAAGAAGTACCTGCATACTCCCCACCCGTGCATTCCAGGCCTCCCTCCCTCCCTCAAGATCAATCTCAAATGCTGCCTCCTCCAGGAAGCCTCTCCTGGTTTTCTTGGAGCCATTTGGAACTACTCCCCTTCCCAACCCCTATCAGTCTTCACTTGTTCCAGAGCCCAACCCAAGGCCTAGGGTGTGAGGGCCATCTGGAGCAGGGCACAGAGCCAAGGAAGACACAAGGAAAAGGAAGTCCCTCCCCATGAAGAGCTGATGGCTTCTCCAGGAACCTGCCCACCCTTCAAACACACACAGATACACACTCTGACATCTGGGAAATAAGGAATACAGTCACGGTGACAATTACCTCACTAAACCCAAGAGGCCAGGGACACCAAATACCGGGCAGCTGGTGTCTGTGCGAGGGGATGGCGGGGGTGACAGGAGGGGTGATGGGCATAGCCAGGGGTTAGGGATATCCCAGCCTGACAAATTTAAATCAAACTGTAGATTTTTTTTTTTTTTTTTTGAGATGGAGTGTCACTCTGTCAACCAGGCTGGAGTGCAGTGGCGCAATCTCGGCTCACTGCAACCTCTGCCTCCCAGGTTCAAGTGATTCTCCTGCGTCAGCCTCCCGAGTAGCTGGGATCACAGGCACATGCCACCATGCCTGGCTAATTTTTGTATTTTTAGTAGAGACGGGGTTTCACCATGCTGGCCAGGATGGTCTTGAACTCCTGACCTCAGGTGATCCGTCCACCTTAGCCTCTCAAAGTCCTGGGATTATAGGTGTGATCCACCGTGCCTGGCCAAAACTACAGAATATTAAAACTAAAGAAGATCTTGGACCATTCAGTCAAATCCTATACACACAAAGAAAGTGAGGCTCAGAGAGGGGCGTCCGGCATAGATTTCCAGTTAGAGGGCAAAGGGGTCATCATTTAATTCATTCGGTCATTTGGTCATTTGTTCTTTCAACCATTCCACCACTTTACTAAGCCCCTGTTAGACCCTGGTGCTCGTGCCAGACTCTGGGCACATAGAGTTGAAGAAGAAACAGCCCTGGCACCCACGGGGCTGAGAGTGGATGAGGGTGACAGTGCCAGACTGGAGGTCAGCCTGCAATGGGTGGAGGCAGAGAAGGGAGTGATGCTGGGGGTGGCTACATGGGTGGACAAGAGGTGATCCTGGAAGGCTTCCCAGTGGAGGTGATGTCTGGGACGTGTGTAAGGAATGTATAGGAGTTTCTGCAGGGTCAAAGCAAAATTAGCAGTGGAACCTGTGCATATGGACTTGTCCCTACTCTACACTACAGGATTTTTACATCTCAATGCTGCCTGAAAGCAATTGGAAGAAAGGGTCCCTGTCACCCTGGCCTGGTTCATCCCTGTTGAGCCACAAGCCTGAGGCCGTATAAAGTATTGTGTTGATTACAGGATTAGAAAGGCCCAGTGTGACTTGGAAAAAGGCTGTTTTGCCAGTCAGAGTGAGACTGACTGGCAACCCTGGGGCAGATCTTGCATTTACTAACCAGCTTCACACTGTAAGGCTTGACTGCAAGTGGAAATGACTTTAGGGCTCACTGAGTCATTTTACAGATGAGGAAACTCCAGCCCATGCAGGCAGAGCCCCTTGCCCAAGGCCACACAGCAGGTCAATGGCAGAGTTGGAACTTAAAGCAGGTTTCTCAACTCTCAGGCCAGCATGCAGGGGGGTGGGGAATATTGTAGTTAAAGAAAATGGTCAAGTTTATTCGCTACAGAAGTCCCAAGGGAATCAACATCTTCATAAAACACAGAGAAACAAACAATAAAGAGCAAGAACATGATTTAAAACTGTATAGTCAAGAATGGATATAGATGTTAAGTGCTGAGTCAAGACAATTTGTGAAGCTTCAATCTGTAAACCCCTTCATGAATTTCAGTAGATTCCCCTTCCCCCAGGAAGATTTCTCTGATGCCCCTCCAGCTGGATCAGTGTCTCCAGTGAGCAACCCTGGGACCATGTATCATGTGTCCTCCTCTATAATTAAATTTGGTAGACTGTACTGTAATTCTCTGTCTCTTGAACCTCTTTTCCACAAGATTGTAGTAAGCTCCTCGAAGGCAGGAATGGTGTCTCATTTATTGCTATGCTCCCATTTACCCAGCATATAGCAGATGCTCAACAAACATCTGTTAAGTTAATATCTGCACACTTAAAAAAGTGACGTTTCTTCCTGAAGACCAGAACAAAGAAAAACAGAACCTGTACTCTTTCATGAATTGAATCTCCATCTATCCATCCTTTTATCCCTCCCTTCCTCCATCTATCCATCCATCATCTTTCTCTCCTTCCTTTTGTCCCTCCTTTCCTCCCTCACTCCACACCTCCTTCTTTCCATCCATCCATCCATCCATCCATCCATCTATCCATCCATCCACCATCCATCCATCCATCCATTCATCCATCCATCCATCTATCCATCCATCCACCATCCATCCATCTATCCATCCATCCATCCATCTATCCATCCATCCATCCATCCATCATCCTTCATCATCCATCCGTCATGCATCCAACATTTGTTGAGCAACATGAGAGGCTGACCCCTGAGTTTAGAAGGGGAATGAAGCCCGTTCTCTGAAGTGGAAAGCTCTGTTTGCAGGAGCTTGCCCGTAAAAACCATCACCAGTGTTTTGTAGAAGACAGCAGAGTAATTTAGAGATGTGACTTAATCAATATTTCGTGGTCCCTGAAATCCATCTTTGTTAAATGACCAACAAAAGACTGTGGCCAGGGAAGCCCACTGACAGGCCAAGGGGAGAAATTCAAGGGGACATTGGTGGGGAATAAACCCACCTGCTGGGCGGGGCTGTGGGACCACCAGGAACCTTTCTGTTATTACTGATTACTGCACTGACAATGAAGGCAGTGTCCCTCACTCCCAAAGCTGCACACAGGAACGACAAGGCTCAGGTACTGGCATGACAAATCTTCCCTGTGGGAGGCATTGGTACAGGCTCAACCCTGACCTGCCTGCCACATGGACTATCCCTGCTGATGACCCCCGTCCCCCTGGAAAACTTGACTGAGGTGGCAGTAATGTTAATAGCCGGCTATTCTTTGCAGCAGCACACGCCTTCACAGCCTTTTCTCCTTTGAGCCCTTTGAGGATCCCCAGAAGGAGTTATTCTTCTTCTTCCCTTTTCCCAGATCAGCAAACAGCGGTTCAGGAAGGTGAGCTGACTTGACCAAAGTGATAAAGTTTGCAACTGTCAGCAGGAGGGCAAATCACAGTTCCTGACTGATCAACTCCTTGATCAGGCCTTTTGGGGCTGTGACTCAGAATCAGGATATAATAAAATCCAAAATGGCACCTTCCAGTTTAGCTCCGGAGTGAACACAACTCAGTGTTGGCCCAGAAGTTAGGAGCAATGTCAAGACTTAGAACTGAGCCCTAGCCAGAGGTTTCAGCACCCAAGCTAGGGATGGGGGTGTGGATGCCCTCTGAACCAGGACCTGCCTTGCTCATGTGCATACACCAAGGCAAACAGGGTCCTTCTTAGTCACAGCCCTGGATCATCCATTTCAAAGCGAAAAGGAATTTGTGAGGGCTGCCAGCTGTCATTTTTGTAATGAAATTTGCTTTCAAAGCCCAAGGCCATGCTAATGACAAAGTAAAACAAACTCAGAAGGAGTAAGAGGGGTAGGCTCAGGCGAGTGGGCAGGGAATTGCCAAGAAAACTCACGTGGGGCTGAGCACCATAGTTGTGACTGTGATGCTTACACATATGCACACATATGATGCACATGCACGCGCACACACACACACACACACACACACACACACACTCCTAACAGACAACCTGGTGGCAGGGAAAGGGATTCCAGTGCTCAGTTCAAGAGACCTGGAATCTCATTCCAGCTCTGCCCCGGCTGCATTGAGTGGCCTAATATCTCCATGCCTCAGTTTCCTCATCTATAAAACAGGATGGTAATAGCACTTATCTTTTGGGTTGTTAGACCAGTGCATGGCCACATCGAGTGCCATATGAGTGTAAATTAAAATAACGTAATTAATCCCCTGAGTGGCGTTAGTGGTTAACTACGGGCCTGTTGTGATGGTTAATACTGAGTGTCAACTTGATTGGATTGAAGGATGCAAAGCATTGATCCTGGGTGTGTCTGTGAGGGTGTTGCCAAAGGAGATTAACATTTGAGTCAGTGGGCTGGGAAAGGCAGACCCACCCTTAGTCTGGGTGGGCACAATCTAATCAGCTGCCAGCTCGGCTAGAATATAAAGCAGGCAGAAAAACGTGAAAAGATTAGACTGGCCTAGCCTCCCAGGCTACATCTTTCTCCCATGCTGGATGCTTCCTGCCCTCGAACATCGGACTCCAAGTCCTTCAGTTTTGGGACTCAGACTGGCTCTCCTTGCTCCTCAGCTTGCAGACGGCCTATTGTGGGACCTTGCAATCATGTGAGTTAATGCTTAATAAACTCCCCTTTATATATATATCTCTCTATCCTATTAGTTCTGTCCATCTAGAGAACCCCGACTAATGCACCTGTCTTCCTGGCCCCCTTTTTTTCTGGAAACTTCCTCCTTGCTCCCTTCTGTGTGGTTGCAATGGACTGCAGCCATGGAGGCAGTCTACATTGACAGCTAAGAGTGTGAGCTCTGAAGTCAGGCTGCTCAGCCTCAAATTCTAGCTTTACATCTCTGGATTAGTAACTTAACCTGCCCAAGCCTCAGTTTCCTCATCTGTAAAATGGGGAGGAGAATTTTACCTGCTTGTTGGAGGATGCAACTGACAAAATGCCTGTGTCTAGCACATAGTAAGAGCTTGATGATGAATGTATCTGCTAAAATTATATTTTCATTCCAAGTAACTTATTGCCTCTGGCCATGGTTGACTGGGCCTGGGGGGGGGCACTTGAATGAAGCTGAGCCAATCAGCTTCTTCCTTAGGAATTTGTAGTTGATACTGAAAAGGAGTTATTTTGCCTCGCGTTGGTGGCTAGCCCCGTGAAACGTGAGCATGGTGCTGTGGCTGCCAGCTTCCCACCATGTATATGGAGCCTAATAAGCTGGTCTTCAAGGGACATGCAGATAAAGGACTTCAGTTCCTAGTCTCAAACTCTTGGGCTCAACTGGTCTGCCTGCCTCAGCCTCCTAAGTACCTGGGATTACAGGCATGTGCTACAGCACCTGGTTTTATGTCATTTTTTTTCTCCACACTTCCAAAGAGTGTGGAGTCCCCACCTCTTCCCCAGTCAAGTGTGGTTGCCCTGACTCTGCCCTCTTCGATCTCCTATCCATCCATCATGTTGTCAAGCTGTCGTGGTGCCGTGAGACAGCATTGTGTCCTCAGAGTGACTGGCCCCTTCTTACTTCAGCTGACTTAAGTGAGCTTCAGTGCCTGGCCCCAACTTGGCCTCTGTTTCCTAAGCAAGCTGGGGCTGAGATGGCTGAGGAGTCTTGCAATGTGACCTCCTGGGTTCACACTGGAAAGCTGCAGAACAAATTGATGGATTCTGTGTGTAGCTCCAGGTTATACACAGAACCACATCCATTTCAGGGCTGTAGACATCTCAGAAATTAACACCTTTTTCTTTAAGTTCTCTAGATCTTTTCTTTTCTTTCTTTTTTTTTTCTTTTGAGACAGAGTCTCGTTCTGTAGCCCAGGCTGGAGTGCGGTGGCGCGATCTTGGCTCACTGCAAGCTCCACCTCCTGGGTTCATGCCATTCTCCTGCCTCAGCCTCCCAAGTAGCTGGGACTACAGGCGCCCACCACCACGCCCGGCAAATTTTTTTGTATTTTTAATAGAGACGGGGTTTCACCGTGTTAGCCAGGATGGTCTCGATCTCCTGACCTCATGATCCGTCCGCCTCAGCTTCTCAAAGTGCTGGGATTACAGGCATGAGCCACCGTGCCCGGTCTAGATCTTTTCTTTATTGCTGCCTGGTCAGTGCTCCATTAGACATTCATGCCACATTTTGAGCCCCTGCTCTGTGGTCACCGTGGGGAACATTGCAGACCAGGTCACTTCCTTATAGGCGCCTTGAGATCAAGCACCTGGCCATGTTTCTCTAGATCCATCATCCCGCTTCTAGCTATGCTTCTGGACTCTGTTGTTTTATACTTTAGATATTGTCTTTCAATTTTTGATGTCAATTTTCCTTTCTAGACAGTGAGCAGGGTCTGTGTCATTTTCTTCTTTTTGGGGGATGCAGAGGATGAGGTCTTGCTCTATTGCCCAGGCTGGTCTCAAACTCTTGGGCTCAAGTGATTCCCCACCCCACTCAGCCTCCAGAGTAGCTGGGATTACAGGCACGCTCCACAGTGCCTGGCTCGGTGTCATTTTCTTCTTGGTGGCACTAGGCATGTCAGGTATTCACGTATGTTTGTGGGACAAATGAATGAATGAATGAATGACATGAACAAAATGAGTCTTTCCAGAGGAGAAAAACAGGAAAATGGAAGTTCCAGAAACCAAGCATGTTGAGGGAAATGCATCTAACCTGGGGAGTAGATTTAGGGGGCACTGGAGAACTGTAAATACTTTAAGGGATTGTTATGTGGGAAAGAAATTAGAATCAATGTGAACAATAGTCACTATTTCTTGAGCACCTACTATGTGCCAAACTCTGCACTAGGGGTTTTTCGTCTTCTCACTCACTCCTTATGACCAGCACAAGGAGGAGTCCTTCTCATCCCCATTTTATAAGTGACAAGGTGGAGGCTGAGAGACATGAGACCCCATGGATGGGGTCCATCAGAGTGCTGTTAAGGAAGAAAGCCAGAATTTGAAGGCAGGTCTGTCTCCATAGTAGAACTCCACCTTCCTACAGTGAAATAATAATAATAATAAATAAAATAAAAGGCCAGTGTCTCCCAAGGGCAGAAGTAAACCTGAGAGAGAGAAGTCATAGAGAGGAAGTCTCTGACTTTATCCAAGAAAGAACTTCTAAATTCCAGGGCTGGCCCCAAGCAGAACAGGTGGTGATACTCCTGTTCTAGGAGGTATGCAAGACGCAATAGAAACTGCTCCCTGAAGATGACCAGAGGATCAGTTGGTTCCTGTCTGTGAAGCTAGAAGAACTGCTTTTCAGACTCCAGAGGGTGCACCCCCCATCTGACGCTGCAAGCGCCCTCGCCCCTACGTGATGGCAGCACTGCGGGCTCCCAGGAAGAGGCCTCACCCACGTCCCCATTCCACCACCCCCCCGGGAGCGGCTGCGTGACATCCTCGCCCCCCGCGGGCGCCCCCCTCCTGGGGTCGGGAGGCCCCCTGGGGAGTTCCCACGCAGCCCGGGCGGCGCCAGCTGAGTCAGGAGCTGCCTGGCTCCACAGGGTATTGCAGCAGCAGCCTGCAGGTGGCGAACAGCGGAGCCTGGAGGAGTGGTCCCTGTGCTGCCCACCGCCTCCAAGCGTCCGGGCGCCTCTGCAGGCACCTAGCCTGGTTGGGAGGCGCAGTCCGCTGGGGTGGACACCCTGGAGGCTCCTTTCCGCCCCCCACCCCACCCCCTTCTGAGCACCTGCTGTGTACCAGGGCAGCGGGTCAAGAAGCCAGCCATGGAGTCCAGCAGCAGGTTGCGTCTCCCAGACCGCGGGCGGGTTCCATCTCCTCTCCACGCCTCAGTTTCCCCACCAGCAAGACTGAGTAATTAGCCCTGACCCCCGCGGGGTGGCAGAAGGGCCTGACAAGCAGATGGAAGTGGGAGCACAGAGGGGCCGGCGTCACCCCCACTTCATCCTCCCAGCAGCCCCGTGAGACGACAAACGTGGCAAAAGCACGTGCCCTGCGATCACCCGGCTGGCACGTGGCAGAGGCTGGATTGGAATCCATGCAGGTCTGAGGCCAAGCCCCAGCTCCCTCTCCCCTGCTGGGGCTCCCTGGGAGCAGCGTCAGCTCAGCCCCAAAGCCTGAGGACCCCTTAACCACCCACACCCCGAGCTGTGGGGTCACAGCCCTTCACAGCCAGGAGGGAGACGGTCCCTGGGGTCGCTACTGCCCCCACATCTCCCTGGAGGCAGACCCCTCAAAGAAAAGTCAGGGCGCAAGGTTTAGGCCAGATGGCAGCTCCTCAGAGCAGTCGTTGTGTCCCAGCAGGGAGGGTCCCTGGGCTGGGGCGGCCATGGAGAGCAGAGGCCTTTCTGGGAGCGAGGAAGGCAGGAAGAGAGCCATGGAACTGTGGGCCAGGGCTGGAGACTGAGGGCCCCCTGCCTTCAGGGCGTGCCTGTGGCTGCTGGCTTCCTGGGCACACAGCTCAGGGTTCTGAGGAAAACTCAGAGCTGCAGCAACAAGGGGAGGTGATGAGGGAGCCGGGTCCGGGGGAAGCGGTGCTGTCCAGGGGAGGTCGGAAACCTGTGTGGGTTCAAATCTCCATCATGGCACTTACTGTGGGACCCTGAGAAACCTACCCCCTCCCTGAGCCCATTTTCCCACATGGGAGATGGGGAGCACGATCTCACCTCGTTCATTCTCTGGGGGATGGAATCAGACAATGGGCAGGAAGCATCCAGCACAGTGCCAGGGTCCTGAGCACGGTGGGTATGCCCAGCACAGTGGGTGCTCCCTACACAGTTACTCTTATTAAGGTTCCCCAGGCCCCAGGCTCTTAAAAACCCCAGACCTGCGAGGCTCCCTCCCTCCAGGAGACAAGTATCCCAGTGGCCTGCTGTGCATAAAGAGGTCTCCCAACCTGAGTGGGACAGTTCACCACCAGTTCAAAGCCCACCCGAGAGCCTTGCCTGCTCTGCGTGGATGTCACTGCCCCTCCACCTTAATGGGTTTCCTTCCCAAACCACCCCACAGAAGCCCCTGGGGCGGAGGATGGATCACCCTGGCCTAAGCCTGCGTGCTGATCTCCCCCTGTCTACTGCCCCAGCCCCAGCAGCTCAGCCCCGCCAGGAACATTGATGGTGAAAGGCAAGGGCTATGTGGGTGCACTTGACATCCCAAATGGTGGGAGTCTGACCACACTAGGACAGAGCTGGCTTTCCAACAGGGCTTTCTCGAGAGATGGGCTGGGGGTAGTGCGAGAGAGCTCTGGGATCCTGGAGGGTCTGGGTTGGAATCTGCCCTTTCTCAGCTGTGTGACCTGGGGCAAGTCCCTCCCTTTTCCAAGTTCACTTCTCTTGCTCTGTAAGGTGGGTTAATGACATCCACTGCACCTGGTTGTTGAGAGACTAAATGAGATCATGAATAAAACTTCATGTGGGCCAGGCGTGGTGGCTCGTGCCTATAATCCCAACACTTTGGGAATCTTAGGAGGACAGATTGCCTGAGCTCAAGACCAGCCTGGGCAACACGGCAAAACACTATCTAATAAATATTTTTAAAAAATTTTTTTTGAGATGGAGTTTTGCTCTATCGCCCAGTCTGGAGTGCAGTGGTGCGATCTTGGCTCACTGCAACCTCTGCCTCCCAGGTTCAAGCGACTCTCCTGCCTCAGCCTCCTGAGTAACTGAGATTACAGGCACCCGCCACCAAGCCCGGCTAATTTTTGTATTTTTAGTAGAGACGGGGTTTCAACACGTTGGCCAGGCTGGTCTCAAACTCCTGACCTCATGATCCGCCCACCTCGGCCCCTCAAAGTGCTGGGATTACAGGTATAAGCCACCACGCCTGGTCATAAATATTTAAAATTTTTTATAAAAAATAATAATGAAACATCATTTGACAAGTTTGTGAGGATGTGGAGAAATTGAAACCCTGGTGCATTGCTGGTGGGAATGTGAAATGGTGTAGGTTCCTCAAAAAGTTAATCATATTACAGAATTCCACATGACCCAGCAATTCAATTCTTAGGTGTATGCACAAAACAATTGAAAATAGAGGCTTACACAAATACAAGGATGCACACATTCATAGCAGCCTTATTCATAGTAGCCAGAAGGTGGAAGCAACACGAGTATTCATTGACAGATTCATGGATAAACAATATGTGATGTAGCCACACAAGGGCATATTAGTCACCCATAAAAAGGAATGAAGTGCTCATACATGCTACAATGTGTGTGAAACTAGAAAGTGAACTGAAGGAGTCCACACATAAAATGTCATTATTGTATGATTCCATTTATATGAAATGTCCAGAATAGGTAAATTCATAAAGGTAGAAAGCAATCTGGGTTACTAACAGCTGGGGCTAGGAGAGCATGCATACAAGGTTTTATTCTGGAGTAATGAAAATATTTTGGAACTAGATAGAGGTGGTGGTTACACACATTGTAAATATATTAAATATCACCAAATTGTTACTTTAAAATGGTTAATGTTATGTTGTGTGAATTGCACCTCATTAAAAACAAAAAGTCATTTGCACACACAGTGCCTGACATGATGGAGTAAGACAGTTGATTTCAGGTCCTGGTTCTTCCAGTTACTCACTGGTGACTTGGGACAAGTTATTCTACTGGTCAGAGCCATAGTTTCTGTATTAGAGTGTTCTCATGCTGCTAATAAAGACATACCCGAGACTGGGTAATTTATAAAGGAAAGAGGTTTAATTGACTCACAGTTCCATATGGCTGGGGAGGCCTCACAATCATGGCAAAAGGCAAATGAGGAGCAAAGTCACATCTTATATGGCGGCAGGCAAGAGAACTTGTGTAGGGGAACTCCCCTTTATAAAACCATCAAATCTCATGAGACTTATTAACTATCATGAGAATAGCATGGGAAAGACCTTCCCCCATAATTCAATTACCTCCCACTGAGTCCCTCCCATGACCTGTGGGGATTATGGGAGCTAAATCCAAGATGAGATTTGGGTGGGGACACAACAAAACCATATCAGTTTCCTCACCATAAAATGAAAAAAAGAATACTTGCCAGGTGTTGGGAGATAAAACAAAACGATGTATATAAAGTGCCTAGCACAGGGGCTGGTATACAAATGATGCTCTGTAACAGAGTTGGAATTATGGGCAGAACAGGCATAGCTCATCAGGTGATCAAAGCCACCATCTCTTCACCTCAGTTCGATGGGGTGATGTTCCCCTGCCCCTAGGCAGATCTGTGTCCTCTCTGCTCCCCACAGCTAATTCTAATATTTGTTGAGCACCTACTATGTGCAAAGTTTTCACCAGCTGTGGTGCTGCAGTGTTGAGGCAATAGACATGAATGAGGCGGATTCCCAGCCTCAAGAAGTGTCTGGGGAGCTCAGATACCTACATAAATAGCTCTAATACAGTGTTTGCGCAGCCGTGACAGAGAAGCAGATGCAGGGCAATGAGCACTCCCAAGAAACAAAGAGCAGTTCCAGCTGCAGGAGGTGGAGCGGGGAGGTGGGGCAGGGAGATGGGGACCAGGGAAGAGCTCTAGCAGCTGAGCTTTGGGGACAGGATTTCTCTCATGAGATGGGCAGGGGGCTTTCAACGTAGCAAGCACAGCCTGAGCCAAGGTGCAGGGGCGGGGAGGGCTGATGGAGCTCCAGGAGGGCAGAGGCTTGAGCCAGGAGTCTCTGTCCTTCCAAGGCCAGGCTGCAAGTTCCCTGAGCGCAGCACTGGATCTGTGCTCCCCTTAGTCATATCAAGGGCTTGGCATGCCTTGAGCACCTGCCAGAGATTTGTGGAATGAATGAAGACATGAATCAATGTCCAATTCATCTGAGTCTCTTTGAGGTATTTTCTATAATGTGCAGCTGTTATATTTTCTATAACATAAGCTAACTTATGGATTTAGTTTCTGAAAAACTGCTCTGGTTAAAGCAACTCACTATCTACATGCCTCGAAAAGTTACCTCAATTCACCATTAAGAGAGAAAGCTAACATTTATGGAGCCTATTATATGACGGGTACTGTGTGAAAGGGGTTCTGAATTATGTCTTTCAGTCATTAGAACAATCCTTTAAAGCAAGGGCTAGGCTGGGCGCGGTGGCTCACGCCTATAATCCCAGCACTTTGGGAGGCCGAGGTGGGCGGATCACGAGGTCAGGAGATCGAGACCGTCCTGGCTAACACAGTGAAACCCCATCTCTACTAAAAATACAAAAAATTAACCGGGCGTGGTTGCAGGCGCCTGTAGTCCCAGCTACTTGGGAGGCTGAGGCAAGAGAATAGCCTGAACCCAGGAGGCGGAGCTTGCAGTGAGCCGAGATCACACCACTGCACTCCAGCCTGGGCGACAGAGCGAGACTCCGTCTCAAAAAAAAAAAAAAAAAAAAATTATAAAGCAAGGGCTATTGTTTGGTTTAAGTCACAGATGAAGAGACTGAGGCCCAGAGAAGCTAAGTAACTTATCCAAGGTCACACAGCTAGTAAGAGGGACCTGATTGTAACCATAGGGCTTATGCTCTTGGCCATGATTTGACGTTGCTCTGGATTTAATTTGGTCTACTTTTGTGTCAGATATTATCCTGGAAAGAAAACGTATGCTCAGAGAAATTTTTCTCCAGTGTTGACTTTTAATTGCCTTTTTAAGCTGTTAATAATATAGAAACATTATATGTAAAATACGTAAATATATCGTTATATATGTAGAATAATAATTTCAAAAGAGGAACTAAATGACACTCGTAAAAGAACAGGCCCGCATTGTTCTGTATACAGCAGCAAACAAAGCAGACAAAGCTCTCATAAAGTTTATGCTCAAAATTAAAATGGTAGGTGGATGATGGAGAGATTGAGAGAAAGAGAGAAAAATAAGAAAAATATCAGGCCCAGCGCAGTGGCTCATGCCTGTAATCCCAGCACTTTGGGAGGCCAAGACAGGAAGCTGACTTGAGCCCAGAAGTTCAATACCAAGGCAAAACCCCATCTCTACAAAAAATGCGCAGTGGTGCATGCCCCTAGTTCTAGCTACTCAGGAGATTGAGGTGGGAGGATCACCTAAGCCTGGGAGCTAGAGGCTACAGTGGCCATAATTGCACCACTGCACTGTAGCCTGGGAGACAGACTGAGACCCTGTCTCTAAAATAAAATAAAAGAAAATAAAGAAAAATATTAGAGAGGAATACATCTGAAATTCAGTACTGTGAAGTATTAAAAAGTAACAAAAATAGGGTGAAGTCATCAACAGTGACTTGGTGTTTACTTCGAGTGGGGTGGTCAGATCAGGAAAGGCCTCTTGGGGAGGCGAAAGTTAAACTGGGAGGTGATGAGCAGAAGGAGGCAGCTGTCTGACCATTCCAGAGCAAGGGAAAGGCCAGTGTGAAGGTCCTAAAGTGGGGACCCACTTGGCAGGTTCCTGTAACAGCGAGAGAGTTTGTGTGCTGAGTTTGCAGGGTCAGGCGGGGGGCATCATAGGAGCTTCCTGTGCTGGTCAAGGGGTCTGGATTCTGGTCCAAGTGCTGGGGAGGTGTTGGAGAGAGTTACTGGATTTGAATTCCACTGTTTAAAGATCACACTGGCTACCATATAAGGAGGATTCGATTGTAGAGGGCAGGAGGCCCAGGCGGGAGGTTGCGGCCGTGGTCCAGGCGAAGGATGAGGACCAGAGTGATGCTGGCGGAGAGGGGACAGCAGTCATCCCAGGCACACACTGCATGCTGGAGGGGAGGTCCATGGCTCCTCCTGTTGGGGAAGACAGAGTATAAGGGAATAGGGAAAAGGGCGAGAGGAATCTACAGTAATTTGCATAAGCAACCGGGTGGACGTTGCCGTTGTCACAGACACAATTAGATCCAGGGAGAGGATGGTAATCAAAAAGGCTCCTTCTGCCATGGGAACTTTGAGACGCTCAACATCCATTCTAGAAACACCGGGCAGTTGGGGGAATAACCAAGCCTGGAGCTGGGGTTGAGAGGAGCTGTCCATCTGGGTGTCACTGGCATAGGGATGGTGCCTAAGGTCATGAGCCTGGGTGGGGGTCACCTCAGAAGGGAAGGAGTTAGATGAGGTAGGGCCCAGGCATGAAGATCAAGGAGAATCCTGGGACCGAGATGCCATGCAGAGGCTGTGCAGAGGAAGAGCAGCATCAGGAGACTGGGAGAGGAGGCCAGAGGAGTAGGAAGGGCCAAGAGGAGAAGGTACTTCAAGAAGGGGGAAACAACCAGCTGTGGTCACCTGCAGCTCAGCAAAATGCTGGGTGCAACGCTTGGCTGGAGTGAGTTGGTGGCGGTCGGAGGAGGTACTGAATTAAAGTACCATAGACAGTGAATCTAGACTTAAAGAAAGCTCGGTTGAGCATTCAGAATTTTTGGCCCTAAAGAGTAGCAAAGAAATGGAGTGCTCCCTAGAGGAGGAAACGAGATCAGGGGAGGACATTTTAAAGTTTGGAGACGCTAGAACATTTTTGTGTCCTCCTGGGAATGATCCAGGAGAAAGGGAGGGAGCAAAGAGTTAGGAGAGTGGAGATAATTGCAAAGTCCTTGATAGCTGAGACAAGGGATGGGGCACTCAGTACACAACAGGGACCCTTTCCTTGCTGTAATAGGAGGGAAGGCAAAGAGTTTAGGCACAGAGTGGGTTGTCTGGTTGCTTTGAGGCTGAGACAACGGGGGAATTTTCATCCACTTGGTATTTGACTCCTGCAGAGTTACCAGCAGAGAGAGGGAAGCAGGGAAAACATGTGGAAGTTCTGAGACGGAAGGAAAAGGGTGAAATTGTCAGCGTAGAGAACAAAGTGAAGTGTGGGAGGGTTTGAGGGCAGCAGAGGCACCCATGTGGTCAGGCTGTGGATCCCAGGCCTCAGTGTAGTCAAGCTGTCCCTCCTGTAAACAATGCTGAACATATTTGCAAGTCAAGCCTTTTTATATTGAGCTTTATATTGAGTAAAAGTATTTGCTATTTTTTTCAGAATCGAGTCCTGGAAGCAGGTGTAGATTCAGAGATATGAATATTTGAAAGACTAGTGACAAATATTGCAAGCATATTGTCAAATCGTGTCCCAAAAACAGTAGTTCCAACCTATGCTGCCCCAGCTACCCACGAGAGAGGGTTTTCGTCTGGAAGCACCATCACCAGAATACTGCCATGTTAGTATTTTTTAAACATCCATCCTAATTTTAAAGCAAAGGGTAGTATCTCCTTGTTGTGCTTACAACTTTTCCATTTCTTTGACTCATTGGAGTGAACCTTTTTTATAGTGTATTAGCTAACTGTCTTTTCTCTTATTATAGATTTTTCTTTGGTGCACATTTAAAGAGTCTCTGGGATAAATCTCAGTGGTATCACGGGCACAAAACTCATCAGAAACAAAGCGGGGAAGGAGCTTGCAGAGAGGAATTTTGTGGCTCTTAGTTTTCCTGACAGTGGCAATAGCGTGAAGAAACAAAAAGCCAAGAAACTGAGTCAGGGCCAGGAGCAGCGTATTTTAAAGCTAATTTAAATAGGAGGCTTCGTTTAAGCTGTCACCTCTGCCTCTCTATTTCTTATATATGTACACACACACATAAGCATATGTGGGTGGCAGTGAGGAATTATGCAGAGCTATATCTCAGCCCAGCCTTTTGTGATGACTTTTATTAATTATTGAATAATTTGATAAATAATTCATTATTTTCCTGCTGGTGAAGGCATCATCAAAAATTCGTTGAGTAGAAGTCAAGCAAGCCCACAGTCTTTCTGAAGCTGGAAGAAATCCTGGCTATATTTCCCTCATTCGAGGGTATGAACATGTGTGTGTGTGTGTATGTGTGTGTGCAGGCACGCCCCTGGGTGTTTGCCACATGTGGAGGCCTGTGCGTAACAAGCATGCAAGAGATTGTGTCTATGAGCATATGTTGAGCATTTTGTGCAAGGCATGTGTGTGTTGCACGTGTATGAGAATTTGAGTGGCAGTATAGTGTCTGGCTAAGTGTGGGCTGAGAAGGAATTTCTCTTGGGACTTTATATTCTCCACTTTGTTTTAATTTCTTTGGTCTCTGGTGATGGGAGTAGTAGTTCTTTCTTTGTTTTGTATATAGATCCTGCTTAATAAAAATGCCCAGATTTTGAATAGAGAAAATTGAAATTAAAAATATATGTGCACCGGGGAGCAGCAAGGAGCAGGACAGGTAGATGGCAGGGAATGAACGAGAACTTCTCTTCCACCAGGAGGACCCCAAGCTGGGCTTCTTAGTGCCTGGCACATAATGGTTTCTGGGCCAAGTCATTGAGGAATAAAAAAGAGAAAGGTAAAAAGAACTTCCTTTGAAAAGGAAGATGAACCAGGGCATCAGCAAGGTTTCTAGTCTGACCACTTTGGTTATTAGTTTCTTAATGTTTCTGGGCTTCTGCCTAAAAATTTTATTAATAAATCCCTGCCCTACGACCACTGGAGGCTATTGTAAGAGCTTTGAAGAGAAGTGAATGCTATACGCCCCAGGGCATCAGGGGAGGTGGAAAGAACACAAAACAAAGATTTTGGTTCCTGTCTAGTCTCTATCACCCCCACCCCCGGCTGTGCAACAGGGGCAAATTGCCTTGTTTCTCTTAGGCTCAGTTTCCTCAAGTGGAATAGGGACACTATTAACTATGAGGCAAGACCAAATGAAATAACACAGGATCATGGTAAGAATGCTTACCGATAGGAAAATTTGGCACAGTGTTTGCCACAAACACGGGTCATGATAATAGTTTATTCATTTCACGTTCATTCCAAGAGGCCCAAGTTCCCCAGTGCCACAGATCAAAGTCTTTTTGTACTATCAGTTACTAAGAAACAAGCATTAAAATCTCCAACTCTGATTGTGAATGTGTCTGCTTCTCTTCTAGTTCTGTCCATTTTTGCTTCATGCACTTTGAAGTCTGTTATCATATGCCAACACATTTATTATTGTTGTGACTTTCTCTTTATCATATGAAATGTCCCTCTTTTGCCCCGATAGGCTTTGTTCTGAAGTCTATTTTGTTCAATGTTAATACAGTCACATTTCAGCTTTCCTTTGTTTAGTATTTGCATACTTTATATCTTAGTTAAAAGTAAATGAATAGGTGTCTTTATAGTTAAATGGCACCTTTTATAGACAGGATATAGTTGGCTCTTGCTATTTTATCCAGTCTGACAATCTCTGCTTTTTAATTGATGTGTTTCATCCATTTACATTTAGTATAATTATTGTTATGGTTGGGTTTCAGCCTACACTCTTGCTATTTTTTTTTTCTATTTGTCTCAGATTTTCGTTTGTTGGTTTTTCTATTTCTCTTGTCCTGCTTTCCTTTACATTAATTGGCTTTTTAGTATTCTATTTAATTTCCTCTATTTCATTTTCAAGCTATGCTTCTTTTATTATTTTTATTGGTTATTCTAGGGATTCTAATATACACCGTTAACTCATTACAGTCCACTTAGAATTAATTTTGTACTACTGTATATCTCATTCTTCACACTTCTCCTTAGTTTGACTATGATGTTTTTAGGTACAGTTTTCTAGGGTTTACTGAGCTTGTTGGATCCATTGAGAAATGCTTTTCATCAAATTTGGGAAATTTTAAACCATTATTTCTTCAAATATATTTCTGTCCTGTTTTATTTCTCCTTTCTTTCTGAGACTCTACGTGTAGCTGTTATGGTTTGAATATATCCCCCAAAGTTCATGTCTTGGAAACTTAATCCCCAACACAATTGTATTGAGAGGTAAGACCTTTAAGAAGCTCTTCCCTCATGAATAAATTAATGTCTTTATTGAGGGAGTGGGTTCATTATTCTGAGAATAGATTTGTTTTATGAAAGCATTCCTCTTGCTCTCTCTTTCTCCCTTGCTCTCTCACATGCGTACATACTCTTGAAGCTGCCTTTGCAAAAATTATAACAATGAGAAAATTATGACAGTGAAAGAGATCTGACTTAATGTCTTATCTTTAGCCTCCAAAATGCCCTTAGGTCCTGGGTGTGAGTCAAGGTAACTTTAGGAGAAATTTATTTTATAGTTTTAATAGTTTTAGAATAGTTTAGTCGTTTTAATAACAGCCTTTTCCTAACAATTAAACTGCCTTTGGGAAAATAATGAAAGGCCACCAGGTTAGGAGGATGAGAGGGGCCCGAATTCGTAGTTATGTATAATAATAATCCAGACACTATTCTGGAGGTCACAAGATTTGCAACTTCCCCAATTACTCCTGTAAATAACATCACTATTGTAGAACCTAAGATTGGCCTTTTGAGATGTCAGGCTTTTGCATTTCTGACAACTGGATGGCCCCTCCCAGACCCACGGTTCTTGACTCCACTGGTCCTATGGCCCCCACCTGGAAGTGGACTTACCTCATGAGGACCATTTTTCACACCCCTATGATTGCATCTTCAACCAGTCAGCAGCACCCATTCCCTAGCCCCTTGCCCACCAAACTACTTTCGAAAAACCCTAGCCTCCAAATTTTCAGAAAGGCTAATTTGAGTAATAATAAAACCCCAGTCTCCCATTTAGCCAGCTCTAAGTGAATTAAACTCTTTCTCTATTGCAATTCTTCTGTCTTGCTAAATCAGCTCTATCTGGGCAGCAGGCAAGATGAACCCATTTGGCAGTTACACTCTCTTACCCTTCCACCTTCTGCCATGGAATAGCACAGCAAAAAGCCCCTCACCAGATCCCAGCCCCTCATTCTTTTACTTCCCAGACTCCAGAGCCATGAGAAATAAATGATAAACTACCCAGTCTATGTATTCTGTAATAGTAGCAAAAATGAACTAAGACAACAGGTATATTATACTACTTGATACTGGATCAGAGGTCACTCAGATATTGCTCTTTTTAAAATTATTTTCTCCCTTGTTCACATAGGGTAATTTCTGAAGATCTGTTTGCAAGTTCATTGACTCCTTCAAACTGATCTTAAGCCCATCCAGTGAATGTATTTCATTTCTTGTATTTTTCAGTTCTAAAATATTCATATGAGAAAGTAAAAAACACACAAACTGTTTTTCCTCTGCTCTCACACAACACAGAATACTTCTGTGACCAAATGTTGGAGGATGTTTCCCCACCTACCAAACAAGCAATGAATTCTGAAGGAAACACCAGCCCAGTGTTTTCTAGTTTAATTCCAACACTATCTACCTGGAGATAGCATCAGATCCCGTAGGTTGAGTGCTCAAGTCCCCAAGGCTGCTCCACCCCTTCACACTTCCAGTGACAATCACAAGCCCCAGGTTATTTTTGCCAGTGCTTCTGACTGACCAGGTATAAATCTGGATTCTCATAACCTCTTCTTTGGGTTAAATTAATTTGCTACAGCTCACAGAACTCAGGGAAATACATACTTACGTTTACTACCTTATTTACAAAGGATATTTTTAAATATACAAATAAACAGCACGAAGAGAAAATACACAGGGTGAGGTCTGGATGGACCCTGAGTGCAGAAGCTTCCGTCATCATGGAGTTGGGGTGCACCACCCTCCTGGCACATGAATGTGTAAGCCCCCATGCATTTGGCTATTTGCAACCTCTCCGATCCCTGTCCTTTTGGGTTTTATGGAGACTTCATTACATAGGCATGATTGATTGAATCATTGACCACTGGTGATCAACTTAATTTTCAGCCCCCTCTCTGCTCCCCAGAGGTTGGGGGATGGAACTAAAAATTACACTTCTCTAGGCACATGGCCATTTCTCTTGCAACCAGTTCCCCCGTCTTGTGGTTTCTAGGGGTTTTCCAAAAATCATGTCATTAACATAAGAACAGACGTTTTTGAAAAAAAATAGAAAATAGCAAAAGATTATCTTTCACCTTTATCATTCAGGAGGTACTTCAGGAACCAAGGACAAAGACCAAATATCTTAACAAAAAATATTTTTACTGCTGTAGTCACTTAGGAAATAACAAGGCTTACAAGAGCTTACAGCCAGGAATCATGGATGAAAACCAAAATATACGTATCATCCATCACAACGTGATTTTTTGTTTCCATTTCTCTGCTGAGATTCCTCATCTGTTTACTCCATACGACCGTCTTTTGGTTTAAGTCCCTGAAAATATATGTAATAACTTCTTTATGTTCTTGTCTGCCTACTGCAACACTCCAACATGTGGGTCATTTCTGGGTCTGCTCTTTTTGACTCTTTTTTACTTAACTATGGAGCACACAGAGGTTCAAATCCCAGGTTCTCTGCCCTTTACTTGTGTGACCTTAGGCAAATTAACATCTTTGGATCATTTCCCCTCATATATTACAGGGACAATGGCAACTACCTTGCAGGATTGTTATAGACATCAAACAAGATAATGCACATGAGGAGCCTGTTCATAGTAGGTGCTTACTGAAAGGTAGCTGCTACTGGCTTTTGAAATTAGGCTCATGAAACATGTCTCCCACAGGAAGCTCTTTCTGATAACTACATCTAGAGTTGGTTGCCCCTTTTCTGCGACCCTCCACACCTTGGGCTTCCCTCTCAACCCTACATTATTGTGCTATCTTACTCCTACTCTTCCCTGCTAGACTATGTATCCTACAAAGCAGGGGCATGTTATATTCAGCTCTGTGTCTCTGGCTCATAGTAGGTCCCCAATGCTCATTTACTGCATACGGCTGAAGCTACCCTTCTCTAAATCACACAGACAGCGCGATTTATTACAGTCTGTAACCTGGTAGAGTTTCACCGCAAACCTGGAGTCCCCTGTGGCTCTAGCCCTGTAAAACTAGTTACAACCAGTCCTGTAAAACTAGTTATAATTAAAGCTTACGCTGCATTAAGCATTGCTTGTATTAGGCGTTGTGTGAATGCAGTTGTGCTTTGCTCCTAATAAGCGACTGACATTTGATTTTCACAGCATCAATGTCTCATTATTAGTCACCATTCCTGCCGTGAGACCATGCACACCCTGTGTGGCCATTAGACTTCTCTCCTCATCCAGTGCTGTCATATCTGAAATTGTTCTCAACCCTCTCACTCCCCTGTAACTCAGGTATTCAAATCCTAGTTGACCGTTCTTTCCAGTGAACTTCTGAGGCAGATATTGGTCATGGTGAGGATGATGAGGATCATTCTGATAAAGGCAAAAACTAGTGTATTGAAGGATTATGATATTCCAGGCATTAAGCATGCTGTCCCATTTAATCCTCATCAACCCTGAAAGACAGGTATTGTCATTCTCATTTGACAAGGGAGGAAAGGGAGGCTTAGGGAGCTGATGGACTTACCCACAGTCACATGAATGGTAGGAAAATGCCCAGTCTTGCTGACTCTTTGCTCAGTACCCTTTTTGGCTGACTGTTCATGGCACTCAGCTCTGCTCTCTGCCTCCATGGATGGGTGTCCTGACCCCATCTGTCACACCAAGGATCTCATGGCTCTTTTAAATAGGACATGACTATATGTGACAGAGTGACCTTAACAGGTGCTGGATGGGTAAGGGGGTGGGGTGATCAAGGAGATCTGGGAGGAAGTGAGGTGGGTCAACACCACAGTTGTAATGACAGATGTCACTTGTTGAGGGCCAGAGGGAGCCAGAAGCCAGACCGCACATCAGCCACTGACATACATTATCTCCTTTCAGTACTCAAAACAATGCTGTGTGGTAAATATCAGTGCCAGTTCACACATAAAGGACCTGAGCCCCTGAGAGGGTCAGTAACCTGCAGCTTCCAAATGGACCTGCTGTCCCTTGTCCCCAGACCTGTGTCCATCCTCTGCCTCCTTCTCTGACTGGTTCACTCCTGGTTACCATTTGGTTGAGGTAAGATATCATCTTCCTGGCCTGCTGCACCCCTTGAGCTGACTCAGGGGACCTCCTGAGCCCCACAGCTCCCTTGCCTTTAACCCCAGGTCTTAGTTCTTTTTTGTGTTGCTGTCACAGAATATCTGGGACTGGGTAATTAACAAGAACAGAAACTTTTTTTTTCTCACAGTTCTGAAGGCTGGGAAGTCCAAGATCAAGGCATCAGCATCTGGTGTCTAAAGAGTGTATATTCTCTGCTTCCAAGATGGCACCTTGAATGCCACATCCTCCAGAGGGGAGGAACACTGTGTCTTCATATGGAAGAAGAGCAGAAGAGAAAAAGAACTCACTCCCACAAGCCCTTTTTATAGTGGCATTAATCCATTCATGAGGACAGAGCCCTCACGATCTAAACACCTCCCATGAGGCCCCACCTCCCTGCATTGTTGCATTTGGGATTTAGTTTCTAGCATGTGAATTTTAGGGAGTATATTCATACCACAGATCCCACCCTGAAGCTGTATACACTGCATTGTCCTTGCCTGTTTTCTGCCCTGACCTTCCATCTACACTGTGAGCAACCCATGTCTTGCTTGGTTCCATATGTTTAAATGAGTTAGTAAATGTAAAATGCACGGCACAAGGGCTCAATAAAATGTGTGGTACATAAGGGCTTAATAACTGCTGTTGTTTGTATTATTCCCATTGCCCACCACAAAGCCAGGCCCTCAGCAGGCCAAGAAACATTTGTCTAATTAAGGAGTGAATGACTATCATATGAGCTATGCATTTATAGAGCCAGGATACTAGTCTCACTGTCTCCAAAACTGTAGGGAGACCCCCTGAAACTATTGCTACAGAATAGAAGATGAAATGCTCCTGATTATTGTAAATACAAAATTGTATGCAGGATTGTGTACAGACAATGCCAGGTTGGACTGCCAGAATGAGCCAACAGCATGTGATGTGCTTCCCCCTGCAGAGAGCCTATGAATGGACGTGCAGTCAGGGAGGTTTCACATCACCAAGATTCCTATCCCAGAAAAGCAGATGTTCATAGCTCTGGGAATGGAATGCGACCCTTGTGAAGAGCCTATAAACAGACGCATGAGGGCTGCCTGTTCATATGGATAAGATAGGGCTATAAATGCCCTCATTTTGCCACGGCTCTTCTAGGCCTCTTTAGGGTTAAGGCATACTCCTTTCTGAGAGTTTCTGATCTAACCGGTTGTCTAGCTTCACTTCCTGTTTCTATGGATTGTTTGTAACCAGCTTTTACTGCAACTGTTACTGCTGATTAATACTGCAACTGTTACTGCTGATTAATACCTTGCTAATCATAGGTTATGGAAAGACTGTGTTTCTGTTTTAAGGCTCTGTTAGAAATTACTGATGCACACACTACATTGTAAATTCTTATCCCTGTATACTGTACTTCTGCATACAGATGTTATGTTAAAGAATTACTTCATCCCCATGTGACCATCTCACCTCATAATCAAATGACCCTAAATCCCTCACTAACCTATCCCTGCCCTCACTAAACTTAATAATAAATGCTGGCATATACAGTGCATTGGCGGCATTGCAGGACCAGAAGGCGGTGACCCCCCTGGACCCAGCTTTCACTATCTTGTGTGTGTCTATTATTTCTCGACCTGCCAATCCGCCTGGGAACAAAGAGAGAGCCCCGTTGCATTGTGGGCTGCTGGCCAGATCCCGCAATACAAAACCATGCATTGCCTCTTCTGCCTTGGCTGGACCCATGAGATGCTTCCCACCCACCTTGTTGCTGACATGCCTTCACTTCCAGAGTGCCACCCCACCGTCAGCTGAGGCAGGTGTGCAGATCGGGAGCAGCTCCCAGTGGAAGAACCCACAAAGGCCTCAGGTCGTGCAGCCACTTGGAACCCTAGCCTTGACACCACTGCCCCTGGGAAAGCAAAATAAAACACTTTGGGAAAGGAGAGCTCAAGATCTGTTCTCTTCAGAGTTGGAGAAGTGTTAGAGAACCCGCTGAAACTTTTCTTGGAATTCTCCATGATAAAATGCTGACTTTCAGCTGCTTGGGTATGTTGATCAAGATAAGTCCAGCTACAATCGATTTGCCAGGGATCAGGCTCCCACCATGCTGAGTCATAGCACCCCAGCTGGGAGCAGTGGCTCACACCTGTAATCACAACGTTTTGGGAGGCCTAGGTGGAAGGATCACTTGAGCTCAGGAGTTCGAGACCAACCTGGGCAACATGGCAAAACTTCGTCTCTACAAAAAGTACAAAAATGTGCCAGGCATGGTGGTGTTCTACTTAGGGGGCTGAGGCAGGAGGATGGCTTGAGCCTGAGGGGCAGAGCAGCGCTCATGCCACTGCATTCCAGGCTGGGTGACAGACTAAGACTCTGTTAACAAAAAAATAAATAAATAAAAGACACTGACTCTCTTCCTCTGAAAAGAGCAGGGATTTAAGACCAGACTTGTCATTTGAACTTCATTGGTCATCTAAGCCCTCTCTCTCCTCTTGCTCTCCTCCCCTAGGAAAACCTCATTTTGATCCAGGCCTTACTCTCTCTGTCCTTCCTCCACGTTCACAGCCTGTTTCATCCTGAGTCAGCCCTTCCTTGGATGTAAATTCTGGGCTTCTTTTTTCCTTGTCCCATCCATTCTCATAATGCATGAGAGTGGGAGTCCCAGCTTCCAGTTCTCCCCACTCCAACAGTCACCTTCCCAGGAAAGGGGGCTGTACCCCAGATGCTCAGCCAGTCCTGGCCAAGGCAGACCCACTGGCAGGTGGAAACTATGACTGCGCTTATGGCCCAGGCCAGGAATGGTGTGCCCTGGAGCATGGCACCCGGGAGCTGCATGGCCCTTCTTCCCCAACCTCATTGCACTGGCCAGGTCTCCCCCACTTCTTCCTTTTCCTTCTCTTCCTCCTCCTCCTCCTCGTCACCATCATTGCTAACCCTTATTAAGAGCTCACCATGTGTCAGGCCCTATTTGGATCACTTTTCATAGGTATATGTCATTTTGTATGGCAAGATCCCTATACTAGTTTGGGGAATTAAGATTTAGTCCTAGAAAACCGGTCCACTGGTAGAGACTGTGAGCCCCCAGTCAGACAACTAAATACTGTGTCCCTCATGGACGGAACCTAGGACCGCATCCAGCCTGCCTTCCAGAGCTGAGGCTGCTGGTCACCAGGTCTACCTACCAAGTTAGATTCTCCTGGGCACCAACACTGCCCACACCAGCTCCAGGTTCATTCTAATAATACCTGGCTGCCTGGTGTGGATTTTGGGAACTGCCCTTTGGGGGCCAGCCCAGCAGGCCAGTGCAGCTTGGGTTTCCTCCCCTTCCTCAAGTTCATGACTGAGTTCCCAGTCAGCCTCATGGCCAAGCCTGCATAGGTTAGGACATGAATTCTCTATGTGACCACTCGCGGTGATGAACTCCACCGAATAACTGATCAATCATTTACTTTAATTGGCTTGGTGACTGCCAGCATCTTGAGCTGCTTCCCCAGTTCACCTCTTCACACTGTCCTCTGAGCCTTTATAAAAGGTGGGATCACATGGAAACATCACAGGTATGTCTCTTGCTGCAGTTGGGAAGGTCCATGTTGAGTCATGGTTACTTGTTAAAGCTACATAAGAAAAGCCATATTCCTTTAGAGAGAAGCTGAGGTCCTCCAAGAAGCATAGGGTGTTCTAGTTACTATGGCTGCAAATCAAAATATAGTAGCATGAAACAGCCATTTGTTATGCTCATGGATTCTGTGGGTCAGGAATCAGGCAAGGGCTCAGTGGAGCAGTTCTTGCTTGGAGTCTCTCATGAAGGTGCAGGCAGACATCTACTGGGGCTGTCATCTAAGGCAGACCACTCACATGGCTGGCAAGTCAGCATTGGCTGTTGGCCCAGGGGGCCTTGGGTTTCCTCCACAGGGACTTCTCCATGGAGCTGCCTGTGTGCTATCATGGCATGGCAGCTGGCTTCCCCCAGAGTAAGATCTCCAAGAGGCCAAGATGCAATATCTCCTATGACTTAGCCTTAGAAGTCAGACACTGTTACCTCCACCACATTCTGTTGGCGACACAGGCAAGCCCTGACTCAGTGTAGGAGGAGACTACACAAGTGCATGAATACCAGGAGGCAAAAATCACTGGGGCCATCTTGGAGGCTGGTTCCCACAGGCAACATTCCCAAGGTGGAAGTGGAATTGGCGGCCAAAGAGAAGAGGCCACATCCGTCTCTAAGTTTCAGATTTAGAGGCATCCAGATGTCCAACCATACTCTCCTAAACTGGGGGGACCCCACAAAAGTGCCTACCACATGAAGTAAGACTGAGGTTGACACAAAAGGCACCTGGAATGGAACCCAAACTGGAAATGAGTAAATGTCATTGGGTCTTTTAGGGTCTGCCTGACATCCCCTCAGCCACCTCTGAGGTCAGCTGCAGCTATAGCAGACAGCTCCCAAGCCTGCGGGCAGAGTCCCACCTCCAGGACCAGCCACATCTTGGCTTCCCTGCCTGCTGCAGGCTTGGCCCAAATGTAGGGCAGCCCAGAGTGCAGAGGGGTCAACAACCCCTAGCAACGGCATGGCAGTCAGCGAATCCATGCCTTAGGCTCCCCTCCCAGAGTTCCTTGGGGGCACCCAGAGTAACTGAAGCCCAGCTGCCCACAGCAATAGCCAGCTCAAGAAAGCACTCGTTCTTGCTTTTTTTCTCCTTGCCTGTCTCTCTCCCTGTTCTCTCACCTTCAGAATAAACTCCCTTCACCCAGTGTCTTGCCTCAGGCTCTACTTTCAGGGGGACCCAAACTAAGACGGTGAGCTTCAGCCACCTTGCTCGTAGGCCTCATTTTCTAGATTCATGCCATGCTCTGCTGTTTCTTTTATTCAATAGACACTTTGAGCGCTTCATATGCAACAGACACTGGGAAGCAAAGGTAAACCAGACATGATCTCAGCCCTCAAAAACCTTGAGCCTCTGCCTGGCAGTCCCAGACAAAGGCATCGGCAATTAGGGAGCATTGATGAGGGCAAGAGCATGGTGTCCCAGGATGGAACAGGACGGGAGCCCAGAAGAGGGGACTCTAAATGAGACAGGGGTCCAGGAAGTCTTCTCAGAAAATTGATGCTTGGGCTGAAAGATGCAAAGGAGGAAAACTCATTAATGAGAGGAAATAAGGGGTAAGGTTGTTTTGTCCAAGGGAAGTGCTTGAAAGAAATAAAATGAAACAATGTTGCTAAGGCACTACTGCTACAGCTTTTTGTTGTTGTTTTCTTTTTCCTTTTTTTTTTCTTTTTTTTTTTTTTGTGGAGACAGGGTTTCACTGTTTCCCAGGCTGGAGTGCAGTGGCACAATCCAGGCTCACTGCAGCCCTGATCTTCCCATCTCGGCCTCCCGAGTAGTTGAGATTACAAGTGCACACCACCATGTCCAGCTAACTTTCTGGATTTGGTGTTTCTTTGTTTGTTTGTTTGTGATTTTTTGCTTTTTTTAACATTTCTAGGCCAGGTGCAGTGGTCCATGCCTGTGATCCCAGTACTTTGGGAGGCCAAGACAGGAGGATCCCTTGGGCCCAAGAGTTCCAGAGCAGCCTAGGCAACATAGTGAGACCCTGTCTCTAAAAAATAAAAATAAATAACATTTCTGAAGAATTTTTCCAAGTGCCCAGACCTCACATGGATCATTTCATATAATCCTCATAGCAACATTTTGGGGCAGAGATAACTAACCCCATTCTGCAGATAAAAAAATGGAGGTGAGAGGTTCAATTATTTGCCTGTGGTTGCCCAGCTAACAAATGACAGGACGAAGATTCAAACTTAGGTCTGATTCCAAATCCCAAGGTCTCACCAAGAAGAATGCATCTCCTTCTATGGTGGGTCAGGGGTGCATGTGGACAGTTGGGGAGTGGGAACACAGCTGTAAGAGCGGGCAGGGGTTAGATCACAGACTGCAACAAACCAGGAGAGTTTAAATGAGGGAATGACACGCTCAGATGTGGTAGTTGCCAAAGCTAATTCTGAGCACTGTAAACGAGATTCCATTCTATGTTAACAGGGTCTAAGAGAAAGCACCTTAGTCCATCCTGGGGCCACAGGCGTATGGAGCAAGCAGCGCCCCCGTGAGGCTGGAGTGGGGCCAGCAGTGATTAACGCCACTTTCTCCCAGAAGGCGCTCAGAGATAACTTCCCCGTTAAGAAATTGCCCTCCAATGCTCACCTTCCAGGGTCTGAGATTTTATTAAACAAAGTGACACTTTTCTTTTAGGTTTTTCCCCCTTGGAAAGTCTAATAAACATCACTTAATGAGCAAGGAGGGGCTCTAGGGTGCAATGATATACACTATGACTATTTTTGACTCACCCTGCTTTTTTCCAGAGCAATCTTTTTTTTTTTTTTTGAGACGGAGTCTCGCTCTGTCGCCCAGGCTGGAGTGCAGTGGCGGGATCTCGGCTCACTGCAAGCTCCGCCTCCCGGGTTCACGCCATTCTCCTGCCTCAGCCTCCCAAGTAGCTGGGACTACAGGCGCCCGCCACTACGCCCGGCTAATTTTTTTTGTATTTTTAGTAGAGACGGGGTTTCACCGTTTTAGCCGGGATGGTCTCGATCTCCTGACCTCGTGATCCGCCCGCCTCGGCCTCCCAAAGTGCTGGGATTACAGGCATGAGCCACCGCGCCCGGCCCAGAGCAATCTTAATTAAGTGGAAGGTGCCAGTAGCTCTAGAAGAATTTACCGACGGCCTCTCAAACTAACTCTGATTAATAGCAGAGGCACAAAAGTGTCGCCATAACCAGGTCACATGACATAATACAAATGACTGTCTATTGCTATTTTTAAGTAATGTTTATTAGAATCCCTTGGCACGTAATAAATTTAATTTACAGCGGCCTGCAGCCCGACTTACACATGGCCTCCTGTGGCTCAGCTCATTAACACACTCAGGGAAGAGATGAGTTTTCTCTTTAATTCTCCCATTCCATTTCTCCTTTCTAATGAGGCCAGATTGTGAAACTCTTCAGGAGAGAATTTCTCCATCGTCTCCAATACAAATCGTCTTAAACGCTCAGATTTTTTAATTATCACAGAGGCACACGGCACAGATTCATGTGAGATGGCTTGGGGCAGAGCTGGAGTAAGACATGGTGAATCATCCACGCTCACATGAGTGAGAGCTCTTGGAAGGGAGACTAGGGGAGGAGACCTTTGGATCCAAGAACCCTCCAGTTGAAGATGTGGAGGCCTTTAGACAGATCCAGCTGTTATCAGACTCTCTAGAGAGCAACAGAAGAGCTGGAGGCCAAGGGACCAATGGTCTGGGGTCAAATTCTGCTTCTGAGTTTGGTTTAGAAGACCTCCGAGGGCCTTTCCAGCTCTTAACAGTCTGATTCCTTCCATTTCTTGGCTTGAGAACAAAATTCAAAGATGAAATATCCCATCAAAAAGAGCAGGAGTCAGCATACTTGTTCTGCAGAGGACCAGATAGTAAGTATTTTAGGCTGTGCAGGCCAAGAGGCAGAATCAAGGATATTATGCAGACACTTACATAACAAGACAGAACAAATTTCCATAAATTATTATTGATGAAATTTAAAACATAATAACTAAGTACAATATTTTATTATATAGGTCTACTAATGAGAAAAATGGAATTCTTTTTTATGGGATAGCATTTTGCCTAATTGTGGTTTAAAGATAATGTTCTCCATCATCAAACAAAAGAATATTCATCTGTCATAACCCTTCTTAGATATGGGCTATAAAAACTGGTGGTAAGCTAGATTTGGCCTGCAGGTCATAGGTCGCCAACTCCTAACATAGAATAGTGTCTAACAGTGTGGGTTCTGCAGTCAGACTGCCTGGGTTGAGATCATGGAACACCAACGATTAGCTGGAAGGTTATGTCATCTCTTGCATCTGTGATCTACTGCTTCAACCATGCTGCAAAACTGCAGTGGTGTATGAAGAGACGTATTTACTTAGCTCACAAGTCGGTGGGATCCCTTTGGTCTAGGCAGGCTCTGTTGGTCCAGGTGTGCTTGCTCATGCACCTGCAGGGTGTTGCGGGTGGGTTCAGCAGCTTTGCTGATCTTGGCTGGGTTCGCCCACAGGTCTGAGGTTCTGCTGGTGCATGGCCGAGCTAGGGTGGCCTCAGCTGGGATGACCTGAGCAACTCGACCCCGTTCTATGTGTCTTTCACCTCTGGCAGGCTGGCTGGGGCACATTCTTCACATGGCCGTGAACAGAGAAGCAAAAACAAGCAAACCCAGCTCCCAAGCACTCTCCAGCTCTGTGTGCATCACACCTACCAACATGCCATTGGTCCAACACAGGGCCCAGGGGCCCAGAATCGAGGCACAGGAAGGGGCAGTGCCAAGTCACATGGCAAAGGGTGGATGCAGCAAGGGGGCAAACACGGGGCCTGCCACGCCGCCTCACCTCCCTTGGCCTGTTTCCTCATCTATAAAATGGTGGCAATCATCACAGTTTCCTTCTAAGGTTGCCATGAAGATTTAAGGAGTTAATAGTGTTATATCTTTAGAACAGAGCGTGGCGCTTAGTAAACAGCCAATAAATATTAGTCATTATGATCAGCTGATTTACTTACTCTAGGTATCAGCATCTTAATTCTATCTCCTGGTAGGACCTATGCATTCTAAGAACCTGGAAATAAACATACATAGATGGAATTATTTACTCTGGGGCTCTTTAAAAACATTCTCTATGCTCAGGTACGGACCATGGGTTCAGGGGAGGTCTAGGGGTGTCTGGTCCCAGCCTTCTGTTCCATCCACAAAGGATCTGCAGAGAGGCTGAGAGAAAGGCTCTGGTCTTCCAGGGAGACATCCTTGTGTGTCCTGAGTCTTCTGGTCCCACACCGTCTGCATGGGATGGCTGCTTCTTGATTAGGGGTTTCTTCCCCTGTCTCTCAGAGCTCAGTGTCCTCATCAGAAGGCTGGTATAAAGCCTTTGCTTCTCTCCCAGTGATCCACCATGGCCAGCTGCTGCTGTGGGGCCCTCAGCCCCCTGCCTCTTTGACCTAAGCTCCACTAGGCTGCTCTCTGTCTTTGCTCATCATGATTTTGTCAACAGGATGGGCCTTTTAAAACTCCCCGTAAGGAGGCAAGTGTCTCTGTTTGGAGTATGACTGAAGCTCCACAGTGCAAATCATTAAAAGATGCAACAGAAATTGCTAGGTGTCTGGTTGTCCCCAGCATCCATCTCTGTAATTCATTAGGAATGGGACCTCTGATTTTAAGCTGGACACATGGTTGCCCTGAATAGGAAATGTGTTTCACAGCCTCCCTTGTAGCTTGGTGTCGTCGTGTAACTGTGCACAGGCCAATAGGATGTGAGCAAAAGTGTCATTTCAGACTTGCAGAAAGTGCTCTTAAAGGAAGGAATCGACCTTCCTTTCTCTGTTCCTTTTTTCTGCCAGCTGGCATGAGGATATGATGGCTGGAGTTTGAGCAGCTATGTTGGACCATGAGGTATAAAGACCCCTATGTGGTGAGGATGGCAGATCGACAAGCTAGAAAAAGCCTGACCCCTGTTCTATGAAGCACCCCACCAGCCCCAGACTTCCTTTTACCGGAGAGAGAAATAAACTTCTACCATGTTTAAGCCTCTAGGCATTATGGATCATGTCTGGTATTTACATGGTATTTTAAAGTTTACAAAACCCATTCCTATTTATGTTCTCTTGTGATCTTCCTAGGCAAAGCAAGTAACATTATTATTCCCATCTTACAAATGGAGAAACTGAGGTCCAGGGGATTTAAGTGGATTGCCCAAGATCATATGCCTAGACAGAAGCTGTCATTCAAACCTAGACCATGTGACTCCAAGTCCAGTCTCTCAGCCAGCACTCAGCGCATCTGCCTTCTATCTATCACACCCGCTTCACCCTACCCCTCCTCCCCAACACTGCGAGCATGGTCTTTACACAAATACTCAATGCCACTCTCTTGCTTCAACCTGCTCGGTGCCTCTCCTCTGCCCCCAGAATCATTCCAAATGTCTTCTGAGGATGGCTCACAAGGCCCACTATGGTGGAGTCTTCCCCTCCTGCAGCCTCATCTCTTGTATGTTCCTGCTCTGTCCTCCAGGTGTGTCCAAGAACACAGCCAGGAAATAACAGTACTAGGAGTAACTCAGACCCAGCTCTGTTTGACGCCAGAGTCAACATATTTTTCTCTTAGATCATCAGCCTCCCAATTCCTCACTGATTTCATAATCACACAGGAGGCTGAAAAAGGCAGCTGTACGAGTGCCTAGACACAGACTGCTCACAGAGCAGAGGAGATGGGGTTGGCTTGGTGTGGGGTTGGGCTAGGGGAGGGGGTGCTTCCTGGGCAGAGTGATGTGAGCTGGATTTGAAGGATGACTAGGACTTTGCCAAGAAGGCAGATGGCAAAGTCTTCCAGACAGAGGAAACTGCACATGCAAAGGCAGGAGGTGACAACTGCAAAATGTGTTAAATCATCAGCCTCCCTACTCCTGCTGAACTTTGGTCAACATCAGCCTCCCTACTCCTGCTTGAAGTTTGGTCAACTTCAAGCAGGAAGTACAATCGCACCAGGACACTGAAAGCATCGGGCTCTTCCGGTGTGCTTGCTGCCTGTGCTCACTTCTGTCCCACACCATACATATTATAAGCAGCTCTTTCCTTCTCTGTCTTCCCCACTGGACTGGAGCTAGTGAAGAATGGGCAGGGCCCCTGTTTCAGGCAATTCTGATCCCCAGTACCCACAGCCTGGCACAGAATCTGCATTCTCTCCATGTTTGTTGAGTGCCTAAATAAGCAAAGTTATTGCAACCATAAATCAGGGACTGTCCGGCTAAGTGAATCCTTCTACATCAGGCGCTGAGAAAGGCGTGCTCCTGGAAAAGTTACAAAGAAAATCTGTGTGCTGGGCTGCTCAGTGCTGGTGTGAGCAGCAGATCTTCAAGCTCCTGGAAGCTTCTGACATTTCTGACTAAAGTAAATGGCAAAACCCTCATTCCCTGAAATATCTACAAAGCTCAGAGCCAGACAGGTTTCCAGGCAGAGGCCATTCCGTGAAAATCCTATTGTAAACAAAAAGACACAGAGTTCAGCAAGGTCTCCCTGTGATGAAAAAGCCACTCAAACATGTAATCACAAGGCAAGACACAAAATGTAGAACTTTGTAAATTACCCTATTTCCATTCATTCCTTCAACAAATATGTACCAGGCGGTCACCGTAGGTCAGGCGCTGCCCTAGGCTCCTGGAGTATGGTGGTTGGCCTTTTTGTTTGGGTTCTCCCAATAGCAGAGCATGAGACAAGGACTTTGGTGTAGGTGATTTGTTTGGGAGGTGAGCCCAGAAGCAGGAAGAAGGGAGAAGAAGCCAGGGCAGGGGAGGCCAGGTCAGTTTGCGTTAAGGAGCCAGTTACTGCTGTGGGTGATGGGACCTCAGTCCCCTTTGGGGGACCCCCAAATCACTGTGTAGAGTGAGGCGTAGAACTGCCCCTCAATACTGCCCTATTGTTCAGACTACTCTGGAGGTGTCGCCTCCTACATTTCTGCTTTCGCCTGCTAAGCGGGTTTCCTCAGCTCTCAGGCAGAAGAGCAGAGAAGGCACGGCAGGAGGTTAGGGTGGGGGACTCCAGAGGAACTGCCCATCATGGCTGCCACCAAAACCGAGGTGGGGGGAGGGCATATGCCATGGAATGCAAAGCGTCCTCTGCAGGCAATGAACAAAGGGGCCTGAAGCCCCTGCCCTCATGGAGCTTACATTCTAGTGAGGGCAGACTCATAATAACCAAAGGAAATGAGTAAAATTAAGTATGTAATTGGGAAGCAATAAGTACTAGAGAGAAAAATAAAATAAAGTAAGGAGAATGGGGCCAGTGGTGGGGGCTGAGATTTTAAATAGAATGGTCAGGGTGGATCTTGTTGAAAAAGTGACCTGTGAGCCAAGTCTTGAAAGAGGGAGGGAGAGGGCCCTGCTGATCTGTGGGGAAAAGCATTCAAGGAGGAGGGAACACCCAGGCTGAGGTCCCAAGGCAGACTCAGGCTTGAGGGTTTCAGAAATAGCAAGGAGTCTAGAGGAGGAGTAATAGCAGATATGGAGCAGGTGGGGTTGGAGAGGTGAGGGGGACCCTTCCCTAGAGGTCCGGTAGCACTGGCCTTATTCATTTAATAACACTTCAGCAGTTGCTCACAATTCTTTACGGAGCTCCTATTACACGTTGGGTGCTGCCAGATGTCTGAACTCAAAGAGAAATTTAAAAAGCCCCTACCCCAGTGCTCTCACAGTTAGGAAAGGAGACAGAAGTGCAATTAGATAAAGTGGACGTGATTTCCCCCAACCTGCTGGGCTCAAAGTTTGACATACTTCTAATACTTCCCACTACAGCCCAGCAAGGCACATATCAGCCTCCTCATTTTACAGTCAAGGACACTGAGTCTCAGAGAGGTTAAGGGAACGTCCCAGATTGGACCCAGATTCAAGTGACATCTAAATCAGAGTTCTTTCTACTAACACCACAGCCTGCCACCTCCCTGCCAACAATATGTTATGGTGTCATAACAGAGTCTAGTGTGATAAGGTGCCATGATGGAGGGGTGGGGAGGATCCAGAGAAGGGAGTCTGGGATGGCTGTGTGGCAATTAGCCAAGATGACAAGAGGGGAAGGGGATCTAGGGAGGGGAGCAAGGGCAGGGAGGTGGGAAACAGTAGGGTGCCAGCGGGGAACTGCAGGTCAAGGTAGACGGGGCAATGGTTGGAGTGCCAGGGTTGGGTGCTCCTGTGCTGTGTTAGGGAGTCGTCCAGGAAGATTTTTTTTTAATTAAATTTAATTTTTTTGAAACAGGGTCTCATTCTGTCACCCAGGCTGGAGTACAGGCATGACTGTAGCTCACTGCAGCCTTGAACTCCCAGGCTCAAGCTATCCTCCTGCCTTTGCCTCCCAAGCACACATCACTGCACCTGGCTAATTTTTTTATTTTTATTTTTTGTAGAGACGGGGTCTCGCCATGTTGCCCAGGCTGGGACTTCTGGGAGGTTTCACCAAGAAAGAGAAATGGCCCTATTGGCATTTTCTGGGTTAGGTCTGTTTCTCCTTCCTCCATTAGAAGGTGAGGTCTTGGGGAGCTGGACCCATCTCCTTCCTCCCACAGCTTCTGCGTGACCCAGCGTGTGTTGGTGCTCGGCGGAATCGAGGAGACGGAGCTGGCTCTCCCGGCTGGGCTGGCATTTGGACTTGACTGTTCTGACCAAAGGAGAGGCTAGCCAAGCAGTTCCACCAAATGCTCTCTTGGATCGGATCTATCTGGATTCTCTTTTGACGTAGGAAAATGGCAACGACCAGGCTGTGGCCACGAAGCAAGCCCAGACTTGATAAGTTTTTTCAAAATGTTGGTCCTTTTTTTAGGGTTTCGGGAAGGATGGCAAGACAGAGGAGACACGGATGGTTTTAAAGGGAAGTTAAAAATCTGGGCTTCTTTCTGACTCCCCTGCCCCCCACCTCCCTGTCCAAATATCTAGCTTCAGAGATTTGGACCAAAGTATTCTTGGGGAAAGAACTAACTCACAGTTTGGGGCAAGGCAGATCTGTCCACACAACCCCAGGTAATGAATCCTGCTCAGCTCTTAGAATACTGACGGAGGTGAGGGACAAACCTCAGAAGGACAAGTGACGTCTTGGATGAATCCTAGAAGAGACTTGGGGTTCCCCCTCCCCCACACCTGGTCAATAAGGAAGATATCCTGTCTGGACAGATTCACAGCTGACCTACAAAACGCGCACTGACAAGTAACTTTAATTCAAGTTCAGGAAATGAACAAATTGGATAATACCAATGTCTTTTAAAATAACTCTGTTTATTTGCAGCATTTAAAAAAATCAGCCTTCATAACTTTAAGGTTTAATAATAAGTGTTCCTTTACTAGTCACTTTCTTTGTGTTTTGCTCATCAAGATCCTTGAAGCCAATTAGTACTCATGTAAAAGAGAGGCATCTTTGCCCCTCTATCCTTCAAAATATTTAGAGATAGACTTTTTTTTTTTCTGTGAGCAGTTATATTGTGCCAGGCTAAGTGTTTATATGAAATATCTCAGCTAATCCTTCCAGGAACTCTGTGATCTAATTATATCTAATAAATACTATTCTAATCCCTAATAGAAAGGGGAAAAGAGTCAGGCCTCAAAGTTTAGGAAATTCCCCGAAGATTGTGTAGTTAGTGAGAACCAAGCACTATGACTCAAGAGTCCATGCTCCCGACCAGCATGAAACTCTCCCCACCTAGAACCCACCTGTATTCACGGAAAAGTGGAGGCCAAGGAAAACCATCTGGATTCTTAAGGAGCTTCCCCTTTCAATTATCCACAGTTATACAGATGTTTCGGGCATAAAATATCCTGGTTGCCATGGTGTTCCACTTCATCTGATGCATGTGGTCATAGCCTCTGGAGCCCAGGAAACCTCTAAGAACCTGTCTAAGCCTGGGTTCCC
Source organism: Homo sapiens (assembly GCF_000001405.40). NCBI lineage: Eukaryota > Metazoa > Chordata > Mammalia > Primates > Hominidae > Homo > Homo sapiens. Next base: position 93,796,487 of record NC_000014.9, on the reverse strand, counting down.
TAGAAAAGGGGGCCTGAAGCAAAGCTCATGTAGCAGCACATTTTAGGGGTGCAATCCCAGGTTAGAAAGAGCAGGGGAAATTAGGAAAGAAGGCAGGGAAGGAAGGAAAGCACATCATGTGCGGTGCTGAAGTGGCCACAGTTTTGCCAGGGAACACAGCCAGTTGTTCGGTCACACAAGACATATGTCAGTAAGCCATATGGATGGAGAAAGGGAGATAAATAATCCACCAGATCTTTTCAGATCCTGTCATTGATCAAAGTTCATCCCACAGGAAGTTAACACCCTCCTCCACTTTCAGGTCATGGTCCTTGCTCCCCACTGACAACTACTGGGCAAGCCAGACCCCCTCCCCATGGTGTGGGGAGTATACTCAATCCTCTGAGTATACAGTTGGTGGTAGGTCCTAGGTCAGGATTCTGTGATGCTCGGGTCAGAGTCATAGCTTCCAGTAGAGTGGAATCCTTACTGTGTTCATTAGTGGGAGTTGTACTGTCTACAAGCCAGGACCTCTGACTGTTCTAAATCTGAGGTTGCAGGGATAAGCACAGATTCTGCAGGTTCTCCATGACTCCAGTCATCTGGGCCTGGCCCCCGCTGCTGCCATGGCCCCTTTCATGGTGTACATGATGGAGGCCGGGCTGAAGCTCAGCTCTTACCTGGGGGAGGCTGCAAAAGACAGTGGCGTTAGGAGATGGGACAGTGGTGGCACTGGCTGCCCTCTCCATTGAGCAGAAGGGGAAGCAGGTAAGGCCAAGTAAACCCAGGAAATGTATGGATGGGGCCCAGTACAGTCCACTCCTTGTGCTTTTCACAGTCCCCCACCCCATTCTCCTGTGATATTTGGATCTAACTTGAGAACAAAATGCCATCAGTTTGAGAGTGAAGGTGCAAGTCCAATTTTTGAAGTGATCAATTGCAACTTCCTAAAACGGCATAAAAAGATTAGCAAAGGAAGCTAGAGTCCCACTGCTGTGGCTGGTCCTAGGGCCATAATTGACACTCATCATCTTCTATCCACTCTGACCTTCCTTTCTTTCTTTTTTTTTTCTTTTCTTTTCTTTTCTTTTTTTTTTTTTTTTTTTGAGACGGAGTTTTGCTCTTGTTGCCCAGGGTGGAGGGCAATGGCATGATCTTGGCTCACTGCAACCTCCGCTTCCTGGGTTCAAGCAATTCTACTGCCTCATCCTCCCAAGTAGCTGGGATTACAGGCATGTGCCACCACGCCCGGCTAATTTTGTATTTTTAGTAGAGACAGTGTTTCTCCATGTTGGTCAGGCTGGTCTCGAACTCCTGTCCTCAGGTGATCCACCCACCTTGGCCTCCCAAAGTGCTGGGATTACAGGTGTGAGCCACCATGCCCAGCCCCATTCTAGATTTCTAGGGCCAGCTCTTCAGTGGGTCTGAGGTTCTCACCTGGAGGGTCTTCGGATGTTGTAATTGCTTGTTCACGGCTATCTCTGAGCAGAGAATCTCCCACAAATCCCAGACGACCAGATGTATTTGTCAGCTCAGGCTGCTGTAACAAAACACCCCAAGCTGGGTGGCTTAACCAACAGAAATCAATTTTCTCACAGTTCTGGAGGCTGAGCGTTCTAGATCAAGGTTCAGCAGGGCCAGTTTCTGGTAAGGATTCTCCTGCTGGCTTGTGGACAGCCGCTTTGTCCTCACATGGCTTTTCCTCTGGGTACCCAGAGAGAGGGAGAGAGCTCTGGTCTCTCTTCCTCTTCTTAGAGGGACAACAATCCTAGTGGATAGGGCACCATGCTTATGACCTCATTTAACCTTAATACCCCCTAAAGACTCCCTCTCTAAACATATCTAATATCTCTAAATAACCCCTAACGTTGGGGGTAGGACTTCAATGATGCATTTTGGGGGAAACACTTCAATCCAGAGCACAAGACATACTCTTCCCTGCATCCACTATGTAACACCAGCCCTTGCTCCTCATGGTAATGAAGTACTATCGTGCATCAGTATAGCAAATCCTCCTTTCTCTGCTGCTCCGCTGGCAAGAGGAGCACAAGGCACCCAGGTCACAGTCACAGCTTCCAGTTTAGTAGAACCCTTACTGTGTTCACTAGTGGAAGTTTTACTCTCTATAAGCCAGGGCCTCTGACTCTTCTAAGTCTAAGTTTGCAGGAACAAGAAGCACAGATTCTGCAGGTTTCTTGCTGGCAGTCGGACAGAGGAGCCAATCCTACTTCCACTCCTTGGTTCCTAGATTTGTATATTCTAACTATCAGAAACACATCTATTGACTCACACTATATCCAGGAGAGCAGTGCCCCAACCCCACCAGCTCTTGTCTCTAAGCTGATGTCACAGCTGAGCCTTCAGTAGACCATCTCATCACTCAGGGAAGCCCTAGGATGGCCAAAGAGGGGCTGGGTCATCCCGTCCGGCTGACTGTAGGAGCCTCCTTGGCAACAGATGCTCTCTGGAGAGACAAGCACGAGGCAGAAAGCCCCATACTCTTTGTGCTCACTCCCATGAATTCATCATTTACTGTTTACTTGACCTCCATGCCCCTGGCTTTTCATTTTTGTTCTTTCCATGTCCCTAAATGATTAGCCCAGTCGTTTACCCCGCACAGGAGAGTGTATGTCTGCACTTTGGGCCACCTCTCCTACCCTTGAATGGGAGGTAACACAGCAGTCATCTATTCCCAACTAGCACCAATACACCACGTTGACCTGGGTGTAAAAGAGGCCCTGGTGCTTTCCTCCTCCATCAGACTATCATATGGAACTCCCATTTGGGGCTAAACATATATATTGAGGAAGAGCTTCAACAGAGGTGGGTGACATGAGAATCTGGACCAGCTGTTTAGGCAATTTTCCTGTTCCTTCTAGACCTGCTCGAGCCTCGTCCTATACATACCACTTCTATCACATGCTGGGTTGCCACTGTCCATGGCCGACCTAATGCCTCAGAAATCCAGCCTCCCCTTTAATCATAGGCTCTGGACTATGAACAACCTTAGATAATTTCCATTGCAGTAGGTGTCATCTTTCTGCTCTTACACTCTTTATTTTAAAAGTTTATATATTTATACAAGTCAAGCAACACCCCTGTTAGCTCCCCATTTCTCTCCCCGCCCCCCCAATTACATCATGATCTGTCAGTCATTAACATAGATTCCTGGCTGGGTGCGGTGGTAATCCCAGCACTTTGGGAGGCCGAGGTAGGCGGATCACGAGGTCAGGAGATTGAGACCATCTTGGTTAACACGGTGAAACCCCGTCTGTACTAAAAATACAAAAAATTAGCCGGGCGCGGTGGTGGGCACCTGTAATCCCAGCTACTCGAGAGGCTGAGGCAGGAGAATGGCGTGAACCCGGGAAGCGGAGCTTGCAGTGAGCCAAGATAGCACCACTGCAGTCCCGCCTGGGCGAAAGAGCGAGACTCCATCTCTAAAGAAAAAAAAAAACACAAAAAACATAGATTCCTATGGCTCCAGGCACCCTGGTTGCCACTCTGGCCTTGCTGCCCATTATGGTAATTATGCCCACTTTGTCCGGCATGACATTATGCCACCTGGCCTTTGCCATTCCATTGATTGCCACTGATCCAAGAGAGTCCATTTCCCCACCATCTCCCATCATTGAACCCAGGCTTCAGAAGACAGCCACCACTGAATTTCTCAAAGGTGCTGATGGGCTCATTAGGACTTCTTTTTTCTGTTTCAATGAAGGGAAGATTCTCTGGGCCATCCCAGGGAACATAGGCCAGTGGTGGATTCTCAGGTCTTATGAGTCTAATATTCACACCTCTGAGCCTTCTGGTCCTTTTCTTCTTATTGTGCCAAAAAAATGTTCTGGCATCTCGCGTATTTACTGTAGGCTGTTGTCATTAAAGCAAGTACTATCTTGCAAGTTTCCTGCTTCAATGAGGTCATTGTCATCCCCAGGCCAAGAAGAGCTGTTCTGTTCTTCTTGCTTCTACCTTTCAGAGGATTCAAGGAGATTGGGGTCCAGATTTTCAGGTTTGTTTACCCGAAAGTTTCCATTCCAGGTCACCAGCTCCAATCCTTTCTTTATTAGAGCTCTGACTTGGACATAAGACATCTATGTGGCTGCACATTTAGTCTCCTTTTCAGCTCTGCCACCCTTATAATGAGCCCCCAAGCTTAATTTTCAGTGCAATATGTCTTGTAGATGTCAGGAGCGTCCTTAAAGTTTTCATTACAAAGCATGCCTTACGCTGGTAGATAGCTTCCCTGAGTCTATCATTTTCTCCTTGCAATACCTCCAATACCATCAGAAAAAGCCACTTAACCCCAAATGCAATGGCCATTTGATCTCATAAAGCCTTATTTTCTACCTGCATCTCATTCCAATTAGCCACAGGTGAAGTTTTAGAAATTGTAATATCACTGTATGCCAGCTATGGCCCAGCAGTGGAGACCCTATTGTAGATAGAAGACAAATCCAACATTCCATCCTAAAGGTCTACTTTTTAGGACAATTTGTGGTAGCAACTGTCCCTCCATTCAGTTGCTACCACAGTTGCTGTCCTCCAGAACAGGAACAACTGTCCCTGTTCCTTAGGAGACAGAGTATTAAGCAATAATGCTGCTTGCTAATACTTTATTGAGGGATAAAATCCTAGGGCAACAGACACAAGGCAAAAAGTGAAGCAGGGCAGGAGGGAAGCTAATAGAAAGTTGTGCATTTTTGTGAGATAGGGTCTTGTGATGTTGCCCAGGCTGTTCTTGAACTCCTGGGCTCAAGGGATCCTCCTGCCTCAGTCTCCCAAGTAGCTAGGACTATAGATGTGTGCCACCAGGTTGTACATTATTGAGCTGGTCATATCCTCAGAAGTAAAAACAGCCAGTTGCTCAGTTGCACCTGCTGGACATCTGCCGACAGGCCAAATGGAACCACTGCACTCCATATGCTGGGTCCCTTCCACCTCTTGTCCTTCACTGGTCAAAATGTGTCCCAAGCTTTAACTCCCCTGTATTTCTGAGTAGATGTATCTGGCCCCTGTAGGCAGACCTCATGTGGCCGTGGTGTGGGTTACCAACTGATTGAAAAGGGTGAGAAGAGCCATGTTCTCTCTAGGCCGCTCATGGCATAAGAGGCCTGTGACAGAGCCTGGTCTTCACCCTAAGGGAGGTCACAGGGGCGTCAGCAGGATGTGGGGCCAGGTTGCAGGGAGCTGAAGGCCCATGGGACGTAACCAACTCATCATTCTGCTGGAGGCTATATGATCAAACAGCAAACTGTTTATCATGAATGCAGGATGAGGGCAAACTCACAAGGCCCTGCCACCAAAAGGTTTGCTGAGGGACATCACTCCTTGGTGCCGGGCTCCTCGAAGTTATCTATTGGGAAATCTAGCACCTATTGTTCAAAGGATGCAGCCTCACAAGCCTGCTGTGAACCAATTGACAATTACTGGACAATCACACCCCCTCCCCTTTCTCACTATCTCTTTTGCCTAATAAATATGGAGAGCTGTGTAAAACTCAGGGCCCTTGTCCAGTAGAGGCAAGGCGCCCCCTGACCCCTTCTTCCAAATACACTCTTTTATCTCTTGTCTTTTATTCCCACGTTCGCCCCGCTTTGTTCAGTCCCCCTAGGTCCGTGCAGGCTACAAGTGGCACACTGAACAGTGACAGAATCGGGCAATCTACACCAGGTGACCCTCGAGAGGTGCATAGATTAGGTCCACTACAGCAATATTGAAGACCAGATTAGACAATGCAGGTTTTCCAATGCACAAAACTTACCTAAGTTCTCCCAACGTCGTGAGCCTCTAGTTGGGGGTTAGTATTTCTGAACCCCCAGTGAGCCGCTGTGTGATTCTGGCTCAGGCACAAAGGTCTCTGAACTGTTCACACAGGGCAATTACACTTACATCAAAGAGTTGTGAGACCTGAATTAAAATGCGGTGTAAATAACATTTGTAAGTGGCAATGAGCTCCATGTGTAAACATCAGGAGCTGTTGTCAAATGTAAAGATTGTGCTGAGCAAAATACCACGACTTGTTTTAGCCGGACAGGCATTAAAATATCCAGTGTTATTTTGACCTCAGCTGACCAATAGCTGCTCCATTTCTCCAAACTGTAGATGAGTCACCTAGGAAGTCCCTACCCCTTCATCTTCTTGCCATCCTCCCTCCATCCTATCCCACCCCCAGTGAGATATCCTCTTGTTCCCTTTTCTACCCAGCATCCAGAGTTCTGTCTGGCCCCCAGCAGGTGCCCATGGAGGCTACATATGGAATGAAGGAATGAAGGATTGAATAAATGTCTCCATTTCTTTGCACAAAGAGTTACCAATGCTTGAGATGTTCCCCTACTCCCAGGAAGTCACCCTCTCCTGGGAGCCTTTACTCAACCCGCCCTCCATTCCTGTCTTCCCCTTTCTCGGGGCAGCTGTGTGTGACATGCCAGTGCACAGTGGAATGGTTGGTTTTATCCATCTCCCTGACAGGCCCCTGAATTCTTAGGGGGGAAGGAACAAGGTCTCATTCACATTTGTCCCTGCATCTTGCTGGTTGAGGTGCAATCTGCAGCCTCGGGGCGGCGCTCTGGCATGAAGGAGGCCGCTAAGACGTTGTTCTGAAAGCTGGCTTGCAAGGTAGTTTATACTCTGCAAACCAGCGTTTATAGTGTGTGTTTACATGAGTGGCTTAAGGGTGTCCAAATACCGGGAAAAGGTGCTCAGTAAATGTTTCTTCCATGCATGCACTGTAGTATCTGACCCTCAGCTCTGTGTCTTAAGCCCCTGGTTCTCTCATCCAACCTAAAAATAGGATTGTCCAGGCCTTGAGGGCCTTCTGGAAGGCGCCCCCATCAGTCAAAGCGCTTGCAAAGTGCTTCCACCACAAGAGCAGAGAGGCCGCGCCATGCCTGTGATGCTGCTAGGCACAGCTTGTCTGAAAGAGATGCAACCAGGCTACCTCCCGAAGAACCGACTTGTTGATAATCTTGCCTCAAACAGAGGAGTTTGCAGATGGTTGAGGAAGAGCAGTGGTAGAAATGTTCTCCCCAGGGCCGTCACAACTCCTTCCCAGCCGCAGCCTAGTGTTGCAAGAGAGTTTCTGCTGCTGGGACTACAAAGGAGAGGACAAGGCCCATGGCCGGGAGAGGGGCGGCCTGCACCTTTCAGCCCCGGCGCCCGGGAGAGCCTGCGGGGAGTGCGGCGGGGAGAGTCCTCAAGGATGGAGCGCAAAAAAGGGTCTCAAGTCAGTCCTCGCCACCTTTCCGCAGCCTCGGGAGAGGCTTGGGGGAAGCGCAGGCAAGGGCCAAAACCCCATGGAAGTGGGAATCCTCGGCCTCCAGGGTGAATAAATAATTAAGCGCCCAATACACAATAGCCTCGCTAGATGGAGACGAGGAATCACTGCAGCGGCGCTGGCGGCGGCGGCGGGGGGAGCGCAACCCCGGGCGGGAGGCGGGAGAGGCTCTGGCTCGGCTCACGTCTGTTTTCCTTTTTCGTGGATTATTTATTTCGCCTCCACCCACGGCTTTGCTGCCCCAGCGGGAGCTCCCTGCCGGCGCCTCCCGCCGCTGCCTCTCGCGGGCCAGCGTGAGGGTAGTAGAGAGCTCGGGCACCCCAGTGCCCCGGGCAGCCGCGCGGCGCCACCAGGAAAGGCGGGGAGCCAACGCGGGCCCGGGGAGGGCTCGCGCGGCCGGCTCCAGGCGGCGTGGAGGAGACTTTCCCCGCCCTCTGCCTCCGCCTCGGCGGCCAGCCCTGGCCCTGGGAGCGGGGTGCCGCCCCTCCCGCCCCGCGCGCGGCTAGGCGCAGTCCGGAGCCACCGCGCCCTGCGCCCCGTGCGAGGACGCCGCTCCTGGTCCTCTGCTCAGCGGCCCGGGAGGCCCAACCGGCGCGCAAACTTTTGCTCCAGCGCCGGGCGCTCCTCCCCGGCATGTGAAGCCCCCGGGCGCCCGCGCAGCCGCCAAGGTGAGGACGGAGGCCCCGCCTAGAGGGCGGGGGACTGGGGAGGCGGCTGGCTTTAAATGGGGGCTGTCCGGCTGCTGGGAAACAGAGCTGCCGCGGGGGGAACGCGGACCTCTTTTCCCCGAGCCCAGGGTCGGCTGGGGCCGCCGCCAGGCAAGGTAGCGTGAGGCGTTGGAAGGGTGCGGGCGGAGATGGAGGCGTGGGGGAACCCACGCCCGGGAGCGGGAGATCGGGGCTGGGCGGAGGCGTGCAAAGGGGCAGCGCACGGAGGTGCCTATGTTGCAGTGTGCGCAATGAGGCCGGCTGGGCAGTGTGGGTGCAGGCAGCGTGAGATTTCTTGGGGCCGTGCATGCAGGGTCAGCGAGGGTGCAGGCAGGAGTCGGTGGGTGTGCACGGGGATCAGTGTGTGTGCACGGCTGTTTCTGTGGTTGTGCGCGCAGGTGAGTAGTGCCCGCCGGGTTTGAAGTGTGCTCACAGTGAGAGTGAGTTGTATGGGGGTTAATGGGGCGCAGTAAGTGTGCTTGGCTGTTTCTGGAGGTGTCCATGGGGCCAAGGTATGCACGCAGTATTCTGGAGCTGTGCGCGGAGCTAAAGTGTACACGCGGGGCTCTGGGGATGTGCGTAAGAAGAGTGTGAATTCTGGGACTGACGAAGAGTCAGTGAAGGTGTAAGCTGGAGTGTAAGTGCAGGCTTGGTTTACTAGGGTGCCCCTGGGTGCGGGGCGTGCCCGTCCGACCCGGGCTGGGAGGTATATTGGTGCGCGGCGGCGGAAGTGCCTGCGCGGTGTCCGCCTGACCCTAGCCTTGCTCTCCTGACAGTTCGCCCCAGGAGCGGGCGCCGCTGGCCGAGATGCTCCTCCGGGACTTGGTGCTGCGCCGTGGCTGCTGCTGGTCCTCGCTGCTGCTGCACTGCGCGCTCCACCCGCTCTGGGGCTTCGTGCAGGTGAGACGCGCCGGCTGCGCACTGGCTGGGAGGGCCTCCTGGGTAAGGGGCGAGCTGTCCCTTCCCTCCTGAGACCCTGGCCTCTTGCAGCCACCCCACTGATTGGTTCTCGGAAGAGCTTGGGAAAAGAAAAGCTGCTACGGTCCCCTATACCCTACCCCTGAAAAGATAAGAAACTCCAAAGAGAGGCTTCGATTGTGGCCTAAATCCTGCAGGACCGGGCTGGCCTTGGAATGGAAAGGGGCTCAGAGAATACCTTCCAATGATAACATTCTAGGGCAGAAATTCAGCAAAGAAACAAACTTACAAAGAAAAATGATCCCAAGGATATATATTATTTCTTTCTCACCAGAACCACTGATGAACTTCAAATTAGCTTTCTTAAACTGGTTTTCAACACGGAAGGCAGCCGTGTTTCTTATAGGTATCAGAGTTGAGGATGTAGACAGATAATGCATGGTGGCCCATCTGTCAGGACTGCCCAGGGTTGAATCTCTCACCCTGGGTCCCTTAAATCCCAGGGCAGAGGCCAGGCAGCCACTAACTGGAGTTACCTCTTAGGGTCAGAGAGGGGTTTCAATGGGGTGGTCCCTAGTCCCCCCCAGAATGCGCATCGTCACTGGTACAGTGGAGAGGTGACAAGGTGGACTTCGATGTCAGCTCTGGAATTTGAGCTTCAGCTCTGTCCCTCACCAGCTGGGAGGCTTTAGGCAACCCACTTACCCTCTCTGAGAGTTAGTTTCTTCTTCCTGACTGTACTATTGTAAGTACTTGATGAGATAAATGCATGTAAGGATTACTTAGTGCAGTGCCAGGTCCATGATGAAATTAACCAGTAGTGGTTGCTGCCATTGTTGATAGGAGTAATAGCAATGCCGTTCTTCTGCCTGGCTGACCAGGTACTCTGTTTATCACTGCGTGGTCTGTTTGACATTTTTTCTGCAGGCTCTGGAGGACATTTTCATTGTTTTGGGCATTGAGGATCCACTCTGGGGTATTTGTAGCCTCATGTGCTCCTGATGGCATTTTGGGGTTTGGGGACAATTCACATGGTTGCTCTGTACTAGTAGGGGTGACAGACCAGGAAAAAAAGGGATGCGGGCAAGACCACTTGCCAGTCTACCGAGGTCCATGAGCTGCCCCAAATGATGGGGCCCTGCCGAGAGCTTGCTCAGTCAGTCCTGCCTGGATGATGGCCTGGGTGACTGCCCATCGATAGCCAGGTTCAGACGCTGCTCAGCACCCCCTACTCCCAGGCCCCATCTTCTGCTCTCTTCTCTGGCTTGCCTCCGTCTCACAATTGTTTTCCTTTTGGAATTGACAGCTTTGTCTAATGTGTGAAACAGCAGTTATTAAACTCAGCTGTGCCTCCTCAGGAAACATGATTTTGTCACTTCTAAACACTTTAGTGGCTTGGGACCAGCTTCGCTTGTTCAACTTTTAGCTGAACCTCAGATATTGAGTTCACTTCGTTTTTAGATTCATTTGTTTACACTTTTCTCTCTTCCATAAGACACCTTCACCTGGGGTGGGAAGCAACGTAGTGAGGTTGTCAGTCTCCAGGACTAGAATTCTGCTGTGTAAGCTAGTAGGATCTAAACAGAAGACCCCCAAGCACCATGCACTCCTCCCAGAAGAAATAATTTTGTGAAAGCAGTTCAGTTTTTTAAGTGTCCTTCAGCCAGGCAGTACTTACACAAGCAGGGGTGTGTGTGTGTGTGTATGCAGGGGTGTCTGTGTGTGTGCAGGGGTGTGTGTGTGTGCGGGTGTATTTCAGATGCTCTCACTCAATACAAATCAATTTTCATAAAAATCAATTTAAAAAGGAACCCTCCAGACAAGTAGAATGGGTAAAATCTTGGCTTGAGGCTCTGGAAAAATTAATTTACAAATGATAGGGACAGGGAAATCAAGGGAAAGGGGTTTTGGAATGAATGGATCTGGCTTTAAGCAAAAGAGCTAAATCCAAGGGAACGTAGGAGAGAAGAGGAAAAATGGAAATGCACGAAGCCATGTGTTTCTCTTTAAGTGGGGAAAATAAAATCTGTCATGTCATAGGAGTTTCTCTAATCTGGAGAGCAAACTCAGAGCTATCTGCCCTTCCATGAGCATTTTGCCAGAAGAACATTTGGAAGGACAAGGCCAACATAACAAAGTCCTATGATTAATGGGATCGTCGATGAGGCAAAAGACCTGGGGTCCCCCAAAGCACCAGGTTCTTACCTTGCAATCAGCCTTAAGCCTCTGACTGCTGCTAGTTGATAAGAAACTTAATCATTAAAGTTAGACGATATTTAAATTGCCAGAAAGTTGGTGGGAGCATTCCTTAGCCTTTCACCCTGTTCTTTAATGTGTCTGGAATTGAGATTTTGAGCTTTTGTGATTTAGGGTTCTTCTAAGTTCACTTCCAGATGATTCTTTTTTTTTTTTTTTTTTTGAAAGAGAAGAGGATGACAGGCTGGCAAATTTATTAGGTGTGACAGGAGTATGTCTCATCAAGTTACCGTGGTGCTGGCCTGTCTCCATGAAAGATGCCAGAAGCCATCATCTTTGTGGCTGCCCTCCTAAAGTACTAGTTAGAGAGACAGCCTCTTATCTGGCCTTATGGGTCTCTGTGTGCTGATGAGGAGCCACCCCAGACCCAAGTGATGTTGAACCCCTTCCATGGTCAGTCTCTGCAGCTTTGATGATTCATTCGGCAGCATTTATTGGGCGCCTACTGTATGCCAGGCCCTTTGTTAAGTGCAAGGGGCTTAGTGGCCTCTTCCCTCGTGGCACTGATAGTTTGGCAATGTAGAGCTAATTAAACAAGTAATTATCATCAAGAGAGCTCAGCAAGAGCAAACAGCTTGGACCCGGGGCAAGAGTCATAGAAGCCTCAATGGTGTGGTGCTTCAGCTGAGACATGAAGGATGAGAAGTTAGGATGCAAATGAGGGTGAGGTGTCCAGGCAGACAGAACAGCCCAAGGCCAGAGGAGAGAGGGACTTTGGAAGACCCAGGGGAAAGAAGCACCAGGTAAGGCCACTGTTGTAAGCCACTAACATAGTGTCCTGCAGTTTGGACTTGATCCTGAGGGCTATGGATGTCATTTTAAGTAAAGGATTTTAAGTAACAGATGACACAATCTCAGGTTGGTATTTTAGAAATCTCAGTCCAGGCTGGTTGCAGTGGCTCACACCTGTAATCCCAACACTTCGGGAAGCCAAGGCAGGAGGATTGCTTGAGCCCAGGAATTCGACACCAGCCTGGACAACACAGCAAAACCATGTCTCAAAAAAAAAGAGAGACATCTCAGTCCAATTCCTGCATGAAGGATGGATGCAGGGAGGAGGTAAGGCAGGGGCAAAGAGGTAGGTAAGAGGAGGGTGGCCAGCTTTAGCAAATAAAATACAGGACATTCAGTTAACTTTGAATTTCAAATGAACTACAAATTGTTTTTCTAGCATCTTTCCCATATAATATTGGGGATATACTTTAAAATTATTTGTTGTTTATCTGAAATTCAGATGTAATAGGGTGTCTTATATTTTATCTGGCAATCCTAGATGAGAGGCAGGTACTGCCCACTGGAGACCTGATGGTGGCCTGGTTCAGGTGGCGGCAAAGGAAACAGAGGAATAGATGGATTCAAGAATGATTTAGGAGGCAACGTCTGCTGGACCCAAAACTGCACTGATTGGCCAGGAGTAGGACGGTGGTAGGACACTGATTGGCCAGGAGTAGGATGGTGGTAGGACACTGATTGGCCAGGAGTAGGATGGTGGTTGGAGAAGAGGGAACTGATGCTGGGAACACTGTGTCCCTCAGACCTCTGCTACAGGTACCAAATCCAGGGGACTCCAGGACATACCTGTGCCTCAGCCCACTCTCAGGACTACAGCATTTACAGGATTCTGGCTGCAGAATAGGGCCTGGAAGGCAGACGATTGTGAAATGGGAATAAGAAGTGGTCCCAGGAAGTACTGAAACCAGCCTGCGTTCTGTGGGCTTTAGGCAAGTCACTGACTTTTCTGGGCCTCTGCTCTTTCTTAACGAAGTCCAGCTAAGAGCATGTTACTTCAGGGGAAACTTCCTTCTCCTTTTGAAATTCCCCAAGATAGAAACCAAACGCCAGGTGTTGGGACAAGCTCCAGACACCCGAGGCTTCCTCTCTATTGGTCTAAATACAACACTGCCAATCAACAGAACCCCCAAGTGGAACCAGCACTGGGGAATGGGACAGATCCTGTGTTTCCCCACTGGTGGGCATTGTGCCAACTGAATGCTGGGCCTTGGGCAACTGTGGTACATCATTTAGCTTCGCTGAGCCTTCAAGCCACCTGTTAAGAGTGGATAATATCACCTATCTCTCCCGGTTATGCCCAGGGCGAAGTGGGAGCCTGAACCCATGATGGACACATAGTAGGGCTCAGAAAGTCATGATTGTTCAGGATTAATAAAGTACTCATCTACCTGCCCGCCCTAAGACACTCACAACTTAGTGTAGACAGACACACATTGCAAAATAGCATGGAAATGTCCCAGACAGAAGTGTTTGCAGAATAAAGCAGCAGCATTGAGCAGGTGAGTCTAATTTGGGGTGAGGGAGGGTTTAGGATGGTTTTGCCCAAGAAGGAGGACTGCTTGAGCCAGAAATTTGAGACCAGTCTGGTCAACATAGCGAAACCCTGTCTCAAAAAAAGGAGAGAGAGAAATCTCAGTCCTGTTCTTGCATGAACACCCAAGAAGGCTGTTCAAGAGATAGGTTTGAAGGATGGAGAGAGGCTAGCAAGTGGATATGGGGTCTGAGTAACCCAGAGTCGAGGCAGGCTCAGACGCCACAGGCTTGGACTGGACCAAACTATCAGGACACTGCAGTGGGGGCTCAGCCGTCAGGCATAAGGACGGACCAGACATGATCCTTTTGTGAGAACAGTTGGCTAAGCAATTGTGCCTGCTCACATTTCAGAGAGGCCCTTATGTAAGAGACTGAGAACCATTGATTTTTTTGTTTTGTTTTGTTTTGAAGCAGGGTCTCGCTCTGTTGCCCAGGCTGGAGTGTGGTGCACTGTAATAGCTCACTGCAGCCTCAACCTCCTGGGCTCAAGCAATCCTCCCACCTCAGCCTCTGGAGTAGCTGGGTCTATAGGCATGTGCCACCATGCCCAGCTAATTAAAAAAAAAAATTTGTAGAGATGAGGTCTCACTCTATTGCCCAGGCTGATGTTGAACCCCTGGGCTCAAATGATCCGCCCGCCTCAGTCTCCCAAAGTGTTGGGATTACCGGCGTCAGCCTCCGCACCTGGCCAAAGCTATCAATTTTATTTATGTATTTATGTATGTATGTATGTATTTATTTATTTATTTATTTATTTTTGAGACGGAGTCTTGCTCTGTCGCCCAGGCTGGAGTGCGGTAGCATGATCTCAGCTCACTGCAAGCTCCGCCTCCCGTGTTCACGCCATTCTCCTGCCTCAGCCTCCCGAGTAGCTGGGACTACAGGTGCCCACCGCCACGCCCGGCTAATTTTTCTGTATTTTTAGTAAAGACAGGGTTTCACTCTGTTAGCCAGGATGGTCTCGATCTCCTGACCTCGTGATCCGCCTGCCTTGGCCTCCCAAAGTGCTGGGATTACAGGCGTGAGCCACTGCGCCCGGCCTTATTCTTTTTTGAGACTGGAGTTTTGCTCTGTCGCCTAGGCTGGAGTGCAGTGGCATGATCTTGGCTCTCTGCAGCCTTGACCTCCAGGTTCAAGTCATTCTCTGCCTCAGCATCCTGAGTAGATGGGACTACAGGCGTGCACCACCCTGGCTAATTTTTGTATTTTTTTTTTGTAGAGACAGGGTTTCATCACGTTGGCCAGGCTGGTCTCGAACTCCTGACCTCAGGTGATCCGCCCGCCTTGGCCTCCCAAAGTGCTGGGATTACAGGCGAGAACTATCAGTTTTTTAAATGCAGTGTGCTCCTTCACTTCTTCCTCCTGCAGCCTTGAAATTTGGCCCTGATTTTTCTGCCTAGAGCTTCATCACATTAAACACCCTTATACATCTGTGCCTTCATATCCTCTCACAAAAATAGGTCATTGTGTCGGGCCAGGTTAAACAAACGTGCTTCTCTTGAACTCTCTCTCATAGATTGCACCTTGGAGATTGAGAAAATAATTACACTGGCAATGGTATTGCTTGAAGTTCACACACTTGGTAGAGTGCATTGGAGAAGTGGTCTCAGAGGCCAGCTATTAGGAGAATGAAGCTTTCTAGCAAACCCCAGGGTCTCAGAAGGTCAGAATCTAGAGGGGCACAGGCCCAACGATGGGATGTCTAACAATGGCACCGGTCTAGAAGCCGGTGGATTTCCCACTGACATGTAAGGAGTTAATCATTTCTGTAAAATAATTGAGCAGAGGCCACCATCAGACGGCATGCTCTTCCCAGTGGGAGAGAAGATTGCCTTCCAGGGTTTGAAACGCAGTCAATGGCCTTTTAAAAACATTAAAAGGTGATGAGCAGGAGCCTCTTAGCCTGGTAGATATTAAGCCGGGGCTGTAAATCAGCTCACTTCCCGCTGCCACCCCAGCGGACATTACCCACATTACTTCTCCACATCTTCCAGGTGCGATGGGAGCCTCCCAGCCCCGGGGGGCTCTCCCTGCCACGTGACAGAGGGGCTGGATCAGCATTCAAAGGCAGGCAACACATGGCTAGTTGCAGGGAAAGTGGAGTTCTGGTTTCCAGTGGCTCAGAGATGACAGAGAAATCAACCGTGGCTGTCGAGGAGGTGGAGGGTGACTGGCAACTCTTTGTGCTTTTAAACCAGCTTGTTCCCCGGGACAGGCATGAAACACCAGACTCTTGGATTTATGGCACTCTGTATAGTGAGGGACACTGGCAGTCAGTCTAATCCATCTACCCAGTTCCCATGCTGGCTCTGCATAAGAAGTTTAACCTGGAAAGCATAAGCAAAATCCCCAGGCCCAGCTCCACCTGCAAAATTTTGATTTAATCGGTGTGGCTCAGGCATGGGTATTTTTTAAAACCACCAGGGAGATTCCAAGGTACAGCCAGGGCTGGGAACTGCTGGTGGAGCCCAGCTCACTCGGGCTACCCTTCTCGTTGACACATGAGGAAGCTGAGATTGGTGCTGGAAAAACACCAGGCCAAGGTTCAAGAGGCGTGGATTGTGGCCCAGTTTTTCATATTCATTCATTCATTCACCAAAAATTTATCAAATGGTGGGCATTCCCTTAAGTGGTGATTTATGATAGTGAGAGAGAAGGAACAAGGCCTGCTCTGCCCTCAGCGAGCTCACAGTGCCATGGTGAAGATAGGTATGAACCAGGTAACATCCAAATGTAGCTTTCTGCCCCTAGAGGGGAACCTGGTGCCAGGAGAGCCCATACAAAAGGATCTGGCTGGATAAAGAGGTCAGAGACACATCTGTGAGGTCATCGCCAAGCTGAGTCAGGGGCGTAGCAGGGTAGGGATGGGAGAACATTTCCACCACTGGAGCAGCAATTGCAGAGGCCGGGGGCCTGGAACTGAAAGGAGAGAATGAGGGCAGAGAGATGGGGAGAGAGCATGGGACGAGGTGGGGCCGGAGAGGTTGTCAGGGATCGCCCCTTGCAGACCTTGTAGGCCACATGATCCCACGAGGGGTGGGGTGGCATCTGGGTCTTTCTGGGGGGATGGAGGTGGTTTGGAGGGGTGCCCTTCCCACAAGACCACCTGGATGCTGAGTGGAGAGCATCAAGCAGGTTGCTCTGCTCCCTTTGGTCACGTGGGACACAGGAGTAGAGGCCTCTCTGGGTGAGGTTTCTACCCAAGAGAGGGGGGCCTTGCCCCAGAGTAGACATGACAAGGCCATCAGGAGCGAGGGCTGGAGAGAAGGCCAGGGCTTGGCCTTGGGCTGTAGCAAGGAAGACAGGAGAAGCGGTTGGGCTTAGATTACAAAGGAAGCAAAGGGTCTCACTCTCCAAATGTGAGACCCTTGGGCAGCTACTTCTGCCTGGGCCTCAGTTTACTCGTTTGTACAATGGGGAAATTCTACCAGTTAACCTTCAAGTTCTTGTCTACTTCTCATTCATATCCAGGTCACTTGCCCAGGGTCCCTGGCAAAGCTAGGAAGAAAACCTTGGTCTCCAACCAGCCAGGCCAACCGCCAACAACATTGTCCCCTTTGAACCAATCCGACTTCTGTTGATTCTTCCTGCCTTGGTCTTGGAAAGGAATCCCAAGTCCCAGCCTGGCAGGGGACGGGGTGGCCTGGGCTTGTTTCAGCTTCTAGTTGCCTTATGGTCTTCTCTCTCTCTTGGGTACGTGTGCCCATGTGTACAGGTGACGCATGGTGAGCCCCAGAAGTCCTGCTCCAAAGTGACTGACAGCTGCCGACACGTCTGCCAGTGCCGGCCCCCTCCCCCGCTGCCCCCGCCGCCCCCACCCCCGCCACCTCCCAGACTCCTCTCCGCCCCAGGTAAGTAATGGCTCACTCCATTTTCGGGTTTCTCTTTGTGTTTTCCTAGGCCCACGAAGATCCACTGAGTGTGGCCGAGGGCAGCCCTGCCTCCTTGGTAATTTTCCACTGGCCAAGCAGGAGGGAAGCCAAGGCCCAACTTTCCCCTGCAGTCTGCAAAACGCCTTTCCCACAGCGTGCTCCTGCAAGATGGAGAAGGATGTTTCTCCATCAGTTAATCAGATAAAAGTCAATCTCCATTTGATGAGTGACTTGGCCTGGATAGTTCCGAAGGCCAGATCTTTAAAGGGGGCAGCTGCTGGGGACTGGTCTTAAATAGCCCCCCTCCCCCAACACACAGTTCTATTTCTCTATTATAATTTACATTTAAGGAGGCAGTTAGGGTAGAACCAAAGTCAGTGCTCTGGGAGCAGAGTTTCAAGATGCCATTCAGCTATGTGCACCAAATTCTGCTAAAACCTCTCTGTGACTTGTTTGCCTTGGACGATTTCATCTCTGAACAATTTGATTGCGCCGTCGTTCAAACAAAGGAGCGTTTCTTTAGCCAGAAATGGCCTCAGCCCTGACCTCTACATGGTAAAGTTCCCTGTTTACAATTGCTACTTGATAAGGTCTCTCCAAAGGAGGTTCTGTATTTCACGTGGTTCATTCAAGTTCCCACCTATAGGATGCCCGTGATCATGTCGGTATCTACCTCATTAAACACATCTCCATGGAATTATTTGGGATGTATT
Source organism: Homo sapiens (assembly GCF_000001405.40). Lineage (NCBI taxonomy): Eukaryota > Metazoa > Chordata > Mammalia > Primates > Hominidae > Homo > Homo sapiens. The sequence goes on along the minus strand of NC_000014.9, from coordinate 93,778,441 downwards.
TTCAATAACCTTGGCACAAAGCTTGTTCTCTGGTAGGCTGCGTTTCCAGCCTCTTGGTCCCCAGTCAGTGATGCAATGTTCTGGAGGATCTTTGCAATTTGTGTGAATTTCTGCATTTTGACTGTGAGGCCTCTATATATCTCCATCCTTCCCTGACACCCTGTGGCCCATTCCTTCTCAAAGCCTGGCCCTCAAATGACCTGCTTCAGCATAACCCAAAGCATTTGTTTTAAAATGCGTCTTCTTGGGCCCACTTCAAACCCACTGAGCCAGAGTTTTTGGGGTGAGACTTGGGAATCGTCACAATTACAGGTTCTGAGGTGATTCAAATGCAAGTTACAGTTGAGAACCTAGGCCTGCCAGGCCCTCTGCTCCAGGCCTCTGCCAAATCCTTCTATCCCGGGATGCTCACTGGCCTCCTCTCTCCTGAAAGAATCCCTGGGCCTGCACCTACTCTTGGAGATCACTCCTCTCCCTTCCTTTAGAATTCCTCACTCTCCCACATTTTGGGCCCCACGGCACGTAGTCTCCCAGCGGTTTGTATTTAATGATCCACATCCCCCAGCTAGCATCCCTTCAGGTCTTCTTGTGCTCACTGAGCATCTGTGTCAGACAGAGGAGAAGGACCGTCCTGGCCCTCTGGAATCTCAGCCCTCCCAGGGAAGGCCATCCTGTCAGCAACCCACAAAGAGTGGCCTGAGAGAACACAGAAATGGTTTGCCAGGTACACTGGAAATACCTGAATAGTTAAGCAAAACAGTAGCCCCAGTAAATAGTAACAGGGGTCTTTAAGAATAAATGGGATTGGTCGGGCACAGTGGCTCATGCCTGTAATCCCAGCACTTTGGGAGGCTGAGGTGGGTGGATCATGAGGTCAGGAGTTCGAGACCAGCCTGGCCAACATGGTGAAACCCCGTCTCTACTAAAAATATAAAAATTAGCCAGGCGTTGGTGGCAGGCGCCTGTAATCCCAGCTGCTCCGGAGGCTGAGGCAGGAGAATTGCTTGAACCCGGGAGGCGGAGGTTGCAGTGAACCAAGATTGCGCCACTGCACTCCAGCCTGGGCCACAGAGTGAGACTCCGTCTCAAAAAAAAAGAATGAATGGGATTGTTCCAGGTTGCTAATCAGGTTGGGGGAAAAGGGCATCCAGGCAGAAGGAAGCGCATGGACAAAGGCTTGGAGGTATGGCTCTGTGAGACTCCTCTTGAGAGTCACAAGCCCTTCAGTGGCTTGAAAGGGTGGCCAAGGAGGAGGACCTAGAAGGGCCTCGTGTGCCTGGCTGAGCAGATCGCATTTCATCCTATGGGTCATTGTTTACCAAACAATGATCTACATTCACGCATATCCAAGTACCATCTCTTATTTGCCTTATTTTTTTCTTTAAATAAACTCATTTTGTGTGTATACAAATTAATCTCCTTAACTTTACAAAACTACTCTAAATGAGAAACTAGTTCCACTTGCATAAATGGAAGGTGACCATAATAATAAATGCAGTGGAAGCAAACCAAGCTTTTAAAATTCCAGCTTTCTCTGGAAGATTCTGAGCTTGAGACTTTCTCTCTATTTGTTAAAAAGGGAGAGAAGTAAGCGGTAGAGAGATGTGAAAGCCATAGTGGCACAGTGCTGAGACCTTCTCTATAAAGTAATTGGAAAGTTTGTAAGTGAATCAAAAGGAGCTTAAGTTTCTTATTACAGGTTTCAATGTGTTTGAGTGCTGGGTCCATATACCATCTAAAATCAGCTCTCATAACTGCAGGGACATGGACCCAGTGCTTTAGGAAACTGCTCTGGGCAGTGATGAGCCTACGAAGGTGTTAAGTGGGGAAGTGACATGAGCCTATATTGTCTGTTTCAGAAAGATCAACTGTTTTGACAGTGTGGGTTGGATTGGAGTGGATTGGGGTTGAGCTGGCAGACTGGAGTCAGGTGGGGGTCTCTTGAGATCATTCAGACCCCAGACCATCCAAGAGGGCCTGAAACCAGGCTGGGGGCTACGGAGATGGGAGGAGGCTAGAGGAGAGTGCTTGGTTGAGTACAGAGAGAACTCATGTTGAGTTTTGGGACTGAAGGTGCTTCTTGGGAGAGGAGAGTAAGAGAGGAGAGCTCTGTATGGCAGGACTTTTTCTGTTTCAAGTAGCAAAAACACATCTTGAAGTGGTTTAAGCAATACAAAAACTAGGGAGAAAGATGTTAGCTTGTGGGCTCACGTATCAGGATATCCAGGCAGCAGATCTGCTGAATCCATGGTCTCAAATGATGACGGTATTGGATTTCTGTCTCTGGCTCTGTCGCTCTCTCCTGATTTCTCCTGGGTTGCCTTTTCTCTCAGGCTGGCTCAGTTCCTGTAGCTCCAGGCTCCAGCATTCCATCATTCTTACAGGCAGTAATATCCCTAGGAAGAGACCTTCTGTTTCCCAGTAGTCCGAGGGAAGTCCTGAGGCTGACTTTTGCTGGACTAGCTTGGGTCATGTGCCCACCTGTGGACCAATCATGGTGGCTTATGGGATAGAGTATGCTGGTTGGTCAGGCCCGGGCCATGTGACCACCCCTGGAGTTGGGATGTGTGGATAGAGGCTCAGGGAGAGGTGGTTTCCCAAAGGAAAATCCGAATAGAAGGGCTAAAACCCAAAAATAAGAACATGGCTACCAGGCCAGGAGGGCAGGGAATGTCTATCATAGCCATGGAGTGCCTCCGGCATGGAAGGTGGATTAGACCAGTGGTGGAGAATGTGATTTATTCATTCTCTTGGTCCTCCTTGAGCTCAGCCCAGAACCCTGCACACAAGTAGTGCCCAATAAATGTCAGAGCTACGGCCACATCCACAACTTCTGCCAATCATAAAATACGGAGGCGGAGGTTGCAGTGAGCCAAGATTGCACCATTGCACTCCAGCCTGGGCAATAAGAGCGTAACTCTGCCTCAAAAACAACAACAACAGCAAAAAACAACAAAACAAACAAAAAAAACAAGTGCCTGCTATATAACCCTGAAGGAATTCATGTCTCCCAGAGGGCACAGGGCTTCAATGCTGTGGAGCCTCAGCTCTCACTCAACAGGTGCACACTGAGCTCCAAATGTGGGGCATGGTGCCAGGGCCCGGGAACCAGCAGTGAGCAGCAGACAGCTCCTGCCCTCATGGAGTTCACAGTCCAGTGGACTGTCATTTGCAGAAGGTGTTCACTGGAGTGTCCCTTCCTGCCATCTCTCTGGATTCACTGGCTCAAGGCATGTGCCAGTCCTTGTCCCATTTGCTCATCTGATGTCCTTTGCATTCTTGCCACTCACAAGGGCCTCTCATTCACCTGGCGAGCATTTGCCAGGCACCTGTTCTAGGTCCAACCCTGCGTTGGGCATCCTGAGGGATACAGAGTCACACAGGGACTTATCCACATCAGCAGGGCCCAGGTCATGAAAGGCCAAGGACTTGGCATAAGAGGCCGATTCCATGAGCCTTTCTTTAGCCTATGTTGGCGTGCTAGCCCTGCTCTTTCCTCTTCGTGATTTTAAGAGAGCCGGTTAACCTAAGCCTCAATTTCTTCCTCTATAAAATAGGTCATGGGCCACACCCACCCCATGGGGTTGAGTTGAGGGTTCCTGAAAGTGAGAAGTACTTTTGAAAACTAGACAGGTATCCATTGCTGTAATCGTCCTGTGGAAAGCGTTCTGATGAAGAGCAGCCTGTGAGTGCAAGCCAGACTTGGGGGATAAAGAGGTGCTATTGGGAAGGGGATACGTAATTACAAAAGGGGCAGGGAGGACGGATTTGGGAAGACGTGGGAGAATTCCCAGGTAGAATGGGACAGGTGGGAGCAGAGGGAGGCTGCACAGGCCACGAAGGAGAGGGAGTGGCCAAAGCAGACAGCCAGAATTAGCAGCCCAAGGATCAGGCAGGAGGCTCCCTGCTGAAGTGACATTGATCCACAGGTGTGTTGAGCTTTGGTGTGTGTGTCTGGCATAAAGGGAGAAAGAGGGGAGAGAGAAACACCTATTCGTGCAGGCCTGTGAAGTGCCCCCTAGAAGTAATGACCAGGAACGTTTGCAGGGCGTCCTTCACATGGCCAGGCAGGCATTGCTCTTCATCCAGACAGCACCTGCTGCTGCCCTGCCCCTCAGGGTGACCCGCTTGTCCTGGCTGGCCCGGGCCTCTCTAGGTTTTAGCCCCGAAGGTCCTGTGCCCCAGGAAACCCCTCAGTCCTGGACAAACTGGAACAGCGGGTCACCCCACTGCTGGGCCACCCTTCTTCTGGCAAAGGCAAGAGTGGTTTTTCAAATTGTTTTTTGTTATCTTTATTTTGGGGGTGTTTGTTTTGTTCTAATTTACTATGAATTTTTTTTCTTTTTTTTTGAGACGGAGTCTCTCTTTGTCGCCCAGGCTGAAGTGCGGTGCTGTGATCTCGGCTCACTGCAATCTCTGCCTCCTGAGTTCAAGTGATTCTTCTGCCTCAGCTTCCCGAGTAGCTGGGATTACAGGCATGAGCCGCCACACGTGGCTAAGTTTTGTATTTTTATTAGAGAGGATTTCACCATGTTGGTCAGGCTGGTCTCAAACTCCTGACCTCAGGTGATCTGCCCACCTCAGCCTCCCAAAGTGCTGGGATTACAGGTGTGAGCCACCGTGCCCAGCCACCATGAATCTTTTGAGAGTCCTGACTTCCCTCCCCCACTTCATTGCTGGAGAGGGCAGCTTGGCCTCCTATTCCTCTGTGGCAGGCCCAGATCTGTGCCCTGCTCCCAGCAGCCCTACCCTGCGCCCTGCCTGCCACTGGAGAAAGAGCAGGAAAGGGATCTGGTGAAGCGGAAGGTTCTCAAGCAGCATCTCCACTTTCTGCCCTTGGGTTTTTCAGGCTCTGCCCACAACCCTCACTTTGAGTCTGGGCACTTGACCAGGGGTTCTCCAACTTGAGCTTGTATCGGAAGCGCCTGGAGAGCTTGTTTAGTCACAGATCACTGGAGCTCATCCCCAGAATTCCTGACTCGGTAGGTCTGGGGTGGGGCCCGAGGACCTCCTTTTCAATTCCCTTCTCAGGTGATGCTGACGCTGTTGGTCGTAGGAGCACACTTTGAGAACCTGTGCCCTACAGAATGACAATCTCAGCAAGGGGCTTTGGGGCCAGCCCCAGCCCTTTCACTCCTAGCTCAGACTCTGGCCATGTCACAACCTCTCAGAGCCTCAGTTTTCTCATAGGATTCCTACCTGCAGAGGAATTGTCATGAAGATTAGAAATTATCCAGGCCATCCTGGGCAGAAACTTTGTGCTCAAAAGGTGGTATTATGTAGCGCAGTGGCTCAGAGCCTGGCTTCCTGCCCTCTAGACCTGAGGTCCAACCCTTGTTCATTAGCTAAGTGATTTGGGCAAGGAATCCTTAACTGCTTGGAGCCCCAATTTCCAAATGTGTAGAATGGAGTTAACAACCCTACCTGCTGCACATGGGTGGTTGGAAGGATTCGATGCCCTACAACTAACACAGCACAGAGCCTGGAACCCAGTTAACACGCAATAAATGGCAGCTCATAAATAATTCTAATGCAAGCAGTAGAAATGAGAGTACGTCACTAACCTTCAGATTGGGAGTTGCTTCTGCAGGGTTCCAGCATATCTCTGCTGAGATAGGAGCATCAGATTAGACACTCTGAGGATGAGATGGGCTCTCGAAGGAGGTGTAGACTCCCCTGCATCTTCAACAGGAAAGAAAAGGTTTTCAGAGAGTCCCATCTGTGTCTCTTCCTGGGCAGCCCTTGCCAGGCATGTGATCCTCAGTGTCAACGGAGTGTCCCTGGTGAAGGTATTTCTGGAAGGCATGGGTGGGCATGAACCCTGGCAGAGCTAGAGGCCTGCTTGTGGCCTGAACAAAAAGCCTTCAGCAGCCACCAGAGCCCAGGACCTGGCTTGCTTTGTAAATGTCAGCCATGGCCTGCCTGTCCCCGCCTGTGACTCAGATGGCGGAGGCCATGGAAGGAGATGTGTACCAGCCCTCAAGCAAAGCACACACACGCCCTCTGTGAGACCTGCTTCCAAGGCTGACGGGGCCAAAAATAGCTGTGGCAGAACAGAGGCGTGAGCCTGCATTTCCATAGTGCCTGTCTTGAAGGAGTTCAAAGCACTGATAGAGATTTTATTGGGGCATTTATTTTGTTCTTGGAAAGATCAGAAGGAGGTTAAGTGACTCCTCAAAGGTCACACAACAGTGGTGGAGCCAGGAATAGGGTCACCTGGTTCTTCTCCTATGTGCCAAAGGCCAAGTTTCAACAGAGAAAGAGACAAATGGGACTGTGGAAGTTCTAAGATGCTTCCTTTTTACCCACCCAGGACACTAGAAAGAAGCCAATACTTAGTTTCCAGTACTGTTGGAGAGAAGCTCTGCTCTCCTCATCTCATTTAATCCTCAAACCCTTCTTTGTAATAGGTGGTATTATTGCCAATTTTTATGCGGAGCTCAGAGGTTCAGAGAGGGTGAGTTACTTATTCTAGGCTGCCCAGCTGGAGAGGAAGGGAGGTTATTCAAGGCTATCTGATTACTTCCTAGTGTGGCCCCTGCCTAACTCTTCCCTCCAGTGCTGAGAGGCAGCTTCAGGGACCCCCCTTTCCTTTCCTTCCCTGGGCCTCACTCCTTCCTGTCTTGGAGCCTTTGCACGTATAGTCCTTCTGTCCACCAGCCTCCCCTTCGAAGTAGAACCTGACTCATGCTGATCTCAGCTCAGATTTCCTTTCTTTCTTCAGGAAGACCTTCCCTGACTTCCACAAATGTCACACCAGTCCCTGTTCTGGTCATTTACGGCTGCAGAACGAACTACTCCAAAAGCTACAACACCAACATATTTTCTTTCTCTTGCTGCTACAGGAGTTGACTGGCTCCACCTGGAGGTCCCTGCTTGGGGTCTTTCATGCACCGATAGTCTGTCAGCCAGGGCTGGGGCCACCTTGAAGGCTTCCTCTCCCATGTCTTGTGGTCAATATTGGCTGTAGATTGGGTCCTCAGATGGAGCTGTTCACTCTAACACTCCATGTGATGCCGCCTTGTGAACTGGGCTTCCTTACAACATGGTGGCTGAATTTGAAGGTTGAGAGGCTGATGGGAGCTGTATCCCTTTTGATGTTGCAGTTGAAGAAGTCACCCAGCATCAACTTCCACTGCATTCTGTTTTTTAGAATCAAGGGACCAGGGCTGCCTCATATTGAAACAGTGGGGAATTAGACACCACCCCTGATGGAGCAGTGTCAGAGGAGTTGCTTACATTTGGAAACCATACCGCCCTGCATCCACATGCACACACACATACATGCGCACACACACACATACGTGCACATGCACACACATACATGCACACGCGTACATGCACACGCACGCACATGTACACACATACATGCACACACACACATACATGCACTCACTTTGAATTTTTCATTTTCTTTTGTAGCAGTTATTCCACCTTTTAAATATGTAATTAATGACTTGACCAATGCTTGATCCTTTGTTAGTCGTACACAGTTGTCCAGTGTCTGCTGGGTCCTCAGTGATAGCCCCAGATATTTAGCACGTGCCTGGCATGTCATGAGTCCTCCGTAGCTACTAATTCACTTACCTTACAGATATTTTTGAATATCTACTATATGCCAGGCACTAGGTACTAGGTGCTGGGAATCTAGTGGTGGACAGAACAGAAGGGCCCTGCAGTCACAGAGCTTGTAGATTGATTGCTCTGTGTGTGCGCGGGAGGGGGCATGGGATGGTGGTATAGGAAATAAGCAAACCAAAACTATCACAGGAAAAATGGAAGATAACATGCTACAGAGATAGAGAAAATCATACGATTTGATAGGAGTAACTGGGGGGCTGCCTAGGTTATGTGGACCTGAGATGCCATTTAAGCTGAGAGCTGACCGAAAGGGAATAGCTGGTGGAGGAAGATCTGGGGGAAGAGCTTTCTCATCAGAGGAAACAGCATGTGCAAGGTCCTCGTGTGGAGAAGCACTCTGGCTGTGTGAAGAGCCAGCGTGGCTGCTGCCTGCTACGAGGGAAGACTGCAGGAGGTGAGCCCACAGGGAGGCAGTGCCCGGACCGCACAGGGCCGTGGAGGCTAGAGAAGGAGTTTGGATTTTATCTGAAGTGCAGCCAGAAGCCAGCGGGTTTTGAGTAGGGGGTGTGGCATGCCCTCACGTGCACTTTACAAAGACTGACTCTGGAGAGTGGAAGGAAGGGGAAGAGTGGAGGCTGGGAGCCCAGTGAGGAGGCTGTTGCCATGGGCCAGGTGAGTGACGGTGCAGGGAGAGATGGTGGTGGTGGGCTGGACCCGGGGTGGAGGCAAGAGGAGGTGTCACGCCCTGGTCTAAGTTAAGATCATTCTGCAGCAGGGACTCACTCAGTGATGGCTGTGGCTGTAGGGGGAGAGCGGAAGCAAGAATGCTGCTAGGTTTTGAGGAATGACTGCGTGGAAGAAACCACCAGATGTCACTTGGCGCCCCCTCTCCTTGGTCCTCCTGATATCTGTGATCTCATGAATGGGATGATGAAGCAGACTCAGGTGGTGCAAGGAAGGCGGTGGCTCAGTTTCCCCACCTCCACCATCAGTGTGTTTTAGCTGCTGCCATCAGAAGGACCCAGGCTCTGGGACATTCGCAAGAATCCAAGGTTTAACTAGGCTTCATCATCATCAAATGAATTCCCTGCTGCTGGTGCAAACCAGAGTTTCCTCCAAGTTGTGATGAGTTTCCGACTAACAAAAGAGGAGGTCCAGGCCTGGTGGGTCGCAAAGCTGAGCGACAGGCACAGCAAGTGAAGCCAGTCCCCGTGACCCGCCTTCCCTGCAGGCGACAGGCTCCTTATGAAACCTCATGAATGCCGCTGCCCTAGCCCTTGGCTGGACGCAGTGTGAGCCTGTGACGAGGGACTGTGGGCATCAAACACGGGCCATGTCACTTTGAATGTCTCCTGCTTCAAGGGCTGTGTTCATGCCCAGCTCACTGTTGCCATTGATTCCGGCCTCGGGGTGTTGAATGCTCGTCTTTTGCTACCCTGTGATCCACTTGCCTGGTCTGCAAGCAGGAGGGCCTGGAGGCCAGGCCAGGCTCTTGCTCTTTCCAGATGTGTGCTGGTCACTCAGCCTCTCTGAGCTTCAGTTTTCCCGTCCTCCAAAGTGGGTTGTGCAAATCACACATGCGAGGTCCTGGCCCAGCCCTGGAACATTGTCCACTCACAGTAAATGAGATCTCTCGTCACTGTATAACCCTTGCTTGAGTAAAGTTCTTATCCAAACTGGCCTCAGCTTCCTCATTCATAAAATGGGCTGACTCTGCCTTGCATTCCCCTCTGTACAAAGCACAATGCAGGTATGAACATGACTCCTATCTCCAGATGAGTTTGAGATCCGTAAGAGCCTCTAGAATGGCTGGACTTTTAAAAAAGTGATCTTTAGCCAGTTGTGTTGGTGCACACCTGTAATCACTGGCCTTTTAAAAAAGTGATCTTTAGCCGGTTGTGGTGGTGCACACCTGTAATCTCAGCTACTCGGGAGTCTGAGGCAGGAGAATCGCTTGAACCCTGGAGGTGGAGGTCGCGGTGAGCCAAGATCGCACCACTGCACTCCAGCCTGGGCGACAGAGTGAGACTCCATCTCAAAAAAAAAAAAAAGAAAAAAAGTGATCATATCTTTTTTAAGTACTGAATTTTCCTCTCCCAATGCAGTAAAAGGAATTGTTTCAGTCTTCTGTTTATTTATTTGTGTCCAGCAAATAATCAAAGCTTGCAAGTTTATACATATTTTAATTTACTCAACAAACCTTTACTTATTGATTTATTGAACATTTACCAAGGTTGTGCCATGGCAAGTTCTGGAACTACAAAGGTGAATTCAACATAGCCCTGCCCTCGGACTCCTGCCTCTAGTTGGACACTTGAGCCCTGGTTGCTTGTTGACAACACCTGGGGGCTTTAAAAATACCTGATACCCAGGCCCACCCTAGACGGGAGTTTAAAGCTGCCCCAGGTGATGCTCGCATGAATCAAGGTTGAGACCTTTGGCTAAAACCAGTGGCACAAAGAGACCTGTATCAAAATAGAAACAGGTGAGGTGTGATGGAACTTAGACCCAAAAGACTGGGGGAGTTGCAGGCGAAGAGGTGGGGAGGACAGTGCACCTTCTCCGTGGCCCCCTGCTGCCAACACGGCCACTAATATGTTTGCAGGGTTTAGGCCAAACTCAATCCTGCCCTCCAGGGGTTCTGTGTCTTATGTGGAGTCTGGACTGAACATTGAGGTGGAAAAAGGGACACGTGTGTCTTCAAGAGGCCGCATCCAGGCCCGGCATATGCTTCCTGGGTGCTTTTTTTTTAAAAAGAGATTTTTTTGTTGTTGAGGTAAAATTCATACAATGTAGAATTCACCATTTGGACCATTTAAAAACATAGAATGTAAAAGGTCTTCAGTATATTCACAATGTTTGCAACCATCACCACCGTCTCATTCCAGATCATATTCCTCACCCCTAAAAGAAACCCATACCTACCATCCCCTGCAGCCACTGATCTTCCGCCTGCCTCCATGGATTTGCCTGTTCTGGACATTTCATATGAACCTGAGTGTTCAGAGGCAGGTGAGCAAGGCAGTCCAAGCCTCAGTTTTCTGATCTGCTAGTGGGGATGATGGCTCATTCCTCGCTGTCTCCAGGCAGAATGGAGAGGGGGGGTGTGTAGGGTCAGCCTGCCACCTAGCATGAGGCAGGTGCTCGGAGGGTGTGGCCCCATAATGGCAGGAGATTCTGCAGGATGGGGAGTGTGATCCTGGCTAAAAGTCTCCACCTTTGGGCTCAAGGGCTAGCTCCGGCACCCCTGGAACTCTGGTCTCAGGATGGCATTGTTCTGCGATTCCCAGCATCGGCTGTGATGCAGGAACAGTGAGTTGACATTCACCTTGGCATGAGTTTGCTGAAGGGTCAGCCAACCCTTTGCTCCTGACCAAGGCCCCACTCCCTGGTTCTGGGCTCTGGGACCTGATAGTGCCGGGCATTCTCTAACTTCCCATCCCTTTCCCTGCTCCTCCTCTCTCCAGCAGCAGGGTCCACAGTGAGACTCACCTAGTTAGAATCTTGTGACCTTGGGAAAGCCTCCTAACTTGACTAACCTCAACTTCCTGATCTGTAAAATGGGAGTCAGCCCACCACTTACTCAGTAGGGTTGTTTTGAATATTCACTGAGATAGAGATAGTTAGTTAGCCCAGGGCTTGGCATACATCGTTCTTAATAAATGTAGCTGTTGTGACGTTTGCTATTTCTGATCAGTATCACCTTCTTGGTCTGCCCACCCCCTTCAAGGCCTTCCTCTCTCTTGGGCACAACTTTCTCTGCCCAGAGGATCTTGTCAATTATTGCAGACGTTGGTCATGGCGACGTGAGGTTGGTTCAAGTCTTGTAGGCCACTCTGCCCATCAGTGGGCTCCAAGACTTGATGCCCTGTCATTTGTTCATTTGTTCATTCCTTCATTCAGTCCTTTCGCTGTGTCTCATGCACTGGGTAGAGATGAAAATAAAGAAGATATGGTCCTTATCAGTTAATCAGTTTGTATCTTATTTTCCTTCTTCATTTCTTCTTCTTGAGTTGCAGAACTTGACTTGGCCATGCACACTGAGGGCATGAAACCCAGTCATTGGTTTTGATTGTTTTGGTTTTGCTGTTCATGGGAAAATATTAAAGTGGATGTCTGCAAGGGGTCTTTGCTGGGTGTGGGGATATAAGTGGACTCATTCACCTTCAGGGCTGAGGAGCGTCTGCAATTTGTTTACCAAAGGTTTGTTGAATTCTCTGTGTCATGCTGCATGTGAGGCCCCAGGATGCAGTGATGACTAGAGTGAGGCTCCTGCCATTGCTGCATCCAGCTCTGTCCCGTGGTTGAAATCACACATGTGTCTGCAGTGGGCAGTGGCAAACTCATTTGAGTGGGAGAGATGCTGGCCTTGAGGGGAACCAGGAATTCCTTGGGTATCACCTGATGCTGGCTCTTGGAGGCTAGAGGCTGGCTTCTTGTCATCCAATCATCCATCTCTCCCAGCACACCTGACCCTGAGGTGACTCACACTCGGAAGGGCCAAATGACTTGCTCAAGGCCACCACCAAGGGAAGGCTGTGGGACCCAGACCCAGGTCTTTGGAATCTGGGTCTTGTTTTCTTTGCCTCTGCTGTTACCCAAGCACAATAGATGCCCTGAGCCATGTCTCAGGCAAGGGTGCTTTGAGGACATGTTCATTTCGTTGAACCATGAGGAGGCATTGGTTTGCTACCGTAGTGTCAAGAGTAGATGAGCATCTTCTGAAAAACTGGTCTTTAAAAAAATCTACAGCCACTGTGCCTTGTGTAAGTGGCCTGGCTCCCTCTTGGATGCTACCTGGAAAGGTGGAGAAAAATGTGTGGCCCTGAGTGCAAAGGACTTTTGGCTTCTTCTTTTCTTAGCAGCTTCATGTTGGGTTCAGTTTTAGGTCACTACCCTCATTTTATATATTATCGATGAAGGCAAATTAGAAAATCATCAAGTAACATAAATGACTTAGAAAGCATAATTTCTGGGGAAGAGAACTTTCAGCTGGCCTTTAGGGGGCTGCAGGGATGGAGCATGAGGGTCCTGAGAACTGGGGGTGCTAGGATTGGAGGTCTTCAGTGTTGACTTGGTTTCCCCAAAGTGACTGATCATTAAGAGGGAGAGGAAGAATGTCTAAGGGACATAATTTGAAGCAAGGATACTTATCACTTGCAAGCTTATTCCCACGGTCCTGATTCAGCAGCTAACACCTGCACTTTCTTTCCCCAAATTCCAGTGATTTGGAACCCAGGTGCCATGCTGTAGCTGTGTGGCCTCAGAAAGGAGCTTTGCCCTCGTGTAGACCTCCTTTTCCTCCTCGGGCTGATGAGAGGGTCAAAAGGAATAATATGTTCAGTGCTTACAATAGTGTCCAGTACAGGGTGGCCACTCTGCCAAGGTTAGTTAGCTCATCTTATTATGAAATTCATCTAGGATGCCCCACTTGTGTCCAGGACAAAGCAACCAGTCTAACCTATTAAGTGTCTGATCCGATCCCTGAGGACAGGAACTGTTTATGCCTCTGTGTCCTCAGCGGCAGCACAGGGCTGGACACATGGAAAGTGCATGCTGAGTGTTTGCATAAATGAATGCATGCATGGCTGGATGACAATGATGAAAGATCAACTCTGGAAGAGAAAGGAAGTAGGGAGGGGGCTTACATTTTGTAAGAGCCTGCCATTTGCCTGGGAGCATGTGGGGCCATGTCTCGGTTTTGGTTTCTCCAGGAACAGATGCTGAGACAAGGATTTAAGTACTAGTGGTTAATTGAGAGGTGATCCCAGAAAACACCAAAAGGGGAGTGGGGGGGACTCAACGGGGAAGGGACAGTAGCCAGTAAAGGGTGCTATGTCAAGCCAATAACCCCAGCTCAATTCCCCCAGGAGCTCTGGGAAATGGTGCATACATGCCTGAGAGTTACCCCATCCTGCAGGAGCCAGGGCATATATGCACTGCCTCCCACCAGGCACAATTAAGAGCTGGTCCAGGAAACGTCAGAGTCACTTTCCTGGGCAGATATATGTGGCTGGAAGGCACCAGCAGCATCTGCTACGGGCAGTACCTTTTTCCGCTGTGACTGCCATGGGTGACCTGACACCTGCTCACACTGGATGCCTCTCTCCCCTCTGCGGCTCTAGCTAGGAGTCCACACCTCTCTCTCCCACTCAAAAAAGTGCATCAGCATTTCAGCAAGTGTTCTCCTATCATGGGGAGACCTAAATAACATATTTAAGGAGCAGTAAATCACTCACAAACATTTATTCATTCAACAAATATTTATAGAGCACCGAGTGTGCCAAGCACTACATTGTGGTCACAGACTGAGGATGACGCAGTGGAGAAGACATGGTGAACCCGCAGGGAGAGTTCACGGGGGAAGATTAGGGTTCTGTTTTTTCTCATGTGGAGTTTGAGATGCCTGTGGACAGCTTTGGGGGCGGGGGGGCAGAACATGCAGGAATTGCAGGCTAAACAATCCCCAGGGAGGGGCTGGCTGAGAGGAGAGGTGTCCGACCAGGGCAGGTGTCCTGGAGGAGGTGCTGGCTGGGCTGGGATGGGAGACGATTCTTCAGCTGAAGGCGGGGGTGGGGGAGGGGAAGAAGGGCTGTGCTTCCACAGAGGGACCTGCAGGTTGGAGGCCAGAGAGCTTGGTCTGTCCTCTGAGAGATGAGCCAGAGGGGTGAGGGCGGGCCAAGCCCGGCAGCCTGCAGATTCTGGACTTAGTCTCCAAGCAGGGAACGGCAGCTTGGGCCAGGCAGTGCTGGGGGGTTAGAAGGGTGGGAGTTTGAGAACCTTCAGGACTCAGTGACCGACCAGACATGGTATGAGGGAGGAGGACTGCTGGGTGCCAGTGTCTGATCAGATGCTTCTCTCGGAGGAAGAATGTGACACACGGAGATCCCGAGTCCCAGGCTTTGACACAAGGTGTTGGAGGTGCCATGAGACAGCAGAGGAGGCATTGGCTGGTGCCTCTGGAGTTGAGGACAGAGGCCCGGGCTAGCCCCAAGGATGTGGGGTGGAGGCACCAGTGCTATGGCTCCAAAGCCATCAGAGATCACTGGGGAGAGCGTGGGGCGGGAGAAGAGACGGTGGGGACTGAGCCAGCAGAGGACCAGAGGGAAGGAGAAGAGCCAAAAACTGTGCTGGGACCTTGTGAGCCAAGGGAAGGAGCTGAGGACCGGAAGTGCTCACCGATTAGCAGACGGGGCACGCATCCACCCCACATCCACCCCCACTGCCCCTTACCCGCTCCTCCCTCAACCCTCCTCTAGGCCTGGCACCTGCAAGCTGCAGAGTGGAGTGGAAGGAAGGAGGAGGGAGCAGCCAGCTCTGAAACAAATGGCTGCTTCGGCTGGGGGCCATGGAAGACAATCGGTGGTGTGAGCTTCAATAGTCCAGGGAGGCTTCAGGGAGGAGGCAGAGCTCACTGCAGGCCTGGAAGGTGGGGAGAGATGAGCTCAGCCTCAGAAGGGTGAGCTGGCCTCCCAGGGTAGGCAATGGCATGAGCAAAGGTCAGGGAGCAGCATGGGTGTGGCCAGAGATGACCAGGGACCCCCAGTGCTGTCACAGGTGTGTGCACTGATCGGGGGTTTAGAGGCAGAGTCCCCGGGATGCCGGAAGCTGAGGCTCGGGAGGCAGGGGCAATGCTGGGGGGGCAGACTTTTATTCGATCAAACATTTCTTGAGCATTTCTGTATACTAGGAGCCTGCAACACACTATGGAACAAAATAGATCCTGAGTTCATATGCTGGCAGGGGGCAGAGGGACCAGAAAGCCATGGATATGCTCGCCCTGTGAGCTATCCAGTGTGCTGGAGGCAGCAAGTGCTATGGGAAAAAGGAAGCATGCAGCAGAACAAGCTGGGGTCGGGTCAGGTGGCAATCTGAAGAGAAGGTGGCATTTGAGTGGAGGCTGGCAGAGGTGAGGACCAATGCAGGCTGGCACCTGGGGAGACTGTCCCAGCAGAGAGAACAGCCAGGGCTGAGGCCTGGGGTGGAGGAGCAGCAAGAGGCCTATGTGCCTGGAGTGAAGTTGGGTGCAGGGACAGGAGACAAGGATGGAAGAAGCAGATGGAGTGGGGCCTACAGGCCCACAGAGGGTGTTTCTTGACTTGGTGTGAAGTGGGGAGCCCGTGTAAGGTAGGGCTGAGGACAGGAACGATCTGACTCACTCCCTATTGGACAGTCTGGCTGCTGTGCTGAGATGAGACTGTGGGGGTCAGGGCAGGAG
This sequence comes from Homo sapiens, assembly GCF_000001405.40. NCBI lineage: Eukaryota > Metazoa > Chordata > Mammalia > Primates > Hominidae > Homo > Homo sapiens. Next base: position 93,762,642 of record NC_000014.9, on the reverse strand, counting down.
CAGGGAGACCAATTACAAGCCTGCCACAGTGACTTGGGGGACAGGTGACAGCCACCGGGACCAGGTGGCACCAGGGGGGATGTGAGAATGGTTGGGTTCCGGATGGGAGCCTACTGTACTTCTGAGTCAGCCTGGTTCTGATGGGTGGTGTCCCAGGGGAACAGGACAGGGCACAGAGAAGATAGCTGGACCCTTTTCCCTGGAGTGGGCCTGGGATTGGGGGGTGGGGGGCTGTGCTGGAGCCAGGACGAGGCCATCTGATTTCATCTCCCAGCCAACCCACCGAGCAACAGCTCCAATCCCAGCAGGGATTTGATGAGGCCGCCAGTAAATGACTGGCTACTGGTGCAATTAAAAGGGGAGGGGAATGGTTTATGCATCTGCCGGGTGGGAGACGAGCACTATCACATCAGGGCTTCTTGGTGCAAAGTCGAGAGAGCTTCGTCACTGTCAGGAAGTGCTGGATTGGGCTGGGAAGGTGGGGCCGGCCCCACCTGCATCCCACAGGGTCCCAGGACTGGCGTGTCCCCAAGCTGCCTCCTGGGCTTCCACATTACCGCCCAGGCCCTGGCCCAGGGCAAGGCCCCTCTGACCATCGAGGGAGGTTGTTTCTGTGGATACAGAACAACAGTCAGAGTCTGTAAGCAATACCATGTGAGGGGTGTCCTAAGGAAATCAGTGCTGACAAATGAAACAGAAAATCAGAAAGAGGTGGAATATGCTGGGAGGCAAGAGCCACTCTTGGTTTTTGCTAAAAAAGTGCACAGCCCAAAACTCTTCTAATTTTCATAGTTAAGAACCAAGAAATGGAATCTGGGTGTCCAGCGGGAGGTCACTGCAGGTGGTCATGAGGTCCGTTCAGTCATTTATTCACTCAGTGAACATCTGTTGGGCACCGACTATGGGCCAGATGCTGTGGGAGAGGGTGGGGAGCTGGAGATATAGGGATGATTCTGGGGCGGGAATAGAGACTACAGAGAGGGCCCTACCTTCCATAGAGAAGGCATGCCCAGGAAGGTCTCTCTTTGAGCTGGCTGATATTGGAAGGAGGAGAAGGAATTAGCCCCTTGAAGACGAGGAATAGCATTCCAGGCAGAGGGAACAGCACATACAAGGGTCCTGTGGTACAACCATCAGGGTTTGAGAAACCCAGAGAAGGTCACACAGCTGGGCACAGTGACCACGAGGGACAGTGGTGTAAATGAGACTGGGGAGGTTAGTCCCAAAATCATGCAGGGCTTTATAAACCATAGCTTACATAGGACAGAGGTGGGTTTTTTGTTTTTGTTTTTGAGACAGAGTCTCGCTCTGTTGCCCAAGGTGGAGTGCAGTGGCACAATCTCCGCTCGCTGCAACCTCTGCCTCCTGGGTTCAATCGATTCTCATGCCTCAGCCTCCAGAATAGTTGAGATTACAGGTGTGCGCCATCATGCCCAGCTAATTTTTTTTTTGTATTTTTAGTAGAGACAGGGTTTCGCCATGTTGGCCAGACTGATGTCGAGCTCCTAGCCTCAAGTGATCCACCCGCCTTGGCCTCCCAAAGTTCTGGGATTATAGGCTTGAGCCACTGCGCCCAGCCAGAGGTGGGTTTTTTTTTCAAGTGCTATGGAAAACTGTTGAAGAGATTCTGACCATAGGGATGACACTTACAGATTTGCTTCTTAAGACAATCACTGGCATCTGAGTGGAGAATAGATTGGGGTGGGGGTAGTAAGAGGGCTGGCAACAGACCAGTCAAGAAGCTATAGATGTTGTCAAGGTGGTAGAAGTGGTGGGCTGGACTGGGGCAGCAATGGAGGGGGAGAGAGGTGATAGGTGCCAGATGTAGTGTGAAGGAAGATGAGAAAGTGAGGCCAACAAGTGTTTGCTAAGAGTTTGGTGGCCCTGGGGCCATCTGCCAGCAAGGCCATTGATTGACCCAGCTAGTGTGTACTGAGCACCTCCTGTGCACCAGGTGCTGGGTGGAGCAGCCAAGGATGAGTGAGAGCTGCTCCCTGCTCTGGTGGAGCTCACCAGCCAGGCAAGAGGGGATAAGAAGCTGTCAGCCAGCAGGGAATTCAATGGGCACCAAGTGCTGTAGATGGGCCGTGAGCCATCAGGGATGGCTGCCTGGAGGAGGTGGCACTAAACTCTGCCTCCGAGAAAGTTAGGACTCTGAAGAGCAGAATAGGGAGGGGTGGAAGGGTGGGTGGAGGAGATGCTCCAGGTAGAAGAAATGGCATTCACGAAGACGGGTGGTATAGGAGGTTTTGGGGAACCTCAGTACAGTCCCACTTAGGGGAGGTAACAGGAGTGGGAACTGTCTCAGGGTGGATGGGCAGAGGAGTCTGGCTGTGATTCTGGAAGATCTAAAGGTTTCTGAGCAGCTGAGTTAGTCGAGGTAGGACAATGAATCTCACGGAGATGGGAAGGAGGCCGAGTTCCCCGCTCATGTGTGTGTCTGTGTTCGGTTCCTCACTGTGGCAACCACTGATTTCAAAGATTGTGCCAAGACGTTGCCTTGTTTTGTTCCCCCTGGCAGCCCAGGCTGTGGGGCTTGATTTATGCTGCCTCTCCGTCTGCTCCTGTCTAAATATGGTCAGGCAGCCCTCGGGGACGGCAGCTGTTGCCCTGTGGCAAGGGCCTTCCTGCAGCTTGTCAGCACCGGCTGTGACCTGGCTGTGGCATCTGTGCTGCCCTTCGGCCCCTGGAGGAGGAGCCCAGTAAAGGTTCAAGTGTCTCAGGCCAGCCTGTCTGGGAAGCTTCCAGACTGTGATGTCCAGGCCGGGGCCTCTGCCAAGCAGGGCAGGGTGGTGAACACCACGTCCTTCCTAGAAGCTCCTCTGCCAGGGACACCTCCCCCTCCCCACTGCTTGCTCTCGCTGGTCTGTGGGGCTCCCGGGGACAGAGCTGCCACTTGCCTTCTCACTCCACCAGGAGAATGGCTGGGCTGAGGAGATTCTAAGCTCCGTCTGTGCTGGAAATGCAAAGCGTCCTGGAACACTCAGGGAGGCTTCTCATCATAGGTGTTCTTTCTCCTTTCCCTCCCCTCCCTCTCTAGCCCTCTCCGTCATGCTCTCTTTTTTGCAAGTTGACGTGACTCCTCCCACGTGCATGCACACACAATACACATGCACACACACGCACACACACATGCACACGCACACATGCACGCGCACACACATATATGCATGGACTGCCCCCCGCCCCGCCCTTCGCTCTCCTTCCCTTTCTCACCTTGAGCAGATTTTATCCCACCAGTGGTTTTCAGTCAGGGGTAGAAACACCCCCTAGGATGCATTTGGAAATGGGGGTGTCTAGGTTTTGGTTGCCACAGTGACTAGGGAGTAAGCACTACCGGCATTTACTGGGCAGGAGCCAGGGATGAGAAATGTCATGCAACTGCAGGGACAGTTTCACACAACAGAGAACTGTCCCTCCCCATAAGCCAATAGAGACCCGCTGAGCAACTGCTTAGCCCTCAAGCCTCCTTTCCAAGCAGCCAGACTTCAAGTCCTAACCTCGTGCCCTGCGGAGAGTTGATTCTTTCCATTTTTGGAAAATTCAGTGACCCCCGTTGCTATCATGGAAAGCGACAGCTGTCTGTTTTGATGGTTCTGTTTCACTGCTGTATGATAGTTTTGGGCTATTCCAGATTCACTTGTGAACCATTTACTGAACACCTACTACCTGCCAACAACAGAGAGATGCAAAATATTCAAAACCCAGGCCAAGCCCACAGAGAGCGGGCAGGTAGCATTGCCGATTGTCTTTGGTGGTCTTTGATGACCCCACCAACATGCAGGCCTCTGGAGGGTAGACAGTGGGCCCTCATCATCCCTGAACCCACCCCACAGAGTCCATTGCACAATGCTTTGCTCATGGTACACTTAGGAAATAGGTGGCACATTGAGTTGATCCAGGGACTCCACATTGGTGGCTACTGACATTCTAAGTGGCTGGAAGACAAGAGTGTCTGTGTCCTTCATCAGGGCTTTTGTTCTACTCTTTGCTTTTGAATGTCGATTATTTCTTTTTCTTTTTCTTTTTCTTTTTTTTTTTTTTTTTTGAGAGTCTTGCTCTGTTGCCCACGCTGGAGTGCAGTGGTGCAATCTTGGCTCACTGCAACCTCCACCTCCCAGGTTCAAGCAATTTTCGTGCCTCAGCCTCCCAAGTAGCTGGGATTACAGGTGCACACCACCATTTAAATACAAAAATTAAAAATAATTTTTGTATTTTTAGTAGAGATGGGGTTTTGCCATGTTGTCCAGGCTGGTCTTGAACTCCTGACCTCAAGTGATCTGCTTGCCTCGGCCTCCCAAAGTGCTAGGATTACAGGCCTGAGCCACCACACCCAGCCAAATGTCAATATTTCACTGGAACTTTTTTGTCATCTTATGTGGTCAGCTGCTCATATTTAGGCCGCGTCTTTAAAGACTTGATGTGTGTCAAGACTTCATTGGCCATCCTGTCTTTGGTTGGTTCCCTAGTGGCAGAGCCGAGTAAGCTGAGCTGAGACAGGGGTGTACCCAGGAGGAAGCTGTAAGGAAGCGAGGGAGGCAGGACAGGAAAGTGAAGGAATGAGCCAGGGCGTGGTTTCAGCTGGAATGTTCCATGGGAACCCCCCCGTATCTCTGGAGTGAGAAGCCTCACAAAGGAAGTTCTGCCTTGAGGCCAAGAGCAGCCTCCTAGGCCCCCCATCAAAGCATCATCGGCTCCCCGCGAAGGGAACCTGTGGGTGGACACCAACAGTGTCCGTCATGTGTTCCTCTTAGAAGTGAGGAGAGGCTCCCTCCTTCACACACAGGGTTCTCTTCAAGTTCTTGGCCTAAACATAGCAGAATCGAATGGCATTAAGAGCTACCAGGTTTATCTTCCTGCTTTTGAGATTTTAAAATATTTCCCTCCGTTTCCTCTCCCTTCATTCCTTTTTTTCCCCATTTCCACTAAACTTATGTTCCCACCAAGACAAAGCCCACCACTCAGCCCACTGCACAGACTCAGAGAGCTTGAACGACTCCACACAAGGAAGAGGCCAGCTGTCACCACGTGGCCTTCAACCACAGACCAATTGCTGGGCGAAGCCCCCTCCCTCCAGCCCCCACCCCAGGCCGGAACCCTGGACTCCTTCACAGTCAGAAATACATGAAGGATTTTCTTCCCATCTCTGAGAACATTCTGGTCCTTATAAGCAGCAAAGCAGTTTATCTTTTTATTCAACTAATCTGAGATGCTTTCTGTGGGCCACTTAAACCCTGTGGGATTAGCCGGCTCTGACGTGTCCATAGAGCCGCTCATCCCTCCCATCCCTCCGAAGGGAACGGATCGGCGGGAGTGTGAGCTCGAGCTGGTGGTGGTGGCTGATGGTTCTCAAGTGCGGCCGTGTCAGAGGGGCAGCCATTAAGTAAGAGGACTCCCTTCCTTCCTTCCTTCTTTCCTTCCTTCCTTCCTTCCTTCCTTCCTTTTTTTAAACCCACGTCTCACAATTTCTCCATCCCCACTTGGAAGTGTTCCCACTGCGTGCTGGCTCTGACAGTTCTGTCACTGCTTGGAAACTTTCTAGATTCTTCCCTACAAGGGTTTAGACTTGAGTGACCCAAATGGGAGAAATATTTCGCAAAGGCCATGATAAAAAGGTTGGGTTTTCTTCTATCTCTGGTAAGAAGCCTTTGAAGGACACTGAGCGGGAATGTAATAGGATCTCACTTCACTTTACAAAGAACCCCCTGGGTACCGTGGAGGGCAGGCAGAGAGACTGGCCCAGAGGCTGCTGTGGAGGACACGTTTGAAGGGGACTTGCTGCTGGATTGAACAGAGGGAGGGCTAAGGGAAGGCTTGTCCGAAAGACCCGGGTTCCTGAACTGAGCAGCTGGGTGAATGGAGGATTGGGGGAGGAGAGGGGCAGGGGAAAGATGAAGGTTGGTTTTGGACAGGGAACCCAGAGCCGGCCTGTGGACCACCCCAGTGGAGACACTGAGTCGCAGCTGGATATGGAAGTCAGGGGGCTGGGGGACGTGCTGGGGCCGATGCTGTACACATGAGAGTAGTTGGCATCTGGCTGGGACTTGAAGGCATGGGACTGATCAATTTGTGGGGAAGAGCATCGATAGGGCCGGGGCGGGGTCGGGGTCCGGGGCCAGGAGCTATAGGACCTTTCCTCCTGCCCACCCTCGGGTAAGACGCCCGGGCAAGCCAGGGAGAGGCAGAGGACAGCCCCAGGACCTAAGAAGGCTGCATTTATTTTTTACTTTCCATTTTTTAGGATGACAGCTTCATTTCCCTCCTTTATTCCCAGAGAGATGATAGATTAAAATCAATCCATGTCTGAGGCCACAGCCTGGGCCACTGCCCCTCAGAAGTCCAGCAGTGGCAGCCATTAGATACTGCACTAATGAGCCACGCCCAGTGTTTAAAAAAAGAAAAGAAATGGTATTTAAAATCAAAGATATTTCTTATCTTAGGCCAGGCAAGGTGGCTCACACCTGGAATCTCAATGCTTTGGGTGGCCAAGCCTGGAAGATCACTTGAGGCCAGGAGTTGACCAGCCTGGACAACATAGCAAGACCCAGACTTAAAAAAAAATCCAGATTTCTCTATTGTCTTTTAAAAATTGGCATCTCACAGGGCTCTCAACCTGGATTGCAGACAGCACGAGGCTAGGGAGGGAGAGAAGGAGAGAAGAGGCAGCTGCGTGTGGGAGAAGAGCTTCGGGTGGGGAAGAGTAGGGCCACGGAACCGCTGGAGTAATCTCTGCTCTCTGGGGTGCATGGCGAGCCCTTCCTCACCTCGCCAGGCACTCGTGGGTACAATGCTGGGTTCTCATTACCCTTGTGGGTTGGCTCTGGGGGGTGGGAGGGATGCTGAATTGTCTCCACAGTGGATTTGGGCCAAGGTCCAAGGCCACAGGAGCCCATCATGTCTGGTTTTCCACGTCTCCAGCTACCAGAAGTACTGGAAAAGGGCTGTACATGCCTTGTCTGGGTGTGTTCTGGAAATCGGAATATTTCAAATTTTAGCAAAGTAGTACCATGTATAGACCATAGATGAAGTAACACCACCAGGCAGTCCAGTGCCCAACGATATTTCTCTAGTGAAATATGTAGCCATTCACACTAAGTGAGATGAACCAAGACCACAAAGAACCCCATTCCTACTCGGCTCTGGTTTTCCTACTCAGTTAGTTTTGGCATCAAACTGCTTTTTGGGTTAGGAAATTACCAATAAAGGGTTGGAGTCCTACATCTGAAAAACAGCCTCTCCTGAACTGGTGAGGTAAATTGTGGTACATCCATTCAGCTCGTAAAAAAAAGAAGGTGGCCCCCATCACACCGATGTGAAAGCATTGCCACAGGTAACAAGTGGAATGTGCACTGCATCTCACAGTCATAGCATCCCGGCGTGTGCAGGGTGCTCGCACTCAGGATACATATATACACACACACACACATCATCTTGAAAGATACATGGGAATCGGTTACCTCCTCCAATGGTTGCCTCTGGGGAGGGAGCACCTGAGCTAACTCTTAGGCCTCGGGTTTTTTTCCCCCACTGACCAGCTTCTGGATGTTTCTAGAACCTTCCAGGTTATTGGTTATATTTTATGGTTCAGGAGAGTCCAGAATTGGGAATGTCAGTTCCCAGAGAGCTTTCGAGACCTCACCTCACTTCCTGGTGAGGAGCCAAGCCAGCCGTGCCTTCCCAAAGGCCTCAGCTGCTGTGGCGCTTGCTTCTGGTAACTTTGGTTTTCTAAAGCAGGTGGACGTGGCTGGTTTCTGAAGCGTCACCCTGTCTGTATGACGCAGCCCTCACCTCTGAGACCCCATTCATGTCCCTGTCAAAGTAAGGTGATGGAACAGTCGATTATGGTGAGCTGCATGGCCGGCTGTCATGAAAAATAAAGAGTGGGTGGCAGTGACTGGGTTCTTGAGGGGCTCAATGTCCACTGGATTTTGAAATAATGTGCTCTGGGAGCTCATGACTGTAAGGAATTAAAGGGGAAGAACTTGTCCTGAAAATGATATACATTTCTCCCTTGCCGAGAAGTTTAATTCCCTTTTCCCTCCCTCCTATGATCCAAGGTGTGGGTGTGGCCAGCTTTGCCCTCTCTGGTCTTGCTCACCTATCACAGTCTCTTCGGTTGAGTTTAGTCTTGCTGTCTGCCCTAGGGAGGGATGGATAGAGGGCTGGAGAAGGCGGGGACCAGAGGACAGAGGTCAAGGCCCCCCCCACCATGGCCCCCCTAGGCAATGTTAAAATCTTTTATGCTGGACCAAGGCACTGCTGCTAAAAATCTAGTAGCAGTGGTCTCTGCCTGGTTTGCAGTGGGACATGATAGAAAGAAGATGGACTTTGGGGTCAGATTGTCCCAGAATCCCAACTCCACAATTGGGATTGTGAAGAGCTCCACAAGCTCTTCGTTGAGCTTGTTCTCACTTCAGTCAAGGGGGACAGTGACACCCACAGCTCCTGATGGATCAGGAAACTTAAATCAGATGTCACCTGGGCAAGGTGCATGACAAGTGCTTAGCAACTCTTATCATCACGTTTTTATTAAGCAAGTGAACATCCTTTAATATAAATATTTTCCTCCATAAAATTTTCTGAAACCTTAAGCATTTGCTCATTTGCCAGCAGATGGCAAGTAACAAACAAACCCTAGCGAAGGCTCAGAGACAGCACAGCAGGCCCAGCCCAGAGGGGTGGCCTTTTGCATGAACATAAGCAACGGTGCCCGTGACTCTGTGTAAATCGCCATCATAGCATCTGTTATGAAGGGAAAGGCAGTTCCTGGTTCACATTGTGGGATTTCGTGTTTCCGGGGGTTTGGCAGCGTGCACTTTAACTGGGAGCTGTTCTGCCTGGAATAGGTCAAAGTTGCCCTGCTCACCTACACCTTCCTTCCATTATCAAAGGAGTCCTCTCCACAAAGGGGGCAGCATCATCTCTCCACTTAGGCAAGGGTGGGTCTCCAGTGGCCTTTGGGAAAGCTCTGTTGTCGGGCCTTCTGCCTGGGAAAGATGGCGAGGTTCTGCTAGCTGGGTCAGTGAGCAACATCCATTGGTTTTTGCCCCCTGCTTCCACCAGAGAAAAATAAGGCCATAGAAGCAGCGCCTGCTCCCTGCTCCCAAGTTTCTGTGTCATCCCTGCCAGCAATCAGAGAAGGCCAGAGGCCACCATTTCCTGGAAGAGATGTTGGCCTACCCCCTATCCCTGTACCATCTGCCCCTCCCAAGAGTGAATGGGTTCCTTGTTCTCAGATTTAGAATGAACTGGACCGTGGGTGGCAAAGGCCCATTGTCTCTGGACTTGGCAGAGAGAATTATGGATGCCTTGGAAATAATGCCTTGGCTTCTTCTTGGACCCTGTTACAGACAGTTCCACTGCACAGCCTCTGAGTAGCCAGGGGTCATCCTGAAGGCAGTTGGCTTGGAATCTCAGAATGTCCCAGCTGGAAGGCCATCCAGTTTAACTCCTTCAATTGGCTGGGATTGGTGCAGTGCACTTGGGAGGCCAAGTCAGGCACTGTTGGCTGTGCCTGTGTTGGACGCATCAGTCTCCACCAAGTGCAGAAGCCAGGAAAGAGCCCTGGCCATCTTCCAGCCCTGTGGCTCTCTTAGTTTCCCAGGGGACATCTGGTCATCGCAGCTGGGGGAGGGGTGCTACTGGCATGTAGTGGGTAGAGGCCAGGGATGCTGCGAGGCATTCTATGGTGCACAGGACAGCCCCAACCATAAAGAACTATCCAGTCCAAATTGTCCACGATGTCGATGTTGAGGATCCCTGCCCTAGCCCAAGGTCACCACTCCCATTGGGCAGATGGGCATTTGATGTCCAGAGAGGTGAAGTGACTTGCAGATGTCCAAAGGGCTTCGATGACAGTGCCATAACCCAGGTTGCGTGCCCCGGATCTTCAGACTGGGCTGCTTGTCCAGACAGAGAACTCAATTTCCAGGCAGGAGCTGGCTGCCAAACCTGCCCAAGTCTCGGTGTGCCCTATCCTTGGACAAGCCAGCGTCACAGAAATTGTCTTTGGATATTGCACTGGTGGAGTTCTCGTGGGCCTGGGGCCTGGCCCTGTTTCACCACAGTGGCCCAACTGCCCATTGAGGAGGCTGGAGCCGGGGCAGCCCTCTGCTTGTTATTTTCAGGAAGATATAGTGAGTACTTAGTACTTTTTAGATTCAGGTGTTCCACTCAACAAGCCACGTGGCTGCTGAAAGAGAGAGGGAGTGAGGGGCCCCGCGTGGGGTTGGAATATGACCTGGCATGTTTCCAGCTCAGCAGAGCGTTGGCTTGCCGGGGGCGGGGGGGTCTCCCTCCTGCGGTCTCCCAAGCCCTGACTGTGACTTTACTCGCAGCTCTGTGACTTTGCTTCTTTGACCTTCGGAACCCTCAGTTTCCTTATCTATAAATAGTTCTAATGATACCTGCCTTGCCTGTTTGAGGGGGAGGGATCTGAGAATCAAATAAAAGAATCTAAGGAAAATGTGCTTTGAAAGTAGGTAGCACTGGCAGGATCCGGGTGGCTGTCTCCATTTGCTTTCAGTAGGGTAAGAAAACGGCTCCTGGCTGCCTTTCTGGAAAGAGAAGCGAGCATCCCACCTCCCAACACTCTGGACGGCCCAATACACTTTCTGCGATGGTGGAAATGATCTAGGTCTGTGCTGTGCGAAATAGTAGCCATTAACCACGTGTAGCTATTGAGCACTTAAAATATGGCCAGTGCAACAGAGGAACTGAATTCTTGATGTATCTAATTTTAAGGAGTTTAAATTTAAGTAGCCACATGTGGCTGGTGGCTACTGTATTAGACAACACAGCTCTGGACTGTCAATACGGATATTGTTTTCTTCAATACTACGTATGGTTTTGTCCCAGAGCCACAGACATTTCAGGTTTATTCCTTTTTTAACAAAGACCAACTGAGCAGCAGTGATTCTTCTCAGCCGTGTCATCATCCCTTTTTGGTCCCAACTTGGACTCAAATCATTCTTAGCTTAACCCTACAGGACCCTTTTAAACAGGACTTAGGCTCTGTCCAGAGACTAGCAAAGGGTGGTCCTGGGAAGGAGTCATCTAGAATGTGGAAAGTTCACATGCATCTCATTGGGATATAATTTCATCTCTTGTTTGATGCTTTAGAAGGAGGCCAGGAGCTTTCAGCATCTTGGTAACCTCATGTCTGGGGTTCCTGATGTGGAACCTGTCCTCAGACCCTAACGCAAGAATTTTTAAATGAAGTGCTCCCCAGGAGAGACTGAGGAGGCAACGGAAGTGGTAGGGTGGAGCAGGGGGGAAGCCGAGTGAAAGCACCATCTCAGGCCAAGTCCTGCAAAGGCAATTTCAGCCTATAGTTGTCCCCAGCCAGGCTGTCACACTTAGCACCTGTCAGTTACTGGTGGAGGATGCTCTGCAGGGCATGGGACTTCACTTCCTGGGCTCCCCACCTTGTGCATAGCCACCCTGGCAGCCCTAGTGCAGACCCTGAAGAAGGGCTGCAGGTGCCCGAAAAGTCAGACGTGTAGCTTCAGGTGACGCTTTTCTGCCTCCAGAGCAGAGTCCCTGCGTCCCGGCCAGCAGGTGGGAAGCAGCTCCCCCGAGCCTTCCAGGGAATGTTGTCACCCTTTGACGATGGGAAACTGAGGCTTGTAAAATGTAAGTGCTTTGTCTGGGGGTTTCTTAGTGGGTATGGTGTGGCCAAGTCAGGATCCAAATTTGTGCCTGTCTTTCTGCTGTGCTTTGCTTTCTGACCACATTGTCACCATGAAAACTCCGAGGCAAGATGGAGCCCTGTGCCCCATGCCCAGAGACTTCCACCTAGGCCTTGGTGTGACATTTGGGGTAAAGGGCCTTTCTAAAAATAATACGGAAGGAGTGGGTTGTTTACTTGCAAAATACAAATTTGTGGTATAATTTCAGGACACTTTCAGACCACTCTTCTAAGCTTGTCTAAGAATCTCAGGTTAAGACTCCTCTAAATTAGGGGTAAAAAAACTTTCTGTAAAAGGCGAGATAGTGTATCTTAGGCTCTGCAGGCCATACAGACTTCCATGGACAAGGTGTAAACAAATAGGTGTGTCTGTGTTTCAGTAAAACTTTATTTATAAAACAGGTGGTGGGCCAGATTTGGCCTTCAGATCAGTGTCAACCACTGGTCTAAGTTGACCCTGAACCCCTCTGCAAAGTGATTACAACAAATTAGACAGAGCACGTTCTACCTGATGAAGCATTCATGAGGGCCCCGTCATGTTTGTTTTGAGACAGGGTCTTGCTCTGTCACCCAGGCTAGAATGCAGTGGCATCATCATAGCTCACTGCAGCCTCAAACTCCTGGGCTCAAGCCATCCTCTTGCCTCAGCCTCCCAGTGCAAGTCCCAAGTAGCTGGGACTACAGGTGTGCAGCACCATGCCCAGATAATTTTAAAATTTTTTGTCGCACTATTTTTTGTCTCACTATCCCAGCAAATTTTTTTTTTTAGACGGAGTCTCACTGTATCTCCCAGGCTACGGTGCAGTGGCACGATCTCGGCACACTGCAACCTCTGCCTCCCGGGCTCAAGCGATTCTGTTTCTCCTGCCTCAGCCTCCCAAGTAGCAGGGACTACAGGCATGTGCCACCATACCTGGCTACTTTTTTGTATTTTTAGTAGAGATAGGGTTTCACCATATTAGCTAGGCTGGTCTCGAACTCCTGACCTTGGGTGATCTGCCCGCCTAGGCCTCCCAAAATGCTGGGATTACAGGCATGAGCCACTGCACCCAGCTTACTTATCCCAGCTAATTTTTTAACTTTCTGTCTTGCTATGTTGCCCAGGCTGGTCACAGACTCCTGGGCTCAAGCTATCCTCCTGCCTTGGCCTCCCAAAGTGCTGGGATTACAGGTGTGAGCCACTGCACCCAGCCTCATCACCTGTTAATTAAGTGCCCCCATGAGAGAAAGCAATCTATTGAGCATCAACTAGGTGCTGGGGCTCTGCTGGGCGTTTAATATATACCATTGGGAGCATTCTCCCTTCCCAAGGTCACGAGCTCTCACAAGCAAAGATGAGCTCATTACGTTCAGTCAGCTCACACTGGCTCTCCATGTCAAGTCATTCTCATTTTTGTTTGTCAGCTTCCTGTTGTTGTTACCAAAGTCACATGTAGTTAAGTGTCTCGGTGAGCTGGGAATCAGTCTGCATTTACTTGGTGATGATTTAATGAATGTCCAATTTCCAGTAGATTATAAGCGTCATGAGGACAGGGTCCATCCTGTCCCCAGTGCTAGCATGGTGCATGGCACACAGCAGGCTCTTAACAGATGTGTATTGAGCGAATCAGTGAGTGGATTCGCAGCTGAATGAGGAGGAGTCATCAAGGCAGCGAGGGTGGGTGGGCACAGTTCTGCATGTGGCCCCCTCTCGTTGCTTCTCAAAGGCACTGGGCTGCCCTAAAGCTGGCAAGTATGCGGACCTTCTGCGCAGCCGTGCGTCTGCAGCCCTGGTGGGAACAGAAGGCCTGGCAGATCTGGGGAGGGGACCAAGGGCCAGGACAGAAAAAGGGTGGAATGCAGCTACTAAAAGAGAGTAGATGCTGTTGAGTAACAAGGCCTTGCCTTAAGGAGTCTAACAAAGAGGGCTATTTGGGCAAAAACAAGGGGGACGTGTTCTCCAGTCGCTACCAGAAGCGTAATTAATTCTATCAGGCAGTGTCCTGCTGTTCCCGGCTCCTGCCCCAGCCTCCACCCAGACCCTCCCTTGCACCGGGAAAAGCTGAGGCTGCCCCCACCAAGAGACATAAGCCCGATTCATAATTTTCCTTTCCTAATTAGGCACAGGAATGATGGAGACAATTATTAATAATGTATTGGGGTTTTTTTTAATGTCCCCTCAGGAGCCGAGCCTGAGAACAGTGCCCTTGATGATAAGCAGCCAATCTGCCACCACACTGGGCTCCGCGCACAGAGCACCAGGCAGAAATAGATAAGCCAGGGGAGCAAGTGGCCCGCAGAGCACAGGCTACAGATAAGGAGCCATAGATGGAAGGGCACAGAGCCCCTCACCCAGGGCTCAGGAAGGGCCTCGGCCACCAGCCAGGGGGGCAGAGAGGCTCCCGGTGCCGCTGCCTGTGTCCCCCGTTCCTTCCTTTGCTGGCACCTTCTCACAGGACTGCTCCTGCACCCTGTCGGGCTCAGCTTGAACGTCGCCTCCTCAGAGAGGCCTTCCTGATGCCCAGGGTGGCCCTATCGCCCCTTTCCACACACTGCGTTGCTCCCTCCAGTCCCCCAAAGCGTCTCTCCTGGCCGTTTGTCACATGCGGGGACTTGCCTGCTTTGTGTCTATGCAGCCGTCACAGGTTGGCCCTGGGGCCAGACTGTCTGGGTTCAATCTCAGTTTCGTCATCTGGCCAAGCATTGTCCTTGCTCCCTGTGGGCCCCTCACCCCTCTCTCCCTGCTCTCACTTTATCACACACACCGGGCACAGGCCCCCTTGGGCTCAGCTCTTCCCCCTCGCCTGGGCCACAGCCATCAGCACTCACACAGTCTCTCACACTCATGCACACTCATTCACACACATACACATTCACACACTCATACGCACTCACACACATACACATTCACACTCACATACACACACTCACACACTCCCACACACAGTCCCCCACTCTCACACACTCATATACACTCTCCCACTCAGTCCCAACTCATACTCACACACTTATACACACACACTCATACACACACACTCACATAATCACACTCCACACAGTCCCCCACTCTTACACACTCATACACACACTCTCCCACTCAGTCCCCACTCACACACACTCATACACACACTCATACACTCTCACACACAATCACACTCCCACACACTCAGTCCCCTTACACTCTCACATACTCATACACACACTCTCCCACACACTTGCACTCCACACACTTCCCACTCGCACACTCATATACACACTCATACACTCACACACTCATATGCACTCCCATGTACTCTGTCACACACTCACTCTCACACACTCATACACAATACTCCCATGCACTCACACACTCCCCCACACACTCTCACACACTCATACACAATACTCCCATGCACTCACACACTCCCCCACACTCACACTCTCACACACTCACACACTCCACCTCCTGCCTTGAAATCCTTCCCATGACTTCTCCCCCCAGATATGGCTCCACGATGCCGCTCCCTTTTGCAGCAAAACTTGAACCGCGAGTTGTGCATCCCCACCATTTCCATTTCCTCTCATTCTCTCTTTGACTCCCCGAATCCGGCTTCCTCCCTCCACTCCCGCCAAACCACTTTTCAGCGGCCAGCAGCAACTGCCACGTGGCACCATCCCATGGCTGGCTCCCAGCCTCGCTGTACTTGACCATCAGCTGCGGTGGACACACTTGACCTCCCCTCCTCCTGGACGTCCCTTCCTGACGTGGCTGCAGGACCGGATGGCTTGGGCCGCCTTCCTCACAAGCCTCCCCTGTCACCCTCCTCTGCACCTCCTCATGTTGAGGTGCCCCAGGGCCAGGCCTTGGCCCTCTTCTCCCCTCTGCCTACCCTCTCCCACTTGACAACCCCCTCCAGTCTCAGGGCTAGGTGCTGGCCACTGCCAAATGCCTGCCTCCAGTTCTCGATTCTCAACGCAGAGTCCGGCCCCAGCTGCTTTCTCACTGTCTCCCGTGGTGTGTGACAATTTCAGACTTCACACCTGACCTCCACACCCGTCCCAAAGCTGCACGGACCCAGTAATCTTCCCCATCAGTTGGTGACAGCTTCCTCCTCCCACAAGCACAGCCCCAAACCCTCAGAGTCATCCTTAGCTCCTCTCTGTGTCTGCTGCCCACATCCACATTTCCATGAAATCCACCTCGAGAGCATTTCCAGACTCTGACCTTTCCTCACCGCCTCTGCGGAGAACCCTGAGTCTGAGCCCCGCCATCTCGCTGCTAGGTTATCAGCAGTATCCCCGCAGCCTCCCGCCCTTCCCCCACGCCACACACCCAGTTTAAACACAGAGGGACTGTGCTGACCTGTAGGTCAGAATTCACCACCCTCTCTTAAGTCCTCCCCATGGCCTCCTTATGGCATCCCCATGGCCCCATGTGGTCCCATCTCCTTCTAGTCTCCCCTCGCGACTCCCTCTAGGCCACACTGGCCTCCTTCCTGCTCCCCAGAACTGCCAGGCCCACACTCACCTCCGGGCCTGCACTCCAGCCATTCCTTCCCCCAGATACCTGTATGATGAACTCCCTGCCGAATTCCAGTCTTTGCTCCAGTGTCTCCTCTGGAGACTGACCCTGACCACCGTGCGTCACACTGAGAGCCCCCCAACCCTGCACCCCAGCACCCTCAGCCCCCATAAGCTGCTCAGCTTTGGAGTAAAGGACACAGCAGTGTGCAGGAGGAGAAGCCACCTCCTCTGCATCTCCCTTAAGAGCTGGGAAACCATTCCCAGGAGCCCCCAGCAGACTTTTCCTCTCCTGTCCTTGCGGGAACTCTATGACCTCTAAACCAATTAGGGGCATAAGTACTGGAACAACCAGGCCCGGCTGCGACCCCTGAAAACCGACCTCCTAGGCTGAGCCCGCCTCTCCCAAAGCCTAGGCCCTCTGGAGGGTGGGGGATATAGGAGGGGAATCAGAGTTCTGCAGGGAGAAGGGGAAGGATGGGGGCAGCGGCGGAGGGGTGTCTGCTGCTGGCTCTCTGATCGTGTCTCTCACGTTGTCTTTGCACCAGCTCTGAGGAGGCGGTTCTGTTGCCTTCCCCCGACTTACAGTGGAAGAAACTGAGATTAAATCTAACAGAGTCAATGACTTGCCCAAAGTCAGGATCTGGATTTTAACTCCTGGTACTTCTGATTCAAAGCCCGTGTGGATAACCACTGTGCTGAACTGGGCAGCTGATGTGATATCCCAGGAAGGAGGGGCTGGCAGGGGGATGGGACAACCGTGATAACCCAGCAGACCCAGCACAGGGCTGGAGTCAGGAAGAAGGTGGAGAGGGGGTTGAAGGGAGCAGCCACAGGATGTGGCCACTCAGAGGGCAGAGGGAATGCCCAGGTGGGGGCCTGAGCCAGGAGGAAGGCACTGCCCCAGCGGTATTGAGGAGCGTGGGGCAAGGAGGCCCCACTCCCTGCTGGATGCCTCCAGCACAGGGGGCCCACCAGGCTGGGGCTGGGGGCCTGAAAGGCGCTGCACACACAAAGCAGTTGCTGAGAAGAGGTTGAGGGCAGAGAGGATGTTTTCAGGGCCACTCGTACAGCAGTGAGGGTGGGACCCGGGGCTCTGACAACTCTCCCCATGAAGCTCAGCGAAGAGTCCAGCCTGGCCCACCCTTGTGGCTTGGGCTGCTCTGGAGCCCTGAGACCGTCCTGGTGGCATATTGAGGTCTGACTTCCTGCCAAACCACCCACCACAGGCTGACCAAGGCGTTATGCATATCCACAGGCCCACTGTTCCTGTCTATGGTGGGTGAGAGGGGGGACGTGCTCAGTGCTGCCGGCCACCGAAGCCCAGCTTCCTGGGGCAGGAAGGGGCATGGTTGGCATGCAGGAGGCAGTATGGGGGAGGTGGGCAAGAGACAGACTGCCCCAAAACAGGCCAAGCCAGCATCACTTCCCGGGGACACTCCCCTCCCACCCCCGCCCCGGGCTACAGGCTGCAGGGCAAGAGACCCGTTTAGGCTACAGTGCCCACAAGCTGCTTCCCTCCTGCACAGTAGAGAAGGGTGTGTCCCTTAGTTTTGGAAAAGGCAGGCCACTGAGGCACCCCCAGGAGCTCTGTGCCCCAGGGAGGCTAAATGCACCTCCCTGGCTTTCTGTCAAGCATGGGCCAGGCACGGGTGCCTCTCACCTGTGGTTATGGGCAGCCAAGAGCTTCCTGCTGTAGGAATCCGTGATTGGAGGGAGGAATTGGGGAGACTTATGAAACAGGGGGTCTCCATGCTAAACCCAGAAGCCTGAGCCAAATTCCCACTGGCAGAGAAGGCGTGGGGGGGCCCTGAATTGCAGGCGCACAAGGGCACCGTGTTCATCCAGTCACATCCCAAAGGAGATTTCTCATTTCTCTGTAGAAATAGGGGCTTGTTGCAGAGGCTGGCCAAGGCATCGAGGTCTGATTTTGTATTTGTGGTTTTCAAGTGCGGCCCACATGCTCTGGTTGCCTTCGGGGTGAGGAGTGAGTGAGCAGCCCCGCACCCAGGCTGGCTCTCCAGACCTCCCCCAGCCGCCATAGGAGGTGGACGCCCTGGCACCGGCCTCCGCAAGGGCACCCTGTGCCCAGGAATGGAGAGCAGTGGCCTGAGAGGCGGCCCTTGTGTCCCTGAGACAATGGGACCCGGTGTGGGAGCAGGCACCGCAGAAGAGTGGCCGGCCCCACCCCCACACCACTCCTTCCTCAGTGGCCTTGGGGCTGGGGGCCCTGAGGCAGGGAAAGGGTGGTCAGCCCAGAAGAGACTTCTGAGAAACCGCGTCCTTTGTGGTGCTTTGGGGGGCAGTTCATAAATGAGGCTGAGAGACCAGAGGACCTGGGTCTGGTCCCTGTGTGGCCTCGGGCAGGGTCCTCCCCTTTTTGATCCTCAGTTTCTGCCTCTGTCCAAAGGGTCTACAAAACAGACTCTGCATCACACAAATCTTTAGCAAAGCTCCGGCCCCCACACTGTCCTTGTGAGACAGACAAAACCAGCGGGCGCTTCAGCAAGCTGGCTGAGGCAGGGCCGAAGAGGACACACGTTCCTAAGTGCTTTTCAGCGTCCCGCCCCCTTTCAGCGCGCACCGAGTCCCGTGCATTTGCACTTTTCCGTGACATTCTGGACAGTTTCCTCAAGACACTTTGGTGGGCGGGAGGGAGTGGTGCCAAAGGGGACCCCTGCACACGCTGAGGACCAGCGGTGCCATGAGACTGTCCCTGAAGCAGGGCTGTGACTCCTTTCACCTCTGCTCCCCATGGCCGAGTCACCAGGCCCACACTGGTTTTAAGACAGAGAAACAACTCCCAGCCCAGGTGCTTCTGCCTTCGGTTTCCCACAGCAAAGGCTGAACTTAACCTCGGAGTCTTGGGAAGCACATTCACCGACATCGGCTCCTTGAGGGAGATGGAGGTTGATCTCTACGGCACAGGGGGGTCCTAGACAAGTGGCACTAGACTGCATTGTCAGCGGTTGTGACCCGCCTGATGGGCCCGGAGCTGGGCTGCTCAGGAAGCCGGAAGCAGAGACAGCAACTGCAGTGACAGCTCCCACCTGACTACAATCAAGGCCAGTGAAGCGCCAGGTCCTTTCAGCTCCTGGGGAACAGTCAGGAAGCTGCTCATGCAGCCCAGGGCTTGAGTCCCCAAAGACTTGGAAAGTTAGGAGAGCCATCTAATGATGCCTCTGAGGCCCAGAGGCCCCCAGCATGCCCATGGTGTCACCAGCAATGTCTGGTACTCAGGCTGTGCTCCGGAACCAGGGAGCCATGGGGGCGAGTGGGCTGCCACTCACAGGGTCAAGAGACCCAGCAGTGGATAAAGCCTCCATCTCACAGTGGAGAAGCAATTTTAAAACCAAGAACATGGCTCTCACTCCCCTCTTCTAGACTCAGACGGCATTCCTATTTAAAGATATCTTGCAAAACCGAGATTGTTTCCAACCTACTCGCTATCTGTTTGATTCATTCATCCCTGGCTCTGTTCCCTCCTGTCAGTCCAGCACCTCCTGTGTGCAGCTTCTCTCCAACAGCTGGCTCTGACGGGGAAAGCTGTTTGCCCGGGTCATACATTAGTATGTACTGAGTTAGCTGTGAGTACCGTCGCAAGGCCCCTGGCTGTGTGGCCTGTTTCTCCACTTCTGAAAGGGGAATATAACTGAGCTATGCGCCATTGTGCCTAGCAGTGTCTTGAAGTCTTTCCTACTCCTGGTACCCACCAAAAGGCTGCCTCCATCATCTCCTCTGATAGTCACAAAAACCCTATGAGGACGATAGGGGAGGCATTTGCCACCAAGAGTACCTGGAGGGCTTGTCTGACCTCACACATTCCTTTCATGCATTGGACCTTGGGTGGGTCCACACGTCCACCTCCCCTACCCTGCCCAAGGGAATTTTCTGGTCTCCTTGGTCTCCTTAGCCTCCCTGGACCCCATACAGGTGGGCACATCCAAAGCTACCCACCCCACCTGCTTCTTCTGCAAACATCCATGGGACCTCTCTTTTCTATTTATTTCCCAGCACTTGCCACGATGTGCCATTATATATTTATTGGTGTATTTGCTCACCACTGGCTGCTTCTACTCTTCTCAGAGTTCCCCTGGGGAGAGACCTCATCTGTGTTGTTCACTCTCTGGACTCTCAGCTGAATCTCTCCAACTTATGGAGCTGGCCAGGCCCTGCGGATTCTCTCTTCCTGCACTACTGTTTTGGAAACTCTCTCAAGGCAGTGAGCTGGGCCTATGGTAGGACTCACCTCATTTGTTTCATCGTCTCTTGGGAAATCAGTGTCTTTGGTTGCCTCTTTTAAAAACCACTGTTTCAAATCTTTGGTATGGTTTTTGGATGTTTCAGACAGGAGGGCAGATCTGGCCCCTGTTACTCCATCTTGGCTGGAAGCAGAAGTCCAAAGCTTTTAACGATGCATCTCATAATGAGAAGACAGCTGCTCCTCTGATGAAGCAAAACTGAGCCTGGGCAGCTTGCAGTTGCTCTCTCTGGTTGCCAGCTTCATCGTCTTTACAGGCGTCAGGAGTGTTAAATGAATACAGCGGACAAAGCCTCACTGAGCCTCGGGGAAGACAAGGTGTTGCGACCCCTGAGATGTCAACTCCTGCCTTTCTGTTGTGTTTGCAGAATCTTGGCTGGGAGGTAGAGGGGGTGACAGAGGAGGCAGAGAGCCCAGGTAGCCTCAGTCCTGGAACTTGGCACTCTCTGATTGTCTCAGCCTCCCTGTCTGACCACCTGTCTCTCACAAAGCATCACCCGCATCCCTGAAATAACCTTCACCTTCTGTATTAGCAATTCATGCGTGCCTCTTCCCCCGGAGACTCCTGAGCAAGATGATCAGGTCTTAGCTTTGTAATTAATAATTCATGGGGCGGCTAGCACCAGCCCTGGTAAAGGCATAGTTTACGTCTGATTTATCTTTGTACTCCCAGATCCCAGCACACTGCCAGGCACCGAGGGTGCTCAGTTTGCTGGATGAACAAATGACTGAATGAGCACCTTCATGATGCTATCTTCTCAAATATGAACCATCAGTCTGTACACATGTAAGCTGTCTTAGCACCTCCAGAAAGAGGTGCTGGCCACACCCCATGGGAGGGAAGTTCAGGCAGGGATAGACCCAGCTGTAGCCCAAAGATCAGGGTCCCAACCCCGGCCCTTGGGAAAGTTGCTTCTTGATCCTGGGACTCCATATTGTATTCTCTTTTCTGAAATAACACCTCCTAGACTTCCTCCAGCTCCAACATTCTCTAATTGACTCAAGCAAGGATAAATAAGCATGCATTCTTTGAACACAACAGCTGGCTTTCTGAGCAAAATCCAAGATGTATGCCTTCACTAGGTTTCACAAAATGCCTCCCTCATTTCATAGCCGTTAGTGTTTTTGCCTCTGGTAGTTTTCTCATACACATGCGGTGATAAGTGTGCTTGCAGAATATTAGAGGGGACCCTGTGCAGGATACTGTGAACCATGGGCTCACTGCTTTCAGTATCAATTATGTTTGAAAAGGAATAGCAAAAGAAAATTCCCACTTAACTAACAGAGAATGTAAAGAAGAGAGGCACTGTGAAATTTAGTGCCAAATTCCCTATGAGGCTTATAATCAATCAAGTTGATGAAATTTCTCAACAGGGGCCCTGTTAGTATTTTTCAAGGGACAATTCTGCCTTGTGTGAGAGTATCCAGTTCATTGTCATTAACATCCGTAGCTGCTGGGATCACACATTGCAACAACCAAAGACAGCACCCACTCCGATATTTCCAAGTGCTTACTGGAGGGGGTGTGGCAGCCCCTGGCTGAGACCACACACTGGTAGCTCTGTCCCCAGCCACAGGAGTGTCGGTGTGACTGTCTGTGGTCCTGGACCATTGGTGGCAGGCATGGCCCTGGGGTCTCTCCCAGAGGTGTCACAGCCTGAAGAAGTAGAGCCATGGAAACCAAAATTGCTTCCCTTTGTGGTGAAAATGAGGAGGTAGACCTTTGAGGCTTAGGGGTGCAGTGTAGACAGAACAGCCTTGGATGATCTGGCTATATTTCTGACTCTCCAGCAGTGACTTCTGACTTCCCAGAGTGTAGGGAAGGTGGGGGCATCACCCCAGGAAGACACAGCCAAGTCAGGGATACCCCAAGGTGAGGAATTGGAGGGAAGGATTTTTTGTTTGATATTTCACCAAGAAAGCCTTGAACAAGTTCATCATGGGGAAAATGAGAATCCCTTTGGGTCTCCTTTTTCTTATTTTAGAGTTCATTCCTATTTTCAATGCTATATTCTGTATCTTTTCAGTGTTGAGGTTTCTAAAGGCCTGGTGCTGCCCTGACTGAGAGGCCCAGTGGCATCCTCCTATCAGCCATCTCTCAGGAAGCATTTCTTTCTTTTTATTTTATTTTATTTATTGATTTTTTTTTTAGCTGGAGTCTTGCTCTGTCACCCAGGCTGGAGTGCAATGGCACAATCTTAGCTCACTGCAACCTCCACCTCCCGGTTCAAGCGATTCTTCTGCCTCAGCCTCCTGAGTAGCTGGGATTACAGGTGCCTGCCACCATGCCCAGATAATTTTTGTATTTTTAGTAGAGACGGGGTTTCACTATGTTGGTCAGGCTGGTCTCAAACTCCTGACCTCAGGTGATCCACCTTCCTCGGCCTCCCAAACTGCTGGGATTACAGGCGTGAACCACCATCAGGAAGAATTTCTGATTCGACTTGGTCTCTGTGACACCTGAGGCTCACTCCTAGGCACCTTGCATTTGTTAGTGGGGTTTCGGTGCTGGTTCACTAGGAAGCACATAGTGGCTCCCTGGATCTCCTAATCCAGCTGCAACAAATCAGTAACTGCTCCCTTCTTGCCATCTTCTTCCTTCTTTCCACCTTTCTTCATGCTGCACAGAATGTACAAAGGTACAAGCATTCAGGAAAAACAGCTTGGCATGTCCTTCTAAAGTTTATCATACACACACCACACAACCCAGCCGTTCCACTCCTAGATATTTATCCAAGAGAAATAGGAAAATGTGTCTGTACAAAGACTTGTACACAAATGCTTATAGCAGTTCTATTCAAGATAGTCAGAACTGGAAACAACCTAGGTGTTGGTCATCAGGTGAACGGATAAACAAATTGTGGCCAGGCACAGTGGCTCATGCCTGTAATCCCAGCACTTTGGGAGACCGAGGTGGGCAGATCACCTGAGGTCAGGAGTTCGAGACCAGCCTGACCAACATGGAGAAACCCCGTCTCTACTAAAAATACAAAATTAGCTGGGCATGGTGGCGCATATCTGTAATCCCAGCTACTTGGGAGGCTGAGGCAGGAGAATCACTTGAACCGAGGAGGCAGAGGTTGTGGTGAGCTGAGATCGTGCCACTGCACTCCAGCCTGGGCAACAAGAGCGAAACTCCGTCTCAAAAAAAAAAAAGAAAGAAAAAACAACAACAAATTGTGATATGTTCATATAAAGAAATACTATTCAGCAACAAAGGAAGGAGCTGCTGAAATACACAGTAACATGGATGAATCTCAGAAACGCTATGCTAAATAAAGGAACAAAAAAAATACACACTGCATGATTCCATGTATGTGAATGTCAAAACCAAGCAAATCTAATCAGTGATTTTAGAAATCAGAATAGTGGTTGCCCCAGGGTGGGACTGATTAGAAAGAGGCACGGGGACACTTTCTGGGCTGTTGGAAATATTCTGTGTCATGCTGAAGGTGCGGCTTCCACTGGTGCATGCATTTGTCAAAGCTCAGAGGATGGTACTTTTAAGATGGGGGGTGCATTTCACTAGATGTAGATTACACTTTGATAAAAATCATAATAATGAAGCCATCCATATTACCCTTTGGGAAGTCATCCCCTGGTTCCCCACTTACTGTTGCACCCCTCAAAGTATCTATCATAGAGTGGACACCAAGTCTGGGGTGTATTTCTGATTCTTTTGCATATATTCACGTCTTGGAGACCTGTCCAAAGTTAATACTGTCTCTCTGTCCATCCATCCATCCGTCCATCCCTTCCTTCCTCCCTCATCATCCCCTTTCCTCTTTGTTTCTCTTTTCCCTCTCACTTCCTTCCTTTCTCCCTCCCATTCCTTTTGCAATTCTGGGCACTCCTTTCCAGTTGTGTCTGAGTCTTCCCAGAAGCCCTGGGATGAGGCTGTGTGATGTCTTTGCTTTTCTCAGAGGAAAGCGAACCGGCCTCACTGACACAAGTCCTTCAGGTCCACCCCAAGACAGCCTGTGCCAAGGGAGGGAGGACAGGTTCACCCCAAGGACTCCACGGATTGAGTGACTAAGAGAGGGCCCTGGAGCACCAGTGTCCGGTGCCTTGTCAGTGACACTTTTCCAAATTTTGACCACCCCCGTGCAAACTGAGACAGCGGCAAATACCCACCCCACGGGCTGAATCCAAGAAGGGAGAAAGTCTGCGTCTTGCAAGAAATTAGCTCAAGAAACGGACATTGGCAGTCCTCCCTTTCTTTCCTTCCTCCCTCAGCATCCCCTGTGAGCCCCGCTCCCCACCCCCGCCTGCAGAGGAACCAGATTTAGTGCCTCAGCTGAGAGAATGAGATGCTCTGTTATTTTTTATGGGGAATTAGACCTGACCCTGCTGTCAGTTAGCTCATGCCGAGGGAGGATGGATGGCCTGGGGCGTGGCGCTCAGCCCCTGCTCTGAGCACGCCGGGGCAGGGATGGAGGCGCTCAGAGGCCAGCCTGGCTGGGGGCCAGCCATGATGTCACCTGCCGCAGGGTGGGGGCAGGGATGGCCGGAAAGGTCAGGGAGCCTTCAGCCAGGTGATGGATGCCAGTGGCCTCCCTGTGCCTCTGTTGGTGTCACCCATAATGGTCCCACCAGTGACCTCCCCACGCCTCTGTTAGTGTCACCCATGATGGTCCCACCAGTGACCTCCCCATGCCTCTGTTGGTGTCACCCATAATGGTCCCACCAGTGACCTCCCCACGCCTCTGTTGGTGTCACCCATGATGGTCCCACCAGTGACCTCCCCACGCCTCTGTTGGTGTCACCCATGATGGTCCCACCTCTGTCACTGGCCATGACCAGCTCATCCAGGTGACACTCAGGCTGCTCCTGTCTTTTTCAGCTCCCAACTCTACCTCTTGCCCCACTGAGGAAAGCTGGTGGTCGGGGCTGGTGATCATCATTGCCGTATGCTGTGCCTCCCTGGTGTTTCTGACTGTGCTTGTCATCATTTGCTACAAAGCCATAAAAAGGTGAGTGCTCACTCACTGCACCCAGCTTCAAGCCGAAGGGAACCCCAGCTGGGCTTGGGGCTCCTACACACATCCCGTATCATTATTTTAAATTATAAAAGTTGTTAAGCATATAAGAAGCAGAAAGAATATACAGTGACCTTCCATCTACCCTCACCCCGATTCAACAGTTCATCAAGATTTTGCTGTATTTGCTATATCTATTTTATTTTTCCTTTGATCTTTTTCATTGCCGAAATATTTTAAAGTTGATCTCAGAAATAATGTCTCTGTCACTTTAGAGAGTTTGATTCCACAAGCAATTGATTAGCACCAATTATATGTCAGGCCCAGTGCAACGTGAAAAATACAAAAATGTTGCAAAACACCAAAGAGTCATAGGAGTTGTTAACAATATAATATTTCTAAGGAAGTTTTTAAAACATTTCCTGACTCCCAAAATTAGAGGGCCACATTAAGAACATTCCTAACATCTAAAATATTTAAGTTTACTCTTTAAGTTGGTTGTTCTATGTGATTTCACTTTAGTAATTCAAAAGCAGAAAGTAAAATATCAAGGTAAAAGTCTTAAAACAAGTCAGGCACACAGGATGGGGGGCCACAGAAAGCCAATAGACCAGGAGCGTCCTGGTAACGGGGCACAGGAGGGAGGACACCTGGCGGCAGGGCCCGGGCATGGCGGCTCCATGCAGGACAGGCCATGTCCTGGGCATCTGCCACCCAGCCGAGAACCCAAACTCAGAGCCCCCTCTGCCCAAAATGCACATGCTGCAGGGCAGTCTCCAAAAACACTGATAAATAACACAGGCATAACTGTAATCAGCAATACCTCAGCCGGGCACTGGGTTCTCCTCACCAACGTTCTCTTAGTTCATCTCCACCTACATTTTCCCAGTCAGCTCCATTTTGCAGAGGAGGTTGAGGTTCTAAGGAGTTGGAGAGCTGCCCAGGGTGGCACAACTGGTGAGCAATGGAGTCAGAAATTGAACCCAGAACAAAAATACTCCAAAGCCCAGCCCTGACTACACACCGTGTTTCAGGGTTATTGACGAGTTCGACTCCAGTGTTGGGCTAAGAACAGACCTCGGTATTCCTGCCTGCCCTTCCTCAGGGATGTGGGAGAGGGGACACTCGGGGTTTGGTGAGGTCCGTCTGTGCTTCTTTGAGGCCAGAAGGACATACAGACAGAAAGGCCCAATGCTCTAAGACCCTGTAACTCTGGGTAGCGGCTTAGTCTTGAAAACCAAGGTGGGGCCAGGTGTGGTGGCTCACGCCTGTAATCCCGGCATTTTGGGAGGTGGAGGCGGGTGGATCACCTGAGGTCAGGAGTTTGAGACCAGCCTGACCCACATGGTGAAACCCCGTCTCTACTAAAAATACAAAATTAGCAGGTCATGGTGGCACACGCCTATAATCCCAGCCTCAGGAGGCTGAGGCAGGAGAATCTCTTGAACCTGGGAGGCGGAGGTTGCAGTGCGCTGAGAGCACACCACTGCACTCCAGACTGGGCGACAGAGCGAGACTCCATCTCAAAAAAAAAAAAAAAAAGGAAGAAAGAAAACCAAAGTGGATGGTTGGAGTCTCCCAGGGGACATAGCTAATCCAATTCCCACGTGTTTTGTAGGCACCTTCTTTGTGCCAGGCTTGGTGGGCATACAAAGAGGTAAGACAGAGGCTGTGCCTACAGGCTGCTCCATGAGGCTGTGCGAGGTTTGCTGGCAGCCCGCTGTGGCTGCCCGGAGGAGTCACGGTGCATTCTGATCTGGACCATAAAGCATTTGAGCTGAGGGCCTGCTGGAATGGGAGGAGGGTTTTAAGCAGCGGAGCAGAGGAGGCATTCTAGGTCAAGGCACCTGTGAGGGGAGCAGCCGGACACCAGGAAGCCCCTGCGACGCAGGAGATGAGGCTGGGAAGCCGTGAGCCTGACTGGGGAGGCCTTTGTCACCAGGCTGAGTGGTGACTTTGCCCGTGACTAGACACTAGGAAGTACTGAAGATTAGCTTCGGTAGCTGCTTTTTGGGGGAAGAGTGTGCGCCACCAGGCCATGGCTGCCAGTCTCCTTGCAGACACGCCCCACTTCCCCTGGGAGAGGCTCAACATGAATAATCTGTTTAATATAAACTCGTGTTCTTACAAAAGACACCTGAGCCACTTCTGCCTCCCTCCCTGCCCCAAACCTCCCCTGAAGAAATGTGCTACCTGCTTCTACCGGAGGAGGGAAAGAGAACAAACTCACATTAATAGCTCACTAGGGCAGTGCTGCTCAGCGGTAGCCTGCTGGGCTTTGTCTCAGGTGGGCTGGGGGCTCCCAGGAAGGGTGTGAGGGGCGTCATCTCAGAGCAGCTATAGAGGGGCCTCCTGTCTGTCCTCTTCCACTTTCTCTGAGCTCTTGGCTCCTGGGTCTGTTAGCACCCTGGAAAAAACAGAACTCATCCCAGATGGCTCAGTGGACCAGACTTCAGATAGTGGGCTTCTTCCAGGGGCAGGGGCGGGGCTCCACCAGGGCGTGGGCGGGGCTTCTTCTAGAGGCATGGGCGGGGATCCTTATGTGGTGTGGGCGGGGCTTCTTCCAGGGGTGTGGGTGGTGCTCCTCTGGGGCATGGATGGGGCTTCTTCCAGCGGGTGGCGAGGATTATTCCAGCGCTTTGGGCAGGCCCAGAGAGCAAGTGGGGCAGGTGAGGCACTCAGGGACTTGCAGAGTGGGGGCGGTTAGCACCTCTAGGAAGACAGGCAAGCGGGAAACTAGTGCCGTGGGAACCTCGTGAGAGACTCGCACTTAGGAGAAGGGCCGCCTAGCAGGAGTTGCGGTTGGAACTGTCAGAGAAGCAGCCCCAAAACAGGCAGGAAGGGGGAAGAATTGCTCCCAGCAGCTCTCCATGCTTAGGTTTCCCGTGGGTGCCTCACACTGGCCAAACCCAAGAAGCAGGGGAATCAGGACACACCGTCAGTAAGGTCGGCCTCCCGGGGGCACAGGGCAGAAAGCCCGTGAAGCAGGCAGTTGGGGTGTAAGCCGACGCTATGCTGCGCAGCCCCTTTGCTGCCCTGCACCAGGCTGTGCATCCATCTGCAGACCAAGACCTGGGGACACCGAGGAATAGGACCCAGCCCTTTGACCTCGAGGTCTTCATAGTCCAGAGAGAGTATCCCTGGTGCAGCAGACAGATATTTAATGACAAGAGGGGACTGTGTTCATTGAGGGTGAAGGCAGAAATAGAGCCCAATACTGCCAAAACCCACCTAGAAGGAGGCTGGGGAGGGCGGCCTAACCCCTTGGTGGAGAGAGAAGGAGGCAGCAGAAGCTGCAACCCCGCCTACAGAGCAGAGTGCTCCCCACTGCCCCCCCAGGCGCTGACCTCAGCTGGGGCTGTAAGAGATAGCATCCTCACTCAGGCCAGCTGCCTGTCCACATTTCTCTCCAGCGAAGTGGAGGATTTCTTGCTCACGGCCAATTGTTTTTGGTCAATAATTCATCTAAAACATGCCTTTTCTCTCAGGAAACAAAAGTATCTCATGTCACTGCAAAACCATTAAAAGGAAAATTTAGTGATAAACCCTACTCTTTTTTTTTTCTTTTAACTCTCATAGCCTCGAGTCCTAGGAATTTCCAAGAGATCTTTGTAAATGGCCCCAACACAGCCTTTCAGAGCCAGGTTGCCAAGAGGATGTTTCTAGAATCGGGTAGGTCAGGGAGGAGGTGACTCTGGAGATGCCTTGGCACCTGGGGGTGTCAGCTGCCGGGACACGGGCCTCGGCAGGGACGGGCGGCACCGAGGGCTGAGTTGCAGCTGTGGAAGGCGCACCCCGCAGGGCCCTCACATCTGTGTCCAAGGCCTGGCTGAAAGGGGGCTGGACCTTGGCAGGAGGAAGAGTCTCACTAGCACTTGCTAGACGCAGATTAGGTGAAATAACACTTCTCCTGTGACTCAGCAAGCCTTCACCAAGTCCCACCTGTGCACTGGGTAGACGGTGTTCAGAGGAGGGGCACCTTGCCCAGACCTGGTAGCCAGGTGGGGTGGGAGGTTTCTTAAAGAGGTACATTAGCCAGGCCAGGGGACTGGGCGGGGAGGGTGTTACTTGAATTTGCATGAGCACGAGCAGTGGCCCCCAAGTCTGCTGTCAATGACCCCAAACTCCAGAGGGGGTTCCCAGCCATAGGGAGCCCATGCAACATGCATTTTGGTGGCTTCATTGCCCCGGGCTTGTTGTAAACAAGCCTTTTTATCTACAGCCACATGGAGAGCAGGCCCCAGAGCCCTTGGGTGCTGGGTACCCCCGTGCCTGGCACCTGGGTGTCCTCCCACCCCTAGGCCTGACGGGCACATGTTTCTGACAGCAGGACAGCCTGATTTGTTAAAAGAGCCCAGAACTGGGAGTCAAGTCCCCAGGCCTGTTCCCTTCCCAGCCCCAGCCCCGCCGGGCTCAGCTGGGCTCAGCTGGGCTCAGCAGGTATCGCTTCCCTCTGTGGCCTCCGTTTTCCCTCTCTGAAATGACAATCTCCGAGCAGCCTTTTGTGTCCCCATCCTGGATCGCAGGGGGACCATCACCACTCAGGCATTCAGCCTCTTGGACGTATAAATGCTGATCACTGTGCCCGCCAGGGCTGGGCCAGGTGCCAGGACCAGGTGCCAGGCACTGGGCTACAGGAGTGGGCACCACCGGCACAGTCCCTGCCCATGCTGCACATACCTTTTCGGGGGAAGAAGTGGACATCAATCAGACCAGACTGCCCCCAAAGAACGGTGGATCACAGTCAGAGGAGAGGCAGAAGAGCAGAGACAACACGAGTGTCCGTCCAGGGCAGGAGACAAACCTAAAACCAGTGATGACCACAGAGAGTCATCAAGATAAAGCTCCAAGGGGCAAGGCACCCGCTGCCCAGGTAGACCTCAGATCCCAGCTTGGGGAGCCCCACAGGCCTGTGCACTTGCAGGGATGTGGCTGTTTTCCTGGGGTGGCATTTGCAGCTTCTCTGACAGCCACACCCTTCACTCAGAGAAGAGCTCCTGTGTTGAGGGGAGATGATGCCCACCCCCTGCACGGAGACACGCCCATGCTGGCACAGGATGAACACCTTGCCTCCATTGGCCATCTGTGGCGTGGGTCTGTTCCCAATTGCCATGAAGCCACTGGACAGCCATTTCCCTCTCACTTACTGGTATAATTGGCAGAAAGACCAATACGTGGTCTCAGGACGGTTTGGCTGACCCTGCAGACGTTAATTGCTGACCTTAAGCAAGCGTGCTGCTTCCTGGATGTGGGCTTGAGTGTGCGTGATTGTGCCTAAGCACCACTTATTGCTGGGCTCTGGTCCTCATCAGCTGTTTGTGGTTGAGCCACTTTCAGTAGAACGAGCACTTTTGAATGCTCAAGCCTTTTTGATGGTGCCTTAGAAAACCCATTGACTGGCACAGGACTGTTCAGTGTTGATCCATTTATTGAGCACCTAATGTGTGCTGGGGACTAAGCACAAGGGATGCAGAAGAAACAAGACAGTCCCTGTTCTCCTCCTGCTGGAGGAGGCAGATTAAGCACACACACCAGCAAATTAATAAATGAGGTGATCTTAAAGACTATGAAGAGAAAAAAAATACAGGTTAATGGGGAAGAGAAGGAGAAAGGAGTGAAGGTTGTGTCCTCTCCAAAGAGTCAGGCATGTTGTGCATGCCTTTTGAGACAGCTTAATGATTAGAAAGTATGGCTAGAGCATTGCACATTTATTCCCTCCTTTTAATTTAGTTTTAATTTTTATCAAAGGAATACATATACATACTATGGCTTAAAATGTCAAATGTGCTCCCAAGGCTCTTAAGAAAGACAGCAGCCCCCTGTCTTTTCCCCCAAGTCACATTCTTGAGAGGCAACCACTTTCAACAGTTAGCTGTTTCTTCTGATGTTTCTCTCCATATGCTAAGTGATGTGTATACTGCTATTTAAATTTTCTTTCCATTTTAAGCACCATCTATTTACTTTCCACTGTGGAAGATACCAAGGCCAGCACCCTTGCAGTACAGACATACAACATACTTCCCCTCTTCTCATTCTCCACCTAGAATGGGGCTCAGTATGGGATTCTGTGCCTATTCAGTGCTTACCTTAGTGTAACAAAGAACATATTGTGCATAGCTGAGCCACATAGCGTACTATGCTGTTTCCTTTCCTGGGGTTAACAATGCCTCCTCTCAACACAGTCAAATTTATCAGTTCCATTTTTGTCCTGGGGGCTCCATGCTCCTCTCCAGGTGGACTGTGGGTCTCTGAGCCTGTTGCACAGTTGTCACCCTACAATCATCCTCTCCAGCACCCTTCCAAGCTGGATGATCCCAATATGGCTCCTCCCTGGGAACCTGCTACCCTCAGCTCTCTCCCTCCCTCTCCAACTCCAGTCTTTCATCTCCTTAGCTTGATTATTTCATGGATATTTTTCCCAAGATCTTTCCTGGATCATAGACTCAATAGAAAGTTAATCAGTGAAATTAGTTTTCTTTTTAGGATTTACACTCTTTCTGGAGCTTTGGGATAGCCCAGAGAAAGGTTAGTTCTTACTGAATGTGTGGCATATAGAGAAGATCTGGTTACCTGGGGGCACCTGGAATGCCAGGGAGGGGTGGAAATGAGTTTCCTATGGAGTCTGAGCCAGAATGAACCTTCATGGTCAAGGGCCAATCCCTTGTTTTACTGATGTGGGAACTGAGGCCTTGGTGGGGAGAGAAATGGTTCAGGTTCCAGAGGTTTCCTGCCCTCCTCCTGGCTCATCGAGCACTCCCAGAGGTCTCTCTGGTCAGTGTCCTTCCCCTCATTTCTTCCAGTTGAGTCCTTGCTGCTCCTCCCTGGAGACCCAACTCAAATGCCACCTCCTCTGAGATGTCATCCTGGACGAGTATAGAGCTCTCTCTTCCCTGTCCAACTGCTAGAGTTATAGCTGTCCCTGAATTTACAATTCTGCTTTCTGCTGTAGGTAGGTGTATGTCGGTGTTCGTGTGCCCACACCCTTGCGAATGCGTGGTTGTGTGCACACACGGTAGATGGGGATTGGTCATCTCATCTTACTCATCTCTCTCCCGACGGTGCCTGGCACGATGCCTGGCACATAGAAACTGGTCAGTGGTGGTTTCTGTGGTGTGAATGGAGGCTTGTTCCCACAGACTTGCCAGAGTCCACCTTTTAAACTGACAGACTCTATTTAGAATTGCAGTAAACTCATTTTTTTTCTCTATCTGGGTGAGTGAAATCGTCTGCTTTTGGTGTAAATAACATGCACCAAATTTTAAGTGTTGGGCCTCACCCCTTCACCAGTTTCAGTTTTCCCAGCCCCCTGCCATTCCTGCCCCCTCCCTCTCAACCCCATTTCTTCAGTAGGCCTCCTGCCATTCTCTCCCTTCCCCATACGCATGTACCCTGACTCAGCGGTCCCCTCTCCAAGCTTCGGAATAGCACAGCCTCTCTCCCACCTGCGCATAACACACTCCCAGGATGTGAATGCAGTGAAGCAGCTCCGCCATCTACCTCCTCTTCTTCCTCCCCGCAGGACACACCTACTGTGCCAGGGGCCAACCCAGCCCTCTCTCCCTCGTTGCCTGCTCTGGCCTTCAGCTGATCTGCAGAGTCAGGGCCAAAGGAGGGGCATGGGGAAGAAAAGGTTGGCCAGGCCCAGAGGCCAGCAGTGAGGACCAGGAATCAGGACAGGAGTGGAACTGCTCCATCCACCCTCAACTCACCACAAACTTCCAGGAGCAAGAAATTCACCTTGAATGCATCTTGGTGCATTCCTGGGGCCCTGAGACTGGGGGTTATCTCATGGGCCAAAGCCTCTTGGCCAGGTAGGGTCTCAATGTGGTTCCCATCTGTCACCTCTCCCTGCTGTTCACATGCGTACCTGTAGCAACACTCCCTCCTCCCCACTGCCCCAAATCCAACCCAGAATCACCACACCTGGTTGTACTGTGAGTCAGGTCAAAGTTAGTGTACTCCAAGGAAGGGCCTCCTGAGGGCAAGTGCTGAGCATTGATGCATGGCCTTGGCTGCTCAGAGACTATCCTGCATCCTTTGGAACCTGGGCTGAATTCAAGGAGCTGGCACCTGTGCTTAGTCCAGAATCAAGACTCGATCTTCTGACTCCTTGGCCAGTGCGCCTTCCCCTGGGCCTCACTGCCACCTTCTAGGCTGTCTGGGGCTTGGCTCTTTGGAGTCCCAGAAGATGCAGTGTCCTCACCATCACACCCACATCCTCCATCCAGGAAGAGGTCAGGCCAGCAAGGGGCAGGGGCACGAGGTCCTTACCTGCCCTGGGCTGGAATGCTTCTTTGGACTTATTTGTCCCCCTATAAAGACCCATCTTCCATGATGGGTGATAAGATCCCATCCTGCCGTGTGATGCAGGCAGCAGGGACGAGCCTGCTTCATCTGCCGGCATCCTTGGTGTGGGGCGCATGGAGCCCAGGCCTCCGTGCACCGTGGACAGTCATGGACAGAATGCTCAGCAGATTGAGGGTGTGTGTGCTCTGGGCCAGCTGATGGGAGACCCAGACGGATCCCTGCTTCTTGGGGCCTTTTTCTTTTGTCATCAAGAAATGCATGCCTCTCTGGACCCATCTCTCCAGACATGCTGGGTCAAGGTCATGGGGCAGGGTGAGGGTAAATGGGAACCCCCATTTAAGAAGTCTTCAGGTGACGCCCACTGCAGTCAGGATAAGACCCAGACACCTTGCCCCGGCCAGCTGCACCCTACAGGGGCTGGCTTCTGCCCCACTGCTCCTGCTGGTGTTTTTCTCCTCCTCTCCGCCCTCGCTCAGGACTCTCCAGCTGCACAGGCCTCCATCCCAGCTCTGTCCTGCTCCTTGCATGGCAGGGTCCTTCTCATCCCCTGGACCTCGCTGACCTGTCAGCCTACCAGGCCTCCCGCTATTCTCTCCCTCGACGCCTGGTTCTTTGCCGTCTTAGTTCCTCTCTTAATTTGCTGCAGTCTGTTCATTTGTGTACTGCTGGTCAGATGACTACCAACCTGGTGCCAGGTCGAGGCCAGTGTCCTTGGGCCATATGAGTCCGTTGTGTGCACTCAAATGAGCCGAACCCACAGGACCATGGAGGTGGAGCCACCTGTGAATGAATCTTGCCCGTGAAGAGAGGCGCCCTGTGCCTGAGGTTGGGGAGTCCGGGGGAGGGGGATGGGCCGCTTCTCTTGGGGAGACACCCCCTCAGCCTCCTTGTTTGCTTCAGGAGCCCCCGAAGCAGTGCCGGGCATTTCTGTAGTGCCCATGGTGACCAGGCTGGGCTGGGCTGGCTCAGGACAGCTGAGCAGCGTAGGATGCAGGGGAGCCCTGGTGGGGCGTGACCGCCCAGGAGCTCAGGGCAGGTCTCTCCTGGAAACCCAGCCTCTAGGAAGAACAGATGGCTTTGTGTATTCCCATTACCAATGAAGGCCTTTTGTGACAGCAAGACAAGGTGAAGGGAGGTTTTGTGACAGGAAGACAAGGTGAAGGGGGGTTCCGTGACCTGGGGCTGGTGTCCAAGGGCATGCCCACATGTGTCTGCCTGTGCCCACCTGTTCTGTATAGGACCTCCACCAGACCTCAGCCGAAGGCCCTTCTACCCAGAGGTGTTCCCCAGCCCCTTCATCCCCAGCACAGAGGCGGGTGGCAGGGAGGCATTGTCCCTGGAGTTTCAGGGAGGCGGGTGCCCAGACCCCCAGTGAGATGGACACCGTCTGGGCCGCTTCTGCCCACAGAATCCCCAGCAGGGATCTCCATCCCCCAGCACCATTCTGGCATCTCAGAGGCTTGAAGGACAGTCACCGAGGCCTGAGCTAGCTTGGAGGTCCCTGTCCAGGGCTCTGTGCATGAGCCCGCAATCCTTTCTTCAGCCTCCGGGCTGGGAAGGGCTCTGCCCTAGATCAAATCCCAGGCTGCAGAGCAGTGCTCAAGGGGAGAGAGAGTCACGCCTGTGAGAAGCCCCTCCCCCGGCAGACCCCTCTCTGCTCCCCTCGGCCCACAGCTCCCAGGGGAGGATGCAAGCATGAGAAATGCACAGTCGCCAGTTCCGCCGCAGCTCAGCGGAGGCGGCCAAACAGGTGATCCCAGGGGATGGTCCAGACAGTGGGTCCCACTGGCTGTGAGGACGCTTGTCTGCCGCATGCCTGTCTCCCACCCCCCTGGGCGATGGAGGCTGGACGTGGGGCTGCTGCTTCTCACGGTGACGCCCTCGAGGCTCAGAAAGGCTTTTTGTAGCTTCTTGACCCAGGTTTGGGGAAGTCTGAGGTCTACAGAGGAGTCTCATCATGGAACGCTGAGTGTGTGTGTATATGAGTGTGGGGATATATGTCTGTAGGTATGCATATGCATATGTGTATTCATATGTATGTGTGCATGCATGTGCACATATGTGTATGTGTGCATATGTGTGTAGGGACATGTGTGTATGTGTATATTGTGTGTGTGTTGAAGTACATGTGTGTATGTGTATATTGTTTGTGTGTGTGGATTTGTACATTTATGCGTATGTGCCTGTGTGTACATATATGTGTGTGTGTAAGTACATGTTTGTATGGGTTTGTGCATATGTACATGTGTCTATGTGTATGTGTATATTGTATGTGTGTGTGGATTTGTGCATGTGTACATGTGTCTATGTGTATATTATATATGTGTGTGTTTGCGTACATGTGTATGTGTATAGTGTGTGTGTATGTGGATTTGTGCATGTGTACATGTGTCTATGTGTACGTGCCTGTGTGTGTTACGCAGGTTCATGTGTGTGTATGGGTGTGGGAGGGTGTCGGGGTGGGCAGTCGGGGGATGAATACCTTCATAAGAGGTGAGTCCAGGACCTTTAACTTTCACTTCTCCCAGGGGCGCATGAGGCAGGAAGACAGCCTCCCTTCTTAGGCTCCCAGAGTTGTTCTTTGCCTCCATCTCCTCCATCCCCACAGAGCAGCAGGCTGAGCGGGAGGCTGTCACATCATGATCAGCAGGGCCTAAGAGGGGTACCTGGGTCCTGGCCCTCCTTGCCCAGGCCAAAGATGCCGGTGGAGGCACAGTTTCTGCAGGGGCCCCTCGTGGCTGCTGGCATGTGCGGCTGGAGCTGTCCGCGCGGCACTCCGAGCAGGGAATGTGGGAGCCTGCTGCCCTCCAAGCCCAGGGCAGGGGACAAGAAGTCTGAAGGTGGCAGAGCCCACCCTCCTACAAGCAGGAATCCTGGGTGCCGCCAAGGAAAGTCTCACTAACCTCTCTCTTGGTTTCTAGGAACCATGCCATCTAGGGAGCCCTCTGTGGCCATCTCTGCCTGGACCAGGGTGGAAATGCCTCTTCTTGGTTTAATGAGACCAGCCTCAGCTGACTCACAGAGCTGCAGAGCCAGGCTGGGTCCTAACAACTCTCTCTAGCATTTCCGGAGCCCCACGGGGCACGCGTTAGGTAGGAAGTCTGTGCAGACTGGAGAACCTTGGCTGCTGCCAGCCGGTGGGGCCAGCTACCTGGTGACACCTTTTCCCCAGCAGTACTGAGAGCTAACAAACATTTATGGAGCACTTACGGTATGCCAGACGCTTGTCTAAGTGCTTGACATGGACTAACGTGTTTAATCCTCCCAACAAGCCTATGAAATGGACACCACTATTGTGCTCATTTCAAAGACAAGAAACTGAGGCATAGAGAGGCTATGTAGCTTGCCTGAAGTCACACGGCCAGAAAATGGTGGGGCGGGGGTTTACTGAGCCTTGACATCTGCCGCTTAGCACTTCCGCAGCGTCACCCTGAAGTGCCGTGCTTGATGGAGGGGTGGAGTTGGGGGGGTGCAGAGGTGGAGCCGTCTTCGCTTTAGGGAACACCCAGCTTCCATGGGCTGCAGTGAATCCCAGAAAGGCTTTGGGAGCAGCAGTCCAGGCAGGAGAGTGGTTGGGGACTCAGCTCCGGTGGCAGGAGGGGAGCAGATCATGACCATTTCTCAGGAGAGCCCTCGGCTGCCACCCTCCCCCATCACCACGCGCGGGCTCCCGAATGCTCCTGTCTGGGGCCCTTACCTGCCACAGGTGCCGAGCCCCTTACCTGCCACAGGTGCCGAGCCTCTGCCAAGCCCCTCTGCCTGCTTTCCTGTCTGGGAAACTGGCTGAGCAGCTGCGAAGGCCCTGGGCCCCCTCCTCACCCTGCCTTCCAGGGTCCTCCTGCCAGGCTCACTTCCTGCTTAGCTCTTCCGAGCCACCTCTTCCCCAGGGCCCGCGAGTACGAAGGGGTCTCAGAGATGGCAGGAAGCCTTTAGAACTGTCTCCTTGCCTCCTGCCAATAGAAATCCTACTGACCGCCTCACCTTAGCCGCAAAAGGGTGGAAACCTTGAGCCATCCAGGCTTAGTTATTTCTAAGGGAGCTCCATGCCGCCTTCATTTCTTCATTATCCACCCTAGAAGGCCCTTAAGCCATATCTCCCATGATCTGGACCTGTTGCAATTGTTTTTATTTTAGCCCTAAGCCCAATATGTAATATGTATTAAGGAGAATGCAGTGTGGGCTTGGGTCCAGACTCTTTTCTGCCTGTTAATATTTTCTGGAATCCTGATGCTGATGTCCTTTCTTCCCTTCATGTATTCGTGATATATTTATCCCACTTGAGTCCCTCAGCGGCCTCACTGGGGAGCACAGGATCTCACTGTAAGAAAATGTCACCCCCACAAATTGTCCAGGCCATGCAGATTTCATGGAGTCAGAAGTCAGGCACACCCAGCAACATCAGAGCTGCTTAAGGCTTTCTGGAAAAGGGGTGGGTAGGACAGGAACGGGGATGAAGGGGACAGAGGGAGCAAAAGGCCCAGGGCAGAGCTTGGCTGCAGAGTCCATCATTTCCCATGGATCCCGACATAAACAAGGTAGCACAGCTGAGGCCTGTAAACCCAGAGTTTCCAGAGAGTATCTGTTAGCGTCTACATAAATGGTGTTCTCAGATTCACGTGTGGGATATGCTGAGTTAAAGCAAAAGGAGACAGTTTTCTTGGAGGACTCTGCAGAATCTCTAAGAGGGGGGTGGAGGAAGGCTTTCCCAAGTTGATGAGGTCCCAGAGCTCATATGGGAATACCTGCTGGGAATGCTGATTAAATGGGAAGATGCTGGCACTTTGGGAGGCCGAGACGGGAGGATCACTTGAGGCCAGGAGTTCAAGAACAGCCTGGGCAACATAGCGAGACCCTGTCTCTACAAAAAATTTAAAACTTAGCCAGGCTTGGTGGCATACACCTGTAATCCCAGCTACTCAGGAGGCTAAAGCTGGAGGATCACTTGAGCTCAGGAGTGCAAGGTTGCAGTGAGCTGTGATGTTGCCACTGCCTAGGCAACAGAGCAAGACCCCATCTCCAAAATAGTAGTAACAATAATAATAATGGGAAGATAGATGTCTGGCCAAGACACAGTGTTAGTGGGTGGTGGTCCAGGCCCCACCACAAACCAGATGAGCGTCCTTGGGCAAATTAAGCCCTCTCTAAGCCTCAGTTTCCCCATGAAATGAATCTCTTACTCCAGGCCTAGCTTCTTAAGGTGACCACTGAGAGAAGGGACAAGGAAATCTCTGTGACGGAGAGTGCTTTGCACAAAGCATGATGCACTGTGGGAGGAATTGTGGGTTTGCCTCTTGCATTCCTGGAAGAAGCCACGGTGGCTGGGCTTGACCACCTGGAATGAGTGCACTTGGCTTGCTTAGCAGAAGTTTTGAGCTACTTCTGCTGCAGGAGAAAAGGGAACAGTTTGCTACCAGACTGAGCTCAGTGTGTAGTCTCTGAGTGGGCCTGATTGTTCTTCCCATGAACTGCTAATGATCCCCTCACAGACCCTGCCTCCTCTGAACTCACTCACTCAGGGCTTTATCCCAGAGACATCGAGCTGGTCACCAGGCA
This sequence comes from Homo sapiens, assembly GCF_000001405.40. Taxonomy (NCBI): domain Eukaryota; kingdom Metazoa; phylum Chordata; class Mammalia; order Primates; family Hominidae; genus Homo; species Homo sapiens. The sequence goes on along the minus strand of NC_000014.9, from coordinate 93,723,374 downwards.
CCAGCCCTTCTGACTGTGGCTCTGGGGAGGCTCTGGGAACATTTGAAAAGGCAGAAGCAATCAACTCCTGGGCCTATGATAATGACCATAAGTGTCCAGCCTGGACAGCTACCAGCAAGGGCAGATCCGGGCTCAACCCTGGCACCCCTGGGAACCCTGGAGGGGGCTGGGCTACAGCCCCGTGGGGATGAGATAGCGGAATTGTGGCATGGAATTGGGCTACAGAGAGCATGTGGCTTAGACCAGGAGGATACAGACACTCAGGCTGGGGGCCAGAGCCCTCCTGAACAACTTGAGGGAGGGAGGAAGTGAGACTTGAGCCAGGCCCAAAAGTACACTGTAATTTCAGAACCCCAGCAAGTGAGCAACAGCCTTCTCAGAGCCTCCCTCCCAGCCTTCCTGATCCCTTATATGCGTAGGAAAAACCACTTTTGGGGTTAGGGGCCCTCTGGAATGAGCTTCAAATGGCTCAGTTTAAAGTGTTCAGGAACCACTGATGTGTACTAACTTAGTGTAGATATTCACCACCATCATTGCTACCACCGCTGCCATTACCATCACTATCATCGCCACCCCATCTTCATTACCACTGTCACCATCATCACCGCCATCATCACCTCCATCACCACCACTGTTAACCCAACCATCACAACCATTACGCTAACCACCACTATCATCATCATTACCATCATCACCCCATCATCATTACCGCTATCACCATCGCCACCACCACTGCCATCACCACCACCAATACCACCTCCACCACCATATAACCACCATCACTATCACCACCAGCATTTTAACCTTCAACACCACCATCACCTCCATCACGAGTATCACCATCACCACCATTGTCAACCGAACCATCACCACCACCATTACCCTAACCATCACTATCATCACCACCATCATTAGCATCATCACTGCTGCCACCATCACCATTGCTACCTCCATCACCCCATTACCACCAGCATCACCACTACCACCATCACCCCATTACCACCAGCATCACCACTACCACCATCACCCCATTACCACCAGCATCACCACTACCACCACCACCCCATTACCACCAGCATCACCACTACCACCACCACCCCATTACCACCAGCATCACCACTACCACCACCACCCCATTACCACCAGCATCACCACTACCACCACCACCCCATTACCACCAGCATCACCACTACCACCACCACCCCATTACCACCAGCATCACCACTACCACCATCACCCCATTACCACCAGCATCACCACTACCACCACCACCCCATTACCACCAGCATCACCACTACCACCATCACCCCATTACCACCAGCATCACCACTACCACCACCACCCCATTACCACCAGCATCACCACTAGCACCATCTGCTTCATCACATTTTGAATTTGCCTTTGCCCACACTGAGGAAGACTGCAGAACTCAACCCCTAGCACTTCTCTTCTGTTAACTGTCTCTGCCCTGATCGAAGAGATCAGTCAAGGCCTGATCGTGCTAGACTGAACATACTTTCTTGTTTGTCCAAAACAGCCTGGACTCATACCTGTTGTCCCTGCTTCATCATTAATAGCTCCCCTCTTTCCCTCTCAACTGTGCCCCGGTTTTCATGACACCCGAGTTAAGACCACGTCCAGCTTCTGATTAACCCCACAAGGACTAGCAGCCCAAGGATGCTAACCGAGGACAGAGCCATTGGCTTCCTTCTGACACTCTCACGGAGCAGGGATGCTAGCTGGAGGTTACACCCCACCATCAGTGATAACTAATGGTGTCCCTGCCTCCCCCTCCTTTGCCTTTCCTGTCCCCTCCCCCCACTTCCAGGAAACCACTGAGAAAAGACGAAAATGGCACCAGCGTTGCTGAGTATCCCATGAGTGCTTCGCAGAGCAACAAAGGAGTAGACGTGAACAACGCAGTGGTGTGAGTCTGCAGGCCCTGGACCCGCTGGCCAGAGGGACACCTTGGTGGCACTGGTGGACATGGGAAAGCAGGTGGACATGAGCTAACCCTGAGCTTGTCCAGGACTTCATTGCCTCACAGGCCCTGAGCCTCCCGAAGGAGAAACCATTGTCTTCCCAGGCTTGCCCCTGGTCAGCCTGCGGGCCCAGGCAGCTCGGACACCAGGCTGAGCCCGGCGCAGCACCTGGGCAGTGTCCCCACCCCAGGCCCTCCACATCCTCCTCCCTGTCTGGTGTCTGGTCTGTCGACTGCCCCCAGCTGCTGTCTAAAGCATGCGCACTGGCGAAGCCAGAGGGATCTGTCTTTCTACTGTGGCAGGGAGGCTTCCCCCTTTAGCCAAAAGAAAGATGGTCCGGAGCCCACTCCCTGCCGGAAAACCTCTCCTCCTCCCAGGAAGCCTGCCTGCTCCACTGTTCACATTCTCAACAGAAGCCATCGGCACAGCCAGCAGACAGACGTCCCCTTTCAAAGGTGCTTCCCACACATCTGTTCATCGCCCCATCTGCAGTTGTTGTCAATCTTCAGGGCCTGCCTTCTCCCTCCTATCCCCACTGACACCCTACACCCTAGGCTCCTGACTGCCTGCCATGGAGGGCTGTGAGTCCAGCCTGCAGAATCCCCTCCTGAGCAGACACAGGAGTGCGTTTACACTCGGGGGCAGTGTCTGGCCTTCCGGGGGCAAAACGACTCACTGAACCCGCAGCCCAGGGCCACTGGGCAAGGGCAGAGGCCACTGCACCTGTCCTCAGACTCATCCCCACACTTGACCCCATAGGAACTGATGCATCTGTGTGAGCCAGGCCCTGCCTTAGTCAGCAGAGGCCACTACTTGTGCCAAATCCACTGTGGGCCTGCTGTACCAGGCTGATGCTGGCCAGGCGCTGGATGTCCCCCACAGTCCCCTGAGGCCTGACTGTTGTACTCAGGCCCTCTCCCAGAGTCCTCCATCATCTCCCCATTTTACCCTACCCCGAGCCCCAGTCGCCAAGAAGGAGGTGTTGTTCTTCCAGGGTCTTCCTTTCAATGTCTGTTTCCACAGTCTCATGCTATAGAAGCGCTGAGCCCTCCAGCGTGGTTGGAGGATCAAGGGATGAAATGGGACAGGAGGAGAGGGGTCCTCCAGGCTGGTGACCCCTGCCCTGTTGGCCTGTCTCCCAAGTGGCAGCCTTCCCTGTGGGCCACATCAGGAAACCCACGGAGACAGGGTGATTTTGCATCTCCTGGAAAATGAGTGGGACACTCCTGGCCCCCTGGCTCTCCCCACCACCCCTACATATGTGCTCAGAAGGAGCCCAATGCATTGAATGGTTCCACTGTCGAGCCCTCTAAGACCTGGTTTGCCTCCTAAACCTCCAGTGTGCTCCTCTGATAGGTGTTTAAGCTACAGGTGAGACTTTGAAGTCCAGAGAAGACAGACACACCTGAAAACCGGTCCCCATTTGGGCCGAACCTTAAAAAGCCCATTGTCCCAGAGTCCTAGTGCCCACGGAGCTGTCTGTGTGTCATTGTCCTGCCCAGGTCATCAGGTGTGGGCTGAGGACAGGCCCAGGGCATACCCTCCCATAAAGGGGTTTTCTTCTTTCCTCATTTCCTTCTATTTGAGGACTTGTTTGGGGTTTAGATTTGAATTTTGCTTCCCCTGGACACCTGGGCATCAGCATAGTGCCACCCCCTGCTCCTGACCTGGCCAGTACTTCACAGTGCTCTTGAGGTGCGGAGCCAGCTGACAAATAGGCCAGAGGGTGTGGGCCAGCAGCAGGTTAAAGGGGGAAACCCAGCAGACCCCACCCCAGGGCACTCTCCCCTACTGCCTTCAGCCTTCTGGTGCCTGTTGAACCCCCAAGCTGTGCCCTAAGCAGACCCCTGGGCAGGACCCTAGCCCTAAGCACACACCACCCTGTGCTGCAACCATGAGAAAGTGCCCATGCCTTGGGCTGTCCAGAAGCTCAGGAGTGATCAGAGGGCACCTTCTCTAAGAGGGGAGGTTCCTGGCTAAGGGACCATGGAGTGGTGGGCAGCCTGAAGGGGCTGGGCACAGCCCAGCTTTGCGCACACTCGCCTGGTCCCATCATTCCCTACCTTGGCTTAAACCTAGGAGGCCTGGATTTTGCAGTTAGCCTAATCTTCCAGCCCCAGGCGAGGCTCCCTGGTGAGGAATCAGCTGAGCCATCACCACGTTTTGGGGCCTGTATCCTCTTCCCTGAGCCGCTGACGCATCCAGGGCTCTAGTCTGCACATAAATTCCCTCTCAGCTGGGCTTGTAAAATCCCTTCTCACCCCAGTTAGCAAAAATCAAGGGAAGAGCCTAGTTTTTTTAAAAGATTCACTTAATATCCACCCCCCACCTCAAGCCCAAGACCGCCCATTCAAAAAACAAGTATACGGCACAGCAAGGGAGACCCACTAGATTTTGAGCTTACAGAGACATAAGGGTACTTAAAACCCTGCCGGCCTAGTATTTGAGCTTAGAACTTTTATTTAAAATGAGCCGGCAGTCTCTAGACACACACCGATCCTCAGGCTAGTCCGAGCCCTGAGGTCAAGAATGAAATGCACTTCCCTTCTCATTTTCTCAAATAGATCTTTTCCAGCCGTCTCACAGTTGACCCCAACTTTGGAACTCAGATCATAGGATCTCCCAGAGGTTTCAGGTGTTCCTAAGAAGCTTCTAAAGGAAGTTTTGGAAGAAAGACTAATAGGTGTAAACATATAAACATATATATTATATATAGCTATATATATTTAAAGAGATCTCTACATATATATATATATATAAATACAACTACTGTACTCTCTGCATCTGTACAAAGTATGAGTTAAACTGCCCAGGTAGTGTGAGATACGTAATGCATGAATGTGAATATCCTGAAATCTGCCTTCTTAGCAACGTGCCGCGTGTACTGGAGAGAGGACAGTTGCTCCTGGGAGTTCTCTCAATGGGCAAATGTACAAGTTGATGCCGTCTTATCCACCAACAAGCCATTAAGGTTGGTTTCCTGCTGAGACTTTTGTACCGGAAGCGAGACCGGCAGCACTGGGGGTGTCCATATGCCACTTATGAGGAAGAAAGCACCATGACTTTTTTATTTTCAATAAAAATATAGAGATGTCTGTCAGTTGTCATTTGTGGGGTGGGGGAAAGGAGAAGGCCGGCCTGAGGGATGGGGGGATCCTTCACTAGGGTCCTGCTATACCCCAGGGCTGGGCTGGGGACCTTCCATGGGATATCTCTGTATGTTTTATCCCAACGCCCCAGGGTCGGTATTTATGGGGCTTTCAAAGGCCAATTCTGTCCCTCAGCCTGCCACCCACCGCCTTGACCCTTGACTTAATTGAGAATAGGGCGACCAACCTTCCCAGTTTGCCTGGGACTGAGAGATTCTCCTGAACCTGGGACTTTCAGGGCTAAAACCGGGGATATCTGGGGAAAATGGGACAAGAAGGTCGCCCTAAGTTGACAAGTGCTCACAGGAATCACAGGGAGCAGGAATCAGCCGGCCACACCAACAGGGTGACGGTGGCCAGGGTCAGCCTCCTGGATGTCCACCCCATGTGTAGACCTCAGCACCCACAGGCTGCTCTGCAAAGCCTCCTTACCTGGCCAGTTGCATGGAGAATGGAGGCTTGCCCTGCACCCCCACGCAGAGGGGCCCAAAGGGCACAGGGCCCCCCAGGCTCAAGCTCCCGCCACCACCCCGCTGCTTTGTTTTCCCCGCTCCAGCCTCACCCTCAGGCAAGCCTCACAGGAAGCAGCCGTGGGGAAGAGCTTCCGGTGTGATGGGCCAGGAGGGATGTAGGAAGAGAGAAAAAGTTGCACCTGCAGCATCTTCATCCTCCTGTTTGGAGTGAGGAGACAGGTCAGAAATGGAGCACAATGGCCAAGGTCAAGCACATACCAGGAAACAGGGATGGGGCTGGGGGTTGAACCCAGCCTGGTGCCTTCAAGGCCCGGCCACTGGGCACAAGCGAGGGGCCACAACTCAGACTCTCTCCACCCCTGCCTGGCTTCCCTGGGGCTTCAGAGTTAGCTCAGTGAGGGCCAGCTAAGAGCCCTGTGTGCCCAGAGCCAGTGGGCAGGTATATCCCCCTAACTGGGCTCACAGCCCAGGGGACAGGAGCTCAGTGCAGGAACTCAGGGAAGGGCTTGTGTCCCAGGCATCAGGGACATGGAGGGAACATGGAAGTTATTAAAGGCACTCCTGTTACAAGCGCCCCTCGCACCTGGGATTCTGTGAGCTGCTGTTGGCCTGCATACGCAGTAGAAGACGCAGTAGACACGCAGTAGAAGATGGCCATTGTTACAATGACTGTCACTGTTGTCTTTAATGAAAGAGCCTGTGTGATAGTGAGGGCTCCTCTGTCCACTGGCCCCCTCCTGGGGCCTGCCTGAAAGCTGGTGAGGGTTCAGTGGGACATCTCAGGCCTCACACCCACTCCTGTGCACCCTCAGCCCAGGCGTCCTCAGCAGCAAGCTCGGAGGCCAGCAGGGAGTGGCAGGCCTATGTGCAGTGCTCTGCCTGCTTGTGCAGGGGCCTGGGAATGGGGACTCAGGGCCAGCCTGGCAGAGGGAGGTGGTGATCGGCTGAGCATACAGGTGCCGGGAGCCATCAGCACACAGGTGCAGCGTCAGAGCCCTCCTAGGGGCCAGCCCAGTGTCTCCACCTCACACCTTTGGGGACTTTGGCCACTGGTGACGACAGCTCCTATGGCCAACATGACAAACTATGCTCTGGCCACCTTACAGCTCCATGTCCTGCTCTGGGGTCCTGCTGCTGCCCGTGAGGTGGGAGATGCAGCAGGACCCACAGAACATCCCTGCCCAGCACCTGGCAGGGTGGCAGAATTACTGTCTTGGATGCATGAGAGCAAGTGATGGCAGGAAGGCTCTTCCTCCTGCCTTCCTCACACATGATACTATGGTGTGACATCACAGAAGATGGTCCTGTGAGCCTGAGTGAGCTGCTGCGCTGGCTTCGGGTGGCAGCTGGCTCAGTAACGTGGCCGCTCTGTGGCCTCACCTTTGGGCAGACTCACCCACATCACCAGGCTCATGACAGCCCCCATTGAGTGACTGGCTTCCTGTTCCTCTACCATCCTCCCACTTAGGAAGTAGCTGACCAGTCCTGTGACACATGGAGGATGCCCTGTCTCCATGCCTGGCACAAGTGGTGTCCACAGCCTGTGCTCCAGACACCTATGGCTGCCTTTGTCTGGGAGATCCAGCTCTGTGAGGGCCTGCTTGTGGGGGCAGGTGGAGCCGCATTCCCAGCCTGTCCTCCTCTCCTCTCCGGGCTCTCCTCTGGGGCTCCTTCTGCTCTCCATCATATGTTCATCCAGTCAGTCAGTCCCCAGATCCTTAAGTGGCTCTGCTACCAGCCAGGTACCACACTGAACACAGAGTTCAGCTTCCCAAACCAGAGGCCCCAGCTGGAAACCTCAGAGGTCCCCAGCTCCTTCAACCTGGTGAGTCCTACTTGGGCCCTCCCATCTGCTCTCCAACCCACCTCCACTTACCCAGCTCCTCCCCATACCATCCCCTACTTCCACTCCCTCTCTCTACCTGCCTCAGGCTTCTCCTCACTCCACGCAACCCCTGCCTGCCCAGCTGAGCACTCAAGCCCACCCTGCTGGCTGCTGTGGACCCATCTTTAGTCTAGCTGCCCTGGGCCCCGAGGCTTCCCCAGCCCCACTCCTCACTGCTCACCCCACCCCACGCCCCATCATCCAGCAAACCACACTCACTGCCAGCCTCGAGTTCCCACGCCCACCCCTTGGCTGGGCTTCGCTGTCCTTGCCCAGCTCACCTCTCCCTCCAGTTTCTGCCTGGCCACCACTCATCTGCTATCCAGGTCCCCTTCAGAGGCAGCCTCCTCGCTGAACACACGTGGATCATAAAGCCATGCATGCACAGAGCCAGAGGAATGCCCCCTCTCCTGGGCGGCACAGACAGCCCTGCACGCAGAGCTCCCACTCTCTGCCCTCTCTGGCGGATGTTTCCAGTTGGTTATCCTCCACTGCCTGAGCCTGGCAGTCCCTAGACAGCGGCTGCTCACTCATATCCTAGTGTTGACTGGGGACACGTGCTGTGTCCTGGGGATACAGAGGGAAGCAAGACAAGGCCCCTGCCCTCCAGGGGTAGGGTGGTGGTGGCAATGGCCCCACAATGTGCACAGTGACAATGACGACAGTGTGGACATAAAGGGACACTCAGGGCCAGCTTCCCAGGGCTTCATGTACTTTATCTCTTTAATAGTCCCTGCAAGCCTAGGAGGCAGGAAGATTACCCCCATTGTACAGATGAGTAAACTGAGGTTAAGTGGCTTACCAAGGGGTTAAAAAAAAAAAAAAAAAGCAGTTAAGGCACAGAGTGCAATTCAGACCTAGCTCTGTGTGGCTACAAGTTAGTTCCAAGCTCTTCCAACCCAGACAGTTCCTTGGATTTTAAATGGTCCATTTCAGCTGGATTTATAGCCGAGTATCTCCCCTGCCGTGGGAAGCACACAGCAGCTGCAGTCAGGGACCCCTGGGTCTAACAAAATCTCTTCATATGTGACTTCTGCAATGCTCTTTCCCTCTGAGCCTCGGATTTCTCATCTGTGAAGTTGCGGGAGATAATCTCCAGTGGCTCTTTTTCCGATTACCACCTGTGGCTCTCTTTGAGCACATCTCATCATTCTCTATTCTATCACCTGAGTTTATTTTCAGTACAGCACTTCTCAGCCCCTAAGAACAATTGCCCATCTGTGTACCTGCCTTTCTCCTCCCATTTCAATGTAAGATGGCGGGAGCAGGGGCCTTATTCGTCATCAAACATCCAGCCCTCCAAACATCCAAACGTGCTGGGCATGGGAAATATTTGTTAATTAACAGTGGGTTATACATTTTACACAGTACACACAGGCATAAAGGAAAAAATAGCATTTTATTTCATATAACTGTCCAGAGTCCCTGCCTCACTGGGTGTGAGGGGGGAGAGGAATAAAAACCCTGAATTTGTGGATTGATGGCATTGCAGCCTCTTCTGGTTTGACCAGAGTCTTTTGGGTGACTCTGGGTCTTGTAGATAGACCCTTAGTCATTGAGGCATCTTCCTGGGCTGCTCCCTGTAAGAAGCACCCGCAGGCACCCCTGAGCAGATATCTGTAGCCTGGTGCAGGGGAGCTGGGCTCAGGCCACACGGCATCTTCTGGGTTCTCACAGGTCTCTGCTGCAGAGGGGCTGGCCTGGGCTGCTTCCTGGACAGGTGACTGTGGGGCTGTGCCTGGGCTTTTCTAGGCGAAGGGTGACCCCTGCCCCCATCACTCCAGTTGCAAATGTCCAGGCTCGAAGCAGCCTCCTCCTCCTGACTGCAGCCTCTGTACGTGTTCCTGAACGCCCATGGAGACTTTTGAACTCTGCACACTCACCTGGTTCAGGGAGGGCTGTGGATGCCTCTCTTCGAGGTTTATGCGCCACCATCTTCCAGGGCTCCCAGGGGCCTTTTCAACTGGGCATCTCTACAACATCCTCACCCGTAAGAGGGAAGGTGAAGACACGCCCACCTGGCCTCCCAGCGCCCCCCTGAATTTGTCTCCCTTTTTCTCTTGCTGACAATCCCCTGCGGTCCTGAAGAGGTGATCTGTCTGCCTCCTCGTCCTGTCTGCCAGAACTTCCCCTACATCCCAACTTCCTCCTGCCCCATGAAATCCATGGAACTAGACAGGGGCACGTGGTTTCCTGGAGAAGAATAAAGAATATATCCATTTATTATTTTCAAAATATTATCCCCATTCCAAACCCAATCATGCGCTCACACCGTGTGAAGTCCAAATGCTGGCAGAACGCACCATATGGAGGAGGATTTCCCGGTTGCTCATTCAAACATAGAGACGTGAGTGGGCCGTGAGTCACCACACGAAGCCAGCAGCGTGGGAGCACCACGCTCAGAAGAATGGGAGCCAAATGCCCATTGCAAGCTGTGATTTCATTTCAGCAAAACACCAGCTGCCACACGGCATTACAATTTGAAGAATAAATGGCTGTGTGACTGCAAGGAATTTAACACAGAGCCAGGCATGCATCGAGTAGGGCGTGCCTCATCAAGGTTAGCTCCCATTCTTGTTTGGGATTCCCACTCTGTGCCCGGTACGTGACAGCCATCATTCCCTTCACTCCTTACAGGAAAGAGGAATTGTCATCTCCATTTTGCAGTTGATGAAACTGAAGCTTAGTGAGATTAAATGACTCACCTGTGGTCAGAGAGCAAGTTAGCAAGGAAGTCCAGACTCCAACTCTGAGAACCAACCTGGCTGCAAAGCCCTGTCTGGGTTCCTCTCCACCTGCCTCCCCCACCCGAGCCCAGCATGGGAGCCCAGCTTCTGCACTGCAAGCTGGAGGCCCTGGGCACACCCTGCTGTCCGCAGAGCCCCCCACACCCTGCATCCCCACTGGGCAGAGTGATTGTCCTCACCTGGAGAGTTTTTCTGTCCTTCATGCTTGATTGCTTGCTGGTTCCTTCTCCAAGTGGCCACTTCAAGGAGTGGAAATCAGGGCGTCTGCTAGGCAGCCCTGGGGAGCTCCCTCTCCACCCACCTGCGGGGAGCCTGTCTGGGCTGCATAATTAAAAAGCCAGCTCTTTGTTCTTAAAACAGCCAAATCTGTGGCTTCCACAAAGGTCCTGCACACCCTGCAGGGAAGAGCTGGTGCCAGGGGCTCACCTTGCCCCACCCACCTGACCTCAGCTTCTCTGAGTGAGAGGAATCCAGGACGGTCGTGGGTTGGAGAGAACAGCCCTGGCCTGAAACAGGGTCAGGGCTGATGGTTGGCATATGGAGGGGCAGGTGGGGGCAGAGGAGTGATGCCAGGGAAAGGAAGGGCCACATGGGGCAGACAGCATGGCTGAGTGGCGCTGGGAACATCCCACCCCTCTTGGCCCATAAAATGGGAGAGCCAGTCTAAAGTGGAGAGCAAAACCACTGCCCTGCAGGGCCAGGCAGGTGAATGAATGAGCACACCAGGCCTTGTAAACCAGCCCCGAGGTGGCAGGATTTCTGCCCATGGGCTGGTGGGTTGTTCTTCTTGCTTTGGAGACTGAGGTCAGTGGCGGGAACTGAGCAAAGCTGGAGACTGCATATTACACCAGAAGTATCCAGACCAAAGGAAGAAATTAGAAATTCAAGCGCAGCAAAGAAAATATGCTCTGGGCCAGGGCCAGCCGGCAGGTTGCCAGCTGGTAACTTGTGATCTAAATGACTCTAGGTTACCTTGGAGGTCAGATGAGTAACAAGGGGCTTCCTATCATTTAGCTATTGGTAATATGTAATAGCTCGAACCTGGGCTTTGGAGGCAGAAATATTCAGATTCAAATTTTGCTCTATCTCTTACTGAATGATTCCTGCAATTATTTAATCTCTCCATGCCTGCCTTTTCCCGTTTCTAATATGGGGTTAATAATAGAAGTGTCTGCCTCACAGCATTGTTGTGAAGATTAACTGTTGTGAAGTTACTATATCAAAACTGCTATATATGACAAGCTCTCCTACTGGTCACTATGATTATAAGTAATTAGGGGCAAGTTTCCTTAGGGCTGGGTAAACCCTCAATAGGCCCCTAATCTAGCAGAGTTTATCATCACAATCTTTATTTATTTATTTTTTTATTTTTTGAGATGGAGTCTTGCTCTGTCACCCAGGCTGCAGTGCAGTGTCACGATCTCGGCCGGCTCACTGCAACCTCCGCCTCCTGGGTTCAAGCGATTCTTGTGCCTCAGCCTCCTGAGTAGCTGGGACTATAGGCACGCACCACCAAGCCTGGCTAATTTTTGTATTTTTAGCAGAGGCGGGGTTTCACCATGTTGGCCAGGCTGATCTCGAACTCCTGACCTCAGGTGATCCGCCTGCCTCGGCCTCCCAAAATGCTGGGATTACAGGCATGAGCCACCGTGCCCAGCCCTATCATCACAATCTTCTACTCATAATTATTCTTTCTCCTAAAACTACTATATTAAGTGGGAAACTAAATGTGATTTAATTTGTAATCCAAATTTTTTTTGCATGTACATGAATTCCCAAAGCAAGGGGAAAAATGCCTATGTGAGATGAAGTGATAAACAGAGATGCCGATAACATTGAGCCACCTCAAAGAAAAAGACCCTCAGATCTCTCTACCCCATGCTTCTGGCACATTTTAGCCAAAGGAGCCTAGACCCCAAAAACAGGGAATAGAAATGAACATGTATTGAGTGAGGCCCTGCTTTGGAGGCAGACGGCCTTCAGTCCTAATGCTACTCCCGCTAGCTGCATGATCTTGGATAAGGCACTTAACCGCTGGGCCTCAGTTGCCTCACCTGCAAAGTGGGGATAATAACAAGGCTTATCTCACCCAGGGGAAGGGGCTAAGGAATAAAAATCATGTATGTAGAGTGCTTGTATCTAGTAGATGCTCAATAAATGGTGGCTATTATTGTTTCTCTTGTATCCCCTTCAACTGAGGCTCACTACTCGTTCCTGTCAGTGAAGAACTGGCCAGCCTTTTACTAATAACACATCAGCCGTCTCCCAAAGCATTCAAACTCCACAAAAACACGGTTCAGTACTATTCCATTGGGTTCCAACCACTCCCTTCATTCTTCTTAAGAACCTACCATTACTGTCAAAACACCAATTTTCCAAATATACATATTTGCCCATCAGTTCTATTAAAGAAGTATAATAAACGATCTGCATTGTCCAATTAATGCCAGGGGCCCAGCTCATGAAAGAGATGGGAGGACCCATCTTCTCTGATCCAATCCAGTCTTATTTGGCCTGTTGTAGCTTGGAAACAGAGACGAATCTGCTGCAACCACTTGGCCTCTGATGAGAGTCTTCGGGAAGAGATTTGCTGGAAACATCCCGGTGTCAGGCTGAATGACATGCTTGCTAAGAGATGGTACACAGTGGAGACTGGATGCTCTTGGCTACTGCCATGTTTGGGCTCTCCTGGGTATTGTAGGTCTTAATCCTGAGGCACTGGCTGAAGAAACAAAACCAAATGAGCCTGTAGCTGTGAGCTGTCCCTCTGTGTGCTCTTCAGGAGGCAGCAAGTCTTCCCAGGGATGCACAGATTCCAGCGCAGTTTCCCAAGTACCATCACAGTTCTCCACCCATTTGAGCTTTCCATCACCCCAGGAAGATGGGTAGACAGCACCATATTACAGAGAAGGAAAAACAGAGGTCCAGGGAGGTTTAGTAACTTGTCCAAGGTCACCCAACTCATAAGAGGCATGCCCTTTGTGAAAAATCATTAAGAATAGAATCTACACATTTGGAGATTTGGGCCGATTCCACCCTTGGGAATCTCAGTGTATTCTGTTCACACACTGAAACCAATAGGGTGCTATGTGGAAAGGAAAACAGTCTGTACTGTGGCCGTTCTCCACGCCAATAATTAGTGCTGGTCAAATTTGGATCAGGTAAATTTTGCTGAGATCTCCCTGCCCTCTGTTCTGCATTTGTGGCCATCACCTGGGGATGATGTGTGCTGTGGCAGAAGTTCATATGGGCAGCGGCTGGGAGCACAGTCCTTGGGGGTCTGATAGCCTGGGTCAAGTCCTGGCTCTGCCTCTTACTAGCTGCATGACCTTGGGCAAGTAGCTTTACTTCTCCAGGCTTAAACATAAGAATAAAAGGAATAATCAGTAACTTTTAACAAGTGCTTACCACGTGCTAGGTGTTGCCCTAAGCCCTTTTCTTGCATTCTTTCATCATCTCAACAGCCCTCTGAGGTAGAATGTGTGTCATTGTCCCCATTTTACAGATGAGGAAACACTAATATGGAAATCCCAGTGCCCCTAAGGTGGTAAGGGAAATATATCCACAGAAGGGCTGGCTCCAGCTCAGTGCCTTTCAGGGGCCTTTACATAGGTCAGAGGTCAGCACTCTTTTTCTGTAAAGGGCCAGATGGTAAATATTTTAGGCATTCTGAGTCATACAGTCTCTGTCGCAACTCTGCCTACTATTGTAGCACAAACTCAGCCCTACACAATATGTAAATGGCGAGTGTGACTGTTTCCACTAAAACTTTGCAAAAACAGGCTGTGGGCTCCATTGCACCTGTGAGCGGAGGGTGCTGACTCCTCTGCCTTAGGTGAATGGGTTCTCTTCCGACTTATTATTAGTGCCAATCTTGCTAAATTTCCATAAGTCCCCTCTCTTCCTTTTTTCTTCTAAGTGCCTGAGCCCAACTGGTTGGAAGCTTTTGGTCCCCTCTCTTTTTTTCATCGAAGTGCCTGAGCCCGACTTGTTGGAGGGTGGACATGAGGTTGCGGAAGAAGATGAGGACACTGGCAATGGCGGGTGCAGCATAGGCTGGGGGAAGCTCACTAGTTTCCATCAGCCAGTGAAGTGGCAGGGTGCCAGCAGGGACAGCATTTGGGTCAGTTGACAGGGAAAAGGGTCCTGGTTCTCAAGAGCAAGGAGAGAGATTTGCCTGGGAGTGACCAAGACTCTAGGTCAAGGAAACAGGTCCAGACAGTTGGAAGCATTAAATGGGGGCCCCAGTCAAGAGTGCCAGGTTAAGGGTTCGTCTGCAGCTTGGGGAAGATGCAAACACAAAGAAAAGTTCAGGCAGAAGTCCATTCAAAGAACTGGGCAAAGAAGAGGGAGTGGGAGAAGAAGGTGTGGGTAACTTTGGACCTTGTCTACTGGTAGGATGGGGCCACTAAGATCCTGGCTGCCTGGGGCAGGGTGGGCTCAGGACTAGCCAAGAGCCAGGCCTGCAGCTGAGCCCAGATGAGGATGTCAGTAGAAACCCTCACAGGGGAAGCAGCCAGAGCCTCCTCCTCCTCCAGGAACCGATGCAAAAAAAGAGAATGTCACATGCAAAGCTCATGGTGCCCATGGGGAGCTCAAGCAAGGCCTGTTGCTTAACTGAATCCATTCCATTCGATAGACATTAATTAAACATGTACTGTGTGCCAAACCATGAGGAGACAGAGATAGCACGTATGCTCAAAGCTGTCACCGTTTACAAGTGAGATAAACAAATGCACAACTTGACTATGAGACAAAATGTTCACGGAAGCTCAGCCAAGCATGACTGAGACGGAGAAGGGTTCTGTCCAGGGAGAGGCCTTTCAGAAGAGTTTGTTAGCCAGATATGAAGAATGATCACTTCTGTACTCTCCATACTGAGCCTGAATGGTCCTCTGCAATTTGTATAAGGATGAAGATTTGAAGATCACTCTTTCTAGAACTCATATGAACAATTAAACATCTGAGGGCTTGTTTTCCTCTGAGAAGCATTAAGATCTCAGAGCTCCCAGAAGAAAAAGGAAGCCCCTTAATAACAAACATTAAAAAAAAAAGGTCTTTTGCCCTCAGGGTCCTTCCTAGAGGTGGACTTCAAACAAATTGTGTATTCCTCTCATCAAATGGCCAGAAAGAAAGCCTTTTCTTATTCATAATTTCAGTTTTAAGTGAAGTTAGAAGCTGTAGAACTTTAGAAGGAATGGTTGTCAGGAACTAAACTCTAGCTCTATAAACTGGTTTTAAAAAACCCCAGGCTCACAAAGATAATAAAAAACGCATTTAATAGCATGTCAATATACAGTTTAAATGTGTAGTAAGTCTTCTGTTAGTCAGTGCATTACAGGGATAAAGAGGAGGAATTTCATTTGGAATGCACAGTCCAACGCTAGGTATAGGTGCAGAGAAATCTTGGTGCTCTTACACTATTAAAATTCCGTTTTATGAAACATCACTCCAGGTGCAGGGCACTGTGCCAGTGAGGGACTCATCTGGTCCAGTGTGCAAGCTACAGTTTTCAATTAAATTGTATACAAGTATTAACAAAAGAATAAAATTTATTATTCACAAAACTAAAGTGGTTATCATAAAGCTTACAAGAGAGTACAGCCTAGAACTAATGAGTTGAAAAACTAGTTTTAAAAATAATAAAACTTACTGGACAGTTTTGGAAAATGATATTATAAAACAACGAAAACAATTGGCACAGTTTAACCACCTAATTTCTAAGTGCACTTTGTAATGTTCCTTGCAAGCTGCCACTTTTCCCAGGATAAAGACAAAAAGCTTCAGTCAGGTGTCACTGGCTTATGGTGACGGTTTTTTTTATTGCATTGCCAAGAGTGGATTTTAAGAAAAAACACTACAAAGGTTTCAAAAACCCTATTTATTCTCTATCATCAAAAATAGCAACAGGGGGACTTATACAACTTTTCTGTGAGTACCCACCAGTCTATTTTTTTTTCTTAAAAAAAATAGAAGTTAGTTAAAGAAAAATGATTTGGTTTTTAAAAAATAATGTAAGGAAACACTTAATCAGATAGCCCAAGGAGTCATCAGAAATATGTGTAGCAAGAAAGCTTCATTTTCGGCCCTCTCTGGCCTTTGCACATCTTTTACTAAACTAGAAAGAGAATGTACAGTACCAATATGTTCCCCAACCTGCTTGGATCAAATTGTTTGTTTTTAAACCCATTATTGCTAAACCAGAGTGTTGACACTGAGCGCCGAGGAGTCCACTCATAGAGGATAAAATTGAGAGGCTGCTTCCGAGGACTGGATCTCCACCTGGGCCATTTTGAACTGAGTGCACTGCAACCACTTTCGGAGGGCTGCCAGGCCAGCACTGCTCTGGCCCGAGCCCGGCAGCGTCCTTAGGCTGTGGTGGTTCACGTGGTTCTGAATAGCCTGGAGGCGAAGCTGGAGTCCCGCAGATAAGTGCTGTCGAAAAAGGGCAAGAGGTTTTAGTTTATTTCTTTTCACGGGCAACCCAGGGAGTGTCGACCCGGGCGGCTTCTTGCAGGCAGAATTTAGGCTTGGCTCAAGGGTTGTCTGGCCTGAAGAAGGCAAACTCTCTACTCTGGCAGTGCCCAGGGCGGGGGATCGCACCGTGTTTTCTAGAGTCGTCCTGGCCCAAACCCATCATAATAATGACATGCTCACCTTGACAGACTCACTGCAATGAAAACATAAAGCTGCCACACCAGTGCTGGGCTAACACATAAACTTGGCCCCAGTGAACTGTTTACGACAGGGACCTGGTGTGGTGGTGAAGTGCCCGGGTTCTGCTGTCAGGATCCCTGTGTTCAAAGCCTGGCTCTTCTATAGGCGACTTTGGGAACAAGGTTTATTGGTCCGTGTTTGGGTTTTCTCATGGGTAAAGGGGGGATAGTGACACTTACTCAGGGGGTTTGTGTAGGACAAATGGGTTAAAAAAGTGCTCAGAACAGAACTTGGCACATGAAGAAGCTAGGATGATAGCTTCTCTTCTTTCTCCAAGCTTCTTAGGGAGTTCTGTCGGCCTGCTCCTGGCCATCTGGGCAATCGCCACAGATTGCCATAAAGCCGGGAAAGGGTAAGAGAGGCAATTTAAAATGCTTCAAGCTGAGAGTGCAAGAAACTCTCTTTTCACAGAAAAAACTAGTACCGAGAGGCAGTTTTCAGCAGTGCCCATGCCCCCGACGGCCGCCACAAATAGCACCAAGGCCGTAATCAGGACTCAAAGGCTGTGGTCATTGTTGACAGCCGCATTTTTCTCTTTTGGTGTCTGGGTACCCTGAGTTCATACCGCTTTCCTTCCACTAGCATCCCTCCCCAACTCGGAGAAGAAACCCAGCAAAAAACTTTCCAGCTTTTCCTCCCATCCCCCTGACACTCTTAGTGCTACAGACAGGACCCGGTTTGGATGGAGCAGGCAGCTGGCTTTGCCATCTTAAGTCACGCCCAGTAACTCTGTTTGCTGGTCATAGAGTATGTTTGCCCCTACAATGACAAAGCGCCAGTCAAGGCAAAGCCTGGGGCTGGGAAACATATTCAGGCGGGATCTCCTCTTTTAGGCTGTGGGGCCCTGACCAAGTCACTCTTCCTTTTGGTCCTAAATTTCTTCATATATAAAATGAGGCAGTAGGTTCCTTGTAGCTCAATCCTATCATTTATTTGAGGTTGTCCTGTCATAACAGAATTCTTCTCATGATAGAAAATCCATTTTAGCAACCAGGACACATCACTGAATGTGCCTAGGTATCCTCCAAGGGGTCGGTATGCTACTCCTCTTTTTTTTTTTTTTTTTTTTTTTTTGAGAGACTGGGTCTTGCTCTGTCTATATATACACAATCTTGTTACTGCAAATAGTGACAGTTTATTTTTTCATTTCCAATTTATATTTCTTTGATTTCTTTTTTTAAAATAGAGACAGGGTCTCACTCTGTTGCCTAAGCTGGAGCGCAGTGGCAGGATCATAGCTCACTGTAGCCTCGAACTCCTGGGCTTCCAAGTGATCCTCCCACCTCAGCCTCCTAAGTAGCTAGAACCACAGGTGCATGCCACCACAGCCAGTTAAATTTTTATTCTTTTGCAGAGATGGGGTCTCGCTATGTTGCCCAGGCTGATCTCCAACTTCTGGCCTCAAGCAAACCTCCCACAATGGCCTCTCAAAGTGCTGGGATTACAGACAGAAGCCATTGCACCCGGCCTCGGCCTGTACTCTCATCAGTGGATTGAGGCTTGCTCAGACCCTGGGATACCGCCCTCCACTGCATCCTCACCAACCTCAAGCAGTAGGACAATGGTTCCTGCTGCCACCCCCTGCCTGCAGAGCCCTTACCTGGCCCACAGGTCTCCTGCATTATCAGCCCTCTAAGGCCAGGAGCAGGTTGAATTCATCCTTCTCCATAGTAAATGGAGCATCAACAATCCCTAGGAACGTTATACGTTCTCTGCAGGAAACCGAGCTTCCAATCAGCCCAGGGAGTGACTTACCTTGATATTTGACTGAATCATTGGCAACCACATAGGTATCAGCTGTATAGAGAAAGACAAAAGCTTCATTATTAGTGTCCTCTATTCTCCCACAAAGCTTCGCTCATTGCAAGGGAAAACAGGCCACATTGAATCCCTTTCACGTCGCGCACGGATGTGGGCCCTGCTGCAGGGCTACCCGTTATCAGCAAAATGTCTTTCTGAGGCCAAACCCCGCTGAGCCAGTGGCATTTGGAGGTTAATAAGCGCCCCATGAGTGCCTGAGATACACACTTTAGAGTAAATGACTGATTGTCTCTCGAAAGCTACCAAGCACAGGAAATTAAATGTGTATTTATTTAATTAAATCCTCACTTTCTTGAAATAGAATTTCCTCCACAGGATCTTTAGAACTGAGTGTCTGAGTGGAATGGCGACTCTATTTGCCTGTAGTCATTAAGAAAATATCTCTGGTCAGTGGATGGAACACTTAAGTGAGCGAGAAAGACCACTCCAAGATGCCTGGCTGCGATCTGGAAGGTGTAATACAGCGAGACTGAGCCGGGTGTCTGCGAAGTGTGGGAGCACACACAGCCAAGCAGCAAGTCCCTGCTGGAGAACCCTGGCCCTCTGCTGCCTCTCTGACAGGACCTCAACCCCTCTGATGTGGTCCTTCCTGGGAGGAGGTCATAGGTGCCCTGGCCTGAGGACCTCCAGAAGCTGCTCCTTCTCTCTGCTTTGGGCCCTCCTCCGTGTTTCAGTCCTTTAAAATCTAAGTAAATATTCATGGCCTTGTGCATCCAGAAGTCGGAGACAGAATATGGCATTCCTCAAACTGTGTCCCATGGCACTCTAATTTGGAGAGCTTTTAAATGGTGGAGGGGGACTCCGATCCAATAGGTTTGGAAATGTTAGTTTCTATATTTCAGTACTTCTCAGATCTTTAATACACCAATATGCATCATATCATTTCGCTCCATATTCCTTCCAACCCTCCACTCAAATAAAGGAGTAGTGTTGTCATGCATTGAATTGTGCCCCATTAAAATCTATATTGAGGTCCTAATCTGCACTGCATCACAATGTGACCTTATTTGGAAATGGGATTGTTGAATATGTAAATTAGTTAAGATGGGGTCATACTTGAGTAGGGTGAGCCCCTAATCCAATATAACGGGTGTCCTTATAAAAAGGGGAGTTTAGACACCTACACACAAACACACAGAAAGCATGCTATGTGAAGATGAAGACAGGGACCTACAAGCCAAGGAACCCCAAAGACCCAGCAAACCACCAGAAGCTAGGAGACAGGTCTGGAACAAATTCTCTCTCCAATCCCTTAAAAGAAACCAACCCTGCCGACACCTTGATCTCAGCCTTCTGGTCTCCAGAACTTCCAGGGAATACATTTCTGTTGGTTGAACCACCCAGACTGTAATACCTTGGTAGTCCTGGGAAGCCAGAACAAGGGCATTCCAGGAAGCAGAGAGAAGGCATGGCGAAGCTCATTGGTGGGAGTGTGCAGAGAGTCGGGGAGGGGAGACAGTCACGTGATGCTGACATGTGAGGCTCTTAGAAAACGGCCATGAAAAACAAGTTTAGAAAAGCACAGGCCAGGCCTTCACACCCTTAGCCCACCAGATGGCCCTAAATGCCAAATTAGGGGATCTGAATTTTATTCCAAATTCAATACAACTTCCGAAGAGGGGATGCTCTATTCACCATGAGCAAAACAGTGCTCCAGACAGATCACCGTGGCAGCAGCCTGCAGATTAGGGTGAAGAAGGAGGCAGGGAATGGAGGCAAGAGCCACTGTGGAGGTTGCCTCAATGGTCCAGAGAAGACCAGGGACAGTTTCTGGGGATGGGGAAGGATTCCACCTGCAGAGACAAATCTTGAGGATCTGAGGATGAGTCTGCTCTTTCAAGTGAGGAAAAGGTCAAAGAAGAGGTAGAGGTTTCTAACCTGGGCAAACTGGGGGACACTGATGTAATGAACAAAACCAAAGACGAAGGAGAGCTTTTTGGGATGGGGGACAGTATGTGAATGACCTCAGAGTTCAAAGTTAGTCATAGCCATAAGCTGCTGGTTTCATTGAATTCATCACATTTTCTTTAAAATGAACTTGGTGAAGTGATAAGCTGCATTTCTCTCCCTGTTTTTGTTCCCAAGGCTAAATCTGGCTGTTGTTTGACTTTTAACATTCTGTTGATGTATATAATTCGCTAATTTGACTTCTATTGACATTTACTCCTAAACATTCCTAAACGTAGTGTTTCTGTTGCAGCTAGCTAACACTTGGTCTCTAACATGAATACTGTGTTTATAAATGGAGTATGGTGTGTATCAGAAAATGTAATGAGACTAAAGCTGAAAATATCAGAAGATGCCACCCTCTCCATGCCTCCCCCTGTCCCCCAACCCTCATAACAAAACGGTGGGATTACAAAGATTGGTACCAGATAAGGCTGTGCCCTCTGACCCTTACTAGGACTGGCTCCTCTAGACATTCTGAATGGAAAAAAAAAATTTATCTAGTCTAACTGTCTCCCCCTATAATTTCTGCACAGCAAAAAGCAAGCCCTGGAGGGTGCTGATGCTACAGACTTTGTTGACCTTTGACTATTTAATACAGAAGTGGGCCCATACGCCTCTTGATATTTGGGAAATACCCAAACTAACCTCCTGTTAAGAATTGTGAGGGACTTGAGAAGAGTAGGGTCAGGGAGTACTGAGTACCCTGTCCCTGGGTGGATACCTTTCCCAGTGCTGCCACTGTGGCTAAGCGTCCATGTGAAGCAAGCAAGGGGAATAGTGATGTTGGTCTAAAAGTGTTTTTATTATTTCCCCATTGATGTAATCTATGACCATGTGATTCTAAAATATACCTGCAAGGGACCTTCAGGTTTGTGATTTGCAAATCACGTGACTAAATGTATCCAGTTAAAGCTCATCATTATTGATGACATTATATAACCCAGCCATCACCCTATTTCAGAAATGTTAATTTGACTTATTGAATAACTTTCATTTTCATTCTCTTTTGCTAGTGGTTCCTACAAATCTGTCAGTAAGAATTAGATGTGATTTATTTTGGGCTCTGCAATGTTATGATGGAGTAAAGTTGGTTGGGCTTTTTTTTCTCCCCCCTCTTCAGAAACAATATCCTGAAAACTGAAGGACATTTAAAAAATAGGTTTTCACAAGAATAAAAGTGATACCCTTCCTCTTATCTTGGTTCATGCTACAGAACAAATGGAAGACTTCCTGCCTGGTTGGACTGTACTCATTTCAATCCTGCTTATTCCAGCCCTCAAAATTAAAATTGGTGATGAAACTTTCTCTTTCAGCCAAGATGGAGTAACAAAGACCAGATTTACCCTCCTGCCTGGGACAACTAAAAATCCAGACAAACTATAAAAAACAATGTTTTTCAGGTATTGAGCATCAAGAAATGCAGGACAGAGATCACTGAGGGAAAGGAAACAAACCAGGTGAGTCCTGCAGGTATTCCAGCTCACTGCCTAGAGAGAGTTTTCAGGCAGTAGCACTGGCAGCAGGAATGCAGGTGGAGCCTGGCAGTCTTCCTGAGTGAGGAGAGGTAGCCAGGAGCCCTGGGAGGTCAAAGTGACTACAGTTTTCAAGGTAGAGTACTGGACAGGAGAGATCTACAGAGAGAGAGACAACTCCAAAGATCTGAAAAGGGATCCCCCTGAGTCTTCAGCTGAGTGCTGACCAGTACATGCAAGTTATAAAAACTACCCAACACTGGAGAAAAAACGACCCGAAAATCTTAGAAGGAAAAAAATCCCCTGGTGATTATATAGGGCCAAGAATATTTTGTGTTCCTATTAGTCAGAGTGGAAAAATCTTATAACTCATAGAACATCATGAGAGTACTGATAAGGATAGTGGTATACAGCAGCAGCAGTGAAGAACTACGTGCCCTACAAAAATTGCTGCTCTGATCAATACCTAACAAAGCTTAAATGTTAGCCTCAGAAGGATAAAGATATTTGTAAGTTATGTAACTATGTCACAGAATACAGCTTAAGAATATTTTATATGAATATAAAAATATCCATCACCCAAGAAAGTCAAATTAACAATGTCAAGAATACAATAAAAAATTACCAGGCATGCTAAGAAACAACAACAACAAAAGAAACACACGAATGAGGAGAAAAATCCATTAACAGAAAATAAAACAAAAATGACACAGATAACAGAACTAACAGACAAGGACATTAAAACAGTTATGATACCTATATTCAATATGGTCAAGAAGGTAGAAGAAAGATTGGGCATGTTGAGTAGAGGCACTGAATAAAATATTTGAAGAAACAATGGCTGATATTTTTCCAAATCTAATGAAAACTATAAATCCAGAGATTCAAGAAGCTCACCAAACCCAAGCACCAGAAATATGAAGAAAACTCTACCAAGGCATAGCATCATCAAATTGCTTAACCATAGTGGCAAAGACAACAGAGGAAAAAAGACATATCACATACAGACAAAAAAGATAAGAATGACAGATTTCTTGTTGGAAACAATATAAGCAAAAAGACAATGGAGGAGCAATATCTTTAAAGTATTGAAAAAAAAAAAAAACCTCCGAAACCATCCATCTAGAATTCAATACCCAGTGAAACTGTCTTTCAAAATTGAAAGCAAAATAAAGCTTCTAAAACATACAAAACCTAAAACAATTAATCACCAGCTGACCTGCACAGGAGACTTTACAGAAAATCCTTTGGGCAGAAGGAAAGATGAAAGATGAATGTTTAGATCTATAGAATGAAATGAAGAGCATTAAAATGGCAAATATAAATATGGCAATTATAGCAAATATAACTGAACATAAAACTTGTTTAAAATCTCTTTAAGAGATAGTCAACTGTTTAAAGCAAAAATAATAATGTATGATTTGCTTTATAAAATATATAGAAAATGTATGACAATAATAGCAAAAAGTCAGGAGGTGGGAAATGGAGGTATATTATTGTACAGTTCTTATACAATATATGAGGTGGTATAATATTCCTTGAAGGCAGACTGTGATTAAAAATATATACTATAAACTCTGAATCAACCACTAACACAACAACAAAGACATACAGCTAAAAGATAATTAAAAAACACACTTCTAAACAACTTAAGGGGCAAAGAAGAAACCAAACTGGAAATTAACATTTTGATCTGAATGGAAATGAGAATCTCTCAAAATCTGGGGGAAAGCAGCTAAAACAGTATTGAAAGGAAATTTAGAGCACTAAATGCTGATGTTTGAAAAGAAGGAAGTTCTTAAGTTAATTATCTTAGTTGCCATCTCAGTTTATCTTAATTAGACAAAGAAAAGGAAATTATATCCAAAATTTAATCATAAAAACCTTAATCCAAAAGAAGGCACAAAAAGAGAGGACAGGAGACAAAGAACAGATGTGAAATATAGAAAACAAGCAGTAAGATAATAGATTTAAACCCAACAATATCACAAAACACATTAAATGAAAATGATCTAAAAACCTCAATCAAAAGGAAGAGACTGTCAGATTGCATTTTTTTAAAAGCAACATCCAACTTTATGCTGCTTATAAGAAATGCAGTTTAAATACAAAAACATAGATAGGTTAAAAGTAAAAAGATGAAAAAATATGTACCATCCTATCATTAGTCAAAAGAAAGCTGGACTGTTTTATTAGTAAATATTACCAAAGATGGGTAACATTTAGTAATTTGATATAGCAAAAGTCAACACTGTTCAAGTGCAGTGGTGCAATAATACATATATAGTAAATGGTACATATTTAAAACACCCAGTTTGATAAGTCTTGACTTACATTATGCCATGCACCACAATCAAGATAACGAACATATCCATCACCTCCAAGTTTTTTCAGCCTGAGCACGGTGGCTTATGTCTGTCATCCCAGCACTTTGGGAGGCCAAGGTGGGCAGATCCCTTGAGGTCAGGAGTTCAAGACCAGCCTGGCCAACACGGTGAAACCCCGTCTCTACTAAAAATACAAAAATTAGCTGGGCATGGCGGTGGGCACCTGTGGTCCCAGCTACTCAGGAGACTAAAGCACGAGAATTGCTTGAACCCGGGAGGCAGAGGTTGTGGCGAGCCAAGATCGCACCACGGCACTCCAGTCTGGGTGACAGAGCAAGACCTGATCTCAAAAAAAAAAAAAAAAAAAAAAAAAAACCTAAACTAAACTAAAAATATTACCAAAGATGAAGAGGGACATTTTATAATTTCAATTCATTAGGAAAATATAGCAATCCTAAAGACATAAGCCTAATAACAGAGCTTCATAATACATTAAGCAAAAATAAATCCACATTCAGAGATATTTCAATACCCCTTTCTCAATAATTGATAGAATAAGTTGACAGACATAACAAGAAGGACATAGAAGACTTGAGCAATACAATCAAAAACTTTGAACTAACTTACTTAGGAAACTCCAAGCAACAACAGCAGAAGACACATTCTTTTCTAGTGCACACAGAGCATTTATGAAGATACACAATATTCTGGGCCATAAAGCAAGTCTCAATAATTTAAAATGAATCAAATTATATAAAGTATATTCTCTGATACATTAGAACTACAAATCCATAACAGAAAAATCTCTGGAAATCTTTAAATATTTGGAAGTAAAACAATATAGTTCTAAATAATCAATGCCAGAAAGAAAGCAAAAGAGAAGTTAGAAAGTATTTTGAACTGAATAAAAATGAGAACACAACATGCCAAATTGTTGGATGCAGCTAAACCAGTGCTTAGAGGAAAATTTATAGCACTAATCACTTATATTAGAAAAGAAAAGTCTCAAATCATTGTGCTCTACCTCAGCCTCCCAAGTAGCTAGAACTACAGGCATGTGCTACCATACCCAGCTAATTAAAAAAATCTTTTTTTTGCAGGGTAGAGACTGGGTCTCAATATGCTGCCAGGCTGTCCAGGCTGGTCTTGAACTCCTTGACCCAAGCAATCCTCCCTCCTTGGCCCTCCAAAGCACTAGGATTACAGGCATGAGCCACTGTGTCCACCCCCTAACAATCTTTTTGTAGAAATTGACAAACCAATTTTAAAATTTATCTCGAATGGCAAATGACCTAGAATAGCCAAACAACTTTGAAAAAGATGAATGAATTTAGAAGGCTGACACTACCTGATTTCAATGAATATTATAAAGCTATAGTAACGCAGACAGTGTGTTATAAAAATAGACAGAGATCTGGCCGGGCATAGTGGCTCACACCTATAATCTCAGCACTTTGGGAGGCCAAGGTGGGCAGATCACCTGAGGTCAGGAGTTCGAGACCAGCCTGGCCAACATAGTGAAACCCTGTCTCTATTAAAAATACAAAAATTAGCTGGGCATGGTGGCAGGTGTCTGTAATCCCAGCTATTCAGGAGGCTGAGGCAGGAGAATCACTTGGACCTGGGAGATGGAGGTTGCAGTAAGCCGAGATTGCACCATTACACTCCAGCCTGGGTGACAGAGTGAGACTCTGTCTCAGGAAAAAAAATAAAAATAAAAATAAAGAAATAGAGATCAATGGGACAGAATCAAGAAGTCAGAAATAGAATTGTATAGTTATTTGATTTTTGACAAAAGTGCAAAGGCAATTTGACGGAGAAAGTATAGTATTTTTAACAATGATGCTGGAATAACTGACTATCCATATACAAAAAAGGTACCTCAATCCACACCTCACACCATATACAAAAGTTAACTCAAAATAGATCACAGATGTAAACTAACACCCAAGTGAAAACATAGATAACACTTAGAATAAAACACAAATAAAACTCTTTATTATTTTTGGGCTAGGCAAAGATTTTTTAAAATACAACATCAAAAGCATGATTCATAAAAGAAAAAAATTGGTAAATGGTACTTCATCAAAATTAAAAATTCCAAAGACAAACCACAGAGAAAAATCTTTGCAAATCACATACCTGATAAAGGACTTGTATCTCAAACTTCAGTAATCAGGAAAAAACCCAACCCAATAAAAAATGGGCAAATAATTTTAACAGATACTTCACCAAGCAGACATATGGACAGCAAATAAGTACATGAAAAGATGCTTAATGTCATTAGCAAACAGGAAAATGCTATTTAAAACCACAACAAGATACCAGTACACAACTCTTAGAATAATTAATATTAAAGATTGACTATGCCAAGTGTTGACAAAGATGTGGGGGAACTGGGAATGCTCATACACTGTTCATATACTGGATGTAACAGAGCACAACAGCTTTGGAAAATGGTTTGGAAAACAATTTTTTTAAAGGTAAATATACATCTGTCACATGGCCCAGACATTCTACTCCTAGGTATTTGCCCAACATACATGAAAACATATATGTACACAAAGACATCTTCATGACTCTTCATAGCAGATTTATCTGTAAAAGCCCCAAACTGGAAACCCCCTAGATGTCAAATAACTGATAAATGAATAAGGAAAATGTGGTATATTCATACAATGGACTACTACTCTGAAATAAAAAGTAATTGTCCACTGCTACATGCAATAACATGGATTAATCGCAATATAATTATTACAAGTGAAAGAAGGCAAAAGAAGTATATACTGTATGAATCCACTTAAAGAAAATTCTAGAAAGTGCAAGCTGATCTATAGTGACAGAAAGCAGGTCAGTAGTCATCTGGGGACAGGGAGATGAGTAACCCAACTGAAGGATTATAAAGGGGTATGAAAAAAGTTTTGGTTGTTTTTTTGTTTGCTTTTTTTTTTTTTTTTTTTTGAGACAAAGTCTCATCCTGTTGCCCAGGCTGGACTGCAGTGGCAAAATCTAGGCTCACTGCAACCTCCACCTTCCGGGTTAAGCGATTATCCTGCCTCAGCCTCCCGTGTAGCTGGGATTACAAGTGTGTGCCACCATGCCTGGCTGATGTTGGTATTTTTAGTAGAGATGGTGTTTCACCATGTTGGCCAGGCTAGTCTTGAACTCCTGGCCTCAAGTGATCTGCCCACCTCAGCCTCCCAATGTGTTGGGATTACAGGCATAAGCCACCATGCCTGGCCTGAAAAAACTTTTGGAGGTGATGGATATGTTCATTGTCTTGATCATGGTGCATGGCATAATGTAAGTCAAGACTTACCAAACTGCACGTTTTAAATATGTACCATTTGCCATATGTATATTATTGCACCACTGCACTCCAACAGTGTTGACTTTTGCTATTATCAAGCTACATATCATATATCTAACCCATTTGAACCAATGATCTTGTTCTGTTCTGGTAACAGTCAAGTTTTCCCTGAAAATGGGCTGCTTTTCCTCAGCATAGTGTGAGTGAATGTGACAAATGTTCTTTGTTGAAGAGTGGAGTTAACCAAGGAATGAAACAGCAAGTTATAAGGTTCCAAGTTGATGCCCACTAGTGGGTGGTGATGGTGGTTGGTGACAGTGGCCAAGATAATAGAATATAGAGGTGAAAGATAAAGAAATACAAGAAGAGATACAAGGAGAGGAAGAAGGATCAGAGAGACAAAGAGGTGGAACGATAGGAAGGAAAGGAAAAAGAGGGGAGGCAGAAAGATAAACGGAGTGGGAAACCAAGTTCTCTACTGTTTCGTTTTTGTATCACACTAGTCTGTTTCTGATGAGAGGAGGGTATCCAGGGAGGGGAGATGACAAATGCTTGAATTTCTTTTATACACTGTATAATGATTTAAAATAATATTATTTGAAACTAAATTAATTTGTCTTAGAGAAAGCACCAGATACCATGTCAGACAATTACAGACTATTTTCCTTGGTTTTCTGGATATGTTTTGCAAGGTAAGGTGATTTATATTAGAATAGCGTAATTTTCACATCAATATTCCCCAGTAATATTTTCAGTACTTGTGTTACCTTTTTTTTTGTTTGTTTTTTGGTAGACACAAGGTCTCACTATATTGCCCAGGCTGGTCTCAAACTTCTGGGCTCAAGCAATCCTCCTGCTTCAGCCTCCTAAAATGCTGGGACTATGGGCATGAGCCACCATGCTTGGCCTGGTCTGATAGATTTAACCCAGGTAAAGTTGGTCACAGTGGTAGACCAAGAGCAAAATTAATGCAATAACCATTTGGTAAAGGGTT
This sequence comes from Homo sapiens, assembly GCF_000001405.40. Lineage (NCBI taxonomy): Eukaryota > Metazoa > Chordata > Mammalia > Primates > Hominidae > Homo > Homo sapiens. Next base: position 93,694,547 of record NC_000014.9, on the reverse strand, counting down.
GTTATAGGAGCCTGAATTCTCCAGCCCCAACTCTGAATGTTAAAACTAATTATCTTCAGAAAGTACCTTCAACATAAATCCACATTTGTTTTTAGCAGTAAGAAATGGTCTTTAAAAATCATAAGGTTTTCCTACCTTGACAAAAATGGTCGAATTGCATTCCTGCAATGCCTCCATTAAACTAATCACATGGAGACACACCATTTCTACCATCTGAAACAACAAACATGAAAGTTAATTCCATTTCCAGTGATATAGAAACCTTGCAAACTAGTTTGCAGCCGCAGAAGACCGATGTCCTGTGCCCATGAGGTCTTTCTGTGTAATGACCGTAGGAGACCACTGGCAGTGGTGTTCATTCACCTCTGAAACGTCAAACCAGAAAAAGAATTTTAAAAAAGCTCCAGAGGCTTGGTAATTGTCATGCCTCCCTCATTCAACTCAGGGCTGCCAATGGAATTCAGGCATTGATCTCACTAATCTGCACTGCACTGACTCACACCAGGGGATAAATGGCCTCTGTTGCCTTCATTTCTAACTACGGAACTCTTTGGGTGTAAGAGTTCTGTATCACGCTAGTCTGTTTGAGAGGAGGGTACCCAGGGAGGGGAGATGACAAATGCTTGAATTACTTTTATACACCATATAATGATTTAAAATAATATTATTTGAAACTAAATTAATTTGTCTTAGAGAAAGCACCAGATACAAAGTCAGACAATTACAGACTATTTTCCTTGGTTTTCTGGATATCTTTTGCAAGGTAAGGGGATTTACATTAGACTAGGGTAATTTTCACATCAATGTTCCCCAGTAATATCTTGATCCTTTCTCAATCTTGATCCTTTCTACACAGTGTCTTCATCGGCAATAACTGTTTAATTCACTGCAGATCTGCTTCCGAGGCTTTATTCTCCGTGGGACAATGTAGCCATGCTTACGACAGTTCAAAGACAGTAGAGGTGATGTCCCTCATCAGAAATTCCTATGGCTGGATTTTAAATATTCCAGGGAGATTTTACCAGACTGGCTTATATGGTTTAACAAAATTTTCAGAATGAATTTAATTCAAATTCTTTTGTAATATCATTTGCATAAAATTCATGTGCAACAAATTCATTTGTAACATTTAAATATGGAGAGTGATTTGGAGGAGAGGTATTTCTTGGTATCAAAAAACTAATGATAGAAGGAACATTTTTAATCTCTAGCTTAAGTGTAAGGCCTCAGTTTTGTTGTCTGTGAAATAACAGAATAGAATGTTTGATCTCCAAATTCTTCATTAGTCCTAGAATCTGTGATCCAATAAATGTAATTATTTTCCATTAACAGAACTATTCAAACGCTAAGATTTTCACATAAACTTCCTTTAAATTGAACTAAGACATCTCTCTACACATAGAATTGCCTGTATCATTTGCATCTCTAAAGAACAAAGTGCTTCACTAAAGGAAATATACCATCCCCTTTCTAATTAAGAACCAAAAGAAAATACTTCTTAGACTATTATTCTATCAATTAAAAAAAATTTCCTGAATGCCTTTTGTGGGCAGTGTAGTGTTGGGTTTCAGGGTACACTGGAATCATCATTATGGTGTCCCTCCAGGTCCCCTGCTCCTCACAAACAAGAACTCTATTGATGGTGTCCCCATAACAAGACGCTGGTTGCAGCTTTCCCAGCTGAGAGTCCTCCTCCAATACACAGTCAGAACCAAAGGACTCCCTTGTAAATTCCTTCCATATATCCTCCAACCTTGACTCCAGGATGAATACTCCACACTGGTTCAATGAAGTGGGCTTAGGCTAGCCATACCCCAGACATTTTCCAATGAGCTCTGGAACAGCCCCTTTCTTGGTAGCCGTCTACATTCAACAGTACTGGATTTGAAGATTGGGGAGCATAGGTCCCTATAAGCCAGCTTGAAAACGTGAGGCTCTTTTCAGGCTTTGAGGCCTGAGTGGAATGAACACCTGTAGTCAGTCTACTCTTAAACCACCACAAATAGATTACCCAATTGGCTAAGGTTTTTCTAAATTGCTTTGCAATCCTCAATTAATATGAATCTCACTCCTAACCCTCTGACATTATAGCATCAAACAACCCTTCAAGGTAGATATTTCATACAACATACATTTGATGTTAGGCAGAAAAAATAAAAATTGTTTTTAATATTAATAACTGTACTTGTTTGCTTTTTTAATATTCATATATCAATATAAAAGTTTTGAGATAGATATACATTGTGGAATGGCTAAATCAAGCTATTTAACATGTACATTGCCTTACGTACTTATTTTTTATGGTGAGAACATTTGAAATCTCCTCGTAGCAATTTTCAAGTATAGAATATATTGTTATTAACTGTAGTCACCACGGCGTACAATAGATCTCTTGAACTATTATTTTGTTTTTAATCAAAATGCTTATTTTTAATCAAAATGCTTATGCAAGCAGAACATCCAGCTTATAAGGTAACATATCCCCGATCCATTTATATAACCTTACAACTGAGATCTGTGAAAACAGGGAGTGTGAGGATTAGGAGTGGTGTGGACACTTTGAGATTCCATCTCAGAAGGGAAACTCGTCTGTGAACTCACCACTTTGTTATGGGCCATTAGCTGAAGGATGCTGGGTGTCACCCTACTCCAAAATTCTAGTGCTGTCAGTATCGCCGTGAAGCTGAATTCATTCTGATTTTGGAGATTTGTAGCGACGGCACTTTGCTCGCAATAAACTGTCCACAGCTGAGCAAAGATGAACGCGTGGAAGAGGGAGCACATGTGCAGCACGGAGGTCTGAAAAGGAAGAAGACGGCATCAGTGCATTGCATCCCAGCAGGCTGTGGCCCTCCACGGAGTCCTCCCGCATGGCTTTGGTCTTGCCAGGGAGCACAGGGGAAGCACAAAGGCATAACGTTATCTCAGAGTTACAAAGTCATGATTCATCACCTTGAAACTATCTGCTGTGCTCTCTTCTCCACCAGTGGGAGTGTGCTCAGAGAACAAAGCACATTTTTTAAGAGAAGGCACCTTAATTTGCTGAAGAAATCTACCCACCCCCTTGCCCTTTAATGAAACTGACATTCCCATCCCTAAACTAGATTAGGGAGAATAATCATTCTGCCATGTTAGGATGTTTCCTCATCTGTAAAATGGGGATAATAGTAGTCTCTTCAAAGCATGGGAGTAAAGCAGGTGATATACGTGAATACACGCCCAGAAGTTCATAATCATAGCAGCAGCAGCGGAGATCCTCCTCCTAGCGGAAAGCACGTGCAGAGAGAGCACCTACAACACGCCAGAGATGGCGCCAGAGGCTTTTCCTATATCACCTCCATCACTCTCCAACCATCCCCTCGTCTATTTCACAGATGAAAATCTGAATAATAGAGAGGTTAGACACACTTGTCAAGCTCACAAAATCGCAAGTACCATAGTTAGGAATCAAACCCGGATCTGAGTAGAAATATTAGGAATCGACTGCCTAATTCCTTTTGTGAACATCATTTGGATCATTGGGATGGGTGCGCCATTTTATCACATCGTCAGCTTGCCCTGTCCCAAACCCGAGCTGTCCCCAAGACCAATGTGACCTCCCAGAACTTGCCGAAGCTCTGTGAAGGTCCCCTGGCTCCTCGGAGCTGATTAGTACCAATGTGTCCGGTTTGCCTGCACAGGCTCATGACTGGTGCCTGCCTTGGGTCTACTTTCTTCCTTTAGCACATCACCTGTCTCTGCAATTTACAAAGTTCCCCTGTGTAGGTCATGCCAATGTGTGCTTTAGTGAGTTCCCAACTGGCCTTCTTGTTTTCATTTTGTATTTTCCTGTATCTCTAGAGATTTCAGTTGAAAAGATGGTACATGAAGAATTAGATAGAGAATGAATTTTCCTTTGTTTTGTCTCTGGTTTTAAAAACTGATCACAGAATTTTGATTATATTTCTAGCCTTTTATTTCTCTTCATTATTTTGAGACAGAAATGCCTGGGAAGCCAACTCTTGCTTGACTCCATGATTTATCTTTATAAAAGTAAGCCGAAAAACAATTTGGGGGCGGGGGGAAAGACAGTCTGGGAATCTAAACAACTTTAAATAAGACATTAGCACAAAGTTGTGTTTCTAACATCCACAGGAGGGCAAATGATAAGATGTATTTTCTTCTCAGAAGAAACATAATTGGCTGATAAGGTTTCCATTAGCAATTGCGATGCATACGGTCTTAATCTTGCAGAAATCACTTACCTTTGATTGCTCTGGAAATCCAATCAGGATAACAATAAGATGGTCTGCAACGTGGGAGCCTGCATCCAGAGGAATGGGCAGGCAGGGAGAGGAGGCATTTGGGCACACTGCATTGTGAGTGAGGGAACCCAGCAGCAGCCAGGACAACAGTCGGATATGGGAGACACACTCAATGAATTCTTTAGGTCTATTAGAGAAGAAGGAGTGTTAAAGATGATTTTATGTTTTGTGTTTCATTGGGTGCATAACAAATGCTTATTGAAGGAAGGGATTGAAAGTGTGGTCTTGCAGGCAATCACATAAAACAAAACGCCAAGGCAATTGAGTGTCAACAAAATGATATATCTGTTTTTCTTGTTTTCCACTCTAATCCTGGATCTCAGCTTCTTGAGAAAAGAACAGCCTTTGGTGACACAGGATTACACAGCATTCTTCCACAAGGCTGACTGCCTCTCTGACTAGCTTCTCTTTCTAAACCCTTTCCACTCCTGCCTTTAGAAATTTCTTCTCTGGTGGGCCGGGCGCGGTGGCTCACGCCTGTAATCCCAGTGCTTTGGGAGGCTGAGGCGGGTGGATCACCTGAGGTCACGAGTTCGAGATCAGCCTGGCCAACATGGCAAAACCCCGTCTCTACTAAAAATAGAAAAATTAGCTGGGCGTGGTGGTGCATGCCTGTAATTACAGCTACTGGGGGGCTGAGGCAGGAGGATCACTTAAACCCAGGAGGCGAAGGTTGCAGTTAGCTGAGATGGTGCCACTGCACTCCAGCCTGGGCAACAGAGCAAGACTCCGTCTCAAAAAAAAAAAAAAAAAAAAGAAATTTCTTCTCTGGCATCCCCAGTAGAGGGGAGGAAAGAGATGAGGAGATATAACACAGCTGCCCATTTTCCTGCTCCCCAGTGATCTTTTCCTCCTACCCTTCTCATTCCCACTCTACACTTTTCCTCTGGACAGGAAGGCTGACCACACAAAAGGGTGGGCTCAAACCTACTCTGAGTTCCCAAGTCAACAAACCCATACATGCCTCTCTCTTCTTTAGCCTCCCTAAAAGGCAGAGCCAGGGGCTTGTACAATCTTGCACCGATTTCATCCCTGTTATAGCTTTTGTTCCAGCTACAATCTAAGCTGCTTGAAGGCAAATATATTGATACATACCTATTAATTTACTTAACTAGTTGAAATCAAGCATTAAAGTGGTAATTCTAAGCTCAAAATTTTCATTCTTCATGAAAGGACAATTGAGGTTTTTGTGGGAGGACAGGTTTATTTTTTGGCAGCATGTCAAAGAGCATTCTGGGTCAGCAAGTACGTAAGGAGATGGGATCTGATTTCCATCTTCCTAACCAAGTATATTCCACTGTCATAAATCTTCGGTGTACTCCTTAACTCTAGCTGAGCCCGAGGAAACTCAGGGGTGTCTCCTGCCTTCTTTACCCTCATTCCCGGAATAGTAAGGGTCTTACCCTTGCTGCATTGCAGAGGGGGGATGATAAAGCCAAGGCAGATAGCGGATCACAGCTTTGTTATCTCTGTGGTTGCCCCGTGAGATGTCCATGGCTGCAATCTGGGCCAGCCCCACTTTGAGATGTCCCCCAAAGGTATCTTCATGCAGAGGCTGGGAACATGTCTTCATGTGGCTCTACAAAACCGAATGGTATTTTGTAACTCTGGCAGACACCTGGATTCATTCCAGGCCATTCTTTGAAAAGAAGAGGTTGTCATTTCCACCCCGCTTATCGCCACTCTGAGCAAACAACCTGCTTAAACTTCTTCAGAGCCTTCCCATTGTTCTTAGGATAAAAGGAGGGAAAGTTCCCTAGCCTACAAAGCCAGAAAGATCCAGCCACTGAGAACTTACCCCTTCTGCCTGCAGCTCCAGCTGTGTTGGCTCTCTGTGTTCCCCCCTGCTGCTATTCCCTTTGTCTGGAATGCCATTCCTGCCTCTCTTCACCTAATTGTTCAGGTTTTAGCTCAAATGTAACTTCCTCTGGGAAGCCTTCCCTGACCTCCCCGGCCAGGTCCGTGCTGCCTTCTGCCTCTTTTTCATAGCAATTGTGAGAGACACATTTTTACTGTAGTTTGTGTGAAATGTTCACTAAATGTGGCCTCCACTACCAGACTATAAATTAAATGAGAGCAGCTACTGTGTCCGCTTTTGCTCATCACAGCATCCCCAATGCCTAGAACAGTGCCACGACATTACAGGTGCTCATACCTATTTGTTGAATTAATTTAGAAAGATTTCTTTGCTCAGTGTGAGCTCAGTGGGAAGGGCACTGAACTAGGCATTGAGACCTAGGTTCTAGACCCAGGTCTGTCCTAGCTAGTCCCATGGCCTTAGATAAGCCACTTGCCACTTGATCCTTCTGATTTGTTTCCCAATATGTAAAATCAGAGGGTGAGATTATGTCTGTATTTCCAACCTTTTGATGATCCTGGTTCCTACTTATTATTTTTCGAAAGCATCTGCAAAACAACCTAAACATGTTTAGGTAATAATTGTTTCCTCTTCTTTGTACATCAAAGTCATTTAAGTATGGGTATTCAGATTCAGCAAGCAGTAACCGGCACAGGAGCGAACGACAGGGGAGCTCATTAAGAAATGAATGGGTTTACATATCGTGAGATATTCTCAGTTTACATTTTGATTCTACTTTCTGCCTGGGATTTGCAAATCTATCACTGTACCAAAAACCACTTTGATCGTCTGAGCAGAGCCAGAGAACAGTTCAGTGATTAAGGGATGATATTTTTGGCTGATGAACTTCTGGGATCACTAGCTCCTAATTATCAAAAAGGAATCATCTAGCACCAGATTGCAATTTGGCTGCTCCTTGGACCATGTTTGGATTCTCTTCTGCCCTCTGTCTAGGGCCTTCCTCAGATCTCTCAAACTATTCATCTTTTAGCTCCCTAGTTGAATCACAGCAGGAAAGTGGACCTGCATCAGCAATTCATTCCACCCTGCAAAAACTCAATAATCTCAACAATTTCACTGGGATTTTGTCCATATGCAAATTAAATTTTGTTCTATCCCCTTTCATCAAGGATTTTAAGAAAACAGCTTCAATGGAGCAAAAAATAATACATGGTGTATGTTTGCATAATGTGCTACAGTTTATGAAAGTCTCTTCACGTACATTATTTTTGATCAAACCCTCGTAACAGTCAGGCAAGGTACAGATGATTAGATTCGTTCTTCAAATGAGGAAACTGATGCTCAAGGTAATTAAACGATGCTATGTGGTAAAAAGAGAATGAATTGAGAGTCACAAGAATCTTGGGTTCAACCTTGACTTTACCACTTAGTAGTGTGACTTGAGCAAGTACTACACCACCCCAAGCCTCAGTTTCTCCATTTGTAAAATGGGGATAGTATCTTAACAGAGGTATTGTGAGAAGTGAATATATGGCAAAAGTAAAGCTATGCATGTGGCTGATGCCATGTGAATGTCCTTTCCCTTCCTCTTTTCCTCTTTGCAAAGCTGGACCCTGGCTCTTTGATCCCCCAAGACAGGGGCTCATTCAACAGTGCCACGGCTGCCTCCCCAGGTAGCGATAAGTTCCCTATGGTCTGCTTAATTCTCTCAAAGCATCTCTGTTTTGTGAACCTGAGGGATGAGCAGGTGGCGGTCATCTCACCTTCAGTTTGGTCAGCGTGTGCATGTCTGCCATGAAATCCAGCACTTCGTTGATGTACTGCCTCACACACTCCATCGCTGCAGTCCCACACTGAAACACAAGGACACAGCTGGGTCACACCTTCATTTTTGCCCTGACTCCAATGATTGCCTCACTCTGGTTTCACGTTGTTTACTAAGGAGTCGTTTTACTTTCTGGATTTCTGACTCACTCCATTACTCTCAGCTTGGTCTGTGACTGTCTGCCCAGCATTTGGACAAAAATTGATAGAAGGTTTGTGGCAGAGAACAAAGAAACAGGAGAGGCCTATGGGAGATGGGGCTAAATGCTTTTATCCACTGGGTAATTGAACTGATTTTGTGTGTGTGTGTGCTTGTTTTTAAACTGCTTTGTATGCAAAGATTCAGCCTATGTCATGCCATTAGCATCAGAGTCTTTAGGACATCATTCATCCCAAAACATAGCAACACATTCTCATTCTAGGGAAGTCTTAGCTACACATAAAATACGTGCCACCAAATTCTACCACCAGAATCTTGAATCTATTTTCTGTCAAAAAAGTACATAAACAAGCATCGTGTTTGCTGAAAGAGTCAAAAATTCTCATGCTAGTCAAGTCGCTTGCAAATTAACTTCTTATACACAGTAGGTACACTACTAAATAGATACATGTATTACTGTCAAGTTCTTGCTAGGGGATAAATAAAAGAAAGAAACGAAATGGTCATCTTCCCCACATGCTTGAAGTGTGTTTGAAAAGTTTTGAAGGAAAAGAAAGCAAGTTTGTGTTTTAGGTCGTTAAATGACATTGGCCTGCTCTCCCTGAGAATGCAGTGAATTTAGGATTATAAGCAAAGCAAAGGAAAATGAACAAGCAGGCTGCTATATCAAAGCCGTATGAGAGAAACCACACATCAGGCTGGGTATCATGTGGATCAAACGAGGCAGGCTTTGAAGCCAGATGAATACTACGCTAAAGGCCTTCCTCGGCTTTCTTCAGGAAAATCTGGAACATTATAGACTTAACTAGCTCACCCAGTGGCTCTCATTTTCCCATATTCATGTAAATCTGCGCGGTACTGAACTATATCACCTTCTCTCTCTTCTAGAATGTTACGCTTGTCAGTTCTTCTGACAGGATAACAAACAGCAAAGTAAGGTCATTGGCAGTCTGTCAGAGTGTTTTCCAAGCATTTCGTACGTTCCAAAGTTTTCTTCTTTTAATTTAAATCAAGTGAAGGAATTATAAAAGGTTATTGTGTTCCTGCTTTTGGAATATTAATCCTTTCGTGCAAGAAAGGATTTCCCCGCGATTTATTCCATTTTCTCTGACCTTTCACATGTCATGCAAATAGGACTGGAGACTATGTTCTTGAATTTCTTGAAAGGGATTTGTTTCTTTCATAGGCAATATTTTATAGCATTTCAACTAGGCAAATGTCACTGAAAATAATTCCTAGGAGCATTATTCAATATTTGTCTTTTAAGTTTGAATCTCAAAAAATGAGAGCAAGGAATTTACTACCACCAAGTCACTTTTGTTTTAGAGACAACCAGCTACATCTGATAAAAGCCTTAAAATTCACTGTATGGTCAAGAGAATCTTAGTGAGCCATATATACTTAGGAAACAAAACATATAATTTCCAATCCCTCCTCCTTTTTTTCTACTTTGCAAAGCTTAAGAATAACCTTAGGTGTGTTACTTAAGAAACAAAACAGAAGAAGTCAAGCTCCATTTGTTTCAGAAGAGCTACATTTATTTCATAGGAAAACTAACGATTAAAAAGTTGAAAATATTCAAAACTCAAACTCACAAATTGAAGCAAACCATAGCTAATTCTTCCTCAAAACTAATATTTGATTTTAAAGTTACATTTCTTAGATTATAAAAGCAACACATGTTTAATATAGGAAATTTGGAAAATACAGATCATTAAAATTAAAATTGAAATCACCATAATCCTAATTTCCTGTCCTCCACCTCTGGGAAAACTACTGTTAATATTTCCTTCCAAGTTTTTTTAATTTTTCTAATGTATATAACATACACACATACATATAATGTTTATAAGATTGAGATAACATTTTTCTAACTTGCTTTTTAATTAAATACATCATAAGCATTTTCCAATTAATTAAATATTATTTGAAACTTTGATTTGGTAGGTACATAATAGTCTTACCTTATGGATGCAACTTATTTTATTTAAACAATACCCTGATGATGTTAGACATTTACTTTGTTTCCATATTTCTGCTATTTTAAATGATGCTTTAATAAACATACTTAATATAAAACATGTGCATATTTATTTTCTCAGACATATTCCTAAAGGAAGATTGTCAAACTGCCCTCCAGCAAGGTTGGTTTTACTACCACTAGTGGCTTACAAGAATGCTTGTTTCATTTTACCATCAATAAGTCTAATCATTGAGGTGGATCTGCTGGGGAGGGAAAAATGGGGAGGTATTAGTCAAAAGGTCCAAGGCTTCAATTATGCAAAGTGAGTAAGTCCTAGAGATTTACGGAGCAGCGGAGTCCCTAGAGTTAGAAATATTGCATTACATACTTAGAAATTTCTTAAGAAGGTAGATCTTATGTAAAGTGCTCTCATTGCTAATGACAAACAAACAAAAAAACAAATAGGGCAGGAAGAAACTGTTGGAGATGATGGATATGTTCATGGCATAGATCACAGTAGTAGTTTCATGAATGTATAATCATTTCCAAACTCATCAAGTCACATACATTAAAGATATGCAGCTTCCTATATGTCCTTCATGCCCTGATGAAGTGTGTGTTTTTTTTTTTTTGAGACAGAAAAGTCTGCTGATTGGCTAGCCGATTTTAATTTTTATATTTTAAAATATTTTTATACTTCATATTAACTTACAATTCATTGATTGCTATCAGAGTAAAAGGTTTATTTTTAATGGCTTATTGGTCATCAGAAAGGGACCTATATGTTGCTTTTCTGTTGTTGTTGGAATGTTCGTCTTTTAATTACTGATTTCAATAACCCTTTTATTATTAGGGACATTATTTTTTTAGCTATGGCATAGGTAGCAAATATTGAGTTTTAAAGAATTAAACGATAAAGGAAACAGCGAGCATGCAGCAGAGACTGGCTAGCCACTCCCCAGGTCTGTCTTCTTCCTTGGCCCACAACTAGACCACATTTCCCATCATCCCTTGCAGTTGGGTGTGGTCATGTGACTGAGTTCTAGCCAATGGAATGTGAGTAGGAAAAAAACCACACACTTTTAGACTTGGCCTGTGAAAACCCCATGGGCCATATTCTCTTCCCTTTCCCCAACCACAATCAAGCTGATTGCAGCGGACTGCACATAATGGAAGAAACCTGATCCCCGAGTATGCACGTGGAAATCCCCCTTTCCCTACTAATCAGGATACCCATTTAAACTTCATATGAGCAAACAATAAACTTTCATAAGTCGTTGAGAATTGGGATTTTTGTCTCATAGAACCTTGTATTACATTATCAAGAACCCTTAAAAAAAAAAACATAGTTTAGTCATTCTATTCCCAGAAATCTATTATAAAGAAATGGTCTGAAGTATGGACAAAGATTTAAGCACAAAGATGTTCTTTGCATATTAGTTACAATAGAAAAATATAGAAAATAACTAAAATATCAAAAAATAGGCAATGTTTGTTAATATTTTTAATAGATAACATTTTCACAGCATTTACTATGTCTGGCTCCTTGCTAATATGCTTTGCATGCATTATCTCGTTCAATCCTCAAACTATATGTTAAACCCTGTTATATCCCATTTGACAGATGTTATGAATCAAAGAATTATAGGTTAAAATACGTTCCAAAAGTCACATAGCTAGTAAATGGCAGGCCTCAAACCCTGATGTAAGTCTAAAGCCTACATTCTTAACTACTATTCTATGAAATGTAAGTATGTAGACAATGAATTTGGTCAGGACTTACTCCAGGTACAGAGGCTATCATCTGCTTGCTCAGGATTGTTGACTCAGCTAGTTTGGTTCCAGCATCTGCACAAATAAACTAATAAAAAAGTGAAAGGATAATTATTTTTAAGGGTATCTGGACATTAATAAGTAATTTATCATTTTATTAACTTGGCTTAAATTAATTAGTGTTTATTTTCATGACGATCTGCCTTGGATAGATCAGATTTGCTAATCATGATGGTTCATTCCTATCAGAAACTCAGAATCACAGTACTAAAATTAACACACAGAGTCTTACTTTACCCAGACTGTTAAGTGGCACTGAAATGGTGCATTCAATCAAAGAAAAAATAAAAGATGTCAGCATTGTCAGATTTATTGTGAAGTCATTCTATTTATTGTTTAGTACTTCTTGACAGTTACTGTAAGCACATTTCATACAGTTTCATGATTTCTATTATCGTATCATATATTTAGAAAGAAACCAGAAAAACAATCAACCTCAGAGTGAGTATTCTACCTGTTTCTTCCCCACAGGGGAACTTCAGCATCTCATCTTCCTGCCCCTATTCATCCACATGTATCCTTTGTGCTGATAAAGACCCCCACTCCTTCTCTGGGGGCCCAGAGGACTTTTCACACACTTCCATTGTAACAGTCACCACGTCAGACTGCAGTGACTTATGGGTCCATTTCTCAACCTGCTGTGAGCTCTTCAAGAGCACAGGCTTGATGCACCTCATCCCCAGCACTAGCTTGGTGCCGGACACCTCAGAGGGGCTCAGTGAGAGTTTACAAAGCAAATCCATTAGCCAGTTATGACTTGAGATCATTACAAGAATGGATTTGCCAGATTTCAATTTAATTTGCTTCATTACAGATTTTGACAGGTGTTTCTCACTTAATGCAGCACTCAATTATTTATTAATAGTCTTAGGAAAAAAAGTTAACCATGAAGTAGAGTTGGCTATGAGCAATTAGGTCCTGTTCAATTTATATTTCCTGCCCTCTGGCCAGTAGCCTTAACAACTTTGGGACCTGAAACTGCTGCTGTGCAGAGTTCAGAAGTTTCAGCACCAGTCGCTCCGCCTTCTCATTCATTTTGTTCTCATACTGGAAGGCACAGGGAAGCTGAATGGGTCAGCAGGCTCGGTCCCTGTCACACTAGAGAGAAGTAATAACAACTAGGGTCGCAGAGTAAATCTCTAGGAGGCCTGATAAGGAGGCATGGAACAAAGGAACAGAAACCAGCATATTATCGGGCTAGTCAGGGGTTTAAATGTAAGCATTATTAACAGGTAGCAGGTTTTGGCTAACTGGGTACACCTCTAAGCCAAAGGCCTCCTGAGGCCAAGGAACCCTTAGACTTCCGGCTCAGGGCCAAGAGCTGGTGTTCAAGTGTGGGAGGGGCGTCCTCCATGGAAAGCACGTAAGTATATGTAACTGAATGGGGGCAAGAGGGCACAAGCAGAGCTGTCCCCAAGAGCTGTGTGACAGGAGTGGACACAGATCTCCACATTAACATTCTGTCATTTCCATTTGCCTCAAATACAGTTACAGAAAACTGAAGAATCTATTTAGCCATTAACTCTGAATCTGGCATAGAAGGGGACAACTGGTAACATCCTGGGAACACCTAGCGTTTTCTATGATCTTATCCAGGTTTGCTATGTCTGCTCACCTAACTTAAGCTTATTTCTAATGTAAGGAAAAGTAAATAAATCAGGTTTTAGAAAATGTAAAGCCTTTAACTCCAGCCAAAACCTATAAGTAAAAAAATGAAACCTGAAATATTTGATAGACGTACACAGTGAACAGAAGGAACACTCCCAACCCAGTCTCCTGGTAGAGATTGCATGTTTTCCCATAAAATTCATTTTAAAAAGCTATCTAGGCCAGGTGTGGTGGCTCACGCTTGTAATCTCAGCACTTTGGGAGGCTGAGGTGGAAATTAGCCAGGTGTGGTGGCACATGCCTGTAACCCAGCTACTCAGGAGGCTGAGGCAGGAGAAGAATCGCTTGAACCTGGGGGGCAGAGGTTGCAGTGAGCCGAGATGGCACCACTGCACTCCAGCCTGGGCAGCAGAGTGAGACTCTGCTTCAAATAAATAAATAAATAAATAAATAGCTATCTAAGTCTTCAGTCTAAGACAAACAACTTATAATTGAGTTCTAAAACCTCTGTGAGGACAACAGCATTAATTTTAATTAAGTTATTTACATCAGAAATGATATTGCATAGCTAAGAGAGGCCACAGGGGAGACAGAGCCATATCTACTATGCGAGGTAAGGGGCTCACTTAGAGCTGTCTCTATAAGGATGGTTTAAAGTCCTAGACCCCACTTAAGTATGTTTGCATGGCCTGGATGGGCCCTTGAGGTCAAGATAAGGTTTGTGAAGAAGTAAAATTTTAAATGTCTGTATCTCCCTTCAGCAGATCACTTTCTCACCTATAATACTCAGCAAAGTGCAATGCAGAGCATAATGTAAGCACATTTCAGCATGGTTAGCAATCACACAGCGTCAAGATCTGAGGTTGGATCCAACTGTCTGATTTATGAGAACTCTTACTAGTCAGAATTAATCAAAAATCACCCTAAAAGTAAAGGAGGTACACAGAGAATCCGGCATATTAAAGGAAATAAAAGTGCATAAGCCTCAGAAATCATCTTTTTTTTATCCATGCATTGTCATCCAGCATATTTTTACATCAGATGCACAACTAAAACCTTAATAAACCTTTCTGTCTTTGTTTTCTATGGCTGCCAACCATAAACTGAAAAAAAATCTATTATGATGTTATAGAGCTGCTCAAAATATAATCATATATAACAAGAATCAGGGAAGGAAATGATGATCGCTGTCGAAGGAAGAGTTCTGTACCTTGAGGGAAATCGGGCACTGAAATATGCATTCCCCCATGAATACAAAAGAAACATGATATCTATTATATGTCATTACTAACTTCATTATCAAAATGATACCCAAAATAATGTCTTCACCTCTAATCTCAGAGTGATCACATTGTTACGAACTCAACTAATATTAATAACCCCATTCAATGATAACTCTGTGAATTAAAAACAACAGCTGTTCCTCCACCAGTTCTCTGTCCTCCAGCCCACAACGAACACATCTTTAAAAGAAAACCTTTCTTCAACAATATGATCTCTCATAACTTCAATATGCAGGTATACCCCACAGACTGGGAGTGGTACATGCAAATTAGCAGAATATCTACTTTTTTTTTTTGAGATGGAATCTCGCTCTGTTGCCAGGCTGGAGTGCAGTCGCGCGATCTCGGCTCACTGCAACCTCTGTGTCCCGGGCTCAAGCGATTCTCCTGCCTCAGCCTCCCGAGTAGCTGGAAATACAGGCAGATGCCACCACATCCAGCTAATTTTTGTATTTTTAGTAGAGACGGGGTTTCACCATGTTAGCCAGGATGGTCTCGATCTCTTGACTTCGTGATCCGCCTGCCTCAGCCTCCCAAAGTGTTGGGATTACAGGCGTGAGGCACCACACCCGGTCGAATATCTACTCTTGACACATAATAGGAGCTAAGGAAATTCTTTCTGATTTGAACTTAAACAGTCTTTATGGTGGGAGTTATCACTTATTATGAAAACTCTAATCTATCTTGAGAACAATTATAATAACCTATTACACATAAAATATCCACAGCAAACCAGCAAAAAAGAAAATATTGGAAACAAAAAGCAAAAACGTCAATAGATCTGAATTAAAATAATGTGCTAGTGCATCTGTCCAAAATGCAAAAGGAGAACTATGCCCTGGGGATCAACAATTTGGACTCTGAAATGACATTTTTCTATTCAGCAAATTCTTTCCTATCTCCACGCCTCTTTTTCATTAAAAAGAAAAAATCCACCTGAACATTTAAGGCCACCCAGCTTCACATGTAAATTCACACATAAACTTTACATATGTAAACTTCATATGTAAAAAAACTTTATACGTAAACAACAGTGGTCATGGCTAGACAACCACAATAGAGGCAGCTGGGGAATTCCCCATGATGCCAGGCCTCCAGGGAGAACTTCTAGGAATTAAAAAACAGATTGGTACCAGTTACTGTCTTGACATGTTTAAAACTTGGGTGATCCCACATTTCTTGGACAAGCATTCTATTTGTTCTTTTAGGGGCCTCTCTTACTGCCAGAGTATTTGGCAACACAAAGGTATGGTCTATCTATGAGAAGAATAGAAATGGTTCCATCTTAGTGAGCTCATCTATCTACTGTTATTAATTAGAAAAGTAGTAGAGGAAATATCAGCAGTTCCCTATGGGGTGAAAGAATGAACGGGAAATGCAACATTGGAGCAACAGACTCTGTTTTCAGCATGGGGACCAGTGTCATTCGTGATGGATCACCTAGGGAGTTTTTCCTTCTGGTTACTGATCTTTTTTACATTTCCAAATTGCATTTTCAGTTAACTAAACCCATCCTCACTGGGTGGCCTTCAGATGATGGTCACTGATATACATAAAGAAAGTCACTGTCTGCTCCTGGCAGATCATCTGTCCCTGATGTAAGCCTGGTTGTCCAAGTGCCAGGAGGTGACAATGCCCAAAGGTAAAGGGGAAAGGTTTCCTCTGACTCCAGCCTAGATCTTTGGCCTAAAAGAAGCTTCCAGAGAGTAGGCTGTCATTTCCACTATTCTACAGAGAACACCTGGAGGACCCAGGCAGTCAAGGGCAAGAAAAAAAGCAACTGAGAAACCCTAGAAAGAGGCACTAGGCCAGGCGCAGTGGCTCACGCCTGTAATCCCAGCACTTTGGGAGGCCGAGGCAGGCATATCACGAGGTCAGGAGTTTGAGACCAGCCTGATCAACATGGTGAAACCCCATCTCTACTAAAAATACAAAAATTAGCTGGGTGTGGTGGTGCGTGCCTGTAGTCCCAGCTACTCAGGAGGCTGAGACAGGAGAATCACTTGAATCCAGGAGGTGGAGGTTGCAGTGAGCTGAGATTGCACCATTGCACTCCAGCCTGGGTGACAGAGCAAGCCTCCATTTCAAAAAAAAAGAGGAACTACTCACAAGAGAAACAACGTTTCTCCTCATCCCATCTGACATGGTTTGGCTATGTCCCCACACAAATCTCACCTTGAATTGTAATAATCCCCATGTGTCAAGGGGCCAGGTGGAGATAATTGAATGGTGAGGGTGGTTTCCCCCATACTGTTCTCATGGTAGTGAATAAATCTCACAAGATCTGATGGTTTTATAAATGGGAGTTCCCCTGCACAAGCTCTTTTGCCTGCTGCCATGTAAGACATGAATTTGCTCCTCAATCACCTTCGCCGTGATTGTGAGGCCTCCCCAACCATGTGGAACTGTGAGTCAATTAAACCTCTTTCTTTTATAAATTATCCAGTCTCAGGTATATCTTTATTAGCAGCATGAGAACAGACTAATATACCATGTGTGGCCCCATGGAAGACTTCTCTCCATGACTTAGGCAGGACCACAGGGCAGAAAAGGGAACTACTCTGTTTTAAGGTATGCCTCACTTTTATTTCTCTGATTAGAAATAAAAATTGCTTAAGAGTTTATAGAACAAAGATTTGTTACTTTGAAATGGCTTAATTTTTTTTTCCCTTGGTGCTGAAACCCAGGAACAAACCACGCTCAACATTTTTTGTTGGAGAAGACTGAAACATTTCCATAAAGTTGTTTTTCCTGGGCATGATCTGAAAATGTCTCCAAAATACCCCTTCAATCTGAATAATTTTACAACTTGATGTTTTGTAACTTAATGATTTCAATGACAAGTCACACATTTGTTTTAAAAAGATGAAATGGTAGATGAAAACCCATAAAACACATTCAGAAGTATCTTTTTGCTGTCTTTCTTCTTCATTTGTTTTTGTTATTTATTCACCTAACTGTGATGCAATAATCACTGTTTTTGTGGTTTCCTTAAGCACTGGGTAATTTAAACTGTCAGTGTTCTTTTGGCATCTTGTGACAAGTGCTTATTACAGTTGACTAATGTATTGCATTGAAAACCAGTCTCCAGCAGTTACAGTATGGAGTGCTAGACCCCAAGAAGATCAGCCACACAGATCTGCTCTGCTCAAGACAAAGGGCAATTAAGGGAATGCTGTTCACTGTCCGCAGGAAAGCACCTTCAGTGCCCTGAAGTCTAGGTGGTTTTCAGGTGGCACATCTCCAACTGCAACACTCTCAGAAGCAAGTGACCTCCAGACACAGTCAGGCTGCTAACCTTAAATCCCTCCCGGGATATTTCCCTAAGCCCTGTTCACCTGCCCTCTCCTCCAAGTCAGTGTAGATCCCATGAATCTTCAAAAAGATCTTTTTGGGCCAAGAGCAGTGGTTCACACCTGTAATCCCAGCACCTTGAGAGGCGAAGATGAGTGGATAGCTTGAGTCCAGGAGTTCAAGACCAGCCTGCGCAACATGGCCAATCCCCATCTCTACTAAAAATATTTAAAAAATTGGCCAGGCATGGTGGCCCACACCTGTAGTCCCAGCTACATCAGAGGCTGAGGTAGGAGGATCACTTGAGCCAGGGAGGCAGAGGTTGCAGTGAGCTAAGACCATGCCACTGCGTTCCAACCTGGGTGACAGAGCAACATCTTGTCTCAAAAATTAATTAAAAATAAATAAGTAAAAAAGTCTGTGTGAACACTGCTTGTTCTCAAAGGCAGTGTTGCTGCTGCTATGTGAGCAGAAGGGCCTGGCCAGTGCAATCCACAGAGAGAAATGCAAAGTTGGTTTCTCTTTAGGAGCACAGATATTTTCTGGCTGTGACTTTGCTTGTCTTCCTCCTGGGATGTCCAGTAACTTGGTATAATAAGAGCCACTTCATTCTGATGACAGCATGCCCTGCATCCATTGCTGTCATTTTCCAGCAATCACTGACTCACTGAGAGTTCAATGTGTCCTAGAAAGCCCTTCAAAGACAACTCAAGACCATTCATTGAAAGTACACCAACTTTTTAATTAAATCTCAAGCCTTTGAGAAAAACTCAGTTCTGATCCTAATGATTTGTAGTCTCTAGAGAGGGAGTACGGAGACCAGGCAGTGGATATTCAACAGTAAATGACAAGAGTTGTTCCTCATCTTCTCTACTGGGTCAACTCCTGAACTTCTGTGCATCCTTCAAGGTGCATGTGAACTCTTCTACAAACAACACTTCCTTACTCAGTACACATCTCTACTACTGTACCCGTTGCACTATGTGGGAATTTTTTTTTTTAACTTACATGTCAACTTCAATTGCTAAATTGTAAACTCCTGGAAGGAAGGGGTCATGGCTGATTCTTCTGTTTCCCCAGCACCCTGCAGAGCACCTGGCCCATGTCAGGCCTCATAATGCTTCATAAGCCTTCCTCCGTCTCCTAGGTTCAGTTAGCCACTTCCTCTTCCACAGTGTTTTATACACTGTCTAGACTTTCAGGAGAGTAATTGGCACATTATCAGGATATGCCTGTCACATCTCTATATTCCCAGAACCCAGCCCAAGATAGGTGGTCAGTAAATATTTGTGGTGGGAAATACTGCTGAAGAGTCAGATGTGGCCAGATGATGGAAGACCTGGATAGTTCAGACCTTACAAGGTCACTCTAGGTTTCTGATGCAAGAGTGATCTCTATCAGAAAAGCGGAGTTTCAGCAAAATTCCTCTAGGCAGCCACAGGCCAGAAGATTGGGTTGGTGCGGAAAGAGATTAAAGAGGTGCACAAAGCTAAGAGCTGTTACAGTAATCCACGTAAGGGATGGAAAGGGCCTGTCAAGGCTGTGTGTTATACCAAAGGGAGCTGGGCTCTGAGCCCTAACACACTGAAATCAGGTGCTTGATACTACCTGTCACTTAGGCCAGCACCGTGGTCTTGGGCAAGCCACTGAACCCCCCCATGCAATACAGAACCAATGCTTCACGAAGCTGTAAGGATCAAATGCTTAACACATAATAGGTCCTCCATTAGTGTTCCCTTCTCTCTCATGTCTCCAAAATGAGTACTTAGAATTCAGGGAAATCTGTCTAGTTCCTTGATACCAAGCTCCCATATTCCTTCAATCATTTAACCCTCAGCTTGTAGGCCCAGACTCTGGGACTGGTCTTAATGCTCATCAGCGAGTGCTGACACAGCTGTGATGCAATGGCTGGGCACTTTACCCAAAGGCCATTGAATGACACCCTGATCCCAGCTGTAGCTCATGGCCAAGTCTCTAAATCTAGCCTCAACCCTTGGGTGAGAGGCAGGGTGCCAGGTTACCTGAACCCCTGCTGATTCCTCTGGCACAGCCATTCTACTTTTTCTCAACCCTATCCTCATGCCATTATCCCTAAATGTACTCCACCATCCTGCCTAAGCCTCCCCTATGCTTGAAGCCAGTCAACCTCTCTATGCTGAACCCTAATCCCAGGCAAAGACATTTGTCTGTACCCTCCAGTCGTTTGTGACCCAACTCAAATGCTACTTCCTTCATGAAGTCTCTGATTTCACATCATAAGGGGTGGGATCCATCCTGCTCTCAACTTCTCCCTAGGAGTTTTTTTACCTCTTTCTCTCATGGCACTATCATAGCCTGTCTCAGGTCATCGAAACCTGCATGCCTGCCTAAGATGCTGAGTTAAGGACAGCAGGGTAGAAGGCTTTAGTCCCTCAGAAGCCCTAAAACCAAAAGCATAATTGTTGCCAGTTCTCGAAAGCCTGCCTTATAGTGGTCCTCAGCTTCAGTGGTCCCCTGAGGGCTGAAGCGTACCTACACCCAACTGTGGGTACCACTCAGTGCATCCTGCCATTTGACTGTCTCTGGCCTGACCCACCCTCTCCTTTACTTCTGCTCACAGAGATTCAGGGATCACCCATACTCATTTGACTCTGCAGTCAGACCTCAGCCTGTTCCCCCACTTCTGGCCTCAGTAGACCTGTCTCAGCTCTGGTGACTGACCTGACCCTCTAACCTACTGGATCACGCATTTCTTGGGGACAAAAATTATTGTTTTATTCTTCTTTTTAACCCCCACAGAACTAATTCCACAGTAGGAACAAAATCAATACTCCTTCTTGGACTTTTTTAGCCAGTGGAAGCGTCAGGTGCATACTATTAGTTAGATCATGGTCCATATAAGATATATTATTTATCATCTCTAAGCAAAGATATTTAGTTCTATGCATACACTCTACACCTCCCTTAATTTTCCCAAACATACATGGATCTCATGAAAAGTTTTACAAATCAAGCATGAGCTTACCTGAACAAGCAGAAGAAGGTTTGTATCTGGTAAAGGAGATTTGAGCTTTAGGGCCTGCAGAAGTTCTAGAACAACACTACGAGACAAGTAGAATTTATCTCGTTCCTAAAGAAAACAAAACAGAAGGAGGTAAGTGATTTTAGAAATTCAATTAGAGTATATCCATGTCAAAAGAGCTTCCAAAAAATTCACGGGTCAGAAATAAAAAACAGTATTCAAAAATGCATAGTGAAGTGTCCTCAAGAAATAAAATTAGAACAAAAAAAAGGCATTTTTGTGTGTGTAATGAGTTTACAGGAGCACTGAGGACAAATAATTTAATGGATAAGAAAAAGATAAGCTATCTCTTAAACACTGATGCCCCAGTATTTGGTTCTTATTCACAGGAAACAGGTTCCAAGAACTGCAGCAATTAAATCAGTCGAAAAGTATTTTTTCAACACAAAATGATTTAGAGAGAAACATATACAACTCTTTATTCTGTGACCTCTCCAAGGAACTTATTTCTGAAATGGACTATTTCAAGCATCCAGAAAAATGGAGAGAATGGAATACAGTATGCACCTACCACCCTCTTTGTCAGATCACATCATTTTGCTTTATTTGATTCATCCTTTTTTGGAATCCTAGCTTCTTTCATTCTTTCTTAAATTCATACATAATATTTGTACATATTTATGGGGTACATGTGATATTCTGTTGCATGCACAGAATGTGTAGTGATCAAGTTAGAGTATTTAGGTTATTCATCATCTTGAGTATTTATCATTTCTATGCATTGGGAACATTTCAAGTCCTCACTTATAGTATTTTGAAATGCACAATATACTGTCATTAGTTATGGTCACCTTACTCTGCTATTGAACATTAGAACTCATTTCTTCTATCTAACTGTATGCTTGTACCCATGAACCACTCTCTTCATCCTCCCCACACACACCCTTCCCAGCCTCTGGTAGCTATCCTTCCACACTCTACCTCCATGAAATCAATCTTTTTTTAGCATCCCCATATAAGTGAGAACATATGATATTTGTCTTTCTGTGCCTGGATTATTTCACTTAACATAACAAACTCCAATTCCATCCCTGTTGCTATTTTTTATGGTTGAATAGTAGTTCATTATGTATACATGCCACATTTCTTTATCCATTTGTCCATTGATGGACACTTAGGTTGACTCCATACTCTTGCTATTGTGAATACTGCTGCAATAAACATGGGAGTGCAGGTATCCTTTTGATATACTGATTTCTTTTCATTTGGATAAATACCAAGTAGTCACATTGTTGAATCATAGGACAGGTACTTTTTAGTCTTTTGAGAAATATCTATACTGTTTCCTATAGTGGCTTCATAATTTAAATTCCTACCAACAGGGCGCAAGAGTTCCCTTTTCTCCATATCCTCGCCAGGATCTGTTATTTTTTGTCCTTTTGATAATAGCCTTTCTAACTGGGGTAAGATGATATCTCATTGTGGTTTTGATTTGCATTTCCCTGATGATTAGAGATATTGAGCATTTTTTTTCATATGCCTGTTGGCCATTTGTATGTCTTCTTTTGAGAAATGTCTATTTAGGTCCTTTGCCCACTGTTTAGTGGGATTATTTACTTAGAGGGATTATTTATTTAGTGGGATTATTTACATTTTTGTTGTTGTTGTTGTTTGCTTGTTTGTTTTTAGACAGGGTTTCACTCTTGTTGCCCAGGCTGGAGTGCAATTGTACTATCTCAGCTCACTGCAACCTCTGCCTCCCGGGTTCAAGCAATTCTCCTGCCTCAGCCTCTCAAGTAGCTGGGATTACAGACATGTGCCATCATGCCCAGTTAATTTTGTATTTTTAGTAGAGATGGGGTTTCTCCATGTTGGTCAGGCTGGTCTTGTACTCCCAATCTCAGGTGATCCACCTGCCTCGGCCTCCGAAAGTGCTGGGATTACAGGTGTGAGCCACCGCGCCTGGCCCTGTTTTTTGTTTTTTTACTGTTGAGTTTGAGTTCCTTGTATATTCTGGATATTAATCCCTGGTTGAAAGTTGATTCATCCTTTTTAAATAATAAATATCACAGAAACAGCTGAAGCTACCTATACAGTGCTCTCTTTTCTTTCTTCCTTTCTCTCTTCTTTGAAGTGGCCACTATTCTGAATCTGGTATTTATTATTTCATGTATGTTTTTACAGTTTAACTACATATGTTTGTCTCCATTATAATATATAATATTGTTTGGCATTTTTAAACTTTCTGTAATGTTATCTTGTGCATATCTTTCCACAACTTGTAATTACTCACTGCAATATATCTTTGAAATTATCCTTATTGATACATATAGCTCTGGTTCTTTCAACTCAACAGCTTAACAATATATTATTGTATGAATACACCAAAATTAATCAATCAGTCCCCCTGTTGATGGAATGTTGAATTGGTTTCAATTTTGTAAGACTTTTCTATTGTTGAATATAACACATGTGCAGAAAAGTACATAAAATATAAGCATACAGTTAAATGGATTCATATGTATGATACTGTAAAATATATATTTGGTCTTTGATCCTGTATCTGATATACAACTCCTAAAATCCTTAGACTCTCCCAAACTGATTCTTTTTGTATGCTAATAAGTTGACTGATGGCTGGCAGCCTAGGTAGCATTAGGAAGAGGACTGATCATCTGAAAGACCAAGGCACAATTAGAGAGTTGGGGCTATCAGCCCCACCCCTCAACCTTTAGAGAAGTGCTTAGAAGGGTTGATGGCTGGATTGATCACCAATGGTCAATGGATTAATTGACCATGTCTACATAATGAAACCTCCATAAAAACCCAAAAGAAAAGGGTTTGGAGAGCTTCTGGATAGCTAAACACATGGAGGGTTCCTGGAAGGTGGCATGCCCAGAGAAGGCATGGAAGCTCTGTGCCCCTTCCCATGTGCCTTGCGTTATACATCTCTTCATCTATATCCTTTCTAATATCCTTTATAACTGGTAAATGTAAGCAAGTGCTTTCCTGAGTTCTGTGAGCTGCTCTACCAAATTAATTGAGCCCAAAGAGGAAGGATCCCTAATTTATAACCAATTAGACAAAAGCACGGGTAAAACAACCAGAGCCTGCAATTGGCAAATGAAGGTGGGAGATGGAGGACAGTCTTAGGGGCTGAGCCCTCAACCCATGGGATCTGATGCTATCTCCAGGTAATTAGTGTCAGAATAGAAATGAGTCTATTCTGCAGAATCCATTGCTTGCTTTTTGGTGGGAAGAAATCTCCACACATTTGATCACAGAAGTCTTTGGTCTTGATAACTGTGAGAGCAGAGGAAAAACATGGCTTGAGTTTGAGTTTTTCCAGTCTCAGAAGATGGACCGAACACTCATGTAATCACCTCCCAGACAAACAACAGCACATTGCAAGTGTCTCAGAAGCCCTGTGTATCTTAATCCTTTCATAATCAAATAAGTAGAGTCCCTGTGGGGTTGTCTCCACTGTCTTTTCTTCCTATTCATTTTCACTCATTGTGTCTTGCCCCCTCATATGTCTGGTTATCTTTGATTGTGTGCTGAATGCTTTGTTAGGAAGATATTTGCAGAAATGGTTTGCAGCCTGAAATGCTACCTTCCTTCAAAGAGCTTTCTGTTTGTTTAGTGTCGGGGGCACAATCACAGCTCACTGCAGCCTTGACCGCCTGGGCTCAAGTGATCCTTCCACCTCAGCCTTCAGAGTAGCTGGAACTACAGGCATGCGCTACCATGCCCAGCTAATTTTTTTAAAATTTTTTTATAGAGACGAGGTTTTGCCATGTTACCCAGGCTCAGGGTTACCTTAATACACATACAAGGCTTGTAATATTTTACATTGGGCTACCACAGGGCTTGACACTGAGCTGTGTCCACATGAAGGAAAGTTACTATGGGGGTGTCTTTACACCAAAATGTAAAGCCAAAAATGTGTGGGTCAGGAGGCATGGCATCAGGGTCTCCATTCTTGGTAGGTTCTGGATCCGGACTTTTGTTCCTCTAGCCTCATGGGGCTTCCAAAACTGCAGCCTCTCAGTCACATCTAGATTGACAAACACTCCCTGGGTAAAAATGGCCATCAGTGCTGGGCTAACACCTCTGAATATCTGGGCTCTTCCTGATCTGAGCCTCATAACCCTTCTCTATATAGTTAGCATTTTGAAGAAGTTTTCAGAAAATGTTTTGTTCACTTTTTTTCTTTTTACTTTTTAAGTTAACTGGGAAAACAGGTTCAAATTATCTTGTTTACCACCACCAGAAGAGAAAATCCAGGATTTTAATTGTCATTATACTAAACCTATAGGTTGTTCTGTGAGAATTACCTGTTTTTACTACTCTGGGTCTTCATCCATGAACATAAAATCTCTTTCCATTTATTTAACATTGTGTAATGCTCTCCAGTAAAATGTTCCAGTTATCTCCATAAAGTTCTTGCATATTCTTTTTTTTTTTTTTTTTTTTTTTTAGACAATGTTCTCACTCTGTTGCCCAGGCTGAAAGCTCACTGTAGCCACAAACCCCCAGACTCAGGTGATTTTCCCACCTCAGCCCCGCAAATAGCTAGGACTAGAGGATAATTTTTTTTTTTTTTTTTGTGAAGGACACAGAGTCTCACTCTGTCACCCAGGCTGTAGTGCAGTGGTACAGTCACGGTTCACTGCAACCTCTACCTCCTGGGGCTAAGCAATTCTCCCACCTCAGCCTCCCAAGCAATGGGACTACAGGTGCGTGCCATTATGCCCAGCGAAATTTTTGTATTTTGGTAGAGACAGTGTTTCACTATGTTGCCCAGGCTGGTCTCAAACTTCTGAGCTCAGACAATCCACCCACCTTCACCTCCCAAAGTGCTAGGATCACATGCATGAGCCACTTTGCCCCGCCTAATTTTTTTTTTGTATAGAGATGGAGTCTCGCCTTGTTGCCCAGGCTGGTCTCAGGCTCCTGGGCTCAAGCGATCTTCCCACCTTGGCCTTCCAAAGTGAAGGGATTATAGGCATGAGCCACCACACCCAGCCATTGCACATTCTTAATAGATTTATCTTTTGTCACCACAATAGATGACATTTTAAAAGTATGTTTTATAATCATCTGTAGTTGAATATTAAAATTTGGTGATTTCTGGGTATTCATTTGTATCCAGCATCCTTGCTGAGCTCTCTTGTAGGTTCTAAAAAGCTGTCTATAGATTCCCTTTGGTTCATTTGTAATCGTATCACCTATGAAAAATGAGAGTTGTATTTTTCCTTTCTAATCCTTATACCTTTGATTTCTTCTTCCTGTCTTGCAGAACTGAATGGGACCTCCAGCACCATGATAAATAGAAACAGTGATGATAGACTTTCTCATCTTATTTATGATTTTAAAGGGATGACTCTTAGCATTTCACCATTAAATATAATGCTGGCTAGATGTTTCTGGTAGACCCACTATATGAAGTTAAGAAAGTTCCCTTCTATTCCTAGTTTGATAAGAGCTTATGATAAATGACTGAATTACAAAAAATTATTTTCTTGCACCTGCTGAATAATGATAGAAGTTTTACTTCTTCAATCTGATAACATGGTGATATTAATAGATGTTCTAATATTTAAACATTTTTATATTTTGAGACATTTCCAACTCTGTCAAGAGGCCCTATTTTTAATGATTGATTTGCTATTATTCATTCAGAAGTTTTGCATCTATGAAGGATATTGACCTATAATTTTCCTTTCCCCTATTGTCCTTCTCTGGTTGATATCAAAATTCTACTGGCCTCATGAAATGTGTTGGGAAGTGTTCCTTTTTTTCTATTCTATTAGTTTGTATAAAGAAGAGATCGATCAGTTCTTAAATGTTTAGTAGAAGTTGTCCTCTAAAGCTGGAATAGTTTTTGAGGGTAGGTTTTTAACTATTGATTCCATTTTCCAGGCACCTAAGTCTAGTCAGTTACTTCTTTTTCTTTCTTTCTGGATGTTTTGTATTATATATTTCTAGAAAATTGTACCTACTGTCAAAGATTTCAAATTTACTGGCATAAGGTTGTTGATTTCAAAATCTCTGTCTGTAGTTATGCTGATATTCTTTATCAGTGTGTTTTATCTGGTTTTCTTGATCAGTCTTGCCAACGGTTTGTCTATTTTATTAGTCTAGTCAAAGAGCCACCTTTCTGTTGTATTGATCTTCCATTGTATCTATGTTTTCCTTCCTTCTTTCCTTCCTTCCCTCCTTCTCTCCCTCCTTTGTTCCTTCCTTTGTCCTTCCTTCCTTCCCTCCTTCTCTCCCTCTCCTTCATTCCTTCCTTTCTTCCTTTCCTTCTTCTCTCTCTCCTTCCTTCCTTCTTTCTTTTTTTCAAAGAAGAAGAAAGGGTCTTGCTCTGTCACCTAGCCTAGAGTGCAGTTGGTGCAATCATAGCTTGTGGCAGCCTCAAACTCCTGGGTTTAAGCAATCCTCCCACCTCAGCCTCCAGAGCAGCTAGGACTACAGGTGCATGCTATCACACTGGCTAATTGTTTTATTTTTCTGTAGAGACAGGGTCTTGTTATGTTGCCCAGGCTGGTATATCTGTTTTTTATTTCATTAATTTCTGCTATTATCTTTACTGCTTCCTTTCTTTAATTAATTAATTGCCTACTATCTGTTCCATGTTTTAAAATCTTCCACATTTTTAAATCTGTTCTAAAATTGGTTGATTCAGGATTCTTTATATGACCGTTGCATCCACTTTGCTCACTGTTATTGTTTGAATCTACTATATGTTTTATCTGCTTGATCTATCCATAACTGAAAGAGAAAATCTCCCTGTATAACTGTGAATTTATCAATTTATCTTTGTAAGCCTATTATATTTTGTTTTATATATTTGGAGGCTATATTATTAGCTCTGTGTAATTTTTGAATTGTCACATTATCCTGGTGAGTTGCTCCTCTTATCAATATATTGTGACTTTCTTTGTAATAATGCTTTTCAACTTAAAGTCAGTTGACTAACTTCAGCTTTCTTTTTATTAGTATTAGTCTGGTATATCTTTTTCAACCTTTTTCTTTTAAATTTTCTTGCTGTCTTTAGACATGTTTTAGATGTAGATTAATTTTTAAAAGTCAATCTGACAATCCCTAGTGAGTCTAGTAAACTTATATTTATTGTGATTCTGTCATCCTACGTGTGCTTATTACAGCTTGTTCTATGCTTCTCTTTTTGTCTTGATTGAATTTTTATTCTTGTTTTATTCTATGTTTGGAACTTATAAATTCTATTTCTGGCCTTTGGAGTTTACATTTACAATGTCTACCTGTATTCTTAAGAGTTCAAAGTTATTCATTATCTCTGTCCTTCTTGTAGATAATATATAGAATGCTTTAACTCCAGTCTCCAACCACACACACACACACACACACAAACACACACCCCTTACAGAGTACTATTTTCTAGTATTCTATTGTCATTTTGTTTTTATGCCTATCTGACTAACATTATTATTATTACTGCTTTGTATTATCAATGGTCACTTAGATTTTCACACTGTACCAATTTCTGAGCATCATTCCTTCACACATTTCACTCCTTCCTTCTTGGTTCACTTTCCTTCTTACATCTTTTAGTAGTTGTTTCAGTAAGAATCTATTAGAAGCCTTCTTATTTTCCTGATATAATATCTATTTATCCTTCATTCTTGAAGGATAGCTTAGCTGGTAGAGAATTCCAAGTAGATAGTTCTTTTTTCTTATCATTTTAAAGACTTTTTTTTTCAATTATCTTCTGGCTTCTATTGTGCTGTTGAGAAGTGTATTGTCTGTCTTCAGAGTGTCTTTTCCCTTGGTTTTTCTGAAAATATTTTCTTTGTCTTGACTGTTTTGACAAGTTATACCTACTCATGTACATTATGACATGAGCAGGTAAAACTTTAGTTTATTTATAATACTTTCAGGGCTCATTGTGCTTCCTGAATCAGAAAATTAAATATTTCCATCAACTCTAGAATTGATAAAAAGCCTATTTTCCTTATCTGAAATATTTATTAGATATCTGTTAGAATTTCTCTTTATATTCATCTCTTTATCTCTCTCTTCTGAATTCTAGGTAATTTCTTCTCATCTATTTTCCATTTCACCAATTCTCTCTTTGGCTATGTCTAATTTACTATTTAATCTATCCATTAAGTTTTTTATATCAGTGATTGTTTTTCATTTCTAGAATTTCTACTTTGTTTAAATCTGTCTGGTTTATTTTCTTTTTTTTTTGAAATGACTAAATCTATTATATTATTTTATTTATTTTTCATATGCTTATCATTTAAAGTATAGTCATTTAGATTTATATTTTTATTATATTTTATAATATTTATATATACATTCTTCATATGCATATCATTTAAAGTATAGTCACTTATATATTGTCATTTTTAATGATATGTATATCATTTATAGTCTTTATCACAGTTTTAATATTGAAAGTTCTTGTGGGAAATGATCTTGCTACTTGTTGACTTTCCTAATCTATCACAAGGTGGGTTGTATCTTCATTTGCTTTGTAATTTTAGATTATGAGCTCATGTTCATTAGGATTTTAACTATAGGAATCCTGCTGGGCCTAGGTTGGAGATATATTCCTCCAGAGAGGGTTGAGGCTTGTTTTGATCTTGCTTCTGCCAGATATTCCAAGGTTATTACTTACTAAGCACTAATGTTATTTGACTCTTCAACTTGGGAGTTCCAAGAGCATGCAGATATTATAAATTCAAACTCTAAACCTGATCCAAGATAGGCCCATGTTTACTAATTTTCAAGGGAGACTATAAATCTTTCTCCCAGTTCCCAAACTGAGACAGATACCATTCTTTGTCACCTCTATATAAGAATGTATTCTTTCCAAACCACCCTTTTACCAAGTGAATAGGCTTTCAAGGGTTCTGACCTTTTGCTAGGGATAACTCAGATCAAACTCCCTGCCTGGATAATCCCAAGACTTCATCTCTTTTCTTTGTATGGGCTTTAAAACTCTAGCCACTAAGTTACCAAGACAAGCAACAGCCCCACCACAGGGCTACTTATATGCTTACCACTCTGATTGTCAATCCCGCTTCATTTTTGCCCCTTTCATTCTATAAAATTAGCTCTACATTAAAAATCACCTTTATTACATTTCATCCAGTGTTCCTAGTATTTTAAGTGGGGTGGTTTTCAGGGTATCTAGACTACCAGTTTGCTAGAAAGTGAAGTCTCCAAAGTTCTTACCTTTCTATGCCTTTTCTTTTGATTATATAAGGGAGACAGCTCAATTAGCTACTGCTATTTTTAAACGATTTCTTATAGTTTCTCATTATCTGTGAGGAAGGTAGGAACACCATCAACTAAAGCTTTCTACAAGTAATCATCATCTTGTATTAGAATGAGAAAGGGTAGATGATAATGGGAAGTAAAAGGCCACTAAAGTTATGAGGGATTATGAGGAGATATCCTGTGTAATGAATATTTTGAATTGAAAACCAATAATATCTTGAATCCAAATGCTAGAAGGTCCCCTGTAATCAATATCTACAGTGTACAACATAGAAAGTATAAACTTATTATGATTCTTCCCCCAAAAAAGGTATAATTTAAACAAATTAAACATAAACACAATGAAGAAATCAAATGGTTTCTAGAAATAGAAAATCTTTTTGGTGCTGTGTCTTATAGATCTACATTTTTAAGTGAAAAAGAAGAAGAAGTTATCTTTCAAGAAGTTTCTAAAAGAAGAAAAAAATGCTGACCATCATGGTAGTTAGAAAACATATTGCTCCAGGCAGGGTAATAAATAGTTTCTAATCAGAAAAACAAAGATTACCATGGAACATTTAACATGACAGAATGGACCCAAGTTGGTAAGAAAGGGGACAAGAATGCTTTAAATAGAATGAAAGCCTCAGTATAAAATTAGATTTTTATGAGGAAAATAAAGGGCTTATAGAAATGGACAACATGAATAAGAAACATTCTGAATGTTCAAGAGAGAACAACAGAAACAGAGACCCATTGAAAACAAGCTTGGAAAATTAGGAAATTGAAAGGGTAACATTTGCACATTGTTCTTAAGGACAGAAATGCTCCCATTTTGCCCTGCCTTCTGATTTTCCATTAGGACAGCATCTACCAGCTCCAACAAGGCTGCTACTGCCACTGGGCCAGCAGTACTTTTCCACTTTCTCAGTAGTGGGCCAGGGGTTCTACAGATAATGCAATAGAGAAACCATTATTAAGGCAAGATGACAAAAGATGAGATAAGATTCCAATCTCAGAGGCCAAGAACCCAGACCTGGAGAGACAGACAAATGATGAGAATTAAGGAGCTCTTCAAAGGCTTTTACAAATGACAGCTGATATTTTTCTACTTTGGGTATAAAAATGATATGTAGAGATGCCTTGCCCCACTAATCATGGGATGATGAACTTGAAAAGGACCTTAAGAGGTCATGTCAACCATTAGCTCTTTTCATTAAAAATACCACTTCTGTTCTAACCACATGACCCTCAGTTCTCTGAATCTGCATATGTGCATATTTTAGACATTGTATGTGTGTTTGTGTGTGTGTGTGTGTGTGTGTGTGTTTAAAGTGTTTCCTTACCATGGTATTTATTAGACCTCAGTAGAATTACTCATTTTTAACTATATGGAAGCAACTGAGCTAAAAGGGACTTGACACTGATTCAAAAGAATATATTTCTGCCAGTTTTCAGTTTCACAGGAACACACATATGGAAGCTTGCTTACCTTAGTGAAAGCTCGGTAACATAAGCCACACAGCTCCACCAGGTAGGCCAGAGTGAAGACGGCATTCTGAATTACAAAGCTGAGCAGTTTTGAAAATGGTTCCAACAAACTCTGCAATGAGATTGGGGCCAAATAAAGTCAATTGCTGATTACTTCATTTCAAAAAAAGTATTAAAATCTTATGATACTTTAACTAATGGAATCACTTTTTTTTAATTGAAAACTCTGTTGCCCAGTGGCTCCTGTAGCAACCCCATTGGTCTAATAAAAACAGAACTGCACCTTCAGTCAAGGGCTCAAAGAGCAGGACCAAATCATTTCACTGCTCAAAAAGACATTCATTTTTCCATATGGTATCATTTACAAACCTTCCTTACTACAACCCTGTCTTCGTGTCCACCCTAAGCAATCAAGAGTGTGGGGTTTGCAGTGGGATCTTCCACTTTATTTTCAGAACATTTAAGTATTTATGAGTTCATCATATTCAGATCTGGAAGCCTGTCTTCTGGGTTAAGTAGTGCAAACCACCCTTACGTGTAAGTACTAAAGTACTATAGCTTAGATAAAATTCATCACAACCCAGCCTCCTGCCAATGTTAATCAGGAAGGCATAGTCTGTTTTGGTTTCTCCCCCTGAATCCTACCCATGAAGGATCAGTTTTAGTTCCATATGCTTTCTTAAGTCATTTAGAAACATTTGTTGAGTACCTACTGAGTGTCAGACAGAGTTAGATGGATGATTTCATATAGTTTATCTTACTCAAATTTCTCATAACTATCCTGGGAGACAGTGTGTTATAATATAGGTAATGACACAAGCACTAAATTCTGACACAAGGGTTTTCACACTCTAGCTCACTGTGACCTTGAATAAGTGATTTAATCTCTCTGGAACTTGGTTTTCTCCTCTGTAAAAGGGGGATAATAATGGCTTCCACCTCATTAGGGTGCAAGTTATGAGAATTAAAAGAGATAATATATGTAAAGCACTTGGCACCAGTAAGCTCTCCATCAGTGTTAGCTATGATCTTCATTATTAACCTTCTGAAGCTTTAGTATCCATTCCTGCTCTGCAGCTTAGGCAGTTAAGTAGACAAGCAATTTGCCTAAGACCATAAAGGTATCAGGTAGAATTCAAAGCCAAGTTCCAGGGCAATTTTCCAGAGGTAGAATTGCTCTGCAGAGAAGATAGGATTTTAACTGGACTCCAAAACACTTGCATGCCATGAGTTCCAATACTTCTCAATCTCTATAGTGCTCACTGTCTGGTTTTCAAAAGTCATACATGTTCAATGTCAAACTCAAGATATGTAGGAAAGGACACATGAGGAAGAAGTAAAAGTCATCCATAGTCCCACCACCTTGTGATTATATTTTGATATGTAGTGGAAATATTACACATGTACAATCCTATATTTTGTTTTATATTAACTTAATACAACATCAGAAATTCTCAGTGCCATTTAATTCTTCATAATCATCCATTTTAATGGCCACAAAGTCACATTTTACTATAAATAACAACCCAATAAATATATTTTACATGAAATTAGCATTTGCATTTTCTTCCTTGAATAGATTCCCAGAAAAAAAATGACTAAATTAAAGGACATGAGCGTATTTGAGGTTCTTTTTTCTAATCGATATGAAAATGAATGCACTTTGTGTTAGTTGCCCCTAAAGATAGGAATTCTGTTTTTTACTTATTTGTATTCCCCCACAGAAATCCATGTGGTGCTTTCCATATAGAAAATCTTAAAGAAACTCACAGACTTAGTACTAATGATTCATTATTCTTTGCTCCATATAAATGCTATTGCCTTGAGGTTGGGCGCAGTGGGACATGCCTGTAATCCCAGCACTTTGGGAGGCTGAGGCTGGTGGATCACTTGAGGTCAGGAGTTCGAGACCAGCCTGGCCAACATGGTGAAACCTCATCTCTACTAAAAATACAAAAATTAGCCAGGTGTATGGTGCATGCCTGTAGTCCCAGCTACTTGGGAGGCTGAGGCAGGGAGAATTGTTTGAACCCGGGAGCCGGAGGCTGCAGTGAGCCAAGTTGGCATCACTGCACTCCAGCCTGGGTGACAGAGCGAGACTCTGTCTCAAAATAAAATAAAATAAAATAAAATGAACACACACACACACACATATATATATATATATATATATATATATATATATATATATATATGCTATTGTCTTGAAACATTGTCAATAGATGAAAGGAATAGGAATGTCTCATGTTGCACATAATGTATCCTTATTGGTCAAAAAGAGAAGCCTGAATTCAAGCCTATATGGAAACTTGCTCTTATATTTAGAAGAGCAGCATAGTGATGGGGCGATATGGACCCAAAAGACTTATGTTCAAGTCACAAATCTTCTACTAACCAGCTATGTGATCTTGGCCAAGACAATCCATCTCTCTGAGCCTGTTTCCTCGTCTGTAAATGAGTGGATTGAACCAATGATCTCTTTGTAACTTTCTAGCATAAACCATGAGTCTATGAAAGCACAGTCAAGTTAAACAGTTGCAGAATACGTACATTGTTGGTATATTAAATAGTAATTACAAGCTATAGCAATGCAAACTATTGTACCACTGCAGCGAATGCAGTGCAGAAATACAGCTTGGAATACAAAAGTGAATGAGACACGGTGCAGAACTTCTTGAAGCTTGTGGTCTCATTGGAACCACTTCAGGGCAATGTAAGTGCTACTATAGAGAGCTCTATCAAATACCATGGAAGCTGATACAGGAAAAAGTTACTACAGATAATATGAATATGTTTTTTCATTAAATGGGACCTTGAAGAATGAGAAGGAGTTCACCACACCAGCAAGGGCATAAAACATTTCAGGCAAAGGAAATGGCCTAAGCAAAGGCAAGGAAGTATGAAATTAAATAAGATTATATATCTGAAGCATTAAGCATAATGTCTGCCATATGATAACAAACAGTGGTTGTTGTTTCGATGATGATGATGATAACGCTGATTCTGAAAGTGCATAGGAGGAAGGGATGAATAAGACATGGAGCCAAAGATTAAATTGGAAAGGTGGGCTGGAGAGTTATGAAGTAACATCTTAGATACCACATTAAGGAATCTGGACATCATCCTGACAGAAATGAGAAGTTATCAGAGATTTTAAAGCAAAGAACCAACACGATAAGATCCTGTTTAGAAGGATCGCCTAGTTAGTAGTATGGGGGATGGATTGGGGGGCATGGCCCAGGGTTAGCAGGACCAGTTATAAACCATGACATTGTGATGTATTAGATAGAGTTCTTTATACAAGGCACTGACCTAGCATGAAGAAAAAGAAGGAGGCTGAAAGGGAAGCATTCAGTATGCCATAACTATGTCTTCAGTATTGCTACAAGCCTATCTCATTAGGTTAAAAAAAACTGACTAACCAATTGGTTATGTTTTTCTGAAACATACATACCCTTGTAGCATTGGTAGAAGGGATCTTCAAGAGGCAAATCATAATTCTTAAACTGGAATCTAAAGAACACTGTGAATAAATATGAAAAAAAGTAAAAATTAGTTTCCACCTTAATATAACTTTTGCTTCAAATATGTTCTGAAAGCATTTAGTTTAGCAAAAGGAAAATCTGAAATATGACTGCATCTCAACAGATTCCCATGCCATAATATCCTTGTTGAAAAAAGTCATTCTCAGGTTAAAACAATTTTAATTAAACAATTATACAATGGTAAACAATTAAATAATTAAACACAGCTCCTAAAGTATTTTTCAAAGATATAGCCCTAAAAATTAATGAGATAGACAGTTGAATAGAGACATGGTGGATGGATGGGTGGATGGATGGATGGATGGATGGATGGATGAATAGATGGACAGACAATGAACAGAAATTTGTTGGGTAGATATTAAATGTATCTAATTCTAAAGAGATGCACCAATTTGTGAAAGGACTTTTTAGGGAAAAAAACTACTTAGATCTATTTTTAAAAAAACCATGAATCCACATAAGAACCAGTTTCATCTGCCCTTTCTCTGCTATGAAGCAACACGACAAAAACCTGAGAAAATGCAGTAAAATTTCTACAAGACAAAATCATGCCTTACCTATCCATTCAAGTTCTATATTGACAAGATTCCACATCAAAATGTACTTTTTAAATTGAGTTTACTAGGACTGGGGGTAAACGTTACAGCAAGAATAAACAATGATATGGTAAATAGATCACAATAGCAGGCTATAGTTAAATTTCTGCAGCTGTGCACCTACATTAACTTCCTCAAGATAGTAAAAAATAAGCAGGAGTTTTCCAAGTGGAATCCCAGAACCAGCAGCTAGAAATGTGCCAGAATGCAAATCCTCAAGCCCTACCCCTGCTGAATCAGAAACTCCCAAATCAGGCCCAGTAAGTTGTGTTTTAGCAAGTCCTTCAGGGACAGTGATGCACACTGACGTTTGAGATCTGCTTCTATAAACTGATGAAAACAAACTATAGAAGGTTTCAGTGGCTTATTATTTTCCCCAGAGATTAAAAACAAAGGCAGAAGATGATCAGGGGCAGTGCCCAGATCTGCCCTAGCGGGAGAAATTCTTACACAGATTTTGAAAGTATTTCACAAGTGCCTTCTAAGGGAACCACTGGTTCTATTTAATCTGCTCGACACTCATCGGAGTTGATGTGACATTTACACTACTTTAAACCAGAGGCTGAAAACTGGCTGCTCATCAGGCCCCCATAGTGATTTAAAAACCAGAAAATGTTCTCTTGGGAAAAAAAAGGAAGACAGACAACCAGAAGCCTGCGCTCCCACAGAACAACAATTGGCAGGCGTGAGTAGCCACTGACCTCATAGAAGGACTGGCACATTCTAGTTCCTAAGGGTCTCAATTCTCCTTATTATCTTTTCTCCTTTATTAACCCTGTAGGCAGGGTCCCTATGGGCAGGTTGATTGTCACAAATTAGGCACGCCACTTGTTTACAGCTGGCAACACTTGCCACTCTTCTGTGCCCAAGTTAAATCTTCTGACAGTCACATCGGCACACAGGCATTTAAATTTGCCATACCTCAGCCGGGCGCTTTGGCTCACGCCTGTAATCCCAGCACTTTGGGAGGCCGAGGCAGGAGGACCACAAGGTCAGGAGATTAAGACCATCCTGGCTAACATGGTGAAACCCCGTCTCTACTAAAAATACAAAAAATTAGCTGGGCATGGTGGTGGGCGCCTGTAGTCCCAGCTACTCAGGAAGCTGAGGCAGGAGAATGGCGTGAACCCAGGAGGCGGAGCTTGCAGTGAGCCGAGATTGTGCCACTGCACTCCAGCCTGGGTGACAGAGCGAGACTCTGTCTCAAAAAAAAAAAAAAAAAATTTGCCATACCTCATCCCATCCCTTCTCTTAGCCTGTGCGGCTCTTTAGCAGTGAAGCCCTGATTGGTTCTCGGGTCCTAGGAGGTTCCATGTGCTTAAAATTTGTGCACTCAGTTTCCTGTGTGTTGATGTACAGTAGCTATACACATACACAGTTTCAAAGTACTAACCCTTCTTGCTTGGATTTATTCAGCTACTCCACATCTGTGGGCAAACGAGGATCATAGAATATAAGAGGTGGTAAAGATCCCTCCTCTATACTCCTGCTTCTTACAGTAACTCAAAGCTCAAAGCAGCACACGCTGAGCTAAGGGTCCCTGCATTATCCCTTACAGACCTATTAGTAGTATCTGCCCATTTGGAAAAATGTATTAGCATAGGTTGTTGATCTTTATCAAGTATCTTATGTTACATAATACTCATTTCAGAAGTGGAGCTACTAATAGGTAACCTGATCCTTTTGTTTTTCTGTCTATGGGAAATGCACTTTATTTTTATTTTATCTTATATTTTTGAAACAAGATCTCACTCTGTTGCCCAGGCTGGAGTGCAGTGGCACAAATATGGCTCATTACAACCTCGACTTCCCAGGCTCAAGCAATCTTCCCACCTCAGCCTCCCAAGTAGCTGGGACAAAAGGTACATGCCATTACGCCTGGCTAATTTTTAAAATACTTTCTATTTGTTTATTTATTTTTGAGACAGAGTCTCTCTCTGTCATCCAGGCTAGAGTGCAGTGGTGCGATCATGGCTCACTGCAGTCTCAACCTCCTGGGCTCAAACAATGAGCACACCTCAGCCTCCCAAGTAGCTGGGACTACAGGTGCATGCCACCTTGCCCAGCTAATTTTTTTTAAGAGACAGAGTCTCACTATATTGCCTAGCCTATGTTTTTTTTTTTTAATCTTTCGTAGAGACGAGGTCTCGCCATGCTCCCCAGACTGCTCTCAAACTCCTGGGTTCAAGCGATCCCCCTACCTCTGCCTCTCAAAGTGTTGGGATTACAGGCATGAGCCGCTATGCCCTGCCTGATTCATTTTGTTGCCAGTTAAATGCTTCTGTAATCTGCATAGAGAAAGCACAAAAAACCTCATGGAACAGGTCAGGTTCAAAGCCAGCAACACCACTGCCAGCCACCACTCTGCCCCCTACTCTAGAGACATGAATGCCTTCAACTCACCCCTGCTGCAGAAGGGCAAGAAGAGTCTGCTAGTGAAATGAGCACTGGACTGTGAGTCAGAAAACCTCAGTTCTAATCCTCACATTGCCACCACTGTGTTGTTTCCAGAAGCTATACCATCTCTCTGAATTTGCAGAATTCATTTAGAAAACAGAGGCATTGGAAGGGATGATCTTTATAGGTTTCTTCCAGCTTTAACAGTATTGGCTTCTTATTTGCATTTACTGAGCTCATGTTGTCAATGATCCTTGGGCCACCAGATTTCCAGGTAGGTAATTGTGTGTGTATTCTTGGGAGATGGTATGGTGTAGGGGGTAACAGTCAAGCAGAAACATCATCATTCACAAACACAGCAATTACTTCCCTTTAGATAATTCTCTAAAATGGAAACTTTACATTATATGTCTGAGCTGCTTTTGGACAAAACTATTTACTTACTTATTTAATATCTACGGGAGAAAAACTGCCGGATAAACACAGTCTACTCATGTCTTCCTGGCTGTTTTTTTGTTTTTTTTTTTTTTTTTCAAATCAACTGGAAACATGCATATTCATAGTCAGTGAGCAAAATGCTCACTCCACATTCCTGTCATTCTCTAAGAGAAGACAGAACAACCCAAATAAGCATCCTCACTCCATGGCTGACGGAGTTTCCTCATTAACCTTTGCGATACATTAAATCACCCAAGACTCTGCTGCTTGTAAATAAACGGTCTGAAAATGGTAAGAAATTAATTGAAAATGAAACCTTCGGCTCAGCTTACCTTCAGAGGTAAAACACAAGGCAGCTTGGCAAAAAATGTCTGAAACTGGTTGCTAATTGTGGTCCAGAGGCTACTAGGAGAATCCATAGGCAAAGCTTCCATGAAGGTTGCAATGTTTTCCAAACAGCGAATCATAGCACCCCCTGCTGGTAAATTCTTTTTGTTATTTAGACCCTAAAAACACAAAAGCATAGGCCATCAACTGCTGAAACAGCACGGGAATGCATAGCGCTATTTGGTAAATGTCAGTTTAAAAGTCACATCTTCAGGCTATAAACGTGTTCAGTGCCTACTACATAGGCCAATCCCTGTGATAGACTGGAAGGATAACGAGAAAATCGTTCAGACAAACTTAAGGGGGAAAATTGATGAGAGGTGAAAAGTGAGCAAGAAATAGGAAACAGCTTCCAAGGGTCTACAATTGGTGTGGTTAGGTGCTAAGAAAACAATGAATGATGCTCACTGTAAATAATCCCCAGCACAAAGACTGAGCATAGAGTTACAGGAGCTGCAGCTTTTTTTCTAGCAGTGAGCATCTCCCGCAAGCAAACCCCAAGAGCTGACCTGCAGCAGTGCTGAGACTTGAACCCAAGTCTCTTGATCCAACGCCCATAGCTCCACCCACCACTCTGCCCTTGGAAAACCAAGTTGTTCTGTGGAAGCAAGGTCACGACTTAGCTGAGGGTATGGAGAAGTTTTCAATGAAGAGTAAATCCACGCAAAGCCGCAATGTCCAACTGACACTATTCTATGCAATTCTATTTCTTAATTAACTTTTTAAAATTTAAATTATGTTAATTTTTAAAATTTAAATTATGTTAATTTTTAAAATTTAAATTATTTAAATTTTAGCATTTTCTATTATTTTTCTTTTGAGTTGGGGGTCTCGCTCCGTTGCGAGTGTAATGTAGCCATTGGAGTGTAATGTAGCCATTACAACTTGGAGTGTAATGTAGCCATCACAGCTCACTGCAGCCCCCAACTCCTGAGTTCAAGTGATCCTTCCCCCTCAGTCTCCTGAGTAGCTGGGACTACAGGCATGTGTCACCATGCCAGCTAATTTCTTTTATTTTTATTTTGTAGAGATGGGGGTCTTGCTATGTTGCACAGGCTAGTCTTGAACTCCTGGCCTCGAGCAATCCTCCTGCCTCAGTCTCCCAAAGTGCTGGGATTATAGGCATGAGCCACTGCACTCAGCCCTTAGCTTTAAATTTAATATATATTTTTTAATTTTAAAATTTTAGATTTCATTTTTAAATTAAATAACATTGCAATCCTTCCTCAGCAGTATCCTATGGTGTGACTCAAAGAAACACAGCCCACAGTTGTGCTGGGGCTTAGAGTTTCGGCTGGGGCTTAGGGTGTCATTAAAGGAAACCCACCTCTAGGAGCTGACTGAGAGCTGCGATGGAGCTCAGCTCATTGAAGTCCATCAGAGACGAGGCTAAGGTCCGTAAAAAAGTCCCATCTGGAAAGTCAACGATCGGATTTAGTGTTTGGGTGTCTGGGATGAGGCAAATTTGTGGTGCCTGGATCCTCAGTGGATGAATTACCTTTGATCGTGCTTTGGAACAGCTGCGGGAAGATGCCGTTGGGGGCCAACTGATGGAAGATGCAGCGCAGGAACTGCTTGGCCACCCCCGCCGCATTGCCGGGAACCATCATGCTGGAGTTGAACAGGGGAGAAAAGACACGAAGTCATGGGCCAGTGAGCAGGTGTTCAGATATTTACTTAGAGTTCAGACATTTGCACACCATGCCTCTGATGGGATAGCTCACTGTCATGTTCATCAGTGAAATGAAATATTCTACTCAAACCTAATCCCTGTTAACAAGAAGTTTTTAGAAAGAGAGAACCATGAAATGCCAGTGTAGTCTCAGACGTATTCCAGGTCCCACAATGGACTCAGGAAGGTTATGAGATCCTGAGAGAAGAGGTCACATACAAAGGTCACATGCTCACAGAATGACAGTCAAGACTGGAGCCCTGGATGAGGATTACCAGGAAAATCCTCCCAGGAAAGTGTCACTGGCTAAGACAGAGTTGCTCTGAGGAAAAAAAAATTCATATATATATATATATATGCAGTGAGAGAGATGTTCATTCTCATTAGGAGATGTGGGAAGTTTTCTTTGGGCATCTGAGCTGACACTTGTAAAAAGGCTGGACTTTGACAGGTGCAATTTGACCTTCACCCTTCATGTGCACCTCTGCACATCAAAAGTAGGGCCAAATTTATGAGGCCCTGCCCCTTAGACTAAGGTACCAGAAAGGATGCTTCTTGATGTAGTTAGGGGGTAAGTTACCAGAAGGAAAAAAGAGAAAATCAAAGAACGTAAATAGATAAAGAGTAAGAAGTACTGCTTACCTAATTATGCCAATTATTACCTCATTGTGCCACATCTACCCTGAAATGCTGGTTCAAAGTTTTAGGTCAAAAATATTCTTCAGGAAAAAATAACGCCGAACTTACAATAACTTCAGAAAATAGAGAAGGAGAGAACCCTTCCCAATTTGTTTGATGCAGGCAGCATAGCCCTAAAACTAAAATTAATAAAGCCATTATCAAAATAAATTTTAAAAAAGAAGGAAACAGAAAAGAAATGGGAAGAGGACAGACAGACCCATAGTCGTCATGGCCACTGAATCCAGCTATAGATTAAAAGACCAAGTAGGGTCATGACCAAGTAGAGTTTATTCCAAGAGAATAACAATAGTTTAATACTCAAAAATCAGCCAGTATAATTCAATATATTAAGAAATAACGGACAAAAAGCTTATATCTCAATAGATGCAGAAAATACATCTCACAAAAGTCAACACACATCATGACAAAAACTCAGACTGGGCCAGGCACAGTGACTATCGCCTGTAATCCCAGCATTTTGGGAGGCCAAGGCAGGAAGACTGCATGAGCCTAAGAGTTGGAGACCAGCCTGGGAAACAGGGCAAACCCCCCTCATTTCTACAAAAAATACAAAAAACTAGCTGGGCATGGTGGCACACACCTGTAGTCCCAGCTACTCAGGAGGCTGAGGTGGGAGGATCACTTGAGCCAGGGAGGTTGAGACTGACAAGATGGTGCCACTGCACTCCAGCCTGGGTGATAGAGCAAGACCCTGCCTCAACAACAGCAACAGCAACAACAACAAAAACCCTCAAACTGGAAATACCTCAATTTGCTAAAGGGCATCTATAAAAAAACCTATAGCTACTGCGATTAATAGTAAATATTGAATACTTTCCCTGTAAGAGAGGAAACAAGAAAAGGGTGCCGACTCTCCCATCTCTATGATTACACTGGCAGTCTGAGCCATTGCAATAAGGCAATAAAAAGAAACAAAAGGCGGGGTGCGGTGGCTCACGCCTGTAATCCCAGCACTTTGGGAGGCCGAGGTGGGTGGATCACCTGAGGTCAGGAGTTCCAGACCAGCCTGACCAACATAGAGAAACCATGGCCTCTAGTAAAAAAAAAAAAAAAAAAAAAAAAAAAATACAAAATTAGCCAGGTATGGTGGTGCATGCTATAATCCCAGCTACTTGGGAGCCTGAGGCAGGAGAATCCTTTAAACCCAGGAGGCAGAGGTTGCTGTGAGCCGAGATTGCACCACTGCATTCCAGCCTGGGCAACAAGAGCGAAACTCTGTTTCAAAAAAAACAAAAGAAACAAAAGGCATAAAGATCAGAAAGGAAGTAGTAAAACTCTTGCTATTTACAGATGATTTTTCCATACAAAATCAAATCCTAAAGAGATCTACAAAGCAACTACTAGAACTAATAAGTGAATTTAGCTAGAATACATGCTAATATGCAAAAATCAATTGTTATTTAGATATCAGCAACAAAAAGTTGAAATTTTTAAAAATTCCATTTACATTAGTATAAAAAACATAAAATTCTTGAGAATAAATTTAACAAAAATGGCAAGACCTCTACACTGAAAACTAAAAAACATTGCTGAGAGAAATTAAAGATCTCATGAAAATGAGATATATACCATGTTCATGAATTGGAAGATTCAATATTTTCATGCTGTCAGTTACCCCCAAATTGATTTGTTCTTTCAATACAAGCCCAGCAGACTTTTTTGATAAGAATGACAAGCTTATTCCAAAATTTATATGAAAATGTAAAGAATGTAGAGATCCAAACCAATCTTGAAAAAGATAACTAAATTTGGAGGACTAATGCTACCTGACTTTAACACTTACTACTTACTATGAAGGTACTATAATCAAGACAGTGTGGTGCAAACTTAAGAATTAATATATAGATCAATGGAACAGAATAGAGAGCCCAGAAATAGATCCACCCTTCCATGGTTTCTAAGCTTAACAGGCACCACAGTGATCCAATAAGAAAAG
This sequence comes from Homo sapiens, assembly GCF_000001405.40. Classification (NCBI taxonomy): domain Eukaryota; kingdom Metazoa; phylum Chordata; class Mammalia; order Primates; family Hominidae; genus Homo; species Homo sapiens. The sequence continues at coordinate 93,651,042 of NC_000014.9, read as the reverse complement.
AAAATATCTTTTTTAACTGTGCTGAAAAACTGAATATCCACATAGATAAAAATGAACTCCTACTGCTGCCTCACACCATACATAAAAATTAATTTGAGATGGGTTTTATAAATGCCAAATATACATATGAAAACCATAAAGCCTTTATAAGAAAACATTAGAGAATATCTGCATGACTTGGAAGTAAACAAAGGTTTCTTAGACAAATAAAAAGAAGCAATAATTGTAATGTTTTGTTTTAATGCATTAGAATTCACCTAAATTAAACATTTCTCAGCAAAAGATACCACTAAGAAAAGAAATAGGCATGCCCCAGACTGGGTGAAAATATTCTCAAAACATACTTAACAAAGGACTAGTATTCAGTATATATAAAGTCTTACAACTCAGCAATAAAAAGACAACAACCCAATTAAAATATTCAAAAGATTTGACCAGACACTTCTCAAAAGAATATACGCAATGGGTCAATGAGCACTTGAAAAAATGTCATAGAGAAATGCAAGTTAAAACTATAATGAAATACCCATTACACATCCACCAGAATGACCAAAATTAAAAAGACCAACAATGCCAAAGTTGGGCAAGAATATGAAACAACCAGAATACATTGATGATTGGTAATATAAAGTGGCATAACCACTTTAAGAGAAGTTCCAGTAGTTTCTGATAAAATTAAACATATACCTATCCTGTAACCCAACAATATCATCCCTAGGTATTTTACCCAAGAGAAATAAAAACACTTGTTTTAAAAAGGGCTTTTATAAGAATGTTCACAATAGATCTATTTTTTTATACCCCCCAACTGAAAAAACCTAGAAGTCCTTCAATAAGAAAATAAAAAAGCAAATTATGGGATACAATTCAGCCTTGAAAAAGAAACAAACTCCTGATAAAAAAGCAGCAACATGGATAAATCTCAAAAACATCATGCTGAGTAACAGAAGTTGGACACAAAAGAGTGCATACAGTAGGATTCCATTGACATGAAGTCTAGAATGGGCAAAATCAACCCATGTGGAAAAATATCACAACAGTGTTTGCCTCTATGGGGGTAGAGATTAGCTGGAAACGTGCACGAGAGAACTTTCTGGGAATAATGGTAATGTTCTCTATCTTTACAGGGGTTTGGGTTACACAGTCATATGCATTTGACAAAACTCAAGGAATAAACACTTAAGATTTGTGCACTTCCTTGTATGTAAATTTTACAAAAGAAACAACCATCGTCAATGTACAATATGGTGAGTATAGTTAACAACAATGTATCGTATACTTGAAATTTGCTGAGAGAGTAGATTTCAAATGTTTTCACCAAAAAATAAAAAGATAACTATGTGAGGTGATATGTTAATTAGCTTGATTGTGGTAATCATTTCACAATGTACACATCTATCAAAAGATCACATTTATATCTTAAATAGATATAATTTTTATTTCTCAATTATACCTCAATAAAGCTGGAGGAAAAAAGAAACAACTGTATACAAAAATTGAACTTGAGTTAATGCTAACTTTGCTGAAGTATGTAGGGGAAAATATATTCTAATATCTGAAATTTACTCTGAAATACATCCAAAAAAATGAATTGATGGATAGATAGATGGTTGGATGCATGATAAAGAAAATAAAATATTTGTTTTAAAATCTAGGTGATAGGTATATGAGAGTTCACTGTATAATTCTTTCAACTTTGCAGTATGTTTAAAATCTTCCATAAAAAATGTTAAGAAAATAAGTTTTTTAAAAAGCCATTCATCGAATAGAACATAAGAAAGAAAAGCAAACATCCCTAAAATAAATTATAGAAATGCGATGTCAACAATAATATCATCTTATGTTTGTAGGACCTGCTACAGTTATGCTATCATATACACTCTATCATTTGAGTCCACAGAAAATACCCCTGAGGCACAAGAAGGCATATATTAGTATCTCTCTTTTACAGATGAGGAAGCTAAGGCAGAGAGATCAATGTGGCCAAAGTCACACACAGCATCCGTCCCTGCCCTCTTCTGGTTCTTTCTCCCCACTGCAGTCAAAGTAGCCTTTCTACATGCTATACACACGCACGCACACACACACCTTGCTGCTTACAAATCCTTCACTGTCTTCCCACTGCTGCTAGAAGAAAGTCCAAAATATTTAATGTGGTTTATAAGTCATACACAATCTGGTAAGTCAAACTCAGCAAGTGCTTGCATCTCTGTGCTGTGGTTATATTGGCTTTTTCATAGTTCCTCCTACACACTGTTTTTACCATGCTCTTTCCATAACTATGTGCATAATCAGGTTAAACTCATTTTTTCAGATCTTAGTTTAAACATCACTTCTTAAGGGAAGCCCTCCCCTCATTCTCCCCTCCTCTACCACTACCAAGACCAGACTGGGACCACCCGTTACACCCACTCACACCATCAGCTCTCATCCAGGCTTGCTCATCTCAGCAAATGCCACACCCGCCCACCCAGTTGTTTAAACCAAAACCTAGGAGTCATTCTTGCCTCCTCTCTTTCTCTCACACCCAACATCCAATCTATCAGCAAATTCTGTTGGCTCTACTTCAAAATATTTCCTAAATATATCCTTAATGTGGCTGCCTCTCACCACTTTAGACCAAACCACTAACCTCTCACCTGCACCGCTAACATGGTCTCCAAACTGGTTCCCTCCTTCCATTTTTACCCCTTCCCCATAACCTATTTTCAACAGAGAAGCCAGAGGGGTCCTCAAAATTTTTTTTCCTTAAAAAGATTTATTTTATTGTGTAAGAACACTTAACATGAGAACTATTCTCTTAACAAGTGTTCATGTACAATACATTACTGTTGACTGTAGATGCAATGCCATACAGCAGATCTTCAGAGCTCATTCATCTGGCTTGACTAAAACTTCATGCCCCTTGATCAGTAACTAGGCAGTGATCCTTCAAAGCAGGTAATATGGTTTGCCTGTGTCTCCACCCAAATCTCATTTTGAATTGTAGCTCCCATAATTCCCACACGTTGTGGGAGGGGCCCAGTGGGAGATAACTGAATCATAGGGGTGGTTTTCCCCATACTGTCCTTGTGGTAGTGAATAAGTCTCACGAGATCTGATGGTTTTATAAATGGGAGTTCCCCTGCACAAGCTCTCTCTTTGCTGGCTGCCATGTAAGACGTCCCTTTGCTCTTCCTTCATCTTCCACCATGATTGTGAGGCCTCCCCAGCCATGTGGAACTGTGAGTCAATTAAACCACTTTCTTTTATAAATTACCCAGTCTTAGGCATGTCATTATCAGCAGTGTGAAAGTGGACTAATGCAGCAGGTTAAAGCACATTGCTCCTCACTCCAATGACTCCCTGCTGCATCCTTAAAATGACCTGCAGGGCTCTACTTGGCCTGGCTCACACTGCCTCTTCCCTCTCATCTCCTCCCACTCTTTTTCATACTCAACCTGCTCCAGCCACATTAGTCTGTTTTCCAAATATATGAGGCATTTTCCTGACTTAGAGACTTTGTATTTGCTGCTCCCTCTGCCTGGAATGTTATTTCTATAAATTACTGCATGGATCACTCTCTCACTTTATTCATGTTTTGTTCAAATATTACCTCCTCAAAAATGCTGTCCTTGACCATTATATCTAAAACACCAGCTCCGGGCACTCTCTATCTCCCAGACTTGCTAGATTCATTTTCTTGCATTTAGCACTAAATGATATCAAATTACATAGTCAGTTTTCCTGTTGGTTAATTTGCTTATTTTCTCCCTCCTCAAGTAGAATGTAAGTTCCGTGAGAGCCAGGATTTGATGTTTTGTTATAGTTACTATAACCTCAATAACTAGTAGTCACTCCATAAATACTTGTTGAATGAATTACTGTTATATAAGTCTCTCTGTACTTTTTCTTCATAGCACTTAGCACAGTTTACAATTATAAATTTGTGCAAATATTTTATTCACATTGGCTTCATGGATAGACTATAAGCCCCATGACGGCAGGAATCATGTCAGTTTTGCCCCCAGTGAAGGCCTGAGTGTCTAGCACAGGGTGGGCTTAAAAGTATTTGTTGGCTAAAATGAGTGAATGAATGAATGAATAAAGGCATGAACAGAAAATGAATAACTAGTGCTCTCTAGAGCTGCAATTGGAGCCTAACAATATTCCCTCCGTGGTGCACAAGCTGGTATTTTTTTTATTTTTTATTTTTTATTGAGACAGGGTCTTGCTATGTTGCCCAGGATGGTCTTGAACTCCCGGGCTCGAGTGATCCTCCCACCCTGGCCTCCCAAAGTGCTGAGATTACAGACGCGAGCCACTGCACCCAGCCCCACACTGGTGTTTTAGAAACAGGATGAACATGCACAGAGGAGAAAAGAAAGTGAGATCTGGGCTCCCGTTAGGACCTTACCTTTCTGCTTGATTAGAAAAGGTAGTACTGGATGCCAATCTAGGAAATAAAGTAAAGAGAGTCACACAAATATCTTAGGTTTCCATGATGAAATGCATTAATATTGTGGGAGGACCTGTTGTGTTTCCAGTTTAGATGGGGAGACATGTATAATGTTGACAATTCCCTTGACAGTACAGAGGGCCCACTCAGTGGTCAGTCTCTAGAGTTAAACTTGACCTAGTCCTTGAGACCTGCTATATCAAGTTAGACATTTTCATGGAAACACTTGCAGTTAAAGTTGGTTTTCTACAAAATGGTGCCTGCAGCCAGGCCAGACAGTTATCACAACAACATTTGACCCAGCTCCTCTCCATATTAACTCAACTCGAAATTCATTTCTTTGTATATAACCTCTGAAACCTAACTATAAACAAACCACAAGTGGTAAAAGCCTCCATAAGATAGTAAAATAGATAACAGGAATATTTGTCAGCTGTTGGGTTGAAATGAGGAAAAAGGAAATGTTACATTGAGAAGAGAAATGTATTGGTTAAGTAAACGATATGGAGCATGTAATTTCCAGAAAAGTATAATTATACGGTTCTGTATGTGTGGAAATATTCTATATGTTATCATATAGAAAGAGAATGGACTATACTGATGGGTTTAGAATAACATGTCTGGATCAGTAAGATACTGAAGAAACAGATAAGGAGAATGTTGCAAATTTATTTACTTGATTAGGACTACAGGTGTAAGAGTGAGCTGAGCCAAGACCCCACTTAGAGAAGAATAGGGGGTCCAGCAACCACTAACACCAGACACCATTCCCAGTTGTGTTGTTTACAGACCTTCTCATGCTAATGTCACTACAAAAAATAGATAAACATTGACAAGTAAACTAAACAGTAACAGTAATTAATGGTGCAGCAAATGAGATTTTAAAGGCTGTACCTACAGAAAGGGATCATGTAAGAGGGATCCAAGCAGACAGCAAAGTATGAGATCATATGGAAAAGCTTGAGTGATCCACGAAAGCGTTATGCTGAGCTTACAAACTCTTGGAATTGCTGGGAATGGTCCCCGTGGTCATAATTAGCGCAAATAAACAATGTGTTTGTAAAACCACATGATCTCATCTGTTCTTCGTGATGAAGTGAGGCATGCCAGGAAGCCCTGAATTAGCTGACAGTTGAATCTGTTTTCTTGGTAGCTTTGGTGATTAGGCTTAGGTTGCTAAGAATTGTGGCAGCTTGCACTAAATGTACTCCCTGTCTCTTGCTAGTCTACCCAAAGGAGGTAGAGATTTAAATATATGTGTATGTAAATATGTAAAAATGTATCTGCTACTGGTTTTCCCTTGCTTTTCTTCAAAGCTCATGTGTTTCAATCCTAACAGTTGGCAATGTTTGAACACATATTGTTCTCACTTATGTTAAAACAAACAAAAGAAACAAAACTGAAACAAACCCCTCTATATAGCTATGACAACTTAGATCATCTGTTTCAAAGAGATGATAACAGACCAGAACAATAATTCTATACATTCTGAAACTAAGAAGTATTGATAGTAGAAATTGTGACCTGGTATTAATAAAAACTCTCAACTCCCCAAGTATTGCTGATAGCTGACAACATTTATTCTGCAATTACTATGACTAGGTCAAACTCAAGGGCTTAAATGAAGTAATTCATCTTCTCTTATCTCTCCATATCCCCATATCCATCCCTTACTTGGCACATGGGCTATTTTGAAGTCTTGAGATGCAATGGTCACACTTACCTTTATACAATCTGTCTATATGACTCCTAAGGACACTACCAAAAAAACTGGAGGGAGGGAGGATAAGAAAGCCATACACTTTTGGGGTTGAGGAGTTTATAATGCTTTCCTATTTGTCTTCAACTTGAAGTCAACATTTTTTCATTTTTAAAAAAGGATTAAATTTTAGCAACATTAAGAGTCATTCTCTTTCCTTTCCTCAAATGCCAAGAGTTTGCAGAATCCAGTTCTTGTGCTACCTCCTCCTTATAAACTTTAAGACATCTTTCCTATACTAATCTTCTCTAGCACTTAGCTCTCTCTCATTCCACTCATTACAGCATTTAATCACACCCTATCTTATTTGGCTAGTCAATGAGTCCACAGTAACTGTCACAGCAACTAAGCCCAAAGTACCTGAGGCCAAGAGCTCTGTCTAACGCCTGCAGCCTAAAGCACCTGGCACTGTTCACACAGATTGGAAATGTTAATACATTTATGTGGCATTTAATTCAACCCTCTCCTATAAGTTGTGCACGCTAAGACTACAGTTTGTTATTGAATTTGAGCTTTCTTCATATCCATGAAATATATCTTTATCTTCTAATGTCCTATCTACTAAATAGAATTTTCTTAGCATGAACACCCTCAAAGCAGCTAAGCGTAATCTCTCAGTCAGGTTGAAAGCCCTGTTCCCCAAATGTGTGCATCCTTCTTTTATCTGAGTCAGAAATGTGAACCTGCTATAATTACTATGTGTCTCCTCACACAACAATGCCCCAAGTTTCATAGTTAAATGAGGTGTCCTTGAGATTACAAATGCCTAGAAAATCCATCTCAAAACAGGTAAAGAGAAATAATAATAACAGGTAATACTTACGAAGTGTTTACTATCAACTGCTGACAGTTGTGTGCGTGGTTACAACCATTAGCTCATTTAGTGACAGGGGTAACAAACAGTGGGGTTTCCTTAGTGCAGTTGCCCCTAGCTTTGCTCTGACATTGTGACTCATGACCCTACGCAGCTGGAGAATTCAGTCGAAAGACGAGTCTATTTGGTTTTTAAAACTAGTCTGAGTTGATGTCACAAATACCAGTATCTACAAGGTGGCTGAATGTTTCACTTTTGAACTGGTAGTTTTTAGTTCAAGATAGAGACTGAATAAAGGACCTTCCTACCAAACAAAACAGAAGCTGACATTCACCTTCCCACAGACTGCATGATATCCAGCAGCAGCGGGGCTGCCAGGTCTGGGCTTAAGTGAATGAATGTGGAGAGGACCACGATGGCTAGCCCAAGTGTCTCTTCATCGTATTCTTCAAGAATGGCCCCACAGTCATGGCATCTGCAAAGAAAAGAGAGACATGCTTTCCATGAAAGAAAGAACCATGGTCTCAAGATATAATATACTACACACACGGCTGTTTTTAGTAGGTCTTGGAAAAGTCTCCAAAAGGAGATCAGGAGCCCCACTCTGGTAATCAGTAGAGGATTCCAGTGCTGCCATCACCACAGATACAGAAACAGCACACATGGTAGAGACCACGAAGGTGCCTCTGATGACTGAAAATGTTCTTTCAGTTCCCCAGCATCTGGCCTGCATGTGAGTGACTGCTCTCACTTAGAATGAGTACCAACTGGGCCATCAGTTTGAAGCCTGTGGATGAAGGATTTGATGCATTTGACATTATTGCTGAGGAAAGTCAGTAACTAGATTTGTTTTTAATTTGTTGAAGTTAAAAATGCAAAATGCTTAGGCACGGATGGAGGCTTTCAGAAAATGTTCTATTTGTGGGTAAGAGACAGGGTAGTCAAGTCTACAGAACCATCTGGAAAGCCTGAGGAGACAATGGAGTCTCTTCTCCACCACTCACTCAGATGAGTTTTATGAACTCACCAGGCCTGCCGAGTGTCATATGTAAAAGCACAAACAATGGCACCCGCTTTTAGGTAACTTCCAACCTACCGCTCTTTGTAGTGTCCTAATGTAGGGTCCATTTCATTCAACACGACCAAAGCCAGCTGATAAAGTGAGCAGTTTTATAAAAGGAAGCGAAAGTCTAATGGGAATAGCAGGGAATCAAGAACTACAACTGTTGTTGTGACCCTTCCTTCTGAAAACTTCCTAAATATAGGCCAAAGAAAGAGCATAAAAATTTCTTACAAATTGACATTTTAAAATACAGGATTCACATTTCTAAGTAAAAAAGAAAAGAAATGGAGTGCACAGAAAGGCAAATAGGAAAGATTAAGACTTGGGGAGCGGGGTAATCCCAAAGGAAGAGCTGGAGAGAGCCCTCCATGGGCAACTCAATGACCTGTGTGGACCTTCCAAGGCAGCTGCATGAGACAGGCACCACCGCTTCTTCAGTCATGGCTGTCAGGTCATTACAATGAGTAATGGATGGTCAGCTACAGGGATACTCACATCAGCCCCTTCCACCTTACCTTCCTCACTTTTTTTTTTTTTTTTTTTTGAGATGGAGTCTTGCTCTGTCACCCAGGCTGGAGTGCAGTGGCACAATCTCGGCTCACTGCAAGCTCCGCCTCCCAGGTTCACGACATTCTCCTGCCTCAGCCTCCCGAGTAGCTGGGACTACACGTGCCCGCCACCAGGCCCAGCTAATTTTTTTGTATTTTTAGTAGAGACAGGGTTTCACCATGTTAGCCAGGATGGTCTCGATCTCCTGACCTCGTGATCCACCCATCTCAGCCTCCCAAAGTGCTGGGATTACAGGCATGAGCCACCGCGCCTGGCCCCTTCCTCACCTTTTATCAGAAGCATACTGTATTAGTCTGTTCTCATGCTGCTAATAAAGACATACCCAAGACTAGGTAATTCATAAAGGAAAGACGTTTAATTGACTCTCAGTTCCACATGGCTGGAGTGGCCTCACAATCATGGTGGAAGGCAAGGGGGAGCAAAGTCACATCTTACATGGCAGGAGGCAAGAGAGCTTGTGCAGGGGAACTCCCATTCATAAAATCATCAGATCTCATGAGACTTATTCACTGCCATGAGAACAGTATGGGGGAAACTGCCCCCATGATTCAATTATCTCCACCTGGCCCCACCTTTGACATGTGGGGATTATTACAATTCAAGGTGAGATTTGGGTGGGAACATAGCCAAACCATATCATCTACCTAATTTATCAATCAGGTCACTTTTACCAAGAAGGCTTCCTGGTCCAAGGGGATTTCTCTAAACTTGAAATCTTACAAGTGCTTTGTTTTGTTTTGTTTTGCTTTTGAGACAGTCACTCTATCACCCAGGCAGGAGTGTAGTGGCGCTATCACAGCTCACCACAGCCTCAACCTCCCAGGCTCAAGTGATCCTCCCACCTCAGCCTCCCTAGCAGCTGGGACTACAGGCACACACCATCATACCTGGCTAATTTTAGTAATTTTAGTAGAAACAGGGTTTTGCCATGTTGCCCAGGCTAGTCTCAAACTCCTGGGCTCAAGCAATCCACCCGCTTTGGTTATTCTTTATCATACTCACTGAACAAGCATCTGTGTGCCAGGCAATATACTGGAGGAACAAATTATGACTTAAAAGCAAAGCATGCTTTTTCTGAAACTTTCTCACCACTGTGGTAACCAAACTTAAATTCTGTAAACATGGTGAAGAAAATAACTGTGCGAGCTTACTTGTCCGTCATCACCGTCGGCTGCTCGTCAGTGAACTCTTCAGGTGCAGGCACAAACATACTGACTATGCTTGGTGCTGATAGCAGGCTGGATTTGGTGGCACCTGGGTAAGCAGCAAAGGGACAACCAGTGAATATAGATGAGCTTCAAGGGGCCAAGAAAGGCCTGGTTCTCCTCTTAGAAACCCTCCAAAGATCACATTCCCAGGAATACAACTTGGACATCCCAACTGTACTGCAGAAAGCCCTCAATCATGAAATGAAGTCAAGAAAGATTGTGATTTGTTTCTGCTTGGTTGAAGTGAAGAGCTAGACTTCTCTCTCTTTGCTTCTTGACTTTGAAAGAAATCAGAAAGAGCTCAGGTGTGCCAGCAGGGTCCAAAGACAAAGATGAAAGACAAAGGGGAAAATCTATTCAAGGGTACCCTTAAAAGAGCTACAATTCTTATTTGTAGGCATAAATGGAAACTTCCCATATGATACTGCATTTCTAAAATCACAAACGCATATCAACATTACAGTTTTGCTAATATGGGAAGGTGGTAAGATCCCAGAACTCCATGCACTTAAGCAGTGGAGATCTTTGAGCTAAGAAATATCAGTGTGTTTGTTTGTTTGTTTGTGACAAGGTCTTGCTCTGTCACCCTGGTTGGAATGCAGTGGCGTGAGCACAGCTCACTGCAGCCTCAACCTCCCAGGCTGAAGCAATCCTCCCACCTCAGCCACACAAGTGGCTGGGGCTACAGGCACACGCCACAATGCCTGGCTAATTTTTAAGTTTTTGTAAAGACAAGGTCTCACCTTGTTACCTGGGCTTGTCTCAAGATCCTAGGCTCAAGGGATCCTCCCACCTCAGCCTCCCAAAATGCTAGGATTACAGCTGTGAGCCACTGTGCCTGGCCTTGCATTTTTCAAACTGAAGTATTTATGAATGTGATATCAAGTTTTTTTGAAGGAACCATCCAGTGACTCATTCCACGTCAGCCAATCGATACCACGGTGTTTAAAACTTTGGGGTTTGATGTCTTCAAAGAAATCTGAGGCAAGAATCTTAGCAACATGGTCCAGGGATGAGTAAATCAGTCTGGAAAGTCAGGAAGCTGTTCTCCATTAAGAAAGCCACTAGTGCAAGACAGAGTCTCATGAAAATGAAGCACCCCAAGAAGAATCTCAAAGGGATCATCCAGAATAATGCCATGTTCTACAAAGTAATAACTAAAACGCTAAGTTCCTCAAACAGGAAAGAAGGCAGAAAAATCCAAGAGTCATTAAATAATCTTTCTCATCAAGGAATTAGTATCTTGGTGCTGGGAGAAAACAAACAAGCAAACAAAAACCCGGTATGACCTTTCCTCAAATAGGGGAAAGATTTCCTCAAATAGGAGAATGATTCAGACAATGAGTTTCTAAAGGAATCAAAATATTCATAAAGCTAGCCAAGTGGGCAATGTGTTTCAATCTGAATTTTCGGAAGAAAAAATAGTGTTGAGCCTTTGAAAAGTCAAGATGCTTCCATTCTGCAGACTCCTTTGCCTGATCAAAGGTTACACGAGTATAAGAAGAACATTTGCAAATCCAAACTGCAAAGGAAAGTATCTGAAAATATCTTTATGTCACTTCCTAAGCTCCCAAATGGGAATCCAAATTTTACTACTATGTTTATCAGCTATATCCAAGATAACATCCTTCCCTAAGTATACGTAAGTGTATAATTCACAAAGATCTTCAATTGTTTCATAAAGATGTTACTTTGAGTGGAAGCAACAGAATTACAAGCATAAATGTACACTGATTAATAACAGAAAAGGCAAGAAATAGTCCAAGATAAATGAAGACACAATTGATTACTAAATAGCACGGTAAACCGCATGAAGTTGCTTCAAGAAACCAACACACAGAAAATTTAAATTCAATACTCCACATTTCTTGAACATTGACAGACCACATTGACCAGATGTCAGAATGCTTGTGCTAAAAGTGGAAAAATTCAGCCCATACAATATATGATGATACATACATAGACTTACTAGAAACATAAGAAATTGATTTTTTAATTAAAAAACCTCTGAGTCAAGCCTTTCAGAAGATTATTGCCAATTACTATTATATAGTAATCACAATTAAAGTCAAGAAAAGGGAGGCACTCGAAGTCATTCTGGCAGTTTCAAACTAATTATTGCCTAATACAAATGCCAAGAAAGAGGTGTTTTTGACAATAGCATTGTGAAGTTGTTTTTCCATATGACAGCACGGAATGTATGATGCAATATTTATGGCCGTCATCTATAAAAGCAGACAGGTTCAGTTATTGGACACTGATCCCCATAGGGCAACACTGGCTGAATCAATGGATCGCTAAATATTGCTACTGAAGTAGGAACAAAAAGTAATGTACTAGGAGGAGGTGGGAAATGCAAAAAGGAAGCCACAGACCTCAGCCACCGTTGTTATACTTCAGTCACAATAAGTCTGCAATGTTAAAGGCAGTCCCTATCACCCCCAAGTTGCTGCCGACATTTCTGATGCCTCCACTACTGGCTCCCCTTCTGAATAGCTGAAGTGCACGCTACACTGAGCTAGCAGCAGAAACAGAGGGCTCTCAGAAATTTGAATGAAGAGGGGCCCACCTCCAGAGCCCAACTTTGAAGCTGAAGATTTTGACAAAAGTCCCTTTGCGAGTCTTGGAGACAGGAAAAATTATGAAGGTGTTTGTCTCAAAGGCATGCATGGATCAATCCCCCAGCTGTACTGATGGGCTCTTGAGTTTACCATGAAAGAGACTGACTTTCCATCTTAGTGTTCTCATCACTTCATTCCACTTTTGCTGCTACTGAGTCACCAGATCATGAACAAGCACCAAAGATTTGTTCAACCACCCTTACTTCTACTCATCAAAGCTTTTCCTAGCCCCATAGATGAGAAGAATCTTACCTCATCCAGTACAGGGACTAAAACTGCTATTCATTGCCAAAGAAATGTGAGCAAAAGCTGGAGATCAATAGCACCTCATTCCTTAGGAAAATTAGAAGAGTGACATGGTCTAGAAAAATAGGTCTACTTGATTTAAAAGACTAGTTGTGAGATGGGATTATAATTCTTTCTGGGTATTCTGCTTTTCTACCAATGATAGGTTAATCTGCCTTCTCAATTAAAAAAGAACAAAGGTAACAATTAACTACTTTAAATTCATGGGATTAATTTTGAAAATGAATATTCTGACCTTAGCACAGATTGGCCTTCAGCTTGCTTCTGTGAGCAGCATCAATTCAAGTGAATCTTTTCAATGTATACTTCAGAGAGCTGGAAAGAAACTATTAGCCTATGACCTCAATATTCTAGAAAAAAATACAGATTAGCTGGACCATGCTCAGAAGAGTAGATATGGCATGATATGGAAAACTGATATGTCTGAGGAGGAATGCTGAAGGACCTAGGAATGTCTGGTCCAGAAAGGACTGAGGGAATAAGCAATGTCCAAAAATTATAGAAGAGGCCAGGCATGGTGGCTCATGCCTATAATCCCAGCACTTTGGGAGGTCGAGGCAGGTGGATCACCTGAGGTCAGGAGTTTGTGACTAGCCTGGCCAACATGGTGAAACCTCATCTCTACTAAAAGTACAAAAATTATCTGGGTGTGGTGGTGCATGCCTGTAATCCCAGCTACTCCTCGGGAGGCTGGGGCAGGAGAATGGCTTGAACATATATATATATGAGAGAAGACTAGACTTGTTTTGTGTGCAAGGGTTAGAAAGTCACTATAAGGAAGAACTGTTGGCCATGTTCAAAGATGAGATGTCACGCACTCTCAGCCACTGGGGGTGTTTGGGCAAAGGTCATCCCCACTCCATGGAGGTGCTAAGAAAAAGCCTGCACCTGCTGGGTGACCAAATGATGGACATGTCCAGTCTCCTTCAGCTTTTACAGCCAGAGACTCTGTGACTCAACTAACCTCTCATCCTCAATGGCTGTCCCTCCAGGTCAGGGTTTAGGCACGTTGGCACGTTACACTGGCGTTTCCCAGGCTGTATCTGTTCTGTGGATAAATAGAGGGTTTCAGTCTTTGATGTGGTCATCTTAGCACCATTTAGAACACAAAGAATTTAACCAATCATCTCTGGGGGCCAATTTTTTGGTCACTGTTACTATGTATTATTAACATTTACAGAACACATCCTAGATTTTAGGGTAGGGTTATTTGGGGCTTTACTACAAACCTGCCATTCAGTTCTATGAAATGCAACTAAAAGCAGGACAGCATCTAAAACTATCCCAAAAAGTCCAGACAAGCACCCCACCCTGCCCCCACAAAAAAGTTCAAATCTCATATCTCCAGATAGGAAACGAAAGGCTAATATCACAGCCATGACAGAAATGTTTTATGCAAATCAGTAAGTACATAAGTGATCATTTGGGGCAATGGCCAGAAAGGTCACACTGGAAACATGTGGAACTGGTAGAAGGAAATGACAGGTGTTGGACTGAGGGATGGGGAACAGGAATAAGGGGGAGGGGGCAAAAATGGAGGCATGGTGCTTCAAAAATGTTTGTTCACATGAAAGATGAGGCAAAGCAGTAAGTCATGGCGCCATGCATGGGTGGAGAAGAGGCAGGTCTCATATGCATGGGTGGAGAAGAGGCAGCTCTCAGGGTGGAGCTGGTGTGTGCTGACGTGAACTGATCAGATCCATGTTTTAGGCTGCCTTTCTCAGGTGCCTACATGGCCACATCTGTTCTGGTGGAGACCAGCAAATTACTGAAGCTACATGTGTAGTTTAAAGTGACATGCCACCTAACATTGTACTACACAGTCACAGACTCTCCCCTAGGCTCGGATGTGAGGAGGACTTTTTCTGGCGCTAATCAAAACAAGAATATTGAGATGATGCTTGTAGGACTTGGTGACTCGAGAACCACGAGAACCAATTTGGAGGATGGAAAACAGGCCCAGGAAAACTCGGGAAAGAAATTCAGACAGCATATAAATGGGAAATATTAAATGGCAAACCAGAGTGACATGAACAAGATTGAAATTTGGTTGAAAAGTGAAAAATTCCGTTAAATGGGTTATTTGGCATCATGTAGATTTTCTTAGATTAAAATTTGGACTGAAAATTGAGATCAGTTTGCCTTTTTATAACTACTGTGCCCATTGAAGTAGGTTGTCATTGTAGTCGGAATCTAAACTGGTTGGTTAGCTTAGGCTGAGCTACCTGCTGCAGAAAACAGAAGCAAGGTAAAAATCATCTTCAGAGCCCTCACATCAGCATTTAATTATCAGAGACCTAATCAAACAAAAGCTGCCATTCTCAGTTCCTTACATCGCTTCATCTCCATAAAGAAGAAAGCACAGTCCTCTTTGGTGTAGGCAGAAAGACTTCATTCAAACCCAGTGAACTCCTGAGGTTGGCTGTCCAGTCTTTCTCCTTCTCTCCCTTGCCTGTTGGCTCTTGGCTATTCACTGCTCACTACCACATATCACTAAAATGAAGAGAAAACACTAAACCTTTACAATGTAAAGAACCCTTATAAAGTCCAGGAGAGTTGAAACTATCTGTTAAATGTGAGATTGGGTATGCTGTGTGGGATTTAGTTATCTAGACTAGCACTCTCTCTCTCTCTCTAAGAATAATGAGGGCAAGTAAAATTATGTACATAAATACTATGGCTTTGAAGAAAATAAAAGTATCTCAATATTTTGCTTTTGTGGATATTATAATTCATAGTCATCAGGAAGAATATTAAAATAATCTCACATCACTGCAGCCAGAAAGTATTAATCACGATACTAAAAGAGTCCGATTCAAGGGTAGGCCCCAGAGCATATCACCATAATAAGCCCTTACATTTTAGTGGTGCATGCATGTTGCAAGGTGTTTTCACATATAGAATCTTGTAACTCAAATGACCCATTTAATTATGGAAGAAAAAAAACAGAAAAGGCAGGCACTTAAAAGAGGATTGTGGCTGTACTACTGGCTTGATAAGGTAGTACACGTACAAAACGTGGTAACAAAGTTTAGAAAATGCAGAGTGATCATGTTTAGAATAGACATGTCATGGCAGTCAATTCTTACTTTAAAATTGAGGTTAGATGCAGTTCCATCTTATGAGCATGGGGGTGTGCGGCTGCAACCTGGTGACCCTGCTGGCTAAAACACAGAACTCATATTCCCAAACCTACTGGCAGATCATGATGTCACTAAGCTGACAATTTTTATCACTATTAGTATTACTATAAATATTCCCTCATTTGGGGCGTACTTTGTAGTTTATACAACAGAGAATACTGATAATCTGCTGTGTGTTTTCTTTTTTATTTGCATCATGAAACCATAGTTCCATTCCCTCCTCCCCAGATCAATAACCTAATATCTGGAATCTGGGTCTTAGAGAGAACAAGAGTTGGGCCAGCCTCAACGGAAGAGCGTGTCACTCTAGAACACTTGGGAAGTTTAAATAGACTTACTAATTACCTTAGGTGGTTTTGAAAAATTACCTGAACCAAAGAACATGAGAGAAAATCTATTCTTTAACAAGGGAGCAGAGTGGACACAGAGAAAGTAGCATTCACTAATCCGAGAGGTAGAATGAGAAGAAAAAGCTTGACCCACCAGTGTCCCAGTTGCTGATGTTATGGGGGGCGCTAGACTGATGCTCCAGCTGCCGCTTCATTAACTGGCTCATTGTCAGAACTCCCAGGGATCCCCTTTTCATCTGCCTATACTGAGCTAGATGGAGGAAATTAGGAGATGATTATAATAATAAATTTCCACAGCACACAAAGGCTCCACACATCCATATAGAATTTTAATTGACCCTTCATTTGCTATTCATAATTTTTGGTAAATTGTATGCTTCTGTTCAAATGAAAAATTAAGGTACTCTGCTGTTCCGGATGCCTTTCTTCACACAGTGAGGATGGTAACAGTGCCCATTAGCACTGATTTGTCGCCTGTAAATATTTATCCCAGTTATAACTGAATGAAATATGATTATCTTCATCTACTTTTAAAATTATATACTCTGCCATGTTTCAAAAATGATTTAAGACAAATAACAAATTTAAATGTATGGCTTAACTTTCTTTAACAGAGCTTGTGCATACATTATTTCCATCTTCCTCATAGCCCCATGAGGTCCTTGTGTATGTGTGCGTGTGTACATGATGTGTGTGTGTGCGTGTATATTTTAGGGTAGGATGACACATATCAACCCCAATTTTTAGAGAGAGAAATTGAAGCAAATGAAATTATATGACTTGGAACCAGTCAGCAACTGAGGTGGTCCTAAAACCAAAACATATCAACTCCAAAGTCAATGCTGTTTTCAATCTCTGTGCGAGCCTCTGCCTACTGTTTGAAAAATGTGAATCAAACAACATTCCACGAGTATATTCTAGTACACATCTTTGTTTTTAAAAAGTGGTAACATTTTTATCCTGTAAGTTAAGCATTGAAACATATCCCATCAGTGAAATGTCAAGTTATTAGCATTTCCAAACCAGAAAACAATGAAAAACACTTTTGCCAGTAGATTGCTGAGTTGGAAAGCAGTCTCCTCTGGTCCTATTCCCAGCAGTCCCACCAATCCCTACCAACCAGCCCAGTGAGAGAGGCAGAGCATCATGGATGCAACTTTTCTGCATGACCCCAAATACCTTGTATATTTGACAACTTGTGGTTATTCTCTGTGTTATAAGAAAAACTTCAGAAACTGAAGCTATCAACTACACGCCCTAGAAAGGGATGGTAGAGACCGGGATGACCGCATGGCCCCTGGAAACTCTTCAATGTTATACACACATTTCACAATCATGGCACCAAGGTGGCAACTTGGTGTGATGTGAAATCAATTATAACATTATTTTTAATGTAACTAGCATGCTGTTTGATTAATGGTGGTCACAACACGTTTAGCTACGAAATAACCAGCTGATAAACTGATCAAAAGGGAAGGATGTGATGGGAATTCTTGTGTCTTAAAGTCAATATTAACCTAACTCATGGAAATGACTACTCAACCTAATACTAAACATCTCTGGTTTTTGCCACTAATTGGTAAAACTTACAATGTTATGACTCACTTGAAAAGCACATCTTTAAGTAAAATTCAAAAGCAGAATTCTTTTTGAAGATGCAACAAATTTAAAACTTAGCAGCATCTAGAAGACTCAATCAAATGAAAATTTTAAACCTCTGATGATTGAATAATTTCTTCAATTCTCAGGTGTTTTCAAAGACAGCAGAATTCCCTGAGAATAAAACCCTTAATGTTTAGCTCAGTGTATAAGGTACCAGGCATGATACCTCCAAGAACACACCACCAAGAGCTATAGAATGCATGCTTTTAATGGCAAGGAGGAGAAAGGTGGAAATCTAATTAAGTGCTAAGCTAAATCCAAAGTCTAGATCAATCATGACTTTGGGATCATGAAACATTTGTAATTTGTAAATTCATTTTATGGTATATTTAACTATCATTTGAGTCCTACTGAGCTAATAATCCTATTTCAAATTATACTCTAATTCACTATCTTTTTATTTCTTCATTTTTTTTTTTTTGAGACAGGGTGCACAGGCTGGAGTGGAGTGGCACAATCACAGCTCACTGCAGCCGCCATCTCCCATGCTTGAGCGATCCTCCCACTTTGCCCTCCCCAGTAGCTGGGACTATGGTGCGCGCCACCACGCCTGGCTAATTTTTAATTTTTTTATAGAGACTGGGGCCTCACTATGTTACCCAGGCTGGTCTCGAATTCCTGGGCTCAAGTGATCCTCCTGCCTCAGCTTCCCAAGTGCTGGGATTACAGGCGTGAGCCACCACACCCAGCCCACTATCTTTTATTAAAGATAACTCGTACAAATTAGGAGAAGATACACTTTTATGATTTTAGTATGTGGTCATAAAATTGGCATTTTATCATGTGATCTAACAGATTTTTGTAATAAAAGAAGAATAATTAGATTCAGAACTAGCCATTCTTCTTTGCTACCAAAAGGGCAAATAACTGTCATTTGGAAACTATTTCTTAGAATTTCCATAATCCTTATTACAACTGAATTTGAATTATTTAAAGGAAGTGTGGTATACTAAAAATGAACATGGCTTTGTAAGTCTAAAGGGCCTAGCATCAATTCCTGAATCTATCACTTAGTAGATATTTGACTTTAGGCAAGTCATTTAGCTTCTCTGGATCTCAATTACCTAATCTATAATATGGGGCCAACAACATCTATCACGCATGTGTTGATGTAACAATTGGATCAGATAACAATGTGTGTGAGCCACTTGGCACAGTGCCTGGCACATGATAGATGTTAAATAGATAGTAGCTATAATTACTATTATGACTGCAAACTCCTGGAGAACAAGCGGTGTTTTATTTATTCACTTTTGACCTCCAGTGCCAAGCACAGTGTCTGGCATCCAGCAGACACTTAGTAAATAGTTGCTGAATGAATGAATGCATGAATGAATGAACAATGAAGATGATGATGTTCCAAACTACCAGTCCAGTATTTAAGATCTTTATCTGTTTTTTCAGGATCATCAAAAGATGGTCAAATGAAAATTATTAAATAGCTTTTCAGGCAATGTCCACATGGAACACAACATTTATCAGCACATATGACAAAGGTTTATAGAAATTGCATCTATGTTCATATCTCTGATTCTTGGTAAGACTGTCTCATGCTAAAGTCTCGTAATTAACCCCACTGAGACATGTGGACATGCTTATGGAACTTCAGTGGAACTCAAGCTCCCATGGACAAAATCTAGGACCCAGTAACAGAAGCCAGTTTCAAAATACTCGCCTCCTACAGGTCCTGTAAAATGTCGTGCCATTTCCACTCTCCAATCCAAAAGAGCTAAATTCAGTCATGACTTTGGGAATATGATATATCATACATTTATTTTACGATAACCTAGATCAAATTTTGTCAATGATGGAGGCGACTCAAATTAAATAAAAGTGTTCCATGTAAAATTCTGCCATAGACAATGCTTTTCATGTGCCCCAAAACCTGTTCCGTGTTTTATGTTCAGGTTATACAATTTTTATTTTATTGAATAATGGAATTCAGTGATCATTCCTTAACAAATTAGGATACTTGGCCAGTCAGTAACCATAGTGATTTATCAAACACTAGAGATACGGACGAAAGTGGGCCATCCTACTCCTCAGGGTCTCTGAGAATATACAACATACTATCACCAAGGAAGCTGATGCAACATTAAAATATATATACAATACCAAGATTGGGAAAATTGAAAACAAGGCAGCAGACAGTGTTCCAAAATAAATGCATAGATGAAATAATCAGCAGAGGAAATCTTACTTGATATTGAGGAATGGCTACTTGTTTCCGGCACACCTGCATCTAACGTAGGGGCAGATGAAGATTCTCGTGGCATTTCCAAAGTTGAAAGTCCTTTAGTAGAAGGATCTACAAACAGAAATATTATTTAAAACTCAGGACACTGATTAAAAGCAAGTTCAAGAACCTTTTCTATATCTTTTACCTCTTGTCTACTACAACCATTCAACTCTTTATACACTTTCCTGGCCTAATAATTACTTTCATGGAATTACATATACACTAGTTACAATGCTCCAGGGAGAGCTGACTCTATGTGACATTCTGCACCTATGGATCTGCCTTTTGGAGATTAATGATAGCAAAATTACAGAGCTAAAGCTCAGCTGTTCACAATGCATATCCCCAAACAAATTCCTTAACCTTTCTGTACTAAATTTCTTTTCATCTAAGACCTAAATATGCTTAATAGTTCATCCCTATCTCCTGTCTAGGTACTCCACCTTTGTCTGACAATTTCCTACTTATCATTTGCGTCTCAATTTATATAGAAAATTCCTCCTTTAGGGAGGCTTCTACAACCTCTCTCCACAAAAATATACAAACAAAAATGCTGGGTCAGGTGCCCTTTTGATGTAATTACAGAGCACCTTGTCTTTAACCTTCTCCAGACTTACCACACTATAATCTAATTGTCTGTTTCCTTGCCCATAGCCTTCGCTAACCCTTAAGTGATTTAGGAGCATGGACTGTACTCAACCCGAAATAAATATGCATGATTAATTCAGATTTTGTATTTTATTTGTTGAGCAAGAAACAGACTGCCATTGGCTCTCCTATTTGACAAATGTTGAATTTAAAGTGAAATATTTTCTGCATATAATATTGTCTTATTAACCTATCAGTAATGGGAAACACTCTGTCCCACATTATTCTAGGTAACTACAAATTATTTTTCAAAACCTGCTGAAAAGTTTACTGGCTTCTTTCCAAACCTTGTTGCCATCTTAGGCAGCACCATGCAGTGAATATACTGAGCATCTTGCTGGCTTGGAGTTACCACCATGGGCTCCCATGACTACACTGTACTGGAATTCAGGGATGTCAACCCTAAATGGCTTCAAGTTCTTAAGCTTAATAGTGTTTCTGTCTCATCCTTGTCATGGTGCAAATTGTTTTTTCTTGCCAGAGAGCAAACCTCATACATTCATACAAACATACACTTTAAGGAAACAAATGCCATTCTATTATTAGATGATCATTAAACTTGCTAAACTATAGAACAGATCCTAGGTGAGGGTCTAGGAGAAAGGTTCCTGAGCACTGATTTCGAAGCATCTATTTTTGATTCTCAGAGGCCTTTCAAGTAGGTATGGTTGCCAGATTAATAACCTCTTGATAACAAAAAAGCATAACTCTTGTAAAGTTTCCCAAACCCTCTTAATAAAGCATAATGACTAATGTTAAATTACTTTAGCCATTAAGATAGTAAAGGTCAGCTATGATTTTTCTCTTAGGTATCCTCCCCAAACTACTAATCAAAAACATGCATAATTATCTCTCTTACCCTTACTGGCCTGCACTCTATGCAGGCTACAACTAACGCCTAATAATCTCACCAATAATGTTAGTGAAAAAGCTTAAAGCTAATTTTCAAGGATTCTCTGAAAGATTATTAAGCCTTTTAGAGTTTGGGTATGCCTATTTGTGTGTGTGTATATGAGTGTGTGTGAGATGGAGTCTTGCTCTATTGCCCAGTCTGGAGTGCAGTGGCATGAACTCAGCTCAGTGCAACCTCTGCCTCCTAGGTTCAAGTGATTCTCCTGCCTCAGTCTTCTGAGTAGCTGGGATTACAGGCACACACCACCATGCCCAGCTAATTTTTGTATTTTTAGTAGAGATGGGGTTTCACCATGTTGGCCAGACTGGTCTCGAACTCCTGACCTCAGGTGATACACCCACCTTGGCCTCCCAAAGTGCTCGGATTACAGGCATAAGCCACCGTGCCTGGCCTTGGTATCCCCATTAAAATCCTTGCTGTATCTTTAATTTTAAAGAAACGTCTTGCTGTAAGAAGGTCGGTAATAAGCATTAGTGTACTAAGATTCTGTTAGCGAGGCAATCTTTCCTCAGCCCTCCATCATTTTATGAAAGATTTTACTTGCATAAATTTAAGATAAATATCTGAATAGAGCTATCCACTTGGCTTAAAATATTTGTATTCAATTTTTATAGTGATGGGAAGAAAATGTCAGGCTATCCTTTCATTCCTTCATCAGACATTTGCCAGCTCTCTATTGGTCACTTGTGATAGAGTCAGTGAACAAATCAGACAAAATCTTTGCCTTCAGGAGCTTTCATTTGGGAGGGGAGAGACAGACAATAATTCATACGCATAAAAGTGAATAAATTATTGTATGTTGGAAGATCAATTCTCTGTAGGAGAGAAACAGAGAAGAGAAAGACAGACATCAAGATACCAGGTAGGGGCTGGAGAGTAGGGCATCGCAGAGAACCTGGTGTTGGATCAAAGAATTAAAAGGGAGAGAATGAGCCAGACAGATATTTGGCAGTTCCAGGTTGAGGGAGCAATCAGTGGAAAGGCCCAAAGGTAAAGAATACAAAGGCGGGTGTTCAAGACCTGACAAGGGGTCACTGTGGCTAGGTAGCATTGTGGTGAGAATAGTGTGAATGCAGTTGAGAGCCAATGAGGACTAGGACCACATAGGGCTTTGCAGGAATTTAAAGAACTTGTGTTTTGCTATGAAAGAAATAGCGAGTCACTGGAAGTCTTTAAGCAGGGGAATGGTGTAATCTCCTATTTTAAAAGATCACTCCGGCTGTTGTGTTGAGAGGACATGAAGGTAATAGGAGTGTAAAATACTACTACTAAATAAAATACTACTAAAATAATCATCCCTAGCCAATTCCATTTTTTCTAAAGTCAGGAGGCTCTAGCAGTTCATCTAGGTCAGAGATGTCAGTGGCTCAGGCCAGAGTGGAAACAGTGGAGGTAAGAAGAAGGTGCCACATTCTGGATGTGTTTTGAAGGTAGATTAAGTTTGCCAGATTAAATAGAAGATGCTCAGTTAAATGTTAATTTCAGATAAACAACAGATAATATTTTCATATGAGTAAAAATAGTCCCATGCAATATTTGAGAGATGTGGCCCCAATTCTTCATATCTCCCTGAATCCATGCCTTTCACCATGTGACTTTAAAGTTCTACCACTAAAGAGGGAGAGTATATTTCCCCTCTTGACTTTGGTTCAGCCATGTGATTTGCTTTGGCTGACAGAATGTTTGCAAGAATAACATGGCCAGAGGCTTGGAAAGTGCCTGTGCAACACGGCTTGTTCTTTTGTGACTCTGCCATCACCATGGCAGAATATTTCCAGGCTTCAAGGTCCAGGTCGAGGTCAGCAGGCATGAGAAGCAGAGCCTAGCCACCCAGCCTTGGCCAATCCCCAGGTGAGTTGTAGACTCTCGAACTAAATAAATACTTGTTGTAAGCTGCTGAGGTGTTTGTTACACAGCATTATTTCCGCAATAGGTCACTGATGGTTGTCTTAGCATACAGACAATATCTAAAGGCTAAAACCAGATGAGACCATTGAGAGAGGGAGAGTTCATAGAGAAGAGACTAGGATCAAGGACAGAGACCACAAGTCACTCTGTCATTAAGGAAATAGAGAGGAACCAAAGAGAATGATGGGGTGACCAACAGTGTCAAAGACTGCAGATATGTCAGCATCAGACCTCATGACTGACTGCTGACAGATTTAGCAGTGAAGGACACTGGTGACCTTGACAACTGCTCTTTGGGTGAAATAGTAGGAATGAAAGCTTCATAGGAATGATTTTTTTAAGAGACAGGGTATCACCATGTTGTCCAGGCTGGAGTGCTGTGGCTATTCACAAGTGCAATCATAGCACACTACAGCCTCCAACTTCCAGTCTCAAGAGATCCTCCTGCTTCAGCACTCCAAGCAGCTGGGACTACAGGTGTGTGCCACCATGCCCAGCTTATGAACAGCTTTTAGAAATAACAGACTGGAAGAAAATTGGAGATAGTATAGAGTTGTCTCTTCCAAACTCTATACTAACGTTTGTCTCTTCCAAACTCTATACTAATGTTTGTCTCTTCCAAACTCTATACTAAAACATTAAAAATGATACCAAAAATTAAATGATACCAAAATTTAAAATGATACCAATCAACATTATGTGTTTTTGTTTTCTTTTAATTTTAATTCATTAGTATGTTTTAGTATAGAGTTTGGAAGAGACAACTTTAATAGAATTTGGGAGAGACAACTCTATTCTATCTCTTCCAAAATGTTTTGCTACAAGGAAAGGAGTAAAATGGGCTAATAGTTGGGAGAACATGGATCAAGTGCTTTTGTTTGTTTAAGAAAGAGAAATAAGATTATGTTTGCAGGCTCAAATCAAGGGTCCTTTAGGAAAAAAAAATACTAAGAGAGGATACAGAAGGGAGAATTTTAGGGGCCTATATTCTTGAGTAAGCGAGAGAGATAGAATCGTGTCCACATGTGGAAAGGCTGGGTGTAGACAGGACTACAGACAGTTAACCTACATACAGCCCCAGCCAGGAAGTCCAGGTGTGTAGGTGCAGAAGCTGGAAGGTGGGCAGATAAGGTGATAGGAGGCTGTGGAAAGTCCTTCTAATTATGTCAATTGCAAGACTTATTGAAAGTTTGGGGAGAAAAGTAGCTATGAAATAGTCATTTAGGAGACTGGAAATGTGAATGGACCAGGAAAATATGTTACGATTGTCAGGTTGAAGGACCCAGTTGAGGTTCATGGCCATTAATTTAAAATGATACCAGCCAACATTATGTGTTTTTGTTTTTCTTTTTTTAAATTTTATTTTGTGCATGTAGTTGCACTTCATACAATTTCATTTGCAAAATGAGGCAGTGGGACAGATTTGGCCCATGTGCTGTTGCTGACCAATCCTGGATCTATGTTTTCACTGGTCATGTTAAGGAATTCAAGCACATTTCTTAATTTTCTTTTAATTTCTTGAAAAATGCATTATGTGTTTTCACCCAGTCACATTCATCTGATAGGTGCAGGTACTGGTAGAGGGAAAGCTGGATTTAACACAGGTTGTGTTTAGCCAAGCAAATCTAAAAAGGGAAAGGCCCAAGAGGGTGCAGGCAGGGAGGGATTACATTGATAGCCTTGAGTTTAAGTTGAGTAAGGAGAAAAGACACGAAGTAGGGGAGGGACAGCAAAAAAATACTTGGATCAATACACAATTGTCCAGGGAGAGAAGAAATGGTAATCAGAGGATGAGAGATGAAACTGAGATCATGAAGAGGTTGCAGTTATTGGCAAATAATAAGGTCTGCAATGTGACCATGGGTGTGAGCAGCTGAGCTAAGGTGGAGGATAAAAAAACAATCGCTGGAGAAGATGCATTCAAGGAAACCAAGTGTCAGGAGTGTCATCTACACTAATATTAAAATCCACAGGAATTAAGACAGGAATAATTTAGGAAAGAATAAGAAGGGCCACGAATCAAATTTGTCAACAAGTGAGGAAGAGCCAGGGTTCGTGATGATGCAGCAATGCAAGTAGTGGGTGCCGTGATCTGAGGGTATGCAGCTCAGAGAGGGAGTTTCTAGAGACAAGAAGGGAAGGGTCTGAAAGGGGAAGTGTGGAGCAAGGAAGATGCTGCCCCTGGCCAAGTCCAGTGACATGGGCTGTAGGGAAAGCAATGTCCTCAGGGAGAGCTGGGCTTCCATTAGACTCAGAAGGCAAGGGAAATAGAGGAGAATGTGTGTGAGGGATTTTGCTCATGAAGGACCATGAATTTCCTAGGACACAGGGGAAGGGTTTCAGGAGTCAGGGTAACGAAGGAGAAAGCTTCAGAACAGAAGGTATGCAAGGCCTTGTGGAGCTCTGAGTGAGGGATACGGAGGACGACCCAGTACTCTAGGGACTGACGTAAACAGAGTGAAGTGCACAGTGAGGTTAGTCCTGGACTCCTGGCAGTTAGCAGGGGCAAGGCTGTGCGTCTGGGAGGGTTTGGAGGGGCAAGTGTATGGGCCTCCCTCACTCCTGATGATGGACACAGGAAAGTCTGGGGACGCCTGGGTCATGCTCTGAGCACACGGGACTCCTTCCCATGCCCAGCAAGGAGGGGCAGAAGAGATCAGATCAGAGTCAGTGGGAGGCAAAGCCTTATGGAGACATACAATTATGATGACAGTAAAATAATATTATGCCATTTTAAAGACATGTTATAACTATCATGTATTTTTCCCCTGTTCTGTTAACAAATAATTTCCTCCCTGGTAGTCTGGGGAACAATCAAACATAAGGGTGAATAAAGAAGCCAACACAGTTGCACACACAAACCTGCATGCTAGAACCTACATGCAACCTACACATCACAGAGACTCACCCTGTAGACCTCAGCTTCGTATGCACCAGCCCTATAGACCTCTATCATTTCTAGGTCAATGCCCTCCTCCTTCCATATGCAACCATGTTCCTGGCCCCAAACAATAAAAAGGTGTCCCAGTTTCCCTGAAAGCCTTCTTAACTTCTTAAACTTTCTTGTTATGAACAAGGACCGTTTTTTCCCTGCCTGGCTGGAGCATGACCCTTTCCAAACACGCCAATGTTCATTCAACAGATTTTTACAGCGCGTTTTTGAGGTAGACAGCTCTGTCCTAGGAGCTAAAGGGCAGCTAGAAACCTCTGGAAATGCCTGGGGCAAATAAAAAAGCCGAGTGCATTCCCTTAGAAGTGGCTTTTGTGTGGAACAGCGGGAAAACGTGACTGGAATCAGGCACTGCTTCTGTCTGGCCATGTGACCTGGTGCATCCCCTCCTCTAAGCCTCGGTATCTTCCTGTATAATATGAGGGGCTAGGCTAGAGGTCTTTAAGACCTTCACCAGTTTTTAACATTCCACAGTCTATATATCTACTAAAATAATCATCCCTAGCCAATTCCATTTCTTCTAAAGTCCCATTAACTTTTTTATTTTATTTTATTTTTTTAGACGGAGTCTCACTCTGTCACCAGGCTGGAGTGCAGTGGCACCATCTCACCTCACTGTAACCTCCGCCTCCCAGGTTCAAGCAATTCTCCTGCCTCAGCCTCCTGAGTAGCTGGGATGATAGGCGTGCGCCACCACGCCCAACTAATTTTTGTATTCTTAGTAGAGACGGGGTTTCACTATGTTGGCCAGGATGGTCTTGATCTCTTGATCTCATGATCTGCCCGCCTCAGCCTCCCAAAATGCTGGGATTACAGGCATGAACCACTACGCCCAGCCCCATTAACTTTTTTTAAAAGATCTGAACTAAGAAATGAAGATGGGTTTTGATCAGTGTTGCGGTAACATTACAGAAGACTGTTATAGGATGAGGTGGATCATGGGCTTGCCATTTCTTTCAAGTTATCTTTCTTAGAAACAATGCCTCCAAGCAAACACAAGAAATGGCCCTGAGGCAGGAAACCCATGGGCTGTGATAACTTCATCACCAAGTGATGACCGTGGGTTAGGGTCTAGGCTGTAACTGGTATTTTTTGGTTTCTGATATTTGGTTAGTATCTACAATCAGCTGTATGCCCTGTAAGTGATTATACAGTCAATTCTTAATCATTCTAGGGCACTCTGCTTTATTTTAGCCTCCACATTGGTTCCTTCTTTGGACTATATCATAGCTCACTAGTACAGGGCAGAGAAAAAAAGAAAGCAAAGAGTTCAAGTTAATGACTTTTGCTGTTTGAGGAAGGCTGAGATGATACCTGGATTATCCTGATACGAATTAACCAATGCATCTCATTGCCAAGGGTGGTCAAGAATTGACTGCAGAGTTTAAAACAACAAAAACAGAAACATTTGTGGAGCCAGTAGAACCACATCTGCATCCAACATTGTCCATTAAACAGGAAGGATTCAGAGTGATTGAGAAGCCATTATAATGTCACACCCTGACATTATAAGAGTTTGAGTCTGATGCATATTCAGTGCCGGTACCCTATCAAACAAGATGCACAAACTTAAAGTTAAGGCTGAGAGAAAGAAGAGAGGCGAGCTTACCTGGATCTTTCTGTTCTCCCAGTTTGTCCAGAATGTTGAAGGAGATGTCGAGGTACTCTCTCTGGATAGCACTGACAGCAATCTTCCTCTGCTTCCTCTGCCTGGGAACAATCTGAATCTTAAATTCGGATTCCTCAGCTCCATCCTCTTCCACCTTCCTTTCAGGATTCTGTTCTGTATCAGATTCTGCACTGGTATCAGGCTTCTCACTTTCTGTGGGGTTCTCTGCATCTTCGGGAACTTTGAGGAGGACGGTTTTTGCCCCTGAACTTGGCATCAGCTCCCCAGGCTTCTCCCCCTCAGTGCCCGGGTCAGGGTGATCATCCAGCGACATCTCGGGGAGAGCAAACGACTTCTGAAGGAGGTCTCGTTTTTGCTTCAGCGTCAGTGGGCTACCGCAGGAGAACTCTGGCAGCTCCTCTGGCTTTGAGGATCCTTCGGCGTCCATAGGGTCTTCCAGAGTGATGAGGGCAGAGTCAGTGTTCCCTGCTGACTGATTATTTCCTGAGTCCTTAGAAGAAAAGTCTTTGGAACAATCCTCCACACTTACTTGTACAAGCGGAGCTGTGCTCAGGCTGAGGACGGAGGGATGGCTGGGGACGGAGGGAGAAGAGGCAGCATTTTTACCGGAGGGGCCGTCATCGCCTTGGTTCATCGTCTCCTCTTCTTCGTCACTCTCGACTATTCTGAGAGGGGGAAGAGGCTCAAATACAAGAGAGTCGCTGTCGGAGGTTGAGAGTATAGAGTGTTTTTCAGGCCCCGAGGTTGAATCTGAGGATAGATCTATCAGATCTAAATCCTCTTTAGGAGCAGGCTTTACCGGCGAGTCAACTTTCACCTCGAAAGTCTCCATACAGTTTAACCTAACCTCTGGTATGACAGGCCTTCGAGCATCTGGAAACCCTTCCATAGCTGGGTTCTCGGGGATTTCACTATTGTCAGGCCTCGTAGCAGAGTTCTGTCTAGAACGTCCAGGGTCGTTTGGTCTTTGTGCGATATACGCAGCTTGGGTCGGAGGCTTCTCTATGTCACACCGATCTATGCACGACTTCCTACGATGTTCGTCTAATGTAAACAAAAGCGAGTCTGCATTCCCTATATCAAGAGATTTTTGTTTGAAAGAGCGTAGCTTTTTTTTCGGAATGCTTTCTTCTCTCACACAGTGGAGAAGGCTGTCTTGTAATGCACCCGTCTCTCTATATTCAGCCAGTTCTATTTCACCTGATCAAAACAGAAAAAGCTAGTACTATTTTACTTGGAGATTTCACCATTTTTTCCCCTCATCCTTGGGCATACAATTGGCATAAATCATCATCACAATCCCAGCTCCACCAGGAGGGAAAACGAACTTTCTGGCCAAGTTTTTGTAAGGTTCGTTCTAATTTCAAAAACTGGAAAATTTACGAATGAAAGAAACCAAAATGGCAGTTTAAGATCTGATTTCCAAAATCGGGCTTCGGGATAATTCCTCAGCTCTGTTCATTTGTGCATAGGAGAGGGGATCATTTTTTGGCTGAGGCAGATCTAGGAAACTGTATTCAAATCGTGTGGAAGAGAAGCAAACATTTTGCAACAAATCAAATCAAGCAATGGCTCTCAAAGACGATCATGACATTAATGATGTATCTGTCGATTCACGTATATATATAAATGTGTATATATATATACTGTTTGTGCATACATATATATAAATCAACGGTATTAAAATGTGTAGTAACATAATAAAATTAAGATTTCACCCCAAACAAACGGTAGAGTACAACATTTCTGCATAAAATTACTAAGAGAAAAAATTCATACTTCTCTGAACATTCATCTCAACCGGCTGATATTTCACCATTTTGCTGCCGCCTATTCTTTTCAATCTTGCAAAAAAAGTTTGAGACTCTTTATTGCAGGGTCCAGTAGGTGTATCATGAATATCAGATTCATCAAAAACACTATCTTCTTCTAATTGGGGAGAGAAAGTCAAAATTACACTTAAGAGGTTATTCTCTCTTAGGCTGTGTCTACACAAGCATTTCAATGAAAGCATTATGGAACAAGGTCTGGGTTAGTTTCTGCACCAGCCCAAGTCTAGCCATGGGTTGGTATTTCATCCAGGCATCAAATTCTCCATCTATTGGACAGAGCAAGCTGTTACAAGATTGCCCATCACTTTTCACATGACAATTGGCAGCATTTTTAAGGAGAGGCTTCTTGAGAGTCCAATAGCGCCTTTTTGGGAAACTTTTCCAGTGTGCTTAACACCAGATGACACATAGATGTCAGCTACTTTTTCCAGGAGCCTGTGACACTGCTTGGACTTGTCTGCTTTGCGTGGATTTTCAGGCTGATTTGGCGAAAGGAAATTAAACAAAATGAGTGGATCTTGGGCTTTCCAAAAAAGAAAAAAAAATCTGCCTTTATGGGATTTGGTAACTGGCATAGACACAGCCTAACAGTACATGCACCTTATACGGTGTGAATGCAAAATACTGTACTCTACATTTGATAATGAGACACGCAACACACAGAAAAAGCTTAGAAAAGCCACTTGTCATCTCAAAAGCTCCACGAATGATTATGGACTGAAAGAGTAAACAAAGGAAAAAGAAAACAGAAAATAACATTTCCTCCTATTAAAGTAAGACTCTTCTCTGAGGCGCTTACCACGTGTAACTATTACGGATCTCATGAATCCCAGAAAGAATCTTTGACACTTATGATCCCTAATCCTACATAAACAAACCGGTCACTTTGAGTGCCTGTTGAACTTGTTTCTACGTCCTCCCTTCTACACCCATGTGGCCATTTTTAAATCCAAGATAAACCCCAAAATATGTTAATGAGGAAAGAGTTCATATGTTGCAACCCATAAAGTTTACTTAACCAATTTTCTTCTTTCGTCCTTTTGAAAGGCCAAAGCCACGTACAAAGTGGCAACAGAAAAGGCTACTAAAATGCATTTAATAGCATCATAATGAGTTTACCTACTATTCAAGTTGAATATCACTGAACTCATAATGTTTGGCCTGTATTTACATCTACCTATATGACAAATGAGGCTCAGGTGCGATTATGATTATTCAAGGTTTTTTTTAGCATAAGGGCAGTATATACATCAAGTTTTAAGGACTGACCCTGTTCTAATGCACAAAATTCTACAAGTAAATGAAACTTGAAGTAGTAAATTTTAGATGAAATAACCATACTAAACTTTTTAATTAAATAAAAATAAATGTTAATCAAAATGAATTTGTTTTTAAACCCAGTGAACTTCCACAAAGATGGGAATGCCTATCAAATTCCCATGTTTCTGGGGAAACGCAACACAATAATCTGTTTTACTTCTCTATTTCCTTTTTGGAAAAATATCCTTTGAAAAATGCAGTTTTTCCAACCAATAGTTACGTGACTTGCATTACATAACTTTGAAACAATTTTCAAAATGCATTGAACACTCAAGACTGAAAGACCACAAGATGGCGCCTCCCATCCAGAAAGGTTCATCAGGGTTTGGCCCAAACACTAAGCCCACGCTGAAAACATCCATAGCTTAACAGATCTCCCCAATTTGCCAGAGACTAAACCCTAAACTGGTAGACAAGATATTCTTTAGGAGGGATCTGAATGGTACCAGAACTTAAAGAACCTAGTTCTCGAGTTCCGTCTGTAGCCAAACTAGATTTTTGGAACTTTCAGCAATAACAAACAGGAACACTGGTACAATTTATACTTTTGAGGTATCTCCAGAGCAGTCCTACTAAAACAGACTCTACTAACCTCATAAAGGGTCAGTGGACACTTGGTTTTTTCCAAAGACTAGATTAAATGATGTCAATTTAAAATCTAGTCAGCCGTGACTTACACTAAAAACTAAAAATATACACCCTGGTTCTTCGTGTCTCACCTGAAAACAGGCTGCAATTTTACCCTAGCTAAAGTTGCATTCTACTGCCCCTTTTAGAAAAAGGTAGCAATAGAAAAAGTGTTGATAATGGAGATAGCTTACACCTATGCAGCAAAAATGTTTCATTTCCCTTGCCTTGAATCACTTTGTATTAAATTAAAAGTCTAGGAAAAAGCACTTCAGCAAACTTAGACTCCATTGAAACTCTATGAGCGCAAAGACCAGGGCAAACTAGAGACCTACAAAGAATGGCTCCACTGTGTGCCAACCAAGACTTATTTTATAGCCCAAAAACGAGATGCTTCTAACACGTAAGAAAAGGCTTACAAAGGCTCCTGATTCAAACAGCAGAAAATATCTTACAAAATATTATTTCTTATGATACAGGCTTTGGAAGCACATCATTTATTCCTCTTGAATGCTCAATTTCAAAGTTAAAGCAGCAACATTCATGGAAAGTTGGAAAATTAAGAAAGTGATTTTTTTTTTTACTCCAGAATGATATCTGGGAACACTCTTCTATCTCCTAAGAAAACATTGTCCAGAAATCTATTATGTATTGAAGCTAGGTTTGGGATAGAATTTAGATATGTACCTTTTTCTTTTTCGCTGTATCTGCTTATGTTACTGTTGTCACTGTACAAAGGTCCTGCCGTGGCATGGGGCTTGCAGCTATGATACTGCGCATTGAGTGTATTGACTGTTATGTGAATCAGATGCAGCAGGATCTTGCTGATATCACAGTCTCGGTATGGATACTGCCCAATGAAACGAGAGAGAAAAAGATAAATGGTTATTTTAGAGGGTAAGCTTTTCCACCTGATCTTGCTGGATACTTTTTGCAGTATCTCTTGGGGATAAATATATATATGAGAGAGAGAGAGAAGTAGAAACAAATTCTGCTCATGGCCTTATTTATTTGTTTAGTTAGAGACAGGGTCTCACTCTGTCACCCAGGTTGGAGTGCTGTGGCGTGATCATAGCAGCCTACCGGGCTCAGGTGATCCTCCCACCTCAGCCTCCCAAGTAGGTGGGACCAGGCACGTGCAACCATGCTTGGCTAATTTTTTGTAGAGATGGGATTTCACCATGTTGCTCAGGCTGGGCTCGAACTCCCGGAGTCAGGCAACCTACCCACCTCGGCCTCCCATAAGTGCTGGGATTACAGCAGTGAGCCACCACGCCCTCCCCCATGGCCTTATTTTTACAAGGGACCATATTCATTTCCTCCTTCACCAAACCACTGACAGCAATGCATGCCAGTTCATAGTTACATTTCTTTTCAAGAAAATTATCTGGCATAAACCTTTAGTGGATGAATACAATTTCAGATATCTTTTGTTTTCTGAAATAATAATACTTAGACAAAATACAAGACTGAGTATAAACAGAGGTTCTTGATCAGTAGCCTACCATTTATCATTCTTTGTTTTAAACATTTTTAGAGCATATATTAACAGGGCCTCCCATTTCTATTTTCATTTCAATAGCTCTTTGGTTCTTAACAGTAATTGCATATCCTGATCTTCCTTCTGAAGGTCAAACTTCTACAAAATTTTCAACTAAAGACTCAGGTGTTCTCCTAATGCTATATGCTCTCTAAGAGAACCATTGCATCCAAAACAGCAGTGACCACCCAGCTCACCTTGTAAAGGATGACAAGCAAGGCCTTCAACCACATCTGCCGGATGTGAGGCTTTAGGGACCAGAGGGAGCAACGAGGCGGCTGTTGGAAATAATGCCGGAGTTGAGGACAAGAGCAGTATTTGAGCACCTGAACCACTAAGGGGAGAAGGTGTTTTCCCAAGTTAATGTTATAGTCCATAACCTGAAATAGAAAAAATATTAATAACTGATGGAAAACTACAAAGAACACTCAGAGGTCAAAAGGAAAAATTTGAGCCATCCCAGTGGTTAAAATTTTTAACAGGCAAAATATTTAACAGGCATCCCACAGAATATTAAAAGTAATGGCTAGTACGCAAGAAGGAGGAAAAGTCCAACCTCACAAAAAATTTTTGAAACTTGTAAATGAAAATAGTTTTAATCTAATTAATTATTTGTTTCAGTACCTATTGAAAATAAAATTTTGTCCATTCAACTATTAACCAGAGTTAAACTAGACAATGAAGAAACCTAGTATTGGTAACCACCTGCAGAAATGGGAATTCCTAGACGACCGGCAATACTTGGTTCAATCTGAACCAAGTATTATACCAACCAAACTTGATACAATCT
The DNA here is from genome assembly GCF_000001405.40 of Homo sapiens. Classification (NCBI taxonomy): domain Eukaryota; kingdom Metazoa; phylum Chordata; class Mammalia; order Primates; family Hominidae; genus Homo; species Homo sapiens. Next base: position 93,616,711 of record NC_000014.9, on the reverse strand, counting down.
TTCAGGAGAACAATTTAGTAATATATATTCAGGAATAAGAAAAAGCACATGCCAGGTGCAGTGGCTCATGCCTGCAATCCCAGCACTTTAGGAGGCTGAGGCAGATAGATTGCTTGAGCCCAAGAGTATGCTCAGGCAACACGGCGAAACCCTGTCTCTACCAAAAATACAATAAGTTAATTCGGTGTGGTGGCACACACCTATAGTCCTAGCTACTCGGGAGGCTGAGCTGGGAGGATCCTCTGAGCCTGGGAGGTCGAGGCTGCAGTGAGCCATGATCACACCACTGCACTCCAGCCTGGGCTACCAGAGTGAGACCCTGTCTCAAAAAAAAAAAAAAAAAAAGGAAAAAAGAAAGAAAGAAAAAGCATATACCGTCTAATACAGCCATTAAATATATCCCAAAGACATAATCAGACAAGTGTTCCAAAATGTATGTATAAAGAAATTCAGCATGGCTTTGTTTATAGTCACCCCAAACTGAAAACAACCTCCATATTCAATAATATGGGATTAGATAAACAAAATACTGTTTGTATAACTACAGAAAACTATGTAGCCACTATACAGAATATGATACAAATTTATTTACATGATATAAACTTCATAATAAATTTTAGGTTTAAAAAGGTTGCACCAAAATCTCAGAAATCACCACTAAAGAACTTAACCATGTAAGCAAACACCACCTGTTCGCCAAAAACCCATTGAAATAAAAAAATTTTAAAAAGGTGGCATATATATCAGTATGTATAATATGAACCTATTATTGTAAAAATGCACAGACATACATATGTGAGTATGAAATTATGTATGTGTATAAATTTGGAGGGAGCAATATATGCCAAAATGTTAGGGAGTTATTTTTGACACGGGTTTTCTGGAGTTATACAAACCCCATATAAAAATTTAATTTTTAATTTTTAGCTTATATTTCTTTTTTTCTTTTCTTCTTTTCTTCTTTTCTTTTTTTTTTTTTTTTTTTTTTTTTGAGATGGAGTCTCACTCTGTCACCCAGGCTGGAGTTTAGTGGTGCAATCTTGGCTCACTGCAACTCTACCTCCCAGGTTCCAGCGATTCACCTGCCTCAGTCTCCCATGTAGCTGGGACTACAGGCACATGGCACCACACCCAGCTAATTTTTGTATTTTTAGTAGAGACAGGGTTTCACCATATTGGCCAGGCAGGTTTCGAACTCCTGACCTCGTGATCCTCCCACCTCGGCCTACCAAAGTGCTGGGATTACAAGCATGAGCCACCATGCCCAGCCTTGATTTTAGCTTATATTTCTAAAGTAGACATGCATAATGTGGACTTAGAGGGTGGGGAGAAGAGGGAGGGAGGCTTTGGTATCTGAAACAGTGACAGCTGAGAAAAAGCGGTGATCCATCCAGTTATCAGCATCAGCACAGGACGACTACACGCACATTGCTCTCACGTTGCTCATCTTTGTTCATTATGTTACAATCTATTTGAGCTAATTGACAATAACAGCAATCATCTATTGAGTTCCTACCATGAGACAGGCATTGATCAAGGTGCTTTGCAATATGTTTTCTCTAATCTATCAAAAAAGGAAATCTGTGTACCAATAAGCAAGCAAGCAGAGAGTGCCTAAGCCCTAGCAACTAATAACAGAGGTGGAGCTGAAATTCATATCCACATCTCTGTAGCCCCAAGTCCTCTATCTTTGCAGATTGGTGCAGCTGTTCTGGAGAGTGAGATTTGTAGCACTGACCAAATTAGGCATACATTTACCCTACCACCCAGCAGTTCTTCTGGATCCATCTCCCTAAGGAATTCTCACATTGGCTGATACGGTGTGTATACAAAGATGCTTATTACTGAACTGTTTGGGGTAGTGAGGCATTGGGAGCAATATGAGTCCATAACTAGGGGAATGGATGAGTAAAGTATGGTGTCTGTCCACCATGGCATGCAATACAGCAGTTAGAAGTAGCAGATGCACATGGAAAAGCCAGTGATGATGGTGTGGCATAAAGTTAAGTTGTATGATTAATTCAACTCTCTCCACCTGAAGCCAAAAAAGGAAGAGGATTTTTTTTTTTTTTTTTTAAACACACACAAACAGTGGCCGGGCGCCGTGGCTCATGCCTGTAATTCTAGCACTTTGGGAGGCCAAGGTGGGTGGATCACTTGAGGCCAGGAGCTCAAGACCAGCCTGACCAACATGGTGAAACCTCGTCTCTACTAAAAATACAAAAAAATTAGCTAAGCGTGGTGGCGGGTGCCTGTGATCCCAGCTATTCTGGAGGCTGAAGCAGGAGAATGGCCTGAACCCAGGAGGCGGAGCTTGCAGTGAGCCGAGACTGCGCCACTGCACTCCAGCCTGGCCACACAGCGAGACTCCGTCTCTAAATAAATAAATAAATAAATAAATAAATAAATAAAAATAAAACCACACAAACAAAAAAGCCTATACTCTTTTATTGTTTAATGGGTACAGAGTTTCAGTTTAGGATGATAAAAAAGTTCTGAGGATGGATGCTTGTGATGGTTACACAATAACATAAAATTACTCAATGCCACTGAACTGTACACTTACAACTGTTAAAATGGCAAATTGTATGTATATTTTACAAAAGGAAAAAAATCTCCCATGCTCCCTTGATGATACCAGGCTACCAATTCTTTTTTTTTTTTTTTTACTGTGCATGAAAATGTTTGATAAAATGGCAATTTTAATAGATAAATGTAAATTTGAGTGTGTAATACCAAATGGAAAGTAGCTGAAACACACAGAGAAAACAAGGCTTTACGTAGCTCCAAATTTAGCTGTTTTACACCAAACAAAGTATTGGAACATGTGAATATTAGAACCTCCTTCTAACTGGAAAGATTTCTTCATTAAGATACAATTGAAATTAATATAAACTAAAATTATAATTTCTAACATAGAATTAACAAACCAAATTTAAGTATTTTTGGTTAGTAATTGAAAAAAAATAGGCACAGTGATCTAGAAACCAAATATACTGGCCGGGCGCAGTGGCTCACGCCTGTAATCCCAGCACTTTGGGAGGCCAAGATGGGCGGATCACGAGGTCAGGAGATCAAGACCATCCTGGCTAACACGATGAAACCCCATCTCTACTAAAAATATAAAAAATTAGCTGGGCATGGTGGCGGGCGCCTGTAGTCCCAGCTACTTGGGAGGCTGAGGCAGGAGAATGGCGTGAACCCGGGAAGCGGACTTGCAGCGAGCTGAGATCACGCCACTGCACTCCAGCCTGGGCAACAGAGCGAGACTCCATCTCAAAAAAAAAAAAAGAAACCAAATATAGTAAAATGATTATGTAACTATCATATCAAGGTACAGACACTCTTCATATGCTACAAGGTTAGCATCTTTCTCTCTCTCTCTCTCACACACACACACACACACACACGCATGCAGTCTCTCTCTCTGTCATTTTCTGTCTCACTATTCCTCAGCCAGGCTCCCAATTCTTACTAATGTTCACATTCCCCTCCACATACTCCTGCATAATACCAAGCAATTTGTACAAACCTTTATGCTGAACCAACGTTGGCTACATGGTATGTAATGCCTTGCTTCTACTAAAAGTATAAAGGTGTGACTTCTGAAAGCTGTTATTACACTTACTTGGGCAATTCCTGCAATGAATGCATTAAAGCAAGTTGACAGGCGCATTTTTTGAGGTGCAATCATGAAGCAACCTTCCTGCTGGTCATAGCCGAGTAAGACGTACAGGTGTCGCTTGACCGTGTTGAAGGCCTTTGCACTGCTGATGTCTGACTCAGCGCTGCTTTCATCCTTGGCCATGAACTTCATGAGCACTGTAATCAGCTGGTGAACTGTCTGGTGGTCGATCCCAGCGTCTTCTGGGAGCAGGTCCTTGATGGTGTTGTCATTCTCAGGAGATTGTTGTCCTGTCAGTAGAAGAAAGGCTGTCAGTGGGTGGCTCACTCACAAGTGAAGTGACACTAAAATCTCTCTTAGATATTGATAAGGCACCCTTGTTTCTGCGTCTACAAAATTTTCTGCTCCAGACAGACTTTAAGAAACTTAAAGGCACAATATGGCCTAGTAGGCAGAGCCCTAGTCCAGGGGTGAAAGTTATTGTATTCATCAACAACCAAGTAATCTGGGAGAATTAGGGAATGGGAATAAAAATAGGGTGCTATGAAGCAATATTATCCTGAAACAGCAAGACAAATGCCTACATAAATTTTGCATTTAGCAAATTTTTTAATATGTTGGCAAAGTTTTATCCTCAGTGATAAAGGAAGTTTCCCTTCCAGCTTTGTAAAATAAGCATGTAAGAATAACTACAAAACGTTATAGTCTAAAATCCACTGAGGGCAAAACCACTGGGTTATTTTGTTTAAATTATTATCTCAATTTAGTTATGTTCATTAATCAGCTAGTGCAAAAAACAAATCTTTTCCAAACCCTGAGATATTAGCAATAGGCACTCTTTAAATGAAATAGCCAAAATTATAAATAGCAAATTATAAGCCCTGCTGTATGTCATGAGAAACATACAAGGAAGGGAGAGGACACAAACAGAAAGAGAGCGAAGCATGAACTTTTAAAAACAGAAAAACACCACATGAAGGTGAGCGGAAAGTTCACATGGAAAGAAAAAATACCTTCGCCCTTGGCCTCCTCTTAACCTAGTAAATAACAGCATCTGAGCAGCTCCCTGACATTGACTTTCTCTGTTATTTTTCAAAGTCAGAAGTTACCTTGTCTCTCTTTGTTCTTCTGCCCCTTCTTATCAGGTTTGGTTCAGGACTTTGGGAGAAGGAAGACTGATATTTGCTCTTCTATATTTATGGTTTGGGGATTATTCAAAATACTCTTGTCCTTTTTTTTTTTAATAAGAAACATTAGAATTTCTAAATTGAAAACAAATGTTTTGTCTGGTGGGTTAGATCAGCACACTGGCATTCTCATCTCTCATTCTGCAAGGAAACATTCTACTAAATGATGACAAGCTTTGGTTACAAACCATTATAAACCAAGCCTTGGTTACACCCATTATTATTACGGTATAAAGGATGCAACAAAGAGTTCGGCAGTCATTTATACCTATTAACTCCTCAGTTAATTTGGCAAAATCTCAGCCTTCCAGGACACAGCCAAGAGACGCGAGGCATAAGAAATGTTTCTGGGAATTGCAAAAATTTGCTATCTCAAGCCCACATACTTTTTCTCTGGGATAGGAGCATGAAGGTCAAATTCGGAATTTACCAGTTCAGACCTGCACATAAGGTAACAAGCTTAGTTGTCGAGTTTCCCAGACAATCAGATGAATGTTGGTCTGTTCAAAAGTGAACTGCTGAGAAGGGATAGTTGACAGTAAGTGAAGAGGCAACAGAGACAGCTTAGCGTAAGAGCCTCTAATACAGAGAAAACCATCTGACACACTTTAGTATGATTCCAGGACACTCACACTTTTCTGCCTCATACAATCTGTTCATGAAGGAATGAGTATGTATGACGCACTTTAGAGAAACTTTTTATCAAAAATTATTCAAATAAAACCTAAGAATTTGTTTATTACAGTGTTTCACATGCAGGGTGATCAATAAATTGTTAATATTATAATTACTTATTAGGCATGCATCAGGAAAAAAATCAATGTATGTGGAACACCCTATTTCAATGAGAGGCTAGAAAGGTGAAGCATCACAGCATGTGGTTCATAATATATGATTTGACCAAATACAATACCTATGTAAATCCTTGTAAGGCAAAATAGAAAAAGTTTACAGGGCTATTTTTTCAGCATTGAAAAATAGTTTACTCAGGCTGGGCAAAGTGGCTCACATCTGTAATCCCAGCACTTTGGGAGGCCGAGGTGGGAGAATCACTTGAGCCCAGGAGTTTGAGACCAGCCTAGGCAACATGACAAGACCTGGTCTCTACCAAAAATACAAAAATTAGCTGGACATGGTGGTGCACACCTGTAGTCCCAGCTACTCGGGAGGCTGAGGCAGGAGGATCACATGAGCTTGGGAAGTTGAAGCTGCAGTGAGCTGTGATCATGCCACTCTACTCCAGCCTGGGCAACAAAGCAAGACCTTGTCTCAAAAAAAAAAAAAGAAAGAAAGAAAAGAAAAGAAAAATATTTACTCTAGATTTGTTTTTCCACTAGAGTATTACTTTACAACTAGAAGGCCATTATTGCTTTGGACATGTTTGGGCCAAGAATATGACAGGGTTCCCTGCAGGGTTCAAAGTTATTGTGGCAGCAAGTAATGGCTGTTACAATATAGCTTCAATCTTCAACTCCTTTTAGCTCTGGGGTGCAAGGTTGAAGAGAACATGTATCACTCAGTCCTGCTCAGCCACCTCATGTTCACACTGGCTCAACTCCAAAGTCCCAAAGTTAAAAATTGGAACTGAAGAGTGTATGAGAGGAAGTTGCTCCTTTGTTTTATAGTGCTGAGAATCAAGGGACCTCAATACAGAAGAAAGGGAGCTCCCAGCAAGGCCCAGCTAGGACCCTGCCCATTTCCTTCCATCCCAATTCAAGTCTAGAAAATAGACCATCAGACTTCAGCTTAAATATTTAAAAACCCTTCTTCTCATTACAAGTGGGCATGTTTCTAAACAATGTGCAACCCTGAGTTTTCCCATCACATCATATTTTCCTGATGACTGTCATTTCATACATGCCCATCTCACTGATCATTTTCACTGATCTTAAGTTTGCTGCTTTCCCTGAATAGCAAGTAATGAGTAATCTTTAACAAATGTACTGAAAAAAGGATGTTTATGGAAACTTTTGCATAAAAAAATGTTAATCTCCTTTTATTCTAATAATTTACCCCTCCAGAGTGGGCTTTGCAAATCTGCACTTCGTTTATTGCCTCTCTTTGAAATAGAGTAAGCTTGTGACTGGTGCACTCTTCATAAAGACAAGTTACCTTAATCAAATCCCTAAGAAAAATGAGTTGTGGATAAGCTGAAATGTTCTCCATCGATAAAGACAATATTAATGTTTTAACCTAGAAAAGGTATGAAATTTCCATTTCAAAACTAAATGCCTACAAGCATTTTCTCTAAGAAAACAAAACACTTAATAGTATTGAATTCTAGTCTGTGAAATTCCTATATCTGTCCTAACCATAGAGATTTAACATGTTAAAGGGTCTGACGTTATATTTTCTATAAAGAGAAAATATATTTATAATTATAATTATGGAGGCAGAGCTATTCCTACCATACCTTTAATGTGGACTGATTCCATGACAATCTGCCCACAGAGCTGTGTAACTGATTGAAACTCCAAAGTGTAATACAGCATTATTTATTCAGATGATTTGAAACCAGGCAGGATCAGGATCTGCTTTTCCAGACTTATCTCCTATTATTTCACCCGAAATGGTCAACGTTCTTACAAGCTGGGCTACTCGTGGATCTCAGAATGGAGCCGTTTTTCCCTCTTTGCACCTTTGCTCATGGTGCTCTCTTCACCTTGCAAGGTGGTTCTCTACCCTCCCCCAACAATTTTGTGCTATAAACTGGTCCCCAAAAGCCATTCTTATTAGATATACCCAATATTCCTCTCAGCAATTGGATGTGATCCCTAAATTCTTTAAATTTCTAAGGACAAGAAAGGAGGGAGGACAGGAGAGAAAAAAAGAATGGAGGAAAATTTCCTTCAGCATTTTCCTAACTCCCATGTGGCCAATGACAATTATGCAAGGCAGAACATTTTGTGTATTCATTTGCCTTAATACTCCAATAAGAACATAGGCTTCTTGAAGGCAAATGACATATTTTATCCATCTTTATATCCCTCACAGAATAGGGGCCAATGTCTGACATATAGTAGATACTTATTATACATAAATGTCTGTCAAAGTGCACTAAACTCAAATAAATATGTCAGAGCTTACATTCTGTATAAGAGAAAAATTGATAAAGTCCCAAAGCAGCAGGAATATTGGAACGTTTCTCTATGTGAACTGACTCACTGACCCCTCTGCCAAACCAACAAGTGACAATTAGGTAGAGGAAGAAAGGATCCCTCCATGAGCTTACTCTGCACTTGGTCCAGGGCAGCCAATGAGTAAGCACTATAAATGAGGTTCCATTCCACAGGCAGCTCTCACTACACTGCCTCGCTCATCTCCCTGCTTCCTTACCTCAGTTTTCCCTTGTGTGTGCACATATCCACAGCAGGGCTGGAAAGCTGGGGCAGTGGCTAACTTCATATCCTCCTATGATCCCCATCCCTGCCTTTTCTCCTTCCTATTCCACATCCTATTATCATGTGTTTATGTCTCATCCACCAATCAAGCCTGGCTGAAAAGCCACCTGTCCATGAGACCTTCCCTGATGTCTCCAGCTGGTAGAAAGCTCCCCTCCCTTTGCATTTGACATGACTCATCCTACGTACTGTCACTTTCACTCAAGATGAGAGTTTACTGATGTTCATACTTAATATCCCTTACTTGGCCGTAAGCAAGTTAAGAGTATAAAAATTTCCAAAGCATCTTTGTATTCTTCGTATTTCCTAGTCCAGCAGGTGAAAAATAAATATTTGTTGAACAAGCATTTGTGGCACACACCTCTGATCCAAGCTACTCGGGAGGCTGAGGTGAGAGGATCCCTTGAGCCCAGAAGCTCAAGACCAGCCTGAGCCACATAGCAAGACCCCATCTCAAAAAAAGTATTTGTAATATTTGTTGAACAAAAATTGTCACTTCCAAAAAACATATCTTCAAACAAGAGTATTCCTATAAAAACAACTGTACTCTGACTTACTGGATCTTAATGGTCAATAGGCATTTTGCAAGTTAGTGAAGAAGTGAATCATAAACCATCTGTAGAAAGAAAGAGCCCAAAGAAAAGCTATTTGGAATTCTAGGCTGGGACACTAAGGAGACAGGAAAGGTCAATGCAAGAGTGCTTTATTGATCCTAACTAGTACTGGGCACCTTCTCTTATGGATACAAATGCAGGCCAAGAGATCTCCAGGTTTCTCTGCAGGCTGAGGCAGAACTTGGAGTACGCGAGTCCCACGAGAGATGGGGATAGCTCTGGACCAATCTGGGGTCCTAACTGGCAAAGTCTTTTGGTCTGGACACTCATGGCCTTAAGCCACTCTGTAGCAGGCCTGAAAGCCCAGGCCAACTCCATAACCAGACTGGTGTCCTCACGTCCCACAGGGCAGAAATACCCTAAGACCAGTTCATCAAGAGGTAGTTGTGGTAGAAAGAAAGAAAGCCAAATCCCTTGGATGCCAGCATCAGTTCTGATCCTAACTAGTTAGTCATATGTGACCTTAAGCAATCACCAAAGCAGAATCACTTAATCCCTCACTACATTAGTTTTCCTGTAAGTAAAGAGATACTATATATACAGGAAGGATTATCATTATTACATACCTATTATTGTTTAATTATGCGTTCCAGGCGATGAGGAACATGATATAATTAAGCACCCTATGTTCACATGGGATTGATACCATTAGTTCAGTATTGTGCTTATATAACATAATAACTGCTGCATTCTATTCAATTAATCTTCATCAGTATTCTAAATATATGAAGACAAAATTTCCTGGTTCTTACAGCACCAGTGAAAGTACTCCTTACGTCTAATCATACAAATTGTAGTAGCAGTTAAAAAGATTGTGTATCCCATCAATTAGGATGAAATGAAGGTGCTGAATTCCTACGGGCAGTTACTTGCCTTGTTACAGAGCTCAGGACCTCTGGGCTTGAGACCCAGAACAGTCACCAACAAGCTTGTTCTTTTGTGAGAATCAGTTTCTTCCTCTATAAAATGAGATTGTTAACACATCACTAATGTTTCAGCTATAAGATTCTATGAATTTTATTTAGATGCACAAAGCCTTTGATTTGAAAAGTCATAGAGAAATGTGACTCTCTGCAAACCTTGCAGAGTATACTTTCTATAGAAAACAGAATTTTCTATTCCATTTTCTGTGGGTATTATGTAAAGGTTAAGATCAGAGAGTCATAAATTGTAAATCCACTGCCAAAAAGTTCAACCTAAACAGCAATTAAATTTAAATCTTGTTGTATAAAGGGGAATCTGCTTTATTTCAAGTCTAATCAATAAGAGGTCCGCAAAGAGGAGCTCATTACTTGGACCAAAAAAAGTATGTTCGTTAAGTAGCAAGTTCTTCAGTTTCCATTTAATTACTGTCTTAAACCATTCTCCACAATCTTACGATAAATCTGGCATGTCCTTGCTTCCAAGTTAGAAACAGTCAGGGTCCAGTAAATAATAATGCAAAAATGGAACCCTACAGTAGTTTGAAATTGCCTTATAAACTGAGCCAGCTATTTCCATATCTAAGCAAGTTTTGCTTATGATGGTGTCATGTAAATTACCTTTCCTGAAGCTTTAGCTTCATATTTAATTTAAACAATGCTGTTATCTGCCTCTTTTCCATCTGGCCACTTTTGGTGGAATAATTAGATGCCTGAAGGCTTTTTTTAACTGCAAGAAACACATGTACATGTTTTCCCACAGAAATGTGAGGGGACTTCTTGGGTTGGATTGTTAAAATGGATAATTATCATGAAAGACTAGCTTCTCAGCTAAGCTTTAAGACAAAGAGACAAGCTAGAGTAAAATAAAGATAATTTATGAAACTGACTAAGAACAATCTCAAAAATGCCTCACTGAAGGGGAACTGCATGGATTTCATATTTCTAATGAAGCTTTGAATCAGAAGTTCTTATTTTTATTCTTTTAAAAAAAATCACAGCACAGTAGCGTACATGAGCGATGTGTAAGGCAAGGTAGAGGGGCTCTACCAAATGTTTGCTATTCCTTTTTTCTCATCAATTTTAAAAGAGAAAAGACTTTGGCCACCATCTGCTGTCTGCCTGGTTGATCTCTGGGATTTTCTCTCTCCCCTCCCACTTCGGACTCCCTCTCTTTCAAACGTCCTTTTTATAAAACACAATGATCTTTAAAGTCTCCTTACTTGAAATTTTCCTTCTGAGAATGTCTGTACCATTCTGAAACATTTACCTTAAAACTAGTAGTCTTAGATGAAAACTCAAATGTTCTATAGCATGATACATAGGTGGGAGTTACCAAATTTGTTTTTGACTAATAAGCAGGTATTCGGAACCTTCACAATCTTCCCAGTGAGTCACGGCACCATTCATGTGGAATCTCCTTGCCAATGCCCTCTTAGGCTACTTCATGATAAATTGTAATATATCACAGAACATCAAATGATCATTAAACTGTATCATGCTATGGTCCTCCAAACAGAGGAAATTCTCCTTTCTCTGAGAAACAGAAATGCATGTACAGTTGCAAAGAATCAGGAATGGCTAAGGGGATGAGCGGATGACAGTGGTTCAAATGTATAACCTTTTAAAATGTAAATGAAATGTATGGTTTTCCTATAGCAGATATGTATGAACAAAATATTTCTATGTGTAAAGACACATACAAATATAAATACTATGGATAGCTCTAGTCATACTGGCTCTCTGGGGAAAGGTACAGACTCAGGTGATATGATGCTTCTTACTGGACCAAAAGTTAATAGAATCAAAAGTCATCTGTTAATATCAAAATGGAAAGAATTGCCATATCAGGGGTTCAAACACTTGAACATCTGGGGTAAGACCCTTCTGAGCTTGCAAATCCTAGGTATATCACCCTGGTCCAGTTAGAGACACCGCATTCTCTACCTTGTCCACCTGTGATAGACACTTGTACATGGCCCTTCAATGTCAGAAGTACCCACCTGGCGTCTGTTCGGGTGTCCCACCGAGAGCTGGAGCAGACTGCTCATGCCTGGTCAACCTCATAGCTTAAAAATCAACAACAACTCTATTTAAATAAGCATTACAGACAACTGGAGCCTAGAAAATATACTCAGTGCTAACTTTATGGGATAGTAGGGGCAGGTTTCATTTTTCTATTTGAATTAACATCACATAAAAGTTGTTTATGTAACAAACGTTTTGCAGTTTTTATCTGAATCATAAGAACATCCTTCAATGTTACTTCATCTTCAAAATTGTCATGTGAATTAATGAACAAGAAATAACAATAAATATACTTTATATTCTAAACTTATCAGTTAGGATATAAATAGAGCTGGGAAACTCATATAAAATTTGTTATTTATTTAATCTAGGTATTGGTTTCTAGGATTTAAACAGTTTCACCTGGGGCCTAGCACTACCACTGGCTATTCTTAAATGATCACCTGTGATTATCTTTGCTCCCTGAAAAACTGTGTTATTGATTACTTAAAGAACTTTCATTCATACTTAACTCTCTCAAAGTTTAAAAGAACACATTTCCATAGCTTGTCATAAAATAGAGAAAATGTAATGAATAAAATCAAATCATATTTATGATTATAAATGGTTATGTTATATAAGGCTGTATTCTAATAAATGCCAATGAAAAACAGACCTTTCAACTTCTGACAGGATAAGAAATAGGTTTTGGGTCATTATTTTATTTACTTCACAGTGATTATTTGAAGATTAAATCATTTAATAAATTTTACAAGTTAGTAATATATTTAAACATATTCATTAGTATGGTGATTTAGTAATGAATTTTTAATTATTTGTCCTTCATGAGTCATTACTAATCATTAGAGTTTATCTAGTCATTTGGTAATTTAAGGAAAATTTTATTCTCTTTAAAACTATAATATAAAGAAAGACCTTTTATAGAGCAAGTATATATGGTCTTTTTTAAAATATTGGCAATGAAGCTTATTTTTATTTATAAATTATCTGGTGAAGATGAGCAGAAATTCAATTTCTCAGCCCGATTTCTCTATTTCAAAAGCAATCATTATTATTGGTTTGTCTTAGGGGGCTTGTGTGGCTGCTTCTATCAGACATGAAAAAAAAAATACATTCCAAATTTCAACTGTCCCTCCTTAGCCATGATAGGTCTTATTGTCTAAGTCTTATTCAGAAAGCTCTTAGGATACAAGGCTGGTGGTGCAAACTTTGGTGTCCTAGGACTTAGGAGCAAATGTTTCTTCTAAGTTGCATGCCAAGCATCAATGCATTTGCTGCCTTTTACATTTCAAAAACATCTACTGTTGGATCAGGGCTTTGCTACCCCAGCAAACTAGGAAAAGCAACCCTAGGCATTTATACCCCTGAAGTGATTCTCTAGGGAATCTGAAAGCCAAACTTATTGAACAAACTCAGTTTGCTAAACATGCTATACTCTCTGTGAACATTCAACAAGACAAGTCAGCCTCAGAAAGACATTAAACAGATTTAACGGAAGGATGAAAGAAGATACTCAACGAATTTTGGAGGTCAGGGTCTCAGGGAGGGAGAGCGCCCTCTTGGATTCCACAGGCCCTTTCACGCTGTCCCTCAGGGAACGTACACTCTTCTGGCGGTTTCTTGCAAAGCGAGCTCTCTTGATCTTCCATAAGGCTGCATCGCTGAGGTTAGCAACATTGGTCCTCACAGCAGTGATGGCTTTGCAAAAGGAATTAAAGAGACTATCACTCTCCTTTACACAGGGCTTTGTAATCCACCTAGTCTAAAACAATCCATCTGTGTAGAGTTTCAATATTAAAATACATTTTTCATGGATATACATCTCCCTCTATGATGAGTCCTACATACAAAAATAACTATTGCCTATCATGATTTTTTTTCTGCTTAGACCACAAGATTAAATTATCTAATTTTGTTATCATTGGATAGTTGAGTGACAAAAGTCTTTTCTCCACCTATTCAGAGCTGTAGGTAACTGATTAATAACTAAGCAAGAGGCCAGGTGTGGTGGCTCATGCCTGTAATCCTAGCACTTTGGGAGGCCATGGTGGGAGGATCCCTTGAGGCCAGGAGTTTGAGACCAGCCTGGGCAATATAGCAAGACCCCCATCTCTACAAAAAAGGAAAAATTAGCCAGGTATGGTGGCTCACCCCCATAGTCCTAGCTACTCAGGAAGATTAGCTGGGAGGACTGCTTGAGCCCAAGAGTTGGAGGTTGCAGTGAGCTATGATGACACCACTACACATCAGCCTGGGCAGCAGATTCAATGCAATTCCCATCAAAGTACCATCATCATTCTTCACAGAGCTAGAAAACCAACTCTAAAATTCCTACGGAACCAAAAAAAGAGCCCACATAGCCAAAGCAAGACTAAGCAAAAAGAATGCATCTGGAGGCATCGCATTCCTGGAGTTTAAACTATACTACAAGGCTATAGTTACCAAAACAGCATGGTACTTGTATTAAAATAGGCTTGTAGACCAATGGAACGGAATAGAGAACCCAAAAACAAAGCTAAATACTTACAGCCAACTGATCTTCAACAAAGCAAATAAAAACATAAAGTGGGGAGAGGACACTGTATTCAATAAATGGTGCTGGGATAATTGGCAAGCCACATCTAGAAGAATGAAACTGGATACTCGTATCTCACCTTATACAAAAATCAACTCAAGATGGATCAAAGGCTAAATCTAAGATCTGAAACCGTAAAAATTCTAGAAGACAACATCAGAAAAACTCTTCTAGACATTGACTTAGGCAAAGAGTTCATGACCAAGTACTCAAAAGCAAATGCAACAAAAACAAAAATAAACAGATGGAGCCTAATTAAACTAAAAAGTTTCTGCACAGCAAACAAAATAATCCGCAGAGTAAACAGACAACCCACTGAATGGGGAAAAATATTTGCAAACTATGCATCTGACAGAGGACCAATATCCAGAATCTATAAGGAACTCAAACAAATCAGCAAAATAATAATAATAATCCCATCAAAAAGTAGGCAAAGGACATGAATAGAAAATTCTCAAAAGAAGATATACAAACGGCCAACAAACATATGAAAAAATGCTCAACATCACTAATTATCAGGGAAATGCAAATTAAAACCACAATGAGATACCACCTTACTCCTGCAAGAATGCCGTAATTTAAAAATCCAAAAATAACAGATATTGGTGGGGATGTGGTAAAAAGGGAACACTTTTACACTGTTGGTAGGAGTGTAAATTGGTACAATCACTTTGGAAAACAGTATGGAGATTCCTTAAAGAACTAAAAGTGGAACTACCATTTGATCCAGCAATCCCACTACTGGGTCTCTACCCAGAAGGAAGGAAGTCATTATAGGAAAAGACATTTGCACATGCATGTTTATAGCAGCACAATTCACAATTGCAAAAATATGGAACCAGCCTAAATGACCATTAATCAACAAGTGGATAAAGGAAATGTGGTATACATATGTACCATGGAATACTACTTGGCCATTTAAAAGAATGAAATAATGGCATTCACAGCAATCTGGATGGAGTTGGAGAACATTATTTTAAGTGAAGTAATGCAGAAGTGGAAAACCAAATATCGTATGTTCTCACTTGTAAGTGGGAGCTAAGCTATGAGGATGCAAAGACATAAGAATGACAGAACGGAATTTGGGGACTTTGGGGGGAAGGGTGGAAGGGGGGTGAGGGATAAAAGACTACACATTGGGTACAATGTACAATGCTCAGGTGACGGGTGCACCAAAATCTCAGAAATTACCACTAAAGAACTTATCCATGTAACCAAAACCCACCTATGTCCCCAAAACTATTGAAATTTAGAAAGTATGCAAGAGTGAGTTTGCAAGGTGCAAATATGCTTCCTAAAATTGCTCACAAATGTTATAAACATAATGACTGAATCATATTTAGGGAACACACAGTCATAAATGGTTATCATAGGTCAAGGAAATGAAAAGAATTCTGATTTTGGAATGCCAGGATATGCTTAAATCTATGGATTACTACAGCAGCTATTCAATAATCATTTAATGAATTGAGTGCATGAGGTCAAGGCATCCTCTGTAGAGGAATTAAACGACATGCCAATGTCTTCTGTTTGTCTAGGCAAGCACAATGGGAACTGCAACGGTTTACAGCAAGTTCTTCATTTTACTTACTTGTAGGAAAAGGAAATTCCTTGTTACAATCCAAATGTAGCTGGGCTTCCAAAGAAAGCGTCTCAAATCTATTGACAAAGAACTCCCAGCTCAGAGCAGGAATATCCTGCTTAAGAAAGTGCAAGAGTAAAAGCTTGCTCAAAATTGTGGGTCTGTCTTTAACCACAGTATCAAACTGGAAGTCAAGACAAAGACATAGACCCTGGGAAAGAGGAGGAAAAAAAAAAAGAAAAGAAGAAAGTCAGATATAAACATCTAAGTTACTTCAAAGCCGATATACTAGGCAAAGTCAATGAAACAAGGCAGCCTACTCAATTCAAACTTATAATGTAGAATGATCCCACTGGAATCTTTTTTGATTCGAAGTTTTGGTAGGAAAGAAAAATGTAGAAGAGGAATTTATCTTCCTTGTAGAATATCTCTTGAATTTTGATTCAGAAATCTGAACTAAATGCATGCTATTGGTTTTCTAATGTGTTAAATAATAACCACTTAATCCAAATACCCTCAAGTCAATGCATCTGGGTTTTTTGTTGTTGTTGTTGTTTGTTTGTTTCTTTGTTTGTTTTTTGAGATGAAGTCTCACTCTGTCGCCCAGGCTGGAGTGCAGTGATGGGATCTCAGCTCACTGCAACCTCCGCCTCCCGGGTTCAAGCAATTCTCCTGCCTCAGCCTCCCAAGTAGCTGGGACTACAGGCGCCCGCCACCACGCCCGGCTAATTTTTTGTATTTTTAGTAGAGACGAGGTTTCACTGTGTTAGCCGGATGGTCTCGATCTCCTGACCTCGTGATCTGCCCTCCTTGGCCTCCCAAAGTGCTGGGATTACAGGCGCGAGCCACCACGCCCAGCTGCATCTGGTTTTAATGCCTGTAGTCATTAAGAGAAGCGTACTTTCAAAGTTACATTTTAGAATACACAGAAAGATGGTCTAGAAATCTACTTTCAATCCAAAATTTCATGATTCCGAAAAAAGCAAAGTCACCTGGTTTTCTTGGAATGTGAGTGGAACATAGAATGTTAATCAAAGTTGGAATGGATTGAGAACCTGTTCCTCTAGTGTCTGAGTTTACCATTCCCCCTCTTTTTAACAGAATGAGATTTAAAAATTGCAATTCATCCAAACATCCCATTCATTAATTCAGCTGTCATCTAATGAGTGCCTCCTATGTTCCAGGCCCTAAGCAGGGGTAGGACATAGAAGTACCTGGTAAGATCAACAGAGAAGAACTATTCAGAAGTCAACTGGAGATTTTACAAAAAAAAGAATGTGCCACAGGCAGCATAACCCTTCAGTCTTTCAGGT
The DNA here is from genome assembly GCF_000001405.40 of Homo sapiens. Lineage (NCBI taxonomy): Eukaryota > Metazoa > Chordata > Mammalia > Primates > Hominidae > Homo > Homo sapiens. Next base: position 93,599,466 of record NC_000014.9, on the reverse strand, counting down.
CGTGCAAGCTTGCCCTTGCTTCTTGGTCTTAAAATGCAGGAAGAAGTTTACACTGGATTGGGAGACAGTGTATGCACACATACACACACACACACACACACACACACACACACTTAAGTATGTGGACTGTATTATAAATCAGTGCTGAATTTCCTCTGCAGATAACTAGCTATGTGACTCTGAAAAGGTGGCTTAACCTTTCTAACTCTCAGCATCTCTATCCATAAAATGAGAACACACAAAAGGTAACTGTGAGGATTAAATAAGATAATGCATAACAGGACACTTTTAACACACTGCCCTGGAAACACAGTAGCTATCTGAGGAATGTCAGCTCTTGCTATCATTAGTTGAATAATAACAACAAAATAATAAATCAGATGCAACATGGAGAAACAGTAGATCAGAACTTTGGAGGCTCTAATCTTGATTTTCTCATTAAATCACTTTGTGTCCTTTGATAAGTCACATTATCTCTCTGAGACTTGGTGTCTCCACTAAAAAATAAAGGTTCCAAACAAGATAAATATACCACTCTCTCCAGGTCTCATATTTCTTGTCTCTTTGGCTTTAATTTGTGAAGTTTTGTTATGGTAGCATATTTACCTTCTCATGTTTTACTTTGATTAAAACTATAATTCAGGCCAGGCGCAGTGGTGGCTCAGGCCTCTAATCCCAGCACTTTGGGAGGCCGAGGCAGGCGAATCACTTGAAGCCAGGGGTTCGAGACCAGCCTGGCCAACATAGCAAAACCCTGTCTTTACTAAAAATACAAAAATTAGCCAGGCGTGGCGGCGTAAGCCTGTAGTCCCAGCTATTCGGGAGACTAAGGCATGAGAATCACTTGAACCCGGGAGGCGGAGGTTGCAGTGAGCCGAGATCACACCACTGCACTCCAGCCTGGGCAAGAAAATGAGACTCTATCTCAAAACAAAACAAAGCAAAAAACTATAATTTATCTGATTTCTGTTAGCATCAAGGCTCTAACAACAGAGGCCTCCAGCCCAGGAGCTAGCTAAGTGGTGTAAGATAAACCAACCTAGTTTTAAAATCTGCCACACACACACACACACACACACACACACACACACACACACACACGTTATGCAATAATTACATCTGTCCAAAGTAATATCAGCATATGAACAAAGACTGAAAAGAAAGTATCAACAAATGGGCCAGGCAGTACAGCTCATGCTTATAATCCCAGCACTCTGGGAGGCCAAAGCGGGAGGATTGCTGGAGGCCAGGAGTTCAAGACGAGCCTGGGCAATATAGCAAGATCCTGTCTCTACAAAAAAAAAAGTTAAAAATTAGGTGGGTGTGGTGATGTATACCTGTTGTCCTAGCTATTCAGGAGGCTGAGGAAGGAGGATCACTTGAGCCCAGGAGTTTCAGGCTGCAGAGAGTTATGATCAGCCTGGGCAACAGAGTAAGACTGTGTCTTAAAAAAAAAGTGGCATCAACAAATAACAACAAGGGATCTTTTAGCAAGATGTGGTTCTGGTATATTTCTTCCAGTTAAAAAATCTCCATCATCATCGTCAATATTATATGTGATGTTATGGTCTGAAAATGTGTGCAAGGGCCTCACCCCCAAATTCCTGTTGAAACTAAATCACCAATATGATAGTATTAGGAGGTGGGGCTTTGAGAGATGATTAGGTCATAAGGGCAGGGCCCTAATGAATGGAACTAGTGCCCTTATGAAAGAGGCCCCAGACACAGCAAAGGCCCCATCTATGAACTAGACAGCAGGCCCTCGGCAGACAATCTGCGAAATAAATTTCTGTTGTTTATAAACTACCCAGTTTATGGTATTCTGTTATAGCAGGTCAAACAGACTAGGACGTGACAAACAACGCAATGATTTAGTAGTGCTGACACAAACCACCTTCGGAGCAGATAACACAAATCACATGTCACCTGCAATGCTGGCCTCTTTATGGTGTCAAGCAGGAGACCAGCTCTGGTAGCCACTGCGGGGTTGACATCCTCCACTGCTGTCAGGAAGCAGCAGAAGGCATGTGCCAGGGAGTACTTCAGCAGGTGGTTTTTGGTTACTGAGTGAATATCCAGAAATCTACAAATTACAGCAACTTTTTCCACTGCAATGTAAAAGAGAAGGCAAAATACGTAAATACACACACACCTACAGGCACACGCATACACATTTATTTAGCCAGTCTGAGAACTGAACTCACAGACAAAAAGTTAACTCTGGGTCTCCCGCATGGTTTACTTTAAATCCCAACAGGAAAGTCTAATACCACCATCTCGAGTGTTCCATTTCATCTGTGCAGCAGAGACTCTTTCTACTCAGAGCAGAACTTTTTTTTCCCACGCAGCCTTGATCTAACTCTGGGTTGTCTTTTACAATTTTTTCATGGTCTTTCTCTTTGTTTAACTTTCAGCTATATTTCAAAATATTCCAAATGCCTCTATGCTTCTTTCTGTGGCCATTCCATAGAAGCTCTGCAGATAACAGAGAGGTAGGAGGTGCCCACCAGTACTGGCTCTGGGTTCTGGTCCCCTGCTCTACTCTTAGTAGGTCGTGGTGTGAAATGGCAGACCAAATAGACATTTCCTGGGGCTATCGAAGCCAGGTATTTCTTCCATGCTATAAATATACGCTTACTTGATAGATTTCTAATTATTCTGCAAATCAATGTTAAACAATTCCATCCACACTTAAAGCATGGCTTTATAAAAAGTTACAACAGCTAGCAAAGCAATATAGTGCAATGCAAATTAAGACGTTTCAGTATTTTGCTTAAGCTATTGCAACAGCCTAGAATATTCTTTTGTTTGTTGGTTTTGTTTTGTTTTTTTGAGATGGAGTCTCACTCTGTTGCCCAGGCTGGAGTGCAGTGGCACGATTTCAGCTCACTGCAACCTCCATCTCCCGGGTTCAAGTGATTCTCATGCCTCAGCCTCCCAAGTAGCTGGGATTACAGGCAGGCACCACCATGCCCAGCTAACTTTAGTATTTTTAGTAGAGACAGGGTTTCACCATGTTGGCCAGGCTGGTCTCGAACTCCTGACCTCAAGAGATCTGCCTGCTTTGGCCTCCCAAAGTGCTGGGATTACAGGCATGAGCCACTGCACCCAGCCTACAGTATTCTTCCTATTGACATTCTACCATCCTTAGAGAATCTCTGCTGAAATTCTGTTTTGTAAAGTCTTCTCTGATCTCCTAGAGTGGCCTTTCCATCCCATGAACTCCTGTAAAAGTACTACTCATTTGCATATCATTAATTTACATATTGCATTTGTGTGCTCAGAATATGAGCTATGAACACAATATGTGCTCATTATATGACATATTTTATTTTGTGGTCTTGATTATATTTATGCCTTTTATAATTTGTCAACCTCTTACATGCTTATATTTGATCTCATCAATTAAACCGGAAGCCTCCTGAGGACAGCAATCTGCTCTTACACTTCTTTCTATTGCTCCCATAGCACCTAGCACATATCTAATTTATTCAATAAATTCACTGATTCGCTTATTTTAAAATATATATATATTAAGCACACATATGTATACCACTAAGAAACTATCTTAGGCACTTGGGAGGAGATAGAAGTAAATGGAAAGAGGAATCATTCATAACTCTTGACCTCAAAGTTAAATTGACTAAAATAGATAAGACACGTACAACTATAGCTGAAATATGACTTTGAAAAAGCTGTAAATGCCTCTAGTGTGGTATAAATAAAATGCTATGGGAGATCCGGGGATACATAAACCACTCTCCACAGGGGGGACCTAGAAGGTGGACCTCAATGGCGGCATTTGAAGGTGGATCATGTGGAGGTGGCATTTGTGTAGGGCCTTAAAGGAAAGAGGATGAAAGGTGGAGAGCCCAGAATGGCCCCCGCGTGGATGAAGGGAGGCAGGAAGCAATGGGAACACAGCAAGGGTGTGTGTAGAAAGAAGCGCAGGAAATGAGGCTGCCTGCAGTTGCAGTCAGACCATCTGAATGGCAGTTTAAGGAGTCTGAACTTTATTCTCTAGGCATTCAAAAAAACCCCATTAAAATTTCTTGAATAGAAAAGTAACATGACCTTGGCCGGGTACGGTGGCTCATGCCTGTAATCTCAGCATTTTAGGAGGTCGAGGTGGGTGGATCATCTGGGGTCAGGAGTTCAAGACCAGCCTGGCCAACATGGCGAAACCCCATCTCTAGTAAAAATACAAAAATTAGCCGGGTGTGGTGGCAGGTGCCCGTAGTCCCAGCTGCTCAGGAGGCTGAGGCAACAGAATCGCTTAAACCCGGGAGGCAGAGGTTGCAGTGAGCCGAGATCACTCCACTGCACTCCAGCTTGTGCAATAGAGCAAGACTCCATCTCAAAACAAACAAACAAACAGAAAAAAAAAAAAGGAAAGAAAGAGAAGTAACATAACCAGAGCCGAGATTCAGAAGATTAATCCTAACCCTCCACAACATGATGTGCTGTCATATATATATACTAACTAGCCCCTGAGATTCCTGTGGGCATTAAAAAGCAAGAACGTTTTGAAGTGGCCATATATTAAGGAACTGAACTAAAGGTATAATAGTTACCTCACTGATGAAACTTCCATTTCTGTGCCAAACTTTTGAGACACAAACCTACAGAACTGTTCTGAGAAGCCACACTGTGGCATGCCGACCCCGCCTGCTACCCCGAGAATGGAACTACTAGCAGATTGGAGTGAGAGTGGGCCAGCAGACATGAGGCTAAGAGAACCCTCCCAGGTTCCTTCCTTACCACATTACTCTGAGAACCTGCTGTTCTATTTACTAGGAAATTATACCCAAGCTGCACCAGACTTGGTCCCTGATCCCTCAGTGGCAAGGGTATACAGCAGAGATTCTTGAACCTCTTATTAAAAATCTCAGTTTCTGCCCCAGCACAGTGGCTCATGCCTGTAATCCCAACACTTTGGGAGGCCAAGGTGGGCAGATCACCTGAGGTCAGGAGTTCAAGACCAGCCTGATCAACATACTGAAACCTTGTCTCTACTAAAAATACAAAAATTAGCCTGGTGTAGTAGCATGCACCTGTAGCCCCAGCTACTTGGGAGGCTGAGGCACAAGAAATACTTGAACTCAGGAGGCAGAGGTTGCAGTGAGCCGAGATCATGCCACTGCACTTCAGCCTGGACAACACAGCAAGACTCTGTCTCAAAAAAAAACACAAAAAACCTCAATTTCTGGCATCACCCCCACCTCCCACTGAGATTCTGATTCGGTAGCTCTAGGATGTGGCCAGATAATGTGCATTTTAACAAACATTCCCAGTAACCGATGCAAGTAAACTCATAGGTTGACTGAATCCAAGCCAGTGTCTGTTTGGGAGTAAACATGGGTGCAGTTAATCGCTACACTTGGGTAACAGGCATAAGCTGGGTCTGTCCTATGCAAACCTGGACAGGACCACCCTCCCTAAGGACCACTCTGCAAAATGCTGTTATTTTAGAGAGGAAGCTCAAAGCAGAACCCCCAAAGGACACCAGCCAGCAGGAGAATGCCTTTTAAAAAGAAGGGACAAGAAAGGAGGTGCCAAAAAAGATGCCGTGACCAGACACCCGTGTACTGTGTGACCCAGAATGAGTTTTAAGCTAACACAGAGGTACCTGCTTCAAACCTCATCTTCCAGTCTTTGCTGTTGAAATTGCCATTTATGATTGTCCAGAAGATGTCAGCACCATGAGGAAGTGACAGGGCATGGAGGAGAAGAGGGACTGCCAGGGAAGACAGCTGAGAGAACTCGGATTTGACGACCCTCCACAGGCTAGGGAATCAAGGAGAAGCAAAGTGGTGACAGTTATCACAACTTTTCCAGAAAAAGATCCTGTCCTCTTAATTTATGGCAAGAGTAGTTACAAGACGGTGGGTAGGGGTGCTTTTGGTGAAATGACACTCATCCACGAGAGGATAATCCTCTGACAGACGTTTCCTATGCTCTGTCCTCTTAACGTGACACTGCAGAAAAGCACTTTTACTTAACATTACATTTTATAACTTAAAAATCTGCATAATGTAAATTCAGCAATATAAATAAATGGCTTCAGTAATATACAAAGTCAAAATTAGGTACGTTAGGATGATGGAGTAATACGTGATTTTTAAAAATTTTCTTACAGTGAGCATCTGGCAAGTTTGGTTGGTTTGGCCTGCCCAGCCTCTTATGATGTCAAAGAACAACTCTTTTTCTCTTAATAACAGCCTCTCCAAGAACAGACAGGTCATCAATCAAGCTCCCCAACCTTCTCTATCATAAGGGGGAACACAAACAGGCTGATCAAAGAACGTCAACAACCTGAATAAAGTGATTAGCTAGGAGAAGGCGTATGACCCAAGCATGGGAATAACAGAACTCTTATTTCAGGGACTGTTATGCACTCTGGGAGAAAGAGGCTCTCTCTCCTTCTGAAATCTCAGGAATGAAGGGTGATGTCAGCCTGCAACTGCCAATGACCCTCCTTCCCATCTCACAGGGACAGCCTGTGCTTAACGGAGAAGCCAACACTTAGTTCCATTTAAGAAGCCAAGCCACAGTTGGGCTATGAGATGGGGAGGGAGTGAGAAAGGGGAGGAGGAGAAGACAGAGAAAGAGATCCCTGATAACATCCTGCACCTCAGCAAGTTTCAGCTAAGTTCCTATCAAGTTCTACAGGAATAATTCTGAATATAATATATTTTAGTAATAATACATTATTGTTTCCATTTTTTTCAATTATTTAAAGTATGCCTTTTGGTTGTTTTTGTTGTTGTTTTGTTTTGTTTTGTTTTCTATTTGACTCCAGAGTCAATATCAGAATCAAAACTACAGTTGACCCTTGAACAACACAGGTTTGAACTGTACAGGTCCACTTATACATGGATTGTTTTCAATAAATATATTGAATTTTTTAGGAGATTTGCAACAATTTTAAAAAGTTCACAGATGAACCATGTAGCCTAAAACTAGTGAAAAAATTTAAGGAAAAGTTATGTCGGCCAGGCGCAGTGGCTCACGCCTGTAATCCCAGCACTTTGGGAGGCTGAGGCAGGTGGATCACAAGGTCAGGAGATCGAGACCATCCTGGCTAACACAGTGAAACTCCGTCTCTACTAAAAATACAAAAAATTAGCCGGGCGTGGTGGTGGGCGCCTGTAGTCCCACCTACTCAGGGGGCTGAGGCAGGAGAATGGCGTGAACCCGGGAGGCAGAGCTTGCAGTGAACCGAGATTGAGCCACTGCACTCCAGCCTGGGCGACAGAGCGAGACTCAGTCTCAAAAAAAAAAAAAAAAAAAAGGAAAAGTTATGTAATGAATGTATAAAATATATGTAGTTACTAGTCTATTTTAACATTTACTACCATAAATTATACACGAATCTATTATAAAAAGTTAAAATTTATGAAAGCTTACACACACAAACATTTACAGACCATACGTGGCGCCACTCACAGTGGAGAGGAATGTTAAGCAAATGTAAAGACGCAGTATGAAATCATAACTGCATAAAACCAACTGTGGTACACACTGTACTACAGCAATAATTTTGTAGCCATCTCCTGTTGCTATTCAGGTGAGCTCAAGTGTTGTCTGTCTGTGTGAGCAGTTCCTCTCTCCAGTAAATTGCAAATCACAGTAAAAAGTGATCCCTCGCAGTTCTCGCGTCTTTTTCATTGTGTTTAGTGCAATACCGTAAACCATGAATAGCACCATGGGTCCCATACGAAGTGCCACTAGTGACGCTGGAAGTGCTCCCAGAAAGCAGACAAAAGTCACGACGTTGCTAGGAAAAGTTGAATTGCTTGACATGTACCATAGCTTGAGGTCTGCAGCTGCAGCTGCTCACCATTTCAAACAGACAATTCATCTTGTAAACAGATGGCATAAACTTACGGTATTGATAAACACAGTACGGTACTGCAAATGCATTTTCCTTATGATTTTCTCAATAACATTTTCTTTTCTCTGGCTTACTTTATTGTAAGAATACAATAAATAATGCATAAAACATACAAAATATGTGTCAATCAGCTCTTTATGTTATCATAAGGCTTCTGGTCAACAGTAAGCTATTAGAGGTTAAGTTTTGGGGAAGAGAAAAGTTAGACAAGGATTTTCAACTGCACAGGGGTCAGCACATTTGTACCTCCCCATTGTTCAAGGATCACCTGTATTTGTGACTTTACATAGCTCATGCTGCACCGGTAAGAGAAGGGAAGAGTGACACGTGCCATCTCCATTTTACAGAGAGCATATGGAGGTACGAGCCACTCCAGTTGGCTGTTTTTCAGAAGGCATACTAGAGCTATAGAATGAAAAGGAGTGATTTTTTAAATGCCATATGCTTAATCTAAATAAGTGGAAGTCAGACAAACAGGGACCTCATCCCAACCCTGCCATTCATAAGCTGTGTAACAATGTGCAAATTCTCTAAACCTTTGTGTCCTCCCAGTGTGGGCTTTAAACAAGATGTGCAGAGAGCATGGCACTTAGTAGGTATGCAGAAACCTGAAGCTGCTACCACCATCATGATTACAAGGACGATGATGCTTCCAGAGCACAATAGGCCCTAGGAAGAGTGCAAAGGAAAAAGAAGATATAATTTGTGCCTTCATGGAACTTCCGGTGTAGTTGAAGAATGCAAACCAGGCAGCCCAGCTAGAAAACCATTTCCATGACAAAGCCCAAGATTCGGCCAGTCCCATTCGCCTTTCCCAGCTCTCGAGGGCAGACTTGTTTGGAAAGGGGCAGAGCATCTCTTCCACAAGTCCTTTCATTGTCCATCATGGTTTTTGTGTCATGGTGGCACTTTGCGGAGAAAACCTGGCCCTTTAAGGAGAAAGCCTGGGCTATGGACCCTAAAGGCCGAGTGGGTAGTCCCATGGCACTAACAGTCCATTTGGCAAGTGTACATTCTGGGGGGTTGCTTTCACAATAAAAAATAATGCCCATCTCGTATTCCCATGTTGAATTCATGGAGCGTCTGCCTAACTCTCGACCCTTTTCCCTCACTCCTTTCGTCCAGATCTGCTGATGGTCTCGAACTTCACACTGTTCCCTCCGGGTCATTCCTACTCTTCCCCACTCCAGGTCAGCCATGTCTGCCCTTTCCCTTTCCCCAGCTTCTTCCTCCCACTGCAGCTGTAGAATCCCTGTTTTCTTGGGAAGAAACTTCTATAGATCCTCCACCTTTCTCATGGTATGCTTCTCTAGTGGGCTGAAGAGTGCTCCCCGAAAATTCATGTGCAATCAGAACCTCAAGATGGGGCCTTATTTAGATTTCATCAGTTAAGATGAGTTCCTACTGGATAGAGCGGGTCCTAAATATAATGAATGACTAGTGCCCTAATAAGAGGAAGGGGCACTCAGGGACACACAGGGAAGAAGACCATGTGGCAAAGATTGGAGTGAGGCAGCTATAGCCAAGACATTCCAACAATTGCCAGCAGCCATGAGAACCCAGGAGAGATGGAAGAAAGTCTCCTCAAATCAAGCAATCCTCCCACCTCAGCCTCTCAGTAGCTGGGACTAAAGGCTTGCACCACCATACTTGGCTAATATTTTGTTTTAGCAGAGATGGGGTCTTGCTATGTTGCCCAAGCTGGTCTAAAACTCCTGGCCTTAAGTGATCCTCCCACCTCTATTTTCCGACATGCTGGAATTACAGGGATGAGCCACTGTGCCTGGCCTTAAGATTTTCTCTTGAGAGTCTAGAGTCTCAATGAGTCTGGACTCCCATCTTCACCAGGCCAAATGACCCTTGCTTCCCAAGACTTCCTCCAGGCCTCCTCTTAGCAGCCTCTTTCTTTTGAAACCCATGACATTGATGCACAGGGTCCTCTCCCAATTCTTTGGTCCATTAGGCACCTAGTTCAGTCTTGCTCCTCAGGCGGGCCTCTGCAGATGCCATCAGTGGATCAAGCCCTGGTCTCATTCACACCTCCTCATCCCCAGTGGCCTCTGTCTTTACTCTGCTGGATGAGATGCTGACCTCCCCTCTATAAGGCTGAGAACACCCAACTTCCCCCCCATCCCCCAGCCCATACTGACTGAGACTCCTCTGCCCTCTTTTCCATACTCTTCTCCCAAATATCAATTTTTCTGGCTTCATCTGCTTTCAATCGTAGAATGGATCCCAGAGACAACCGTTTCATCACTCTGGAATCCTCATCCCTCTGAGCTTCCATCATAACCATATCACCAGTCCCCGGTCCCCAGTAAACCCTTTGCCCATTTGCTCTCGTCCACTCCTAAGCCCCTGAGCGCCGGAGAAAAAGAAACCCAAACCCCTACTAAGTTGGTCCACTGCAAACTGGTGCTAGCTAACCTCAGCCGAACCCTAAAGCTGGTGATTCTTTGGTTATTTCTTGTTTACTTCCTGCTGCTTTCCTCGTGCAGGCTGTCCCATACTCTTTTCCATGTTCCTGAAGTTCCCAACACAATGTCTGTCATCATCTCTCAGGAGAAGACATCAACACCTAATATTCTTAAGGCTTAAGTCAGCCGTTATAAACTCCCCTTAACACTTTCTCTTTGCCTCAAAATTTATCTTCTTTCAAAGGAAAGGGTATTCTTCCTGTTTTCCACCCTACCTTTTGTTCTTGATCGCACACTCTCCTGCCTTCCAGAACTTGCACCCACTAACTGTTTTCTTTCTCTGGCCCTTTCCCACTGACCATAAATATGTTCGGATTTTCTCTCTCTTTTTTTTTTTTTTTTTTTTTTTTTTGAGACGGAGTCTCCCTCTGTCTCCCAGGCTGGAGTGTAGTGGCACGATCTCGGCTCACTGCAAGCTCCACCTCCCGGGTTCACGTCATTCTCCTGCTTCAGCCTCCCGAGTAGCTGGGACTAAAGGTGCCCACCACCACGCCCAGCTAATTTTTCTGTATTTTTAGTAAAGACAGGGTTTCACTGTGTTAGCCAGGATGGTCTCGATCTCCTGACCTCGTGATCCGCCGGCCTCGGCCTCCCAAAGTGCTGGGATTACAGGTATGAGCCATCGCACCTGGCCGTTCAGATTTTCTTTATCCTAAAAATCCTTAATGTCTACTCCCTTTTCTCTCTAAGTATCTGATGTTTCCTTTCCTCTTCTAACAAACCTTTCAGAAAAAAGTTCTGCATTGTGTGTTTATATTCAGTAAGCTTTGTAATGTGCTCTTAGCACTCTCTTAAATTTGGGTGCTTTCCAAAAATCTCTCTTTTCTCCATACTCATTCTAGTAAAGCACACCTCTGACTCTATTTTAAGGTCTTCCATGGATCTCCAAACATCATTAAATAAAATCCCTATCTTCAAGGCCCTTCATACTTGGGTCCCAACCTACTTCTCCAGCCTCATTTTCCATTACTCCCTTACATCCACACCATCCGGCAAAATAAATAAATAAATAAATAAATAAAGCTTCAGTATCCCCCAAGTATGCCCTGCTTATTTCTGGTCCCTTCTTTCCAACTCTGCTATCTGTTTCCTCCTGACATTCCCAGGTTTTACAACATGTCCCACCCATCTCAAATCTCTACCAATGAAAATTCTATCGTTATCTCAATGCCCATTCAAGTGGTATTGTCTCCAGAGCCTTTCATCATTCATCATTCATCCAGAAATGCTCTCTCCCACCTCTGAGCTGTATAAAGCAGTCATTTATCACATTCCCTTGGATTGACAGTGACTTACATATACATGACCATGAATCTTAGTTTAACCAAGACTGTCGAGTTTATATTCATCCTCTTGGGGTTATTATGAAGACCACCTCTCTTCACTCTCAAACGTACACAAATTTGAATACTAAATTATATGGTCACCTTTTCTCTATATAGGATTCACCCCCTTCCAAACTAGATTGCAAATTCCCTAAGTACCCAGAACAAGAATGTATACAGTAAGCCCTCATATTTGTTGAATGAATAATAAATAAACAAAATGAGTAAAGAAAGATAGAGCCTCAATGTGGTTTGTCATCAAGTTAACCTGAACCAATCTTTTCCTTTTTTACTGACTCATTCTCATACATATAAAATAAGGATGTTTCTGATTTATTTCCAGGAAGATTGCAAAAGTTATTTTAAGGTTTTCAGGAGGAAAAACGCTGTAAATCTAGGGTAACGTTTTATTATAATTTTCAAAATGTCTCACCAGTCTCTAAAAAATAACTTATCAGATAGTATATGGAGAGATTTAGACATCTATTAGCAGTTCTATTTTAAGTAAGAAGGTAGGTAAGTCCTTACTTAATTATACTAGGTAAATATTAACGTATTTTTTGGCATTTTTCTATATTTTCTATATTCTTAAGCCATCTAACAAGTGAAAGGCATACAATAATTTTTACTTTAACTTTTCTATTTATTCAGTATCAGGCAAATGGAAATTACCATTCCTTGTATTAACGTACTTTTAAATTAGACTAAAAAAGAAAAATAAAAGTAGTTATCATAGGCAATCGAGCTGTCCTGGCTCAAAAAATAACCCAAACAAGCCAGTAAATCTTAATCTAACTTTAATTTTCACAACTAAAGCCTAATGTATAAACAATCAAAACAAACCATTAGGAAGACGTACCTTGCAATCAACATGTGGTCCTGAATGTAGGCTAAAAATTGAGGGTGATCTTTTCTGGCAATGTATAAACATTCTCCATGCAGACAGAGAATCTTCAGGCAATTGAGCATATTAAAAAGAATGTCTGGCTCTTCAAACTTAGCCATTTCCTATACAAAAAACCACATGGTTACTAAGTTATCCAAAACAGTAATGCTACCAAGCCAAGTATTCAAAGACATCAGAAAATATACCTGGAAAATGGTATATATTAGTCTCAATGTTACCGGAAGCTGTTGGTAGCAAAATTTTCTTTCGGTATCATTCTTTACTGCTGTGAAGAAATAATTACACAAAAATTAGGCTAACTCTTCCTCTCCCCCATCATTCATCAATTTATCAAGATCATAAAAACCAAGAAGAGTAAAAAATTGACATATATGCAAAATTGTTTGAGAAAACTTTTTATCTGCTCTCCACATTAGCATATATCCCTGCTATGATACAAGTGCAGGAAATCTTCTGAATTGAGGATTCTCAGTTTCCATTTTCCACTGCGCAGTCCATCATGTATTCAGATGTCTTTGGCTCCCTGGAGCTAACCCTACCCAAAGACAACTGAATACATGATTGATTGCACAGTGCTGCTAGTTCTGTTAGTTCTGCTGCTCCCTGAAGGGACCTGGAACCTGGCTAGCTATGCCTTCCTAATTGGAAGGGAGATATGCAGGTATTAAAGAGAGGTGTTTGGATGGGCGCGGTGGCTCATGCCTGTAATCCCAGCACTTTGGGAGGCCAAGGCGGGTAGATCACTTGAGGTCAGAGTTCAAGACCAGCATGGCCAACATGGTGAAACCCCATCTCTACTGAAAATACAAAAATTAGCCAGGCATGATGGTGGGCATCTGTAATCACAGCTACTTGGGGGCTGCGGCAAGAGAATCACTTGAACCTGGGAGGGTGGAGGTTGCAGTGAGCTGATATTGAGCCACTGTACTCCAGCCTGGGCAATAGAGCAAGACTCAGTCTCAAAAAAAAAAAAAAAAGAGAGAGAGAGAGGTGTTCAATTTGTACTAGCAACTGAAGAGGTTTATCCCATGGATTCTCACAAAAAGAGGTAGATTTTGAAACAGTTGAACATATTCAGATGAGAACAACTACTCATTATTTTCACCCTCTCGGGAGGATCTCTAAAACTTTTGCCCCCATACTGGGGGCATCAATGTATTATACATGAGGCATGCTAGAGAAAAGAATTCACAAGTTAACCAGATGCAGAAACTAGTGCAGAATGTGTTAAAATCACCATTACACGTTTTGGCAATCCCTAGGATCAGAGGCAACGGCAGTCAAATTCTCTTGATCTAGATACTGAAAAGTCCATTGGGAATCTTCCGCCTGAATGTATTTTAAATGCTTGTCATAAGTACTTGACTGTTTTGTTTGATGTGAAAGTTTTAAATATATTTTTGGTGGTGGACATATCTGACCATGATAAGAAATAGGGCCAGGCCTCAAGATGGGAAAAAGGGAAACACACTAGAAGGGAGGGGAAGTCTCTGAACACGTGTCGACAGAGCACCCCTGAATTCTAGGACAGAAGAGCTCCAGATCACTGCCTGAAGGCCCGCAGAGCAGAAGCAGGAGAGAGGCTCTGAGGGAACCCTGGTCTTAAGGCCTGCAGAGCAGAAGCAGGAGAGAGGCTCTGAACAGCAGGGAACCCTGGTCTTGGAAGAAAGAGAAGAGGGACTCTCCTGCAGAGACAATTTATAACTGCATCCTGCAAGACAGCGGAGAGTCTGAGCAGGAAAAGAGGCTAAAGCTGCCACAGGAGCCTGGAGGAGCATGCAGGGGAGAACAAAGCATGTGTTTTAATAAGTGGACTGTATAACAATACAGCAAGGAAAAGAAAAACATTTAAAAATAAATTGCTGGCCAGGCGCAGTGGCTCACGCCTGTAATCCTAGCACTTTGGGAGGCTGAGGCAGGTGGATCACTTGAGGTCAGGAGTTCGAGACCGGCCTAGCTAACATGGCAAAACCCCATCTCTTAAAAAAAAAAAAAAACTTAGCCAGAGTGGTGGTGGGTGCCTGTAGTCCCAGCTAGTCAGGAAGCTAAGAAATGAGAATTGCTTGAACCTGGGAGGTGGAGGTTGCAGTGAGCCGAGATCACACCACTGCACTCCAGCCTGGGCAACACAGTAAGACCCTGTCTCAAAAAAAGAAAAGAAAAAAGAAATTGCTTAATTTTAACCATTGCTCCAATAAAATATTACGCAGAGATAAAAGCAGCAGTTAATTGATCTGTGTGCTAGCTTAGGTTTAAAAAATATATTTGCATAGAAAGAGTACAGGCTATTGGATCATGAGTGAAGTCCCAGCTTCCCATAGGCATGAATGCCTGACAGAAACACAACTGTAGGCCTGGGCCCTGGCTGCTGCAGCACCTACAACAAGTTAATTAATCCTAAATTAAAGTAGAAGACCTGGGTTCTAGTCCCAACCCTGCCACTAATTAGTTGTTTCCCATTCCCAGGTCCCCATCCCAGGGATACCCAGACTTGAAGCTGGGGAGTGGAGCTTTTGTTTGTGTTTCTGCTTCTCAGGGATTCCGATGTTCCGTTACAGCTCTGGAATCATGTGAAATATGAAGTATAAATTGTGAATGAATAGTAGGAGTGACATGACCAGGGGCAAGTTGTTTAACCCATCTGGGATTTATTTTCCTCATCTGCCAAGTACAAAGGCTAAACTGGATCAGCAGATTGTAAACTTCTTTTCTGCAGAATATTCTGTTTGCAGAAAATCTTAGAATTCCAACATATGGCCGGGTGTGGTGGCTCATGCTGTAATCCTAGCTCTTTGGGAGGCCGAGACGGGTGGATCACTTGAGTCTAGGAGTTCGAGAACAGCCTGAGCAACATGGCGAAAACCCATCTCTACAAAAAGTTTAAAAAACTAGCCGGGCATGGTGGAGCATGTCTGTGGTCCCAGCTACTCTGGAGGCTGAGGTGGGAGGACTGCTTGAGCCCAGGTGGTCAAGGCTGGAGTGAGCCGTGATCGGGCTCCTGCACTCCAGCCTGGATGACAGAGCAGGACCCTTATCTTAAAAAAAAAAAAAAAAAAAGACCTCCAACATATGAAAGAGAGTAAGTTGGAGCAATCTGGCAGAAGCAAGGTGGGGAGCCTGGGTCTTTATATTTTGCCCTCCTCTTCCCCCCAGGGGTTGCCCCAATTGAGGATGTTCCAAAAGAAATCACACTGAGCCCTTACAGCTTCAAGAAGTGCACACCGAAAACCAGTGAACCAGCTCACCTCAGGTATTCCTTCAAATTCTAAAGTTTATGACATGAAATAGTGTGAGCTGAGATATTCATACACAATTCACTGTTCATATGATCCATGGAGAAGCAGTTAGTTCTGACCGAAGATTTAGTAGGGTTACCTTCGTTTGAATAAGACACCTCCACAGTTGCAATGAACCCCAGAAAACAGTCCCCTAATAATATCTGCTGCTCACTGAAGAAATGATGCCAAGCCCATGCCTCCTGATACTGGAGTGGGCTCCCAGGAGCAAGCTATTCTTTATTTATTTATTATTTTTTTTTTTTTTGAGCAGAGTTTCACTCTTGTTGCCCAGGCTGGAGTGCAATGGTGCGATCTCGGCTCACCACCTCTGCCTGCCCAGTTCAAGCGATTCTCCTGCCTCAATCTCCCTAGTAGCTGGGATTACAGGCATGAGCCACCACACTTGGCTAATTTTGTATTTTTAGTAGAGACAGGGTTTCTCCAAGTTGGCCAGGCTGGTCTTGAACTCCCGACCTCAGGTGATCCGCCCACCTTGGCCTCCCAAAGTACTGGGATTACAGGTATGAGCCACCGCGCCTGACCAGGAGCAAGCTATTCTAACTCTTCCGGATCATGGATGCAGGAAGATTGAAAAGCTGCCCAAATTTGCCCCAGGTCTCATATAGATCCCCAGAGTGCCACCACCCAGAGCTAGAAATCAGGCTTTCCCAGAGGCACGTGGGGTCACATCCTGAAATCCCTAAACGTCCTCATGTGAGAGGAGCTAGAGTACGATTCCTGAGCCTATCTGCCATCTCACTGCCCCCATTGCGTCCACCCAAGAGCTTTGAGACAAATGAAAAAGTGGCTGCTCCCCAGTCCCAGCTAAGAGCCAGCAAAGTAGCCTTCGAGCTCAGCCTGCACAGCCCAACCGCCAGAGCCCCACTGCTTCTATTCAGAAACACTCTGCTTTAGCCAAATGCCCTGAGTGGCTGTCAAGATTGTCAGCACCCAGCCTTGGTCCACAGAGAATACCTCGCATTGTAAGTAGGGAGGCGATGAGTTTTTATTGAAAACCGGTGCCCGCTGCCAGAAAGATGCTCAGGGAACTGGGTTCTATGGGAACTGTAACGGATCTGTTCATTTTATAATCCGCTGGGAGATGTTCCTCTGCACGAGTCTATACTAAGGAAACCACGTCTGAATTTGCCCAAGTCGATATTAAACCAAGAACCCGGTGATTTGAGCATCAGGCCATGTGCACGTGGCGCATTCCCCGGCAGTCAGTGCACACCTACCAGCATGTTCCACGGGCTCGGTGCAGTTGCCTGGGTTCTCCCCATGCTTGCTTGCAGGATTCTCCTCCTCCTCCCCTTCAGGGCCTATGATAAACTCTGGTCTGGAAGAAAGGAGGCTATCCTCCAGGCTGTCTGTGGGCTCCTGAAATAAACAGGACAGGCAGCCAGGTAAGCAGCCCTGGAGGGGTGTCAGGAACGGTTTGCTCAGCTCAGCAAAGCTGGACTGCACACCTGCTGTGTCTCGGGTCCCATGCTGCTGAGGCCAGAGGCCAAGGCACCACACCCCAGAAGACCCTGGAGCTTATTGCTGGAACAGTGAAAAGAAATCTCTATCCGCTATTGCTGAAACATTTTCTTTCACTTCAAATATATATAGAAGAAGATCAAAAACATCATTAAATCTTCCTAGGCCTGCTTTCTCACCTCTGCATTAGTCTCCAAGATCAGTGTCCCACTCATCAAGTCATTCTCACCCATGTACATTTTATTCAATAACAGGACTTGATTAGGAAGGAATAATAACGGGTTCACAAAGCTATATTAAGATGCAAATGGCCGGGCATGGTGGCTCATGCCTATAATCCCAGCACTTTGGGAGGCCGAGGTGGGCGGATCACGAGGTCGGGAATTCGAGACCAGCCTGACCAACATGGTGAAACCCCGTCTCTACTAAAAATACAAAAATTAGCTGGGCGTGGTGGCACATGCCTGTAATCCCAGCTGCTAGGGAGGCTGAGGCAGGAGAATCGCTTGAACCTGGGAGGCAGAGGTTGCAGTGAGCCGAGATCATACCACAGTACTCCAGCCTGGGCGACAGAGTGAGACTCTGTCTCAAAAAAAAAAAAAAAAAAAAAAAAAAAGATGCAAATACTGGCCAGGTGTGGTGGTTCATGCCTGTAATCCCAGTGCTTTGGGAGGGTGAGGCAAGGAGGATCACTTGAGGGCAGGATTTGAGACCAGCCTGGGCAACATAGTGAGACCTCATCTCTAAAAGAATGTTTAAAATTATCCAGGCATGGTGGCATGCCTGTGTCCAGTTACCGAGGAGGCTGAGGTAGGAGGATTCTTAAGTCCAGGAGTTCAAGGCTGCAGCTATTCATGATCACACCACTGCCCTCCTGGGTGACAGAGCAAGACCCTATCTCTAAAAATAACAATAATAATAATAAATAATTTTTTTAAAAAAATTTAAAGACACAAATACTGGTTGTCCAGGGTAGTCAAATTTTTAGGAGTGAAAAACTGCTATAACATGTGAGTTACAGACAGCAAGGTATGGCAACCCAAGTGTCTGTCAACAGCTAGATGGAGAAACAATTTAAAAATGCATACATTTGGCCAGGCATGGTGGCTCATGCCTGTAATCCCAGCACTTTGGGAGGTTGAGGAGGGTAGACCACTTGAGCTCAGGAGTTCAAGACCAGCCTGGGCAACATGGCAAAACCCCGTCTCCACAAAAAATAATTTAAAAATTAGCCAGGCATGGTGGTGGGCACCTGTAGTCCCAGCTTCTTGGGAGGCTGAAGTGGGAGAATCACCTGAGCCTGGGAGGCAGAGGTTTCAGTGAGCCATGATCAAGCTACTGCACTCCAGCATAGGAGACAGAGTAAGGCACCGTCTCAAAAAAAAAATACATTTTACAGTATCCATTGTCACTTAAACTTTGTAATATAACTTTGTGATAAAAGTTCTTTTAAGAATACTACTAATGCATGGAACCATATGAATGGAGGTGCTACAACCCTCACTCAAGCCACTTAATAGAATTCCGTATAGCGTGGCTTCAGTTTGTATCCCTTTCCAAGAGCCTGAGTTGGCAGAAGCAATGGGAAAAGTTTCTTTTAACACAGTCTCACGTATAACCCAGCATGGAGTATAAGATGCTGCTGGAGGAAGACTCCATTACATCAGCTACTGCAGTCTTTAATGCTATTATACATGGGTCATCTCGTTTCTTCAACTGCTTACCACCAGCCGGCTTTCTTCTTTAGGAGCTAGTCTCTCCAGGAGTTCACAAGCAAGCTGATAGCAGAGGATACTAGACTGACATAAGTTGCACTCGATTGCTTTTTCGTCCTTCTGGCAGGTGTGGGATCCCCCCCAGGGGGCTTGGAAGACATTGTTTATAATAGAAATAATGTCCTTTGATAAGCTGTGCTCTAAACCCATCGTGATTCCATCATCTTGTAACTCCATCTGAAAGACATCAAAAAAAGGACACACGCACACACACACAAAAAAAAAAGAAGAAGAAGGAGTTTGGTCCATTTGTCCAATATTCCATTGGCACACTACTTGGGGATGATTTTCACTAACTGACAGAAATATTGAATTATTTAAAGACAATATAGGCTTCAAGACCATGAATATACATTGCTGTCCGTGGGTTTTTCTAGAAGGAATATAAACACAAGATGAAGCAATTGGAATTATTTTAAAAATCATGTAGGAGATTTAAAAGAGAGTTGTTGCTTTTGGCTAATCGGTTTGTGAGATTTTACACATTTAAAAAATGCTGCTCCTCACCTAGAGTCCAGATCTTGGTTTCTAAATACCATGAGCTGCTAAAAGGAACCAGGGCTCCTTGGAGAAATGGCTGAATTCCAGGGCTGGGGCTAGGAAAATATAAGATGAGCCTGGAACATCTTGTCACACCAGAAATCAAGGAAGAGTTCATAGAATGATGTGGATGTGCCAAAAGAACACAGGAGCCAGCTTGAAAAGATTCCCACTGGCCAAATGCGGAACAATACGAGCATCAAAATACAGAATCATAGTAACAGATTATAACCCACCAAATAACATAAAAATCCATGGGCACTGCGGGATGAGTAGATAAATAAATAAACACATAAATGGGAAAGAAGGAGAAAGTATTCCATCAGTAGAATACCAGTGAATACATTTAGAAGAAATGATGGAATTGGAAAATTATCACTCGACTGTCATGATAGTAATAATTGATGAGTCATCCATTGATGCTAACACTAGTGGATGAAAGCCTGATCATAAACAGGAAATCCATAAGGTAGTTACAAATTACTTATTAGTTACAAAAGGGAAAATAGTGACTTTATCACAGAAAAATGTGGCAGATTTTGGTCTCTTGGTTAAGGTGACCAAAGTTATCATCACAGTAATGGGACATTATTATATCTTACGCCTGCTGACATGATGCATTACAAAGGACATAACATCACATCTGTGGTCTTCCTGCCAAAAAAATGCATGACCCAAATTAATTCATAAGGAAGCATCAGGCAAACTCAAATTGAGGGACAGTCCACAAAATAACTGGACTATACTCTTCAAAAATGTCAAGGCCCCATAAGTATAGACACCTACGAGGTACCCACAAAAATTAAAAATAATTTTAAAAAAAAGTCAAGGACATGAAAGATAAAGACTGAGGAACTGTCCTAGATTAAAGAAGACAAAGGAAACAGTATCTGTAATTGCAATGAGTGCTTCTAGATTGTTCCTTAATCAAAGCCAGGCTTTTTTCTCTTGCTATAAAGATGACATTACTATTATTATATCAATTTTCAAAATTAATAATTTCTGCAAGTTATGTAGTAGTACTATAACACTATTAATTTCCTGATTTTGATAACTGTACTGTGTTTATGTAAGAGAATGTCCTTTTTTTTAGAAAATACACTCTGAAGTGTTTAGGGATAAAAGGACATCATGTCTGCAATTTAGTCTCAAATGATCTATTAAAAATTAACGCATACACATGCAGAGAAAGAGAAGCAGATGTGGTAAATGTTAACATCTGGAGAATTGTGGGGAGGAGTATTTGGGAATTCTTTATAGTATTCTTGTAACTTTTCTGCAAATCTGAAATTATTTCAAAATAAAAGGTTAAAAAGAAATGTTCTCATCAAAACCTTTTTAACTTCTCTTTTTAAATTAATTTTAAAAATCAATGTATAAAATATATTAAAATTAGCTTCATCACTATAGAGTTGTACCTTGCCCTTCCCAACAATAGTATCATCCTTTTTGTTAATGCAATTTATTTAACAGAATCAATTCTAATGACACTAGGGTGTTTCTAAAATTCAATCCATTCTCATATGTCAACATCACTGCAGATATTCACATAAGTAGTTTTCAGACTTTTTAGAAAATCTCCAAAGGAGTTTGCAAAAGGTCTTGGGTGATGCTGAATCATTTTGATAAGTGTGGAGATGCCCAACACATGGAAAGAATTGCTGTACAACGCTTTCTCTCATTCTTCACCTCTGAACTAAAGGAAGCTCATGCTTCAGCTACCTGCTTCAGGAGAAGATCAAACATGAGGATGAAACAATTTAGATTCATTTCATCATCTTCACAATCAAAGTCAATAGTCCTTCCTCCTGGGTGTCCAAAATTCTTGAAAGGGCTACGAAACGGACTACGCAAAGGACTCCGAAACGGACTCTGGAAAGGACTATGAAATGGACTAAGCATATTGTGCTGAACTCGTCGGCCAGGATCAGAGGCAACACTCACCTACAAGAAAGAATGGCAACACATAGAAATGAACTCACAGAAGCTCAAATTGCTGTGTAAAATATTCGGGGACTCTATGGAAGGTATTTCCAGCTGTCACACTTATTTCTTTCCTTAACCAATGGCATTAGTACCTCCAAATACTAAGGATTCTCTCAATATATAAAAACAAGAAATAAAACCACTCAAACTTCCTAGTTGTCAGGAAGTGACATCAACACCCTGAAGAATGAAGGCATCTGCCATTACATTTTTCAACCCATCAAACATGTCCAATTAGACCGGATTGTTTGAGTCTACTGAAAATTGTACCCCGAAAAATGAGAACTTACAAAAGTAAAATATTGCAAGATAATGTTTAGAATCAGAAGCACAGAATCTCAGGTTGACCTGATTGGTTAAAAGATGGTCTCTGGGGATTACAATTATTAAACTATTATGAGACAACAATATATGACAAACCTTTTGTACTGGTTATTCTCCATTTGTCCACCCAACCCCCACTCAGACTCTTACTACCTCCTTGGCCCTACTCTATGCCCAAGAAGTCGTGGACTGAGTCTCCTCTGGCTCCTTTGCTGCCTAGCTTCCAGTTGGGTTAAGTCAATGGTTTTTTTTGGATTATTTTGTTGTTGTTTTGTTTTGGGACAGTCTTGCTCTGTTGCCCAAGCTGGAGTGCAGTGGCATGATCACGGCTCTCTGCAGGCTTGACCTCTCACTCTCAAGCAATCCTCCCACCTCAGCCTCCCAAGTAGCTGGGACAAAAGGCATGCACCACCAGGCCCAGCTAAGTTTTTGAAAATTTTTTTGTAGAGACAAGGTCTCCACCAGGCCCAGCTAAGTTTTTGAAAATTTTTTTGTAGAGACAAGGTCTCATTATGTGGCCCAGGCTGGTCTCTAACTCCTGGACTCAAGCAATCCTCCCACTTCAGCCTCCTGAAGTGCTGGGATTAGAGGCATAAGCCACCAAGCCTGACTGGGTTCAGTCAATGGGAGGTACCAGCAGAATTCCTGAGACCTGGAGGAGAGAGAGGCAGGAGTATTTCTCCCCTCTCCCTGCCCACTTGGGTGCTACATCTCTGGGAGCATCTCCAGCACTCCGTAACTTCTCCAACCAGCCCTTTCTTACAGTTTCAGCTCCCGTTTGGTGCCCCAGGAACTCTTTCCCTTGTTCCTTCAGCCCTGGGAGTGTAAGGACTTTCTACTGGACTGTACCTGGACTCTAGGTGTCTTGTCCACCCATATTGCTCCTTTAGCTCCTTTAAGCTTTCCCATAATACTATAGGAAGAATCTCCATTAAAGTCTGTCATTTAAACTATCTGGGATAAATTCTGAATCAGGACCCTGACTAACACATCTGTACTTCACTCTCAAATCATATTTCTCTCTCTTTTTTTTCTTTTTCAATTTTTATTTTAGAATCGGGGGAACACATGTGCAGGTTTGTTACAAAGTTATATTGCATGATGCTGAGGTTTGGGGTATGATTGAACCTATCACCTAGGTATTTTTCTGTCTTAAAAATCTTTGTGGTAACCACAAAGCTCTTCAAACACCATTTTTAAGGTAAAAAGGAAGATTACCCCATTAAGAATCAGAATACCCAGGTATTCACGGTGTTTCTGTAGGAAATCACTTCACTTCACTGAACATCAGGTTAGGTAGTTGTAAAATGAAGATAATGAGTTCTTCCCTGGCTGCCTCACACAATTCTGTGATATTGTTTGCTGTGAACACATTGCACAGAATAAAGTGCTACACAAAGGAATGTCATCTTAAAGGTTACAGAAGAAAGAAAGAAAGTACAGATGGTTAGCAGCTGGCTCCTATCAGGAAGATGACAAAATAAGTAAGGATATTCTTTAAAACACTGAATGCAAACCCATAATCATGTTCCATGTTTTAATCCCTAGATGTCAGGTGGGATGGCTGGAGGCCTGTGGCATACAGTGGGGGAAATTTTGTAGAGAGGCTTGACAAGGAAAGAGTGGAGGACATTTTCTGCCAACCATCCAATAAGAGTCAACCTTTCCACAGCTGCTCACGGCCTGAGAACAGCAGCACATCAGCAGAGACTCTATCAGGCCTCCATAGAAAAATAACCAAAGCTGTCCAGCAGTTTGTATACACTTTAGACCAGACTATCTTGACTTTTCTCATCTACAATGATGCAAAGGGGTCAATAAAATGGGCTCAGTTGGTTCACAGTGACAGCATCCCTCACAGTCACCAGTAGTTGATCATATCTTCCCAAAAGACA
Source organism: Homo sapiens (assembly GCF_000001405.40). Taxonomy (NCBI): domain Eukaryota; kingdom Metazoa; phylum Chordata; class Mammalia; order Primates; family Hominidae; genus Homo; species Homo sapiens. The sequence goes on along the minus strand of NC_000014.9, from coordinate 93,575,580 downwards.
AGGAAAAAAAAACAATCATCCAAACTCCTCCCAGACTCCTCACCCCCAAAGTGAAGCACTGATCTGCCTAGGAGATGGTAAAAAATTCTTATTCACCAGGAGACTCATAAAAATGGAATGTTACCAAAAAGCTACTCTTTTTCATCAAGGGAGAAAGCTAAAATTCAAAGAAATTAAAAATAAAATGAAAACTCAATAACTTACTGATTATAAACTATACCAAACAAATGTGACTATTTAATGCACTTAAAAGATGAACACAGCGAGATGGGCTGAAAACACATTTTTGGTTTCTTATGACAGTACTTTCAGGCGTAGGATAACTGACAAGGGTTTTCAAGATTTTTAAAAGCAAGACAAGAACAAATGTGGCAATAATTACCCTTCGAGATGCAAGGTTCCCTGCCAGTTCACTGACTCTTGATTTTCTTTGATTTGCCAGCTCTTTGACTGAATTAACTCCATCAGAAAACATACTTATTAGTAGTTGAAGTGGAACCATGATATCTAACTCCGATAATACCTAGGGAAAAAAGGCATATATCCCCCAAAAAACACATGTAAATTTTAAAACTCAAAAAAGCTATATTTAACCTTCTTTTTCCAAAGCAAATTATTGAACATAAGGATAATTAGCCTTACACGTATTCTATCAACACAGTCATCCTCCAATTTTCATACTAAGAAAATCAAAGTTATCACTGAACTTTCTCCTTTCCTCACCCCCAGCATCCAATAGGTCACCATGTTCTTTCTATTAACACTTCTCAGTTTCTTTTGATGCTGTCCCCCACTCTCCATACCCACCACTAGTGCCTTAGATCCCCACCTTTCTCCTGGACTAGCACTGCTTCTCCAGTCCATCCCCACTCTGATCTCAATGACCCATCCGATCCTGCTGTCTGGTACAACTTCATGTCAATCTGGGCCCAAATCAAGTCACTTTCTCTGTCATTAATTTTCTGGAAAAAAATGCCTTCTTCCTTCAGACAGAATTAATCCATCCCTGTTTTCTGCTTTCTTAACCTTTATACATATCTTTATTAGAGCAATTATTACTTTTTCTTCTGTTTAATTATCTAATCCTATCCCTCCCACTGTGAGCTGCTTAAAGAAAGGAAGTACGCAGAAAGGACTATTTCCGGTCCCATTTTTTATTCCAGTGCCTATTTCAGTGCCTGGCACATGGGAGCTCTTGTACGTGCTTCCAGAATTAATTATAAATGAGTCAACTCTAACCACTTTAGTGTCCACTCTATCCTCCAAATAGACCAAGGCTGGAAAACCTTCTTCAGCTGCAGCACTCTGTCTTATAAACCAAGGCTGGATGAAAGCCCAGTTCATAAAACGTGTAAATGTTGCCACTGTAGCTATAGGGGGGGACAAAGCTGTATGGGCTTATCCCCAAAGAGCACAGTGTAAGGGCTGTGCAACGGGGTAACTGAGGCAACATCCAGCCATCTGTAGGAAGACTGGCTTTCTTAAAAGGAGAATTACCTTACTGAAATCCATTTGGGAATAAATGGTTTAAATTCTAAATCCCAAAGTTGACTGTTTGTTTGTTTGTTTGTTTTTTGAGACAGGGTCTCACTCTATTGCCCAGGCTAGAGTGCAGTGGCTTGATCATAGCTCACTGCAGCCTCGATCTCCTGGGCTCAAGAGATTCTCCCGGCTCGGCCTCCCAAGTAGCTGGGACTACAGGCGTGCGTCACCACGACCAGCTAATTTTTGTATTTTTTGTAGAGACGGGCTTTGGCCATGTTGGCCAGGCTGGTCTTGAACTCCTGAGCAAGTGATCTGCCCACCTTTGCCTCCCAAAGTTCTGGGATTACAGGTGTGAGCTACCGAGCTGGTCCAAATTTTGACTTTTTAAAAAATGGTCCCTTTACTCTTTGTCAAATGCGAAGAATATTGCTCTTTAGTTTCGAAAAGGTGTCTTTACAACTTGAAGAGCTTATGGGATCCTATCCTTGCATGACACAGAAATGTACCTGTATCTGTAGTTAATCTAAACATTGATTCTGTCCTCATTTTCTAAAACTGCCCAAACTCATATCAGGTATTCAAGTTAATTTAATAAACTTTAATTGAACATCCACTTTTAAATACAAGCGTGTGCCATATTCTAGGAGGAGAGGATGAAGAGGGTTATAAATACAGAAATGAGTAAGACCTGGCCCCTGTACTCAAGAGCTTGAAATCAGGTGGCGAGACAGACAAAAACTGTGAGACAGAAATAGAACCAAATTCACACAGAGAACCTGGGAAGATGAGGGTTTGAAGTAGCAGGAAAGTTCACATAGGGGATAATTTTTGAGATGGACTTTAAAAGATAGGTTGGAGTTCACAAATAGAGACAGGAAAGGAAGTCATTCCAGGCTGAGGGAACAGCATGAACTACTCACTAAATCCTTCCCCATCTTTCCAAGTAAAGGACCTGTTTAATATCAAAGATTTATCAGAATCCCACAAGACAGCTATTGTACTTTTAATAGCTATTGATGGAAAAATACAAAAGGACCTAAAGCTACTAAGAATTCAGTAATATTATTGCACAATTTATATATTTATATGTTATTAACCACAACTAGAGCAACATATATTTGAAATTTACTCATTTATCTATGCATAGGAGATACACTTTCTTGGCAAACATGGGGACTTACGAAGTCTTTGCTATAACTCCCACTCTCTCGATCCAGGGATCTAAAGCTTATAAGCTAAGAACTATTTCCTAAAATGATCGAAAGTATTATTCACTTACATGAAGCCACAGTAAAGCTTGCTCCTGCACAGAGGAGGGGTATCCTGTAAACCGACAACTAATAAAACCAAACATCTCCTCCATTGAGAAAGGCAGAGGACAGAGTTCAATGTCAAACATTTTGCTGGAAAGCAGAGCAACAAAAGTAAATGACCAATGGGCATAGATTGGGTTCTACTAATACCACCACCGTCTTTCTAACTATTCCCTATTTGGAGAGCCAAGCCTTTTAGATTAGTTTGTATTCTGAACTGTTATCAGCATATTTCACTTTACTGTAAGAGAAGTTTATGTCATTGAAATAGAGATCTTATAAATAATTCATATGGTTGTTAATAACATTACTGTTCTTCCTCATATTAGGTTTAACAGAAGGAATTGCATTTCTAAGGCATTAGCATTGCTCCCTAGCATCTAAAACAGTTTCCCTTTGCACTTTTCCACCACATCCCACCAATTATAATTATATTTGAAAATTTCAAAATAAGTAAACATCTGTTTTTATCTATTTACTATTCCACAAGAACAAAATCTTTTCTGGACAATGCCAAATCATCTTAGGTTGAGGTATTGCAGCTATTTCATGTTGGGGCTTCAAGTTTCTCCACAGGGTGGTTAAAAAATAAATGAGATTATATAAAACGCTTAGTAGGGTGACCGGCATACAGTACATGCTCACCAAACGTTAGATATGATTATAATTACAGTGACTTCATTAAACTACTTACCCACCTTAATACTTCCCTGAATTCTTTTAACTGATTATCTGGGACTTCTGTTCTGATGGCTTCCAGCCATTCCGGCATAATACACTCCCAGACAGATTGATTGATCACATTATAGGGGATCAGGCAGAGGATTCGGTTGAGACCTTCCTTCAGCTGAGTCACTGTGCTACAGGACTTATCCCAGTAGCCACCAACCTGAAGAGGTTTCCATAGCCACAGGGGAAAAGAATGAAACACACTGGTTACAATTATACTCAAGGACTTCCTAAGGCAATGGGTACAGAGAAAGGCCACAATCCATCATGTCTGAGTCCTAGGCCAAGAATCTTCAGTGTGAGATTGATTCGTAAGACGGCAAACCACCAGGATCCATCAGTTACAGAAAGGAAAACATAGTTACGAATAGGCTCAAATATTGATTACAGATGGAATTTTTAATGATGCTACTGTTGATTTTCCAAATCACATGTGAATTAAAATTCCAAAGATTTATTCCCAACAGGATGAGCATACTATTAGAGCATTCTTATTCCTCAAGTCTGATAAATCCATTACAACATGCACGTTATACCTGTGCTTCAGAGGAACACGGTTTTCTACTACTGCATGCTTTGTATTGCAGATTTTTCATTACAGGAAATACGGTAGTACACAGTGCTCTTTTTACCCTATGCTGCGTACCCTGCCACAATTTTTTTCCTAAGAATGTTCTAAAGGTAGTTGAATCTGTGAATAAAAAGGACTGGCTTTTTAAACTAATTAAGATAGTATATCAATTTTTAAGAGCAGGAAAAAGTTAAAATCACGAATTTACAAACTTAGGTTGTTTATAATCCTGATGTTAGAGATCGTATATTCTAAGTATCAACGTAACAAAGGTTAAACTGGTCCTGAGTCTTTACTAAATAACACAAGATGTGTGAGAAACTACCTTAATTTAAATGAATTCAATTTTAAATGTTTATTACATCTAGAATTCCAGATTATTCCAAAAAATCAATCAATTCTATTTTAAAGCTCCAATATCTATTTGGTGCCATATTGACCAAAATCCTAGACAAGACAATTGACTAAATATTTTCAAGAAATGACTATATTTCTATAATTTCTGTTGTGTTGTTGTTAGTTACAGGTACAGACAGAAAAGAGCCAGCACTAATAACACTGAGATCCTGAAATATATCATTACTGAAGTTTTTTGGCTATGTAGTTTATGGTCAAGCCACATAATAAGGCTTATTGGTTTTGAATAGTACGTTGGAACAAGTACGCTTTTGGAAACCCTAAATTGTCAGTGGCCAGAAGACAGATCCTTTGGGTTGGAAGAGCTTTCATATTTAAAAGGATTTTTAGAGAGCACTTACCCTAAGCAAATGTCCTAATTACCCATAGGGGAGGATGAAATGGAAAGAAGGACACAAAAAGTATCACAGCTAGCCTAAAACGCTCCCTTAATAAAATTAAATAACAGAAATCAGATTTAGAACAAAAATTTAAATCTACACCCACCATAAACTCCCCTTCACCACCTTCCTCCTGCACATGGCCCAGGGGAAGGCTGATAGTCCAGTCTGATAGGAGATATTATGGAAGACTTCCCTTTACAGGTCAATGGGCTGAAGTGGAATGATATGCTCAGAGGGCAGGAATTTATCCTAAAGGCTCTGTTAAAAGATTTATAAAAACATTCCAAAGGCACACAGCTCTAAATTCAGAAGCCCTGGAACACAGGAATCTTTTGGTTTCCATGTCAGTTAGAAATTTTCTCTCCGACCTAAGGGGACAATTTCAAAATAGGGCAGTTGGATGGGCAGGCCAATCCGTGAATGCTATTGTTGATGTCACCACCCAATTCTTTGAGGTATTAAAAAAATAACTGTTCTAGGCTGAGGCAAAAAGATCGCCTGAGGCCAGGAGTTCAAGACCAGCCTGAGCAGCACAGTGAGACCCTGTATCTAAACAAAATTTTTTTAAATTAGCCAGGCATGGTGGTATGCACCTGTAGTTCCATTTACTTGGGAGGCTGAAGTGGGAGGATCGACTGAGCCCAGAAGTTTGAGGCTGCAGTGAGCTATGGTTGTGCTACTATACTCCAGCCTGGGCCACAGAGTGAGACCCCATATCTAACAAACAAATAAATAAATATTTTTTAAAAATAAATAAATGTTCTGGCTTTACTGAGTCTTTACAAAAACAGAAATGTGGCTTTAGGAATAACCTAAAGCTCCATCCATCCTTCTTACCAATCCCAAAACCTCCCCTCCAAAAGATGCTTGCAGATACTATAAAATGCCAGGACACTGGAAAATGGACTGTCCTGCCCTTAAGAAGGAGAACTTAAATAGTAATTTTCCTGGGCCTCAGCCTGGACATGTAAACACTGCAGACTCTCCAGACAAATAATTGTCCATTCCCCCATCCTCCCTTAAGCACCTACATGTTAAAGCTCAACACTGCTGGGAGAATTTCCTGTTTGTCACAGACCAAAACCTGACAATAGGCAAATATGTCCCTGGAAATCCTCTAAGACCAGTTACTTTAAAAGTCTGCATAATTCCTCTCCCCTTTTCAGATGTAAATCTTCTACCATCCAGAACTAAATTCTCAAGAACCTGACAGCAATCTCTTATTTTTTATTTTTTATTTTTTTTGGAGATGGAGTCTGGCTCTGTCACCCAGGCTGGAGTGCAATGGCGCGATTTCAGTTCACTGCAACCTCTGCCTCCCCAGTTCAAGCAGTTATCCTGCCTCAGCCTCCCGAGTTGCATGGGACTACAGTCGTGTGCCACCACACCTGGCTAATTTTTGTATTTTTAGTAGAGACGGGGTTTCACCATGTTGGCCAGGATGGTCTCCATCTCCTGACCTGAGGCAGTCTGCCCGCCTTGGCCTCCCAAAGTGCTGGGATTACAGGCGTGAGCCACCACACCCAGCCAAGAGCCATCTCTTTAAAATGCAAACATCCAAGGAAGTAATTCTGCTTTAGACCCCAGAATTGAGGCTCCTCACTTTTACTTGTAGTACTGCTTCTTATCACAAAATTCAAGAAATTTACTTCCCCTCCTGATAAATACTAATTAAAACCCCAGTCTCCTAAGAAAACTCCAATGCCTTTTTCCTTAGCTCGGCCCACTTTAAAAAGTAGCTTTGCCATTGACTAAAGCAACAACCTGAGGCTGAGCCACAGCCTCTATGAGATTATATATCAGGGCAACTAAAAAGATCTTAAAGGTTTCCCCCACAAATATCAATAAAAAGCATTAGCCCTTATAATGAATAGGTAAAAACTTGTTCCATCTGCCAGAAACACAATTTAAATAAAAGTGAGGCAAAGATGAAAAAGAGCTCTTATATAAACTAGTAAGTTTTTTTGTTTGTTTGTTTTTGTTTTTTGTTTTTTATTTATTTTATTTTTTTGAGACGGAGTTTCGCTCCTGTTACCCAGGCTGGAGTGCAATGGTGTGATCTGGGCTCACTGCAGCCTCCACCTCCCAGATTCAAGTGATTCTCCTGCCTCAGCCTCCCAAGCTGGGATTACAGCCACCCGCCACCACACCCAGCTAATTTTTGTATTTTTAGTACAGATGGGGTTTCACCACATTGGCCAGGCTGGTCTTGAACTCCTGACCTCAGGTGATCCATGCTCCTCGGCCTCCCAAACTGCTGGGATTACAGGTGTGAGCCCCCACACCTGGCCTAAACTAGTAAGTTTTATATCACTTTTTGAAAGTTATAAGGTCTCTATTTGTGTCTGTATGTTTGTGTATGTCTATGTGAGACAGAGTAAGGATGGAGCTTGGCTCAGCTCTCCCCCAGTAGAGCATTCTTTCACGCATTCCCACTGATCACAAAACAACACTATGCTACCTCACTGACACCATACCCATTAATAGTTATATTAAGACCCATTAATAGTCATACAAAGTGTGAAAGGAAAACCTTGGGCACCAAAATTACTAAGCTAAAGGGAAATGTCAAGCTGGGAACTGCTCAGGGCAAATCTGCCTCCCATTCTATTCAAAGTCTTCCCTCTGCCACACTGAGATAGGTGCATATCTGACTGCCTCCTTTGGAAAGGCTAATCAGAAACTCAAAAAGAATGCAACCATTTGTCTCTCACCTACCTGTGATCTGGAAGCTCCCTCCCTGTTTCGAGTTGTCCCCGCCTTTCTGGACAGAACCAATGTATTTCTTACATATATTGATTGATGTCTCATGTCTCCCTAAAATGTATAAAACCAAGCTGTGCCCGAGCACCTTGGGCACATGTCTTTCCTGAGGCTGTGTCACAGGTGCACATCCTCAACCTTGGCAAAATAAACTTTCTAAACTAACTGAGACCATCTCAGATATTCGGGGTTCACAAAAGAAAGTAGTCATTCTACTGATAAAAGAAAAACTTCAGCCGAATTAAATGCAAAGGAGTTTAATTGAGCAATAAACAATTCACAAATTGGGCAGCTTTCTGAGCCAGAGTAGGCTCAGAGACTCCAGCATAGCCACGTGGTGGAAGAAGATTTATGGACAGAAAAAGGAAAGTGACGGACAGAAAAGAAAAGTGAGGCCGGGCATGGTGGCTCACACCGGTAATCCCAGCACTTTGGGAGGCCAAGATGGGTGGATCACCTGAGGTCAGGTGTTCGAGACCAGCCTGCCCAACATGGGGAAACCCCATCACTACTAAAAATACAAAAAATTGGCCAGGCATGGTGGTGGGCACCTGTAATCCCAGCTACTTGGGAAGCCAAGGCAGGAGAATCGCTTGAACCTGGGAGGCGGAGGTTGCACTGAGCCGAGATTGCGCCACTACACTCCAGCCTGGGCAACAAGAATGAAATTCCGTCTCAAAAAAATACAACAGAAAGAAAGAAAAGTGAGTACAGAAATAGCTGGATTGGGTATAGGTTGGCATTTGCCTTTTGTGAACATGGTTCCAACAGTTGGCTACATTTGACTGGCCAAAACTCGGTGATTGGCACAGTGTAGGCTATGGTCCATTCATAACCTCCACTTGTTACAGATCACGATGTACAGAGAAACTTTTAGGCCAAACTTAAAGTATGTTTTAGGCCAAAGGATGTAAGGAGGCAGTTTTAGGTTAAACTTGATTTAACACTATATTATTCTTTTGGGCTTTCATGTTTAACCATGTCTTTTACTTAAAGAATTCCAGGCCGAGCGTGGTGGCTCAAGCCTGTAATCCCAGCACTTTGGGAGGCCAAGGTGGGCAGATCACGAGGTCAGGAGATCAAGACCATCCTTGCCAACATGGTGAAATACCATCTCTACTGGACATGGTGGTGTGTGCCTGTAGTCGCAGCTACTCAGGAGGCTGAGGCAGGAGAATCGCTTGAACCCGGGAGGCAGAGGTTGCAGTGAGCCGAGATCATGCCACTGCACTCCTGCCTGGCAACAGAGCAAGATTCCGTCTCAAAAAAAAAAAAAAAAATTCCAGAAACTGGCCTAAGGGTATCCAAAATCGAACCAAGGTTGTGGAGTGTCCCTACTCAAGAAGGAATGCTGAACTATTGATTTACAGCATTGTTGCCGCGGGCCAGACCACCAGGTGGCCTGTTACTCAAGGTAACCATCACAACCGGCTATGCTGACCTGTGTACCTTACCTTTAACATGCTCTGCCCAGCCCAGCCTGCACACCTTACCCCTGATGTCAATTCCCGCTCTTTGCCTAATAAAACAATCCCTACCAATGCTTTTTAGAAAACCAGTGGGAGGATTCTTGCACTTCCACTGTCTCCCTTGCTCTTGAGCACAAGCCCTGAAATAAAACCCTTGTCTAGGAAATCCACTTGGCCCCATGTCAATTTCCATTACATGGGGAGCCAAAGAGTCTGGTTTATAAGAGATTCTCCGGCAACCAATGCAGGTCCACAGGACATGGGGAACATTTTTCTCTCCCAAGCGGGAGGCTTGTGAGCCAGCATGATGGCCGGACCCCTCTGCAGCTGATGGGCAGCTGTCTGAAACTTCGGTTTAGTATTGCTGCAACTGGGAGTTTTCCTCCAGCCTCCCCAAGACTCCTTGCCACCCCTCTAAGCTATGCTTTCCCTCCTCTCCTGTCCCCTATTTGTTGTGTTTTTATTTTTCCTTCTTCTTCCTCCCTCCTTCCTTTCTTTTGGTTTTCACTAACTTCATCAGCTCCAACCGAATAGATACCCACACAGGACATGTTGAAATGGTGGCTTGGCTCAGCCTGAATAGTCACCCATGCAGGATGGATTGAAACAGCTGATCAGTTTAGAAAACTCTGTTTAGTGCCCTGGCTTTGAACTCTGTAATCTTCTTTAAGTCTTCTAAGTATTCTCCCTCCCTTTGCCACACCTTGTGGGGAAGGGAAGCCTGTGGACTTCCCTGTCGTCTGTCTGTTTCAGTGTGAAGCTACTGACTGTTAGTTTGCTGTTAAAGCAAACTAAATACGGCCTGAGAAGAACTCCATACTTCTATATTTGAGTCCCTGTGGATGTAACCTAGCTGTAGAAAACAACATATATGGTGGTCCATTTTCAAGACAAAATACCTTGAATACACTTCGACCTGTAAGCTATAGAAGAACAGGATACCCTAGGGCCCTGCTTTAATAGCCAGTGCCTGCTTATTGGGACCCTTTAGTTACCCTCACCCAAACCAGAGGATTTAGCTTAGAATGGAAGTTTACTAGCTTGCAAAAATAGCTCACCTTGTCTATTCCTAACAGCTCGCTTAACCCCCTGGGTCATAGGTCAAATACTTGAAGAGTCCCAGAGCTGACTACAATTACAATGCATTAAGGGCTGCAACAAAATGCAGCAAGAAGACCCTGAAGAAAGTACCAAAAGCCCCAACCCAACGACCAATAAAAAACAAGAAAAGAAACTTAGGTGACTACGTCCAGGAAGATTGTAACCCCACAGTGCTCAGCCTACAGGAACCGGGGGAGGGACTTGCGCACTAGGGGATAAATTGATTGCTGTAACTGTACCAGATGTGCCTGCTCAATGGACACCTGATCTTGCAAGACTGACAGTCAAGTTTCACTTTCGCTGTACTTCTGGTCTCTTAGCCCATTCTTTGGGTTTGGACCCGTAGGCACGCCTCTTATAATTTGGGGGAGCACATTTCTGTCAAGCCTCTGAGCCTAAGCTAAGCCATCGTAACCCCTGTGACCTGCACGTGTACATCCAGATGGCCTGAAGTAATTGGAAATTAAAAAAGAAGTGAAAATGGCCGGCTCCTGCCTTAACTGATGACATTACCTTGTGAAATTCCTTCTCCTGGCTCATCCTGGCTCAAAAGCTCCCCCACTGAGCACCTTGTGACCCCCACCCCTGCCAGCCAGAGAACAACCTCCTTTGACTGTAATTTTCCACTACCTACCCAAATCCTATAAAACGGCCCCACCCCTATCTCCCTTCGCTGACTCTCTTTCCAGACTCAGCCCGCCTGCACCCAGGTGATTAAAAAGCTTTATTGCTCACACAAAGCCTGTTTGGTGGTCTCTTCACATGGACGCGTGTGAAATTCGGTGCCGTGACTCAGATTGGGGGACCTCCCTTGGGAGATCAATCCCCTGTCCTCCTGCTCCTTCAACGTTTATTCTCCAAAGGATATCGGGTATCCCCATCCAAAGCTCAAATTTCTTCTCCATCCGTTACCTACCTCAATAGGTAACACACGTGCTCTCCCTGCCGATCATGTCCAACTGATCTCTCAAATGCCAACACCTTCTACAAAACAACAACTCCTTTCCTTCCTAGGCATGGTTGGATACTTTTGCCTTTGGATACCTGGTTTTGCCATCCTAACAAAACCATTATATAAACTCACAAATGGAAACCTAGCTGACCCCATAGATCCTAAATCCTTTCCCCACTCCTCTTTCCGTTGCTTGAAGACAGCTTTAGAGACTGCTCCCACCCTAGCTCTCCCTGACTCATCCCAACCCTTTTCATTGCACACAGCCGAAGTGCAGGGCTGTGCAGTCAGAATTCTTACACAAGGACTGGGAATGCACCCTGTAGCCTTTTTGTCCAAACAACTTGACCTTACTGTTTTAGGCTGGCCATCATGCCTCCGTGCAGTGGCTGCCACTGCCCTAATACTTTCAGAGGCCCTCAAAATCATGAACTATGCTCAACTCACTCTCTACAGCTCTCATAACTTCCAAAATCTATTTTCTTCATTTTCTTCCTCACACCTGATGCATATACTTTCTGCTCCCTGGCTCCTTCAGCTATACTCACTCTTTGTTGAGTCTCCCACAATTACCATTGTTCCTGGCCCAGACTTCAATCCGGGCTCCCACATTATTCTGGATACTACACCTGACCCCCATGACTATATCTCTCTGATCTACCTGACATTCACCCCATTTCCCCATATTTCCTTCTTTCCTGTTCCTCACCCTGATCACATTTGGTTTATTGATGGCAGTTCCACCAGGCCTAATCGCCACTCACCAGCAAAAGCAGGCTATGCTGTAGTAGTATCTTCCACATCTATCATTGAGGCTACTGCTCTGCCCCCGCTGCACTACCTCTCAGCAAGCCGAACTCACTGCCTTAACTCAGGCCCTCACTATTGCAAAGGGACTACGCATCAATATTTATACTGACTCTAAATATGCCTTCCATATCCTGTACCACCATGCTGTTATATAGGCTGAGAAAGGTTTCCTCACTGTACAAGGGTCCTCCATCATTAGTGTCTCCTTAATAAAAACTCTTCTCAAGACCACTTTACTTCCAAAGGAAGCTGGAGTCATTCACTGCAAGGGCCATCAAAAGGCATCAGATCCCATTGCTCTGGGCAACACTTCTGCTGATAAGGTAGCTAAAGAAGCAGCTAGCTTTCCAACTTCTGTCCCTCATGGCAGTTTTTCTCCTTCTCATTGGTCACTCCCACCTACTCCCCCTTTGAAACTTCCACCTATCAATCTCTTCCCACACAAGGCAAATGGTTCTTAGACCAAGGAAAATATCTCCTTCCAGCCTCACAGACCCATTGTATTCTGTCATCATTTCATAACCTCTTCCATGTAGGTTACAAGCCGCTAGCCCGTCTCTTAGAACCTCTCATTTCCTTTCCATAGTGGAAATCTATCCTCAAGGAAATCACTTCCCAGTGTTCCATCTGCTATTCTACTACCCCTCAGGGATTGTTCAGACCCCCTCCCTTCCCTTCACATCAAGCTCGGGGATTTGCCCCTGCCCAGGACTGGCAAATTGACTTTACTCACATGCCCCGAGTCAGGAAACTAAAATACCTCTTGGTCTGGGTAGACACTTTCACTGGATGGGTAGAGGCCTTTCCCACAGGGTCTGAGAAGGCCACCGCAGTCACTTCTTCCCTTCTGTCAGACATAATTCCTCGGTTTGGCCTTCCCACCTCTATAGAGTCCGATAATGGACCGGCCTTTACTAGTCAAATCACCCAAGCAGTTTCTCAGGCTCTTGGTATTCAGTGGAACCTTCATATCTCTTACCGTCCTCAATCTTCAGGAAAGGTAGAACAGACTAATGGTCTTTTAAAAACACACCTCACCAAGCTCAGCCTCCAACTTAAAAAGGACTGGACAGTACTTTTACCTCTTGCCCTTCTCAGAATTAGAGCCTGTCCTTGAGATGCTACAGGGTACAGCCCATTTGAACTTTTATGTGGACGCACTTTCTTGCTCAGCCCCAACCTCGTCCCAGACAGCAGTCCTCTAGGCAACTATCTTCCAGTCCTCCGGCAGGATAGACAGGAAATTTGCCAGGCTGCTAATCTTCTCTTGCCTACTCCAGATTCTCAGCCATATGAAGACACCCTACCTGGACAATCAGTTCTTGTTAAGAATCTGACCCCTCAAATTCTACAACCTTGATGGACCAGACCCTACTTAGTCATCTATAGTACCCCAACTGCCATCCACCTGCAGGATCCTCCCCACTGGGTTCACCGTTCCAGAATAAAGCTGTGTCCATTGGACAGCCAGCCTAATCTCTCTTCTTCCTCCTGGAAGTCGCAAGTACTCCCCACTACTTCCCTTAAACTCACTTGCATTTCTGAAGAACAGTAATAACCCTTATGAGCCTAATACATCCCTTCATTCTATTAGGTCTATTCGTCCTTACCCTACTTTTTGCAACAGGGCTTTATGCAGTCACCCCCACTACTTGGACTGCGCCCCAAAAACTGGTCATCCCTGCTGTCTTCTGTCTAGTCACACTCCTATTCACCGTTCTCAACTACTCATAAATGCCCTACTCTTGTTTATACTGCCAGTTTACACTGTTTCTCCAAGCCATCGCAGCTGATATCTCCTGGTGCTATCCCCAAACCGCCACTCTTAACTCCCTCTTAGAGTGGATAGATGATCTTTGCTGGCAGGGCACCCTCCAATACTTTCACCCTGATGAAGTTCTATTCTTTATTTTTATACTCAATCTTATTCTCATTCCCATTCTTATGCCACCCTCTACCTCTCCCCAGCTATCTCCACCACACTATCAATCTTACTCACTCTCTCCTAGCCATTTCTAATCCCTCCTTAGCGAGCAATTGCTTGCTTTGCATTTCCCTTTCCTCCTGCGCCTACACAGCTGCCCCCGTCTTATATACAGGCTGGGAAACATCTCCTGTCTCCCTACACCTCCAAACTTCCTTTAATAGCCCTCACCTTTACCCTCCTGAAGAACTTCTTTACTTTCTAGACAGGTCCAGCAAGACCTCCCCAGACATTTCACATCAGCAAGCTGCTGCCCTCCTCCACACTTACTTTAAAAACCTTTCTCCTTATATCAACTCTACTCCCCCCATATTTGGACCCCTCACAACAAAAACTACTTTTCCTGTGGCTGCTCCTTTATGTATCTCTCAGCAAAGACCCACTGGAATTCCCCTTCTTGATGTTCCTTCACTCTTCATCTCCAAAGCCCAACTACATACATCACTGAAACAATTGGAGCCTTACAGCTCCATATTACAGATAAGCCTTCTATCAATACTGGCAAACTTAAAAACATTAGCAGTAATTATTGCTTAGGAAGACACCCTGTATTTCCCTCCATCCTTGGCTACCTTCCCCTTGCTCTTCAGACTCTCCTCCCAGGCCCTCTTCTTGTTTACTTATACCCAGCCCCATAAATAACAGTGAAAGGTTGCTCGTGGGCACTCAACGTTTTCTCATACACCATGAAAATCGAGCCTCTCCCTCTATGCAGTTACCCCATCAGTCCCCATTACAACCTCTGACGGCTGCCGCCCTAGCTGGATCCCTAGGAGTCTGGGTACAAGACACCCCTTTCAGCATTCCTTCTCATCTTTTTACTTTGCATTTCCAGTTTTGCCTGGCACAAGCTCTCTTCTTCCTCTGTGGATCCTCTACCTACATGTGGCTACCTGCTAATTGGACAGGCACATGCACACTAGTTTTCCTTACTCCCAAAATTCAATTTGCGAATGGGACCGAAGAGCTCCCTGTTCCCCTCATGACACTGAGATGACAAAAAAGAGTTATTCCACTAATATCCTTGCTTGTCAGTTTACGACTTTCTGCCTCCACTATTGCTCTCGATACTAGAATGGCAGGCATTTCAACCTCTATCACGACCTTCCGTAGCCTCTCTAATGACTTCTCTGCTAGCATCACAGAGATATCACAAACTTTATCAGTCCTTCAGGCCCAAGTTGACTCTTTAAGCTGCAGTTGTCCTCCAAAACTGCCGAGGCCTTGACTTACTCACTGCTGAAAAAGGAGGACTCTGTATATTTTTAAATGAAGATTGTTGTTTTTACCTAAATCGATCTGGCCTGGTACATGACAACATAAAAAAACTCAAGGATAGAGCCCCAAAACTCACCAACCAAGCAAGTAATTACGCTGAACCCCCTTGGGCACTCTCTAATTGGATGTCCTGGGTCCTCCCAATTCTTAGTCCTTTAATACCTATTTTTTTCTTTCTTTTATTCAAACCTTGTACCTTCCGTTTAGTTTCTCAATTAATCCAAAACCGTATCCAGGCCATCACCAATCATTCTATACGACAAATGCTCCTTCTAACAATCCCACAATATCACCCCTTACCACAAAATCCTCCTTCAACTTGACCTCTCCTACTCTAGGTTCCCAAGCCGCCCCTAATCCCGCTTGAAGCACCCCTGAGAAACATCGCCCATTATCTCTCCATGCCACCCCCCAAAAAATTTTCCCTGTCCCAACACTTCAACACTATTTTATGTTATTTTTCTTATTAATATAAGAAAACAGGAATGTCAGGCCTCTGAGCCCAAGCTAAGCCATCGTATCCCCTGTGACCTGCACAGATATGTCCAGATGGCCCGAAGAAAGTGAAGAATCACAAAAGAAGTGAAAATGGTCGGTTCCTGCCTTAACTGATGACATTCCACCACAAAAGAAGTGAAAATGGCCAGTCCCTGCCTTAACTGATGACATTACCTTGTGAAATTCCTTCTCCTGGCTCATCCTGGCTCAAAAGCTCCCCCATTGAGCACCTTGTGACCCCCACCCCTGCCAGCCAGAGAACAACCCCTTTGACTGTAATTTTCCACTACCTACCCAAATCCTATAAAATGGCCCCACCCCTATCTCCCTTTGCTGACTCTCTTTTTGGACTCAGCCCACCTGCACCCAGGTGATTAAAAAGCTTTAGTGCTCACACAAAGCCTGTTTGGTGGTCTTTTCACACAGACGTGCATGAAAATTTCCTCCACTAGCTTAGTAGTCAGAAAAGATTAAAAACCTAACTTAGTAGTATGTGCCAATAACTGAGTCTTGGCCGTTGAAGCGGCCATACCTCAACCACTCATATAGACTGCTAAGTGTTCAAACTGTGTTCAGATAAGGCAAGCGCCAACCTGTAACCAATCCAGCTGTTTCTGCACCTCACTGCCAATTTCTGTAGGTCACTTCCCTGTTTTTGTTTATAAATCTTTATACTCCAGCACAGCACACATAGCTGTTGTGCTGGAGTCTCTGTGAATCAGCTGTGATTCTGGGGGCTGCCCAATTCACAAATTGTTCATTGCTCATTAAGCTCTTTTAAATTTAATTCAGCTGAAGTTTTTCTTTTATCAGTGCTGTCTTTGAGAGGAGAGAATTGGCAGCACATGGGTCCAGAGTCTGTATCACTCACATCCTGATCCATTTTTCCTTTTTTTGTGTTTAATTTGACATCTTATTCCCCCATGCGGCCCACTGGGTGGCATCTTGGAAAAATGAGAAGCTTCTGTCTAAGGTTCCATGAAACAGAAAAGGAAGATTTTCTATTATAACGCAGCTTGGCCTCCACAGTTATGGCACAGCGAACAGGGTCATCAAAAGCTGCTCTGCTCTTATGGAAGCTGCAGAGACAGGGAAACCAAAACCCTGGCATGCAGGCAAAAGGGTAAGAATTTCTTACCAGCCAGGGCCCCGGCCTCTCGCTCTCTGTGCAAACCAGTTAAGTAAATGGTAAAAAAAAAAAAAAAAAAAAAAAAAAAAAAAAAAAAAAAAAAAATCCCTGTTTCTCTCCTCTACAAGATTTTTTTTTTTTTTTAAATGGAGTCTTGCTCTGTCCCCCAGGCTGGAGTGCAGTGGCGCGATCTCGGCTCAATGCAAGCTCCGCCTCCGGGGTTCACGCCATTCTCCTGCCTCAGCCTCCTGAGTAGCTGGGACTACAGGCACCCGCCACCGCACCGGGCTAATTTTTTGTATTTTTAGTAGAGACGGGGTTTCACCGTGTTAGCCAGGATGGTCTCGATCTCCTGACCTCATGATCTGCCCGCCTCAGCCTCCCAAAGTGCTGGGATTACAGGCGTGAGCCACCGCGCCCAGCCTGCAAGGTTTTGATTAATGAGAAAAAAGATGTGGGAAACTAGTCTTAGGTTGTAGCGAATCTGCTGTACTGTGATATGAATTTGTTGTTCTGCGTTGTTCTGTCATGGAGGGGTTGCCACAGAATAGAATGTGGGTGTAGGACCCCTATAAGTCTGCTGTTTGAGCCAGCCCTGCAGATTGGTCAGCTACAAACTTCGCTATGGGTCCCTGAAACAAAAACCAAATGTAGTTTCCCTCTTGTCTTGTTTTATGTCCTTGAAAGCTTGACTTTTTGACCATGTGGGGGTATTCTCTCTCAGTCTCTGCCATCCACAGGGTGGAAATTTTCAGGTTCATGTAAGGCAGCCAGTCTGAAAGGACACATGATAATGTCATGGCTAGCCTTAAGGATTCTCTTAAGCAGTTAAAATCCTTTGCAAACTTGAAACTGTCTGCTCTAGATTACTTCTGGGAAGAACAATACTGTAGCTCTGTGGCTAAGGCTTTGCCCATTCATGATGGTGGCATGGGTTCAATTCCCATCTTAGGGAATGAGTCCCTTCTGGTTTGATATTTATCTGACCTTTGCCATTTATTTATTCTTTTTCCCTCCATTGTCTTTGTGACCATATGGGGGTACTCTCTCTCCATCTCTACCATTCAGAGGGCGGAAATGTTTAGGTTATGTCAGGCAGCTTGTGATTTTCTGTCTAGAATTTTCCTTTCTCTGAGCTATCTAGGAGGCGATTCTACATCTTGTAAAAACTGCTTGCAATCTCTTTGTTGATACTTTGTGCAGCTATGGTTAAATCATAACCTTCATTAAGGCTTATTGGATTTGTTAGGGAAGCAGGAGCCTAGGAGAGCCAGAGTAACCCCATTTTAAGTTCAGCTCCATCTTCAGATTAACTGGGCATATTCCTTGTTGGTCACTACCCACAGTCATGAGATATTTACAGTTGAGGAAACAGCCTAAGATACCGGCAAAGACACTCCCACAACAGCAGAAAGTCCAGATGTCCCAATACCCATAACAAAATATGGCTTCAAGATTGTTATAGTTATGGTTTGATGTATTCACACACTAAAACATCAAGGATAGTTTTCTTTAAATCAATAGAATATAAATTTTGTCACACTCTCTGCTCACACTTACATAGACATGGCTTAGCTTAGCTTTTATATAGAGATGACCCCTATACAAGAAAAACTTAAGGATGTCCTTCTCTGTAATGGAGTAGCTTTCAATAAACTCTCTCTTCTCACTGCACTCTGCCACTCACCTTGAATTCCCTCCTGCATGAGATCCAAGAACCCTCTCTTGGGGTCTGTATCAAGACCCCTTTTACTGGTAACAGTTGCACTTGGGAAAATCCCTTTGGGAGAATAAAAGGCTTAAATGCCAGAGGCATTGGCTGTTTGTCCCTAACAGCCAGGCAATGGTCTGGAAATTAAAGATTTAAAAGAGTTTTTTTTAAAGAGCTCTATGGTAAATGATATTAATTAAAAGGGGATAGCCAAGCTATACATACATTTAAAAGGCCATTAGGCTTTTTTCTCTTCTTGGATCTTGTTTTTTTGAAAAAAAGGTTTTTGGGTTTTTTTTTTTTCTCAGTCAATTGAATTGTTTCTCCATTTACTCTGTCCTCTGGCACACACGCCCTCACTGCCCTGCATGAGAGGACTTAAGGTAATTTCTGACAGCCTGGAACTCCTTGAGAGAAACAGAAGAGGCACCACAGACTCCTGTTTTGGGAGAAACCTCTGTTTTCCAAGTAGAACCCAAAGAATTACACGCAGACTGATACTTCCCAAAATCTGAGGCTCTGTTCTGTTTTGCATTATGTTACCTGATCTTTTTGACTTTTGGGGGCATCAGAAATTATTTTGCATTACTTAGAAATGTTGAATCTTAATGTGCAATAGCTAAATAAGAGGCATATTTTTTTAAATGTCCAATAGCAGTTGCTTACAGTGAGTGGCTATTACCACAGGGTGATACTCCTTTTTTTTTGTGTTTACATACATAAAAAGCCATGCTCTTGGGCAACTAGAAGGTATGAAATGGGGGATGGGCTGATTACAGAGCAGACTAGTTGATGTTGGGTTGTCCAGCAGCCTTGGGGAAATGTCCTTACAATAAAACATGCTGTGAAAGCATTGCACTGTCTTGTCTCATAGCACTTGCCTCTTTGCGGGGACCCAGTATTTGGTGTGGAAATGGGATCCTTGATTTTGGGAGATCTGTTCTGCCTTCCAGCTGTGCCCACCTACTAGGCCCTAAAAACTGCATGCTTTCCTGGCCTTGTTCTTTAAAAGGCTCCACCCTGAACCCAATTTAAAAACTTACATCTTTAAAGAAATCTCCACATGTAAGGGTATCTGTTTTCCCTGGCTGTCTCACCTAAACTTTTACTCACACCATTTCTCCCTTGGTTTAAGTAAAATATAAATTATCTATCTTATTTCACCTAAGAATTGTCCCTTTTAAAATGCAAAATCAGAGTTACCTCACTGATAATTATTTAGGGCAGAGAACAGATAATCAAAAGATTGATGCTTTATCTAAAATAAAATGAGAAAGAAATCTTGGCCAGGTGTGGTGGTTCACACCTGTAATCCCAGCACTTTGGGGGCCTGAGGCAGGTGGGTCACTTTAAGCCAGGAATTTGAGACCAGTCTGGTCAACATGGTGAAACCCCATTTCTACTAAAAATACAAAAATTAGCCGGGCATGGTGGCGTGCACCTGTAGTCCCAGCTACTTGGGAGGCTGAGGCAGGATAATCACCTGAACCCAGGAAGCAGAGGTTGCAGTGAGCCAAGATCACACCACTGCTCTCCAGCCTGGGTGACAGAGAGAGACTCCATCTCAAAAATTAATTTAAAAAAAAGGAAGAAAATCTTAAAAACTGGCAAATGAAGAATCTTATAACTCTACCAGATCTGCTTCTCTGTCTGTGTATTTATATGTGTCATGTATGTATGTGATGTCTTACTACCAAGATATGTAAAAGACATCCAATGAATTGGCTTAAAGAAAAATAAATGCTTAAATAAAATATTTTATCAGAAAAATAAACACTTTAGTTCACATGGCTTTAGTAATCTTTGGTAAATAAAGACAGTTTTAAAGACTATTAATGAAATAAAATTAAATGTCTTTAAAATTTAGGCATTCAGTCTAAATTAGGCAGGTCAGGAACTGCCCTTGCTAGATGCTTTAAGATTATAAACTGCTTCTATGACTTTTGATAACTGTTTGACTTGCCTGCTTTGGGGCCATTAGATTCTAGGTAAGGCCTGGGGATATATAGAATTAGACACACTCCCTAGCTATACTGGAAAAGAGTCACATATTACCTGTAGTTCCCAGGCTCTGCACTTGGTACAGAATTAAAGTTGCATACACTAAAAATTAAAATTAGGTGTTTTTAAGAAAAAGGCATGGGAATGTAGTTTTTAAAAGACAAACTATTTTGCCTAATTTAGAGGTTGTTTAAGGATTGTTTTGGGTTAAAAGAAAGATAGAATATAACTGAAAGTTTAAGCCAGTTAGAGATGGTTTGTGAAAGATTAATCTTGAAACAGAAATTCTGTGTATGAGCTAGTTGGCTAAAAGGGTATTATTTAGTTTTTCCATAAATTAAATATTAAAATAAAAGCTTGCTAACACAGGGCCAGAATCTGGGCTCATGTGTCAGAATAATAGGGTTTTCCTGGAGCATTTATCTGCTCTTAAACAAAAAATTTGCAAAGGGTTATAAAAATCTTACCTTATGGTCAAACTGGTTAAAATTAGATAGCTTCATCAAATGTTATTGAAATTAGCTTTAGTATTAATATACTAATGCAAAGGTAAAATTTCATTTTCCCTTTTGAGCAAGATTTTCATTCGCCTACAGGAAAAAGAGAGAGACAGAATTTTTTTTTTTTTTTTTTTGAGACAGAGTCTTGCTTCAGCCAGTCACCCAGGCTGGAGTACAATGGCATGGTCTCAACTCACTGCAACCTCCGCCTCCTGGGTTCAAGTGACTCTCCTGCCTCAGCCTCCCGAGTAGCTGGGACTGCAGGCATGTGCCACCACACACAGCTAATTTTTGTATTTTTAGTGGAGATGGGGTTACACTGTGTTGGCCAGGCTGGTCTCAAATTCCTGACCTCGTGATCTGCCCACTCGGCCTCCCAAAGTGCTGGGATTACAGGCATAACCCACCATGCCCAGCCATGCTGTCTTTACTGGGTCTGGTTATTTAGAAAGCTGAGTCCTCTCTCTGTGAAAGACTAAAGGATTTTTGCTGTTTAGAAATCTTTGAGTTAATCATGTTGGTTAAATAAATAAACTGTGGTCCTATTTTGTGATGTCAAGTGTTTTAAATTTTGATATTTGACAAGCTTTCCAAAATAAAATCCTGAATTAAGCCTTTTTTGACCTAATTAACCATTTTGTGTAGTAGGTCCTCTGAGGTCCAAAAGAGACATATGCAGCTTATTTGGTGTATCAAAACCATACAGGAAACACTATCACATTTAAAATGGTGTTTAGCTTTTTTTAGATTATAGTCACATAAATGTGTGATTAATATGTATTCCATAGTTATATGAGATTCCTATGATTCTGATATGCCTAAGTATCTGCTATCAATAACAATTAAGATTGTTACATTAAATTGTGTGCCACAGAAATGACCAGATTTCCCTGTTGATTGCATCTTTAACTGTGGCTGTCCTAAGACTCTTGTCATCCACAGACAATTGTCTTGTTTTAATCTATTCCAAAAGAAGATTTATAATCAGCTAAAGGACTCTCATGGATACTCTTGGATGCAGGTCTCTGACAACCTGGAGACTGAGCCATTAGAATAGAGGGAAAAACTTGTAAGACCCTCTTGGAGATCTAATGTGTCCATAAATATCAAGCAGAACAGGAGTTAATTTCATGGACTAAACAAATAGGAGATTGAAATAATCTGTTTATGACCTTTTCTTCCAGAAATGCTGCTGACCCTTTTTGTTTTGTTTTTCAGAGTCAAGAAAACTTTTTTCCCTTTTAAACCATTTACAACTTTTAACAATTGAGTAAACTACAACCTATAAGCAAAATTTTGAGCATGTTTCTTTCTCTCTACCTGATTTCTGCAGAATTTGGAAACTATATGTGAGTATTCTTAACTTATGGCAATATAGTTGTTTGCATACATGCAATAAGAATCTGTTTTCTTTTGTAACAGGACACAACTGGGGAAACTGGTTATTTTATCAAGGCTTTATGAGAATGACATGCTTTCATACTGCTTTTCTAAAAATTGAGGTTGACTTCTAAAGCCGATAAAACCCCATTGGAAAAACTGCCCTCATATCCTGTCTATGCAGTCCTTGTACAGGGTTCCTGACCTATGGTAAGTAAAGACTGTCACTTTCTAACAGGTCCAGGAGCCCCAAGTTATCTTTGGACTTCAAGAGGGGAGGAATTCACCCAATTCATACAAGTGTTTGCAGGCACAGATGAATCCATAGCTAGGCTCACAGCTTTAAAAAGTCTAATCTGAGAATCCTTACAAAACAAAGTTCCAGCAAAGCCAATTAAAAAAAAAAGTTTATATGGCAAATAATTATTCTTGCTGCACTTCACGCAAATAATCAAAACAAGTATAATGAAACTAAAGTTTAATTTGCAAACACATCAATCCTACAATAATTTGTCTTTGATAAAAATGAGAGACTGGAGAGAAAAAGAGTATAATATACCTGTTGTAGGTTCTAGTCTTATCTGTTGTTTTTGAGCTTTTTAATATTATTTTCTGAGCTGCAAGTCTCCAAACTAACATTTTAAAAATTTTCTTCCACTTTTCTGACTTAATGAAATTGCTACTACCTTTTTCCTAAGGCCCTGCAAACTAAGGCTTATTCTTTATAATACAAGCAAAAAAACATGAAAAATTGCCACCACCCTCCTCCATAACTAAAGATGCTTTGAGCCTAATAACTGGGTAGATTATGCCCACCATTAACAGTTGTTTTTCTTTTGTTTCCATAGAAATGTCTCTTATTAAAAGTATGTTTGCCTTATATTTCACACACCAGGAGACTCATTCTCCAGCCTATTCACTTAAATTCCAAATGGCAGCTGATTTCTTCTCATAGCATTATTAAACTGGACTTAGGCATTTTATTAATTATCACTGGGTGCTATTTGATTTTTAAAATAATTATTTGTTATATTCAACAGGCGTACAGATGGTTAAAGTTTATGCCTTCCAGGCTTCAACAGTTCTAAGTCAAGCTAATGATGGCCCAAGGATTCCAACCCATACCATCCCAGAAGGATTCTAGTCCCTACAGGTCTCTAGAACAGTCAGTGAGAGATTTCTATGTTCCTCTGAGGTTAGACAGGGACAACAACCCTGTTCAGCATAGCTGTTCAGTATAGCTTCAGAAGATGAGATCTTCAGCCCTTTTTCCTTAAGAATAAAGAGAGTGAAATATCTCAGAGGGGAATGAGACAGTAAGGGTGGGGCTTGGCTTCAGCTCACACCCACTAGAGCATTCTTTCATACATTCCCACTGATCTCAAAACCCACACCACTACCTCACCAATGCGTATCCATTAATAGTCATACAAAGAAAACAGCCATTCTGTATTGTTCTTCTGTGCTTTTATATGTTTAACCATGCCTCTTACTTAAACAATTCCAGACACTGGCCTTAGGAGATCCAAAATTAAACTAAGGTTCCTGAGTCTCCCATCTCGGGAAGGAATGCTGAACAACTGATTTACAGCCTTGTTGCCACTGGCCAGACCAGCAGGTGACCCATAACTCAAGACAACCATCACAACCAGCTTTGCTGACCTGCATACCCTACCTCTAACATGCACTGCCCAACCCAGCCTGTATACTCTACCGCCGATGTCAATTCCCATGCTTTGCCTTAAAAAAATAAATCCTGGCCGGGCACGGTGGCTTACGCCTGTAATCCCAGCACTTTGGGAGGCCGAGGCGGGCAGATCATGAGGTCAGGAGATTGAGACCATCCTGGCTAACACGGTGAAACCCCGTCTCTACTAAAAATACAGAAGATTAGCCGGGCTTAGTGACGGGCGCCTGTAGTCCCAGCTACTCGGGAGGTTGAGGCAGGAGAATGGCATGAACCCGGGAGGCGGAGCTTGCAGTGAGCCGAGATTGCGCCACTGCACTCCAGCCTGGGCTACAGAGCGAGACTCCGTCTCGATTTAAAAAAATAAAATAAATAAATAAATAAATAATAAAATAAAAAATAAATCCTACCAGCTCTTTTTGGGGAACCAGCTCGGGGATTCTTGTGCCTCCACTGTCTGCCTTGCACTTGAGAACAAGTCCTGAAAATAAAGCCTTATCTAGGAAGTCCTCTTGGCCCCATATTAATTTCCATTACATGGAGAGCCAAGGAGCCTGTGGTCTGTAACATATGTATATACATTATGTGTATGTGGTATCTTCTTATCTCCAGAAAATATTGCCAAATTGCTTTATAAAATTCCTTGAGAGACCTCTATTCTAAATGGGTTTTGTGAAACAAGTAACTCAAAATTGAAGCTGTTGGAACTTTATATTTAAGGGAATGTGATTATGGGACCTGAGTCATGTAAACAGGCAGCTGCAACCTAGGCAACTGTAACCTTGTTTTTCTAATTACAGATTAGCCTTTTTTCTTACTTACATTATTTTGTAAAATGTAGTAAATGACTAAATTGAGCCAGGGAAGACTCCTTCCTCTTTTTTTTTTTTTTTTTTTTTTTTTTTGATACGGAGTCTTGCTCTGTCTCCCAGGCTGGAGTGCAGAGCCGCGATCTTGGCTCACTGCAACCTCCGCCTCCCGAGTTCAAGCAATTCTCCTGCCTCAGCCTCCCAAGTAGCTGAGATTACAGGCACATGCCACCATGCCCAGCTAATTTTTGTATTTTTAGTAGAGACGAGGTTTCACCATGTTGGCCAGGCTAGAACTTCCCTCTTTCCTCTCTCACAGAGACTTCATGACTATCATATTGTCTAGGATGAAATGTTAAACATACTCTTTTAAATTGGAAAGGCAACGAAAACTAGCTGTATGGAAATGAAAACAAACTGTAACTAACTAAATTGTTGCAATTTATAAACCAACCTTGTGTAGAAAATGTTATAATCCTGCTAAATTTCTTTGTTTTCTGCCTATATAAGCAAGGCCTTCACTTTTAACTGCAGAGCACTGACCCCGTTTCTCTGAAGTCCATGTTTGCTGAATGGCCATTTCCAGCTTTTTGCTTAAATACATGCTTTAAAACTGGTTTCTGATCCTTTTGATTAATTCAGATTGACAGTTGCAAAACATATACACTTACATGTTAAATTAAGTCTAGCCTAAAGCTGTCTTCTTACATATTCTAAGTTTGGCCCAACAGTTTCTACATATACATAGTGAACTGTAACCTAGCTGCATGTATAAACAGATTGTAACCTACTCTTGTGCCAATCACTGACTTTTGGCCAATCAAAGGCAGCCAACTGTTAATAAGGCAAACATCAGGATGTAACCAATCTGGCTGTTTCTGTACCTCATTTCCATTTCCTGTACATTTCTTTTCCTGTCTTTTTTTTCCACCACATGGCTATGCTGGAGCCTTTCTGAATCTATTCTGGTTCAGAGGCTGCCTGACTTGTGAGTTGTTCTTTGCTCAATTAATCTCTGTTAAATATAATTTGTCTAAGGTTTTTATTTTAACATATATAAATTAAATATTCCTAAAACTCTCAGAAATATAGGAACTAACCCAAATGCTTTCAGGTGTACGTGATTTCAGTAAATCTGTAAATGAGACAAGTATAATATTGTTGGTTTAATAAAAACAGCTGTGTTTTCAGAGTTATCAGCATTGAGTACCATGCTGAGCACACGTTTTGCTTCTACCTGGGCTTACTACTCAAATAAACTAATATATTTACCAATGTTTAAAATTATAGAATATACAGATTTGATTTTAATTAAACAGAATCATTATTCTGACAAAGTTTATAGCAACAGTAATTGTGTTTTATAATGTTTCTGCTTAGATGTAGTTTTCAGAATCTTTTTGGTAACTTGAAACCTTAACGGTATACTAAGTTAAATTAAATGGCAGGTATTCACTGAAAATCTAGATCACTTCTAAGTAGGATAAAATATTAACACATTAATTGCTGATCATAAGTTTATCTGCTTTTAGCTTCTTATTTTTTACAAATGCTAAAGACATTTGGGTTTGTTAAAAAGGATGTTCTTTTTGCCACATTGGGGAATCATACTAAGAAGAATTTGCATCTAGAAATTGTGAGATTGTATATTCACAAAATTTGCTAAAATGCCAAAAAATGCTGATATACAATAGGCAATTCACAGTTGTCTAATAGTTTTCTCTGGAAAATAAAGGATAATAAGAGTTGAAAATTATAATCAATCATATGTAAATTGAACTACTAGACATAATCAGGATGAAGGAAAAACCTCTGTGTGCAAAGTATTCAAGTAATGTAGAATGTGGTTTTGTTACAGGAAAAAGAGCAATTCTTTCCTAAAGGAGCTGTTTACTCATTATTCCTGAATGAGGAAGAGGAAAGGACCAAAACCTGAAAGGGAAGTATGGGGAAGACAGAGAAAGAGAATTTTATCTTGTGTGGTCATGTTGGCTAAGATTGAGTAGATTTACTGTGAGGTTTTTAAATGAGCTTTAATATTAACAGTGTACTGATGCAAAACCAGAGTTTCATTTTCTCTCTCTTAAAAAAACAACATTTTTTAGATTATCTTATTTCTGTTCTTAATAAGAGGTTGTAAAAGGTTTTTCTTTACCTTTTGAAAAATCTGCCTAGGAAACTACCACAGTCTGAATATTTGTGTCCCCGCAAAGTTCTTAGGGT
This sequence comes from Homo sapiens, assembly GCF_000001405.40. Lineage (NCBI taxonomy): Eukaryota > Metazoa > Chordata > Mammalia > Primates > Hominidae > Homo > Homo sapiens. The sequence continues at coordinate 93,548,387 of NC_000014.9, read as the reverse complement.
GAAACCTAATCACCAATGTGATGATGTTAGAAGGTGGGGCCTATTGGGAGGTGACTAGATCATGAGAACAGAGCCTTTATGAATGAACGCCCTTGTAAAAGGGACCTCAGAGAGCTACCTTGCCCCTTCCACCACATAAGGACACTGCCAGAAAGCACTATCTATGAACCAGAACGTAGGCCCTCACCAGACACTAAATCTGCCTTGATCTGGGACTTTCCAGCCTCCACAACTGTGAGAAATTTGTTGTTTATAAGCTACCCAGTCTATGGTATTTTTTTGCAGCCCAAACAAACTGAAGAAACTAAGACAGAAACAAAGACTCTGTGTCTTATCAGAATAATTTCCTGTGTTTTTTTTGTTTTTGTTTTTGTTTTTGATTTTTTGTTGTTTGTTTTTTTGAGACAGGGTCTCACTCTGTCACCCAGGCTGGAGTGCAAGTGCGTGATCATGGCTCACTGCAGTCTCAACCTCCCAGTGATCCTCTCACCTCAGCCTCCCAAGTATCTGGGACTACAGGTGCGAGCCAACATGCCAGGATAATTTTTTTTTTATTTTTTGTAGAGACAAGGTCTCCCTAGGTTGCCCAGGCTGATCTCAAACTCTTGGGCTCAAGTGATTCTCCAACCTCGGTCTCCCAAAGTGCTGGGATTACAGGCATGAGCCACTACTCCTGGCCTTCCTGTGCTTTTTGTCTTTATCATGTCCTAGACTATTTAAGAGAACCAAGTCTTCTAAATATTAAAAGAGCTAAGTTTTGTTTCTCTTTTTGTTTCTTACAATTGTGTTGCTCCCTATATTTACTTTTGAAATCTCTTAGTGTCATATAGGTTAAATAAATAACTAAGAATTGTTTCACAGTGACCTGTAATGTTGGTTAATCAAGTACTCAAATCTTTTGACATTTCTGATAACTTTTGATATTTTGCCTTTCCAAAGCCAAATCCTAAATAAAATCCTGGTCTTGAACTGACCTGAAATTTCCCAGAGGGACGCTTGAAAATCTCAAAGGATTTGTTCTTACCTATAAAAAGATACATTAAACTAATTAGGTTTATTTGATAAGTTGAAGTCTATGGAAAGCGTTGTCAAATAAAAAGAGATGTTTAACTGTCCTTAGGTTACATTTGTATAGGTAAATGTTATGAATACAAATATTTCGGGAATTATATAAAGTTCCTAGAAATTTGTCAATGCCCTTGCTGGCATGATACATCTTTATGCTTCTTTGTCTGATGGTAGACAACAATGACAAAATATTATCAGTTATCATTTTGTTATTATTTTAATGTTTCATGCTACAGAAACAACAAAACTGCCTTGTCAACTGTGTCACAGTGAACTTTCAGCAGATCTTTAACTATGACTATTTTAAGCCTTTTGTCATTCAGATAGTAATTGTTATCTGATGTTTCTCTGAAAACTCTTGCAATCAGCTACTAGCAAAAATGCTTATTTTCAACATAAACAGATTGTCTCTGAGATCCATGGAAAGGACTATGACAGGTACCCTGGGGTACAGGCTTCTGGTGGCATTGCTTAAATAATTGAGATCATACCACTGGAATGAGTAAGGATTGCCAGAACTCTAGTGGAGCAGCTAATGGGTTCATTAACTGCTAACTCAATCAAGCAGAACAAGACTGAATTACATAGGACTGAATGATAAATGATTATAATTTGTATCGTTTTTTGTTTAGAACATTGCTAGTTTTTCAATCAATGTTCTGTTTTTCAGATACAAGGAACCCCTTTCTCTTTTCTCCTAAGCTATCTATAACTCACAATAATTTGGTAGATTTATACCTTTGTAAACAAACATGAAATATATCTTTTTTCTCTCTACTTGATTCCTCCAGAATTCAGAAGCTCTTATTGAATATTCCTATTTTCATAGCATTATAGCTATTTGCATAAGTTGAATAACAATCTGTTCTGCTTTTAACAGGACATAATTGGGAAACTTGGTTATGAAACCACCTTTGCAAAAATTATGACAGTGAGAAAATAATGACAGTGGAGGAGATCGGATCTAGCCAACCCCCCTCTTGCCTTTAGCATTTAAACTGCCAAACTAGCTTTGGGAGATATTTAGCTTATAGTTTAAATGATAGTAGCCCTTCTCCAAAATTCAAATGCCTTTCTAAAGAGACCACAAGGCTATGAGGAGGAAAGGAGCCTGAATTCAGCTAAGGTGTAGACATAAATGGTTGCCAGCTGTTATTCCAGAGGTCACAAGATATGCAGCTTCTCCAATTATTCCTGCGGATAACATCACTATGATAGAACCTAAGATTGGCCTTTTGAGATAGCTTTTCATGTTTTTTTGCATGTCTGACACCCATGGCTCCACCTGGAGCCATGTCCTCCTGTGTCCGCACCCATAATCAACTCAGCATAAGAGGACAGCTTCAACTCCCTATGATTTCATCTCCAACCCAACCATCAGCAGCAGCAAACATCCACTGCCTAGCCACCCCTACTCCTTCCTCCAAATTGACTTTGAGAAACCCCTAACCTACAAGCCTTTGATGAGACTGATTTGAGCAATAACTCAGTCTCTCGTGTGGCACGGCTGGCCTCATGTCAATTAAACTCTTTCTATACTCAATTCCGTGAATCGATGTTGTTTGTGCAGCAGGCAGGAAGAACCCATCAGGCAGTTACAGTTATATTACTAAGTCTTTGCAGAATGTCATATTTGTGAATTGCATGGAATCTGATATGACTAAACAGTTTTAAGGAACTAAGATTGACTTTATGGAGCCAGGGTTTTCAAAGCCCTCTTGGAAAAACAGATTCGATACCTGCATTACAGAATTCTCAGCCTTACAGATGAGTAAAAAAGGTCACTTCCTAGGAAACTTAGAATATTTGGGAGACCTCAAGGAGAAAGGAATTCACCCAAATCTATAAGTATTACAGATGAAATCTGGTGACAAGTTCTTGGCCTGACTTCTAGCATCAAGAAACCTCTAAAAGTCCAATCTGAGATTCCTTTTAAGAGTTCTGGCAATGCAAACTTTAAAAAGCCCTAAGTGGTCAATTACCATTCTTGCTGTGCTTGTGCAAATGATCAGACCAAATTTAAAGAGACTAATTTTGTAACCAAAAGTAATCTTACTTTGATTATTTTTGGTCAAAATGCAGGTGATTGTAAAGAGAAATTTTATGTTTTGATGAAAAACTATAACCCACCCTTGTGAGTGATCAGATTCTAGTCCTGTTCATCACCTTTGAGATAGTTTTCACCTCTTTGTAAACTAGATCCTTCTGTCTTGCCCATTTTGCCAGTAATTAACACTTCTAACTTTTCTCCTACCCACCTGACATGGCACCACTGAGAACTAAAACCTAACTTCCTAGATCATTATTAAGACTCTGGGTTATCTTGTTACAAAGCCCTAAAAGCTGAAGTGGGACAATATGATATAAAATTCAAAGGACTTATTGCTACAACAGTTTGGTCCACTCAGGAAGTTCACCAAACACTCACCTCTTCTCTGCTCTGCTCTGGAAAATAACCATAACTGTGACACCGATGTTCTCACTCCACCGTCTAAACATGCTTCAAGACCAACATCTAGACATCTTCTCAACTGTCTGCCCTCCGTACTCAAAACCTAGATTTATAATCTATCCCAACCATTAATCTGTGCTTTTCTGGTTCCTCATTCTATGCTCTTGTTCTCCTCTGCAGATCTCTTACCTCACAATTTCTAGCCTAAATCTTCCCTCTATAGAAATCAACCTAGCTTCTTTCATGTATGTTGAAACTTCAAGGGAAGTTTCAGATGAGGGAAATGTTATCCACCAAAACCCTACAGTTGGTATAAAGAGTATTTTAAAGTGAAAACATTTAAGCTAAAGAAGATGCAAAAAGAAATCTTAGCCGAACTTCCGTTATGTGACTCTAGCAGAGTCTCCAGAGAAAACCCTTCTGTTAACCCCCCCGAAAGGGAGTTTCCTGTGGATTCAGCTGCTGTGGAGATAGCCCAGTTCCTGCCCAGCTCCCATGGCATTAAAAAACCCAATGGAACCTTCCATACCTTCTCACTGAAGCCCTTAAGTAAACCTTTTGTTAAGTTTGATATATAAATCTTTTATTTCTGGCTATTCAGGAAGTAATTTATCCTTGAGATCTCCCACATGTACTCATAAATAAACTTTGTCTTCTCTCCAGTTAAACTGTTATCAGTTAATTTGCAGGCCCCAAAACATCTGCACCTAAGTTGGAATAAGAAAAGTTTTTCTCCCAACATAATCATTTCTTCTCATTTTCCAGAAGCATGTCACATCAATCCTTCACTATTCCAATAGACATAATAATAGAAAATATATCAACACAGGCAAAGAATGTCAGAAAATGGGAAATTTCCTTTAGGCAAAAATTCAATTTTCTAAGTGAGTCAGTAGGTGGCACCAAAGAAGAAAGAAGTACATCTCCATAAATGCACAGATCACTCTGAGTCCTGAAAATCCAATAAAAGTTACCCCTATAGATGGTCTGTGCTGTTTTATCCTTAAATGTCCTACTTTAGCACAGGTTTCTACTGAAAACTGCCTCAAGATCTCTTTGAAAGGAAATAAAAAATCACAAATAAAAATAACACTTAGAAAACACTTGGAAAAAAAATTTCACATATTACTGCCAAAACCTGATTCTGGACATCCACCTTTCTGGGTTAGATGCAAATTACATCATATTCAAAAAATATGGGCTGCTCACAGCAGCTCATGCCTGTATAATCCCAGCACTTTGGGAGGCTGAGGCAGAAAGATCGCTGGAGGCCAAGAGTCTGAGACCAGCCTGAGCAACATAGAGAGACCCCATCTCTACCAAAAAAATTTTTTTAATTAGATGGATGTGGTGATGCATGCCTGTAGTCTCTGAGGTGGGAGGATCTCTTGAGCCCAGGAGTTCAAAGCTGCTGTGAGTATGACTACACCACTGCGGTCCATCCTGGGTGACAAAGTGAGACCCTGTCTCAAAAAAAAAAAAAAGGAAAAAAGAAACATGGGTTCTTCTCAGATGTGATCCACTGAGGCAGAAGCAAGAGGATCAGCACAGAGAAATCTGTTCTTAAGTGAGAGGAATAGGTGCATTTTGTCTGACCCTGAACCTTTTTGGCATTTCAAATGGCAGGGCAGGGACTTCTACCATTAACCTGTATATATATATATACATGATTAAAAAAAGAAAAAAAGACATTTCCCCTATTTGAATGGTAATCTTTCCAAAGATTCTAAGCCAAAAGGGGACTGAGCTCTAGTAACCTCATAGAAAGGCTTTTTTGTTGTTGTTTCTTAATAAAAATATTTAGCTTCCCGGCTACTCCAGAGGCTGAGGCAGGAGGATCACTTGAGCCCAGGAGTTCAAGGCGGCCAGCCTGGGCGACATAGCAAGATCCCATTTCAAAAAAAAAAAAAATCAGCAATGTCGAGAAAGAATGGTCCCTTAAATTCTTAAAGATACCTCACAAATGCATCTTGCCATTCTTCCTCATCCCAAATCAACATCAAAGCAGCACATCATCCAAGATACAGTTACTAAATTCATTTAGCTATATTAATTAAAATAAGGAGAGATGTTCCTCCTCTGCAGACACTGATAATACCCACATGGCTAAGGCAGCACTTCTCCCCAAGTCCTCCTCTCTAACAAGGTGTGAGCTGTAGGCCTCCACTTACCCTGGCAAATTCCATGGGTTTAGGAAGAAGGCACATGACCATGACATCGAAGCGAACATCACATACGGTCTTCAGCCATTTGGTGACAAACTGAGGCTTCAGCTTTTCCACCAGACTTCCCACTTCATCATCCATCATATACGCAGTGGAGTGAAACCACTGAAACACCATGGCCACCAGCCGGGCCAAGCTTTCTGTAGGCGTGTTCTCACTGGGTGTGCAGAGGCTCACCTAGAAGTAGGTAGATTAGAACCTTGTTCGGCTTCCATCCATCTTTACAAAATTATTATAGGTGCATTAAGAGGCAAAAAATAAAAATAAAAAGATATCCCAGATAATCTGTTTGAAATAGGCAGTTTTAAAAATGGGGATCGCTTATCCAGAAACTGTGTTCCTTTCTACAGGGATAGATGGATTGCAACAACAATTTTCCCTCAAGATTTCACCTTCCAATTAAGCATTTTCTCCTACAAGGAATCTATTATATAATCTGCACCAGATAAATGCTTCTAAAAAGTTAGGTCAACAAAATGATATTTCATCAATATCCTCAATGAAAATAATGTATATACATTTCAGTTCTAAAATGATCATATTTTGCTAAGAATTGTGTATTAGTAATAATTCAGATACCTTGGAGTCCCCCCAATTCACTATCATAAATAGACTTTTTTTTTTTTTTTTTTTTTTTTGAGATGGAGTCTCCCTCTGTTGCCCAGGCTGGAGTGCAGTGGCGCGATCTCGGCTCACTGCAAGCTCCGCCTCCCGGGTTCACGCCATTCTCCTGCCTCAGCCTCCCGAGTAGCTGGGACTACAGGCGCTTGCCACCACACCCAGCTAATATTTTGTATTTTTAGTCGAGACAGGGTTTCACTGTGTTAGCCAGGATGGTCTCGATCTCCCGACCTCGTGATCTGCCCGTCTTGGCCTCCCAAAGTGCTGGGATTACAGGCGTGAGCCACCGCTCCCGGCCCATAAATAGACTTTTTAAAACATCATTCATTCATTTACTATGAACTAATCTTCTATTGAGTACTATGGCAGGGTCCAGGAATAAAAAAAATAAATAAAACATTGTCCTTGCCTTCAAAGAGTTCACAGCAGTAGCCATTGTGTCATTAAATACTAACTTCTAGGAAGCAAGATATGTGAAATCAACAATTAAATGCCAATTTGGTAAAGACTCTTTCACGGAACTATATGCAAGCACAATAGAGATATATCACTATGGAGACTGAATTAATGTCTCCAATGAGCAAAACAAAAGCCTGCTTCTCTGCCGCATTGGTAAATTCAGCTTGCTTGGGACGTTAGATCTGTATGTTTGATCTCTACTGAATAGATGTTGAAATTAAATCAGTCAATAGCAATCATATTCCTTGCATTACTTTGGCTATAACGTCTCTGGTGTACATAGACATATCATAAACACACAAAAAGCTCCACAGAGACTGAACTTTCAAGAAAAATTTCATCTACATAGGTGATGGGATGTGAATTATCTGTATATGTTATTGAATCCAGTACTTGACAATATATACTAGCAACTTCCCGACTTGTACCAGTCTAGATCCTGATACTGTAGGTTTAACACCTGGCTCTTCATCAAAATCAATGGCCAAGAGCTTTTTAAAAAATTCCCAAGATTCTGGAATGCGATCTGGGCATTGTTAGTTTTTAAAAGCTTTCCTAGCTAAATCTAACATGCAGCTCAGGATTGACAGCTATTGCCATAGCTTCAGCCCCATTGCTAAGGTTAATTTTTCACTATTTACTCCTTTTAAAAGAACAGGAGAAATTCCTCTTCAGTACAATTTTGAAATGAGAAATAAGAAAGTGGAGAATAGTTAACTTCTTTTTCTTACTAAGAACCATATTCCGAATTGACTGAGCAGCCTCTGATCGTGTTTATCATCGTCCTTGTTATCAAAGTCAGCATTATCCAGGGAATGGTGGGAAGAGGAGAGGCCCAGCTGCCGCCGCCGGTTCAGCTCATGTTCTCGCTGCTCAGCATGGAACTCGGCTTCTTTCAACAAGCTGCCAAAGAGCAGTGTGATTTCAAGTTAGACTGTGAAAAAACACATTCTAGATCATGACCCATTCAGAGGAAGTACCTCACGAGTACTCAAGCATCCTGGATTGCTCTTCTTTAAATTGAGTACTGTGTTACTGAGTTACTGAGTACTGTGCATCCTGAGTTACTCCAGGATGCCTCATTCTATTTTCTTACTATTTTATACTCCATTCCCATTTCAAAGATGAACAAACTGAGGCACAAAGAGGCTAGTTCCTCCAATCAATTAGCATCAAGCAGAACTGATCCTTTCTGACTTCTGGTTCACCAACCATCCCACTATAAGTCAATGCTTCCTCTATATCTATCATGAAACTGTGCAGACAGCAAATGCATGATACAAGGAAAGGTTGAGGAGCTTGTGCCCAAATGGAAAAATATTCACCATCTGATATTCAAAGACACGAAAGTGAAACAGTGAAAATTCTTTTTTCCGTTTGCTAAACAAGTTCCAATTTTAAAAAGCAACACTCAGTATTGGTAAGTTTTATACATGGTGTTGGCATTGTAAATCTATACACATGCTTTGAAAAGCAACTTGGTAATGTATTAAGAGCCATGTAAATATTCATACCCTTTGAACCAAGGTATTTGATATCTGGTCATCTACCCTAAGAAAATAAAAAATATAGGTACAGCACTATGTACAAAAATATTTCTCAAAGCGTTACTTATAAAAGTAAAAAACTGGAAGCAGTCTAAATATGTAACGATAGAGAAAAGTAAGTTATAGCTAGATTAATATTATATCCACTACAAATGATAAATATGGAAACCATGCAACGACGTGGAGAAGAGCTAATAGTGTAATGTTATTTCAAAAAGAATTGTGGATACACTGATTACAGTTATAGAAATGAAACATACATTTAAATAAAATTAGAACATAAGCAACACTGATGATGATGGTGATAACATCATCATCAGTATGGCTGAGTGTTTTTATTTCTTTTCAAACTTTCCATAATATTCGATTTGACAAACATTAATTGTATTTCTACTACGTGTCAGCCACTGGGATAAGAGAAACAGAAAAGACTTGGCCTCTATCCTTTAACACTTAGATTCTAATATTATTATTATTTTTTTAATTTATTTTTTTGAGACGGAGTCTTGCTCTGTCTCCCAGGCTGGAGTGCAGTGGCGCAATCTCAGCTCACTGCAACCTCCGCCTCCCAGGTTCAAGCGATTATCCTGCCTCAGCCTCCTGAGTAGCTGGGATTACAGGCAGGCGCCAACACGCCCAGCTAATTTTTGTATTTTTAATAGAGACGGGGTTTCACCATGTTGGTCAGGCTGGTCTCGAAATCCTGACCCCGTGATCCACCCGCCTCGGTCTCTCAAAGTGCTGGGATTACAGGCGCGAGCCACTGCGCCCGGCCATATTATTTATTTAATTAAAAAAAAAAATCTTGCCTGGAGCCAGGCACGGTGGCTCACGCCTGTAATCCCAGCACTTTGGGAGGCCCAGGCGGGTGGATCATCTGAGGTCAGGAGTTCAAGACCAGCCTGGCCAGCATGGTGAAACCCCGTCTCTACTAAAAATACAAAAATTAGCCGGGCGTGGGGGTGCGCACCTGTAATCCCAGCTACTCAGGAGGCTGAGGCAGGAGAATCGCTTGAACCCAGGAGGCGTAGGTTGCAGTGAGCCGAGATTGTACCACTGCACTCCAGCCTGGGCGACAGAGCAAGACTCTGTCTCAAAACAAAACAAAATAAAACAAAAACAAGCAAACAAAAAATCTTGCCTCTATGAGTATCAGACAAAAAGAGAGGAAGGGTAGAAGTTATTTCAATTGCTTTTTTTTTTTTTTTTTTGGTCATGTGATAGAAGAAGAAAAACCCAGTAGCCTGCAGGACCTGTCCCTGCTGTCCCTGTCTGACTACACAGGGTCGTGGTTTATCCCAGCATGGAATTACTTGGAGTTGTCCCGCACCTGTTTCCTATGCAGGTAATTCGCCCTTGTTGCCTTCCCCGCCTCCTGACTGGTTAATGCTGCTGTCAGTCAAGCCAGGCCTATTCACACGCTTCACTCTGATTGGCCCCTTCACCTAGTTCCCCTAACGCCCTTTCCTCAATGCTATTACTGAGCTCACCAAACCGTACCACAATGACGTGCTTATGTTTTTCTAGTCCCTACATGGGTAACTTAAGGGCAGAGACTATATTTTATTCCCTCCTGCCTCCCATGTGCCCAGCATAGTGCGTGGCACATAACTGGCATCCGTAAAAATATTCATTGAATTCATGAATTAAAATAGCATCATTACAACACTGTGGGAAGGTGAGCATCTGGGCTAAGGGCATTTGAGGTTGCATTAAATATGCACATCTCAGTGTGCGGAGCTTAGCTCAAAGCAAGGTGGAGTTGTCAGAGGCAGCTACTAAGAAACTGCGTGTTACCTGATCACGGCTTCCACGGCGCAGACCAGCTCCTCAGCGCCGCATTCCCGCGTGTTGATGGGCGGAGGAGAGGTCTGATAGAGGTGAGTCTCCGCAGCGGCCCCCACTTCATTACTGTGATGATTTGAGTGGCACCTCTTGCAGTACCGAACAGGCCTGTTTCCGTGACGACCACAGCACCCTGCTGAGAAGCAGGTGACAACTGCTCTTCTAACGTGGGAACTGCAGTTCTAGAAGCCAAGAAAGTGAAATCAATTAAAATTGACCACCGAGGTAAACTTGGCTAAGAATCAGAATAAATGAAAACTTAAGGGGCCACTCGAAGTGACAACACATTCAAGGGCCACTAGTTTCCAAAGCGCAGGTTATTCTCCCACTACCTAGATTTCAGTCATAGTTAAAAAATAAAGGCGAGGAGTGTTTTCTATTCCTGTGAGTAGTAGAAATGCTCTAAATATCAGTGGCATTGTGTTGGGAAGCCCTGTGTAAAGTTACCTCAGCCATGGGGGGAGCGAGGAGGAGGACACTTTCTGGATTATTTCAAGTTAACATTCCAAGAGTTTTTCAGCAGAAATATAAAGAAAAAAACAGAACCATGGATCAGAGAGTGCAACATCACAGCACATCAGGGAAGAAAAGAAATGATGTTAACTCCCGGAATAAACTCTTTCAAAATTATTTTATCCACCTGAAAGAGTAGATTTCCGCTACAGCTCCTCTGTCCTTGTCGCATTCAAGGACAGGTAGATGCTGCATTCAAAGACAGAGACTGTGCTGTGCCAAAGTGATGGCCTCAAGCCAGGCCTTCCCATGCCCACCGGCACTCTGTGAAGACCACAGGGACATACACAGCCAGAACCCTTCGTAGAGTCAGCATTGACATCAACCGCAGGAAGGGAACCGCAAATGAAGTGATGGGAACGAGAAAAGTGGTGGAGCGTAAGACATTTCCAAGTTCAGGGGTGGTACTGTTCAAGCTGCCCTGGCGGGAGGCAGAGGAGTGAGGCAGCACCCACATGAAGCTATTGGAGACGTGCCCCAAGCCTATGAGAGATGCGACCACCACATAGTCAATGTCTCTTTCAATAGTGCTTGTGAAGATGTGAACACCCCCAAGGGGGCGTTAGACTCTAAGGCTTTATGAACTCAGAGCTTGTGAGAGGAGGGAGATAAAATAATGAATTAATCTGTCTTCACCTAGAATTTAAAGGGAAAATATTGAGCTCAGGACAGTCCTTCCAGCCAGCATAGGATTCTCAAGGTAAGAAAAAGTTTCAAGGCAAACATCAAATCCAGGGCCCTATCAGGAAAATGTGGTCTCAGTAGGAAAAAAATGATAGCAAGGGCTCGAATATAAAACCCTTTGTTAAGAACTCAGAATTTAATATGGTACACCATTGACTCTTTTAGATAGACAAAAAAAAAAAAAAAAAAAAGCCGGGGGTGGGTGGGGGGTGCCTTCTAAGGATCTTAAGGGCATACCTCAGCATCCACTTCATTCAACAATAAGGGTTCTAAGAATCGTAAGTCATCATTCCCAGGAGCCTCATAGAGAGCATAAGGTGTAGAAGGACTTATCCCAAAGAGGTTTGTGCATTTGACTCACGTTTAATGAAGCAGGTTTATAAATTGAGACATAAGAGCCCATGTTTTTAATGGAATTATACCATTGTAGATTGAAAGGGACAGAGACAGCCCAAAAAAGAAGATGTTTTGGGATTTCCAAACTTCTATAAGCAAAAAATAGGCTGATAAAACTACTTAGCTGTAAATGACAGGCTACTTTTTATGAGAAGGAAAAGATGGGCATCTCCCAGAGGGTGGGGCCTAGAGCCAAAGAGACCAGCTCCCAGGAAGCAGGACTCGCACCTAACTAAGGAACAAGTGACATGTGCCCTGTGACTTTCAGAATTTCTAAGGACTCCAGATACTCCATAAGAAATTACTCAAAATTTAGCGGCATAAAACAGCAACATTTAATTATGTTCATAGGCTCTGTGGATCAGAGATTCGGACATGACTACCTTCCTCTCATTTCCTCACTTTTTACATGAGTCTCTACTGCAGTAATCCTACCCCTGTATCACTATTGCATGTTAGCTGTGCAGGATGCAGATAACATTTCTTTCATTCACAAGTATTCAAAGCAAAAGGAAGAATACTTAAGGAGCCAAGCCCAAAAAGCCTCATCTACACCTGAACTTGATTTTGATGAGAAGATCTTGGACCTCCAGTCAGGATTTTGCAAGTGGAAAGAATGTAAATAATCTGTGACCAGAGGCGGGTTCTCCACACTCCTCCCATCAAGAAGTCAAGGATAGTTTCCCTCCCCTTGAATCTGGATGGGCTTGCAACTGCTTCAACCAATATAGCATGACAGAAATGATGCTTATAAAAGGACACGCAGCTTCCACTTGCTGCCTTGAGATGTTCTCTCTTCAGAAACTTCCTCATTAGATACTCCTCCCAGATCTCTGCCAGGATGCCATGAGACAGCCAAGCCACAGGGAGAGACCATGTTTCAGTCTTGAGTCAATGGCGCTGGCTTAGCCTAGTCTTCAAGTCACCCCATCCCAGAGCCCAAACGTATGATCTAGAAACCTCTAGATAATTAAAACCCTCAGCATTCAAGTCTTCCCAGATGAAGCCCCAAACATCATCAAACAGAGACAAGCTATCTCCATCATGCCCTGTCCGAATCTCTGATCCACAGAGTCTATGAACATAACTAAATGTTGCTGTTTTACGATGTAAATTTTGAGCAATTTCTTATGGAGTATCTGGATACACTGCATATGATAATATCTGGAATACCGACTAAAAGTCAACCTGCTTTATTACCACATGCCATCAATTCTAAACAATGTCAGCAATAAAATACATTTCCCCAAAAATAATCTTCAGTTGATCGAAGTTCTAAATAATTGCTAGGATTCCTACTAAGTTTTGATAATATATTTGAAAGGCCTCAACCCATGTGGATTCAGCTCATTCATTTCCAAACTAAACTAGAGAGGCTTCCCTTAGATGGAGATTCAGCTGGACATGTTTTCAAATGTTCACTCCAACCACTTTGCTTCACTGCTTTGAATTTTAAACACATAGAAATAACTCCAAGTGGTCTCACAAAATCACAGAATTGAAATAATCAAGGTCTGTCTCTTCATCTTTCCAATCACGATGCTATCATTGCTTATTTCAAATATACCATTCAGGGAATATGCAGTACAAAGAGGTAGAATACAAACTACCCAGGGCAAGCTCATACAATTCTGAACTGTTATGAACTTAATGGAAATTCTCCAAATTAATGTCTGTGTAAAACACAATGTTTATTAAAGGATAAGCAATAAAAATGTGCTAATTTGAAGCTTGTTACTAAAAATAAGTTTGTCATATAAAGAGGGAAGTGTTAAAAAATGATCTACCCTGGGTGTCAAATATGTTACGTATGTCCCCAGAGCCAAAACATGCTGATTTAGAAAATAGAACTGTTTGAAATCCTGGTCCCACAAGCTTAGAAACGATTCTCAAAGTAAGAATGGCCTCAGGATAAAGATCAAAGGAAGAATATGGTCTATGACTCTAAGATCCTTTGTTAAGGCTTCAGAAAGTTATAAGGCGATGTCTAATTGAGGCTCTCAGCTATAACAGGGCTTCTAATAATTTTAAGGGCACACTGAAACGCCCAAAATATAGGAAGGACTGCCTCAAAAATCATTATAGATGTGGCTTTGGGGGCTCAGGACCCCAATGAGATTCACTAAAAATCCACAAAGTTTTTAAGAAAGTCATACTAGCAAAAGCACCACCAGCTAAAACTAAAGAGACGCAGTTCTAAATGAAAAGAGATATATGGGACCCTAACTCCTACATGCACGAAGCAGATTGAGAAAGTTACTCAGCTGCAACATGGACCATTTCTTATTGAAAAGAAAAGATGTCTCAGAGAGTGGAGCCAAGAGCTCAGGAGGACAAGAACAGATTAGGGAACTATTTCTAGGAAACAAAACCAGATCATAATCAAGGCATGTATGCTATTCCTGGAGACAGAGGAACTGTTGATGTGTTTATGGCTGGAGCTGCTATAGACCAATGACTGCTATCTGCTTTCCCTTCCTCTTTTTGAACAGAAGCTTATTGCTATGATCCTGTCCCTGTCTCAACATTGTGTCTTGGGTGCAGAGAGGGAAGATAACTTTCCTTCTTAGTTCACAGGACTCTGAATCAAGAGAATCAGTTACCAAGAAGTTTAATCAGTGACATATCACATGCAGATCACAAGATACTAGACTTTAAGCCTGAAGCCATAAATGAATAAGACTTGTGGAGGTCATATAAAATGGTGAGCATATTTTGCATATGGAAAGAAGGTAAATAATTATGTCCAAAGGACAGATTGTGGTAGATTAAATGTGACCATAAAATTCTTGCCAATCCTTCAATAACCACAAAGATCCTATTTCTCCACTCTTTGAATCTGGGCCGGCCTTGGAACTTGCTTTGACCTGTTGAATGCTACAGAAATGATGCTGTGTGACTTCTGAGAGGCCTTGAGTGAGTGAGGCTCTCTCACTCTCTCAGAAGACTGCCACCTGTGAACAAGTCCAGCCTAGCCCCTGGACGATGAGACATCATGTGGAAAGAGAGGCCCAGACACCCCACCCATCTCACCATTCCAGCCATCCCAGCTTAGCCCCAGATATGGGAGTGAGACCATCTGGGGCCAGCCAATTCCAGCTTACCCACCAACTGACTGCAAATACATGAGTGAGCCTAGAGTAATTTATCAAAAGAACTGCTTAGCTGAGCTGAGCATAGGACAAATTGCCAATCCACAGAATTGTGATTAAATAATTGGTTGCCATATGAGACACTATGTTTTCAGATGGTTTGTTATGCATCCATAGATAACTGAGACAGCCCTCCAATATACCTACTCACAATCAACATCCCAAAAAGTTTAAATGATGTGTGCAAGGTCCACATAGGTAGGAGGGAACAGAACTGGCCAGAGTCCAAGAATCTCAACCAACTAGTCAAAAATTCTTTTTTATGACATCATACTGCCTCCTCTTACTCTTTTCAATTATTAAAACAAGAAGAGAAGATGGAGGTGGTTTAGAGAAACTATTATTAAAAAAAAACTAAAGGAAATATTAAAGGAAGAATCTTTAGCTACATGTATTGTTCAACTTACACATAAATACTTTCCATATACAGTCAGTCTGGGTATGTTTTTCACACATACAAATTGGACTATTTGCACTCCACTTCAAAACAATTGAGATTTCTAGCATACAAGATATATCCTTAACTAAAGTTAAGTACCATAAATTGCAGTATAATTCAAACCTTTTTCTAATTGGACTCCTATCCCAGAATTACACATAGGCTTTTATTGCAAATTACTGAACAAAAGCATTGTGCATAAGATGGGTGAGCAAAAGCAGAAATGGAAATAGAGACCATTTGGATGTAGCAATCTTGCATGCTAAATTATTTCCTTTACCCCTCCACAAATACAATGGCATGCATATACTGGAAACCACGGTGCAGAAATGAGGCAGATGTCAATAAATGAATTTACATACAAACACAATAAATCATGCCCCAACGACACAAATGGTTTGCTCTTACCTTTTTCTGACATATAGCAGATATTTCAGCTGTAAGGGGAAGGCACACAAAATATCAACAAAGAAAGAGAGCCCCTCTAATTTTTATTTAATTAATTAATTTATTTTTTGAGACAGTGGCTCACTCTGTCAATCAGGCTGGAGTGCAATGGCACCATCATAGCCCACCACAGCCTCTTGAACGCCTTGGCTCAAGTGATCCTCCTGACTCGCCTTCTAAGCAGCTAGGCAGTGGTGTGGGCTTCCATGCCCAGCTAATTTTTTTTTTTTTTTTTTGTAGACATGGGGTCTTACTATGTTTCTCAGGCTGTTCTTCAACTCCTGGCCACAAGCAACCCTCCTGCCTTGACCTCCCTCCAAAAGGCTAGGATTACAGGTGTAAGCCACCATGCCAGGTCTAGAGCCCATTTAAAATAAGGGCAGCCATGAAGGGGGAATCTTTTAAATCTTAGTAATATGACCTCTGGACTTGGCCCAAACAGATTTTCACTTGGCTCATAAATTATCGTCTACTTTTATTGGCTTCTAGTTTCCTCAGAAATCATGAAATAGATCTCTTTTCATCTAGTAGTGTATGTTTAGTGAGGTTAAAAACACCTGCACACTGCTACTTTTACAAATAATTTAATCTTTTCAGACATGACTTAGAAATCAAATCTTGTTAAAGCCAAACAAATTTAATCTTATTTCCCCATTTTACAGAGGACAAAACTGAGAACCACTGTGGTTAGGTAAATTCTTCAAGGTCACACAAGCTATCAATGGTAGGGGCAGACCTTGAGTTCAAGTCTCCAAATTCCCCATTTACTGTTCTTCCCATTATACTATGACACTGGGTTAATGTGATATATTTACAGCATCACCATCGGATTATTTGCAATATCAAAACTGTAGACAAAATTACTAACTTGGACTACCTAGATTTAAATTATCAATTTATATCACTCTTAACGTGTGTGTGTAAAACCAGCTGTAGGGTTATTTAAGAGAAAGCAATTTTCAAACCCACGGGTAGACCAGTTGGAGCAAGACTGTCAAATTACTGTCTACATAATGAATGCATAAGAATTCTTTTCAGTGGGCACATCAATTATTTCCATGAAAACTGATGCTGGAGAGCATTTGAAAATAAATTTTCCAAGAATTGGCTAATATGTACTCTGAAATAGTATGTACTCAAAAAATGAACTAACACCTTATTTATAGTCTATGTTACAATTTATTTAAAAGATCAAAGGTAAATGTCTCCCAAACCCTGTCTGGTAATCTTAAACTAGTGGATGAAAAAGCAACAAAATTTACAACTCATGTTTAAAAACTGGTTTTGTATAATTAATGGTTACTTGACAGTTTGATATCCTAGAGTTTATCTTAAATCATCTGAGGTTAGTGTCACATGTCTGTATAAGTAATGAAAAGTTATTGCCAATATTCCTCTAAAGATGAATATCACTGGAGATGACAACCAGAACTCAGCAACATATTTAAAAAGGATTTTATAACTTATATTTTATAACTTGACTATGGCTTTTACCTCAGAGCACTGGATGATCACTAATTAAGTAGCATAATTTAAAGGAAAAAAAGTTAAATTTACCCATATGAGCCCAAATCTTTTTACAGGTTTTTTGTTGTTGTTGTTTTGGGGTTTGTTTGTTTTGTTTTTTTTCTGAGACGGAGTCTCGCTCTGTTGCCCAGGCTGGAGTGCAGTGGGGCGATCTCGGCTCACTGCCAGCTCCGCCTCAAAGGTTCACGCCATTCTCCTGCCTCAGCCTCCCGAGTAGCTGGGACTACAGGTGCCCGCCGCCACGCCCGGCTAATTTTTTGTATTTTTAGTAGTGACGGGGTTTCACCATGTTAGCCAGGATGGTCTTGATTTCCTGACCTTGTGATCCGCCCACCTCGGCCTCCCAAAGTGCTGGGATTACAGGCGTGAGCCACCGCGCCCGGCCTGTTTTTGTTTTTTTTAAGACAAGGTCTTTCTCTGTCGCCTAGGCTGGAGTGCAGTGGCATGATCACGGCTCACTGCAGCCTCAACCTCCTGGGCTTAAATGATCCTCCCACATCAGACTCTCAAGTAGCTGGGACTACAGGCACGTGCCACCATGCCTGGCTAAATTGTTTTTTCTCTCCTGCCCTCCTAAATTTTTTGTTTGTTTGTTTGTATTTTTAGTAGAGACAGAGTTTCACCACGTTGCCCAGGTTGGTCTCAAACTCCTAGGCTCAAGCCATCAGCCCGCCTCCACTTCCCAAAGTACTGGAATTACAGGCATGAGCCATTGCACCTGACCTACAGATATTTTTATGTAAATTTTCAAAATGTGCCTTTGAAGGATATAGAGGCTGATATTATTGCTCCATTTTACAAGTGATTCTCCTGCCTCAGCCTCCTGAGTAGCTGGGATTACAGGCAGGTGCCACCATGCCTGGCTAATTTTTTATACGGGGTTTCACCATGTTAGCTAGGATGGGAATCCATTTATTTTCTACATCTGAAGTCATATACCATCGAGTTCTTCCTGTGCCCCGATCTCTACTCAAACTTAGTATGCCTGCAGCTCTTTCCACCTTTCATTTTTCCTCTGTGTTTGTCAGTACTTTTCCTTGTCATTTTAGCCTCCAATGACATGGCTGGAATAGCTGCCTCTCCCATATGTGGAGAAATGCTCTGTCTGGGACCTACCAACTTATAGGGCATAGCTTTGACAACTCTGACAAACTACAAGAAGCATTGCAATCTTGTCTTTCCATTGAGATGGGTTAGATATACTTTATCCCCATTTTACTGATGAGGAAACTGAGCCTCAGAGACATTCAATGATTTCCCCCCCACAACATGGTACTAGTAATAGTAGCAGGGGAAAGGCCAATTATTCATTTCTCTCCCAGCTAGTGTTCCTTATTCTTTTTCTTCTCCTTAGTAAGACCTGGTGCAGCAACTTATCACTGACAACACCTGTTACAGATACAGAAAATCCCTGAAGACATAATTTGGCAGGGCTTTAGTCGTATGGAATCCTAATTCCAATATCTACCCTTAATTTTGGTAGGGATGATACTACTTCCCGCATTATTAAATGTGTGGGTACATTATAAGCAAGGCATTGATATTATGCTTCATATCAATGAATATTCATACAATACAATACTTTGGTGACTGTCTTTGTAAAATAAAATAGTACAAAAGGAGATAAAGCAACTATGTCATTAGTCATGATTACTCATTATTCATCCTTTCCTAAGTAAACCATACCTTGTGGCAGAAGAACATCAATCAGCCACTCACTGTGGTCCCTATTGAAAAAAACAAAATTCATTTTTGAGCTTCATTGAAATGTTCTCCTTCCACATGAATGTTTATAAGCTGCACACTAGTGCTGAAAGGCTTTTAATAGAAAGGAAGTATAATTAAGAGCACTATCATAATAAACTCTTAAAATGTCTAATGCATTCCAGCTAAATTATAAATTATAGGCACTTCATCATATTCAGTTATCTTTAAATGATACTTTCCAGATGCTAATTAAGCCAACCAAAATACTGCATGATCTGTACAAAGCTGAGTGTGATTCTGTGAAACAAACAAGCAAAAAGAACCCATATAATTTGTATGTCATGTTTGGAAACCACAGTTTTCTTTTACATCTGTTTTTCTCTGTGGCCTTTTTAACAGGGTTACTCCAAAATTGGAGCTGATTTATTAAATGGAATTGCCTTCTTCTCATGTCACATAAAGAGAAATATTGCAACTTTTCAAAGCTGTAATGTTCCCAGTGAAAGTTTGCTATATGTTAAGTATCAGAATAATTAACCTTTAAAAATCAGAGAGGCTAGAGAGAAACTTTAGCAATGTAACTAATTTAAGTCCAAATGATTTTTCTTATCTTCTTATTGTTGTCCTATTTCCTTTTCTTTAAGAACTCTTATACCTACCCTGCAATCCTCTCGCTGCATTCTTCACAGAGATACAACGGGGGTGGTTTATCACCCAACGCTACTGACAGGGAAGGGTCTATACACATCTGAAACATATGAAAAGACAGAATGAACTCTCCTGTTCCTGGGTATCACATTCCCTATATTCTAAGCACAAATGCTTCAATAATGACAGATTTTCCACAAGCGAGGTGGAATAAACATTTTTAGTAAAACCCTTTTTACCGATAAATGTTTCTCCCTGGACTAGCTGATGAGTCCACCCTGAGGATTTAAATGTGGCTGCCGTGGTTTTTCATTTCTCCTGTTAACTTGCAATTCAAGTAATAAATAGTGTCAAGAAATTCACTCTCATTCCACAAAGATCCAAAATATCATCTTGTTCAATTGCTGCTCAAATTGGCGATATATTACTCACACTAATTCCTTCTTTAAAGTGGTAAACAACAGTAGTTTCTCATTAGGAAAAGGAAAATATATTATTAAGATTTCAGAATCATAACTGATACCAAAGTGCTAGTGGTAGAGAACTTTGCTTCTTAAGGCATACCTTATTCAAAAAAGTTGGCATTAAATCTAACATTGAGTGGTTCACTTCTCTTACTCTGGAATCTTAGTTCTGTATCAATCATCCAACCTTTCTTTTTCATGTGTTTTTTTTTTTTTTCCTACACATGACCTATAATTTGTTTGCCCTTGCTGGAACTGGTTGATACAGCTGGGTTTCACGAGCCTAAGCACAGAGATGCAAAGTGTTAATTTCACAGTTGATCATCAGAATATTTCAATATCTGGATCTTTTAAATCAAATGAACAAAAAATCTAGATAACTAACTGCATTTTGTACTTTGCATAAATTTAAATTTCTATAATTTACAAAAGCCATTTTGAATTCTGTTTCTACCCTCGAAAAAATAATCAATTCATGTGCTAGCTGAGTAAGCAGTTAAGATGCCTAATACACAAATTTTTCTGGAACTACACTCTTTTTAGTTGTTCTCACAAATTTGAAGGGGGGAAATCACCTAAACTTATAACCCAAACAGCCTGTAATTCAAAGTGAAAACAGACACTTCAATGATTGAGGAAGCTAGTTAGAATTGCTCAATTTACCGTCAACATTTGTAAACTATATATTCCCCGATGACAAAGGCTCAGAGTGAAAATTTTCCTCATGTAAGTTTCATGCTTCCTTAGACGTAATGAGTAACTGCTTTGCGGTGTGTTAAATCAGAGATTGGCAAACTTTTTTTGTAAATATTTTAGGCTTTGTGGGCCACAGTCTCTGTCACAACTACTCAATTCTGCTGTTGGAGCATGAAAGCAGCCATAGACAATAAATATGTAAGAAAATTAACATAGCTGTGTTCTAATAAAACCTTATTTCCAAAAACTGGCAGCAGGCCAGATTTGGCTCTGGGCCATAGTTTGCCAGAACCTGCCTTAGATAATTATCTGGGCTTCAAAGTATTTCATAAAGTGGACTTCAAGTAGAACCAGGTAAAATCAAAAGCAGAGTATGATATCGTAAACTTTAAGTTCCAACATATTTTCACATTTAATCCTATTACAACTCTTGGCTTTTGCCTAAAAAGTACTTTTTTGCAGCCTATTAAAACAAAAATGGATAATATTTTTCTATTTGGTATACCATTCTTGCTTAGCAGTACAGCTCACTATCACAGAGATATTAGGCTTTTGGTGAGGATTAATCAATTTTCCCCAAATCTTTCCCATGCCCCCCATGTGGAGCTCCTCTTACATATTATATGTTATTCTACCCTCTTTTTTAGTGAGTCATTGATACCTCTCTCACGTAAAGATACTTTTTCACACTACTCAAAAGGAGAAGCTCCTAGGATGCTAAAACTATAAATAATCATTAGAGATTAGCTAGTCAACCTCTGACTTTTTAAATAACTTACTTAGCATGACCTATCAGATCTGTAGTTGGTCTAGTGAGTTTTGTTCTAGTCTGAACAGGTTGGTTTACATCCACACTAATGTGTTCATATCTGTGTGTCACATGAATAAGTGGATTTTTTTGTTTATAAATATGACATATGCCCAATGTAGAGGCTTTGGAAAACCGAGAAAGGGAAAAAAGAAAATTCAATTAACACATTAACCTTCCATCTTGATGCAATCCATAGTAACACTCTGATAAGTATTACTGATTGTTTTTCACCATGATAAGTATTACTGATTGTTTTTCACTATGTAACCTTTAAACTTTTTAAAACTTTTAAACATCATACTATAAAATTGCATAACTTTATGCTTAACATTATTTTGTAAGCATTTGGATGTTTGATACCCTTGATTTGCATGTCATACGGTGATGATGTGGATTGGGCGGACTCACACTGTAAAGCAAGAGCAATACTGAGCCAGACCTATTGTAGTGCAAAAATGGCCCCAGCACAGGAAGACTTAATGAGAATGCTACCTTTCTGCAAAGTGTAGAATTAAAATAGAAAAGAAGGGTCTTTAAGGAAACTGGAGTTCAGAAAGTAAGATTTGGGGGATATGAAAATGTCTTGGGACTAGAAAGAGGTGGTGTTGGCAAACATTGTAAATATACTAAATGACACTGAATTATTCCCTTTAAAATAATTCATTGTTCATTATGTGAATTTTGCCTCTATTTTTATAAAATGACAGAAAGTGGATGGTTTGACCTATCATGGCTGACTCACTTCAGGAAGAAAAGTGAGGCCAACTCAGTGGAATGGACTGGGCTGTTTGCCTAGAAAAGAAGTAGAAAATCTAATTCATGATGCTTTCTGTGAGTAGGAGGCCAGAAAGCATTACTAACCAGGATATCAGAGGACTCCTGAGAATGCAGTCTGACATAAAATCAAGGAAAAATAACTGCAGAAACCAGACAGAAAGGATCCCCTTCATGTTGATGTCTGGGTGACCCAAAAGAAGGAGCTATAACTTAGGCAGGAGGAAGAAAAGAAGGATAATAAGAAGGAACCATGAAAGTCTCATCATTGTGAAAAATCGAGCTGAACTATATGAATAAACTATGAATTCACATGTGAGCAGCTCAAAATATCCTCACTCCAAAGAAGAGCACCTCTGAACCCCAAATGTCTATTGAAGGTCAACAGTGGGGTGCACACAGTAGAATGGGAAGGGCCTACACTTCCATTGTGTGGGTCATCATTACCTGCTCTTTTTTTTTTCGAGATGGAGTCTTGCTCTGTTGCCCAGGCTGGAGTGCAGTGGTGCAATCTCCTCTCACTGCAACCTCCACCTCCCTGGTTCAAGTAATTCCCCTCCCTCAGCCTCCCGAGTAGCTGGGATTACAGGCACACACCACCACGCCCAGCTTATTTTTTATTGTACTTTTAGTAGAGACGGGGTTTCACCATGTTGGCCAGACTGGGCTCAAACTCCCGACCTCAGGCAATCCACCCGCCTCGGCCTCTGAAAGTGCTGGGATTACAGGCTCGAGCCACCACACCCAGCCAGTTACCTGCTCTTAATATCAATCCATTCAATTTGCCTTCAACAAAAGCAGAGATTAAAAATAATAATACAAGGCCATCCTTTGTTAGTATAATGTATCTAGATGACAGTGTTATTACCGGCACTCCTCTGCCAGTTTTTGGTTCATGAAACACATTTTTGGTTTCTTTTATATTTATTGGATCTCATTTCACCTTTCCTACTTTGTTTCTATAAAGAGATGGTGTTAGTTTTCTATTAGTATTTGGTTTTCTACAGGCTATCTATAAAACAAAAGAAGCAAACCCGCAGGACACCTGGTTCTCCAAAGTAACTGTGAACTCTGATAACTTCAGGTAACTCCTACTCCTCATAATATAAAAATTATACCTTGCAAATCCAGACACAGGTTCATCCAGCCAAATATTTTATATCCAATAAATATATCATAAATAATTTTCTTAAAAGGTGTGATTATTTTTCTTCACATTCAACTTTCAAGATTCAGGGTTATACTAGGACAGAACCAATTTGGTGTGGTAGAAGGACAATAAGGTTAGGAGTCCAGATACCTGGTTCTGTCTCCAGTTTTGTTGCTAACTGGCAACCTTAGGAAAATGACTTGACTCTGTAAACCACTGTTTCCTTACTTTTAATGTAACTTTCCATGTATATGCTGTCCAGACACCTTTCAGTCATTTCAGTTAAGTCATATTTGTAATATGAGCTAAAAATTAACAATTTTATCTTTTTGTCCTACCACTCCTGAATTTGCATAAGCACTCATGATTTGTAGCATACACATGAAAACAGAGAGAAAATACATTTCCCTGAGTTCATTAGCTGAAATAGAAACCAGTTAAGGACCATGTAAGCATTTTACTAGGATCCTTCTGATAGATAATTAGCTCAGTGCTACATAGCACTTGGCTACGAACGCATAGCCAAAACTGCAGACAACGCTATTCATTGCTCTCTCTTGACCAGTCTGCCAAAGTACAATCAGATTGAATATGGAGGTACTTCGAATTACTACAGAGGACATGCCTCTGCTTTACAGAGAAGGATGCAATCTACTCCACTTCATTCAGCAATTTGACCACTGACAATACAGTATGGCACCAGGTCTAATAAAACAGTACCTTCACAGCTGGTTTGTTAATTGCATTGTGGCATTCAATGTGCTGGCAGTGGATGGGATTCCAAGCTGTAAAGTAAAGCACAGCTGATGAATACTTCTCATTGAAATTATTCATGCCCTAGTAAAAACAGATATTTTACTATTTTCTTTTTTCTAAACAGAACCATCATCAGAAAGCTTTCTAACAGAATCATCTTTTTAATCTATAAAAAATTTAAAAGACAAGCAAAGATATACAACTCCATCCATTTTCCTAGGATAAGAGATAAGCCAATATAAGATGGCATGTACAGTACCACAATGGTATGCCATTAATAAGTTTTCAAAGGTTTTTACAACCATGGTTTCACTTGATCCTCCAACAACTCTGTAGGGTAGGTACAGCAGATTATTAATCTCATTTCATATAAGAATAAATTAAAGTTAGCAAGGTTAAGTAGCTTGATATGGTCACAGAGTTAGTATATGATAAGCTAGAACTAGAACCTATATTTCTTGGTGCTTGACATTCTGCTCTTTTCATGATTGTATATTATGCTAAACATCCTAGATTCTTGGCACCAGTAAGCGTTTTAAATTGATAACAACTGAAATGAATAGTAAGACGTCCTCTACCATTCCATTTCCTATCCCATCCCCAACAAACATGGAGACTGGAAAGATTAATTTCTTGCCCAAATGAAATGCATCTCTCTCTTACACGTGACCCACCTACTAAACCTTTGCTAGTCTGCTAATACCCAATTAAATCTCTGCTAGTCTGCTAATACCCAACTCCTAAGCTCAGTATACACACAGAATGAGGAAAAGAACCAAGTGACCTGTAATAAGTCAGACTGAGAATCACAACCAGTAGTTATCATCTGGATGATTCTGTAGCCCAAAGCACTTGGCTAACAATATTCCATCATTAAAAACATGTAAGGGGTTTATATGCTTGAAAGTAGGACATTTTTCTAAAGTGTCATATTTTAAACTCACAGGACTATGTTGGCCTATTCTTAATACGTGGGAATTTGCAGATGAGAAGATATTCTTACTTAGTTACATATTCAATTATAATTCAAAAATATATATTATTAATGATCCGAGCTAATTTATGTTCCAAACACTTTAGAAAATTTTCTACCTAGGAGCTTCCCACCTTCAAACTTTCTATCCCATTGTTAGACCATGTATAAGATTATGTGTCTAGTTGGGGATTCACGGAAATATAGTTACCAGAACGACTGACATTTAAAAATATACAACAGGTCTATTTATTTGAAAAGAAGACAAGAAATACAGACCAGAGACCACTACTATAATAAGATAGTATCATTTTGATCATATTTTTAGAGCACAACAAAGAAGAAATGGAAATGAATGAGTACATGAACAGATTGATGAAGAAATAATTTCGGTATAGGCGCTTCATAACTATGAGATTAGTTTCCCATATATGGTAAAGTCAAGCTGAATATAAAGAGTTGTAACAAGTTTTCTTGTACAATTAGAGTAACATAGAGGAAAAAGCTGCCTTTAACCAGTACATGAATTGCAAAAACATGGAACATGTGCTGCATTCTTCTGATCCCAAACTCATGACAGACATCACTAATCCATTACAGCATTCCTTCCTGCTGAGTCCAGAACTGGCCTTAGGATCCTTCTTATCACTGTGCTCCAAGAAGTCACCACTAATCAAAACAAAATTGGCACACAAGATAAAATCTGCTAACCATCTCCAAATCAGTGTATTATAAGAATGTCTGCAGATTGCTTTACAGAAGTTCATGACACTTATGGGAAGAATTAATATTCAAAACATATAACAACTGCTATGGCACAGGTAAACAAATTGAAGTGTGCACCAGCCACAGTAATTAGGGCTCTAAAGACTTCTATTCTGCCAGAAATAAATGCTTTTTTGTGGATAATGGAGATATCCAGGAGGTCCTACTGCTTTAATTTTGCATTCCATTTTTACTGAGTGTTGCTGTGTTAAGAACAGGTTGTAGATAATCAATTTAAGTTCATAAAAGCCACATTGGATTTAAACTTACTAAAACAGTGATCTTAAGTTTTGCTATGTATCAAAAATCAACTGTCAAGATTTTAAAAATATGATGTCTGGAACCAATGT
Organism: Homo sapiens; assembly: GCF_000001405.40. NCBI lineage: Eukaryota > Metazoa > Chordata > Mammalia > Primates > Hominidae > Homo > Homo sapiens. Next base: position 93,521,918 of record NC_000014.9, on the reverse strand, counting down.
TAGATCTTCTGAATCAAAATGTTTGAGGATAGAACACAGGTATTTCTAATTGGGAAAAGCACTACAATTGATTTTGATATAAGGACAATCAGCATACCTTATCTTGTGGCAAATATAGTCATACTAGATCACCATTCAAAAATAATAACAAAAAAGATAGCATAAAAACACAGCAGACAACAATTACTCTTTCAACTATGATAGAAAAATTGGTATTAGACTTGCCTTCCCACCATAAACAACTAGAGAACTAAAAAATATATATTTGAAACACTATTTTCAGAAACTGGTCTCCAAGTAGTACAGGGCAGTGATCCTTGAGAGAAGAGAAATAATGCAGTGAGCCCCACAATCACCCTGGCTTTCTTCCTGACAGTAACTTCCAGACCTTGGCCCTAGAAAGGGAAAGATAAGCAGAATAGTATGGTCTTGTTTTTAGTTGAGGGGACAAAAACTGGAGTTTAGAGAGGCCAGATGGCTGAAATTTGCTGAATAGAGTATGAAGGAAGAGGGAACTAGGCAAAGAAAGAGATCCAGAAATCTAAATAGGAGTCCTTTTGAGTCTTTGGCTTTATACTAAGTAAAATGTATGTAAGGTAAAACTCTATGAGGCTGGATAGAGAAAAACTGTGAGAGTTCTGTGAGCTAAGCAATTCCTAGAGCTTGTACAGGGCTGGAAGATATTCAAGGTCCAACCAGTCAGAGTAGGGGGAAATCACTAAATACTTGGAGCAATCATAGAAACTTTAGGAGGGTCATTTCTTAGTAATAGGGTTAAACTAACATTAGAGAAAAAGTTACTCTAGGCTCATTCTAACAAAACCTAAGAATAAGCCTTGAAATGGTCAGACTAATCCACAAGTAGCTTGATTGCCAAAACAAACTTCAACATACTGTAATGGAAGACAGCAAAATTCAGACACTCAATAATGTAACAATCATGAAATCCAGCATCCAGTCAAAATTATTTGATATTTGAAAAGGGGGTAAAATGTCACTCATAACCAGGGGGAAAACAGATCAGCAGAAACAAACCCAGAAACTGTGGAGATGAAGTAGTTGGCAAAGAAGAACTTTAAAATAGTTATCATAAACATTGGCAAAGGAAAGCATGAAGATAGGCATAATGAGGATAGAGATGGGAGATATAATTTAAAAATTAAATGTGACTTTAAAAATCAGAAATACAACTTGAAAAACTCACTGAATGGGCTTAATAGAAGAATAGACAATGCAGAAGAAAAGATCAGTGAATTAGGAGACATAACAAAACTACCCAAACTGAAATAATGGAAGAAAAATAGAGATACAGTGAACTGTGGGAAAATTTCAGGCAGTTTTACCTTACATATATTTTACTTAGTATAAAGCCAAATTTTTATGATTGCTCCAAGTACATGTGATTTAAAGCACAAAAGAAATAAAAGGGGGAAATATTTGAAGAGACAATGGCTAAAAATTTTCAAGTCTGATGAAAACAACCCCCAAATCCAAGAAGCTCAATGAATCCTAGGCAAGATAAAAGCAAAGAAAATAACACCAAAATTCATTATAAACAAATTGATGAAAACCAATAAGAAGAAAATCTTAAAAATAGCCAGGAGGGAAAAAAAGACACATTACTTACAGGGGAACAAAGATAAGAATGATCGCTGATTTCTCGTCAGAAACAATGCAAGCCAGAAGACAATGGAACGACATCTTTAATAGGCTGAAAGAAAAAAACTGTCAACCTAGAATTCTATACCCAGTGAAATTATCCTTCAAAAATGAGTATGAAATAAAGACTATTTGAAGACAAACACAAAATAAGAGAATTCATTTCCAGCTGAGCTCCACTACAAGAAATGTTAAAGGAAGTTTTTCGGGCTAAAGGAAAATGATACCAGATAGTAGCTCAAATTTACACAAAGGCATAAAGAGTGTTGGACATGGTAAGTATGCTGAATAACTACAGAAGGCTTTTTTACTCATATTAATATGTTGTTAAAAGATGGTTGATTATTTAAAACAAAAAATAATTATAATGAATAGAGGCTAATAATATATATAGAAGTAAGATGTTTGGTAACAATAACAAAAAGGATAGGAGGGGTAAAATTAAAATACAAAAAGGCCTTACATTATATGTAAACTGATATAATTTGAGGTAGACTGTGAAGTTAAAAGTGCATATTATAAACCCAAGAGCAATTTTTTAAAGATGGTGTAGCTAACAGTACAATACAGAAATAAAATATAACACTAAAAATAATTAATTCAAAAAAGGCAAGATATCAAAAAGAAAAAAAAGGAACAGATGGGACAAATATAAAACAAGTGTAACATGATAGGCTTCAGTCATACAAGTGTATCATGATAGGCTTCAATTCATACCAGAAATTACATTAAATGCCAATGGTCTAAACAATAATTTTACTAATGTAAATGGTCTAAAAGGCAAAGATTGTGAAATAGGATTTGAGTTTTTTAAAACCCATGACCCAATTGTATGCTGCCTGTGAAAAACATAGCTAAATTATAAAGGCTCAGATAAGCTAGAAGTAAACAGAAAAAGTTATACTATGCAATTATGGCATAATTGTTATACCATAATTGAAATTATAAGAAAGCTTGAGTGTCTATATTAATATCAGAGAAATAGATTTCAGAACAAAGAATATTACCAGAAAAACCAAGGCAATTTTACAATGATGAAAGGGTCAATTAACCTAGAAAACATAAAAACCATAAATATTTGTACCCTTAGTAAGGTGAGAGAATTGAAAGAAGCATAACTGAAGTTGTAAATTTCCATAATCCTCTCTCAGTAACTGATAAAACAAGCAGACAGAAAATCAGCAAATATATAAGACTTGAAAACACTCTCAAACAACTTAACCTATTTTATAATGTTAGAAATCTCCACTCAACCACTGTGGAATACACATTGTTTTAAAGTACACGTGCAACATTTAACAAGATAGGTATTCCAGTCCATAAAATAAGTCTCAAAAATTTAGATGGAGCTACATCATACAGCATATTCTCTAGCCACAATAGAATTAAACTAGAAACCAATAACACAAAAGTATCTGAAAAATTACCAAATATTTACACATTAAAAAGCACACTTCTAAACAATTCATGAATGAAAGAAGAAACTTTAGAAAATATCCTGCACTGAAATACAATAAAAGCATAACATATATAATGAATTTCTGGGAAGCAACTAAAGCAATGATTAAATGGAAATTTATAGCTAAAAATTATTATATGAGAAAATATTAAAGATCTGAAATAAAAAGTTTATGCATCTCCCTTAAGAAGACAGAAAAAGAACAGAACTCAGTAGGTGGAAGAAAACAATAAAGAAACAGAAATCAATGAAATTGAAATCAGAAAATCCATAGATAAAATCAATAAAATCAAAAACTGGTTCTTTGAAAAGTCCCAAAAACTTGATAGGCCCCAGCATCCTGATGGACAAAAAAAAAATTGAAAATTCATGAATTACCAATATCAGGAATGAAAGGTAGAACATCACTACAGATCCTACAGACATGCTAATAAATTTGAAAACTTGGATGAGATGCTCACATTCCTTAAAAGACACAAATAACTCACTATAACTCAATAAAAGTAAAAAAAACCCATAACTATTAAAATTACATTCACAACATAAAACATTTCCCTCAAAGAAACCCCAAGTCCATATGGCTTCACCAGTAAATTCTATTAATCATTGAAAGAATAAATAATACAAATCTTACATAAACTCTTTCAGAAATTAGAAGAGAAAAAAACATTTTCCAACTCATTTTATGAGGTCAGTATTACTCTGTAAATGGAACCAGATGAAGACATCATAATTAAATAAAACAAAACAATATCTCTCATAAATGTAGGAACCTGAACACTTAACTTAGAAAATTAAATCTAGCAATATAATACAGCATGACAAGATGAGTTCATCCCAAGAATGCAAGATTGCATTTCACACACACACACACACACACAGACACACACACACACACACTCACATATACATATGGACCAAATGGAAATTCTAGAAGTGAAAAATATAACAGGGGGGCAGAATTTGGGGAATGTTGGTCAAAGGCTGCAAAACTTTAGAAAGAAAAGATATATAATAACCAAAATTAAAAACATAATTAGGAGGCTAAAGAATTTGAGAACAGGAAGACATGTCAGAAAAAGATTCAGTATGAAGCACAGAAAGATGAAATGGTGGGGGATGGGGAATACAAAAAATAGGCATAAAAGGCATAACGTTGCCAAGAAAATCAATGTAATTTACCATATTAACAGAATGAAGGGAAGAAATCATATAATCATCTCAATAGAAAGAGAAAATGCATTTGACCAAAACTGACATTCATGATTAAAGCTCTCAGCAAACTAAGAACAGACAGTAATTTCCTCAATCTGGTAAAAAAAAAAAAATCTATGAAAAACCTACAGTTAACATAATAATTTAATGGTGAAAGCCCAAATACTCTCCCCAAAGATTGGGAGAAAGAACAAGGACGTCCACTCTCAGTACTTCTATTCAAGTGGAGATATTAAGCAGTGCAAAAAAAAAAAAAAAAAGAGAAGGATAGAAAGAAAAAAAGGGAGAAAGGAAAGAAGGGTAAGAGAGAGAGAAAAGGAAAAGAGGAGAAAAAGAAAGAGAAAGGAAGGAAGGAAAGAAGGAAGGGAGGGATGGAGAAAGGGAGAGAGGGGTGGAGAGAGGGGAGGAAGGAAGGAAGGAAGGAAAAAAGAAAGGCATACAAATTAGAAAGAAAAGAAAAAAAATTATTTGCAGAGAGCATAATCAGGTATACAGAAAATCTCAAGAAACTTACAAAAAAGCCACAAAAACTAAGAAGTGAATTTAGCAAGGTTGCAGGGTATTTGTAGAGTACCAATAAACAAGTAGAAGATTAAAATTTTTAAACACTATTTATAATAGCATATAAAATCATAAAATATTTAGGAGCACCTTTAACAAAATATAATATCTGTACACTAAAAACCAGCAAATATTGCTGAAAGAAATTAAAGAAGACCTAAATAAATGGATAAATATACCATGTTCATGGATGAAAAGACTCAATATTGTTAAGATGTCAATTCTCCCCAAATTAAACTATATAGTCAATGTAATCTCATTCAAAAATCCAAGCAGAGGTCAGATGCAATGGCTCACACCTGTAATCCCAGCACTTTGGGAGGCTGAGGCAGGCAGATCACCCTGAGGTCAGGAGTTTGAGACCAGCCTGGCTAATATGGTGAAACCTCATCTCTACTAAAAATACAAAAATTAACCAGGCATAGTCACACATGCCTGTAATCCCAGCCTCTCAGGAGGCTGAGGCAGGAGAATCACTTGAACCGGAGAGGCAGAGGTTGCAGTGAGCTGAGATCATGCCACTGCACTCCAGCCTGGGCAACAGAGTAAGACTCCATCCCCCACCCCCCCCCCCAAAAAAAATATCCAAGCAGATTGTTTTGTAGAAATTACAAACTGATAGTAAAATTTATATGAAAATGCAAAGGTACTAAAATAGCCCAAAAAATTCTTTAAAAGAACAAATCTGGAGTACTTACACTACATAATTTTATGTATTAAAATAGCCCATAAAATTTTTAAAAGAGCAAATCTAGAGGATTTATACTACATGATTCTAAAATACACCGTAAAGCTACAGTAATCAAGATTATGTGATATTGGTATAAGGATAGACAATGAAACAAAATAGAGAGTTTAGAAATAGACACATACATATATGGTTAATTATTATTCAACAAAAGGGTCAAGGTAATTCAATACGGAAAAGATACTCTTTTCAACAAATTGAACTGAAACAACTGGATATCCTTAAAGGAAAAACAAATCCAACCCTTACCTCTTGCTATATACTAAAATTGATTCCAAATAGATCATATACTTAGATGTAAAATCTTAAACTATGTAACTTCTAGAAGCATAGAATTTCTTTACAACCTTAGGAGAGACCAAAAAAAGGACCACAAAAGAAAAAAAAAAGATAAATTTCAATTAATTTATCAAAATTAAAATCTCCTTCTCTTTGAAATACTTCAACAGGGAAGCCCCTGAATGAGAGAGCATATTCACATTATGTTGACAAAAGTCTTATATTTTGAACATACAATATAATAAGATAATAAAATAAACACCCCAATTTAAAAATGAGCAAAAAGTTCATTGGTAACTTCACATATACACACAAAGGGTAAGCAAACCTGAGAAGGTAAGAATATAGAGGGAAAGATAAATATATGAAATTAGTGGTTACAGTAGCCACAGAGCACAAACAATGAAAATCTGACCTAAGAATTATACCCTTTCACCAGAAGCAAAATTAAGTTCTCTCTGAAGGAATCCATCATACTAAGTCTCAAATTAGGTTTATAGTTTTTATATCTATTGTCTTGAACACAATAAAAAACAACCACACAAACAAGAAGACAAGAAAACAAAACAAAAGAAACAACAGACAAGAGAATCAGAATCTCCAGGGATCCAGAACACTGAGTCATCAGAAACAGATTTTAAAATAATTATGCTTAATATGTTCTATAAAGTAGAAGATAAGAGAATATCATCAAAGAACTGGAAATACACACACACACACACACACACACACATATACATATGGACCAAATGGAAATTCTAGAAGTGAAAAATATAATGGGGGGTAGAATTTGGGGAATGTTGGTCAAAGGCTACAAAACTTTAGAAAGAAAAGATATATAATAATCAAAATTTAAAACATAATTAGGAGGATCAAGAATTTGAGAACAGGAAGACATGTCAGAAACAGATTCAGTGTGAAGCACAGAAAGATGAAATGGTGGGGGACGGGGAATACAAAAAATATGCATAAAAGGATGTACGAGAGAAAGGTCTAACATAAATGCCATTAGAATTCCAGAAAGAGGGATGAGAATGTGTCAGAAGCCACTTTTGAAGAGATAAGGAAACTTCCAGTTACAACCATAATAAAAAGCTGGTATTGAACTTATCTTTCCACTGGACAAACTGGTTTCAGACATTGGGCATAGATACAGCACAGGGCTGCTCTCTTTTTTAAAAAGTAAAGCATACAAGTTAAGTTCTACATTCACCTTGGCTTTCTGCCTGGTGATATTTCCAAAATGCAGCATAGAAAAATGGAACTCAGTAAGAAATCAGCGTTTTTGGTGGGTAGAAGAAACAGATTTTCAGTGGGTAGAGAAATCAAAATAAAGAAATGCTAAGGCGGATGGAATTTGTGAGTAAAGGTAGAGAACAGAGGAGAGCTACCAAGAAGAGGTATCACAGATCAGTGGAAGGGCATCCCTCAGGTCTTTGGCCCGCATGTGCTCAGAGCAAACTTCTGCAAGGACTAGCAGAGAACTCTGCTCAATGGTTGAAAGCAGAACAGAGATTTTGGAGGTCACAAAGGGCTAGATATATGTTGTATTTCCAATGTAGCCAAAGCAAAGAGCTTTAGTGAACACATCAGAAATTCAGGAGACAATAGTTTGTAACAGATAGGTCACACCTTAGGAATAAAGACCGTGCTCTAGACCTAAGTTTATAAATTTGTAGACATAGGGTTGTTCATAGTAATCCTTCACTATCCTTTTAATGTCCATGAGATCAGGAAATAATAATATCTATTTCCTTTCTGATATTAGAAATGTGTGTCTAATGTCTTTTCCTTTTTCCCTGGTTAGACTGGCTAGAAGCTTATTGATTTTTTAAAAAACAGTTTTTAATTTTGTTGATTTTTCTCTATGTTTTCCTGTTTTAAATCTTACTGACTTGTTCTCTAATTTTTGTTATTTATTTTCTTATGCTTACTTCAGGCTTAAATTGCTCTTCTTTCTCTAGTTTCCTAAAGTAGAAGACTATAGCATTGATTTTACATGTTCCTTCTTTCTACTGTATGTCTTCAGTGCTGTAAATATCCCTCTAAACACTGCTTTTACTACATAACACAAATATTGAAGATAATGCTATAGGAGTCATAGTTATACACTAGGACTAAAGGCAAAACTGAAATATACTTGGCTTAACAAGTTATAAATTTAAGTCCTTGGGAAGAGAAGGGCAGAGAAGGAGAGGCTGGTTAACAGGTACAAACAGATAGAAGGAATAAGTTCCAATATTTGATAGTAGAGTAGGTTGACTATATTTAACAACAATGTATTGTATATTTCAATATTTCAAAACACCTAGAAGAGACGACTTGAAATGTCCCCAATGCATAGAAATAATAAATCCTTGAGGTGATGGACACCCCAAATACCATGACTTGATCATTACACAGTCTGTGCAGGTAACAAAATATCAGGCCATAACAAAAATGTATGGGATACTTTATATCCCATAAAAAGGTACAATTAGGCCAGACACAGGGTCTCATGTCTGTAATCCCAGCACTTTGGGAGGCTGAGGCAGGAGGATCACTTGAACCCAGGATTTTGAGACCAGCTTGGACAACATAGGGAGGCCCATCTCTACAAATAATAAAAAATTAGCCAGGTGTGTTGGTCATGCCTGTAGTTCCAGCTACTTAGGAGGCTGAGGTGGGAAGATCACTTGATCTCAGGAGTTCAAGATTGCAGTGAGCTATGATTGTGATGCCATTGCACTCCAGCCTAGGCAAGAGTGAGACCATGTTAGGAAGGAAGGAAGGAAAGAAGGAAGGAAGGAAGGAAAGAAGGAAGGAAGGGAGGGAGGGAGGGAGGGAAAAACAAAAAAACAAAAATATGTACAAGTAAAATTTGTTTTAAAAGACTAGAGATCAAGAAGCCTATAAAATCTGAAAATTTAAAATAAAAATAAATAAAGCTAAGCCTTGATGCAAGAAGGTGATCCACCAGTAACTTCACACCAGCAAATACAAAACACAAAATACAATGCTTTTTAGAATAAATAAAATAGTTCAGAGTCTCTACAACATATTCTTTACAATGTCCATCATACAATAAAAAATTTACAAGACATGTGAAAGGACTAGAAAATGTGATCCATAATCAAGAGGAAGAGTGAAAAGAAGCAAATGACCTAGACTCATTTCAAATTAAAAATAAGAATTTTAAAATAAGTAGTTCAAATATGTTAAAGAATATACAGAAATAGATCATTCAGATGAAAATTCCCAGAGAGAGATGAAAACTGTAAAAAATAGCTAAAAGAAAATTCTAGACCTAAAAACATAATTAGAAAAGATAGCATATATAAAATTACTAACTCATTGACTGGACTTTTAAAAAATATTGGACGCAGCAGAAGAAAGGATCAGTGAACTTGAAAAATTAATACAAATCCAAACTAATGCACAGGTAAACATTTTTTAAAAATGGAGTATTTGATACCTCTGGAAAAAGTACCAAATATTTTTTTAAAGTCCCAGAATGAGAGGAGAAAACAGAAATGGCAGAATAAATACCTGGATAGAATAATATCCCAAATTTTTCCAAAACTGATGAAGAACATAAAACCACAGATTCGAGAAGCTCAGCAAACCCCAAGCAAAATAAGTACAAAAACCACCACACTCAAGCAGAACATAATGAAAGTACTAAATACCAAAAATAAACAGAAAATCTTTCAAAGAGGCAGAGAAAAATATCATACTACATTCAGAGGTACAATTACAAGAATAATATGTAATTTCCTATTGGATACAATGAATTGATACGTTTAAAGAGTTAAATGAGAGAAGCAATGTTCACTAATTACAATGGAATTACCATAGATATCAAAACAAAAAGGTAACTAGAGCCCAGATATTTGCAAGTTAAACTACTCTCCTAAATAACACAGGCAATAAAGATAGAGCAATTAAAGTGTTTAAATATTTTTAAATGAATGCTAGTAAAGACCCAAAATATCAAAATTTGTGGGATGCAGCAAATATAGAACTTAGAGGGAAGTTGGTAATTTTAAATGGATAATTAGAAAAAAATTAATGTTGGAAATAAACAATCTAATTTTTTAATCCCAAGAAGCTAGGAAAAAGAAGAAAAAATTAAATTCAAGAAAGTAAAAGAAACAAGATAGTAAAGATAAAAGCAGAAAACAATGATACATACAGAACACAACTTTTATCATTTTTCTGTTTTTTGTTTATTTGTTTTAGTTTATGTAAGCATTTGGTGAAATTTAAGAACTGGTCATGCACGGTGGCTCATGCCTGTAATCCCAGCACTTTGGGAGGTGAAGGCAGGTGGATCACGAGGTCAAGGGATCGAGACCATCCTGGCCAACATGGTGAAACCCCGTCTCTATTAAAATACAAAAATTAGTTGGGCGTGGTGGCACATGCCTGTAATACCAGCTACTCGGGAGGCTGAGGCAGAAGAATTGCTTGAACCCAGGAGGCAGAGGCTGCAGTGAGCCGAGATCGCACCACAACACTCCAGCCTGGTGACAAAGCGAGACTCTGTCTCAAAATAAATAAATAAATAAATATAAAAAATAAAAACTATTCAGAATAAAATATCTAAGTCAACTGGAAATAAAATTTAACTTTCTGAAACTGATATAAAGGAGATTTGCAAAACCCTACAGCTAATAGCATGCTTAATGGTGAAATATTCCCTCAAGTTAGGAACAAAGCAACCATATCTAATATGGCTTGGATTTGTTTCCTCACTCAAATCTCATGTCAAATTGTAATCCTCAGTGTTGGAGGAGCAGCCCAGTGGAAGGTGACTAGATCGTGGGAGTGGATTTCCCCTTTGCTGTTCTCATAATAGTGAGTGAGTGCACAGAGAGTTGGTTGTCTAAAAGTGCGTGGCACCTCCCCACCACCTCTCCCTCCTGCCACCGCTTGAAGATGTGCCCGCTTCCCCCTTACCTTCTGCCATGATTGTAAGTTTCCTGAGGCCTCCGCAGAAGCAGAAGCCAATATAACCCACAGAACCATGAGCCAATTAAACCTCTTTTCTTTATAAACTACCCAGTTGCAGGTATTTCTTTATAGCAGTGTGTGAACAAACTAATACAGGAAATTCATACTAGAGAAGTGGGGCATTGCTATAAAGATACCTGAAAATGTGGAAGCCACTTTGGAACTGGGTAACGGGCAAAGGTTGGAACAGTTGGGAAGGCTCAGAAGAAGACAGGAAAATGACAGAAAGTTTGGAACTTCCTAGAGACTTGTTAAATTGTTGTGACCAAGATGCTGATAGTGATATGGACAATGAATTCCAGGCTGAGGCAGTCTCCGATGGAGATGAGGAACTTATTGAGAACTGGAGTAAAGGTCACTCTTGCTATCCTTCAACAAAGAGAATGGCAGAATTGTGCCGCTGCTCTAGGGATCTGTAGAACTTTGAATTTGAGAGAGATGATTTAAGGTATCTGTCAGAAGAAATTTCTAAGCAGCAAAGCATTCACAATGTGGCCAAGCTGCTTCTAACAGTGCATACTTACATTCATAAGCAAAGAGATTATCCAAAACTGAAACTTAATATTTAAAAGGGAAGCAGAACATAAAAATTTGGAAAATTTGCAGCCTGACCATGTGGTAAAAATAAAAACCCATTTTCTGGGGAGGAATTCAAGCCAGCTGCAGAAATTTGCATAAGTAAAGAGGAACCAAATGTTAATATCCAAGACAATGGGGAAAATTTCTTGAAGGCATTTCAGAGAACTTTGTGACACCACCTCACACGGCAGGCCCCAAGGCCTAGGAGGGAAGAATGGTTTCATGGGCAGGGCCCCACTGCCCTGCACAACCTCAGGACACTGTTCTCTGTATTATAGCCACTCCAGCTCCAGCTGTGGCTAAAAGGGCTCCAAATACATCTCAGACCACTGCTCCAGAGAGTGCAAGCCATAATCCTCTGTGGCTTCCATGTGGTGTTAAGCCAGAGGATATGCAGAGGGCAAGAGTTGAGGCTTGGGAGCCGGTGCCTAGATTTCAGAGGATGTATGGAAATGCCTGGATGTCCAGGCAGAAGTCTGCTGCAGGGATAGAGCGTTCACGGAGAACCTCTACTAGGGCAATACAGAGTTGAAGCCCGTACACAGAGTCCCTATGGGGGCACTGTCTAGTGGAGCTGTGAGAAGAGGTCCACTGTCCCCCAGACCCCAGAATGGTAGATCCAACGATGGCTTGCACCATGCACCTGGAAAAGCTGCGGGTACTCAACACCAGCCCATGAAAGCAGCTGCAGAGGATGTACCTTGCAGAACCACAGGGGCAGAGCTGCCCAAGGCCTTGGGAGCCAACCCCTTGCATTAGTGTGGCCTGGATGTGATACATGGAGTCAAAGCAGATTATTTTGGAGCTTTAAAATTTAATGACTGCGCTGCTGGGTTTCGGACTTCATGGGCCATGTAGCCCCTTTGTTTTGGCCAATTTCTCCCTTTTGAAAAGGGAGTACTTACCCAGTGCCTGTATCCCCATTATAATCTGTAAGTAACTAACTTGTTTTTTATTTTACAGGATCATAGGTGGAAGAGACATGCCTTATCTCAGATAAGACTTCAGGCTGTTGACTTCTGAGTTAATGCTGCAATGAGTTAAGACTTTGGAAGACTGTTGGGAAGGCATGATTGTGTTTTGAAATGTGAAAAGGACATGATATTTTGGAGGGGCCAAGGGTGGAATTATATGATTTGGATTTGTGTCCTCACCCAAATCTCATGTTGAATTGTAATTCCCATGGTTGGAGGAGGGGCCTGGTGAGGGGTGATTGGATCATGGGGGTGGATTTCCCCCTTGCTGCTCTCATGATAGTGAGTGAGTGCTCAGAGAATTGGTTGTTTAAAAGGATGTGTACACACTTCCCCCACCAGCCATGTGAAGATGTGCCTTCTTCCCCTGCACCTTCTGCCATTATTGTAAGTTTCCTGAGGTCTCCCCAGAAGCAGAAACCTGCATATCCCACAGAACCATGAGCCAATTAAGCCTCTTTTCTTTATAAATTAACAAGTTTCAGGTATTTCTTTTTAGTGGTGTGAAAACAGACTAACGCAATATCCATTCTTATCAATTCTATTCAACAGACTCTGTTGTGAAAGTACTGGACAATAAAACAAAGAAAGAAAACAGCAATAAGTGATATAAAGATTTGAAAGGAAGTAGCACAGATGACACCATTGCCTATATAGAAAATCCAACTAATAAACAAACTACTAGAACTAATAATTGAATTTAGCAAACTCATGAGATAAAAGATCAATATGTTAAACTCAATTGGATTTCCTTACACAAGCAATAAACAATTGGAAATTAAATTTTAAAATAATGCCATTTACAATGGCATAAAAAAATTCAAACACCTAGGAATTCATTTAACAAAAGAAATGTAAGACTTCTACAGTGAAAAATACAGAGCACCACTGAGAGAAATTTTAAAAGACCTAACTAATAGAAAGATATACCACATTCATGGATTCAAAAATCCAATATTGTTAAGATGCCATTTCTTTCCAAATGGAATCACAGATTAACACAATCCAGATTAAAATCCCAGCAGGATTATTTTGGCAGAAATTCTTTTTGTTGTTGTTGTTGTTGCTGCTACTGCTGCTGCTGTTTTTAATAAACAGGGATAGGGTCTCACCATGTTGCCCAGACTGTTCTTGACCTCCTGGCTTCATGTGACCCTCCCACCTCGGCCTCCCAAAGTGCTAGAATTACAGGTGTGAGCCACCATGCCTGGCCTTTTTTCGGGTTTAGTGGGTTTTTTTTTTTTTCGACAGAAATTGAAAATTGAAAGCTGATGCTAAAATTTAAATGGAAATGCAAAGTCTCTAAAATAGCCAAAGTAGTCAAAGAAAAAGAACAAATATAGAGATTTGAACTATCTGATTTCAAGGCTATAACATAAAAGTATTTAAGACAATTGTATTGGTGTACAGACAGAGATACAAATAAATGAAAACAAACACAGTCCATAAATAAACCCACAAAAATATGACCAAGGGGCCAATATAATTCAAAGGGGAGAAAATAATCTTTTCAACAAAGGGCACTGGAAATAAGGAAATATAAATCATAAGGAAGACAATAAGCCATAGCCATCATACACAAAAATTAAACTTAAGACAGATCATAGACTTAAATGGAAATATAGACCTTCTGGAAGGAGAAAATCTTCACAGTCTTGGAGAAGGCAAAGACTTCTTAGACAGGACATGAAAGGCATTGACCATAAGAGCAAAAATGATAAATTTCAGTTTACCAGATTAAAAACTCATGCTCATCAAAATAGACACTGTTAAGAAAATAAAAGAGTAACCCCAAGACTGGAATAAAATATTTGTATTATATAAATCTGACAAATGACTTGTATCAAACTAAATAAAGAACAACTACATATCAACAACAAAGAAGATAAAGAACCCAATCAATAATTGGTAAAAGACTTTCTCAGGTACTTCATAAGATATAGGAATAACCAATAATTATATAAAAATGTGCTCAACAGCAGTCATCAAAGAAATTTAAATTAAAGCCACAAGATACACACTCACCAGAATGGCTAAAATTAAAAACACAGACAATTGCAAGTGATAGCAGAGTGGAGAGCAACTGAAACTCTCATAAATTGTTGGATGAAATGTAAAATGGCATAAACACTTTAGAAAACTGTTTAGATACTTCTTATAAACTCTATGACCCAGCAATTCCAGTCCTAGGTATATACCCAAGAGAAATAAATGCGTAAGTCCACAAAAAAACTTGTATAAGATATTCATAGCAGCTTTATGTATATTGGCTAAAAACTGAAAACAACCCAAATATACATCAATAGGAAGGTTGATAAACAAATGACATATCCATGCAATGGAATACTTAGCAATAAAAAAAAGAACTACTAATATCCACTAACATGGACTAATCTCAGTAATATGTTGACTGAATGGATTCAGAAATGAAAAAATGTATCATGTTTGATCTCCATTTACCTGAATACCTGAATTAGATGAATATATGAATTATGTAGAAACCAGAATAGTGATCACTTCAGAATGAGAGAAGGGGATGGTGTTTGGAAAAGGCATACCATTATTTTCTGGGTTGATGGAAACATTCCATTGTCTTTTTTGGATGACGACTACATGAGCATTATACATTTGTCATAATTGACCCAGCTGTACATTTGATACTTGTGCATCTAACTTATGTAAAATATACCTTAATAAAGTACTATCACTAACAAAAGAGAGATAAGCCTGACAATTTTCCAGTGACAAAATACATCAAGCCACAGATCAAGTCCTATGAACCCCTCCAAAAAGACAAACATACATAATATCATAACTAGATATATCATAGTAAAGCTGCCAAAAATAAAAAATAAAGAGAAAACTTTTAAGACAAAGAAAAAAATGTTTATCTTCAAAAGAGTAATAATTGGCAATTGACTTTGATAGTCAATTTTTTATAGAAACAATGAAAATGAGAAAATCATGAAATACCTTCAAAGTATGAAAAATAAAATGACTGCCAATCAAGGCTAGCCTGGCCAAGATGGTGAAATCCCGTCTCTACTAAAAATACAAAAATTAGCCAGGCATGGTGGCAGGTGCCTGTAATCCCAGCTACTCAGGAGGCCGAGGCAGGAGAATTGCTTGCACCCAGGAGGCAGAAGTTGCAGGTAGCTGAGATCGTGCCATTGCACTCCAGCCTGGGTGACAAGAGCGAAACTACATCTCAAAAAAAAAAAAAAATTGTATACAATGAGAAAATAGCCTTAAGAAACAAAGGCAAAACAAACATTTTCAGACAAACACTAACTGAGAAAACGTATCTTCAGTAGAATGGCACTAAAGGAAATATAAAAGGATATTATTTTAAAAAACTTCAATCCCAGATAGGAGCTTAGAGATACAAAAAGGGGAAAATAGCAAGAAAAAGGAAAATATAATCTAACTGATGCACTGAACAACAGTAATTATGTTTTGTAGAATATATAATATGTATATATATAAAATAAAGTATAGCATGGAAGTCAGGAGGGAGTAAATGGAGTTAAAATTTTCTGCCACTTTACGCAGCAATATAAAAGTACTACTTTATACTGGACACTGATAAGTCAAGAATGCATGATATAATCTCTAGGGTAATGATTGAAAGAATAGTAGAGGACTAAATAACTTACAAAGCCAAAGATGGGGTGATGAAATATTTAAATATACTTAGTGCAAAAGAGGCAAAAAAAAAAGAGAGAGAGAAAAAAGAAAAAAGAAGCAGGAAAAATAGATCACAATAGAAAATTGTGGATTTAAAGTCAAATATACCAGTAACTACATTACATATATATGGGCTAAATGCTCCAATTAAAAGGTAAAAATCGTAAGTATTGAGTTTAAAGAACTATATGCTGATTACAAGACACACATAAAATATAAGAATACAAAAAAATTGAAAATTAAAAGATGGGAAAAGTTATACCATGCAAACACTCATGAAAGCTGGTATAGCTACATTAGTATAAGACAAAGTAGATTTTAACACAAAAAGTATTAGAAGAGATAAAGACATGCACTTTGTAATGGTAAAAGTTTCAATTAGCTGGGAAGATACTGCATTCTAAACTTGTATACACCTAATAATGCAGCCTGAAAATATATAAAACAAACATTGACAGAACTACAAAGAGGAATAGACAAATCCACAGTCATAGTAAGAGATTTTTAACACCCTGCTCTTGGTAACAGATAGAAGAAATGGGCAAAAATATCATGAGAATATACAGGATTTGAATTAAACAATTACAAATTTAATTTCATTGACACATGTAGAACACTGCACAAACAACTGCCAAATAGAAGTTCTTTTTACATTCTTGAGTTCTTTTTAAGTTCTTTACACAGGAACATTTACAAAAATGACCATATGTTCAACCCTAAAGAAAGTGTTAAAAATGGCAATGGAATGAAATAATACAAAGTATGTTATCTGACCACAGAAGGATAAAGCTATAAATCTCCTTCTAAATGACCCATGGGTCAAAGAAGAAACCATGAAGCATTTAGAAATCAGCATAGCACAGGATTTAGGAATCAGCATAGCAGTGAGATTTAAGTCACTGCAATAAGGCAAGAAGACATAAAAGGCTTATGGATTGAGAAAGAGATATTAAATGTGTATTATTCAACAATAATATAATTGTGCATATTAAAGTAATTTTTAAGCAAGACTACCATAATAAATTATTAGAAGTGAAAAGTGACTTAGCAAAGTTGCTGGATACAAGACCAATATACTAAAAATTAATTGCATCTACATACTAGCAACAAAGAGTTAGACAATGTAATTTTTAGAACATATATAATTGACAATAATATTCTAAAAATAAATATCTAGGAATAAACTACATGAGAGATATGCAAGACATCTACACATCTACATCTAGTAGAAAACTAGAAAAAGGATTGAGGGCAACTTAAAAAAGCCTAAATAAATGAAGAGATATACCATGTTCATGGATTGGAAGATTCAATATTATAAAGAAGTCAGTTTCCCAAATTGATCAAGATTATCTCAACACAGACTCAAGACAATCCCAATCAAAATCCTAGCAGTATGAGTGTTTGTATATGTTTAACTTGACAAATTTTTTAACTTAGCAAACAGCTAGGAATAGGCAAGATATTATTGAAGGAGGAGGAAGAAATGGAGGAGGAGGAGAAAGAACAGAAAGAGGAGAAGGTAGGTGAAGACAAGGAAGATGAAGAGAGCAATAATAACAAGGTAAAGGACTTGCACAGGTGGATTTAAAATTTTATTATTAAGCTACAGTAATTAAAAGAGTATGGTATTGGTAAAAGGAGAAATAAACCAGTTGAACTAAGAATCCAGAGACAGAATCATTTTTAAATAGACACTTGATTTATGACAAAAATGGTACCACAGAATAGTAAGGAAAGAATAATATTTTCAATAAATAATGTTGAGCCAACTGGCTATCCATAAGAGAAGAGATTGGCCGTTACCTCATACCATATAGAAAAATTAATTCCAGATACATCTAAAAGATGAAAAACAAAGATTATAGAAGATGACAAAAAAGCATTATAATTTTGGGGTAGGGAAGGATTTTCTTAGATAGGACATGAAAAGGATTAAATATGAAGACAAAGAATGCTAAGTTGATAATATTAAAATAACTTTATTTAATGATAAGACATTATTCAGAAAATAAAAAAACAAGATATTTGCAACATATATAACTGACCAAGATCATATAAGAGGATGTTCAAATGGCAAATAAACATAGGAAGAAATGTTCAGCTTCACTAGTAATCAGGGAAATGCAAATTATAATCATAAGATACTTCTACACACCCTTGAAAATGGCTAAAATTTTTAAAACCATCAAAACAAATAATAACCAAAATGTGGAAAATAAGACAAAAAGAACTCTCATACACTATTAATGAGAGGACAAATTAATACAGCTACTTTGGAAAGCTGTTTGCCATTATCCATTAAAGTTGGATATATGTACATCCTCCAATCCAGGAATTCCACCTTAGGCACCTAACAGAAATGTATGCAAGTATGCACCAAAAGACATATACAAGGATGTTCACAGGAACATTATATATAAAAGCCAGAAAGTGGGATTAATCCAAAAGTCCACTAATAATAGAATGGATAGGTAAACTATGGTACATTCATTTGGTAGAATAGGCACAGCAATAAAAAAACAAAGTACAGTTATCCTCAACACCATGAACAAATCACATACACACAACACACACATACAAATAAATAATGGATTATTCCATTTTTATAAAATTCTAAAACAGACAAAACTAATCTTGGGTATTGGAAGTCATGTCAGTAGTTACCTTTGGGGTGTAAGAGGGAACATATGGTAGGAGGTGGTCCATGAACACTTATAAATTTGTGATTATCTGCATGTACACAAGGCACAGGTAAAAAAGTTTTAAAACATTTTTAATTATGTAGAGATAAGATTGAGTTAATAAAACAGATAACTAAGAACTCAATGTGACATAAAAGAACTGGTAGACCTTCTTGCACTTAACTTGTATACATCTCAAAAATCCAATGTACTGATGTGATATTTGGTAGCCTAGACCAAAATTTCACCTTGTAGTACTGTCTTGAGTTATTCTCTATCTGCTTTTGCAACAGTCTGTGTCTTAGAAAGGTACAGTCCCTGTCTTGGAAATGTGGAGTCTGTTTCTTGGAGATGTACATCTTGTGTAACATCTTTTGTCCTATAGTTCAAATGGAAACTGAACAATAACTGCTGCTGTTCCTTACTAACAAAGGCTAAATTATTTTCTAGTTGGGACACTGTAACAGGAAAATTGCTAAATAATTTCTTTCTCTCCCACAGAAGCAGAAAAGCATAGAACAACATAATGGCTATTTTCATTGTCAAGAAACTTAAGTTACAATTTTTTGCATTTTTTTTAAACAGGAGAAAAAGTCATTTTAATTATATACATACACATGGGAGTCCCATAAAAATATGAGACATCAATTTTTTGCATTTTTTTTTGAGACATTGTCTTGCTCAGTCACCCAGGCTGGAGTGCAGTGGCATGATCTCAGCTCACTGCAAACTCCGCCTCCTGGGTTCACACCATTCTCCTGCCTCAGCCTCCAGAGTAGCTGGGACTACAGGTGCCCACCACCACACCCGGAATTTTTTTTGTATTTTTAGTAGAGACGGGGTTTCACCATGTTAGCCAGGATGGTCTCGATCTCCTGACCTGGTGATCCACCCACCTCGGCCTCCCAAAGTGCTGGGATTACAGGCATAAGCCACCATGCCCGGCCAATTCTTTCCAACTTTAAGGCCAAAATAATTGGAGCAGTTGTTGTTGATATACACTAATAAACCAAAAAGGAAAAAACATTGTAGATCACCAAATTCTTATTATTTGATCTTCTTTGTATGAGCTGTAAATATTCCTATGTTAACTATGTTTAGAAAATAATATATAATTCCTACACATATATGTGAAGTTAAAATTATGGTGAATTACTAACAATCATTAACCCTGTGTGTTAATAGTGATTCTTTAAACTTTCCTGTGTTTGACATCTTTTATCATAAATAGTTGGGAGGAGCCTTGTGTAATTACATACAATATGATCTTAATTATAGGTTTTAAAGTTCACCAAAACCTGTAAATAAACCAAAATGTTAACAATAGTCATTTCTGGATGGTGGTGGTGTTTTTCCTCCTTACATATTGCTATAATTTTTCTTTTTTTTTTTGAGACGGAGTCTTGCTCTGTTGCCAGGATGTAGTGCAGTGGTGCGATCTCAGCTCACTGCAACCTCCGCCTCCTGGGTTCAAGCAATTCCCCTGCCTCAGCCTCCCAAGTAGCTGGGATTATAGGCACGCACCATCACACCCAGCTAATTTTTTGTATTTTAGTAGAGATGGGGTTTCACCATGTTGGCCAAGATGGTCTCGATCTCCTGACCTCATGATTTGCACACCTTGGCCTCCCAAAGTGCTGGGATTACAGGCGTGAGCCACTGCGCTGGCCACATGTTACTGTAATTTTTCTATAAGTAAATTTTCCTTTTTAAAAAAAAATTTTGCTTTTTTTTTTAATTTATTTTTATGTTTTTGAGATGGAGTCTTGGTCTGTCGTCCAGGCTTCAGTGCAATGGCGCAATCTTGGCTCACTGCAACTTCTGCCTACCAGGTTCAAGGGATTCTCCTGCCTCAACCCCCCAGTAGCTGGGATCACAGGCGTGCACCACCATGCCTGGTTAATTTTTGTATTTTTAGTAGAGCTAGGGTTTCACCACGTTGGCCAGGCTGGTCTCCAACTCCTGACCTCAGGTGATCCACCTGCCTCCACTTCCCAAAGTGCTGGGATTATAGGCATGAGCCACCACACCTGGCCAAATTTTTACTTTTTAAAGAGGAAATGCTGTAAATCACTGGGAAAACAAACAAAAGTTGCTGGTTCCTAAGAAAGCATTTCATCTTTGAGCTTCTAAGTTAATAAAATCCATACAATTTTCATTAAGAATATTTGGGGTTATAGTGCCATTTCAATACTGATGATACTCTTTGGTATGTCTTGCAGTAGGCATTGCAGACAATTTCTAATGCTTTACCTAATGTTTAATTAAAGAACTGAACTGAAAAAAGTGATGTAACACAGTTAAAGTAGAAAAATGTGGGGCTCAAATTCAATCTGTGCCCTTATTATTTGTGTGAATTTAGGCATGTTACTTAAACTCTATGTCCCACTCCTCATTTGTAGAACAGAAATAGGACAACTGACTTCCCAATATTTTTGTAAGGTTTAATTGAGAAAACATCTGTAAAACCTAATATGGTGCCTGGTCCATAGATTGTCTTCAATTAGGAGAGGGCTAAAAAAAATTAGATAATATCATAAGCAGCTAAACAATGTCTGACCAGCAGCCGGTGCTGGATAAGTAGTAATCTATAGACCGGAATGATTTTTTTTTTCTGTGATCTTTTGTTTCCTACACAGAATGCCATGGTCTACTAGAATGGGAGTTTCAAGAGAGCTACTTCCCCAGTACTTAGGACAGTGCCTGGAGGGCAGCAGGCATCCCATAACAGACTGCTGAAAGAATGGAAGCATGACCATATCATTGCAAGGATGGACTGAAGAATGAATGCCCTCAGACAGAGACATCTTGGTACGCTAAGATGAAAGTTGCTCTGGTTGTAGTGGGCATAGGCTGAGCTATTTCAGTGAAGACAGGTTTGACTGAACCTTTCTCGGGGCAATGGCCACGGGGATGGGTGGAAGTGGCTGTCAGTTTGCTGGGTTTTTGAGATGCTCTGAACAGGCAAATCTCATCAAGTGGCTTCTCCATCTAAAGCCTGTGCCTGGCGTCCCTTTGCTGTTAGGATAAAATCCAAACTCCTTCCCAGGCCTATCAGCCTCTCTGCTCACCTCTGGCTACTCTCCTCCTCTCACTCCAATGTCTGGCTACATTGGACTTTTTCCAATTCCTAAATACTATCATGCTATCTTCTGCCTGCAGTACGTTCTGCCTTGCAACTCACACTTTATTCACTCATGCCTCACCCGTTTCTGACATCTAGTGTGTATATATCCTTCAGGTATCAGCTTAAATGTCACTTACTTGAGAATCTGCCTTAACAAATACCCCTTCCCAAACTTGCCCACATCCCGTTGAGGTTAGAGACCCTTTCTGTGTGTCCCCACAGCTCTCTGTATTTGTTCTACTTTAGCACTTATTACCCTGTAAGGCAGTTTTGGGGTCTTTCCCCAACAATTAGAATGTAAGCTCCAAGATAGTAATGATTTTCATGTTTTCTTTACTGCTTCACCAAAAGCGCCTAGAATAATGCCTGCCTAATAGTAGACACTCCATAATTATTTGTTCAATAAAATGAATGGATTTCCATGTCTAGATTGTAGTAAGTTCCCTGAGACCTGGTTTTGTGTTGGTTCCTGTATTATTAACAGAAAGTACAGTGTCTGGCACAGAGTAGTTACTCATCAAATATTTATCAAATAAATAAATGTTATTTAATACTGATTATCCATTTATACTTCACGTAAGTGCTTATTTCAGGGATCGAATGGGAAGGAGTGTCAAATATTTCAGTTGTTTCACCTTTTATTCTATTAATGCTTCCGTATGTTGTGCTGCTTTTACATTCAAATCATTCACTTACCAACACTTAAACATTCTCTGCTATCTGTGATATACAGCACCTATGATACCAATTCCCATTTTAAAAAATTTACTTACTATCTACTTTCATTGTTTTTATTATTGTTACCATGTATTTTGGGCTTAGAATAAGCCCACCAAGGGCCACCAAAAGCCCAAACAACAAGTATTACCATCTCTAACACTTGATTTTAAGTCTTTCATCGGGAACGTAAATCAGACACCTGAATTCAGTTAAATCCCCTTGAAAACCACCTCAAATCACCTTTGTAAATAACAATAATGTGAACAAATAAGTAGATTCTCAGAACATCAGTGTGCAATCCTACAATAACTTGGAGAAAAGTCAACCTTGCAAAAATATCTCTCTCTCTCATTTTCAGAAAATTATACCTACAATTAAGCAGGGCAAAAAGGTGAACAAGGGCATCAAAAACTCCATTAGCCATAGGTTTCTTCTTTGATTTAATAATATATATACATAAACAACCTCCTAGGACCTGGAGGTTGTTGATTTGTTTGTTTGTTTCGCAGGATTTTTTGGTAGATATCTGTCATTATATTTAAAGTTAATGTTCTTTTCTCATTATTAATTACATCAAAATTCATTCCCTGTTGAATGGCTGAGCAACCAGGCTATCGGGGTCATTTTTTTGTTTGTTTTTTGAGACAGAGTCTCACTCTGTCACCCGGGCTGGAATGCAGTGGCTTGATCTCGGCTCACCACAGCCTCTGCCTCCTAGGTTCAAGTGATTCTCCTGCCTCAGCCTCCCAAGCAGCCGGGACTAGAGGCACGTGCCACCACGTCCGGCTAAAATTTTTTTGTATTTTTAGTAGAGACGGGGTTTCACCATGTTGGCCAGGATGGTCTCAATCTCCTGACCTTGTGATCCACCCGCCTAGGCCTCCCGAACTGCTGGGATTACAGGTGTGAGCCACCACGCCTGACCTATTTTTTATTTTTTATTTATTATTATTATTATTATTATTGAGACAGAGTCTGGCTCAGTCACCCAGGCTGGAGTGCAGTGGCACAATCTTGGCTCATTGCAACCTCCTCCTCCTGGGTTCAAGTGATTATTCTGCCTCAGCCTCCTGAGTAGCTGGATTACAGGCACAAGCAACAAAACTGGCTAATTTTTACATGTTGGCCAGGCTGGTCTCAAACTCTGGACCTCAGGCGAACCGCCCATCTCAGCCTCCCAAAGTGCTGAGATTACTACAGACATGAGCCACTGCACCCAGCCTATCGGGGTCACTTAATTTTTTTTTTAGACAGAATCTCGCTCTGTAGCCAGGCTGGAGAGCAGTGGTGCGATCTTGGCCCATTGCAATTTACGCCTCCCAGATTCAAGCAATTCTTGTGCCTCAGCCTCCCAAGTAGCTGGGACTACAGTCGTGCACCACCACGCCCAGCTAAGTTTTGTATTTTTAGTAGAGACGGGGTTTCACCATGTTAGCCAGGATGGTCTACATCTCCTGACCTTGTGATCTGCCCGCCTTGGCCTCCCAAAGTGCTAGTATTACAGGCATGAGCCACTGTGCCCAGTCTGGGTCATTTAATTTTTATTTAGTGCATGAGCTGGTGATATTGAAAGTGCTGCAAGTCTTCTTATCAGAGCAGAATCTGCTAGTTGGGGTTTCTGCTAAATGATGAGCAAATTTGCAGCATCACTCTCACTGCTCATCCCTGTGGAGTGATTAATGGTAGCCAGAGTTAAGACCCTCAGCCAGTGGTACAGCAAATGGGACTGAGACTTAAGGCAATTTGCCCTGAGGCCATAAATGCTTTTGAAATTGATTTGAATTAATTCATCTTTAAACCACTTAGTTTCAGAAAGGATTTATGACCATGTCCAAAGGCATAGAAAATATAATCCAGCAAGATAAAAATGTATGTATAAGTAGGTGAGGCCAGTGTGGCACAGGAGAAATACAGATGGGGCATCACAGGGCTCCTCTCCTCTTACCTGTGTACTGCAACCCCCTGTACTCGCTTATTGCCCCAGGAGGTTTTAAATTGGGCCAGTAGTGGAAAAGCATTTGCACAGCTGGAGGCTTCACTTGTGAAGGCCCATACGCAATCACATACAAAAGATCCTAAAGGAAACAGCAAGCATATTTTGACTTAGCATCATGAAATAAAAAGAAAGGTAGAGACTTCAACATTACCAAAGCAGTGAAAATTCTAATGGAGGGATTGAGGTGAGTAATTTCCCTGGAATCTCATGCAGACATGTTTCATAGATTAGATCACGTCAAAACATTATATTTTCATGATTTATTTATTTACTGATCCTTCTGTAAATGAGCCCTCACAGGTAGAGTACAAAGTACTTTATCTTCTAACAAATTGATCTCTAATCAGATTGATGCTAAAGAAAGATTTTAGAATAGCACAAGACAGTTTGCCAAATACCATATTTGAAAAAACATTTCCCTAATCACATTTCTTAAACATTCACATCTCCTATTTGAAAGAGGACACATTCTCAAGCAATCTTTCAAATTAAATAAAATTGTTTGTCATAACATATAATATTAGCTTAATTCCAAGAATAAGATACATTCAATTACTTTATCCGTCAAGACACGATGTTCTTAAAGTACCATTTCTGCTCTAAATGATAAATAATTAACCATTAAAGAAAGAATTATAGGTTCTGCCACATCAAAATAATAGGACGTCAATAAATTTGACCTAAACAACAGTTTTAATACGTAAACAGTTTTTACTGTATTATACAAATTAAGTTTGTGACTATGGGTTAAATTTGACCCAAAACTTACTTTCCAGACTTCTTGTTTATATTTCATGAGGCATTCCAGTAATTGACAATGATACACTGTAATGTAGAAAATGTAATTCATACATGAAATGTAAATACCAGACAAAACATCCTTTGATATACATATATAAGAAATTACTTCAATATGACTTTTCAGTCTCTAATCATTAAATTAGAAATAACTTCTCTCCATATATTCATACTTAAAAAATATCACATAAGCCCTTGACTTTATCAAGCTTTGTCCCAAGGTCCTTGAGAAGTATTTCATGCTTCATGTTAACAATGGAAATATTTTTAATGTCGGTAGTAATCATACATTCATAAAATAAACTTGTATCAACATAAGATCTACATAAGAAAAAAAACTAGCCCAACAGAATCATAATAAAAGCTCACATTTATTGAGCATTCATTATTTGCTAGATACCGTAGAAAGAGCTTTATATGTATTATCTCACAATTGCTATGGTGCAGTTAGGAAACTAAGCCTCAGTTTCCAACTTGCCCAAGGTTGAATGGATAGGAAGTGACAGACTTGATGGATTAGAGTGGGGTTTTATAATTTCATCATCAGTTCCATCTTATAGAGGAATTTTTAAAAGCTACATGACAGCAAGCTTCCTTGATTTGCCTATCTTCACTTGGGGAACAAAGATTCTTTCAACCTAGTTAGATGCCTTTTGATACCTTCCCTAATCTATATTCCAGGCCTATGCTGACATTGAAGCAGTTCACACTTTATTCACCAATGACCTCCGTGTCCTTCAATCCAATGGACATTTTCCAGTCCTCATCTTACTTGACTTTTCAGCCACATTCAGTAGTGCTGACTACTGTCTCCTTTTTGAAACACTCCTTGGCTTCATATGAATGACCCTCCCGTCACCTGTGGTGGACAACACTATTGCTACTCAACTGCTGTCAACACCCTTTTTTTCTTGTCCATTTGCCAATTGATATGGTTAAGCTGTGTCCCCACCCAAATCTCATCTTGAATTGTAATCCCCAGGTTTTAGGAAGAAACCTAATGGGAAGTGATTGGATCGTGGGGGCAGTTTGCCCCATGCTGTTCCCGTGATAGTGAGTGAGTTCTCCCGAGATCTGATGGTTTCATAAAGGCAGTTTTCCCTGCACTTGCTGCCACCATGTGAAGAAGGTCTTTGCTTCCCCTTCACCTTCTACCATGATTATAAGTTTCCTGAGGCCTCCCCAGCCATGCGGAACTGGGAGTCAATTAAACCTCTTTTCTTTATAAATTACTCAGTCTCTGGCAGTTCTTTATAGCAGTGTAAAAACGGACTAATACACCAATACACAGACTACAAAAGCAAGATGCTTTCCCAAAGCCCCTTGCAGCTAGAGATGGCCACGTGACTCAGTTCTGGACAGTAAGAATGAAGAGAAAATCTGCTGGGGAGCTTCTGAGACATACTTTCTCCCTCTGATAAAACGAAAGAGGTACACCAGGAGACTTTTCTCTTAATGACTCTGCTTGATCCTATTACCTGTTTTGTAGTTATACGAGGTTATAATAACCTCCACAGTGGCAGCTTTCTTGCAAACATGAGGGGAATTCCAAGATCTCAGCCCCCTGATATTGTGGAGCTATCTTCAGGACTTCCTATTAAGTAAACAACCAATGTGTTTATACTTTAAAGCCTCTGTCAGCCAAAGACATCTTAACAGATGCAACCTCTCTGTCTCTTTGGAGAGCTCATCCTCTTCCACTGGGCCATTATCTGTTGAAGTTTCTGAAGGCCTAATCACAGAACCACTCCACATTTCTTTCATTCTCTGCTCTCCCCTAAGCAATCTCACACTCACACACAACTTCAGCAGCCATCTATATGCAATTCAGTGAAGGTCACTGGACACTTGTGTGTGGGCTCAAAGTTCATTATCTCTAGTCCAAAGCTCTGTTCTGAGCTCCAGACCCATAATACAACTACCTAATTACCAGCTCCTATTAGGTGTCTCAAAGATACTGTGAACACAACACGTCTGAAACAGATCTCAAGATCTTCCCTCAGAGGCCTGATCTTCTTCTTCCAATGCCTCCAGTATCAGTGAGTAGAACCACTGTTACAGTTTGCATCTGTGTCCCCACCAAATCTCATGTTCAGTTGTAATCCCCAGTGTTGGAGGTGGGGCCTGGCAGAAGGTGATTGGATCATGGGGGTGGGTCCTTCATGAATGGTTTAGCACCATCCCTTTGGTGCTGTTCTCATGATAGAGTTCTCACAAGATCTGGTTGTTTAAAAGTGTGTGGCACCATGCCTGTAATCCCAGCACTGTGGGAGGCCGAGGCGGGTGGATCAAAACTCCTGAGGTCAGGAGTTCAAGACCAGCCTGGCCAACATGGTGAAACCCCATCTCTACTACAAATACAAAAAATTAGCTGGGTGTGGTGGTGGGTGCCTGTAATCCCAGCTACTTGGGAGGCTGAGGCAGGAGAATTGCTTGAACCTGGGAGGCGGAAGTTGCAGTGAGCTGAGATTGTGCCACTGCACTCCAGCCTGGGCAACAAGAGCAAAACTCTATCTCAAAAAAAAAAAAAAAAAAATATATATATATATATATATATATATATGTGGCACTTCCCCTTCTCTCTCTTCCTCCTGCTCCAGCCATGTAAGACGTGCTTCCCCTTTGCCTTCTACCATGATTATGAGTTTTCTGAGGCCTCCCTTAGAGACAGGAGCCACTATGCTTCCTGTACAGCCTACAGAACCATGACTCAATGACACTTCTTTTCTTTATAAATTACCCAGTCTCAGGTATTTCTTTATAGCAGTGCAACAACAAACTAATATGACCACCATGCATCCAGTTAGTGCATCCAGAAACCCACTCTAGCCAATATGTTACCAAGTCCTATCAATTTTACTTCCTAAATAGCTTTCAGAAAGATCTGCTTATTCTTCAGTTTCAATTGTCCCTGCCTTTGAAGTGCTTACGCAAATGCAATGACCTCCTTCCAGGTCAATCTATATCCAACCTGGCTTCTTCTCAATCCGTTCTCAACTGCAGCAGGGGTGACAGACACCACAGCCCACTCAAAGCCGTTCAGCAGCTTCCCATCAGATTTGGAATAAACGCAGGCCTCCCTAACATAGCTCACAACACCCTGCATGTTCCAGCCCATGGAACTCTTAAGTCTAGTGTCACACCAGGGAGCCCTCACTCTGAGTTCCAGCTACACTGATCCTTCAGTCTCAGCTGTTTGCCAGACTCCCCCGTGACACATGAGATTCCTCTTCCTGAACCGCCCCCCCTTGTAGGCCTTGTTCACATTATTCATCCTGCAGTTCTCAAACCAAAGGTTACTTCCTCAAAGAAGCCCTCCTGACTTCCTCAATAAAAGCAAAATTTCCTTTTATAACATCTTATAGTATAACATACTTGAAGCACTTGTCACAAGCAAAATTTTACACTTGATTTTATGATTATTTGATTGTCTTCTCGCCTCTCAACCCGACCATACGATAAGCTTCCTGAGATGAGGATGGGGTCAGTCCCATGTCACTAACCATGGAGCCCCCAGTGCCCAGTACATGGTGGATACTCAGTGACTACTGATTGAATGGTTGCTCTAGAATTGGAAATTTGGTCTTAAGCCATCACTGAATTCTCAAGTGCAGATGTTCCAAGACACTTTCTTGTACATAGTGTCTGCTGATCTCCACAGGTCTGCTATATGAACGTTGTTCAGAGCCATCACTGACCCATGAACATACCTGGACAGTTCCTTTGTTAAAACAGCTTCCCCTCCCAGAATGCCCCATTTACCTTATCAATAAAAACTCTGTCCAGCCAGGCATGGTGGCTCATGCCTGTAATCCCAGCACTTTGGGAGGCCAAGACAGGCGGATCACTTGAGGTCAGGAGTTCGAGGCCAGTCTGGCAAACATGATGAAATCCCATCTCTACTAAAAATACAAAAATTAGCCGGGCATGGTGGCATGTGCCTGTAGTCCCACATACTGGGGAGGCTGAGGCAGGAGAATTGCTTGAACCCAGGAGGCAGAGGTTGCAGTGAGCCGTGCCACTGCACTCCAGCCTGGGCAACAAAGTGAGATTCCATCTCGAAAAATAAAACAAAACAAAACTCTCTCCATAATTTAAAACTCATCCTTGGCCCAAGTGACGCAAAATCTTTTCTGATCATTTCAATCCATACAGCTCCCTCCTTCTGATAAATTAACACTGTCTAATATATTTATTTAGTACTCCTATGTACTACATTACATTGTTAACTAATGATTTATGTAAATATGCCTGATCTTCCCAATTAGACATAAGCTTCATAGCAAGTACCATATCTTATGTTTTTGTGTGGTTTTCACAATGCCTAGCACAAAGCCCTGTATATAGAAGGTGCTCAATGAATGCTGGTTACTTAAGTAAGGATTGTGTTCTATCCTTGATACACAATCAGCTACAAGGATCAAGTTGCCAGTTGTGCTTCTTCCAATAAAAATTCAAACAACAGAACCATGACCTACCACTTGGTCCCAGAGAGCCCCTGGTGGATATTGCCTCGCTTAAGTGCTTCCTATATCACAAGACTAGTTTTGGGTCCCAACTATGATTCCTAGTATACAGTAGCTGGTTATAAACATTTCCTCATGAACAAATGAAGATACAGATTTTAAAATAACAGATGCAACTCTACCTGACCACAGTAGTTTTCCAGTGAAACATTCAACTCAACATTCAACTCCAAGAAGAAAATGGCAAATTGTAGGGATTCAGTATTTATTGAGAATTTACAATTTGTCAGTCACTAAAGTAAGCACTTTACATATATGTAACCCATTAAATCTTCACAGCAGCATTTTAAAGTACTGCAAGAAGAATTATTTCCATTTTATAGATGAGGACACTTGGTTTCAGGGGGTAAAAAACTTGCTCAAGTTCACTAACTGGCAATTTGCAGGTAAGCTCAGATGTGAATCCACATACGACTAATCTCAAAGCACCCTGCTTTACTACCCAACTAGCTTAGAAATTTGGACCAGACTGGCATGATGAGACTCTAATTAACTAGATTCCAAATAAATGGTTTTATTAAGGACATAATATATAATAAATATAGTATTTTGATTATTTTAAGCCAGACAGATATATAAGATATAATTTCCCCATATATATATTTTAATTATATCTATATAATAATCATAAGAGATTTCATACTTAAAGAATGCTACAGACTGAATGTTTGTGTCACCTCAAAATTCTTCTGTTAAATCCAAACCCCCTAATGTGATGGTATTAGGATGTGGAGCCTTTAGGAGGTGATTAGTGCCCTTATAAAAGAGGCCCCAGAGAAATCCCTTGCCCTTTTGTCACTTGAGGACACAGCAGAACGACAGCCATTCATGAACCAGGAAATGAGTTCTCACAGATCATCCAATCTACCAGCACCTTGATTTTGGACTTCCCAGCCCCTGGAACTATAAGAAACAAATGTGCATTGCTTATAAGTCATCCAGTTTATAGAATTTTTGTTATAGCAACCCAAATGGACTAAAACAGAAAATTGGTACTGAGAAGTGGGGTGATGCTGTAACAAACAGCTAAAAATGTGGAAGTGGCTTTGGAACTGGGTAACAGGTAGGGGCTGGAAGAGTTTTGATCTGCAGGCTAGAAAAAAGCCTATATTGCCATGAATAGACCTTTAAAAGCAATTCTGGCAAGTGCTGAAAAAGAGAAGAGGAAAGCAGTAGAAAAAGCTTCAATCTTCTTTGAGAATACCTAAATGATCCTGAAGAGAATGTTAGTATAAATACGGACAGCAAAAGCAATTCTGATGCGATCTCAGACAGAAATGAGGAACACATTCCTGGAAAGTGGAGGAAAGGCCATCCTTGCTATAAAGTGACAAAGAACTTGGCTGAATTGTGTTCATGTCCTAGTGTTTTGTGGATGGTAGAACTTGTGAGTGATAAAATTGGATACTTGGCTAAGAAAATTTCTTAGCAAAGTGTTGAAAGAGAGGCCCAGCTGGATTTCTTCTGACTGCTTATACTGTAATAAAATGTGGGGAGAGAGAATGATCCAAAGACAGAATTGTTAATCAAGGAGGAAGAAGACTTAAAGATTTGGAAAACCCTCAGCCTATCTGTATTGACAGGATGAAGAAGCCTGTTAGGAAGAGAATGGGGAGAGTGTAGCCAAGTGACCATTTAATAAGATTAGTCAGCCATCTCAACAGAAGCCAGGAGGTATTGTCCAAAACAATGGAAGAATGACCCCAGAGGCACTTCGGAAATCCTCTGCACTGCCCCTCCCATCACAGACCCAGAGTGCAAGGACCCTGGGGGAGAAATGGTTTCAGAGGAGAGGCCACCAGCACTTTTGAGACTTCAGGGCATGCCACCCCCTCACAAGGCACCTTCTTACATTGTAAAATTCAGTCCTATACCCCAGTGCCTCATTGTTCAGCTGCCCTTTGGGCAGAGCAGCATGCACTGTACCCAGCAAAGGCATGGGGGTGTATTCACCTCCACCTAGATTTCAAAGGATGCCCAGGAGAGCTGGAACTCCACCCTGAGAGAGTCATGGGCACCGGACCCCAGCCTGCAGAGTGGGGCCCAGGAAGGGAACCACTGTGGGGGCCAGGATCACTGTAGAGAGCCCCCACCAGGGCAATGCCCAGCAAGCCATGGAGATAGAGCCACGCAAAGCCACAGGGGCAGGGTCTTGGGGGCCCAACCCCTACATGGCAAAGCTGCTATGCAGGGCCACCACCTCAGTGGGTCCAAAAGACAGAACTCTTACCCCAATGGGTTTGGAAGGTGGGACCTCCACCCCAGTGGGCCTGGAAGGTGGAGCATCAAGTCAAAAAAGGTAATTTTCAAACCTTAAGGTATAATGTAGTTGGGTTTTAGACTTACTTGGAACCTGTTACACCTTTTTTCTTTCCCATTTCTCCCTTTTGGATGGGAATGTCTATGCTATGCCTGTCCAACCATTGTATATTGGAGGCATATAACTTGTTTGATTTCATAGGCTCACAGCTGGAGAGGAAATTGCCTCACCCATATCTGATTTAGATGGTATTCACATGAGACTTTGGACTTTTGAGTTCATGCTGAAATGAGTTACGATTTTTGGGGCTATTGGGATGGAATGAATGTTTTGCATATGAGAATAACATGAATTTCAGAAAATAGGGTGGAATACTATAGACTAAATGCTTGTGTCCTCTCAAAATTTGTATGTTGCCAGACATGGTGGCTTATGCATGTAATCCCAGTACTTTGGGAGTCCAAGGCAGGAGGATCACTGAGGTCTGGAGTTTGAGGCCAGTCTGGGAAACATAATGAGACTGTCTCTAAAAAAATTTAAAAATTAGCCAGATGTGGTAACACATGCCTGTAGTCCCAGCTACTCAAGAGGCTGAGGAAGGAGAATCGCTTGAGCCAGGTAGGTCAAGGCTGCAGTGAGCCATAATTGCACCACTGCACTTTAGCCTGAGTGACAGAGTAAGACTCTGTATCTTAAAAAAATTTTTAAATTAGTATGTTAAACCCTAACCCTCAAAGTGATGGTATTCAGAGTTGGGGCCTTTAGGAAGTAATTAGGTCATTAGGGCAGAGCCCTTATGTATGAGATTACTGCCTTTATAAAGGAGGACCCTGAGAATTCCCTTTCCTTCCCACCATTTAAGGACACAACACCAAGATGGCCATCCATGAACTAGAAAGCAGGCCCTCACCAGACATCAACTCTGCTGGCACCTTGATCATGGACTTCCCAGCCTCCAGAAATGAGAAAAATAAATGTTTACTGCTTATCAGCCACTCCGTTTATATTTCTGTTACAACCCAACGGACTAAGACAGAAGATGACACTCCAAACTAAGAAGCATTCAGATTTTGAAATAAAAAATTTTTCCTCATTCTGAGTCAGAAGTTCAATTACTATTTATTAAGTAATTAAGTAGATAGCAAAAAAAAACCACAGTGTCACTGGATTTGTTTACTTTCCAAATAAACACTAAATGAAAATAAAAATGAGTTTACATGTTAGCACATGTTTTGGTCAGTTTTCCAAAGTTATCTGCAATTATACTGACAAATGGAAATCAAACAGAGTAAATGTGAAAATCTGTCCAACATCACTAGTAATGGAAGAACTACAAATCTAAACAAAGAGATATTAATATTCATCTGTCTAACTCTACACAAATTTTATAATAATAATGACAAATCACAATGAGACAAGTACTTTCACATACTATTGGAAATATTGAAAATTTCTCAAGTCCTTTAACTCATTAATCCCTCTTTTGTTGGTTTATTCTAAGGAAATAATCAGAAATATAGTGAAAGGTTTATGTTTAAGGATACTTGGGTGTATTGGGGTAGCCAATTTACCAAAATATTAACAGTGGTTATCTTTTGTTCTTAGAATTGCAGGTGATTTTTATGTTTCTAATTTTACTATTTCTGTATACTTATATTCAATCCATTTCCAGTCAATGTCTAAAATTGTGTCCTCAAATATTCTAAAAATATCACTAGCCTGCAGGATCACTGCTAATAGCAATAGGCAAGATAAATTGATTCCAACTCAAAAGTCTGTTTTCTACACATCTCTATGATGATGACGTTCTCACATGAGAACATCTAGCCTGCTTGTTTGATGTCTTGTTTAATTATTGGTACTAGAATTAGTCAAACCATTCCAATTTCCACTTACCTGGATTGGATGTGTACTGCATTGCAATCATTAGCATGGATGATGCAGAGAGGTTAACATGGGCAGGTACACCTTCTCTCCTTGAGGAGCCCACTGCAACCAAAAGTTCTTTGATTAGACACAATTTAATCTCTACATATACCTGTTACTTTGCACAGAGCATGAGAGATAAGAAGGAACTTTAAAAAAAAAAATAGCTCCAATAAAGCTAATGGAAGTTTTGCACAAATGAAACCACAAAATGTGTCCTGGCATACAAATGCTACAGTTGTCATCTCCATAGGAAAATTGAGTGAGAATCTATAAGGAGACAGAACAGTGTCAGAAAGTGATGTAATGGCTTTATCTGAGTTGTACTTAGATGGGATCTCTACCCCCATGATGTTTGTATTTAGATGGAAAAGAAAGAAAAAACAGAATCCTCTGTGTGCCCAAAGATAAAGACATATTGAAGGGTATCCCAATGAGAAAATAAAAAGGAAAGGTTTTTAAACTCAAATTGAATGTATTAATTTTTAGAGATGCAGATGAAATAATAGTTTAATTATAATGTATAACATTAATTTAGTTACAATACAAATTCTAAATCACATATTATAAAAAATAATGATATATTAATTTAAAGATTTTCAATTTTCACATATCATTAAACAGTTTTATTCAAACCTTCACGTGTAACTTCATCATCAATGTCTTCATTACCATGAGAACCATTTTTTTAGTTTTCCAGAGCTTACCATCTTCATATTCATCTGAGTTGTTTGAAATAAAGCAATTTGTGAATCTGTGAATAACACAGTTGCTGGGCATTTTATCCTACACCAACAAGCATAAAATCACAAAGCAAATTGGCTTCTTTAAAATCCATCTTACCGCTGTATAATCATGGTCTCCACTCACAAACTGCTTTTAAGACATCTTTAAGTGGCTTGTTTAAGATGACATCAAATACCATATTAAATTTCTTTGTTTCTCATGTTTAAGAGAGTGTATCCAGTCACCCCTTTAAGTATTCAAAAGTAGCACTGATGGAAGTCATTTGGGGAAATACATGGTCTCCCAAGAGGACTTTCTTTCTTTTTTTTTTTTTTTTTTTTTCCTTAGACAGAGTCTCACTCTTGTTGCCCAGGCTGGAGTGCAGTGGCACAATCTCAGCTCACTGCAACCTCCAACCCCTGGGTTCAAGCGATTCTCCTGCCTCGGCCTCCCGAGTAGCTGGGATTACAGGCGCCTGCCCCCACACCCGGCTAATTTTTGTATTTTTAGAAGAGATGGGTTTCACCATCTTGGCCAGGCTAGTCTTGAACTCCTGACCTCGTGATCCACCCACTTCGGCCTCCCAGAGTGCTGGGATTACAAGCGTGAGCCACTGTGCCTGGCCCCAAGAGGACTTTCTTATTTCAAACACAGTAATTGAGAGAGGACCCACCACAGGAGAAACTTTATTAGGACTCAAATATAAAATAAATTCCTCTTTTTCTCAGGGAAAATTGCAGAAGTAGAAGAAACCTCGCCTTACACTTGGGCTTGTGTGGCAGAGTGTCAAGCATGAACAGAATGGTGCAGACAGCATAAAACCCTCAAAAAGTCAACCCTTAGATTTCTAAACATAATAGAGAAGACCACTGCCACAGGCAACAACAAAAAGCAAATAACCTCAAAATCTGCTTTATTTTATTTTATATTAAAGTACAATAGGTGTGGATTATATCTCACCTACATCCAAAAAGGATAGATAACTTCTAATAGAACACATGTATAATAGAATCATCAAAACACTAATAAAAATTTGTCATACAATAAATCAGAGGAGATAAAAAAAATTAACACAATTCTTTTCTTTTTACATAAAGGAATTTGGGCACCAAAGTAGACAGTGGCCTTTAAAACAATTTTACAGAAATAAACAAACAAAACATATCTATCACTAAGTTCCATTTACTTAAGTTGGCTTTTATTAATCACTTGCAGCTAGGCAGCTGCTAACCCAGCTGCCTACGCCGGTGATACTCAGGGAGATAAACTAGTTTGGCTCCACAACTTATTAATAAATAAGTATTAATAATTAGACAAAGATTGGAGAACAATTCACTGCTCTTAGATGTCAAGTTGATTAATCAAATGTGATTAATCAAGAAAGAAGAACTTTCAGCCAAATGCTAAGGAACAAAGTGCACGCTGGCTGCTCTCAAACTGTAGCCAAGCAGCTTGTTCAAATTCAGCTTCTTTGGGGCCAAAGAAGATGCTTCTGGAGAGTCAGCTTGGAAACTACATGTTTCCAGGAAAGTACCTGTTTAATTAATAAGCACATCAGGTGATTCTGATGCAAGCTGGCTTTGGACCACTCTTTGAGAAGTACTATTAGAGGGACGAGAAATAAGAAAGAAAATGCCCAGTAAGGTGTCCAGGTGCAGGAAGAATAATTGCACACCCTGTGCCCTTTGTTAAAAAAAAGAAAAGAGAAATTCTTGTCTCAGATGTATTCAAGAAATACACACACGCACACACACACACACACACGTATATATATACATATATATATATACACATATATATACACATATATATACATATATATATTCTTGTTTTGGGACAAGTGTTTCACCTTTGTTTAAATTCATCTCAAACTTTTTAATAATATGCATTTAATAATATGTATTTCTCAACAATGAAAACTGCTATTAAGGAAGGCTGAGAGTCACTGTAAATGGAGGCCTTTAAAAGTAGGAAAGATGCCCACATGTCTCAGATGATTTAGGCGAAGCCTATTTGCAGAATGGCCCAAATGGCTCAGCCACCTCTGGATGTCCCTCCTATTCCAACAAATCCATACTCTCCCTCAAGAATGACCAGCCAGGAGGCCAAAAGCATTCCCCTGGCTCAAGCCCTAGAAAACTGGCTGCAATACTTACATAAACAGACGGTGCCTTACAATTTCCTAGCCTTCTAACAGACTGAATAAAATCATTGCAATTCTAATTTAATAAACATGCACAGGCACACATCATTTATTGAATCTTGTTAAAAAGGCATGATGTAAACAGATGTGCAGCTTGTCCCCATGAGGGTGTAAAAAGCCAAGACTATAAACAATAGAAGGGAGAAGATAATTAATCAAAATAAGAAAATTTTGCATTTAATATTGTGCTCAGGAAATACAATTAAAAGTTCTCAGTCCTATTCCCTATCCTCCCAGCATCACCAGAACAATCATTACCATGATCTCCTCCCTCCAGAAATAGTAACAATGCCTTAATATGTTCCTGCATTTTGTAGTTCTGAATATATTATTATGTACAGCTCTTATATGACTATCATCCAAAAGAGGAGTTATATAGGAAAAGCCATTTTATGAAAGAGAGATCATCAAGTTATTTGCATGACAGCACCAACCTAATCATTGGGACTGCAGGCCAAGTCACTTGATTTCATAGCTAATGCTCTAGTCACTTATTAAATTCAACAACTTTTTTGGTCAGTACTTCCTGTATACTAAACATTGTTCTAGGTCCTGGGGATACAGTGCTAAAAACAGACAAGTCATCATTAAAAAGTCAGGAAACAACAGGTGCTGGAGAGGATGTGGAGAAATAGGAACACTTTTACACTGTTGGTGGGACTGTAAACTAGTTCAACCATTGTGGAAGACAGTGTGGTGGTTCCTCAAGGATCTAGAACTAGAAATCCCTGATCCCATTACTGGGTATATACCCAAAGGATTATAAATCATGCTGCTATAAAGACACATGCACAGGTATGTTTGTTGTGGCACTATTCACAATAGCAAAGACTTGGAACCAACCCAAATGTCCATCAATGATAGACTGGATTAACAAAATGTGGCACATATACACCATGGAATACTATGCAGCCATAAAAAAGGATGAGTTCATGCCCTTTGTAGGGACATAGATGAAGCTGGAAACCATCATTCTGAGCAAACTATCGCAAGGACAGAAAACCAAACACCGCATGTTCTCACTCATAGGTGGGAATTGAACACTGAGAACACCTGGACCCAGGATGCGGAACATCACACACAGGGGCCTCTCATGTGTCGTGGGGTTGGGGGAGGGGGGAGGGATAGCATTAGGTGATATACCTAATGTAAATGATGAGTTAATGGGACTCCAACATGGCAGCACACCAACATGGCACATGTATACATATGTAACAAACCTGCATATTGTGCATATGTACCCTAGAACTTAAAGTATAATTAAAAAAAAAAAAAAGACAGACAGGTCTTTGTCCTTATGGATCCTAGATGCTAGAGCTGTGTTACCTGATATGGTGACCACTAGTCACACGTGGCTATTTAAATTTAATTAAAATTAAATAATATTAAAAATTCCATTCCTCAGTCTCACTGAACACATTTTAAGAGCTTAGTAGCCACATGGGGCTAGTGGCTACTCTACTGGACAGCACAAAATTTTTAATGTTTTTATGGAACATTCCATCATTACAGGAAGTTCTGTAGACAGCGCTATTCTACAAGAAAGGGCAAACAGGTACTTGTGGCAAAATGGAAGCAGTGCAAGGGAATAAAGAGAAAGCGATGGAAGGTCCTGTTTTAGCCAGAGGGTAAGGAAGGGCATCTTGAAAGATGTACTTGAGCTTGAACCTAAAGAATGTAAGGAAGCAAATAATCATGAGACCATTTGGGAGAAGGACTTTGAAGACAGAGAATAAAGCATGGAGCAAAAGCAAAAGTGTGGTGCCTTTGTGAAACTGCAGAAAGGCCAAGGCTCCTGGAGCAGAGTGAAGACAAGGAGATGTAGTAATTGAAACAGGAAGGTAGTCAAGGGTCAGGTCATAGAGGGCCTGTGAGCTAAGGAAGGGCACTGAATTTGATTTGTAAGAGTAACGGGAAGCTAGACGGTTTTGCTGAAGGAAGTGGCATGATCTGATTTACATGTTTGGAGGATAGCTCTGGCTTTTTGATGGAGAGCAGAAGGTAGGAGGGCTAAAAAGGGAAGCAGGGAGACCAGTTCGGAAGCTACTGGACTGGCCCCAATGAAAGCTGGTGGTAAGAAGTGGCCTGAATGGGGATATACTGAAATGAATTCCAGTGGCTTTATACTTGTCTAAAGGGTGAAGGTAAAGGAGACACCTGGCAGGAAGAAACACATTATGGTGTAAGTTTTTCAATGTGACAGAACCATTTCCTGTATTCTGCCAGACTGCACTGCCTGGATTAAAAAGCGGTCTCACCTCTACGCGGGCCTCCTACTTGTGTGAGCAGAGGTAATTGTGTTCCATGAGATAGGGTTTAAGCATAAGATGTCCATCCCTTCAGAAGGGCATTATCAGTTAAACATAAAGGGAAGACCAAGACAACGTGACCTGGAAGCCTACACAGCATTAAAATATTTGCAGAATTATAGATTAATGAAAAGTCATGGACAGAATGCCCATTAACACTGTGGAAGTGGTCTGTCAGATTCTGTGAATCCAAAAACTGCTACAATCATTATTTTTATTATACAACAAACTCTAGAAGAAAAAGTTGCCAAGCCCCAGCAGATGGCCTCTTACCTCAAGCAATATTTAAGATGATGAAATTTCAGGACAGTGTGTGAATTTCAACTAAGTATTGGAATGAGTTGCAATGGGATTTAACAGGTCTGTGATTTGACTATGCATTTGGCCTGATATACACGTGCATAATATCACATGATATTTTAAGGCTATTCTCATACATTATTCCATGGTCTTCACAACAAACATGGGATGTAGACACAGGAAGTTATCCTTAATCACCATTTTACAGCTAAGGAAACCAAAGTTCCATGAGGTTAGGAGATTTGCCAATAGTTGAAGGATTATAACTCAGCTCTTCTGGATTTCTATTTCAAAACATTTCCCATGACTCGGCAATAAAACTCTCAAAGTATATAGGGAAACCTATCTTAGAAAAACAACCAGTAGCTAATAAAACAGACTGCATATATTAAAGATTATTTAAATATCATTAATATTTTGCATTTTTACTGTTTTTTCTATGTGTTATTAGTCTTTGGAAGGTTATAGAAACATAACATGCACCCTCTGTAGTAGTAGGAATAGAACAAAAAATGGTAAGTCACGCAATTGCCTTTAAGATAATGCCCTTAAGATTTAAATGAACCTTTATTTTTCCTGAAGGTAAGTGACTTTTTGAGAAAATTTAAGGTGGAAAGGGAACTAGATGAGACCGCATAGTCTGGGATACTAGGATACGTTAGAATAATCTTAAACAATTATATCTTAAGCTGATATAATTGTTCAGCTTTATTATCATCTTTACAATAACATAGCCTGCATCAGTCAATGTTCACTTGGAATCAGCTCTTTCTCTTCTCTGCCAAAGCCATCATCTCCCAAATCTCCATATTTCAATTCAGTCCACAAATCACAGATCCTTTATTGGAAAAAGAGAGGTTTCCATGGTGACATGCAAATGACTTTCTCAATTCTTAGTAACTCCTTTAATATATTTTTTATAAACAAAGCATATTGAGCACATTTGGAATAAAGAGAAATATATTTTATTTATGGAAGGAGTTAAAAAGAAAAGCTATGTCAAAGGAAAATTTCACAATAAGTAAGTTGAAGTTTGCTCTGCAGAACCTTAAAAGGACTCATTCTAAAATAAAAGTCCAGCACTTGGTTTATTGACAAGGATGGTAAGGAGGAAATCTCTGATATACATGCTGGCCTCTTACTCTGAAGAGCTGCAATACCTCATTAGGTCCACTTCAAAGATCAGAACTTTATCTTCTAGGTCCTTAAGGATAGAATCATTTTATACCTGAAAAGCAGTTCATGTTTTCCATCTGACATTAGGAACACCACACCAAAAAGCCTTTTTGTCTTAAAGACTTTATCAAGTACTCAGGACATACAATATCCTTCATCCTAACATCTCAGTCCTGAAATAAAAATATTCTGCAAGAAGTTATGCGTTCTTGTCTTGTTTTGGTCACAATTTCTAGACACCAAAACAACTACCAAAAAAATAGAAAAAACATGAATACGACACACGGACACACATTCTCACATCAGTCCATTTTAACATGATTAATCTGAAACTATATCCTTCTGGTTTTGGATCTATGTCTTTGTATACTCATGAAATAACAAGTACAAAGGAAACACCTGAATGGTGTAATCGAATTTGGCTGTAAAGGTTGGTATTACAATTTATTTTCAAAGACTTAAAGATGACAAATATTGGCTATTATTGAACCACAGGAATGATTATGAGAAAGGAAAGTCAAAGCCAAAAGACTAAAACCAGAG
Source organism: Homo sapiens (assembly GCF_000001405.40). Taxonomy (NCBI): domain Eukaryota; kingdom Metazoa; phylum Chordata; class Mammalia; order Primates; family Hominidae; genus Homo; species Homo sapiens. The sequence continues at coordinate 93,480,468 of NC_000014.9, read as the reverse complement.
CAACAAAATAAACACATGAAGTAGACCAACAACTAGGTTAGAGGACAATACGTGCCTCTTACATAAAATAATATTGATGTTACTTAAACTAGAATTAGTACGCCAGAAGTAATCTGCGAGACTGAACATTTTTTTCAAACCCCTTCTTTATAGTTAAAAAAAATGGGACCTTGGGAACATGAAGTGACTTGTTCATACCTTCAAATAAATGCCAAGTTACTCCTCTAATAAACATTAAAATATACACAAATTTTGTAAACTCAACTTACTGTTTTATTCTCCTCAGTTGCCAAGGTTTGTACATTTATGTAAGTAAGAATTCTAACGTGACTACATGGCATGTTTTGGGATCTGTGTTTCTAATTAAGTAGAAATTAATAATTAAGTGTAAAGAAACAAATTGTCAGCTATCACAATACTTGATCAATCTTAAATGTAACTTCAGAGGCCTGATATTTTCAACACCTCTCCCATAATTATTAACTTATTCCTAAGAAGGAGGGATTTAGTGAATTAGATTAATTGTTAGAAAGCTACAGCCTCCTCATTAATCCCACCATCGCCTCCCAGCACTTTGGAGCCTGAGGCAAGAGGATCACTTGAGGCTGGGAATTCCAGATCAGCCTGGGAAACATAGTGAGACCCCATCTCTACAAAAAAATTTTTTTAATTAGCTGGGCATGGTGGTAGAGGCCTTCACACCCTACTTGGGAGCCTAAGGCAAAAGGATCGCTTAAGCCGAGGAGTTTGAGGCTGCAGTGAGCTATGACTGTGCCACTGCACTCCAGCCCAGGCAACAGAATAAGACCCTATATCAAAAAAGAAAAGAAAAGAGAGAGAGAGAGAGAGGAAGGGAGGAAGGGAAGGAGGAAGCCAGGTGCAGTGGCTCACGCCTGTAATCCCAGCACTTTGGGAGGCTGAGGCGGGTGGATCACCTGAGGTCAGGAGTTTGAGACCAGCCTGGCCAACATGGCAAAACCCCATCTCTACTAAAAATACAAAAATTAGCTGGGCGTGGTGGCTGGTGCCTGTAGTCCCAGCTATTTGGGAGGCTGAGGCAGGAGAATCACTTGAACTCAGGAGGCAGAGGTTATAGTGAGCCAAAACTGCACCACTGCACTTCTGCCTGGGTGACAGAGTGTTACTTCATCTCAAAAAACTAAAGAAAGAAAGAAGGGACGAAGGGAGGAAGGGAAGAATGGAGGGAGGGAGAAAGGGAGGGAAGGAGGAAGGAAGGAAAGGAAGGAAGGAAGGAAGGAAGGAAGGAAGGAAGGAAGGAAGGAAGGAAGGAAGGAAACAGCCTCATCTGTTATGCTTCAAAAAACCAAAAATTCTTATGCCTAAGTTTAACAGTTAACATCACTTATTTTAAAGATATGACTATGCAATTCTAAAACGATATCAAGAAATGAGTACTTGTCAGTAAGAACAAAAGAAGAAAATGATCAAATATTGTATTACTTGAATGGTATGATCAGTCTGCTAATTTTTTTGAATTGCTATATAATTTAGGGAGAAGTCAAACTCTTTGCTGAAAGACATGAAAAGTACAATTCCATAGCTAACATTAAACTTGATTGTAAAAATAAGCAAATGTAGCTCAAAAGATATATATGGTTACCAATTGTTATTACAGAGCAACAACTTTAATAAGATCGTAAGTACATAAAATTAAAATGTGAATAATGATCACTAGGAGTTGAATGTAACCAACGAAAGTATTTTTCTAAAACAATAGTTGAGAGAAGGCGAGAAGCAAGCTGACACTTATTGCATACCAGGCATTGTGCTAGCATTTTACCAATGTTCCAAGTTAACCATCTTAATTATCCCACAACTTCATGAGGCAGCTATTATTATTATTATTATTTTATAAGAAAGAAACAGAAAGTTGGGTAATTTGCCTAAAGTCATATAGCTAGTAGGTGGAAGAGCTGTGATTTGGATCCCAACGTTTGACTCCTAAATCCACAATCTTTTCGGATTTCCCACTGAAACATAGATTAATCCATAATCCATTTCTTTAAAAAATACTTGAAAATGATTTTGATCATAAAAACCACAATGCAATATTTTTTTCTCTTTGTGCGCATGTCTGGAAAGCCTGTAAGATTAAGTCTACAGAAATGAAACAGGATTCAAATCAGTTTTATGTTTATAATCATACATTGCACATGACTTGGAAGCTTTAGCTTTTTTCAGTGCTTTCATAAATTTCGAGTCACTTTATCATCACGATACCTCTATAAGGGAAAGCTGATGGATTCGTCACTCTGTAGATGATGTTTCAACTATGTGAGCTGCCCAGATTAGAGGCAGAGCTGGGACCAGAATTTACACATCCTGACTATCTAATGCTCTTTCTATTAGATCCTACTGCCTTCAAAGCCAAAAGATAGGAATTTCTGCATCTGAGACAATACTTTCCCCATCTTTTTTCTAAAGTGGTAAAAGATACTGTAACTTATACATAGGAAATCTAGACTGCCTTGATATGTTCTTTTTTTCTATTCTATAAGATCAAACAGTCTGAATAAAACAATTTTAAGCCCTAACGCCTTTCATTTCTTTGACTTTCGCCATAATATCCATGCTAAAGTGACTGAATTGAAATCATAGCTCCTGTATATATCAAGTGATTCCATTATAATCTCGAAAAACTAGAGCCTATAACAGCAAAAGCAATTTCCATTCATATCATACATAAAAATAATCTAGTATTAGGTAAGATTGGACTTACATATAGCCATTGGTAGAAAAGATGTGCTAAGATATTCAATGATATCCTTGTGCAGAAATGGAGGAAAGGTAGCCAACGTTGATATCATCGTGTAGGGCAAAGTACTCAGAATATCATCATTGAGAAAAGGTAGCAAACATGTAGTTGTATAAAATATCGACTGTCCAAGATCTACAAAACAAAATTGAGTAATCAGTCACTGAATATTTTGCAATTAACAAAATAGGCTAACTTTACATTTTAAGCTTTAATGAACTGGTTTAAGTTATAAGCAACTAGTGCTCCATCTCTATTAAGTGTTATGAAACATAATGTTTGATAGGGTACTATTTATACAGTAATTGGTCAATAAATGACTGATGAATGAATATGTTAAGAAATATAAATATCCATTACATGCATTTTTCCTCCACACTTTCTCAATCTTCAATAATACTTGGTATTTGTATTACTACATTCTACACAAGATAACTGAGGCACAAGAAGTTAGATGATTTGCCCAATGGAAGTTTTAGAAAAGTCAAGGGCAGTATCAGAAATAAAACCGGGCTATTTCTGCTCCATCAATCAAACCATCTGGAGTGTCGGGCAATGAGGTAATTTGCAACCTTCAGCCGAGCAGCAATTTCAGCAAGCACCAAACAAGGGAAGCCGTAAGCTGGTGCTACATGACCATGTGCATTGAGTCATCAATGATCATGGGAGGAAGTGCTACCTAATAATAATCTTTCTAACAACATCTTTAAACAGGGATCATAACAATACCTACCTCACTTCATTAGAAGGATTGTTAGGAGGTTTTAATGAGATAAATGTAAAGTCCTTAGCATAGCACATACTGTGTGCTCCACAAATATTAGCTGTTATTACTAATATTAACAGTTACTATTATTATTACCTGCACAAGAATAAAAATAAAGGAGATGCAACAAAACCATAACTATTTAGCTTTAGAATGCATGTAGGCCAAATCCCATTACACTAAATGTACATTTGTATATTCCTGGACTTCCCAAAATATAGGCCATCAGCCAAGGTTTGATGATGAAGACTTGGATCACTTTTGTATTCATTATAACAGAAAAGTACTAGACTCTTCTTTGTTTTGCAGCAGATGAACCTTCTTTGGATTCCTAATGTTATTTCTGATTGTCGTTAGAATTAATATGCCATCTTAACAGGCACATCAGCTAACAACAGAAAGGATGTGGCCACAGTGCACACTAGAGGGCCAGAGTCAGTCAACCTTGAGCTCAAATGAATGAAATGGAAAATCCACAGGTGTTTTACTAAGAATTAACCGAAGCTGTGCATACAAGACACCTCAGCTCCTTTTGCTGAGCCTTTTAGCCTAATTACAGAACATTAGCACTGAAAGGAGCCCAACTGGAGTATTTTTCATATAAGGAAACTGAGGTCCGGAGAGAGGTGATTGTTCAGGATCACCTGAGAGTTAGCAGTTGAACTGCGACAAAACCGTTGCCTAGTGCTCTTCCTGTGCTCCACCCAGACCCAGCAGCAAGACACAGCCTCCGGTCTTAGTGCAGCGGCTCTCAAAGTCTATGCAAAAGAAGCGTCCACAAGGATCTTGCTAAAAATTCAGATCCTCAGGCCCCACCTCTCAGTGATTCTTAGTAACTAGTCCCCGGGTGGGACCAGAATTCCATGTTACAAACTCCCTCAGTGATTCCGATGTTTTTCAGACCATGCTTCAAGAAACAATGCCGTATTGTTTCTCTGAACCATTCATTAGATTGATCTACTGAGTTTTTTCCTACCTTCTAAGCTCTATCATGCAGAACAAGAACACGATAGCTAAATAACAATGTCACAAAGTCACAAAACAGCCGCAGGTACAAGAGCAAAAATACAAATCATCTCCCCTGAAATCGTCACAATTTACACATTAATTGCAATTACACAGATTGCAATTTACCAAATTTAATGTCTTTATCTTAATCAAGGGGCTTTGAAGATAACGGGCAGCTCCCCTAACACAGTGGACCAACCCAGGACCAGGCAAGTCCCAGGTGAGTTCAGGACTAGTAGTCACGAAGGAGACGCACTGACAAGCTCATCAGCATAGTAAGCTCTGGCAGTCTTATGTTAAGAATCCTCTCATTTAAGTTCAGAGCTGGCAGAGGATCACAGCAGAAGTGGCTAGATTTAAGACGGCTACAGAATTATACAAAAAGCAACTTTACGAATTTCTATACCTTTTACATTCACCATAACACAGAATTGTAAATGTAAGAAAAAACAAATCCAATAGTCATTATTTCATCATTTTTATCTCCGTAGATTTTTAAACTTTTAATATTATGAACACGTTGTACTAAATAAACCATCAAGAATTCTCTTAGGGGAGTTAGCCATAACTAAAAGACAAAATAACCCCCACTACCCACTTATTTTCCAAAATTCAAATTTTTCTGTACAGTGAAACTTTGGTTATCATACTTTCAGGGACCAAATTATCAGAGTTTTGAAGTTAAAATAACTAATGTTTTAAAGTGCATTACCTGCAGAAATCCCTTTTCTTATTGCATTGTTTTTCATTTGATTCTCCCATTTTTACAGGTTAGGAGAATTTGGTAAGCAACCAAGATAATGAAACTGGCTAAGGACACAGAGTAGAAAGGGGGAAGAGTTAAGAAAAGAAGCAGGCTCTTAGACTTCTATTCTAAGCACCACTAATATCATATATTGTATACATACTGCAAATAGCACATAGCACCACTAATACCATATGCTGAATACAGCATACAGCGCCACTATATACTATATCTACATTTTGATACAACATTTTGTAATAACTATTGATTGTTGTTTACATTTGGAAGAGTTGTTAGAGATTACTTCTCATCTAACCTCCTGACTTTATTAAAGAGACAGGAAAAAATGGGTCCTAGAGAATTTGCTCCCTCAAAAATTACCGAATCAGTCAGTGGATTATAGCCTGCTCTTCATGCTCTACTTCTTAATTTTCTGGGTGACAGTTTTAAAATCTTATCTCCCCACTCATAATTTCAACAAGAGTCCTCATGATAACTGATCAGGAAAGAAGAGAAAATTTCTTGTTATACATCTTCCTCCTTTCTCCAGCCCCATTCTCCCCCAATACTCCACTTGGATAACATCCCTCTGGCAATAAAACAGTGTAAAATAATAGTATGGGAAGCACCATAATGAAGTTTCAGTGTAGTGCTTCTAGCCACACAAAGCCCTTTCAGGTGATTGATTACAACAGTGACCATCTCCAAGCCCCTTGCTCAGCATCATATACATTCATAAGCATCCACGTACATTTCCAAAGGTTTCAGCTAAGTGCTCACCGTGTTGGCCGTGCTGTAGTAAAGGAACTAGATCCAGGAGGGTCACCAAAGTCACGTAGAGGCCTTGGTAGTCCAAAGAAGGGTAGTCTGACAACTGAGCATCACGACTTTGCGGGCCGCGTTCTGAGGGAGCATCTCGCAGGACGCTGTAAAGGAGGGAGCGAGTAACAGTAGGGTTGATGGAACTGACCTGCGGTCTTAGAGATGGGGTGAGTGGGAATGGCACAGGAAAAAGACACATGGTCATGGGCACTGTCAAATTGGAGGCATCTTGGTTTTCCTTCTTCCCTGTGCGGGACAAAATGCTGTTGGGGGGACAAAGAAAAAAAAGAGACAACAAAGACACAAAGAACAGCACATTACATTGAAATGACACTCTAAAACAAATAATAAAACACCAGATACATTCCACATAAGATGCAATTGCCACGCCAGCAGGGTCTACCAGTCTAGTACTGGTCACATAGCTTCGTGCTCAGAGGTACCAATAATACAAGGTTTACTTTGTGGAAGTCTCATTGCATCTCATGTGTTATCTGGTTAGTAAGGAGCAAAAATATAAAAATGCATGTTTCAGTGCCAAACCCATGTTTTACAGTTTAGCAATTTGGTGAAGGAGAGGTTTCCTGGGAGAAAAAAACAACGGCTTTGTCTAATGAGTAAGGGCTCTTATTCCTAATTACAAGGAGCTTTCAAAGGAAAAGACATTTTCAGCAAGACTGTCTTCATCAGGTAAATAGGAACTTGCAAAATATAGGTATGGCACTTGCAGAAACATGTTTCAGCAAAGAATAAACATGTGTGTTTATTAAGAAAGTCTTAAAAATCACATGTTTATTGCATCAAAATAATGTCTATATGTATATTATGATACTGTTTCATGACATTCTGTCAGTATCATTTGAGATAATGAAGTTTAAACAGGCATATGAATTTAGAAATAATACATATTTCTAAAATGTTAGCTAAACTACATTGGAAAAGCTATAAAATAATATATAGTTGATGGTCCATAGCATATGTTTGTGAACTAATGATAATGGTTATTTATGTGTGTTTTTTAAATTTTGCATGTTGGGGAGGAAACATTTTATTTTATGAATACAAACAGTGGTTTATTAAATAGTTACCTTCAAAATCCTAACGACTAAGCAAGCAGTATCTGTCATATAGCTGCACATCATACAGTAAGATTTCATATATTACTGCTGCTACTTACGTTATTATTCAACAAAACTCACTAAAGACTAAAGGAAAGATAATTTAGAAAGTTAAAAAAAATTAATGGGAATAAAAATAAATTCTAAAAATAAATTGGTTTTCTTTTAGCCTTAATTTTAAAATAAAAACCTTTTTGGTAAAAGTGATAAAGCAGAAAAGTTGTTAATTTAAAAATAGAAGAAGTTACTGCTTAGCAAAATGTTTAGGTTTTGTAAAATTAGGTTATACTATTTAGCATTAAAGACAATAGCTATACATTAGAATGATAATATCTGCGCACTTGCAAAGTGCTTTTATATAGTACACTTATGTTAGTCCAAGTAGATAACAGTTTATAAATGGTTCATTACATAAAAATAACCTTGTTTTACAGTTGCTCTATGTGCATCAAACATTACTAAGTTCTTAGTTAATGATATTACATTTACAATTTTACAGTGATGTCAAGAATTGGTTAGTGTCAAGCATGCTTGCTCTATCAAGTTTGCATTTATTTTTATTATTTGCTCTTAGTGCAAAATATGTTACAATGTAAGAAAAATGACTACATGCTTTGTATTTTCCATGTGCCTAATTTACCTCGATTTCCTTTGTCTTCTGTTACCCAATGTCCAGGGGAAAACAATTGATAATAATAAAAATAATTTCAGAATACTTATGTAATACTTCTTATCAATAAATAACTTAAGATTTTTTTTTGTAATTTAAAGGGATTTAATTTACCTTTTTGTGTGTGATGTATTTGACTTTGTAAGCTTATACTTTACAATGGGATAATATCAATATTCCAGTTACCACCTGACTGTATCTATTATAAATGCCATCAGATTTTTCATCAGACTTTATACTTTTCTCACATGACTCAATTATTCCTAAGAATACCACCTTTATTAATGTTATATTCTTGATAAACCCAGTCACCAAAAATCTGTTTTAATCCTGTAGGATTCTAATCCCACTGAAAATTCCTCTAGAATCACAATGGCTATAAGTCAGAGATATTATTTCCCAAACTTCGGCCCTAAATTAACCTACTATTGGCATCTTTTCAAAATTACAAAATGTGAATCTTATAGAAGTGGTATAAGGAGAACAACATTTTGCCTTAGAAAATAAAAATAGCTGAATACCATAAATTAATGCTATGCTTTAAATTAAGTGCAATGCTCTGATCAAACTTCTTGGTGGGGGAAATAAACACATTATTTTTTCAAATATACCTTAGTATTTTTCCAAAGTATGATGTCAGTTAACAAATACTTTGGAGACTCTACTTTGATATTTTTCCCTTCCTGTATATGTGGGGTTCCCAAACGATAGCAACAACAGCTTCATACATGCAGGGAGGGAAGAATGTCAGCATGAAAACAGTAAAACTTCTCTCTCACTGCCTTTAGATTTGAGAATTCGGTGAGGTTGAGAAAAAAAATGGCTGAAAATGAGTCATCCATGAAACCAGTTTTAAATTACCATTCATGTCTCAATGTAAGGAAATGTTTTCATTTGTGGAAAAACTTAAGAAGGGCTCATGAATAAATGTACAATGCATTGTGATTTTATGATGTTTTGTGAAGTTTATTCAGAAAAAAAAAAAAGTATTTCCCCAACCAAACTGCCTAACTTGGGAGCTGATAAAACCATTTTCCCCACCTGAAATTCTTTCCCACAGTTCTGTAAACCCAACCAAAATGAATATTAAGAATGCCCTGCTCAGAAGAGTTTGACTCTGCAGCCAGCTTTTCACCTTTCCCTTTTCCTCCTGAGATTCTCTTTATCAAACATTGACTTTCAGCATCAAGAGAGGAAGACCTCTGTTGGTGTGAGGAAAGATGAGAAGTTGCCCTGAGGTATGTATAGCACAGAAAATTAATATGTCAAACAAACTTCCTTTAAGATTAGGAATGTTGACATTTGAGTTGAATCTATGTACTTAACAAAATTTACTTCATTATGCAATGCTCTAAAGTTACTCCATGACTTAACCAATAACATGGAGGATATATACATATATTCTTCCTAAGCAACTGGAAATTACAATTCAATTAAGATTATTATGCTGCATCTACAATCCATTTTTATAACATATTAGGCATTTTCTAAATAGCAGCAAGCAGCTTTCCCCAAATGTAATTTCGTTAAAAGATTTTACATGCTAGCAGCCTAAACAGCACCAGAAGAGAGATCTGGGGGAAGAAATTCCAAAAGAATGTTTGACATAGGAAGAAGACTAGGATCCTTTAAATGTCCTGCCAGGTAAAAAGCAAGATTCTTAAAGACCTTCGCTGTTGAAAATATGGCCACAGGATGTTTCCAATATAAAAAGAACAGACTCCCTCCCATGTAGCAGTGAGGGGAGATTAAACTGGATGGTCTTGGTAGTTACTTCTAATGCTAAAAGCAAACAAAGAACTAAACTCTGAAGTTGTGTGTTGCTCACTGCCAAACTTAGGTATCTGCTAAATTAAAATGAGTACAACTCGGCACTCAGATGTAACTTTACCAGACCCCAGGTCACCACTAGATTAAGTAAATAGCATTAACTAGAAGGATTCCAACGCTGGATGAAATTTGGACTAAAGTCAACTCAATTCAATTCAACAAACATTTACTGATCCCCTTCTCTGGGTTAAACACTGCTCCAGACACAAGGGCTAGCAAGCTAAATAACATGTAGGACTCACCTTCCACTACTAGAGTTTAAGGAATGCCCATGAACACAAATTTGAGTCTAATTATGAGCTAAGTGGACATATGTGGACTCTTCAACTGATTTTATAGTCAACTATGGTAACATACAATCTCTCCCCTCCTACAAATTAAATAAATCGAAGTTAAATGTCTAAGCTAATTTCTGCCTTTTGAAATAGGTACGAAACTCTACTAAAATCATGAGAGTTGTATGCATGCACAAATACCACGAACTATTGCTCCAAAAATGCAACCCTGACTCAAGTGAAGCTGCTGAAATTTCAAGTTGCATATTTTAACCAAAAAAAAACCATTTTAACTTCATTGAGAATATCCACATAGAAAGACAAATAGTTACTTCGTGAGAATTCATCTCTAATTCTTTCTTCTTGTTATTTTTCCCCCAAGAACCTGAGTTCTGAAAGCAAGAAGTGCTTCTGAACATAAAGATCATATTAAATGCTTTAATAATATTAAACAATATATAATAATTTTGCAGTAGAAAATCTTGTTTGTAGTAGAAAATCTTACTGCCACTAATCTTGGACACCAAATGCTTAGACCATATTATTTGTCTTTGAATTTATTTATTTATTTATCTTAGAGATAGGGTGTCGCTCTGTCACCCAGGCTGGAGTACAGTGGTGCAATCAAGGCTCACTGCAGCTTCAAACTCCTAGGGTCAAGCAGTCCTCCTCCCTCAGCTTCTGAGGAGCTTGGACTAAAGGTGCATGCCACCACACCTGGCTAATTGTTAAAAGAATTTTTTTAGAGATGGGGTCTTACTATGTTGTCCAGGCTGATCTCAAACTTGTGGCTGGTCTCAAACTTGAAGTTTGAGACTTCTGGTTGCTAACATTATCTCCACTTAAATTCACTTAAATTCTGAAAAGATGACAAATCTTGGTGCTAAGCACTTCCTTTAATCTGCCACCTCAGCCTCCCAAGCAGCTGGGATTATAGATGCCAGCCACCATGTCTGGCTGTCTTGAACTTTCTAATAGCATAAATAAAATGAAGAAGTACAAATACGATTGTTATAGATGTACATATCAACAGTTCTGTACTTCTAGTTTTAAAAAAAATGGTTGCAATTGTTACTATTACCATTAGCAGTACATGTTGATGTTGCCTCCGTTTGAAAATGAACTCAGCTCAGTTGCATAGGATCTTCTCCAACAAGCCACTTGAACAAACTACCAGTTTTACCACTAAAATACTACCACCTATGATCATATTCTAATGGTCCACTGCTCAAGAAAATGGAATCTTTACGTCTTGCAAACGTGACTTTTCAATATTTTAAATTCCTTAACTCTTGGGCACAATCACTAAGACCTAAGCAGCAAGCTCTGAGGTGCCAACTAGGATATTACAGTTTCCTGGCAAATGGAATTCAGCATGCTTCCTACTGAAAAGTGTCTCTCGCTTTGAGAACTTTCAGAATTTGTCATAAAGGAAACTGTTTTCCATTGAGAACTTGGACCTCAAAGACAAAAGAAGAATTCAAGAGAACAGAATTGGATGCCTTGATTCATAAATTTTTCTGATGATCACTATGAAAATTGGGCTAATTATTCCACTACAATTTGAGAAGAAGGAAAATATCCTGTAAGAGGTCCTAACCTTACCGTGCAAGTATGAAATGTATGAATCTGATAAGCAGGAGCCCTTCAATATAGAACAGGATCACTAAGGACTCTAAAGAAGGAAAGATATTTCAAAAAATAAGAACAGAAAGATAGGAGGACTGCAAAAGATTCGTAGCTGACTTGATCGCATGAAGCTTCCATCCGCAAAGCATTCAGCTTTTCCCGTGGCAAAGCTTTCGACTGCTAGAAACTCCAGTGCCACTAGTCTTTGCAAATTTGTGTTCTCCTAATATCTGTCTTACAAAATTTTTGCTTCTGTACAGCTAAAAGAAACAGTACCAAGCCAATTTATGTGTTGCCAAAATCAGATTTGAAGTGAGAAGACCGTGGTAATGGAGAAACCACATCTTGGAATTTAATGGAACGTGAGAGGTTCTTCTGAATTCTTCAATGTTATTTCTGAAAACAACTGAGCCTTTACTTGAACAGTTCAGCTTTCTTTGCTCTGTTTTCTTAATCAAGATACGTGGAGCAAATAGGGCCCTCCTATCTCTACCTTACAGTAAAAGTAGACAAAAGAAAAAGAGCCCTATTTTTTTTCCTTGTCCTTCATAGAATTTCATTATCAAGGCAAAGCATGTTGAACATGTGAAGTGTTACCCAGATTAAAAATAACTATTATCACTGTATATTACACTTAGGGAAATAGAAAATGCTAATGATGAACCTAAAATGCCACATAATTCTGAATTGCTTTTAGACCAAAAGTGTTTCCAATTATTAATTTTAAGCAATTGTAGGCTATCCTTTTAATCCCACTCTATATTAGTGCCAAATATAGAACTGTATCATTTTAAAGATGCCCTGAAAAGATGTTCAATGCGGGAAAGCAGGCAGTAGCCAGGCAACCAATCTTTTTCAGCTGGGCCTGGGATCCAATTTGCTACATACACCCAGAGAACTTGAGCACAGACTCTTCTGACAGAGCACTAGAAAACATAGGCCCTTTAAAACTTGCAATTCAATAAAAATTTAGATCCCAATAAATTCAGCAATACTACCTAATAATTCTCTCAAAGTAGAGGATATTGTAAAGCTTACCTTAACAAGGTCTGAGAAAAGTATTTCAAGGTGTTTGCAATATCTGTTCCTGATGGTACAGGATAAATGTTGTGGAGAACCCGGTTATGATATTCCTGCAAGTACCGGATCTTGGAAGCAACTAGATAAAAGCAAAAAAAAAAAAAAAAAAAAAAAAAAAAAAGGAAGAAGAAAAAGAAAGAGAAGAATCATCTTGTAATATGTATTAGGCATACAGTCATTTTTAAAAATGATTACAAACAAGAATTTAATCAGTATTTTAAGAAACATAAGTAAATTTTTAATAGAATTCCATGATAGAAACAATTACAAAAAAACTTTTAATTTCTTTTAATTGTATTCGGCACACAAAATTATTCTTAGTTTTCTGGTTTAATATCCTATTCACAAATTATCTATTGCTTGTTTTTATCACTAAGAAAAGCAGTACTCCAAATTGTTTTCTAATCACCCCCAAGTTGGCTTATTATTAGCAAAATAATAATAGATATAAGTCTTTGCCAAGGAATTACATTTAATGTTGCTTAACTAAAACTGAAGGAGAAAACTGAAAAGTCTTTCTACAACACTCAAAAAATCCTAAAATATAGGGAGTTCCATTGCACAATGGCATCAATTGAAGTCAGATTATTAACTCAACATGTGATCATGAAAGTGTGTTTAGTAAATGCTTTAGCTGTGAGAATATGTTAAGAGTAGATTAACATGATGAGTGTTAAGTAAGAATACAATGATTGTGCACTAATAAAAATGTAAAAAATAAATGTCACATTTTTCTTCCAAAGAATCTCATAAATTAGGAGACTTCCTAATAGCTTTCTGAGCTTGGCTGCCCAGATCTTCTCAAGATTCAGGAGGGACTCAATAGATTTATTTACCCTCCTAGACCTACCTGGAGTCACCAGCATTGTCCACATTCCTGACCTGACCTTTGACCTGGCTGTAGTGAAGGACCCCGTTCTAGTCATTCCTCTTTGCAAATCCCAAGGAGCCATGATGATCAACGTCTCTCTGGTCTCCTCTTCCACAGAGTTCTCAACACTGTCCATTTGTCCTTTCAATCTTTAAGGGAGCCTTTTAGGTGGTATGGCTCACTGTCAGCAGTTAACAGAAGACATATCAAGTCCTGGAGAAGCAAGGCCTGCTGTTCCCAATAACCCACGGAAATAAGCTCCTGGATGCATTCTAACTCAAAATCCTTTTGATAAGTGTGGGACGTAGAAGCACAGAACGACAAAATATCAGAACTGGAAGGACCTTAGAGACCTCTTCCCATAACCACTTCCTTTTAAAGATGGGGAAAATGAGGCACATAGGTGGTCAATGGCAGAGCCAGACTAGTACTTAGATTTCCTGATCCCAATCCAGTGATCTTTCCACTATGACACACTCTAGAATATGACTCTGAAATTATGTCCACGTGAACGTGACATCCACATGAATGTGAACGTCCATTGCTTGACATCAAAGCAATTTCCAGAAGTTACCAGGTTAATCACTGATTCTAAATCCTACATACACTATTTATCAGATTTGCCTTTTCTCTCTTCCACTACCTGAACTATTTCCATAATATGGTTAGCATTTTCCCAAAGAAATAAGTCTAGATTGCAGATAATAATACCTTGAGTCTATGTAACACATCAGCTCCAAAGAAAGCAATAAGTTTATAAACATCATCTCAATTAACTCCATAAATATTTGGTAGTAAATAACTTTTTTTCCTGAGATAATAGGTGATACTTGAAAACAGTTTGATTGCATAATCTACAAAAGTCCATTTCCTTCTCAGTGTTTTTGATCTGCTATTCATTATATTTCAAAAACCATACTACAAGAAAATCCCCACATTAATGCATAGTTCCAAGTTCCAAATATCCGAGATATATGCTAGGCCAGCACATGCTGTCTGCTCACCCACTGTCACAGTAATGAAGCATTACTGTGACTTTTCTCAAGTTTTAATATTCAGCAAGTTTCTGTAGAGTATTTCAGGAATACCATTAATCATTCCATCACCTAAGTAAAGGAGTTGATAATAGTACAGGGTATGGACAATAAGTTCAAATGAGGAAAAAACTCACAAATCCCTCAACTCAATGGCTTGCTCATAATTCAAGAGCTATAAAACCATCACTACACAATGATTACAAGCATTCAAAAATGTTTATGAAATGAAAGGATGTTCTTTTTATAGCTCTTTTCATTAAAATGCAGCAATAGCTCCTTTCCACAGGTACCCAAATATGCACAGCAAAGCAGAGACAAGAGTCACTTTTTTCTTTGAGATCTTGTAATGTTACAAAAGTCATATTGCATTGTCTCTGTGTACTTACCTGCTTGTTTTTCTATACCAGCTTGTAAATTTCTTAAGGGCAGAAACTATACCTTACTCATGGCTCTATCCCAAGCCTAACACACTGTCTGGCACTTAGTAGGGACTCAATATATTCATAGGATTAAATTAACAAATGAATTAATACTTTAGTAACAGCACTTATCACTCAGGTCTTTAGGATATATAGAGAGTATACATATCTGCATATATATGTACACTATACACATATATACCTGCATATAGACATACGATAGATTGTGGACTCTTCATCCTTAGTGCCAGACACCTAGTAGGTACTCAATAAATTGTTGATAAGTGAAGATGGAGAAAAAAAAGGAAGAAAGAAAGTGGGACAGAGAAAGAGGAAGAGAGTGGTGAGTAATCATGAAAGACCATTTTTAGAACAGATTGAAAAAAATGTTCAAGCCAATTTGTGCATTGGTGAATGCAACAAAATCTTAGCAGTAATAGATTTAACATCCACGTTTTCAACAACTTGAGAGCAGCCAAAAAGGTCCATGACAAATAGTAATTTGTACTTGTGCCAAGGATGTGAATAAAACTCATTTACAGTTCAATTTTGTGCACGAGAGGTGGTCATTTGGCTGGTTAATAAGCCCATGTGAGCATCCAGCAGCCTCATCAAAGCAGGGCTCCTCTTTACTCCACACATATACCTGACTGCTGCTGCGGAGGCTCGAATAATTGGGCCCAATAGATATAAATGAATGATCTTCAACCTCAACTGACCCTAAGGCTACATTTCTCTAGTAAGCTCCTTCTTCTACACTCTTCAATTATAGTTATACTATCTTCAAAACTCCCCCCGGGGCCACCCCTTTCCTTATACTTTAAAAAGCCATCTGTTATTGACTGAATTTTGTGGCGCTTAGAATTCATATGTTGAAACCTTAACCTCAAAATGTGACTGTACCCAGAGATAAGGCCTTTAAAAGGGTGATTAAGTTAAAATGAGGCCGTTTCCGTGGTGGACCCTAATCCAATCTGACTGCTGTCCTTTTAAGAGGAGATTAGGACACATAAGAGATACCAGAAATGTGGGAACACAGAGGAAAGGCCACGTGAGGACAGAGAGAGAAGGCAGCCATCTGCAAGTCAAGGAGAGAGGCCTCAGGAGAAACCAAACCTGCCAACACCTCAATCTCAGACTTCAAGCCTCCAGAACTGTGAGAAAATACATTTCTGTTGTTTTAGCCACCCAGTCTGTGGTACTTTTATGGCAGCTGGAGCAAACTAATACACCATCATAGAGGAAATCTTTTTTTGTTTTGTTTTGTTTTGTTTTAGATGGAGTCTCGCTCTGTCACCCAGGCTGGAGTGCAGTGGCACGATCTCGGCTCACTACCAGCTCTGCCTCCTGGGTTCACGCCATTCTCCTGCCTCAGCCTCCCAAGTAGCTGGGACTACAGGTGCCCACCACCACGCCCGGCTAATTTTTTGTAATTTTAGTAGAGATGGGGTTTCACCGTGTTAGCCAGTATGGTCTCAATCTCCTGACCTCGTGATCCGCCCGCCTCCGCCTCCCAAAGTGCTGGGATTACAAGCATGAACCACAGCGCCCGGCCCCGAGGAAATCTTATTAGTAAGAGTTAAGAATATGAACTCTGAAATCAAACAGTTCTGACTTAAGGCCTTGGATCTATCTCCACTTAAGCCCAATTTCCTCATCTGTAAAATGGGGATAATTACATCAACTTCACAGGGCTACTGTGATTACTGTGCTATTGTGATTATGGTGCGAGTGGATACTTTGCACAGTGCCTGGTATACACTCCACATATATTAAATAGTAGATGTCAAAAACCTACTAGCAGCTCCTTTCCTTGTCCTGTCAAACACCAATCCCAGCATTCACTGGGGCTCTCCATCCATCAGTGTGTCTCCTATGAAATTAATCTCTCCTCCTTTGCTAAATCATTCCTACCAGGATTCAAACAAACTGTAGAATCTCTCTTGTCGAAGGGAAAGAAAAAACCTCTCTCCTGCCTTTCCATTCCCCTCCAGCGACAGTCCTCTGCCTTCAGAGCCAAGATGATGAAGAGTCTTGCACACATTCTCCTCTCTCTGTCACTTTCTATTCCTCCTTCCACTCACTCCAGTTTGGCTCCCACATCCACCACTGCACTGAATCCATTTCCCACAATCATCTAGAGCCTCCAGATTGCCAATCCATCAGGCACTTTCCGATCACCATTTTCCTAGGCTTTTCAGAGCATTCTGTACAGTCAATCCCTCCCTCCCTCCTTCTTGAAACTCTCTCCCCTTGGCGTCCCAGACCCCACATTCCCCTGCTCTTCCTCCCCCTGGAACGTATCCTTCTTCAAGTGCTTTGCCACTTCCCCCTATTAGTTGATATCTAAGTGTTGGAATTCATCAGGGCTCAGTCCTAGACTCTGTTCCTCTCTCTCAATATTCTCCCCATAGGCAATCCCATCCATCCACAGGACTGTCAGGAGCATCCAGGGGCCAACTGCTCTGAAAGGTCTGTCTCCATCCCAGGTGGGTAGCTGTTGTGAATAACAGGCCTCATCGATTCAATTTCTCCACTTGGGAATCTTATAAATATCTCAAAGAAAACATGTCTGACATTGACTCTTAGGTCTCCCTTCCCCCAAGAAAGAAACCTACTCCACCATCTGTGTAACCCACCAAGTCACTCAAGCAAAGCATTCTAAAGCTCATCCTTGACAGACCCTATTCCCCGCCGTACCTCACTCCTCTAATCCAATCCATTACTAAGTCCTATTAATCACTAAGTCTTATCACTAAATCCTATCAAATACATCTCCCAACTGTCTTCTGTTCCTTATCGTCACTGTCATTACTCAGCAGCAGCATTTCCTGATCAAGTCTAACAGCCTCCTAACTCATTTTTCAGATTTCTTCTTGCCTCTCTCCACTCCTTCTCCTCAGAGCAGCCAAACAGATCTTTTTAAATTATAAACTGCTTCATACAGTCATAAACAGTAACCACTGCTCAAAGTCCTTCAGGGGCTGCCCACTGTCTTCAGGACAAAATCCCAAATCCTCCTTAGTGTGGTCAAAGTCCCTGCCTACCTTCCAACCTAACGTCGTGACACAAAAGCCAGACACTGTTGTGTGTGTGTTTTGTTTTGTTTTGTTTTTTGAGACAGAGTCTTGCTCTGTCACCCAGCCTGGGATGCAGTGGCCCGATCTCCGCTCACTGCAACCTCCACCTCCCAGGCTCACGTGATTCTCCTGCCTGAGCCCTGCCAGTAGCTGGGATTACAGGTGCCGGTCACCACATCTGGCTAATTTTGTATTTTTAGTAGAGCCGGGGTTTCACCATGTTGGCCAGGCTGTTCTCGAACTCCTGGCCTCAAGTGATCTGACCGCCTCGGCCTCCCAAAGTGCTGGGATTACAGGCAAGAGCCACCACACCTAGCCCATTTTTTCCTTAACACCGGTTTTTGTTTTTTTGTGTTTCTTTTCTTTCTTTTTTTTTTTTTGCTTGAAAACCTTTCTATGTCCTTGTCCCTCTTCATAGAGTGCTTTCCCTCCACACTTTGTGAGACTAACTCCTACTCATACTTCAAAACTGACTTTAAGTGTCCCTTCCTCATTATGGAGGTCTTTGCAAACTTCCTTGTCCAAAATGATTCCCTGATCTCCACCTTCATTTCTTTCTGTGTAACACTCTGCAGTTTTGTCCAGAGTAGTGAGCACAATTTGTAATGATGTATTTATTTAGGTGACCGTTGACTGTCTTTTCTAAGTGAACAGTGAGCTTTTTGTTCACCATTGTATACCCTCGGTGCCTATTAAGTACTGAATTTGCTGAGTTCCTAGTAAGGATGAAAGTAGACAAGGCAGGAAGGGAAAGAATGGCTTTTTACAGCAGTTCAACTTTGTCTATAAAAATAGCCCAGAAGGCCAACTGTTAAAACTGTGATGAAAATGAAGAAAAAAAAACAAAAGAGGTCTGTGCATACACAAATTTAATCTCTGTTTGATATTTTACGGCCCCTTCTATCCTCACCGTTTCTTGGGAGCTTTGCTACTTTTTGAGAGCAAAAGCCATAAAAGCAAAATTCAGTCATAGACTAAAAAACACTTAACAAAATTGGGATTGTATAAAACGTAAGTTTTAAATCTTTCCTTTTTAAGTCTTAAGCATTTTCCTATGTCACTAAAAATTTTTAACAGAGATCCATCCCTATTTTTGAAAAATTTAATTAGCAATCCTCATTATCATAAAAGGAAAAAATTCAGGTAAGCAACATGAAGAAGATAAAAATCACCTAAAGGGCCCACTACTCAGAAACAACTGTAGTTAACATTTTGGCATGTTATCCTTCTAGAAAATTTTCTCTGCATAAATATACATTTACCAGAATAGGATTAAACTGTGTATAGTTTTAGAATCTGTTTTCCTCACTTTCTATGCACTTCTATATCATCATTTTAATGGTTTTATAATTTCCTTTATGTAAGAGAATCGTAATTTACTTTACCAATAATCTATTTGTGAGATTTTGGGGTGTTTTCCAGTATTCTATTCAATGCTGCAAAGAATATTCTTTTCTTTTCTCTTACTAATTTTATTTTTTGTAGAGACAGAGTCTCACTATACTGCTCAGGCTGGTCTCGAACACCTGGGCTGAAGGGATCTTCCTGCCTCGGCCTCCCAAGTGCTAGGATTACAGGAGTGAGGTGCCACGTGTGACCAGATGTGCACACATCTTTAATTATTTCCTTAGAATAAATTTTTAGTTATGGGATTGCTGAGTCATACAGAAAACACTCATTTTTAAAGCTCTCGGTAAGAATTAAGAAATCGTCCTTCAGAAAGACAGTAACTGTTTACATACCAGCAGAGTATATACATCATTAAGTGTGAATAACATCTCTTGAGCATCCACTATGCACCAGGTGCTCTATATACTTTTTTTTTTTTTTTTTTTTGAGAAGTCTTGCTCTGTTGCCCAGGCTGAAGTGCAGTGGCACGATCTTGGCTCACTGCAACCTCCACCTCCCAGGTTCAAGCGATTCTCCTGCCTCAGCCTCCTGAGTAGCTGGGATCACAGGTGCACGCCACCACACCCGACTAATTTTTTTGTATTTTTAGTAGAGACAGGGTTTCACCATGTTGGTCAGGCTGGCCTCGAACTCCTGACCTCATGATCTGCCCGCCTTAGCCTCCCAAAGTGCTGGGATTACAGGCGTAAGCCACTGCACTCGGCCTTTTTTTTTTTTTTTTTTTTTTTTGAGACGGAATCTTGGTCTGTCTCCCAGGCTGGAGTACAGTGGCGAGACGGGGTTTCACCGTGTTAGCCAGGATGGTCTCAATCTCCTAACCTTGTGATCCGCCCGCCTTGGCCTCCCAAAGTGCTGGGATTACAGGCGTGAGCCACCGCGCCCGGCCTGGTTTATTCAACTTTTAATGGTAATGGTAGTGACCACCTTGCAAAGTTATTGTGAGGGTTAAAAATAAATATATAGGGCCGGGCGCGGTGGCTCATGCCTATAATCCCAGCACTTTGGGAGGCCAAGGCGGGCGGATCACAAGGTTAGGAGATTGAGACCATCCTGGCTAACACGGTGAAACCCCGTCTCTACTAAAAATACAAAAAATTAGCCGGGCGTGGTGGTGGGCGCCTGTAATCCCAGCTACTCGGGAGGCTGAGGCAGGAGAATGGCATGAACCCAAGAGGCGGAGCTTGCAGTGAGCCGGGATAGCGCCACTGCAGTCCAGCTTGGGCGAAAGAGTGAGACTCCGTCTCAAAAAAAAAAAAAAGTTGAATAAACCAAAGTTCAAAAACAGTAAGTGACTTGCCCAAAGGCACAAAGCTAATAAGTATAAAACTGATAGTTTAACAGGCTGCAAGCCATGCTTTTCTGCCAGACTACATTGTTCTTTAATTATTTTTACTGGTTTAATAATATTCAGTGATACAGATTTAGCATGAAATATGGACACTTCCCCTATTCTATTGTTCAGCATTTAGGTTGTTTCCAATATTTCACTAAGTAAAACTGCAGTAAGCAGACAAAATATTAGACTATTTAGAATATTAGACTAGTTATTTATTTCTTAGAAAATACAAAACAAAACATTTACTTCACTAGTCCTGCCCTTTACTTTCTTGAAAAATCAGACCCCTTTCACCCTTCAAGGCTCATCTTAAGAGTTACATTGGCCGGATGCAGTGGCTCATGCCTGTAATCCCAGCACTTTGGGAGGCCAAGGTCAGGAGTTTGAGACCAGCCTGGCCAACATGGTGAAACCCTGTCTCTACTAAAAATACAAAAATTAGCCAGTTTTGGTGGCACCCACCTGTAATCTCAGCTCCTCCGGAGGCTGAGGCAGGAGAATTGCTTGAACCCAGGAGGCAGAGGTTGCAGTGAGCTGAGATCACGCCACGGCACTGCAGCCTTGAGTGAAGCCTTCTAATTGACTCTGGACATTATCAATAGCTCCCTTTTCTGACTACCCAGAGCATGTTATATCTGCTTCCAAAATTTTTGCACTTCATTATATAAATATTTCACTGATTATAAACTGTTCTAGATGGTTCTAAATTAGTTTCATGTGTGCAAATCTAGTTTCCCTAACAACACTTTAAGATCCTTGGAGACAAAACCATCTTATATTACATTTGTACTCCCTTAGGACTTATCACAATGCTAGGTACATAGCAGATGGTCAACAGTAGCACGGTGGTTGAAATGAATTGAAAGTTTAAATGTCAATTATCTTTAGTCCTATTAATATTCCCTAAATAACTGCTTTAAATTTCTAATATCATTTACACTAATAAGTAATTTCAAGATGAAATTTGCTTGTATAACATGCAAATAATGCAGTAGTCTTTTTCTTGATTTATTTCCTTCCATCTCTCATTCCTATGGAGCCCCCCAAAATTTTATAGGTTCTTCATTATCATTTGCAGTACTCATTTTTTTCCTGCAAATTGGCTACTCCAACTTTAGTTTTAATTACTTAGACCCCAAACATGTTGAGTCATGGTGTTATCACAACACCCTGCAGAGATCCCTGGGAGGGAATGTGAGTTCCCACCTACAGCTATGTGTGACTTCAAGCAAATCATTTAATATGTATAAGCCTCAGGAGTTCTTATTTGTTTGTTCTGTTCTGTTTTTGCCAAATGAGAAATTAAAGTAACATTTTCCCCATTCTTTGCCAGTGCTAGTTATTAATATTGTCGATTTGATAGTATATGTCCTAATTCCATCTTAATTTTTTATTGGTTTCTTCTTGCACGACATAAAGCCTAAGATTTTATAGATGATTTTCTGTCATTGCCCCCTTTTAAGGTATTCATCTTCTTTTCATTCTAAGCTGTCATCAAAAAATGTTAGACATACATAAAGAGGATTTGGACATATTTCACAAATGTGCGTTGTTATATTCACCACAATGGTTTAAGTAAAAATTATGCCTGAAACCTTTTTATTTTTTTCTCTTGATTGGTGGATCAATAAGGAATCAGACATCCTCCTCAATTACCTGCCACTGCATATCTGTCTTTACTCACTATTTTTACATCCTTCATGTAGACTAGTGATCTACTTATTGGCCCTATTGGTTCTGTCTAGAAATCAACTCCAGGGTCTACCCTCTTCTCCAGCCACATTGACATCACCTTAATTCAAGCTTGTGTAATCTTTTCCCTAGATTAATTGCTGTGATGTCCAGACTGATTCCCTTTCGATCCTTTTTCCACATGACACCCAGTGTGATGTTTCTCAAATTCAAATCTTCCTCATTTTCTGCTGATTGAAATCCAAACAATTAACTTAGCATATCGAGCCCAGCATGAAGAGTTCCCTGCTCACCTGTTGGGTTTCACCTTCGGCCTCTTTTCCTTGTGTCCCACACTTCAGTCATACTGACTTGCAAAAACTCTAACTCATGATCCTGTTACTCCTCCATGTTTCTAGACACATTCTCTACTACAGGAATGCAATCCACACTTCTTTGCCTGGCTAACTCCTAAGAGTTCTTTAAAGCTTAGCTGTACCCATTTCCCCAGTAGGTAACTAACCTTCCCACAAACTGCATTACATGCATCTCCTCGGCACTTTCATAGCACACGGGACTTCCTTCTATCATGGATGGCATTTATCAATGCATGCTATAATTATTAACTCAATGGCTGTCTCCTCCACTAGGCTACTAGAACCTTCAGATCAGAAAAAGTCTCTTTAATTTTAGCACATCCAGCATTTAATAAGTGTCTGGTCCTAAATGTTTGTTGAATGACTGAATGAAGAAATGAAGAAATGAATGAATAAATTGCCACATGACTCTTGGTACAATGGAGCAGTTTAGAATTTATTTTCCTTTCATGGGCTAGTTTTGAATCTTGGCTATAACACTAAAGTTTCCACTACCTCCTCTTCCTACTACTCATAGGAAGAACAATTTGTATCACAAGAACTACTTGTATCACTTTCCTCCAGAATCCCCCAATTCCACCACCATCCATTTTGGGGTATGGAGCTGGTCTGGCTGAAAGCTTAAGAATGGAATAAGGATGGGATCATATCTTCAAGGATGGAGTGAGATCAAAGAATACCCATTCCAGAGTCAGAAGGCCAAACAGACAGCCCCACTCTAAGGAACTAACTGTGTGAGAAGCCAGGCATGGCCTCATGGTTATAGGATGATATGTGCCCCACTTTCACCCTGACCAGCTCAGAGAACACTCAGAGCAGAGGCATATAAATATTTTTCATTCTCTGAGTCAGTCTTGACTGAGATTAGAGCTATGTACCTCTGGGTGCAGGAAAGTGAAACACCCTTCATAGAGGAACATCCCTAAGAAGGACCTTTTGGGAAAAATAATCTTAGGAGGGGCAGTAGAAAAAATACAGAGCTTAGCACAGCTAACATTGGCCCTATTCTATTCAGAATGAGTCAGATTCCCTTCCTCTGTTGGATTAGAGCCACAGAGAAGAGGCCCTGAGGGTAGAAGGTGTCCAAGCTACCCCACTGGCAGACACTCATGATCTACCTTCAATAGTCACCATCTGTCCCCTTCCACTCTTTCTCTTTTTTTTTCTTGCTTAAGTATTTAAAGCATATCCTATTCATCACATTATTTTACTTATCAATATTTTCATATAATTTCTCACTAATAAAGACATGAAGAATATAATCACATACTATTATCATACTCAACATTAACAAATAAGTCCTTTAATATCAGAAGCCAAACAAGATTTGAGGGGTATTTTCCAAATTCCATATGCTCCCTTCCCTCATTCCCAGATTAGCAACTATCACCTGCACTCAACAGGCTCCTAAGGAAAACCACACAAACACTGAGAATATGGGCCCTGGGGTTTCTTAGTTTCCATTTCTAGCCACATGTTCCAGCTTTTCCAAGTATTTCATCATTCACCTCATCATACATCTGTAATTCTCTGCAGCTCCTACAAGAGTCACCTGAACCCTCCTCCTTGCCTCATCTCAACAATGAGAGCTTTTCACACACATACACACACACACACACACACACACACACACACAATCCATTGTACTGATGGGAAAAACAAAACAAAACAGAGGCACCAAGAGTCCAAATCCAGGGTTTATTTGAATTCTGGCTCTTCTATTTACTATGAGAACGTGGATAAAGTCATGAACTTCTCTGAGTCTCAATTTCCTAATTTATAAAGTGGGGGTAATCATATCTATCTCACAGAGTTGCTATAAGTACTTTAAAATATTGCATATATAAACTACCTAGCACAATGACTAGCACATAGTAGATAATAAATTACTACTGTAATTAGCTATTACAGGTGAGTTTCTCTTCTTCTCCTTTCCCAGTTCAAAACTCTGTCCCTTAAAATAGTGTAACCTGTGGAGTAAAGAAGATATAAGACATACTAGTAATCTTGTGTCATCAATATAATCAAGAATAGCCCCCTACACACACACAGACACACGCACGCATGCAGATGCACGCACACACACACTCTATTGCTGCATGTGGTACTAAAATTTAGTTCTATATTCAGAGACTTATCTTGTAAAGAATAAAAGACAAATGCAGCAAATAAAAAAGATATATTCAGAAATGGAGATGTGGAGAGAACAAGGCAACAATGCACTGTTTGACAACTGTAGCAGACAAGCAGAGTTCTTTGCAAATCCTTAATCAAAGAACGATCTTCTCTTTTGAGGAAGGTCATCTTCTTTAACTGAAAGCAAAACCTCATAAAAGACATAAATGAAGGGTTGTGGAAGAGGATACACAGGTAGAGAGGCTGAACAGTCCAAAGGATGTCAAATGTCACAAATGGCATTGTTAAGCTCTTCCAAATATTTGCATACTTACATACATAGTCTTCAGCCAGTTTTGGTTCCAGGTAGCAAATTTTACCTGGCACTTTCAGCAGACAGGGGAAGTCAGCAAAGAACATTCCTGTTCTTTGGCAAGTGACTCCAACACTATCATCATCATTAGCATCATCAACATCATCATCATCATCATCATCCATTACATTTGTATGGCCATTTACATTTTTCAAAGTATTCCACATACATTATTCAATTACATTTCTTAGCATTTAACATGTGAAAAGCAAAATGTCCAGTCTAGAGAATTTTAGACATTAGCAACAAGTTAGGCAGCAAAAGTGAAAGGAAAGATATCAGTGTTCTTATTCATTCATCAGATATTGATTAATGAGGTACTTTGATATATCAACATAAATAAGACAAAATCCTCACCTCTAGAAGGTCACAATAATCACAATAATAATTCTAAATTCTGAATGTTTACTATATGCTGGTAAACAGAAAAATAATAGTTGTATTGCTATTATTTCCACATTACCAACGAAAAAACTGAGGCTGAGAGAGGTTAAGTAACTTGCCCAAGATCACATAGGAGGTAAATGATAGAGCCATTTTCTGATATGTCAACTATAAAGAGAAACACTTGAACTAGCTGTGACCCCCACTGCACATTTTAGCACACTAATTATGTATACACATACACACATCTATACATACATACATAAAATCATCTAGTTAGCTTTCATACATGAATTAGTAAGACCTAACACCTGTCAATGGAAAAAAGTCTAGGCCAGATGTGATGGCTCATGCCTGTAATCCCAGCACTTTGGGAGGCTGAGACAAGTGGATTGCTTGAGCTCAGGAGTTCAAGACTAGCCTGGGCAACACAGTGAGACCCCATCTCAACAAAATAAAATTTTTTTAATAACCAAGTGTCATGGTGATACCTGTAGTCCCAGCTACTTGGGAGACTGAGGTGGGAGGGTGGTTTGAGCCCAGAAGATTGATGCTGTGAGCCATGATGGCACCATTGCACTCCAGCTTGGGTGACACAGCGAGACCCTGACTCAAAAAAAAAAAAAAAGATTTAAAAAGTCTAAACATGGAAATGCTTCACATGTCCCAGAGATGGGACACTTGCAATAAAGAAAAGGGAAAAACAATTTATTCCCCTCAAACAATCTATTCCTCCTCAAAAAAGGAGGTTTCTGTTCCAGTTTCTATTGCACTATTGGTCAAGAGAACTTGTACTAGAAACTTTGAAAGTCAGATTCATTTCATGATGTGATGAAGAAATTAATACAGGCAGTGAATTTTCTTCAAGTTGAATGTTGGATATGTAACAATTTGAAACAGAATATGAAAATCTATTCTATTTTGATGCAACTGGGTTAGGTTATAAAGACTTATTTTTCAAAGTTTACTAAGCAGCTTCCTCAGATCAAGATTTTGAAATCAGAGAATCTGAGGCCAAATTTTAAGTACTTCCTATCCCACTGAAAGAGCGACTTATGAGCTTGCACTTTCTAATTAATGAGATAAGATATCTGAATACTGTGCTTATTGTACTTGAAACTGCAAGTGGGGGAGAGAAACAAGAGCATTAGTGATCTTTTCAAGAAAGTATAAATTCAGATATATGGATTTAGCAAATGAAAACTAGAAAATTATTTAATCTCTCATTACTAAATTTCACTGAGCTCTCTACTTAAAAAATCATAGGTTTTTGAAGAACTGAGGAATTATTTGGTGAAAATCAAATAATTTCGGGGATATACGAAGGCTGATAACTATGAATCATTCTTTAAGTTTCTACAGCTAAGTGCAATACTCAAGACATATCTGAATTATCAACCACCTATCCAATCAATGTGGCTCAATTTCAAAACAAAATGATTGCACTGAAAATAAATTCTACTCCATAAGAAGACACAGATAGCCCAGAATTGCCTAAACAAGAAGATGCATCATAGCCAGCACCGTCCTTAAATGTCTGGCTATGTGGAAAACCTCTGGGAATTATTTGGGATCCACTTTCCTGTGGAAGCACAATTCTCTTCCATGACAGTGCTAAAATTCAAGTTGCCATTCATGATCAACCTGGAGTCAAAATTCAGATGTACTTTGATTCAGAACATACTACAGAATTCAGAAGAATAATTCAGTCCATCACACAGCAAAATTTTCTTTAACTTGAACAAAATTGAACAACAATTAAATATAAAAGTACAACTCTCTAAAGACTGCTTTTAAGACTCTTAAAACTATAACTATAATAGCATTGTTATAGTGTTTCCCATGTGCCAGGCACTGTTCTAAGCACTTTATCCTTTCAACTCTCTAAGCCTCACAACAATTCTATGAGGTAGGTGCTATTGCATTTCCCTGCTCTTATTTTTTTACAGATGAGAAAACTGAGAAAATTGTTATCAATTTAAAAAATTCGGCCAGGTGCAGTGGCTCATTCCTGCAATCCCAGCACTTTGGGAAGCCGAGGCGGGTGGGTCATCTGAGGTCAGGGGTCGAGACCAGTCTGTCCAACATGGCGAAACCCTGTCTCTACTAAAAATACAAAAATTAGCTGGGCATGGTGGTGAGCACCTGTAATCCCAGTTACTCTGGAGGTTGAGGAAGGAGAATCGCTTGAACCTGGGAGGCGGAGGTTGCTGTGAGCCGAGATCGCGCCATTGCACTCCAGCCCTCCAGCCTGGGTGACAAGAGCAAAACTCCGTCTCAAAAAAAAAAAAAAAAAAAAAATCATGCAGTCCAGGTGTAATCTGTTCTTTCACACATTCAGTAAATGTTCATTGTAGTTAACTATGTGCCAGTTGCTGGGGATGTAACAGTGCACAAGACAGCCACAGTCCCTGATGTCATGCAGCATATAAGAAAGTGTGAAAAAAGAACGAAAAGACAGTAAATACTTTTTAAAGGTCTATAAAAATATTACAAGAGACTCAAATACAGACTAAAGAAGAGGTTGGGCAACGCCTTCTTGACATAGGATAGTCCGGGAAGACTTTTCAGAAGAGATAATATTTAAGTAAGACATGAAGGATGAGAAGATGCTAGGCGTGGAAAAGTAAGAGAAAGGTTCTGGGTCAGGACTGCAAAGTGAAGACAATCATCTAAAACATACACAACTAAAATGTCACCAAATTACAGTAAAAGGATTTTTCAAAGACAAGAAGAAAAGGAGACAAGGCAAGAAAACACAAAGCAAGATCATTTTTGGAAGCTTGAAAGCTAATAGACAAGTAGCAGTTGACTTGGCAGACCAGAGAAAGTCAAATCCCAGGCCAGCAGCAGTGCTAAGAACCAACTGATTCCAAAGCCAAGAACCAACTAGTGTGCATTTCAGGCTTCTCAAAAGGCACAGAAACGGCAGCAACAGATAGCTTTGGAACAGGAGGTAAGGGGCAGAAGAGGGTGCTAAAAAAAATGTGGGGGATTGGCTGAAAACTGTTTAAGAGCAATTAGAACCCTAAATTTTCTCCCCCACTTCACATGCCCTGAGAGAGCACCTCTCCTCAACTCAGAATATCTGAAGTTCATTGCCGGAAGAGAGACACATCAGAGGGTCTCCGGAATGGCAGAGACCAAACAGAATGGAAAGCCAGGATAATCTACCTAACCAAGGGGATTTGCTGGCTATATGAAGTGTAAATGCTAATGCAGAGCGGAACCAAACCCTGCCCTCCAACCCCTGGCAGCTAGACCCTTACCCTTCAGGCTGGAGACTAGAAGCCTCTTTTTTTTTCTCCTTCCTTCTGTGAATCTGACTAAGTCAAAGAGGAAAGGTCTGAAGACAGTGACACCAGGGGTGCCCCCAGTAAATGGCCCTCTAACCTGCTCAGGTCAGCTTCTTAGTTCTAGCCCTTAATTATGAGTAGACAGGGAAGGAAGGCCAACCATCTAAAGAAAGCCTCTAACTGTAAGACCAGAAGGAGAGAAAATCAACTTGGAGAGAAAGAGTCTGTAAGGAAGAGGAAAACTTTATCTTAAAAAAAAAAAACCTGTTATTAATATCAGAAAGATAAGATACTCTACCTATAAATGAACGCTGTTGTGCTGTTAGAAAAACAAGATACAGTGAAGAAAAAAGTTTTTGTAGATAAAAAACATAATCCCAGGAATAATCAATAGAAGGTTTAGAAGATACAATTGAGAAAATTTCCCCAAAATACAGCAAAAGACAAAATAAAAGAGAAATGACAAATTCAGGATATCCAATATCAGGATATAAGGAGTTTCAGAAAAAGGCAATAGCAAAACCAAAAGAGTTAAAACCATTAACAAAATCAGTTAAGAACTTTTTAGATAATGGCGGATTAAAAGAGCCCACCACAATGAGTAAAAATAGACACATAGCAATGCACTTTGTTATGAAATGTCAGAAACTAGGGACAAAGAAAAGACTCTACATACTTCTAGAGATTTTTAAATTTTTTTAGTACTTAGGAAAGATCAAGAATCAAAATGGCTTTGAAATTCTCCAAAGCAACACTGGAAACAAGATAACGATGAAGCAATGCCTTCAAAACCCTGAAAAACAATGTTCCCAAAGTAGAATTCTACATTCAGACAAACTACAAATCAAAAATAAAGGCGTATTTAGACATTCATAGATGCATCCTTTCTCCTGGGAGAAAGAACACCCAGTTGTGTATCAGGCATAGAGGGCAATCAGTCAAGGTCAGAGCAATGTGGTTCCAGAGACAAATTCCTGAAAGTTGCCATCACCAAGAACCCCAGACCATGCTTTTAACCCAATGCAGAATGCCTTGGCAAGTGTGGCCCAGATATTTGTTCTTGAGCCAATAAAGTTCCTACTCTCCTCCACAGTGGCCTCAAACAGCTAAGGACACTCATTTTACCCCCACAGAAAGTTTCTGCTTTGACCTACTTCTAAGAGCTAGAGGCAGGTCATGTTGAGCTTAAGCAGAAAACATAGAGTAACCCACTCCCTGACCACATTTTTGGTCAGAGGTCCCCCGGCCTACACAACAGCACTGCAAAGCCTCAACTGGGATGAACTCCTTCTTTCCCAGGACTCACTTCTGACTTTGCTCAGTGACCTCCTGAAGAGGAGCTCTCAAGGAAGTTGAATTTAGATTGTGTCCCAGAGACTGTTTCGCACATCTTCATGATATGAAAGAGGGCGTACAATTATGTACACACTTTCAAAAGTAATAATAACGTACACCCATTTACCCACCACCAGATTAAAAGATAGAACATTTCCTGTATCTTATCTATACCCACCGCTGATTTAATCCCCCTCACTCGCCCTAGATACAAGTCCCTTTCTAACATTTTCATTTATCATTCCCTTGCTTTTCAGTTTCATCCCCTGATGATGTTATTACCCAAACACTAAATTATTTAATTCAAAAAAACTGAAGAGCAAGCATGAACCCAGTCGCATGAGAAAAACACAATATGCATATTGTCATTGTTGAGAAGGCTCCCATATTTACAAGTTGGTTTTTTTCTTTTTCTTTTTTTTTTTTTAGAGACAAGGTCTTGCTCTGTTGCCCAGGCTGGAGCGCAGTGGTGCAGTCACTGGTCACTGCAACCTCAAACTCCTGGCCTCAAGGGATCCTCTGGCTTCATCTTCCCAAGTAGCTGGGATTAAAGGCATGCACCATCACACCTGTGCCCTGTATTTATGACTTTTGATAATCATTTCTGTATTAAAGAATAAAGAGCTTCTGTGACTTCATTTTGACCCAGAAACAGAGAGTAGATGAACAGCCACAAGCCTGGTTCTAAAGGCAGCAGCCATTTATTTAAGAAACGAATCTAAAAACCAGAGACTAGAGTTTAAGCACTCAAAAATAATCAGCTTAAATATGGTAAAAGAGGAGGATTCTGGAAAGAGGACAGTGGCAACAGCATAGTTTTTGAGTCAACCCAGGGCCCTCTGTTAAAAATAGACAGATCAATGAGGATAACAAAACCAAAGACCCACTGACAATCTACAACAAAATTAGGAGACAAAGTATCACCGTGGACTAAATATGAAAGGATGGGGACAGACTGCTTATAGCCACACAGCCATGTGGCATCAGCATCCATGCAGGAAGACACGAAAGGAAGGCAGTTGGGTCTTCAGAACAGAACTCTCAAGTCATCAACAGGTACTGTGGGGCCCAGTCTGAAAACAGGAGTCAAAGCAAGGAGGGAGTTCCTCAAGTGATAAGATCTGAAAGTGATGGAGCAGATTCTAAAAACGAACAAACCAAAAACTACTTTCCTGAAGCAAGTGAGGGAATCCCACAAGGGAAAAAACCATAAACTCTGGATCCCCAAACTCTGACATCTTTGACTGACCCCTGAACCACACAAGTGCAAAATAGACCCAAATCAGCCCAGCTAAAGACAAAAGATCTGAACAAAGTAAGGAACTGCTGCATGAGAACAGAGTTTGCAATTCCATCCCAGCCAGGAAAATTACCCATAAAGCAAAGGAAACAACACCTCATCGGTGGGAAATAGTAGACCCCAAAGTCTCCAAAACTTAACATTCATTATATCCAGGATACAACTCAAAATGACCCAACATAAGAAGAACCAAGAAAATACAACACATTCCCACAAGAAAAGTCAGTATATTCTGATCCTGAAAGGAAATAGATGCTGGAACTAACAGACAAGGATTTTAATGAATTGCTAAAACTATCCTCAATTAAGTAAAACAAAATATGTTTTCAATGCATGAAACTCTCATCAGAGAAATGGGAAGTCTCAGCAGAAATAAAAAAATCATGCAAGAAGAACAAGATGGAAATTCTAGAACTGAAAAACAATTTCAGAAATAAAAATTAACTGAATGAACTTACAGCCGTTAGAAATGGTCATGACAGAGGAAAGAATAAGTGAACTTGAAAACAGACCAATAGAAAGTATCAAACATGAAGAACAGAGGAGAGAAACGATTTAAAAAAAAAAAAAAAAAGAACCGAGTCTCAGAGGTGGGTTAGGTAGTATCAAACAGTAAGAGGTACATATGTGTGATGGGAATACCAAAAGGAGAGGACAAAAAGAACGGGGCTGAGAAAATATTTGAGAAATAATGGCCAAAGAGTCCTCAGATTTGGTAACAGGCAGAAATTTTCAGACTTGAAATGACAAACACAAAGCAGAATGAACACCCAGAGGCCCATGCCAATAGAAGCCCACGTGACACTCAGACTGTTGAAAGCCAAAAATAAAGAGCAGATCTTAAAACCAGTAAGAGAAAACCATAATTTACATAATTTTATGGATATATGACAAGTAATGGCTGAATTCACCTCTGAAACCAAGAAGGCCAGAGGGAATAACATTTTTAAAGTACTCAAAGGAAAAAAAAAACTGTCGAAGCAAAATCCTGTATTCAGCAAAAATATTATTCAAGAATAAAAGCAAAATAAAGACTTTTTCAGACAAAAGAAATCTAAAACATTTGGTCACAAGTAGAGCTACACTACAAAATATGCGAAGGAAAGTTTTTCAGGCTAAAGAGAAATAAATTTCAGATAGAAACTTGAGTCCTCAGAAAAAAAAAACAAAGAGCACCAGAAATGGTAAATATCTTGGTAAATGCAAAAGACTATACTTTCTTTTTTCTGTTAATTTCTTTATTAACCATGTAATTTTAAAATTAAAGTTACAGCATTATCTTGTGGGGTTTATAACATATGTAGATGTATTACATAAAATAAGTATAAAATAAAGAGGGATATGGGCCTATAAAGTTGCAAGATTTCTATATTTTAAATAAGGTAGTACGTTATTAACTGTGAAAAATTAAGGAAGTACATAATAATTGCTCAGTCAACCAGTAGTTTAAAAATGCAAAAAAGAATATTTAAAAAGACAGTAGGAAAACTTTAAAGGGTGAAAGGAAATGAATGGGAAACATAAGCCAGATAAACAGCATGTGAAGGTAGTCTGGAGTAGCAATATTAATATCAGATAAAATACATTTCAAAGCAAAATATATTAACAAGGATAAAAAAGACACTTCATAAAAATAAAAGGGGTATTCAACAGGAAAACATAACAATCATAAATGTATATGAACCCAGTAACAGAGCTTCCAAACACATGAAGCAAAAAATGACAGATTTAAAGGGAAAAGGAATTCCATAATCTAAAGACTGCAATATGCTTTAACAGCAACTATTAGAAAAATTAGACAAAAATCCGCAAATGCGTAGAAGATTTCAACACATTACCCAACAATTTAAAAATACATTTTGTTTTCAATTGGCACATAGAATGTTTACCAGTATAGACTATATTTGAGGCCATAAAACAAGTCTTAATAAATGTCAAAAGATTGAAAGCATACAGAATATATTCTCTAACAAAAATAGAATTAAGTTAGAAATCAAAAACAAGATAACCAGGAAAATCCCAAATATTTGGAAATTAAACAACACACTTCTAGGCTGGGCACGGTGGCTCACACCTGTAATCCCAGAACTTTGGGAGACCAAGGCAGGAGGATCATTTGAGGTCAGGAATCTGAGACCAGACTGGCCAACGTGATGAATCCCCTTCTCTACTAAAAATGCAAATTGGCCAAGCATGGTGGCGGGTGCCTGTAATCCCAGCTATTCAGGAGGCTGAGGCAAGAGAATCGCTTAAACCTGGGAGGTGGAGTTTGCAGTGAGCTAAGATCGTGCCACTGCACTCCAGCCTGGGCAACAGAGCAAAACTCCATCCCCCACCAAAAAAAAAAAAAACCACACACATGTCTAAAGAAATTTTGGGTCAAAGAAAAAAATTGCAAGATAAATTAGAGAATATTTTAAACTGAATAATGAAAATACAAAACTGGTGGAATGCGCCTAAAGCAGGACTTATGAAGCAATGCACGGCTTTCAAGTGCCTGTATTAGAAAAGAAGAAAGATTTCAAATTAATAATATAGTTTTCACTTTCAGAAGCTAGAAAAAAGAAGAGCTAATTAAAACCCAAACAAACCAAAGGAAGGAAATGGTATAAATAATTATGTACAAAAATCAATAAAATAGGAAACAGAGAAACAATAGAGAAAATCATTGAAACCAAAAGTTGGTTCATCAGTAAAATGTATAAACCTCTAACCAGACAGGTCAGGAAAAAAAGAGACATAAATTGCCAATATCAGAAATAAAAGAGGAACATAGCAACAAATTCTATAGATATAAAAAGAATTATAAGGGATTATTACAAATAACTTTATACCAGTAAATGGCAACTAGACAAATTTGTCAAATGGACAAAATGGACAAATTCCTTAAAAGACACAAATAACCATAACTGACTTAAGAAGAATTTAAAGCAAACAAAAATTGTGAAATCTTTATGAACTGAAGAAACTGAATTTAAAATTTGAAACCTTCCCCCAAAAAAAGAACCTCCAGGCTCTAATGGCTTCAATGGTGAATTTATCAAAAAATCAAGGAATCGTTATCAATTCTACACAAACCCTTTCAGAAACTATAGAAAAGGAAACACTTCCCAACTCATTTTATGAAGCCAATTTTATCCTGATTTCAAAACCAGACAAAAATATCACAAGAAAACAAAACTACAGACCAGTATATCTCATGAAAACACAGATACAAAACTCCCTAACTAAACATTAGAAAACTGAATCCAACAATATTTTTAGAAGAATACATTACGACCAAATAGGGTTTAATTCAGGAATAAAGGAATGCAAGGTTGGTCTAACATTCTGAAAGGCTCAAAGCTTTCCACCTAAGGTCAAGAACAAGGCAAGAACACTCACTCACATCACTTTTATTTAGCATTGTTCTGAAGGTCCTAGCCAGTGCAGTAGGCAATAAAAAGAAATAAAAGGCATACAGATTGGAAAGGCAGATGTAAAATTATCTTTATTCACAAATGGCGTAACAGTGCATACTGAAAACCTTCAATTATACATATATTTTTTTCTTTTTTTAAACTACTCACCAAATACATGAGTGTGGTAGGGGTACAGGATATAAGACCAACACAGCAAAGCTATTGTATTTATCTATACTAACAGCAAATAATTAGGAAATAAAACTTGAAAAACAAATCCACTCACAAAAATACTTAGGAATAAATTTAATGAAAGATGTGACAACTACCAAATATTGCAAAAGAGAATTAAACAAGACATAAATAAGTTTACATATGTGTCATTCCAAGGATTGTTAAGAAAGTAATCCTCTCCAAATGGATCTATAGACCAAAATCCAAATAAGCTTCCTTGGAAGCAAATTACAAGTTGATTTTAAAATTTACATAGAAAGCAAAGGACTTTAAATAGTTGAAACAGTTTTGAAAAATAAGAACAAAGTTGGAAGACTGATAGTACTAAAGATCATATGCCATTGACATAAGAATAGATGAAGAAACAAAATAGAGTCCAGAGATAGACCCACATATATATGAGTGATTGACTATCAACAAAGGTACCAGGATAATCCAACAGAGATAAGAAACAACTGGATATCGTACATGGAAATAATGAACCTCAAACTTTACCTCACATTATACATAAAATTAACTCAAAAATGTTTATAAACCTAAATGTTAGAGATAAAACCATTAAACTTCTAGAAGAAAATACTGAAGAAAATCTTTGTGACATTGGTTTAGGCAAAGATTCCATAAACAGGATACCAAAAGTGCAAATGATAAAAGAAAAAAAATTGAAAATGGGCTGTATAATTTAAAAGTCTTGCTTCTCGAAAGTCATTGTTAAGAAAACACAAAGGTAAGCCACAGATTGGAAGCAAAATGTTTCAAAACAATGAACTTGTATTCAGAATATATAAAGAACCCTTAAGACTCAATCAAAAGATCAAAAAAACCAATAAAAATAGACCAAAGATTGGAACAGAAATTTCCCAAAAGAAGATATACAAATAGTCAATTGGCACATAAAAAGATGTTCAACATCACTAATCCTCAGAGAAATGCTAATTAAAACCACAAGATACCACTGCACACCAACTAGAAAGACTAAAGTTAAATAGACTGTGAATACCAAGTGTTGATGAAGATGCAGATCAACTGAAACTCTCTCCTACATTGCTGGTGGGAACATAAAACCTTACAGCCACTTTGCAAAATAGTATAGAAATACCTTATAACGGTAAACATTCATTAACCATACTACCAAGCAATTCCATTCCTAGGTATTCAACCTAGAGAAATAAAAACATATGTCCACATGAAACCAGGTATGCAAATATTCATAATGGCCCAAAACTGAAAACAACCCAAATTTCTATCAACTGGTGAATGGATAAACAAATTGTAATATACACATGCCATGGACTATATAGAGCAATAAAAACAAACAAAATATTAATTAACCCAACAACATGAGTGACTCTCCAAAACATTATGATAAATAAAAGAAGTTAGACAGAAGCCAGGTGCCGTGGCTCATGCCTGTAATCCCAGCACTTTGGGAGGCCAAGGCAGGTGGATCACGAGGTCAGGAGTTCGAGACCAGCCTGCCCAACATGGTGAAACCCTGTCTCTACTAAAAATACAAAAAATTAGCCGGGCATGGTGGTGTGCACCTGTAATCCCAACTACTCGGGAGGCTGAGGCAGGAGAATCGCTTGAACCTAAGAGGCGGAGGTTGCAGCGAGCTGAGATTGTGCCATTGCACTCTAGCCTGGGCGACAGAGCAAGAGTCCGTCTTGAGAAAAAAAAAAAAAAGAAGTCAGACAGAAAAGAGTATGCACTGAATGATTCCATTTACATGAAATTCTATAAAAGGCAACACTAATAATAAAAAGAAAAGCAATGTCTTCCTGGAACTGGGAGTTGAAGGAAGGGATCAAGAGCAAAGGACACAAGGAATCTTTCTAAGATAAGGATAAGGGTATTTATTTATTTATTTATTTATTTATTTATTTAGAGACTGACTCCCTCTCTGTTGCCCAGGCTGGAGTGCAGTGGCGCAATCTCAGCTTCCTGCAACCTCGGCTTCCTAGGCTCAAGCGATTCTCCTGCCTCAACCTCCTGAGTAGCTGGGACTACAGGCATGCACTACCACGCCTGGCTAATTTTTATATTTTTAGTAGAGATAGGGTTTTGCCATGTTGGCCAGGCTGGTCTCAGACTCCTGACCTAAAGTGATATGCCCACCTCAGCCTCCTAAAGTGCTGGGATTACAGGCATGCACCACTATGCCCTGCTAATTTTTGTACTTTTAGTAGATATAGGGTTTTGCCATGTTGGCCAGGCTGGTTTCAAACTCCTGACCTAAAGTGATCCGCCCACTTTGGCCTCCCAAAGTGCTGAGATTACAGGCATAAGGCACCATGTCCGGCCAGGATATGGGTCTTTATCTTTATTGTGGTAGTGGTTACATGACTGTATATTCTTAGCAAAATTCATCAATCTGTGCTTTGCAAATTGGTGAATTTTATTATTTGTCACTATTTCCACGTAAACAAAAAGAGGATAAAATGACGTATCTTAATATGTATGTATTTGGGCGTGTCTACATTAGAAGACATGGTGATAGTAGTCAAATGCTTGTACTTATAATGAATAAGTTGAATTTATGCAAAATAAGATAATATTCAACTGAATGTTATCAACTTTATATTTAACATTTCAAAATAAGGCCTAAATAAATACATAGTTCTATATACATGCAGAATCACCAAGAATAAGCTAGTTCACATGTAGACTAATAAAGGTATATTGTGTGGGTAATTCTAAAAAAACTCTAAAAGAAATAAAGGAAGAGATTTTTAAAACGTACAGTAGAAAATGATCCTACAGAAGATAAGCAAAAAACACCCAACATGTGTACGATAGGGATCTCAAGAGAAAATGCCAAACAATGGAACAAAACAAGTATTAAAACTGTATCTCCAGAAACTGTATTTCCTAAAATTAAAAAAACATCTTGAACTTATTGAAAGGACATACTGCAATCATTTCAGCATGACCCAACAATGAATCATATTATAGTTAAGGCTACTTAAAAGGAGATTAAAAAAAAAGACTAAGCCACTAAGAAAACAAGATTGTCACTGGACTTTTCACCAATCCTTAATGCCAAAAAAAATGATGTGACAAATTTAAAATACTCAAGTTGGCGAAATATAAGTCAAAGATTTTATGTCCACCCAAGCTGACCTCCAAGTACAAAGTTGCAAACTATTATAAACTTGCCAAAACTCAGGCAATAATTGATTCTGTAAGCCCTTCCTAAAGGATCTATTAGAAATGGCGATTAAGACAACCAAAAAGACTGAAAGACAGCAGTATAAGAATGAGTGATGAGTATTAAATATAAATTTATCTGAGAAACAAAGCTAAACCATGATTATAAGAAAGAAAATATAGCAGCTAAAATACAATTATCAAAAATCAGGAGGCATGGAGGGCATATGGATATGATTGTCTAATGGGTATTAATTGTAAACAAAATGACACTATTGTATATCAGATACTGGGTTAGAAGGAGGGTAGAGAGAAGAGGTTAGAAGCTAATTGCAATATTATTCAATGTAGGGAACTAGTTAGTCCAAAAACAAGAGGACTAGCAGTATTATGTAGAAGTCTTAGTATAAAGTTAACCAAAAGAAAAAAATGAGCAAATAAAACCCACTGCATAATGAAAGAGTTTAGATATAAAATACATAAAAATAAAATAATATGATAGAACTGAGGCCAAACATATTAATCATATCAATAGATGTAAAAGGGCTTAACTCACCTATTAAAAGAAAAGGATTTTCAGATTGGCTAACAAAGCAAAATCCAACACTATGCAGAATACAAGAGACACATCTAAAACAAAGAGATTCAAAAGAGTTAAAAATAAAAGGATGGCAAAAGATATATCAGGCAAACACAAATAAAAAGAAAACGGGGTCATAATCTTAATATCTGACAAGGTGGAATTCAGACCAGAAAGCATTAAAATAGATAAAGAAGTGCCCTTTATAATGTTTAAGGCTACAATTCACAATGAAGATATTAGTTATTAGTATTTATGCACCCAGTAACACAGTAATAACTTCGATTAAGCAGCAACCTACAGAAGATGCAAGAAGAAATAGACAGAAACACACTAATAATAGGAGACTTTAACATACCTCTCACAATCCAAGATCAAGTGGACTAAAAATTAATAAAAGGTATAAAAGACCTAAACAACATTACAAGGTAGATCTTATAGATATACATCAAACTCATATTATTGTATCAATAATAATAGAGATTACAACTTCTTTTTAAGTACATATGTGGTATTCACAAAAACTGACTAAATCTTATGACACAGCAAAAACCTCAATGTGCTACAGAATAGAAATAATGTAAATAGTATCCTCAGACCATAAGGCAATAAAATTAGAAATCAACAACACAACAGAGAAACAAAAATGCCCTTCCACATGGAAATTTATGCACTTTTAAACCACTCTTAGGTCAAAGGCAAATATACAAAATTCAATTGCAGAATTTCTTGAAAATAGTTATAATAAAGCCTGACATTACCAGAATCTGTAGGCTACAACTAAAGGAAGTGTCAAAGAAAAATATATTGCATGAAATGCCTATCTCAATAAAAATTTAAAAAAAAAAAAAAATTAACAGCCAACTCAAAAAGCTAGAGGAATACAAAATAAAACAAAGAAATCAAGGAAAAAATAATCAGAAATTAATAATAAAAACTGAAATTAATTTAGAAATGCCAAAAACTAGAAGTAATAAATAAATAAAAATAACTGGTTTCTTGAAAAAGAAATCGACAAAATAGACAAACCACTAACCCAATTTTTTAAAGGGGGCAGGAGAGACAGCACAAATACACAACATTAAATACAGTCATCCCTCAGTATCCACCAGGGATTGGTTCCTGGACCCACCCCCACCCCTAACCTTCTGCAGGTACCAAAATCCTTGGATGTTCAAGTCCTTTTTATAAAATTATATAGTATTTGCATATAACCTATGCACATCCTCCTGTATACTTTAAATCATCTCTGTTTTATAATACCGAATAAAATATCATCCTATAGGAATAGTTGTCATACCCCACTGTATTTTTTTATTGTACTATTTTTTATTGTTTTTTTCCCAAATATTTTTGATCTACTGTTGGTTGAATCCATGGATGCAAAAACCACCAGATACAGAGGGCCAACTGTATGCATTAGAAATGACAAGCAGAAAATAAACATCAAAACAGAGGAATTTTTAAAATTTCTAAGATAGTCATTTGCATAATTCTATGCAAACAAATTTGAAAACTTAGATGAAATGCATAATTTTTTAGAGAAATAAAACTTACCAAAATTGACCCCAGTAGAAACAGAAAGTCTAAATAGAACAAGTGTCATACAACAAATAGAGAAAGAAGTTAAAGAGTTCCACTACAAAAAAAGCACAGGCCAGATTGTTTTACAGGGGAACTCTAAAAAACTTTTAAAGATCAGATAACACCAATGCTATTATATTATTCCAAAGTTTAGAAAGGAAGCAAAATTTCCAGGCTCACTTTATGTAGTGAGTATCACATTGTTCCCAGGTCCTGAATAAAATTACTTCCCACTCTACCCCCCAGAAAAACACCTATGAAACAATCTAACTTATTAATATCAATGCAAAAATTCTTAAAATATGATGAAATTCAACCAAGCATATTAATAAAGTTAAGAGAGGAAGCAATATGGTCTCCATAGATGCAGAAAATAAACTTGACTCAACACCCATTTCGGTTTAAAAAAAAAACTTAACAAAATAAGAATTGACAGATACTGCCTAGTATATTACCTCAGCCCAAAATAATATCTTACTTAGAAATACAAGAGATTTTCCTACTAAAGTAAAATACAAGCCAAGAACACCCACTCTCTCTGCTATATTTCACACTGTATTGGAGATACTGACCAATGCAATCAGAAAACAAGAAAGCAATTAGAGGCATAAAAATTGAGTAGAAAAGAAAGGACAAAACTATTTTCTATTTGCAGAGCATACAATTGTATATCTTGAAAACCCAAAAGAATAGATGGAAAAATGACTACAAAAAGAAAATAATTTAGTAAAATAAAGTTATAAAATCAGCATACAAAAACTCAATAGCCTTCATGTATTCAAAATTTTAAAATAGAAGAAATGATACATCTCAATTATGATGGCAAAAAATGACGAAAGAAAATACTAAGCAAGAGCTCTATAAGAAATTCCAAAATCTATATGAGAAAAAAGCACCCCAAGAAAGGCACAGACTTGAACAAATGGAAAGACATACCATGTTCTTAGAAAGAGTAAGATTCAATATCAGAAAGATGTCAATTCTTCCTAAAGTAAGTTATTCTATAAAAGTAATATGATACTCACAAAAATACTATGAGGCTTTTTCCTGGAGTTATTCAACTTGTTTATAAAATTATTTTGGAAGAATGAAAAAGATCTAACGCAATGAGGGTTACGTGAAAAAAAAAAAAAGAACGTAAAAGAAAGCCAGTGAAACCTGCTTGAAACATTATTTTTTAAGAACAATGTTGAATGGGAGAGTGGAGATTCTTAGAAAATTCCCCACAAAAATTTTAGCCTCCAGTTAAAATAAAGAGTAGTAATGACCACAGGAGCAATTGTTGGCTCCCTGTGAATAAGTCATCCCAAGTTCATTTCAACTTCCTATTTTTTTAGAGATCTAGACAGGGCATCAAAGAAAAGTTGTAGAGAGTGTATACATCTCAGCAAAGTAGGATGCACTTGGAGAGTCAACTGTAAGCTCCTCTAGAGCCTAGCACAGTGCTTGATACATAGTAGACACCCAATAAATATTGGTTGAATAAGTGAATAGACAAGTTGATGAAATATATAGATTGAGTGGTACCATGACAGGATAGATTTGTATCTAGTGAAACTCACATTTAAAATATATTGATTAGAGGCTCAAAGCCAACTTGAAAAAAGTTATTTAATAGCATGACACTCACAGGGCTTTGGTGCTTCTTTCTTTTTGTCAACATTTTTATTTTGGATACTTCATATAGGAATGCATATTGTTTTGGTAGTTGACACAAAACCAATGGAAGAATAGCTAATATGTTGGATTACAGAATCAGACATAACAATGAAATAACATTAATAAGACAAAATGTAATAAGGTTTGTAGTGGTTTGAATTGTATCCCCCAAAAGATATGTTCAAGTCTTAATCCTGGTACTGTGAATGTGACCTCATTTGGAAATAGGGTCTTTGCAGATATAATCAAGTTAAGATAAGGTCATACTGGATTAAGGTGGGCTCTAAATCAAATGACGTGTGTTTATAAGAGGAAGGAGAGAGAGGTTTGGATACAGAGACACAGGCTGTGTAAAGATGGAGGCAGAGATTGGCGTGATGCTGCTACAACCAAGGAATGCCAAAGATTGCCAGAAACCCCCAGAAGCTAGGACACAAGGAAGGGAGATTTTTCCCTAGAGCCTGCAGAGAGAGCACAGCCCTGCCAACGCTTTGATTTCAGACTTCTGGCTTCCAGAACTGTAAGAGAATAATCTTCAGTTGTTTTACACCACCTAGTCTGTGCTAATTCATTACAGCAGCTCTAGAAAACTAATACAGCGTTAAACAAAGCCCTAAGACTTTCAGCTGCACAGATAGAGGGTAAGTG
Source organism: Homo sapiens (assembly GCF_000001405.40). NCBI lineage: Eukaryota > Metazoa > Chordata > Mammalia > Primates > Hominidae > Homo > Homo sapiens. The sequence continues at coordinate 93,437,489 of NC_000014.9, read as the reverse complement.
CTCACTGAAAATATTAGAATGATATGCAAAAGACTCGCATGACCCTTGCGCAAGGATGACACATAAATCTGTGAAAAGTTCTGTATAAAAAAATAAAAAGAAGAAATAGGAATTAAGGTACTTGAGGAACATTGAAGAAATAAAACCAAAGTATAATAACACATCTCTCAAAGCTGTTATGAAAATGAATTAAGCCAATATATACCAAAGTGCCTAGTACCTAGTAGGCACAAGCAATAAATATCTAAACTGTCTTTCCTGGAGAGCTTAAGATTCAAGCACATATAATCCTGACATGCTAAACTGTTTGTGAGTTATTATCTATTTCTACTTCTGAGGCAAGCTGATTTATTCTTAAAATAAAATAACATATACATAAATGTATATGTATATACACATGCATTTGTGCATGTATATATACATAAATATATATGTATACACACACACATATCCTTTTAATTTTATTCTATTGGAAGACCAAGTTCCTGAGACCAATGAAAATGAAAGATACCCTGAAATGCTGAACACCACTCCAGTTTTAATCCCACATCAAATATCAAATGAGACTCACATGATAAGCTGTATGCTGTTGGTAACATTGGTCTTGAAAAGTCCAGAAGGAGAGAAAAACAAGACACAAATAGAATAAATGGACTGAAAGAAGCTAAAAGTTCTAAATGAAATTGTTGAGCTTTTCACATTACAGAAAGCAAGAGTATTGATAAGAATATATTTTTTGCTTAATGCACTTTTTGATACAGGAAATATTTCATTTCTAAGCCAATATATATGTTTATTTATGCAGAGCTATCCATATATTTTCAAAATGTAAGAAACAAATGCATATGAATTTCCAACATAATACTACTGCAAAACAAGAATCCCAACTTAAAGCTTATTTATTGGTTGAGTAATCAATACATAAAACTTGAACAGCATCCAAGTAAAACTGGTCTGAAGAGGCCCTGACTTTAGATATATTGCCACTTTATCTTAAAAAAAAAACAGTTGGCTGTGTGCTAAAACTGCCTACCACTTTAAGAATCATAATTATTATTTTGAATATAGTAAAAGGAAAATTTAGCTAATCGGACAGAATCAAAACCACAATGAATGTTTAAGAAATGTGTAACATGTTGTATAAATACTGTAACATTTGATTTAGCAAATATATTTTAAGTACTTTTGACAACTGTAGTTTTATTTACCTGTAAATCCATTTGAAAAGCATGCATTTTGTGCAATGTTCACATTGCATAGAATGCAGAACTTCATATTAACAAAAATGTAAAATCTTCAAATTAATGATATCCAAACACTTGGTTATGTAATCCTTCCTTATAAAAGGCATTTCATCCACCCTCAGTCATTTTTACTTTTTCAAGAAATGATTTTTGTGCAAACACTATGCACTGGACAAGGGATTGCACACTGGAGACACAGAGAGGAACATAATACAATCTACACACAAAGTAAATTAAGGCAACTAACAAGAAACTAATTGAAATATAGTGTGACCACACAAATAGGGCATATAGGGAGAAAGTGGCAATCAGGCAAGGTTTCAAAGCTAAGTATTGAGCAGTAAGTAGGCATTAGACAGGCCAAGACGATGAGGGGGAAGAAAACATTTCAGGCAAAAAGAACATGATGCATTGGAGGAACTGAAAAAATAGTTCATTGTAACTGCATTGAAGAGGTAAAGCAGAGATTGTTGACGAGCTAGAATCAACAAGGCTTGGGAATGTGTTGAATAGTTATGGCAGAGAGTAAAAAGTTTAGGAAGACTGATTTTTTGACTTGGATAAATGAGCAAGGAAGTGTCATTTACCAAAATGACTGATCTAAAAAGAAGTACAAGGTTGGAACAAAGGACAATGAATTTGGGTGGTATGTATAAGATGCTTGGGTAGAGATAGAGGACTGTACTTCCAAAAACGTTTGTGGACTAGAAAATTGTATGTGGGAGGCATCCTCGTAGATGATACCATGCAAGTGAATGTGGTCAAGAGTCTGTGGGATTTTAAAAAAGAGTGAGAGAGAGGACTAATGACAGATTCCTGTGCGAAGCTAATTTTCAAAAGGCAGGAAGAAGACAGCCCTAAGAAAAAATCTGAGTGGGAACAGCCAGAAAAGAAAGAAGAAAAGGAGTTTAAATCAGGAATGCAGCAACTAGTGTCAAATGATACAGAGAAGTCATGTAAGACGAGAGCTAAAAGCTATTCTTCTTTTTGCAACCACAAAAATGGTTATAATAGGCACATTCTAATTTTTGCATAATATGAATAAAACTGTAATAGAGTTTCCTCTATAAGAAGTTTGCAATATTCTTGTGAAAAGATTTCTAAATGACTACAACTGCAGTGCTATTGAAAGGAGAAGTACTTTTCTATTTTAGTGATATTACCATATAATGTGCAAAAAATAAAGAAAACTATCTATTGATTTCTCCATGCATGGCCCTTACATATACATGGGAGAGGGGCAAGTTCAACTTCAAGTCATAGTGCTAATCAGCTACACTCTTAAAATTGTTTATCTTTGATGTAATCAAAAATATTTTTGGTTACTGGGAGGCTAGATCCAAACTTCACAATTATCTCCATTTTGGCAGCAAGCATAAGGTTTTATATTTGATGATGATGATGATGATAATAATTGTTAACATTTATTAAGTCCTCATTATGTGCCAGGATTCTCTGCTAAGCACTGTTCATGAATCACCTCATTTAATCTTCACAACAACTATAACTATCCCCATTTTATAGAGGATGTAGTCAGGGCTTAGAGACATTAACTTATCTAAGGTCACAGAGTTTACAGGGAGCAAAGCCAGGATTCAAACCCAGGCAGCAGTCTGATTCTAGAACCCCAACTCTGAATGTCTGCTGTTACCAAAAGCAGAGCTTCTTTTGAAAGAGCATACCCAAGGTGATCCCGATTGGTCAATTTTGATTCTTAGAAGACAGAAAAAGTTTGGGGTGGAGGGAGTGGGACTCCTCTTTAGAATTCCAAATAAATTTCATTTTTATCATTCCAAATTCTATATCAGCTATGCAAACATTTTCACTACAGTGAACTTTGTAAGAAAAAGAAGCATTTGGAGAAAAAAAAAATTTAACTCTTCTGCAATCACCTGAGAAAGTGCTAGGAAGCTTTCACCTCCTGTTTTGAGGCTCTGCAGATAGCACAGGAAACAGATTGAATATTTTTTAAAGGCTCCAAAAACTAGCTGCTGCTGCTTCTTTTTTTTCTTTTCTTTTTTTTTTTCTTTTTGAGACGGAGTTTTGCTCTGGTTTCCCAGGCTGGAGTGCAATGGCACAATCTCTACTCATAGCAATCTCCGCCTCCCAGGTTCAGGTGATTCTCCTGCCTCAGCCTCCTGAGTAGCTGGGATTACAGACATGCACCACCATGCCAGGCTAATTTTGTATTTTTAGTAGAGATGGGGTTTCTCCATGTTGGTCAGGCTGGTCTCGAACTCCCGACCCCAGGTGATCCACCTGCCTCGGCCTCCCAAAGTGCTGGGATTACAGGCGTGAGCCACTGCGCCCGGCCACTAGCTTCTCCTTCATCACTATTACTTATCTCACAAAAGAAAATGCCACTACATAAAACAGAAATCATTTTTCATATCTCTGTGATACATTACATTTCAAAGGTAAATCGAGTAAGCTGGTTTGGGTTGAAATGCAAGTACTTTCTCTTGCTGGTCCAACAAAACTATGTCTACTTGTCAAACCAGTGAAACCTTTATCAACATCAAGAAGCTCCAAGAAGAAGAGTAATAGAAATAATATTTTGACATTATATTAAGCCTAATTCTCCCTCCTCAGTCCTTAGGAAAGTGGTAATGTGCATCCTGAATGCAGAGGAGAAACGAGCTCTCCCATTCTCTCCTTATCCAGTAGTCTTCACACCCAGTAGAAGAAAAAAAAAAATTCCCTGACCTTTCCTTCTCTTGCTCCTTACACGTAGCTAAACTTCTACCAAGTCCAAGGATAAAATGCTGCCAATCTGCGTTCTTTTTATAAAAAGTATTTGTCCTTCATGAACATCAACTATGCAGCCTATTGTGTTTTTGCTTTATTTTCAGGTACATAACATACACGAAAATGTCAATCCACTCATGTTAGTGCATATTAACAGAAAAAGAAAAGAGATTCCTTAATTACCTTCATTCTAAATACAGATATCTAAAAACATCCATAGCATCCTTAACCTTTCCACAGCCTACTCCCATTTACCTCCTTTGCCCTCCAAACCCTTAAGACTAAAGCAAAGATAGCTCCTACTACAATTCCTTACTTTAAAGATGGAAACTCTGAGGCACAAAACTATTAAGTTAATTGCCCCGTGTCTCACAATTAATCAGAAGGACATACAAAGCTCAAGTCCACATGTTCTAGCTCCAGATATGGTGTCCTTTTCATCCTCTACAGATGAAAAAAATCTGTTTCACTAACACGTCTAAAATAGCTACTTAAGTCCACTAATTGCTCTACAGAATCAAGTCCATAGATAGATTTTATTCATTGCCCAGGAAAGAGACAAGACAAAGCATCCAGTCCATTTCAAAATGTAACAAGGAAGAGAAAACACAGGAAGAGGACAGTAATACTCACTGGCTTTAGCCTGAAATTACTTACGTAATATGTAACTACACAATCAAATGACAGGTGGTGTTTTTTCCTTTAAAAACCATACTATAATAAAACCACTTGGCTTTATTATAATATCAGGATGTGATATTCTCAAGTGGGAGGTTCTACATGGACTCAAACTATGTTACCATTCCTCAAAACAGAATGCACCCAATTTTTTTCAAAAACCTCTGTAAAAGCAAAACTTAATTTTGAATGTAGATTTAACTTTCAGAAACATGCAAAAAAAATCACAAGAGAGCTTCCTAACTATTTAGAGGAGATGGACTATTTAAAAGTGGGCAATGCTTGTCATTATCATAGCCATCATTTATTGAGTACATTCTATGTGCTAGGCTCATTACTAAACCTTTTATATGTATTCTCTCATTCCCCACAACAACCCCATCAGCATGATTAGCCCAGGTTTACAGATGAGGAAATAAAGTTCAGAGAGGTCAATTATCTTGCCCAAGGTCAAACAGTAGCAAAACTAAGATTGAAACTCAGATCTTCCGGATTCCAAAAAAACATAAAGAAGTAAAAGCACTGGGTGGTAGGTGGGCATGCACAATTTCTAATGAACCATCAATCTGAGAATTCTATAAGCCTTCAGTTTATTTAATTTATCTGGTGAATAAATGACATACTGCATTTTATCATATATAAGATATTGCCCTCAAATAATGAGACTACTGTTTTGTGTGTCTCAAAAACCGGCTTTAGTAGCCATTCCAAAGAAGAATTACAAAGACTTTTAAGTAGTGACAGCATTATCCATATAACGTGTACTGCTTTGGAAGAAAGGAGTCAATCTAGGTGAATAAGTTCTGGTATATTGTTAAAAATTCAAACTTACTGCTTAATAAAAACGTCTTTTATTTACAATCTGAAGTTTAAGCTCCTGAATCCCTCAAGCCCTCAAGTGTACTCGGAAAAAGGCTTCACATTGATCAACCTACCAAGCACACACCGAAGGCCTACTAGTGCGCACTGCAATAAGACAGACTATGGGAACCATATTAGAAACTTACTCCATCCACAAGGAGTTAGCAGGTTGCTTCCAACCACGCACACAGTCAGTCATTACTGGGACAACCAAAATCCTCCGGTGCTATGGGCTGCCCTACAAAGGAAGCCTGCTCTTTGGAACAATAATTAGATCAATTAGGTCATTTTCCCAGAGCTCCTTTCACTTTCTTGTAAGCACCGCATGGTTGTGGTTGGTTTTGACATTGGTGTTGGCATTAGTGAGTTAATTTTCCTCTTGCCTGGCTCCCTGCTCCCTCCCCCTTCTCTCCCTTCTTGCCTCTTCCACCCGAAGTGGAAACTGCAGACTCAAACTCCCCTATGGCTCCAGCACCAAGAACTGGGCATGCTCAGAAGGCCAGGCAGGCTTTGGTTGCAACTGACAGTTCCCCGCCCCTGATTTGCCGCTACCCCCCTTCCCCCACTCCAACAAGAGATACTGAAATGTTTATCTGAAAGATACGAGGCCTCTTTTTCCCGAGAATGACCCCATTTTAATTTCATTTCGCAGGGTCTCTGAGTCTTGAGAAACCCCCGCTGGAGCCCGAGGAAGACCGTATTATTTTTCAGCACCGGGGACAGCGCCGCGCTGCCATTAACGTCCACCCTCCCCCACCTTCTCTCTCCGCCACCCCCCACCCGCCCCAACCTCAGCCCCCACCCCCGCACCAGCACAATGCCAAGGTCTCCCAGCAGCCGCAAACGCCGCAGCTGCAATAGCTCCCAGCCGAGGCCGGGCCGGAATGCCGGGCCGGCTGCTACTTACACTGCTCCGCTTTGGTGGACATGGTGCTGTCCAGTTGGAAAGGCTTTGCCCCAAAATCTGTGTCGTGTGAGCTCCCTCGCTCCGCCAGCGATGTTGCGAGGAAAAGAGTGCATACCCCCCACCCCCCACCCCCTCGCTTTCCCCCTCCCTTAGGCCCGTGTCGCTACCATTCGGACAAAACGCACATCAAATTGCAGAATTCGGTCCCGGAAGGTTAGGAAATCGCCCCCGGAGAAATGGGTGGGATTTAATAGGCGGCCAAAGGCTTCCTGTCCGTCCCCTCCTGGAGCTGCCCGCGTTGATGTGGGCGGGGAGACCGAAAGGAGAGAGCAGGCTGCGGCTCCTGGTGAAATGGGAAAATGGGCTCGACCGGGGGAGGAGTATTTCCATTCATAAGGCGCACGGAGGGGACGGGTGTTTCCCAGAGAAAAGCCTCTTAAAGCGCCGGAGTCCCCGACCATTTGGATCTCCCATTGGCGTTCTCCGGGCCTGTAAATCCTGCTCCCGGAGCAGCCCCCGGAGCCTCAGCAGGGTGACCAGAGAGGGACCCAGGTGCGTCCCACGCTTCGTCTCAACCTCGGGGAGGAAGGAGAGGGAGGCGGATCCGGGGCGGGCTGGAGCGCCGGGGCCGGAGGGCGCGAGGATGTTCCTGAGGACCGCGAGGAAGAAAATGCAGGAGGAACCCTCAGCATGGCTTCCCTGTGCGCTGCGGTCCCTGCCCTCGCCTCCCCTCTGCGATGGGCTCTCCTGCTGATGATTGGGGATGGGAGGTCCCACTGCCAGGGGGCTGTGACAAGACTTTAGAAGTTGGGGCTGAAGGAAGGAGGAGATGTCCACGGATGGTGAAGCTGGAAGGGCCACAGAAAAGGAAGATGAAAGACTGAAGACAGGAAGACCCCAGGTGTGCTCCCTTGCAGCCATCCCAGCTGGACAGGGACACATTAGGAAGCCCCTCGACTGGAAAACCGAAGGCAGCGGGAAAGGAAGGCAATAGACGAGGGCATCGTGCATATTAATAGGAAGATATCCAAAGAATCCACTACAGAATGGAGAGACACTTGGAGTCGGGAAGAACCAGATTCAAGACCCACTTTTACCACTTACTCACTCAAGGACCATCTTCTAATCTCCCTACACCTCCGGTTCTTTATCTGTAAAATGGGAACATTAAAACCTTGCCCTGTCACCTGAAGAGTTACTGGGCAGATCGAATGGATGCGCAAGTCCTTGTAAACTAAAAGTACGGCACAATCCCCAACCATTATGTCCATTCTTCATTCAAATAGTTTAATTTGTTAAAGCTGAGGGGCATGGTCATAGCAGGTTAATTTAGTAAAAGTTACAGGAACAAAACGGTAAGTGTTGACAATGACTTTTAATGCTGATAAATCAATGTTTTCCACCTCAGAGAATAAAAGATCCTATTTAGGGAAAGAATTTTAAATTCTGTGTAATATATCAAACTATTCAGGTGAAATCTTGGACAATTAAGAAAAATATTATGAACAAACATCAAGGAAAGATGCTTCTGAGTAGCAAATAAAAAAATCTACAAATAACAGGGAAACTGCCCATAATGATGCACACACAGCACTCAAGTTTCATGGTATTTGCAAAAATGTTCATAAAGGGTTAGTGAATTGGCTCTTTGGGTTGCATATGTGATTGGACTCTGACATCCTGCTGATTGGCAGGTTGCTCTGGCTAATCAGCTATCATTCCATGTCATTGTTCATTCCCAAAACCACATCCCAAAGAGAAGTTCCATTTATTAGTAAAAGATAAATGATTATGTGAAGCATGATGCCAAAGAGTTCGTTCTGAGTAAAAAGAAATTGGAATCATTCTAAAGAAAATATGAATATAATGAACATTCCTGAGAAGATGACAAACACTTTGTATGACTAAAAGAAAGCTCAATGGGTTATTCAGAAAATTCTTGGAAGCCTGAGGCTTTGATAAAGAAAACAGTAATTGGAAATTAACACACATGAAAAAGAGGTGTCTTGGATAATACAGAAACAAAGGACAAAGTATGTGTTGGAAACCTATTATCCCTTTATCTGCTTAACAATCTTTCATTTGTCATCAATTAACCCTCCCGTTACTGAGTTAAGGGAGAGTATAATGGTGTTAAGTCATGGACTGAGGAGTTAGACAGCCTGGGTTTGAATTCCAGCTTTGCCTCTCATGATCTGTGTAACCTGGTGCAAGTTACTTAACTTCTCCATGCCTCGACTGCCTTACCTGAAAAATGGTCATATCATAGTCACATTAAAGGTTGTCAGGAATAAATAAGTATATATATGAGAATCTAGAACAATGACACATATGAGTGATGGCTGCTATTAGCATTACTGCTGAAACTCCTCAAATGCACCCAATCCATTCAGGTTAGTTCTGATGCTTCGGAGCCTCCAAAGCCTGATAGCACCCATATAATTGAGACTCTAATCATCAACCTAGGCACTCACAGCTTGAGCCTTCTGACATGCCCATTAACTCACTAACCTGGGCCATATCCATTACTCAGTTTCACCATTCCGACATATGGCCTTACTACTTCAATGAACTCCCTCACCTTTCCTTCTGTCTCCACCTATCTCAATCCTTCCTGCTTAGTTTTCTTCTATTGCAGAGGTAGTGCCTCTTCTCATTGCCAGATGCAATGCCTTTTTTTCCAAACCTATGCCTCTAATTATAAACATTTCTACTTATTCTAGAATTTGCTATTTTAATTATCTTCTTTTTCCCAGCATTTTAAGTCTCATCTTTTCAATGGATTTTCCCATCCTGCTTGCAAACATGCATAAATTTTTCATCCTCAAAAAGCTGTGCCTATCATCTTACTGAATAAGTGGCCTCCATTTCTCCATTTCCTCACTACCCTACCTGCTATCAAATTGTGGCTGAAACAGGTTACTTCAATAGTCACTAATAATTTCCTAATAGTAAATTATAATTGCTTTATCTCTTGGTGACTAATGCCAGCATTTGAAATTTCTCCCTATTTCTTTTTGAAATTCCCTCTTCCCTTGACTTCTATAACATAATGCTCTTCAAAGTCTTCTCCAAACTTTTTGCCCATTCTATTGTTTAATGAAGTAATTCAAACATAGAAATATTTTAAAAATCATGAACACTAATGTTACCACTACCCAGTCTCATCAAATCTTAATATTTTGTCATGTTGCATTGTTTTACTTTTCAGAAAAAAACATTTTAGAGACATTAGAAGCCCCCATAAAAAATTATTCTAAATTTGTGGTTATGTCCTTATATTTTATATTATTTATTTATTTGTTCAGCAACTACTTATTGAGTGCCTATGTATGTCAAACACTGCTCTAGGAACTTGTTATAATGTAGCAAACAGAGAAGACAAAAAAAAAAATCTGCTTCTTAAAACTAATATTCTAGTGGAAAGACAAAAAATAAGTAAGTAAAACATAATATATTCAGTGCTGACAAGTACTAAAAAGAAAAATATTACACAAAGGGAAGGAGAAAGTTTGTATTGAAGGGTTTGAAATTTTGAATGAGATAAAATTTTAGATAGGGTAATTACATACACACCATATATGTCTATTTCCATAAGCAACATATATTATTTTACATGTTTTTTAATTTTCTATAATTAATACCACACTATACATATCTTTTTAAAACTTAACACTTTATGCTCAACATTCCATTTTGGTTTAATTATGTTTATTAAACACTATGTGTGAGGAACACCCCATACAATTAGTGATTAAAGACTCCAATAGCATACTCACAGCTTGATTGACCCAAAATGCCAAAATACCTAGTTAAAAGCAATTATAGCTGCTAGAAAGTGAAGGGAGAACTGTGAGAAAGAGAGAGCCACAGTAAAGGAGATATCACCTATTTACCTCTGCCCAAATATCTAGCTGATCTCTGAACCACACATGTGAAAGCCTGCATGCAAACAACAAAAACCCAACTAGGGATTCAAGAACTAAACTGATATTCAATAAACTGATAGTTTATAGTTTATATCCCATTAAGTTAGTTACCTGCTAAAAAAGTCAACACTCTTCAGAGGAAAATAACAGAATACAGAGTCTCCACAACACTAAAATCACAATGTCCAGGATACAATCCAAATTTACATGACACACAAAGAAACAAGGAAATGTGACCCACTTGACCAATGGTGAAGAAAAAAGACAATAGAAAATGAACCCAAGATGATCCAGATGTTATCATTAACAAAGATTTTAAATCATGTAAGTCTGCTCAGTGCAGTGAAAAAAAAATGCTTATAATGATTGTAAAGATGTCAGTAGAGAAATTGAGACTATATTTTTAAAAAACCATTGGAAATTTTAGAACTCAAAAGTACAATATGTGAAATAAAAAATTCACTAGATGATATTAATGGCAGGGTGTAGAAAATAGATGAAATATGAAGTAAGCTTAAAGATAAATCACTGTAAATTATCCAATCTGAAAAACAGATCGAAAAAAATAATTAGAGGAAAAGGAACATAGCCTGGGGCCTGTGAGACAATAACAAAAGTTATAACATATAATTATACTCACAGAAGAAGAGGATAAAAATACTAATAATATATTAATATATTATTTTAAAATATTTAAGAACAAATATTTAAGGAAATAATGGCTGAAAATTTTCCAAAATTTGGTGACAAAAAAAATTTACAGATATAAAAAGAAGTACAAACCCCCAAGCAGGAAAAATACCATGAAAGTCAAGCCTTAAGCACATCAGATTCAAAATGCTGAAAAACAAAGACAAGGGAAAACCTTGGAACCAACCAGAGAATGATATACAATGACACACATTACATACAGGGAACATCAATGCAAATTAACACTGACTTCCAATCAGAAACAATGGATATCAGAAGATAATAAACTAACATCTTTACCATACTAAAAAGAAAAAGAAAACTGTTAATGCAGTGGCATATTTGGCACACACAAAAAAGTCCTTCATAATGAAAATAAAATAAAAATATTTTCAGATGGAAGAGAACTGAGAGAATTTGCCACCAGCAGACTTGCACTATAGGAAATAGTAATGGAAGTTCTTCAGGCTGAAGGAAAATGATACCAGATGAAAATGCAGATTTTCTCCCAGTCTACAGCTTGTTTTTCACTTTGTTTATGGAGTCTTTTACTGAAGAGTTTTAAAATGTAAACATAGCCAAGTTTAACCAGCCTACCAATCTTTTTCTCTATAGTTTGTGCTTTCCTATGCCCAAGGTTGTAAACAGATTCTTATATTTCATTCTAAAAGTTTTAAAGTTTTACTTTTCACATTTAAGTGTTTGTTTCAACTTAAATTTATGTTTATGTTTATGTGTGAAGTGGGGTCTGCTTCTTCCCCTATGAATAAGTAGCATCTTACCCATTTATTAAACTCTTCCCCAAAAGGTTCTAATTCCATGCCAACTTGATCATAAATCAACTTTTTTATGTATATATGAGGCTATTTGCCAGATTTGTATTCTGGACCACAGGTATGTTTGTACTTGCCTGTTTAACCATACTGTTTTAATAATGATAGCTTTATAATAAGTCTTTATAAGGCAAGTCCTCCCACCAGTGCTTGTTCTTCAAATTTATCTTGGCTATATTTGACCATTTTGCCTACTGCATCCCCACCCAAATCTAATCTTGAATTGTAATTCCCAAAATCCCCATGTGTCATGGTATGGATCCAGTGGGAGGTAATTCAGTCATGGGGGCGGTTACTCCCATGCTGCTGTTCTTGTGATAGTGAGTGAGTTCTCACAAGATCTGATGGTTTTATAAGGGGCTTTTCCCCCTTTTGCTCAGCACTTCTCCTTCCTGTCACCATGTGATGAAGGATGTGTTTGCTTCCCCTTCCACCATGATTGTTAAGTTTCCTGAGGCCTCCCCAGCCATGTGGAGCTGTGAGTCAATTAAACCTCTTTCCTTTATAAATTACCCAGTCTCAGGCAGTCCTTTATAGCAGCATGAAAATGGACTAATACACCTGCCATGTGAATTTTTTTAGTTTCAATTTTTAATTTTTGAAGATACATAGTAAGTGTATATATTTATGGATGAGATGTTTTGATATAGGCATGCAATGTGTAATACGCACATCAGGGTAAATGGTGTATTCATCACCTCAAGCATTTCTCTTTTGTGTTATACGCAATCCAATTATATTCCTTGTTATTTTTAAATGTGCAATTAAATTATGTTTGACTACAGTCGCTCTACTGAGCTAGCAAATACTAGATCTTATTCATTATTTCTAACTATTTTTTGTACCCATTAACCCTCCCCCATTGCCCCTCCACCCCCACTATTCTTCCCTGACTCTGTTAACCATCCTTCTACTCTCTATCTCTATGAGTTCAATTGTTTTAATTTTTAGGTGCCACAAATAAATGAGAACATGTGAAGTTGTTCTTTCTGTGCCTGGCTATTTCACTTAGCATAATGACTTCTAGTTCCATCCATGTCATTGCAAATGGCAGGATCTCATTCTTTTTTATGGCTGAATAGTACTCTCTTGTGTATATGTACCACATTTTCTTTACATGTTTATCTGTTTATAGACACTTAGGTTGCTTTCAAGTCTGGCTATTGTGAACAGTGCTGCAATAAACATGAGAGTGCAGATCTCTCTTCAATGTAATGCTTTCCATTACTTTGGGTATATACCTAGAAGGAGGATTGCTGGATCTTAAGCTCTATTTTTAGGTTTTTGAGGAACCTCCAACTGTCCTCCATAGTGGTTATACTAATTTACATTTCCACCAAGAGTGTATGAGGGTTCCCTTTTCTCCACATCCTCTCCAGCATTTGTTTTTGCCTGACTTTTGAATAAAAGCCATTTTAACTGGGGTGAGATGATATCTCATTGTAGTTTTGATTTGCATTTATCTAATGATCAATGATGTAGAGCAACTTTTCATATGCCCGTTTGCCATTTGTATGACATTTTTTGAGAAATGTCTATTTAAATCTTTTGCCCACTTTTGAATTGGATTATTAGATTTTTTTCCTACAGAGTTGTTTGAACTCCTTATATATTCTCGTTATTAATCCCTTGTCAAATAGGTAGTTTGAAATATTTTCTCCCATTCTGTGGGTTAGCCCTTCACTATGTTGATTGTTTCTTTTGCTGTGCAGAAGCCTTTTAACTTGATGTGATCCCATTTGTCCATTTTTGCTTCAGTTGCCTGTGCCTGTGGAGTATTACTCAGGAAATCTTTGCCAGTTAAGTGTCCTAGAAATTTTCCCCAAAGTTTTCTTTTAGTAGTTTCATTGTTGGAAGTCTTAAATTTAAGTCTTTAATCCATTTTGATTTGATTTTTGTATATGGTGAGAAATAGGAGTCTAGTTTCATTCTTTCACATATGGACATCCAGTTTTCCAAGCACCATTTATTGAAGAGACTGTTCTTTCCCGAATATATGTTCTTGGTAGTTTTGTCAAAAATGAATTCACTGTAGATGTATGGATTTATCTCCAGGTTCTCTGTTCTGTTCCATTGGTCTATGTGTCTGTTTTTATGCCAGTACCATGCCATTTTGGTTACTATAGCTCTGTAGTGTAAGTTGAAGTCAGGTAATGTGATTTTTTCCAGTTTTGTTCCTTTTGCTTAAGATAGCTTTGGTTATTCTGGGTCTTTTGTGGTTCCACATAAATTTTATAATTGCTTTTTTCTATTTTTGTGAAGAATGTCATTGGTATTTTGATAGGGCTTGAATTGAATCTATAGATTGCTTTAGGTGGTATGGTCATTTTAACAATATTAATTCTTCCAGTACATGAACATGGAATATATTTCCTTCTTCAATTTCTTACATCAATGTTTTATAGTTTCAGTGTAGAGATCTTTCACTTCTTTGGTTAAGTTAATTTGTAGGTATTTTATCTTATATTGTAACTATTGTAAATGGCATTACTTTCTTGACTTCTTTTCTTTTTTTTTTTTTTTTTTTTTTTTTTTTTGAGACAGAGTCTCGCTCTGTCCCCCAGGCTGGAGTGCAGTGGTGCGATCTCAACTCACTGCAAGCTCCACCTCCCAGGTGCACGCCATTCTCCTGCCTCAACCTCCTGAGTAGCTGGGACTACAGGTGCCCACCATCACACCTGGCTAATTTTTTGTATTTTTTTTAGTAGAGACAGGGTTTCACCGTGTTAGCCAGGATGGTCTCAGTCTCCTGACCTCATGATCCACCTGTCTCGGCCTCCCAAAGTGCTGGGATTACAGGCATAAGCCACCAAGCCTGGCCTTGATTTCTTTTTAAGATTGTTTGCTGTTGGCATATAGAAACACTACTGATTTTTGTATGTTGATTTTATATCCAGCAACTTTACTGAATTTACTTATCCATTCATGTTTTTAATATAACATTGTTTATATCGAGGTATGTTCCTTCTGTAAACTAAAAATACAATTCTAAGGCCCCCCCAACCATCTGAATGAACCCCTCCTTTTGGCCAAGGGCATTTCAAAGTTAACCTGAAAAACTGGTTCAGAACGTGATGGGAATGGAGGGGTCAGACATGCCTCATTATGCCCTCCTTCCTTTTGGAATTCAGGAAAGGCCAACCAGCATTCACATCAACACAGACCTTAAGTCTGATAAGAAACACTTATAATCTATTATCTCTGAAGCCAGCTACCTGGAGGCTTCATCTGCATGATAAGCTTTGGTCTCCACAACCTCTTATCATTGTAAACAAGATATTCCTTTCTATTGATTCCCGGTCTTTAGATAATAACAACTCTTTCAATCAATTGCCAATCAGAAAATTTTTAAATCTTCCTACAACCTGGTAGCCTGTGCTTCAAGCTATCCCACCTTTCCAGACCAAACCAATGTAAATCTTACAAGTGTTTACTGATGTATTATGTCTCCCTAAAAGGTATAAAAGCAGGCCATACCATAACTACCTTGGGCCCATATCATCAGGACCTCCTGAGGGTGTGTCATGGGTGTGTTCTTAACCTTGGCAAAATAAACTTCCTAAATTGATTAAGACCTGTCTCAGATACTTTTGGGTTCACACTTCTATACCCAGTTTTATAAGAGTTTTTATCATGAAGAGGTGTTGAATTTTATCAAATGCTTTTTCAGCATGAATTGAAATGATCATATGGTTTTTATCCCTCATTCTGTTGATATGATGTCTCACATGATTGATTTGTGTGTATGTTGAACTAACATTGCATCCCTGGGATAAATCACATTTGGCCATGATAAATGTTCTTGTTTTCTTTTTTTTTTTTTAAGCTATCTCCTACATGAAGGATAATCTTTGTTTAAGATGTGTTGTTAAATTTGGTTTGCTAGTATTTTGTTGAGGATTTTTGCATCAATATTCATCAGTGATATTGGCCTATAGTGTCTTTTTTTCTTTTTGATGTTTCTTTGTCTGGTTTAGTATCAGGGTAATATTGGCCTCATAGGATGTATTTGGAAATATTATCCCCTCCTCTACTTTTCCAATATGTTTGAAGAGGACTGGTACTATTCTTTAAATGTCTGGCAGAATTCATCAGTGAAGCCATCAGGTCCCAGGCTTTTCTTTGCCTGGAGACTTTATTATGGCTTCAATCTCACTACTTGTTATTGGTCTGTTCAGGTTTTGGATTTATTCATGGTTCAATTTTAGTAGGTTGCATGTGTCTAGGAATTTATCCATTTCTTCTAGTGTTTCCAATTTATTGGCATATATTAATAGTTCCTCATAGTAGCCACTAAATGAGCCTTTGAATTTCTGCAGTATAAGTTGTAATGTCTCCATTTTCATCTCCTATTTTATTTATTTGAGTCTTCCCTCTTTTTTTCTTAGTCTGGCTATAGATTTATCAATTTTGTTTATCTTTTCAAAAAGCCAAATTTTTGTTTCATTGATTTTTATGTTGTTTTCTTCATATTAAATTCATTTATTTTTGCTTTGATCTTTATTATTTCTTTCTTCTAAAAATTTTGGGTTTGGTTTGATCTTGATTTTCTGGTTCTTTATGATGTATTATTAGGTTGTTTATTTGAAGCTTTCTTATTCCACAATGTAGGCACTTATAGCTGGGAACTTCCATCTTCATACTGCTTTTGCTATATCCCATAGGTTTTGGTATGTTGTGTTGCCATTGTCATTTGTTTCAAGAAAATTTTCCATTTCCTTCTTAACATCTTTATTGACTCACTGGTCATTTAGAAGTATATTGCTTAATTTCCACGTTTGTAGAGTTTCCAAAGTTCCTCTTGTTATTGATTTCTAGTTTTATTCCATTGTGTTCAGAGAAAGTGCTTGATATTATTTTAATTTTTTTGATGTTTTAAGACTTGTTTTGTGACCTAATATATGGTCTATCCATGAGAATTATCTATGTGCCAAGGAAAAGAATGTGTATTCTGCAGCTGTTGCATAAAATGTTCTGTAAATATCTACTAGTTCTGTTTGTTCTATAGTGCAGATTAAGTCCAGTGTTTCTTTGTTAATTTTCTGTCTGGAAGATCTGTCCAATGCTGAAAGTGGGGTGTTGAAGTCTTAAGCTATTATTGCATTGAGTTCTATTTCTCTCTTTAGCTCTAATAATATTTTCTTCATATATCTGGGTACTCCCCTATTGAGTACATATATATTTACTATATCCTCTTGCTGAATTGACCCCTTTATCATTATATACTGGCCTTCTTTGTCTCTTATAGTTTTTGTCTTGAAATCTATTTTGTTGGATATAAATATAGCCACTCCTGCTCTTTTTGGTTTCCATTGGCATGGAGTATTGTTTTCTATCCCTTTGTTTTCAGTCGATGTGTGTCTTTATAGGTAAAGTGTGTTTCTTGTAGACAACAGATCATTGGGTCTTTTTTTTTTTTTTATCTGTTCAGCCATTCCATGTCTTTTGATTGGAAAGTCTAGTTAATTTACATTCAATGTTATTATTGATAAGTAAGGACTTACTCCTACCATTTTGTTATTTGCTTTCTGGTTGTTTTGTGGTCTTCGCTTCTTTTCTTCATTCCTGTCTTCCTTTTAGGGAAGATAATTTTCTCTGGTGGTACGATTTACTTATTTTAGTTTTTAAGGGATGAATAATAGAGAGTGATTAGGTTATTTTATTTTATTTAGTTATTTTTAATTATTTTTTATTCTTTTATAAAGACAGGGTCTCACTATGTTGCCCAAGCTGGTCTGGAACTTCTGGCCTCAAGCAATCGTCTTACCTTGGCCTCCTAAAGTGCTAGTATTACAGGGGTCAGCCACCACACCTGGCCATGATAGCATGATTTAATTTCTTGCTTTTAATTTTTTGTGTATCCTTTGTATGTTTTTTATTTAAGGGTTACCATGAGGCCTACAAATACTATCTTATAACCCATTATTTTAAGCTGATAACAACTTAACACTGTGTGCGTAAGTAAACAAATAAGCAAAAAGAAAACCAATAAAACTCTACACCTTAACTTCATCCCCCTGCTTTTTAACTTTTTGCTGTTTCTATCTTATCATACTGCCTGTTTCTTGAAAAGTTGTAGTTATTATCTTGGATGAGTTCATCATTTAGTCTTTCTAATTAAGAGTGGTTTACGGGCTGGGTACAGTGGTGCTGGCCTGTAATCCCAGCACTTTGGGAGGCTGAGGCAGGTGGATCACGAGGTCAGGAGTTCAAGATGAGCCTGGCCAAGATGGTGAAACCCCGACTCTACTAAAAATACAAAAATTAGCCAGGTGCAGTGGCAGGTGGCTGTAATCCCAGCTACTCAGGAGGCTGAGTCAGAACAACTGCTTGAACCTGGGAAGTGGAGGTTGCAGAGAGCAAAGATTGCACCACTGCACTCCAGCCTGGGTGACAGAATGAGACTCCATCTCAAAAAAAAAAAAAAAAGGTGTGGAGCCAAGATGGCCAAATAGGAACAGCTCCGGTCTACAGCTCCCAGCGTGACACAGAAGACGGGTGATTTCTGCATTTCCATCTGAGGTACCGGGTTCATCTCACTAGGGAGTGCCAGACAGTGGGCACAGGACAGTGGGTGCAGCGCACCGTGCATGAGCCGAAACAGGGCGATGCATTGCCTCACTCGGGAAACGCAAGGGGTCAGGGAGTTCCCTTTCCTAGTCAAAGAAAGAGGTGACAGATGGCACCTGGAAAATCGGGTCACTCCCACCCTAATACTGTGCTTTTCCAACGGGCTTAAAAAATGGCGCACCAGGAGATTATATTGCGCACCTGGCTTGGAGGATCCTACGCCCACGGAGTCTCACTGATTGCTAGCACAGCAGTCTGAGATCAAACTGCAAGGCGGCAGCGAGGCTGGGGGAGGGGCGCCCACCATTGCCCAGGCTTGCTTAGGTAAACAAAGCAGGCGGGAAGCTCGAACTGGGTGGAGCCCACCACAGCTCAAGGAGGCCTGCCTTCCTCTGTAGGCTCCACCTCTGGGGGCAGGGCACAGACAAACAAAAAGACAGCAGTAACCTCTGCAGACTTAAATGTCCCTGTCTGACAGCTTTGAAGAGAGCAGTGGTTCTCCCAGCATGCAGCTGGAGATCTGAGAACGGGCAGACTGCCTCCTCAAGTGGGTCCCTGACTCCTGACCCCCGAGCAGCCTAACTGGGAGGCACCCCCCAGTAGGGGCAGACTGACACCTCACATGGCCGGGTACTCCTCTGAGACAAAACTTCCAGAGGAATGATCAGACAGCAGCATTCACGGTTCACGAAAATCTGCTGTTCTGCAGCCACCGCTGCTGGTACCCAGGCAAACAGGGTCTGGAGTGGACCTCTAGCAAACTCCAACAGACCTGCAGCTGAGGGTCCTGTCTGTTAGAAGGAAAACTAACAAACAGAAAGGGCATCCACACCAAAAACCCATCTGTACATCACCATCATCAAAGACCAAAAGTAGATAAAACCACAAAGATGGGGAAAAAACAGAGCAGAAAAACTGGAAACTCTAAAAAGCAGAGCACCTCTCCTCCTCCAAAGGAACGCAGCTCCTCACCAGCAACGGAACAAAGCTGGACAGAGAATGACTTTGACGAGTTGAGAGAAGGCTTCAGACGATCAAACTACTCCAAGCTACAGGAGGAAATTCAAACCAAAGTCAAAGAAGTCGAAAACTTTGAAAAAAATTTAGACGAATGTATAACTAGAATAACCAATACAGACAAGTGCTTAAAGGAGCTCATGGAGCTGAAAGCCAAGGCTCGAGAACTACGTGAAGAATGGAGAAGCCTCAGGAGTCGATGCAATCAACTGGAAGAAAGGGTATCAGTGATGGAAGATGAAATGAATGAAATGAAGCGAGAAGGGAAGTTTAGAGAAAAAAGAATAAAAAGAAATGAACAAAGCCTCCAAGAAATATGGGACTATGTGAAAAGACCACATCTACATCTGATTGGTGTACCTGAAAGTGACGGGGAGAATGGAACCAAGTTGGAAAACACTCTGCAGGATATTATCCAGGAGAACTTCCCCAATCTGGCAAGGCAGGCCAACATTCAGATTCAGGAAATACAGAGAACGCCACAAAGACACTCCTCGAGAAGAGCAACTCCAAGACACATAATTGTCAGATTTACCAAAGTTGAAATGAAGGAAAAAATGTTAAGGGCAGCCAGAGAGAAAGGTCGGGTTACCCACAAAGGGAAGCCCATCAGACTAACAGCGGATCTCTCGGCAGAAACTCTACAAGCCAGAAGAGAGTTGGGGCCAATATTCAACATTCTTAAAGAAAAGAATTTTCAACCCAGAATTTCATATCCAGCCAAACTAAGCTTCATAAGTGAAGGAGAAATAAAATACTTTACAGACAAGCAAATGCTGAGAGATTTTGTCACCACCAGGCCTGCCCTAAAAGAGCTCCTGAAGGAAGCACTAAACATGGAAAGGAACAACCGGTACCAGCCACTGCAAAATCATGCCAAATTGTAAAGACCATCGAGGCTAGGAAGAAACTGGATCAACTAACGAGCAAAATAACCAGCTAACATCATAATGACAGGATCAAATTCACACATAACAATATTAACTTTAAATGTAAATGGACTAAATGCTCCAATTAAAAGACACAGACTAGCAAATTGGATAAAGGGTCAAGACCCATCAGTGTGCTGTATTCAGGAAATCCATCTCACGTGCAGAGACACACATAGGCTCAAAATAAAAGGATGGAGGAAGATCTACCAAGCCAATGGAAAACAAAAAAAGGCAGGGGTTGTAATCCTAGTCTCTGATAAAACAGACTTTAAACCAACAAAGATCAAAAGAGACAAAGAAGGCCATTACATAATGGTAAAGGGATCAATTCAACAAGAAGAGCTAACTATCCTAAATATATATGCACCCAATACGGGAGCACCCAGATTCATAAAGCAAGTCCTGAGTGACCTACAAAGAGACTTAGACTCCCACACAATAATAATGGGAGACTTTAACACCCCACTGTCAACATTAGACAGATCAATGAGACAGAAAGTTAACAAGGATACCTAGGAATTGAACTCAGCTCTGCACCAAGCAGACCTAATAGACATCTACAGAACTCTGCACCCCAAATCAACAGAATATACATTTTTTTCAGCACCACACCACACCTATTCCAAAATTGACCACATAGTTGGAAGTAAAGCACTCCTCAGCAAATGTAAAAGATCAGACATTATAACAAACTGTCTCTCAGACCACAGTGCAATCAAACTAGAACTCAGGATTAAGAAACTCACTCAAAACTGCTCAACTACATGGAAACTGAACAACCTGCTCCTGAATGACTACTGGGTACATAACGAAATGAAGGCAGAAATAAAGATGTTCTTTGAAACCAACGAGAACAAAGACACAACATACCAGAATCTCTGGGACACATTCAAAGCAGTGTGTAGAGAGAAATTTATAGCACTAAATGCCCACAAGAGAAAGCAGGAAAGATCCAAAATTGACACCCTAACATCACAATTAAAAGAACTAGAAAAGCAAGAGCAAACACATTCAAAAGCTAGCAGAAGGCAAGAAATAACTAAAATCAGAGCAGAACTGAAGGAAATAGAGACACAAAAAACCCTCCAAAAAATTAATGAGTCCAGGAGCTGGCTTTTTGAAAGGATCAACAAAATTGATAGACTGCTAGCAAGACTAATAAAGAAGAAAAGATAGAAGAATCAAATAGATGCAATAAAAAATGATAAAGGGGATATCACCACTGATCCCACAGAAATACAAACTACCATCAGAGAATACTACAAACACCTCTATGCAAATAAACTAGAAAATCTAGAAGAAATGGATAAATTCCTCGACACATACACCCTCCCAAGACTAAACCAGGAAGAAGTTGAATCTCTGAATAGACCAATAACAGGCTCTGAAATTGTGGCAATAATCAATAGCTTACCAACCAAAAAGAGTCCAGGACCAGATGGATTCACAGCCGAATTCTACCAGAGGTACAAGGAGGAACTGTTACCATTCCTTCTGAAACTATTCCAATCAATAGAAAAAGAGGGAATCCTCCCTAACTCATTTTATGAGGCCAGCATCATCCTGATACCAAAGCCGGGCAGAGACACAACCAAAAAAGAGAATTTTAGACCAATATCCTTGATGAACATTGATGCAAAAAATCCTCAATAAAATACTGGCAAACTGAATCCAGCAGCACATCAAAAAGCTTATCCACCATGATCAAGTGGGCTTCATCCCTGGGATGCAAGGCTGGTTCAATATACACAAATCAATACATGTAATCCAGCATATAAACAGAACCAAAGACAAAAACCACATGATTATCTCAATAGATGAAGAAAAGGCCTTTGACAAAATTCAACAACCCTTCATGCTAAAAACTCAATAAATTAGGTATTGATGGGACGTATCTCAAAATAATAAGAGCTAACTATGACAAACCCACAGCCAATATCATACTGAATGGGCAAAAACTGGAAGCATTCCCTTTGAAAACTGGCACAAGACAGGGATGCCCTTTCTCACCACTCCTATTCAACATAGTGTTGGAAGTTCTGGCCAGGGCAATCAGGCAGGAGAAGGAAATAGAGGGTATTCAGTTAGGAAAAGAGGAAGTCAAATTGTCCCTGTTTGCAGATGACATGACTGTGTATCTAGAAAACCCCAACGTCTCAGCCCAAAATCTCCTTAAGCTGATAAGCAACTTCAGCAAAGTCTCAGGATACAAAATCAATGTACAAAAATCACAAGCATTCTTATACACCAATGACAGAGAGCCAAATCATGAGTGAACTCCCATTCACAATTGCTTCAAAGAGAATAAAATACCTAGGGATCCAACTTACAAGGGATGTGAAGGACCTCTTCAAGGAGAACTACAAACCACTGCTCAATGAAATAAAAGAGGATACAAACAAATGGAAGAACATTCCATGCTCATGAGTAGGAAGAATCAATATTGTGAAAATGGCCATACTGCCCAAGGTAATTTATAGATTCAATGCCATCCCCATCAAGCTACCAATGACTTTCTTCACAGAATTGGAAAAAAACCACTTTAAAGTTCATATGGCACCAAAAAAGAGCCCGCATTGCCAAGTCAATCCTAAGCCAAAAGAACAAAGCTGGAGGCATCATGCTACCTGACTTCAAACTATACTACAAGGCTACAGTAACCAAAACAGTATGGTACTGGTACCAAAACAGAAATATAGATCAATGGAACAGAACAGAGCCCTCAGAAATAACGCCACATATCTACAACTATCTGATCTTTGACAAACCTGAGAAAAACAAGAAATGGGGAAAGGATTCCCTATTTAATAATGGCACTGGGAAAACTGGCTAGCCATGTGTAGAAAGCTGAAACTGGATCCCTTCCTTACACCTTATACAAAAATTAATTCAAGATGGATTAAAGACTTAAACGTTAGACCTAAAACCATAAAAACCCTAGAAGAAAACCTAGGCATTACCATTCAGGACATAGGCATGGGCAAGGACTTCGTGTCTAAAACACCAAAAGCAATGGCAACAAAAGCCAAAATTGACAAATGGGATCTAATTAAACTAGAGAGCTTCTGCACAGCAAAAGAAACTACCATCAGAGTGAAGAGGCAACCTACAAAATGGGAGAAAATTTTCACAACCTACTCATCTGACAAAGGGCTAATATCCAGAATCTACAATGAATTCAAACAAATTTACAAGAAAAAAACAAACAACCCCATCAAAAAGTGGGTGAAGGACATGAACAGACACTTCTCAAAAGAAGACATTTATGCAGCCAAAAAACACATGAAAAAATGCTCACCATCACTGGCTATCAGAGAAATGCAAATCAAAACCACAATGAGATACCATCTCCCACCAGTTAGAATGGCAATCATTAAAAAGTCAGGAAACAACAGGTGCTGGAGAGGATGTGGAGAAATAGGAACACTTTTACACTGTTGGTGGGACTGTAAACTAGTTCAACCATTGTGGAAGTCAGTGTGGCGATTCCTCAGGGATCTAGAACTAGAAATACCATTTGACCCAGCCATCCCATTACTGGGTATATACCCAAAGGACTATAAATCATGCTGCTATAAAGACACATGCACACGTATGTTTATTGCAGCACTATTCACAATAGCAAAGACTTGGAACCAACCCAAATGGCCAACAATGATAGACTGGATTAAGAAAATGTGGCACATATACACCATGGAATACTATGCAGCCATAAAACATGATGAGTTCATGTCCTTTGTAGGGACATGGATGAAATTGGAAATCATCATTCTCAGTAAACAACCGCAAGGACAAAAAACCAAACACCGCATATTCTCACTCATAGGTGGGAATTGAACGATGAGAACACATGGACACAGGAAGGGGAACATCACACTCTGGGGACTGTTGTGGGGTGGGGGGAGGGATAGCTTTAGGAGATATACCTAATGCTAAATGATGAGTTAACGGGTGCAGCACACCAGCATGGCACATGTATACATATGTAACTAACCTGCACATTGTGCACATGTACCGTAAAACTTAAAGTATAATAATAATAAAAAAAATAAGAGTTGTCTACACACCACAGTTACACTGGTATAATACTCTGTGTTTTTTTGTGTACTTAACTATCAGCAGTGAGTTTTATACCTTAAGACGATTTCTTTTTGCTCATTAACATCCATTTTTTTCTGATTGAAGTACTCCCTTTAGCACTTTTTGTAGGACAGGTCTGGTGTTGATGAAATCCCTCAGCTTTTGTTTGTCTGGGAAGGTATTTCTCCTTCATGTTTGAAGGATATTTTCACTGGATATACTATTCTAGGATATATGTATTTTTCCTTCAGCCCTTTAAATATGTCATGCCACTCTCTCCTGGCCTGTAAGGTAACATTGAACTTTGCAAACATAGAGAAAGATATCAACATCCAAGTACAAGAAGGTTGTAAGACACCAAGAAGATTTAACCCAAAGAAGACTGCCTCAAGGCATTTTATAATCAAACTCCCAACAGTCAGTATTGGAGGTCTCCATTTTATGTTATTTCTTTATTTTCTCTTGCTGCTTTTAGGATCTTTTCTTTATCCTTGACCTTTGGTAGTTTGATATTAAATGCCTTGAGGTAGTCTTCTTTGGGTTAAATCTGCTTGGTGTTCTATAGCCTTCTTGAACTTGGATATAGATATCTCTCCCTTAGTTTGGGAAGTTCTCGTTATTATCCCTTTCAATAAACTTTCTACCCCTATCTCTTTCTCCACCTCCTCTTTAAGGCCAATAACTGTTAGATTTGACCTTTTAAGGCTATTTTCTATATCCTGTAGGCATGCTTCACTGTTTTCTATTTTTTTCTTTTATCTCCTCCATGTATTTTCACATAGGCTGCCTTCAAGCCCACTAATTCTTTCTCCTCCTTGATCAATTCTGCTATTAAAAGACTCTGATGCATTCTTCAGTATGTCAATTGCATTTTTCAACTCCAGAATTTCTGCTTCTTTTTATTTCAATATTTTTGCTAAATTTATCTGACAAAATTCTGAATTCCTTGTCTGTGTTATCTTCAATTTCTTTGAGTTTCCTCAAAACAGCTATTTTGAATTATCTGTCTGAAAGGCAACATATCTTTGCTTCTCCAGGACTGGTCCCTGGTGCCTTATTTAGCTCATTTGATAAGGTCATGTTTTTCTGGATGGTCTTGGTACTTACAGATGTTTGTCTGCGTCTGGGCATTGAAGAGTTAGATATTTCTCAGTTTCCTGGTCTGGTCTTGTTTGTATCCATCCTTCTTGGGAAGGCTTTCCAGATATTCAAGAGGACTTGAGTGTTGTGATCTAAGCTGTATCTGCATTAAAGGGCACCCCAGGCCCAGTAATGCTGTGGTTCTCACAGACTCATACAGGTACCACCTTGATTGTCTTGGAAGAGATCTGGAAGAATTCTGTGGATCACAAAGCTGAGACTCTTGTTTTCTTCCCTTACTCTCTGTCAAAAAAATGGAGTCTCTCTTTCTCTGTTCTCAGCTGCCTGGGGCTGGAGGTGGAGTGACACAAGCCCCCACTGTGGTCACCACTACCAGGACTGCACTGGGTCAGCACAGCACTGGGCCTCAACCCAAGGCTAACTATAACCACTACCTGGCTATCACCTTTGTTCCCTCAAGGCCCTGGGGCTCTACAATCAGCAGGCAGGGAAGCCAGCTAGGCTTCTGTCCTTCCCTTCAGGGCAGCAAGTTCCCCCAGGTCCTGGGTGGGTCCAGAGGTGACATCCAGGAGCCAGAGACTACGGTCAAAAACCTTAGAAATCTAGCTGGTGTTCTATTGTACTGCAGCTAAGATGGCACTCAAATCAGAAGACACAGTCCTTTCCACTCTTCTCTCACCTTTCTAGAGGCAGAGGGGCCTCATCCTGTGGCCAGGATGGGGAGTACTGCGAAGCTACCACCAATACTCCCTTAAGGCCCAAGAGCTCTTTAGTCAGCTTGTGGTGAATGCTGCCTAGCCTGGGACTCACCCTTCGGGGCAATGCGCTCCCCTCTGACTCAGGGTAGACCCAAAAATGCCATCCAGGAGTCAAGACCTTGAACTGGGGACCCCAAGAGCCTGCTTGGTGCTCTATTCCCCTGTGGCTGAGCTGGTACATATGGAGCAAGCCAAAGTCTGCTTTTCTTTTTCCTCCACTTTCCTCAAGCAGAAGGAGTCTCTCCCCATAGCCACCACAGCTAAGAATGTGCTGAGTCTCACCTGAAGTCAGAAAATCTCAGTTTCACCTACGGCCCACAGTGTATTTCCTGGGCATCACTGTTGGTTATTCAAGGATCAAAGGCTCTTTAGTTAGCAGACAATGGGTACTGCCAGGACTGGGTCTTTCCCTTCAAGGAAGCAGGTTCCCTTCTGGCCCAAGGTGTGCTAGAAATATAATCCAGGAGCCTAGAAAGGGGGCCTCATTACTTTGACCATTGTCCTATTCTACTGTGGCTGAGCTGGTATCCAATATGCAAGACAAAGTCCTCTTTACTCTTCTCTCTCCTCTCTCCTCACGTGGAAGGAAGGGACCTCTTTTGAAGCCATGAGCTGTGCAGGCTGGGGTTGTGGGAGGGGTGGCACAAGCACTCCCCTAGCTGCCCCAGCTGGTGTCTCAGTAAGTGGCATGTCCCCCAAGTCCACTGGCTCTGATACCAGTTCAGCACTAGGACTCACCCAGGAGTTCCTTGTAGCCTAAGGTGCCTTTCAAGTTTAATGAGGGTCCCAGAGCACTCCATCCCTAGGTGGCAAGACTTGCCAGAACTAAAGTTCAGACCGCTGGGATAGGTGATTCCCCTCTGGCTAGGGCTGGTTTAAATACTCCCTCTGTGGGCAGACGTCAGCTGAGTTCAGCCTGGTATTGCTTTTTGCTATGACAGGGCAGAACTAAGTTTCATGTAATGTTTCACAGTTGCTGCACTCACCCACTCCCAAGTGTCCAGATTCTCTCTCCCTGCCACATAGCCACTGCTAGGTGAGGGAGGAAGGGTGGTGTCAGTGATTCAAAACTCTTTTCTAGCCTCTTCAATGCCCCTTTCAGTGATATGAAGTTAAAACCATATATTGTGAGTGATCACCTAATTTTTGGTTCCTATGCAGGTGCTTTTTGTGGACAAATAGTTGTTAAATTGGTGTCTTTATTGGGGGACTGATTGGTGAAGCCTCTATTCAGCCATCTTACTCCACCCCTTCTACTCATGTAAATTTTAGAATCAATTTATCAAATTATATTTTAAAACCTTTTGAAATTTTGACTGGAATTGCATTGAATGTATGAAGTAATTTTGAGATAATTTATATCTTGACTGTTTTTATTCATAGGAATGATGTCTCTTTCCATGTATCTAGATATTTTATTTTTTATATATGTTTCCATTTATTTATTTATTTTACAGACAGGGTCTTGCTCTGTCACCCAGGCTGTAGTGCAGTGGTGCTATCATACTTCAGTGCAGCCTCAAACTCCTAGCCTCATGCAATCCTTCTACCTCAAAAGTAACTGGGACTACAGGAGCATGCCATCAGACCTGGCTAATTTATTTTTATTTTTTGTAGAGACGGAGGTCTCACTATGTTGTCCAGGCTGGTCTCAAATTCCTGGCCTCAAGTGATTCTCCTGCCTTGGCTTCCCAAAGCACTGGAATTATAGGTATGAGCCACTGCACCTGGCTATACCTAGCTTTTCAATAATATGCTGTAGTTTTCTTCATAAGAGTCTTGAACACCTTTTGTCAAATTTATTTATAAGTACCTTATAATTTTATTGCTATTTTGAATGGAATATTATTTCATATTATATTTCAAATTAATTATTATTGAGATACAGAAAGAATATTGATTTTAGGTTGATCTTATATCTAACAACCTTGCTAATCTCTCTTATCAGTTCTAATACTTTGTAGATTCTCCAAAATGTTCTACATAAACAAACTTAGCATCTACAAATAATGAGAGTTTTGACTTGCACTTACAATTATTATAATTATTATTCAATCTTACTACATTGGATAAGATCTCCAGAACAATGCTGAATAAAAGCAGTATAGTGAATCCTTTCTTTATTCCTAATTTTATTGACAAAGTGTTTAAAATTCATCACTAAATTTGTTATGCTTATTGTAGGACATTTTTATAGATGTGGTTGAGGAAGTTTCCTTCTATCATATTTAGCTAAGAGTTTTTAGTGATAAAGTTTTATTGCATTTTAAAATAAAGGTTTTATTAGGCAGATAGTACAGAGTTCCCATATACCCTGTCTTCCCCTCCCACATCACATACACCAAGTTTTTCCCATTACTAACATCTTGCTTTAATGTGGTACATTTGTTATAATTGATGAACCAGTATTGATATGGTATTTTTATTTTTACACTTTGTGGGTTTTTTTTAAGACAAGATCTCACTCTGTTGCCTAGGCTAGAATGCAGCGGTGCAAACATAGCTCAGTGTGGCCTTGGCCTTCTGGGCTCAAGCAATCTTCCCGCCTCAGCCTCCTGAATAGCTGGGACCACAGGCGTGCACCACCATGCCCAGCTGGTTTTTTATTTTTTGCAGAGACAGGGTCTTTTTATGTTGCCTAGGTTAGTCTTGAACTCCTGTGCTCAGGTGAGCTTCCCACCGTGGCCTCCCAAAGTACTGGAATCACAGGCATGAGCCACTGCACCTGTTCTTATTATGGTATTATTAACTAAAGTCCATAGTTTACTTTAGGCTTCACTCTTTCATCAGTACAATTTTAGAGATAAGCCAGTCAAAGGTATTCTTCATCTTTCTTAGTGTTTTCTACTTCTAGCATTTCCTTTAGATTCTTTTAGAGCTTCCATCTCTCTACTTATATTACTCGTGTGTTCTTCTTTGCTGTCCACTTTCTCTATTAGAGCCCTTAGCATATTAATCATAGTTATTTTAAATGTCCAGTCTCATCATTCCAAAGTTTCTACCCTATTCGAGTCTGGTACTGATGCTTGCTTTGTCTTTTCAGACTGTGTTTTTTCTTGCCATTAATTATGCCTTGTAATTTTTTGTTGAAGACCGGACATAATGCATTGAGTAATAGTAACTGTAGGTATACAGGCCTTTATTGTGCAGTTTTGTGTTTATTTGGCTGAGAGTTAGTCTGTGCTTAATGTTGGCTATAACTGTAGGTGTCAGAGCCTTCAATTTCCTCTAGTGCTCTTGTTTTGTCTCCCTTGTTCAATTTGAGTTTCCCTAAAAATGCCTTCTTAAATCGTCTGCGTCTTTCATCTCTCTTCCTTGTGATCTTATGTTATTATGCTAGAGCCCTGTTGATGTGGTAGTAAGGTACTGGGGAGGAGAAGCATTCTATAATCTTATAATTAAATCTCCAGTTTTTTTAATGGGCCAAATTTTCTGGACTGAGACCTTCCAAATAGTTTCTTACCTTTTTTTCCCCTGCATTTCTGTGAGACGGAAAAACTAGAGTGCACTCCAATGATCTGATTGCCCTTCTCCTAACACAGATAAGGCCTGGTAGTTTCCTTTAAGGACAGACCTTTGTTAGAGAGAACAGATGTATTTTCCTCTCCCCTGCCAGAGGCATGAGATTTTTCTCAGCACTTTATCATGAGAACCTGGTGGGGCTCCTAGAGATAAAACTTATGAAAGTGGGTGTCCTCCCCACAAGTCTAGGCCCTCAAGAGTTTTTATGTCTCAAGTTAGTCCACACTCAGCCTCCAGCAATGTGTCAATTATTGTTTAAGTGTTTCTATCAGGTATTGCATTTAGAGGCTTCTGCTCCCTGTAACCTGTGATTCTCTGTATTTGCCTATCTCTCTAGTTTGGGGAGTTGTGGTGTAATGAGTTGAATAGTATCCCCCCAAAATGTATGTCTACCAAGAACCTCAGAAGGTGACCTTATTTGGAGATAAGGTCTTTGCAGATGTAATCAAGTTAAGATGAGCTCATACTGGGTTAGAGTGGGCCTTAAATCTAATAACTGGCACCCCATAAAAAGAGAGGAGATGCAGAGACACACACAGGAAATAAGTTCATGGAAAGATGAAGGCAAAAATTGGAGTGATGCAGCTACAAACCAAGGAATACCAAGATTGCTGGGAGCCACCAGAAGCAAGGAAAAAATGAAGAATTCCTCCCTAGACTATCTAGGGCTTCCATCTGCTGACGCCTTGATTTTCTTTAGACTTCTAGCCTCCAGAACTAGAACAGAATAAATTTTTGTTGTTTTAAGCCACCTAGTTTATAGTACTTTGTTATAGCCGCCTAGGAAACTAATATATGCAGTTCACCTTCTGATCCCTATTATCTAATAGATCTAAGAAAAGTTGCAGAGTTTCAGTTTCTCCCTTATTATGAGATGAGTGATAACTTCCAAGCTCTTTGTGTGTTAGAGCAGAACCCAAAAGTTTGTACTGAGTTTTAATAAATCATCTTTTAGGATGATCATAAGGTTTTCTGTCTGTTAGTAAGATGTATTATATTATTAGATTTTCTTGTTTCCTTGTTTTCTTTTTAGAGACAGGATCTCACCTTGTTGGCCAGGCTGGAGTGCCAAGGCATGATTATAGTTCACTGTGGCCTCAAGCTTCTGGGCTCAAGTGATCCTCGCACCTCACCCTCCCAAGTAGCTGGGACTACAGGCACATGTTACCATGCCTGACTAATTTTCTTTTTCTTTTTTTTAAAGATATGGGGTCTCACTATGTTGCCTAGGCTGGTCTCAAACCTCTGGACTCCAGAGATCCTCCTGCCTAAGACCCCCAAAGTGCTGGAATAACAGGCGTGAGCCACCATGCCCAGCTCATTAATAGATTTTCTAAAGAATCCTC
Organism: Homo sapiens; assembly: GCF_000001405.40. NCBI lineage: Eukaryota > Metazoa > Chordata > Mammalia > Primates > Hominidae > Homo > Homo sapiens. The sequence continues at coordinate 93,406,273 of NC_000014.9, read as the reverse complement.
ACATCCCAGAAATAAACTTGATCCTAATATACTATTTTTTCTTAACACTGCTGAATTTGCTGTGTTAATTTTTTTTCTAGAATTTTTGCACCTATGATGGAAAGTGACATTGTTTAACAATTTTCTCATCCAATTATAGTATCAAAGCTATAGTAGCCTGTAAATGAACTGAATGGATCTCCTTCTTTGTCTAATCTCAGTTTATATAAAATAGGGATTAACTATTCCTTGGTAGTTTAGGTGAATGGTGATCAGCCATCCTGTCTACCCAGGACTGTCCCAGCTCAGCATTAAAGATCAATGTCCCAGGAATCACAAGTCCTGGACCAACCAGGATAGTTGGTCACCTTAGTAGATGAAACTCCGCTGGTATCTTCTGATATTGGGGAAAGTAGTGGAGAGATTACTCTCCTGCTCTTCTATTTCTAGTTTCTTGAGTTAAACATTTAACTATTTTTAAATGTTCTTAACAAGTGCATTTACTTTCCAGTGTCACCTTAGCTGTATGCATTTCAAATTACATTTATTGTCATTTGATTCTGAATATTTTTGTAATTGGCATTGTGAATTCCTCTTTAAATCAAACATACAGAATTTTCTTACCATCTTTTTCTTGTGGATTTCTAAACTGTAGCCAGCAAATATGACCTTAATAACATTAGTTCTTTGAATTTTGAGACTTCTTTTATAACATGGAAAGGTGATCAATGTTTGTAATGTTCTCAGATTACTTGAAGCATTTATATTCTTTGTTTGTTGGAAAAGAGGGTTACTTTTGTTAACTTTGGATAGAAATTTTTTATATTTTGTTAATTTTTTATATGCTTGACTTAGTTTCTCTCACTTTGTGGTTTTTATTCATTTCTCCTTGTAATTCTGTCAGTTTTTAGTTATTGATATAACATTCACAATATCATATATAATATTTAAAGGTTATGTTATTTAGGGTAAACATAATTGTTACATCTTCTTGTGGATTTTTTTTTTTTTGAGATGGAGTTTTGCTCTTGTCACCCAGGCTGGAGTGCAATGGTGTGATCTTGGCTCACTGCAAACTCCGCCTCCCAGGTTCAAGCGATTTTCCTACCTCAGCCTCCCGAGTAGCTGGGATTACAGGTGCCCGCCACCACACGCAGCTAATTTTTGTGCTTTTAGTAGAGAAGGGGTTTCACCACGTTGGCCAGGCGGGTCTCGAACTACCGACCTCAGGTGATCCATCCGCCTCGGCCTCCCAAAGTGTTGGCATTACAGGCATGAACCACCCCTCCCGACTCTTCTTGTGGATTTTTAAAATTAATATATTGCAGCCTCATTTATTCTTTCAAATGATTTTGCCCTAAATTCTAATTTCCAATACATATCTATATAAGCTTCTTAAAATTAGTGTTTTCATTAGAGTTGGCTTCGTATATAATAATTTTCCATCCCTTTATGTTTGTCTAGCCTATGTGGTTTTAAGCTTGTCTCCTTTAAGACGCAAATAGCCAAATTTTATTTTTTACTCAATCTGCTCTCTTTCATTAAGAGAGGAGTTGAATCTTTTTATGTTTATTCTGATATACTTAAGCTTATATTTCATATCTTATTTTATATAGTTTTTACTGCCCTTTTTTCTCCTTTTCTCCCATCTTACTTTTAATATAAATTTTTCTGTAATCTCTCCTTTTCCCCCTGCTCATTTGAAAAATATGGATTGTGTTTCTATGTTTTACTGATTACATATATATTATATTACAATAATATATAATATGTATATATTTATATATATATATATATATATTTTTTTTAGAAGGTCTCACTCTGTCATTCAGCCTGAAATGCAGTGGTGTGATCATAGCTCACTGTGGCCTTGAACTCCTGGGTTCAAGCAATCTTCCTTCCTCAGCCTCCCAAGTAGCTGGGACTACAGGTACATGCCATCATGCCTGGCTAATTTTTTTTTTTTTATTTTTGTAGAAACAGGGTCTCACTATGTTGCCCAGGGTCACATTTTTTAAATGAAATGTTTGTGAATTTTTTAACAAATTCTAAAACCATTCAATATTTCAATCCTCTTCCCAACTGAATACGACTCCCCATTTTGTTACTGTTACTTAGAGTTTCAGTTTGCCTTTAAAAATAAAACTCACCATTCTCTTGGTCAACAGCTAATTAAATTTACCAATGCATTTTATCAATTTCTGTGCTCACAATTATTTCTTGCACACCATCCCTTCTCCTGGGTTTACTTTTCTTTCTTACTGAAGTATATCCTTGATTATTTGTTTCCAAAAAGTTATACAGCTAGAAAACAGTCCTACTCTTTCTTTATGTATCTGCAAATGTTTTTTGCCCACACTGTTAGGTGATATTTAAGTGGATATAAGAGTCTAGCTCACTCCATCTCAAAAAAAAAAAAAAAGAGTCTAGCTCAAAGTCTTTTTCACTTCAACACTTTCAAGATGATATCATTGTTTTCTGGGATCCTTTATTGGTGAAAAGTTACCTGTCACTCCAATTGCCTTTTTATAAAATAATCTAATTTTTTGGTGCTTCTTCTTGTGGTTGATAAAAAAAAATTTTTTTAATCCGCTTTTTCCCTCTCTGTAGCATTAGAACACTGTATTGATCATCAGTGTTCTGCAAATCCACTATGATGTGTCCTCATGTAGATTTATTTTATGCTGTTTGCTGTTGGAAACGCACTTTCTATCTGAGGACTCATGGCTTTTGTAATGCTGAAAAACTGTCAATATCTCTTGTGAAAAGAAAATAAATCTCAGGACCCCAAAATCACTAAGCTAAAGGGAAAGTTAAGCAGGGAACTGCATCAGGCAAACCTGCCTCCCATTTTATTCCTAAATGAGATGGCTGCAAAGATAAAAAAGCTGTCTACTTCCCTCGCAATTTTCCCACAGAGAAATTCCTTGTGGACCTAAAGATCTTTACCCTAAAACAGTCCTGCTGAATTTCACCTTGGCAATGTAAATTCATAGCTTATCTTCACAGCTGCAGGACAAAGGACAGAACTCAAAGTCATCCCTCTGCTTACACGAGAAAAATGCATATCTGATTGCTTCCTCTGTCCTATTGTTTATGTAAAAATGCAGATTCGCTGAGCCAGACTAAGGCATAAGTGACTATTCCTCTACCCCCCTCTCACATGTAAATTGACTACTCAGTGAAAGGCTGACCAAAGACTCAAGAGAATGCAACCATTTGTCTCCTACCTATTTATGACCTGGAAGCCCCACTCCCACCTGCCATTTTGAGTTGTCGTGACTTTCTAGACAGAACCAATGTACATCTTACACATATTAATTGATGTCTCATGTCTACCTAACATATATAAAACCAAGCTGTGCCTCAACCACCTTGGACACACGTCATCAGGACCTCTTGAGGCTGTGTCATGGGTATGTCCTTAACCTTGGCAAAACAAACTTTGTAAATTGCTCAGCAGAGACAGCAGAGAAGAAATATCTGCCAGTGGGAACCACAAGTATACGAGTCTACTTTTGGTTCACACTCTCACATATTTCTTCTCTACTGTCTCCTCCCTTTTCTTCTGGAACTTCTATTTGATATTAATATTTCAGAACCTCTAATTCTATCTATATCTCTTACTTGCTTGTTCATATTTCTTATCTCCTCACCTCTCATGACACATTCTGAGTGAATTCCTCAGAACTAGCTCTCAATTCACTGATTGTCTTTGTGTCCAATCCCGTGTGTATCCCAATTAATGTTTCATTTCAATGGTGTATATATTTCATTTTCATATATTTAATTATATTTTTTCATATCTACCTCTTCTCAGTTCATATCTGCTTTTTTGTTTATAATTTTTTCCTCCTTATGCATTTTATTCCTTCATTCAATACCAAATATACTTTAGTTTTAGGGTTTTTGACAGTTTGTTTCATAAAAATAATTTTATTTACAGTGCATTCACAGTCTCATAATTTTTTTAAGCTGGTTTTTTTTTTCTTTTCTTTTCTTTTTTTTTTTTTTTTTTGAGACAGAGTCTCACTCTGTCACTCAGGCTGGAATGCAGTGGTGCAATCTCAGCTCAGTGCAATCTCCGCATCTTGGGTTCAAGCAATTCTCCTGCCTCAGCCTCCCAAGTAGCTGGGATACAGGCATCCACTACCACACCCAGCTAATTTTTGTATTTTTAGTGGAGATGGGGTTTCACCATGCTGGCTAGGCTGATCTCAAACTCCTGACCTCTGGTGATCCGCCCACGTTGGCCTCCCAAAGTGCTGGGATTACAGGCATGAGCCACCATACCCGGCCTATGCTGTATTTCTTACCATTACATTACATTGTGGAATCTTGAATTGGATACGTCCTGTGTGAGAGGCTTTTGTTCTTATTTCATTTTCTCTCTCTTCTATTCCCTTATGCTCACTCTTCCCTTTCTAACAGTTTGTGGTTTGTCTGTTTGTTTCTACCTAACTCTCTGGACAACCAGTCCAGAACTAGACCTTATATACTAGCAGATAAGGATGTCAAATAGAGATATCACTAATCCAGTCACAAGACATTGGGCAATTTGATTCAGTCTGAGTCTCAAGGCTGTACCTATAGCTATCTGAATCTCTAGGCTGACAGCATGTTCTAAGCTGTAGGTATCCCAAGAAGGAGCCAACAACAATTTTCTTCAGACTCTTTTCTTGAGGTGGAGTGGGGCTGGGGCTAGCAGGAGACTTCAAGCAGTAAATGTGGCTCTAGTTCCTGTCTTACAAAGAGCACTACTCAAACCTGAAATGCGTTGTCTGCTTTCAGCCTGGAGTCCAGAGGCTTGTGGCATCAACCCTACTCATAAATTTGCATTTCTGTTCAGTTTCTGGTACAAATTGATATTTACCTTGTTTTGAGCTCAGTGATGATTTATCTATCATTACTGTGAGTTAAAGGCTCAAAACATGTACATGCTGCCACCTTGGGCAAGTAGTATCTGCCTAGTTCTTCATCTTTTGTATCCTACCCCTCAAAAACTGTGAGTTGTTTATCAAAGCTTTGCCCTTGGAATTTTCATCTTTTTTCTAAGATCTGTCTCTCTTTGGAAATTTTATCTACTCCTGTGCTTCGACAACAATTTACATGTTGAAGATTATCAACTTTTTAAAAAAATTTTTGTCCCAACCACTCTGCCAAGATTCAAGCTCACATTTTTAACTGTTTAATAGATGTCTATATCTGGATGCCCCACTAATACCTTAAACTCAGCATACATAAACCATGCACTATTTTCCTATCCCCATCAACACCTCTTCCTGATTTTATTTCTCATAATGAAGGTATCATTCTCACTATCACTGTTATCCAGACTTGAATTCTCAATGTTGTCTTATTCTCCCATCTGCTTCATCCGTATCATCTAATCAGGCTTCAAGTCCTGTCTTGTCTCTTTCAGAATCATCCCTGAATTCATTTCTTTCTTTCCATATTTTTTGCCATAACACTAATTCATTTCTTCTTGATCTCACATCCGAATCATTGAAATCCCTTCCATGATGGTTTCCTGGGTACTGCTCTCACTCCACTCTCAGCTTTTCTTCATTCTGCTCCCAGCATGATTTAGAGTAAGCACCCTAAAGCGATATGCACCGTAGACCCCAGTGCCCTGTGCTGTAATCAAACTTATCCTTGTGCCTTCCTCGTCATTAAGCCTTTATTCACGTCATCCCTTCCCTACATTTCTGCCTTAAAAGGCTGTCTTTATTCTGCTCAATTACTACTTTATCCATGAATTCTTCTCTAATTAATTCACTCAGAGGAATTTTCCCCTTCATCTGAACTCCCAGGATGCTTTCCTGAACCATTCATGTGGCACTTATCTGCTAATTTATACCATATTTAACTACTACTGTCAGCTCTTCGGGGATGGGGGTCAACTACATAACCCACATCAACCTTAAAACAAAGTCATGCCCACAAGAAGAGTAAAAAGAATAGAACCTTTGAGATAAACTGTTATTCATTTCTTGACTCTGCCATTGATTGACTTGGGACATGTTAAATTTTTCTAAGTATTAAACCTCTCAAATACCATGCATGATACTCCCTTAGTTTCTTCTCAGGTAAACCATCCCAAAACAGCCCCCGCTAAAGGAGCATAAAATATTTCTCCCAAAAACATTCTCTCTCACAAATATAAACAAAAAAGTAGAAGAATCAGCCAGTTGGTCATAGGAAGAGGAGAACACAGATATATCAATGGCAAATAGGGATACCTGAGTTGGGTCAATGATGGATAACATGCAGATCCATTGACTCTGCTTCTAAAGTCCCTAAAACTCCCAGGACTATGAAAGACCTTTCCGTTCCAGGTTCTATCTCAGGCGGTCATGGGTCCCATTAATCCTGTGGCCTAGTAATTAAGCTTTTCCCAGATAACCATTAAGGATAGCTGCTTAATGAATATCCTGTTTTCTATACACACACATGTATATATGCAGGAAATCTGCACATAGGAGATTGGCAATGCAAAGGAAGAGCCCCAACTAACATCTGAACTTCCCTCACAATAAACCCTCTACTACTTGTGGTGAATTTTGGTTCCATGACAAGGAAAGGGACCAGCTATTAATAAAATACCAAATCTCTGTATCTATCAAATTGGATTATTGATGGCAACCTCCAAAGGTCAGATGAGAGGATTAAATGAAATCCACATATAAAGTGCTTGGCACAGTGCCTGGCACATATTAAGGATCTAATAAAATTAAGCCTCTTTTCTCCTCAAAAATAGTATGGGAAGAATAGAAGAAAAATGGGTGGAAAAAAAGAATGACTGTAAGAACTGACCTACCATTAATTAATGCTGTGTATCTTCAATAGTGCCCAGCAATCATTTCAGTTATGTCTTTTTGATTCCCTGGTAGTCTTACATAATTGTGCTCGGCGGAATTCCTATTTAAAAATTTTCTTATTCCCAAATTATATTTCAACAAGAAATTTGATGTGACCAAAATGAGTTCCCATGTGATATGGTTTGGCTGTGTCCCCACCCAAATCTCATCTCAAATTGTAATCCCCACGGGTTGAGGGAGGGGCCTGTAATCCCCACATGTAGAGGGAGGGAGGTGTTTGGGTCATGGGGGCAGTCTTCCTCATGCTGTACTTACTCATTATAGTGAGTGAGTTCTCACAAGATCTGATGATTTTATAAGTGTTTGACAGTTCCTCCTTCACATGCTCACACTCCCTCCTGCCACCTTGTGAAGAAGGTGTTTGCTTCCCCTTCTGCTGTGATTGTAAGTTTCCTGAGGCCTCCCCAGCCATGCAGAACTGTGAGTCAATTAAACCTCCTTTGTTTATAAATTACACAGTCTCAGGTAGTATCTTTATAGCAGCATGAGAATGGACTAATACACCATGTTTACCCCAACACACACCATTCCATTTCATACTCATTTCTTCCCTCCTGTCTGTGGGTACATGCCACAGTCCTTTAACCTCTTGCCTAGCTAAACCCTACATATTATTCAAAGAGCAGTTTTTCCTCCTACATAAAGACCTTCCTGGATACTGCAGCTGTTACAGACTTTCTTCTTCTCTAAAACCCTTCTGTGTTTGTAGATTACAACATTCAGGAAAATCCTAAACTGTCTTGGCATTATTTAATCCTTCATCATGGGGTTTGCCTTGACAATCAAAATACAAATGGCTAGCCTGAAGCAACTCTGATAAGCTGCAATGCCTGCCCCACACTGTCCCAGGAAAATGCAATGGACATCAGATAAACAGAGTTCTCTGGACCAGTGTGCTCCTCATAGTCTGTCCTGAACCAATTGCCTGGGCCTGTTAATGTGATTGTGCTCTCTCAATTCCTCTATATAGTCTTCTGTTTCTGCCTACATTGTGCCCTTCCAAATTTAGCACAATATTATAATCAAAGCTCCAAACTTGTTTCTTCTCTATAATGTTGCCTCTTCTCTATCCTGAATGCCTTACTTCAACTTTCCTTGGCTTATTATCCTCCTAGTCACACTCAGTCTTGTGCCCAGGGCAACATCCCACCTGGCTGGCTTATCCCTATCCTGTAGGTATTACCAAATCACAAGACCCTTGTGGCACACACACATAAACTCTTATGCTTCAATATACCTATATCTTGTAAAACAGAACAGCCAGACTTTTTTTCTAGTGAAGTACTACTACACAACCAAGCTCTTAATAATTATGGAGAAGACATCATTGAAAATGGTGGAGTAGGGACCTCTGAAATTCTCCATAAAAGGAAAGAGAAAACTGGCAAAATTTGTCAAAATCAACATGTCAGAACTTGAAATTGACTAAGGGCTTGCAGCAATTCAGACATCATTTATTCACTCAACAAAAATGGCTGCATCTTGTTAAGAACAAAATTTTGTGGGTTTTTTAAAATTTTGAGACAGGAATCTCACTATGTTGTCCAGGCTGGTCTCAAACTCCTGGCCTCAAGTGATCCTTCTGCTTCAGTCTCCCAAGTAGCTGGAATTCCAGGTGCACACCACCATACCTGGCCAAAAAAAAAAAAAAATGACTCCAACCATTGTTCTAAGGATGAGAATGGAATTAGGGGACACTCTCAGCTATGATCAAGGATCTGTTTTTCCTTTTTGAAACAGAATCTCACTATGTTGCCCAGGCTCATCTCAAACTCCTGGGTTCAAGCAATCCTCTTGCCTCAGCCTCCCAAGTAGCTAGGATTACAGGCAGGAACCATAGGGCCCAGGTTGTAGCATTTTAATTTTCCCTAGCCCCATCCCCCACTCTCCAGAAACACTACAGCCTTGGAAATTAACAGACTGCATTTGCAGTGAAAATTAGAAGCTGGAAACCACTGGAGAGGACAGGATCAAGTTGGGGTTTCTTTAAAGCCCTATTCCTAAAGGAATTGCCATTATTCAATCTGTCTGGTAGTTCCCTGGAAGATCTCACTTCCAGAAATTCAGATAAGTTGTCTGAATGTTACCTGACAGGGAGTTTTCCAAAGTGACAATTCAAAAGGGCTTTACCCAGGGCATTTGTCAAAAACAAATAAGTCAACTGTTTAAATTCATACCTGGCTTGTCGGATGGTAGTGGGTTATCAGAACTTATTAACATTAGTGTCACTAAAGTTGGTATATAACCACCTGCTGCTAAATTTGACTGGCTTCTAAAAATAAAATAAAAAATAAACAAATAAATTCATAACTGCCTGATGAGGTGGAAAACAGGACAAACAATGGACTAAGCAAAAAGCTTAAAGGGAAACAATAGAAAACAAGATGTCCTAGGCTTTTTGAAATGTTTTGAAATATTCCTAGGAACCTAGATGACCACACACATATATATGCCTGTGCCCATACTCAGTGGTGACTGACAACATGATAAGAAAATCTGAGAAGGCCCTAAGCTCTCACATCTGGCTTGAGGAATTGCATAAGCAGAAAGTGAGGGCCAAGACAGAGCTGTCAGTTGCTTGGCTGAGAGTTGAAAGCATGCCACAACACACACACACACACACACACACACACACATACACACACATGCCCTTTGCAAAGACTGGGAGATTTATTGGTTCTAGGCAATCAAGAAAGTCTTCATCCAATAATTAGCTGACCACTAAGCTAACCAAGCAGAGACTTCAATAGCCACATAGAATATAGATGTTACAGCAATAATTGAGAAGAGTCACTAAACAAACACACTAAAACAAACAGTAGCAACAAGAAACCCTGAGGTGGGGGAAGAAAATCTGACTTCCAGAACTACTATACTACTTAAAATGTCTAGCTTTCAACAAGAACAATAAAAAGACTATAAGAACAGTAAAAAAATAAGAAAGTATGGGCCATACGTAAGGAAAACAAGCAATCAACAGAAACTGACTCTAAGAAATCCCAGATACTGGACTCACTATACAAAGACTTCAATAATCTATTTTAAATATATTCAAAGAACTAAATCATATCTAAAGGATTAAAGGAAAGTATGAGAATCATGTCTCACTAAATAGAAAATATCAACTTATTGGTTCTAGAAATAGACATTTTAAAGAGATAGACTTTTAAAAAAAAAAACAAAGAGAAAAATTCTGGAGTTGAAAATAACAAAAACTGAAAGGAAAAATCCACAAGACAATCTCAACAGAAGATTTCAGCAGACAGAAAAAAAAAATGAATGAACTTGAAAACAGGTCGATTGAGAGTGTCTAGTCTGTGTAACACAAAAAAAGAAAGAATGAAGAAAAATGAACAGCGCCTCAGACATATGAGACATCAAGCATGCAAACATATGCATAATAAGAGTCCTAGAAGGAGAGGAGCAAGAGAAAGGTACAGAAAGAATATCTGAAGAAATATTTGCCAATAATTTCCCCAAATGGAGACAAAACATTAATCTTCACATCCTCAAACTCCAAGTAGAATAAATTCAAAGATATCCATGCCTAGATATTCAAACTGTCAAAAAACAAAGAAAAAAAGGTTGAAAGCCCAAAAAAAAGAAACAAACCACCATGTATATATGATACTCAATAAGATCAACAGCTGATTTCTCATCAGAAATTGTAGAGACCAGAAATGGTGGGATGACATATTCAAAGTACTAAGAGGAAAAAAACAAAAAACAAACAAAAAAAACACTAATAAATTCTATAGCCAGCAAAACTATTGATATGGTTTGGCTCCATGTCCCCACCCAAATCTCATGTTGAACTGCAATCCTTAATGTTGGGGGCCCTCCCCATCACCTGGTGGATGGTGATGGGATCATGGAGATGGATTTCCCCCTTGCTTTTCTCATGATAGTGAGTTCTCATTAGATCTGGCATGTAACATTTCCCTCTTTGCTCTCTCTCCTGCTCCACCATGGTAAGATGTGCTTGTTCCCCTTTTGCCTTTTGTCATGACTGTGAGTTTCCTGAGGCCTCCCAGCCATGCTTCCTGTACAGCTTATGGAACTGTGAGTCAATTAAACTTCTTTTCTTCATAAATTACCTAGTCTACAATAGTTTTTTATAGCAGTCTGAGAACAAACTAATACAACTATCTTTAAAAATGAAGGCAAATATAAAACATTTCCAGATAAACAAAAACCTAAAGAATTCCTTACTAGTGACCATACTAAAATAAATATTAAAGAGTGTCCTTCAGAATTAAATAAAAGAACCCTAGAGAGTAACTGAAATCGACAAGGAGAAATAAAAAGCACAGAAAAGGTAATTACATAGATAAATATAAAAGACAATAAAAATGTGTTTTTTGTTTGTAACTCTTTCTTTTCTATATAATTTAAAAGACAGGCCAGGTGAAGTGGCTCATGTCTGTAAGCCCAATGCTTTGGGAGGCCAAGACAGAAGGGTTGCTTGAGGCCAGGAGTTGGAGACCAACCTAGGCAAAACAGTGAGACCTTATCTCTACAAAAAAAATTAAAAATTAGCCAGGCATGGTGGCACATGCCTGCAGTCCAAGCTACTCAGGATACTGAGGTGAAAGGATTGCTTGAGCTCAAGAGTTCAACACTGCAGTGAGCTATGATCATGCCACTATACTCCAGCCTGGGTGACAGAATGAGACCCTATCTCTAAAAATAATAAAAACATAAAATGGCCGGGTGCAGTGGCTCACGCCTGTAATCCCAGCACTTTGGGAGGCTGAGGAGGGTGGATCATGGTCAGGAGCTCAAGGCCAGCATGGCCAAGATGGTGAAATCCCATCTCTACTAAAAATACAAAAATTAGCTGGGTGCAGTGGCGGGTGCCTGTAATCCCAGCTACTCAGGAGGCTGAGGCAGGAGAATCGCTTGAACCTGGGAGGCGGAGGTTGCAGTGAGCCGAGATCGCACCACTGCACTCTAGCCTGGGTGACAGAGCAGGACTATGTCTCAAAAAAAATAAATAAGATAAAATAAAATAAAATAAAATAAAATAAAATAAAATAAAATAAAATAAAATAAAATAAAAGACAATTGCATGAAGCAAAAATTAAAAACCTGTGTTGATGCAAGGATAAAATCAGTTAAGAATGTACAGCTCTTAGATGCTGGCACATATGAAAAACTGAATAATGTTAAGTATCATTATTTTTTATTACAATGTGTGTGAAACATCAGTGGGCATAAATGCTTAGCTAAATAAGGCAAATGAAACCTGATGATGAATGGGATAATAGCTGTCGCAGACAAATAGCTTTTATTTCCACCTCAGAACATAGCAAGAATACTGGCAGAAACTGGGAGTTTGAAAGTAGTTATTCATGGGTACTAGGAATTCTGTGTAGAAGACACTGAGCTTGAATGTTTGGTGGAAGATACAGATGTCCTAAAAAAAAAAACCTGACAAAATTGGAATGGAGTTTGAATGGGAGGTAGAACCTGGAAATTATAATCATAAGAGTAATATTTGAGGTTAGGGGACAATAGTAACTCCCCAAATAAAATAGCATACATACAGAATAGCAGAGAACCAAGGATTGAGATTTAAAAGAAATCAAGAATTGAAGAAAGCCAGTTAGCAAATACTTTCTAGGGGGGTGGGAAATATCCAATCACACAGCCAGAAGGAAAAGAATACTTGAATTTCTAATAATGGTATGGCTTTTTAAAAATTGCTTCAATTTTATTGTTCCTATAAAAAGAATATTCTAAGGAAAATGCTGAAATAAAAGATTCTATCCAGTCTACCTAGAAAAGTTTGCATATTCATTGTTCACTTGACTGTGTTTCTGAGGTGTAATTTCACCTAGAAAAATGGCAAGAATACTTATGTAATACTTTAATGTCTTTATTTCTAAATTTCTCTTGACAGCTAAAAATTTTGAAAATAAGCCTATGTCATTTGGCTCAATTTCATAAAGAAGGGAATCCTATTTCCTACATTAATTATGGAGAACTGTAACCTTTAGTCTCAATAAAATATTAATAGATGTCATCAAATATAAGGACCAGCTTCTGAAATGAGCCTTATTTTAATGACTAAGTCTTAGATTAATTCAAGAACCATTTACTGAATCCTACTGCTATGATTTGAATGTCCCCTCCAAACTTTTGTTGGAATTTAACTGCTAATGAAACAGTGTTGACATGCAGGATCTTTGAGCAGCAATTAGAGAATAGAGTATTGCTGTTATTGTGTAAGTGGGTCAGTTTATCACACAACTGGGATCCTGCTAAAAGGATAAATTATTCATCCCCCATTTTCCTCTCTGTCTCACTGGCTCTTGCCCTCTCTCATACCAACTCTCTCACCACAAGATGCCTCTGCCATGTTATGATGCAGCAAGAGGCTCTCACCAGATGTGCTCTCAATCTTGGAATTCCCAGTCTTCAGAATGGTGACCCAAACAAACAATTTTTAAAGGAATTATCACAATTATTTTTATAATTTTACTAATGTTCCATACTATCCCCAAGGCATATATCAATCCTGAGGTCTACTTTAGCCCAAATCCTTTGTAACCTATCACCAATGACAGTCCAAATGCAGTCCTTCATTTCTTCACGAACATATTAGGTGTTATAAACACAGAGTTATCAAGACATCCCAAGAGATTTGGGTAATCACTCATCCACAGTCAATATTTCAAACCGAATTAACAGTCCTGTGTCAGAGAAGATGCCGATTAAGGAACTGAAGGGATATGTGATGAAAATGAAGTAGAAAATGTATCTGAGAACTCCTGTTGGCTATGGGCAGAAAAAAAACACTTCTTTAGCTTGTTTGAATATGTGACCCCTGTCACTAAGTTCCCCATAAAAAAGAATGGACTGAAGAGTCATTGCATAAATATTGAGAAATATGAGGGGAAATCTGTAATTTGATACAAACTACATGTCCATATATAACATATAATTAATGTGTAATAAATTTTTAAGTGTTCATTTCTTTTTTAATCACCTGTACCCTTCCCATAAGTATGTATCCCTAAACACTACACTTTAGTTTTGCTTATTTTTTAACATTAAATAAATAAAAGCACACGGTATATGTTCTTTTGGTCTTGCTTCTGTCCTTCAACATTGTTTCTGAAATTCATCATGTTGTTATATGAAGCTGTCATTTGTTACATTTCATTACTGTACAGTAGTCCTTTGTACAAATATCAAAGACTTCTTTGTCACTTCTTGGTGACACACATTTGAGTTAGTTCAATTTGAAATTACCAAATGTAATGCTACTATATACATTAAGATTCATGTCTCCCATTGCATATGTGGATATATTTCAGTCGAGTACATACTTAGAAATGAAACTGATGGTCACAGGACTGCCTCATCTTCAACTTTACTGTATCATGATAAACTGTTTTCCAAATTGTTGTGCCAATTTACCCTTCTACCAGTTGTTCTACATCTTTGCTCATATGTGAGAGTGCCATCTCTTTAATATAAGCCATTCAGCTAATTGTGTAGCAGCTTCTTTTAGTTTGCAATTCACTGATTACTGAGTTGAGCATTTCTCATGCATTTATTGCACATTTGGATATCCTCTTTGTGAAGTTCCTGCTTAAGTCATTGATCATTTTATATAAATCGTCTTTTTTTAATTAATATGAAGGAATACTTCATGTCATCTAGATACAGGCCTTGGCAGGGCACTGTAACTCACACCTGTAATCTCAGCAATTTGGGAGGCCCAGGTGGGAGGATTACTTGAGGCCAGAAGTTGAAGACCAGCCTGGGCAACACAGCAAGACTCTGTCTCAAAAAAAGAAATTATAGATACAAGGCTTTTGTCAGTTACATATGTTACAAATACTTTCTACCATTCTGTAGCCTACCTTTGTACGCCCTTCAGTTTGTCTTTTGATGAAGAGAAGATCTTAATTTTATTGTCAAATTTGTCAACCATTTTCTATACAGTTAGTGCCTTTTATTTCTGCTTTAAAAAATCTTTCCCTACCCAAAGTCAGGATAATATGCTTCTATTTTATCTAATAAAGCTTCACTGTTTGCCATGCACCTTCATGCCTACAACCCACGTGGAATTGATGTCTGGCTGTGATATGAGATAAAAGTCAAGTTTCTTTTCCTTTTTTTTTCCTTTTCTTTCTTTGTTTCTTTTTATCATATGTATATCCACTTGTCCCATACATTTTATTGAAAAGACTATCCTTAATCTGCTACTGTGCAATGGCACCTTTGTCTAATCAAGTGTTCATATCTTGGCTCTCTTTCTGGACTCTATTTTTTTGTGTCAATCAGTTATATATTTTTGTGCTGATACCACTGTTGTAATTACTGCAGCTTTAGGAAAAAGTCTTGATATATGGAATCCTGCCATATTGCTGCTTTTCTTCAGAAGTGTTTTAGCTATTATTGATCTTTTAATTTTCAAATAAAGTTTAGAATCAGCTTAAGACTCTAAACAAATGCAGGAAACACAGAAAAAATGGAATTTTGTTTGGGATTTTTTTAAATCTACAGATAAATTGAGGAGATAATTTGAAAAGAATGATATCTTTACAACATTAAGTTTTGCAGTCTATGAATCTAATTTCTCCCTTTATTTGGGGCTTCTTTAATTTCCTTCAAGAATGTTCTCCATAGAAGTATAGTATATCTTTTCATAGATTTATTCCAAGAATACTCAAAATTTTTGATGCCACTGTAAATGGTTGCTTTTTATATTTCATTTTACAACTGTATGTGGCTGACATACAGAACTACATCTGTTTTTTGTTTAGTGACCTTGTATCCTACAAACTTGCTAATTTATTAATGCTAATAATATATCTATACCTTCTTTTAAATTTTTCTATATATACACAATCAAGTTACCAGCAAATAGTGACAGTTTATTTACTCATTTCCAATTTGTATTTCTCTTATTTCTTTTCTTACCATCTTGCACTGGCTAGGACTTCCAGTGCAACATTGAAGAAAACTAGAGTAGGCATCCTTGTCCTTTTTCCAATTCCAAAGATAAAGCTTTCAAAATGTCACCAATTAAGAATGATTTTCCTATTGCTTTTCTGTAGAAACCTTTTATCAGGTTGAGGATATTCTCTTATATTATTAATTTGTTGAATGTTTTTATCATGAATATATGTTGACTTTTATCAAATGGTTTGCCACATCTATTGAGATGATCATATGATATTTTTTCTGCTTTAATCTTTTAATGTAGTACATTACATTGATTGATTGTTTCCAGTGTTAAACAAATATTTCATTTCAGGAATAAATCCAACTTAATTCTCACACATTATCTTCTCATAGGTCACTGGATGAAGTTTGCCAGTATTTTGTTCAGAATTTTTTATCTTTGTTCATGAGAGAGATTAACCTATAGTTTCCTTTTCTCATAACATCTATGGCTAGTTTTGGTTTCAAGAGAATTCTAGCCTCATGAAACAAGTGCTCACCGGGCACGGGGGCTCACGCCTGTAACCCTAGCACTTTGGGAGGCCAAGGCGGGCAGATCACCTGAGGTCAGGAATTCAAGACCAGCCTGGCCAACATGGCAAAACCCCATCTCTACTAAAAATACACAAAATTAGCCAGATGTGATGGCATGTGCCTGTAATCCCAGCTACTCAGGAGGCTGAGGCAGGAAAATTGCTTGAACCCAGGAGGCGGAGGTTGCAGTGAGCCAAGATCATGCCATTGCACTCCAGCTTGGGCGGCAGAGTGAGACTCCATCTTAAAAAAAAAAAAAAAAGCTCCCACTTTTCTTGTTTTCTGGAAGAATTTGTATTAGGTTGGTGCTTCTGTGTAAGGCCCTCCCATTTTTTATAATCTTCCCCACAAGTTCTAACACCTTCCACCTCCAAGAACTCCAACCTCTGTCTCCTCAATTCAGCAAAATCACCAGGCTCTGCAATGTTATATGAAAATTGCCTCCAGGAAAATGGAACTGGACAACTGTAGGATTCACCTAGTTTTTTTCTCCTTCTCACAGGGATTACAGTCTGGGACTGCCTGTTGGACAATGCCTCAAAGCAGGGTTTTCATTGTTTTTTCTTTCCAGATTTCTAGTTTTTTAATCATGAGATGAAAAACCATAACCCTGTAGCTCTGTCATGGTCAGAGGTAGAAGTTTACTTTTAATTTTATTTCTGTCATCTTAGGTTTGAGCAACTTGCTTTGGCCTCCCCAATATCATTTCCCCACCTTGTTGGTTACTGCACTCTGATATTGCCTTGAGGAGCCATCCTAACCCCCATTTTATGTTGTCTAAATGTCACTGTTAATCAGTGTCCCCATCCTCCATGACCAGGAAATAATCTCATAACTCAAAACATTCTGAAGATGCTCCCTCTCTCCTGAGAATCTGAAGCCAAATTCATGATACAAGGATAAAAAGTTAAACTGGTCCATTCCAATCAATTCCTAAAGAGATTAGCCATTAATCCTTACACAACATGACTATTAGCTGGTGAATCTTACTGGAAGAAGCCAACCTGGATACATTGGAACACAAAATGATTGATCAATTATTCTCTGAACCTAAAATGTAAATATATATTACTTCCAACTGTTCCACTACAAAGGAAAAAGGAAGAAGATCAAGGTTCCTCCTCAGAAAGAAGTTTAATATTCCTTCAATATCTTACAAAAGAAGTGCCCCCATCCAGACCTGAAAAGACTGGAAAGGAAAAAACTGCTTCCTCCAGGAAAGTGGTCTTTATTTGAAAGTGTTCACTCATAAAACTGACAAAAAAAATGTTAAGCAATGCTATTCATTATTGATGAAGATGCAGAGTAATGGACACCCTCATGCATCACTGGTTGGAATATGAATTGCTGCAACCTCTTCTGGAAACTAATCAGGCAATATCTATTAACATTAAAAGTGCATATACAATTTAGCAGAAATCTTGGATACAAAAATACATTTTTGAGAAATTTATTCTTTACAAATAAAAGCACCAGTGCCAAAAACATATATATACCACTGTTTCTTTCAACTTTGTCTGAAGGAAGAAAGGGAGAAAGAGAGGAAGGAAGGAAAGAAGAAAGGAAGGGTATGCATGTCCATCAAAATAATGACTGAATATATTGTAGTATATTCATGCTATAGAATATTAACTTTTATAGTCGGGTGTGGTGGTATGTGCCTGTAGTCCCACCTACCAGGGAGGCTTAGCCAGAAGGATCGCTTGAGCCCAAGAGTTCCAGGCTGTAATGAGCCAAGATTGCACCATTGCACTCTGGCCTGGGTGACAGGGCAAGACTCCAACTCGAAAAAAAAAAAAGAATATTAACTTTTGAAAAGAATGAGCTGGCCATGTGCAGTGCATGGCTCATGCCTATAATCCTAGACCGAGGTAGCTATACTTAAACAAAATAGATGTCAAGACAAAAACTATCAGAAGAGACAAAGAAGGTCACTACGTAATAAGAAAGGGGGCAATTCAGCAAGAGGATATAACAATTGTAAATACATATGCACCCAATAATGGGGCACCCAGATATATAAAGTAAATATCAGAGCTAAAGAGTTAGACTCCAATACAATAATAGCTGGAGACTTCAATATCCTATTTTAAGTACTGAACAGATCTTCCAGACGAAATCAACAAAGAAACATTGTACTTAATCTGCACTATAGAACAAATGGAGCTAATAGAGATTTACAGAACATTTCATGCAACGACTGCAGAATAGACATTCTTTTCTTCAGCATATGGATCATTCTCAAGGAAGGACCATGTGTTAGTTCACAAAATAAGTCTTAAAACATTCAAAAAACTGAAATAATATCAAGCATCTTCTCTGACCACAATGAAATAAAACTACAAATGAATAACGAGAGGAACTTCGGACACTGTTCAAACACATGGAAATTAAGCAACATGCTACTGAATGACCAGTGGGTCAATGAAGAAAGTAAGAAGAAAATTTAGAAATTTGATGAAACAAATGCTAATGGCAACATAGCATACCAAAACCTAAGAAATACAGCAAAAGCAGAACTAAGAAGGAAGTTTATAACTATACATGTTTACATTGAAAAAGAAAAAAAAATTCAAAAAAACCACCTAATGATACACCTTAAAGAACTAGAAAGGCAACAACAAACCAAACCAAAAATTAATAGAAGAAAGAAACAATAAAGATCAGAGCAGAGGCTGGGCTCAGTGGCACACGCCTAAAATCCCAGCACTTTGGGAGGCCGAGGCGGGTGGATCACCTGAGGTCAGGAGTTTGCGACCAGCCTGACTAACATGGTGAAACCCCGTCTCTACTAAATACAAAAAAATTAGCTGGGCATGGTGGCACATGCCTGTAATCTGAGCTACTTGGGAGGCTGAGACAGGAGAATCGATTGTACCTGAGAGGCGGAGGTTGCAGTGAACCAAGATCATGCCATTGCACTCCAGCCTGGGCAAGAAGAGCAAAACTCCGTCTCAAAAAAAAAAAAAAAAAAAAAAAAAAAAAAAAGCAGAAATACATGAAATTGAAATGAATGAAACAATACAAAAGATCAATGAAACAAAAACTTGGTTTTTTAAAAAGATAAACAAGAGTGACAAACCTTTAGCCACACTAAGAAAAAAAGAGAGAAGACCCAAATAAATAAAATTGGAGATGAAAAAGGAGGCACTGTAACTAATACCAAAGGAATTAAATTGGAAAATCTGGAAGAAATGGATAAATTCCCAGACACATACAACCTATCAAGATTGAACCACGAAGAAATTCAAAACCTGAACATACCAATAATAAGTTATGAGAATGAAGCCATAATAGTCTCCCATCAAAGAAAATGCCAGGACCCAAAGGCTTCACTGCTGAATTCTAACAAACATTTAAAGAAGAACTAATACCAATCCTACTCAAACTATGTGGAAAAATAGAGGAGAGATTACTTCCAAATGTATTCTATGAGGCCAATATTACACTGACATCAAAACCAGACAAAGACACATCAAAAATAGAAAACAATAGGCCAGTATCACTGATACATATTGATGCAAAAATCTCAACAAAATGCTAGCAAACCAAATTCAACAGCACATTAAAAAGATCATTCATCATGACCAAGTGGGATTTAACCCAGGGATGCAACCATGGTTCAGCATATGCAAATCAATCAATATGATACATCATATGAACAGAATGAAGGACAAAAACAATATGATCATTTCAATTGATGCTTAAAAGACATTTGATAAAATTCAACACCACTTAGTTATAAAAACCCAAAAAAACTGGGTATAGAAGGAACATATCTCAATATAATAAAAGCCATATATGATAGACCCACAGCTAGTATCACACTGAATAGGGAAAAACTGAAAGCCTTTCCCCTAAGATCTGAAAACAAGAAGGATGCCCACTGTCATCACTGTTATTCAACAAAGTGCTAAAAGTTATAGTTAGAGCAATCAGACAAGAGAAAGAAATAAAGGGCATCCAAGTTGGAAAGGAAGAGGTCAAATCATCCTTGTTTGCAGATGATATGATCTTATATTTGGAAAAACCTAAAGACTCCACCAAAAAGTTATCAGGACTGATAAACAAATTCAGTAAAGCTGCAGCATACAAAATCAACATACAAAAATCAATAGTATCTTTTTTTTTTTTTTTTGGGGACAGTCTTGCTCCATCACCCAGGCTGGAGTGCAGTGGTGCAAACACTGCTCACTGCAACCTCCACCTCCTGGGTTCAAGCAATTCTCCTGCCTCAGCCTACCAAGTAGCTGGGATTACAGGTGTGCACCAACACGCCTGGCTAATTTTTGTATTTTTAGTAGAGATGAGGTTTCACCATGTTGGCCAGGCTGGTCTCGAATGCCTGGCCTCAAGTGATCCGCCCACCTCGGCCTCCCAAAGTGCTGGGATTACAGGCGTGAGTCACTGTGCCTGGCCTCAGCAGCATTTTTATATGTCAATAGTGAAAAATCTGAAAAAGAAATCAAGAAAGTAATCCTATTTACAATAGCTATGAATAAGATAAAATAGGAATTAATTTTTGAAAGAAATGAAAGATCTCTACAATGAAAACTATAAAACAGTGATGTACAAAATTAAAGAAGACACCAAAAAATAGAAAGAGATTTCATGTTTATGGATTGGAAGAATCAATATTGTTAAAATGTCTGTACTACCCAATGCAATCTACAGATTCAATGCAATCCCTATCAAAATACCAATGATAGTCTTCACAGAAATAGAAAAAACAATTCTAAAATTTATATGGAACCATAAAAGAATAGCCAAAGCTATCCTAAGCAAAAACAAAACTGAAGGAATCACATTACCTGACTTATACACTACAGAGCTATAGTAACCAAAGTGGCATGGTACTGGCATAAAAAGAGACATGTAGACCAGTGGAATAGAAGAGAGAACCTAGAGATAAATTCATACATCTACAATGAACTCATTTTTGACAAAGGTGCCAAGAACATACATTGGGGAAAAGGCAGTCTCTTCAATAAATGGTGCTTGGAGAAATGGATATCCACATGCAAGAGAATGAAACTAGACTCCTACTTCTTACCATACACAAAAATCAAATCAAAATAAACTCAGGACTTAAATCTAAGACCTCAAACTATGAAACTACTAAGAGAAAACATTAGAGAAACTCTCTAGGACATTAAGTGATGTCCCACAGGCACAGGCAACCAAGGCAAAAATGGACAAATGAGATCACATCAAGTTAAAAAGCTTCTGCACAGCAAAGGACACAATCAACAAAGCAAAGAGACAACCCACAGAATGGGAGAAAATATTTGCAAACTACTCATTTGACAAGGGATTCAGAGCCAGAATATATAATGAGTTCAAACAACTCTATAGGAAAAACATCTAATAATCCAATTTAAAATGGGCAAAAGATCTGAATAGACATTTCTCCAAAGAAAACATACAAATGGTAAACAGGAGTATTGAAAAGGTGCTCAACGTCACTGATCATCAGAGAAATGCAAATCAAAACTACAATGAGCTATTATCTCACCCCAGTTAAAATGGCTTCTATCCAAAAGTTAGACAATAACAAATGCTGGAGAGGATGTGGAGAAAAGGGAACCCTTGTACACTGTTGGTGGGAATGTAAATTAGTACAACCACTATGGAGAACAGTTTGGAGGTTCCTCAAAAAACTAAAAACAGAGCTACCATTTGATCCAGCAATCCCACTCCTTAGGTATATACCCAAAAGAAAGGAAACAAGTAAATCTAAGAGATATCTGCACTCCCATGTTATTGCAGCACTATTCATAAGATCCATTTGGAAGCAACCTAAGGGTCCATCAACAGATGAGAGATTGTATTAGTCCATTTTCATGCTGCTGATAAATGCATACCCAAGACTGGGCAATTTACAAAAGAAAGAGGTTTATTGGACTTACAGTTCCACATGGCTGGGGAGGCCTCACAATCATGGCAGAAGGTAAAAGGCAAGGAGGAGCAAGTCACATCTTACATGGATGGTGGCAGACAGAGTTTGTGCAGGGAAACTCATGTTTTTTGAAACCATCAGATCTCATGAGACTCATTCACTATCATGAGAACAGCACAGGAAGGACCCAGCCCCGTAATTCAATCACCTCCCACTGAGTTCCTCCCATGACACATGGGAATTGTGCGTGTTACAATTCTAGATGAGATTTCGGTGGGGACACAGGTGTGAGCCACCGTGCCCAGCCTAAGTTTTTTTTAAGTACTTGCCACAGCCAACCCAGCCTTCTGCAACCACCACCCTGATTAGTCAGCAGTCATCAACATCAAGGCAACACCAGCAGAGAGTACACCTTGCTGTAGGTTCATATGATCATTCATATTATTTAGCAATAAAGTATTTTTAAATTAAGATATGCATATTGTTTTTTAGACATAATGCTATTGTGCAGTTAACAGACTATCGCATAGCGTAAACCTACCTTTCATATGTACTGGAAAGCCAAAAAATGTATGTGACTCATTTTATTGCTATATTTGCTTTATTGCAAGGGTCTGGAATGGAACCCACAATACCTTCAGGGTATGCCTGTAGATTATTAGACAACATTTTTTCTACTTGTCTTCCCTACCCACCCATAACCATTTTCTTCAACAACCCCAGCTCCCACTTCTCCCCATCTTCTTCTGAAGAAAGAAAATGAAAACTACACTTCAGGTGCAAAGTAGGCCATGGTGAATGCTAAGCTGAGAATGAACCCACAATCTCTCTCACAAAATTATATGACCATGAGAAAGACCCAAAACGGTCCCAGTATATGAAAGTTAATTCCTCTAAGACGTCTTTCAAGACCAGTTCAAATGACACACCCTCCATAAAGGAAGAGGTTCTACTTGATTTTCTATCCCAGCTAAATATTCTTTCTTTAGCCTTTCAGATAATAAGCCATTTTATTCCCATTCTTTTATAATATTTATCATATTCTATCTTAAATTCTAAAATAAAACTGGGAGATTAGACATTCTACCTTGTCTAGTCTGCTATTTTATTTTAGGTTAGTGACAGACTTTTTGTATCCTCATGGAGTGTAAAGTATTTTGGTACATGCATTAGATCAATCAGTATTTAATATTGATGCGGCAGTGGTAACTCTTCTTACTAACTGATGAGGAGGAAGATAAAATGGATGGAATCTGGAATCAGAACACATGGATTCCAGAACCGACTCTACCACTCACTAAATATGGACCTTGGGCAAGTCATTTAACCTCTCAGAGCCTCAATTTCTTCATCTGCATCTGCATCTGTCTTACTCATTTTTATATCTTCAGGTGCTGGGCACCAAGAAGGTACTCATTAAATACTGAGTAAATGAATAAAAAAATTATGCAAAAATAGTATGCAAACTATTAACGATTGGCATGCAATTTATTAAGCCCTATTTTGTAGGGACTATACATATATTCCTGAGGAAGGGAAGGAATATAATAATAATCTTCCTCTGGAATATATACACAGTCCTTTCTGCCATGTAAGGTAACATCTTGACATCTTGACAGGTCCTGAAGATTCAGACCTGGACATCTTTGGGGAGTGGGAAGGCAAGCATGATTTTGTCTACCACATACTCTTACACATTCAGAATAAGAAAATAGTGTTCTTTTCTTCTCAAAGCTGCTCTGAAGTTCATTTTTAAAACCAAGGCATGGAACAGGGTGGGTGGAAATATCTCAGGCAATTTGCAGCCTCCTGAGATATGTGGGTTACACTTGGCCAGTAATAAATCTCCCCATCAGAGGCACATCTATTACATACCTTGTATTATTAGGAACCAGAAGATAAATAGATACAGATACAGACACTGAATTCTGAATTCGGAAATTAATAATATGTCCAGTTCAGGGAATTTTTAAAATATCTTAACTTCATTTAAAGTTTCTCCTTTCCTCCAGAAAGGCAGCATGGTTGGTCTTTTTAGTTTCCAGCTTAGCTTGTCTATTCCTCCTCCCTTACTAGTTCACACTTGGCTTTCCTAAGACTGAAAGCTTGAGGGAGGGCCAGGCTGATAAGAGTCAAGGTGAAAGAAAGGTCTTATTTGACTCATACTCTTTTGTAAATCTACCTCTAAAGCTCTCTGACCATGGCAAGTGTTTAAAGCTGACACTTCCTCTAGAGGACACTTTTGTCTTTCTTTGAAGTTCATACACCAGCAGTTCCCGTGACACATGCAAATATATCTCTTCTGGAATGTTCTCCTAGCATTCTACTCTTAGGAATCTGGGAGTATACCTCCTCTTCTTCCCACTGAAGTATTCTCAACTCTCTAGATGATGTTTTTAGGCAGACTCTTAAGACAATCCCATCTGTCTCTTCCTCTTGCTCCAGAAGCCCTCATCTGGCCTACCAGTAGCACGCTTCTTGAGCACTATTGGTGGGAATGTTGCTATTTTCCAAACCCAGCTCACTCTTCATCAAAAGCCCTGACAGGGCAGCTCCAGACACAGCCTGTCATCCTCTGGATGATTCAGCTGCATGAACCCCAAACCCTAGGACACATACATGAAGCTCCATGAGTGATTCCATTAAAGTTCCTCTCACTAGCCTTTAAATGAGGGAAAAGCACCCACACTCCTTCTGGGGGGAGTCACAACCCCAACATCCGTCATCAGATAATCCCATGATATTCCTAACAATACCTCTGGGCTTCTCTAATTTCTTTTATAGGCTAGAAGTAGTTCGTCAGCTAAAGATTACAAAACCAGCTTCCCTTTCAAATCTGCTTCATGATCTTCCATCTCACTTTAGAACTGGAACTAGTTAGTACCTTTATCTTGGGGTCTGGGCCAAAACTGAGGCAACATAATCAAACCATAACATTCCATTCCATGTATTTGTTTTTACAAAATTAATGTATTTCCTCTACTAAGAATAAAATTCCATATGGGACACATCCGTTTTGTTTATCACTGACTATCTAAAGCACTCAATAAATACTTACTAAATGACTGACAAATACTAACAAATCAGCAAAACTCCCTGGCTCTCAAAAACTCAGAAACTATATTAATTTCATACATTTGTATGCTATTTTCAGATTCCTCCAGAATATCTCTGCAGTGTGGCTATATATTACAATTTTGGCAAAAACATGAGTATAAGAGTCACCAGAAAAATCTATACACTGAATATAAAGTAAAACATTAAACAAGCATCTTTCATTCAATCCAACAAATATTGATTGAGTACCTTCTATATACCACAGACCACGCCAGGTACTAGTGTACAGTGATGAACAAAACAGCCAACATCTGGCCTTCATGGAGCTTATAGTCTAACAGGGGATGCACACAAACAAAGCTCTTACTGCAAAAGTTCAATTTCACATAAATATGGTGAAGAATATGCATAGGGTGTACTCATAGAAAATAAAAGAAGGAAGCAAGGAGACCACCTTAGAGTGGTCAAAGGGGATTTCTCCAAGCAAATGACATTTAAACTGAGACCTGAAGATAAGCAGTAGCCCTGTAGGATGTGGGAGGGGAGTGGAGAAGTCTCCCCGAGCAAAGGCTCTGACATGACCCTTAATCTGGGGAGGAAAGTGGGATGGGAAATGGGGGAAGGCAGTCTTCATACTTTTTACTACATATATGATCTTCATTTTTTACAACAAACATATATTAATGTGTCATTTTATAATGAAAAAATGTTTACTCTGACTTTGGAATTGAATATTATATCTTGGTTCAAATTTTTCCTGAACCTGGAGATAGAAAAATGTCATCCTCCCCCTCCTACTCTACCCATCCCACCAATAAGGAGAGCAAATCTGACATATGCATCTACTACGTGCCAGCTTCCTTACTTATGTTGTGTCTTTAATCCTCAGATCAACCCTGTGAAGTTAAATTGAGGAAGAGAGAAGTGAAGTAATTTTCCCAGACTCACAATACTATGAGGTGGCAGAGCTGGGACTGAAATTCTGGTCTGTACAAACTCTTGCTCATGAAATTTAAAATGCAAAGTGACATCAATATTTGAGAAG
The DNA here is from genome assembly GCF_000001405.40 of Homo sapiens. Taxonomy (NCBI): domain Eukaryota; kingdom Metazoa; phylum Chordata; class Mammalia; order Primates; family Hominidae; genus Homo; species Homo sapiens. The sequence goes on along the minus strand of NC_000014.9, from coordinate 93,379,914 downwards.
CCCTGAATCCAATGGGAAGTCTAATATCTTGCAAATTTTTTTATTATTTTTATTTTATTTCAATAGCTTTTGGGGAACAGATGGGTTTTGGTTACATGGAAAAGTTCTTTAGTAGTGATTTCTGAGATTTTGGTGCACCCGTCACCCAAGCAGTGTACACTGTACCCAATGTGTAGTCTTTTATCCCTCACCCCCCTCCCACCCTCCCCCTGCAGTCCCCAAAGTCCATTATATCATTCTTATTGCATTCAGGTTTCCAAAATGTACTTCTGCAAATTAGAATCCCAAGCAGCCACAACAATTGGTTTAATGGGTGATTTTAAATATGAATTGTATATTAAGGTAGGTAGAAATCATAGTGAAGAAATCTTGCAGTTTATTAAAGTCTGAAATATACCAAACGAGGTGTATGATAAATGTCTGCAGGATGTAAGGTGATACTTGGGCTTAAAGTCATGAAACCTTTAATATTTATGGCCAACTACAGAAATCTCCCTAATTTGCCAACCTCAAAAAAGTTTACTAGCCTGTTCATATTTACCAAATCCTGCTTAATTACAGATGATGACTTTTTTGGTTATCTATAGCCTGTGCAAACTCTCTCTCAACCTCCACCAGTTTGTAAGTCTAGCTGTTTTTGTTTGGCTCTTTGGGAAACTAACAAAGACATATTCTCTGTAGTTCAAGTAAAAGATGTTGATAAAGATTATACCTGGAGTAATAAGAGGAATATCATAGATATTCACAAACAGAAGCCCAAGTACAGGTGTGAGCTGGAAGTAGTTGCAGATTTAAAGCAGAGATCAATCACAGCAGTGGAAATTCATGAATCCCCACTCTTTTGCTCAGCTGTTAACTTGACTCTCTTATACTCTTTTGCTCCTCCTGATCCAGACTTTGCTACTTTCTCATAGTGCCAGCTCTGTCTAAAGTTGGCTTCCATAGGACCTCGTGTAGCCTTTCCAGCTACTCCACATTCTGGCCTTTTGAGTCTCATCTTCTATTGTTTGTTATATAGTGCTACCATGTATCTAAGTTTTCGCTTTTTCTTAAATACATCACACTGAAAGAAGAGACATAATTCTGGCAACCACTTTGATTTCATAAGTAGCATATGCTACTACAGGTTGAGCTTCTGTAATCTGAAAATCCAAAATCCAACATGCTCCAAAATTTAAAATTTTTTGAGTACCAACATGATGCCACAAGTGGAAAATTCCACACCTGACCTCATGTGATGGGCTGCAATTAAAATAGAGCTACAATTTTGTTTCATGCATAAAATTATTTGAAATATTGTATAGAATTACCTTCAGGCTATCTGTATATGGTTCATATGAAACATAAATGAATTTAGTGTTTAGACTTAGATCCTATCTCCAAGATATCTCATTATGTATATGGTGATATTCCAAAATCTGAAAAAAAAACAAAATCTGAAACACTTCTGGTCCTAAGCATTTCAGATAAGGGATACTAAACGTGTACCACTAACAAGGCTGTATCATTCACTTTATAGTCTCTAATCCCAAGTAGGAAGTTCCCCAAAGGTTAAAATTTACAACTTTTGTCTTCCTGAACTGAAAATTCTTATAATCACCTAAAGATACAGTGAGAATGCCAATCCTCAAGAAGTCAATACAGGTCTCTGGGCAAGTGTGTTCCCACCTTTCCATGTGAGCTGAAGCTGAGAAGTATTATCTTGTCCCTGCAGGGAAGCTGTGGTAAGGAGGACAAAAGCATTTGGGAAATACTCCTTTATATCTCCAGAGCTTAAGCATGACAGTAAACAGTCATCAAAGAATCAAAATTGGTTGACAGTCCTAATCCCGTGGCTTATTTTCTATCCCTAACTCATTTACCAATAGGCTTATTTTTAGTGATTTCTAAAACAAGTGTTAAGTCTGGATACCTGATTATTACCTCAAATATTTTCCAACTTCTTAAACTGTTTAAACACTAAAATGTATTTCGTTGTTGTCTACCAGTAAAAACAGACCACACGGCAGGGATCCTCCTGCTATGAAAGCTGTATGTAATTCTCTGCTGGGAGTGGGTAAGAATTAGGGGAATTGTTCTGGTGGTCTTTCATACTGCAGTGGGAGCATTCTGATGGTCAATACACATCTTCGTGCAATAATATTTTATTGGGACAAGATGGGTGGTAGGATTATGAGTAGATTACCCCTTTCCAAAACCACATTGGCTGTTATCCCACCCAATATACATTGGATTCCACTACAGCTATAAGCAGTTCCGTTATAGGATTTCAAAATGTGTCCTAAATGTAGAGTTTGAGAGATTGAGAGTTGTGCTCCTTTATAGTTCATTCTCCCCTTTATATAACACAACATTTGCAAGACCTCACTGGTTGAGCCTTCAGATTGTATCCCGGTAATCACTATTTTATTTTCCAACTCTTGCCTTCTCTCCTATACTTTTCCTCTTCCCCTTGTGGTTGCTCTTTTGAAGCCCTCAACCCTCAGTACATCACCGTTTTCTTTAAGAAACAACTATTCTCGGCCAGGCACAGTGGCTCACACCTGTAATCCCAGCACTTTGGGAGGCCGAGGCGGGTGGATCACGAGGTTAGGAGATCAAGACCATCCTGGCTAACATGGTGAAACCCCATCTCTACTAAAAATGCAAAAACAAAAATTAGCCAGGCATGGTGGCGGGCGCCTGTAGTCCCAGCTACTCGGGAGGCTGAGGCAGGAGAATGGCGTGAACCTGGGAAGTGGAGATTGCAGATAGCGCCACTGCACTCCAGCCTGGGTGACAGAGCGAGACTCCATCTCAAAAAAAAAAAAAAAAAAAAGAAACAACTATTCTCATTGCACTTCTTTCTTGAATCTTGCAAACTGCACTGCTTCGGGTGCAGCTAAATGCAGTCAGTGAAGTCTGTCTACTCCTTCACTGATCCCTCAAAGGGAAAAGGAGAACTCTTGTCATTTGCATCCTTGCATATATGTACATAGGTGAGTGCATGAGAGAAAGCTATAATATATATAACATATAATATATATTTTATATATTTTATATATTTTTATATATAATTAAATTAAGCAAAAAGCCATTGATTGACCTGAGGCAACCTAACTTTGTATACAAACAAACTGAATTCCAACCTAGGAGTATATTTTTTGTAACAAATAGCTGAGATTCAGCCAATCACAAAAACCGAATTTATCACACTATACCCAAACAAGGCAAAAACCTAGCTGGAGCCAACCAGATGATTTCTCTGCTTTCTATAATAGCTAACTGCTCATGCTGCTGGTTGGAGCTCTCTGAACCTCTTCTGGTTCCAAGTGCTGCTCAATTCATGAACTGTTCTTTGCTCAAATAAACTCTTAAATTCCAACTGTCTAAAGTTTTAGCAATATAACACATACACACACACATAGCTATATGTGTATATGTGTATAGGATATAGATACATATAAATATACGGTTTGCCCCTGTGATTTTTTTTTCTTCTTTAGAAGACCACCAGTTCTATTCTACCCTGGAACGCATTAGTAAATAATGCTCATTTTCCTGAAGACTGTAAGGAAAGATTAGAGAAAGATTTTATATCACCACACAGCATTTGAAAAAATTTAAATCTCTATAAGATAGTTCTGTTCTTCCCCAAAATCTCTCTAGTTCCCTCAACACTCTTTTCTATCAATACATATTAAGTGCCTCTGGTTATCTATTGTTGCATAACAAACTAGCCTAAAACTTAGAAACTTAAACACCTTGTTATAATTCATGTCTTAGTCCATTTTCTATTGCTTATTAACAGAATACCTCAAACTGGCTAATTTATAAGAAAAGAAATTTATTTCTTACAGTTATGGAGGCTGAGAAGCCCCAGGTCAAAAGGTCACAACTGGTGAGAGCCTTCTTGCTGGTGGGGACTTTCTGCAGAGTCCCAAGGTGGCACAGGGAATCACGTGGTGAAGGGCCTAACATGCTAGCTCAGGTCTCGCTTCCTCTTTTTATAAGGCCACCAGTCCCACTCCCGATGACTCATTGATATGGTTTGATCTGTATTCCCGCCCAAATCTCATGTCAAATTGTAATCCCCAATGTTGAAGGTGGTGCCTGGTGGGAGATGATTGGATCATGGGGGTAATCCGTCATGAATGGTTTAGTGCCATCCCCTTGGTGCTGTTCCCGTGATAGAGCTCTCATGACATCTGGTCATTTAGAAGTATGCAGCACCTCCCCACTCTCTCTTGCTCCTGCTCCCACCATATGAGATGTCTTGCTCCCCCTTTGCCTTCCACCATGACTGGAAGTTTCCTGAGGCCTCCCCAGAAGCAGAAGCCACTTTGCTTCCTGTACAGCCTGCAGAACTGTGAGCCAATTAAACCTCTTTTCTTTATAAATTACCCAGTCTCAGGTATTTCTTTACAGCAATGTGAGAATGGACTAATACACCTATTAATCCATTAACCCATTAATCTACTAATCCATGGGTGGATTAATCCATACATGAAGGCAGAAGCCCAATGACTCAATCACCTTTTTAAATTTGTTTTTGAGACAGGGTCTTACTCTGTCACTCAGGCTGGAGTGCAGCAGTGCAATCACAGCTCACTGCAGCCTTGACCTCTTGGGCTCAGGTGATCCTCCTACCTCAGCCTCCTGAGTAGCTGGGACTACAGGCACCACCACCATGACCCGCTAATTTTTGTATTCTTTGTAGAGACAGGGTTTTGCAATGTTGCCCAGGCTGGTATTTAACTCCTGGACTCAACTGATCCTCCTGCCTTAGCATCCCAAAGTGTCAGCCACTGCACCCAGCCTCAACCATCTCTTAAAGGACTCACTTCTCAATATTCCCACAATGGGAATTAAATTGCAACATGAGTTTTGGAGGGAAAAAATATCTAAGTCATAGCATTCCACCCCTGACCCCCCAAAACTCATGTCCTTTTCATATACAAATACATTCATTCCTTCTCCATAGCCCCAAAGCTTTAACTCCAACACCAACTCAAAACTCCAAAGTCCAAAGTCTCATCTGTGAGCATGTGAAATTAAAGCAACTTTTCTACTTTCAAGATACAATGGAGGCCGAGTATGGTGGCTCACACCCGTAATCCCATCACTTTGGAAGGCCAAGGCAGAAGGATCACTTGAACCCAGGAGTTTGAGACCAGCTTGCATAACGTAGTTAGACCCTGTCTCTATAAAAAATAATATTTTTTAAAAATTAGCCAGTTGTGGTGGCACTCAACTGTAATCCCAGCTACTCAGGAGGCTGAGGTGGGAGGATCGCTTGAGCCCAGGAGGTCAAGACTGCAGTGAGCCATGATCATGCCATTGTACGCCTTCCTAAGTGACAAAGTGAGGCCCTGTCTCAAAAAAAGTGACTTTAAAAAAGAAAGAAAGAACGCTACAATGGTGGTACAGGAATAAGACAGACATTTGCATTCCAAAAGAGAAAAGTAGGCAAAGAAAAGAGTATCAGGCCCCAAGCAAGTCGGAAACCCAGCAGGGTAAACATTAAACCTTAAAGCTGAAGAATAATTGCTTTTGACTCCATGTTCTACCTACTGAACACACTGGGGCAAGGTTGAGCCCCCAATGCCTCAGGTAACTCTACCCCTATGGCTTTGCTGGGTGCAACCCACATAGCTGCTTGTATGGATTGAAGTCCAGTGCCTGAAACTTTCCCAGGTGGATGTTGCATGTTGCCGGTGACTCCATAGTTCCAGGGTCCTGGAAGCGGTCCTGCTTCCACAGTTCCACTTAGGCATTACCCTGGTGGGAACTTTCTGCCGCAGCCCCAGACCCACATTTCTGCTCAGCATTGCTCTAGTGGGGCTCTCTGTGGTAGCACCATACCTGTGACAAGTCTATGCTTGGGGCCCCAGGCTTTCAGTGACATCTTTTGAAATCTGGGTGGAGGTTGCCAAGCCTCCACCGCTTTTGATTTTTTCAAGCCTGCAGAATTAGCACCATGTGGATGCAACTAAGGCATACCTGGGATAAATCCCACTTAGTCATAGTGTATGATGTTTTTAAATACACATCACTGGGTTTGAATTACTAATATCGTGTTGCAGTTTTTTGCATCTATGTTGATGAGAGATACTGGGTTGTAGTTTTTTTCTTTTCTTATAATGTTTTTGTCTGGCTTTATTAGGTAATGCTGGCCTTGCAGAATGTGTTAGAAAGTATTTATCCTTCTTCTATCTTCTGGAAAACATTGTCAAGAATTGGTATGATTTCTTCCTAAAATGTTTGGTAGAATTCACCTGTGAAGACATCTGGGCTTGGTGTTTTCTATTTTGCAGGTTAATTATTTATTGATTCAACTTCTTTGATACATATCAGCCTATTCAGATTATCTAGTTCTTTTTGTTTGAGTTTTGGCAGACTGTCTTCCAAGGAATTAGGTTGTGCACACTATTCCTTTATTATCCTTTTAATGTCCATAAGATCTGTAGTGATGTTCCCTTTTTCACTTCTGATATTAGTAATTTGTGTCCTCTCTCTTTTTTTTTTCTCAGATAGCCTGGCTAGAGGTTTATCTACTGTATTAAACTTTACTAGGAACCAGCTTTTGGTTTTGTTGACTTTATTAATTTCCTGTTTCAATTTCATTGACTTCTGCTCTAATCATTATTATTTGTTTTCTTCAGGTTACTTGGATTTAATTTGCTCTTCTAGTTTTCTAAGGTGGAAGCTTAGATGATTAGTCTTCTCTTCTAACATATGTACTCAATGCTATAAAATTTCCTGTAAGCTCTACTTTTGTGCATCCCACAAATTTCAATAAGTTGTTCTCATTTTCATTAGCTCAAAATATACTTTAATTTCTCTTGAGATTTCCTCTTTGACTCATGTGTTATTTAGAAGTGTGTTGTTTCCTCTCCAAGTACTTTGAAATTTTCCAACTATCTTTCTGTTATTGTATTCTGGTTTCGTTTCATTGTGATCTGAGAGCAAACATTGTATGATTTCTATCCTTTTGAACTTGTTAACATGTGTTTTATGGCCCAGAATGTGCTATATCTTAGTGAATGTCCCTTGTGACCTTGAGAAGAACATGTACTCTGCTGTTGTTGGATAAGGTAGTCTATAGATGACCATTACATCCAGTTGATTGATGGTGTTGTTGAGTTCAACTATGGCCTTACTGATTTTTTACCTGCTGGATCTGTCCATTTTAAGAAGGGTATTGAAGTCTCCAAATATAATAACTGATTCATCCATTTGACCTTGAAATTCTACTGGTTTTTGTCTCATGTATTTTGATCCTTTGTTGTTAGGTGCTTAAACACATTGAGGATTGTATTTCAAGAACTGACTCTTTTATCATTACGTAATGCACAAATTTCTCCTGAGTAGTATTCCTTGGTCTGAAGTCTTCTCTGTTTGAAATTAACATAGCTACTCCTGCTTTCTCTTGGTTGAGGTTAGCATGATATATCTTTCTCCATTTACTTTTAAACTATACGTGTCTTTATATCTGAAGTAGGTATCTTGCAGACAATATATAGTTGGGTCACGTCTTCTGGTCCACTCTGACAATCTCTGTCTTTTAACTGGTGTATTAAATCATTCACATTCAAAATTATTATTAATAGAGTTGGTTTAGTGTTTGTTACTGTATGTAATATAATCACATTAGATACAGAGTTGTTACTGTATATATACTTATACACATATGAACATAAGCATATATAATTGAATACATTGTTGCTATTATTTTGAACAAATTATTTATGACCAATTAAGAAGAAAAATTAAAGTATTTTATCTTCACTTATTCCTTCTTTAGTGTTCCTTTTTTCTTTATGTTGATCCAAGTTTCTGTCCTATATTATTTTCCTTCTCTCTGAAGAACTTCTTTTAACTTCTCTTGCAAGGCAGGTCTACTGGCAATGAATTTCCTCATTTTTATTTGTCAATGCCTTTATTTCTTCTTAACCTTTGAAGATAACTTTGCGGGTTATGGGATTCGAGGTTATAGGAGTTTATTTCTCTCCATACTTTAAATATTTCACTCCACTATCATCTTGTTTGCACGGTTTCTGAGAAGTCAGTTGTTTTTTTTGGTTTTTTTTTTTGAGACGGAGTCTCGATCTTTCCCCTAGGCTGGAGTGCAGTTGTGCATCTGGGCTTACTGCAAGCTCTGCCTCCTGGGTTCATGCCATTCTCCTGCCTCAGCCTCCCGAGTAGCTGGGACCACAGGCGCCCGCCACCACGCCCGGCTAATTTTTTGTATTTTTTAGTAGAAACAGGGTTTCACCATGTTAGCCAGGATGGTCTCGATCTCCTGACCTCGTGATCCACCCGCCTCGGCCTCCCAAAGTGCTGGGATTACAGGCGTGAGCCACCTAGCCCGGCTGTAATTCTTATCTTTGTTCTTCTACAGGTAAGAAGTTTTTTTCCCCACTGGTTTCCTTCAGGAATTTTTTTCTGCGTTTTCATTGAAAACAGTGTGCCTAAGTGTTGTGTTCTGCGTTTTTTTGTTTTGTTTTGTTTGTGTGTGTGTTTTTGGGTTTTGTTTTTGTTTTTTTGAGATGGAGTCTCGCTCTGCCACCCAGGCTGGAGTGCCATGGTGCGATCTTGGCTCACTGCAACCTCCACCTACTGGGTTCAAGCAATTCTCCTGCCTCAGCCTCCCGAGTAGCTGGGACTTCAGGAACGTGCCACCATGCCAGCTAATTTTGGTATTTTTAGTAGAGATGGAGTTTCACCGTGTTAGCCAGGATGGTCTCAATCTCCTGACCTTGTGATCTGCCCACCTCAGACTCACAAAGTGCTGGGATTACAGGGTACAGGGGTGAGCCACCCCGCACCCACCCCTGTTTTGTTGTTGTTGTTTTGTTTTGTTTTGGTTTTTGGCAGGAGGTGGAGCATACCTTGCTTTGTGTCTCTGAGCTTCCTGGATGTGGAGTTTGGTGTTTGACATTAATTTAGGGAAATTCTTAATTACTATCTTTTCAAATAATTCTTCTATTTTTTTTTCTATCTTCTCCCTCTAGTATTCCCATTACTTGTATGTTACATTTCTGTAGTTGTTCCACAGTCCTTGGATATTCTTTGTTGTCATTGTTGTTTTCAATCTTTGTCTTCTGCTTTTCAGTTTTAGGGTTTCTATTAATACATCTTTTCTTTTTCTTTTTCTTTTTGAGACAGGGTCTCGCTCTGTAGCCCAGGCCGGAGTGCAATGGTGAGATCTCAGCTCACTGCAACCTCCACCTCCCGGGTTCAAGTGATTCTCCTGCCTCAGCCTCCCGAGTAGCCAGGACTACAGGCATGTACCACCACGTCTGGCTAATTTTTTGTATTTTTAGTAGAGACGGGGTTTCACCGTGTCAGCCAGGATGGTCTCGATCTCCTGACCTCGTGATCTGCCCACCTTGGCCTCCCAACGTGATGGGATTACAGGCGTGAGCCAGCACACTTGGCCTCTATTACTATATTTTTAAGCGCAGAGATCTTTCTTCAGCTGTGTCTAGTCTACTAAATAAGCCCATCAAAGGCATTCTTCATTTCTGTTACAGTGTTTTTGATTCCTAGCACTTTTTTTTGGCTCTTTCTTAAGGTTTCCACCTCTCTGCTTACATTGTCCCTCTGTTCTTGCACACAATCTAGTTTATCTATTTGAGTCCTTTGCAATTAATCATAGTCGTTTTAAATTCCTGGTCTGATCATTGCAACATCCCTTCCATGTCTGCTTCTGATGCTTGCTCTGTTTCTTCAAATCGTTCTTTATGTCTTTTAGAATGTCCTGTAATGTTTTTCTTGATAGCCGGATATCGTGTGCCAGGTAAAAGGAACTGCCATAAATAGGTCTTTAGTAATGTAGTGATTAGGTATGAGGGGAAGGGAAGCATTCTATAGTCCTGTGATTAAGCCTCAGTCTTTTAGTGAGCCTATGCTTCTGGACTGCGAACTCCACAAGTATTTATCATTTTTTTCTCACCCCTCTTAAGTGGGACAGGATGGCTACATAGGCTAGAATTGGGTTATTTCCCTTCTCCCACATGGAAGGCTAAAGCTAACTGGAGCTGGTTACTTCCTGTCCCTCAGCTAAATTAGGCAGCAATGAAACCCCAGTAGGTCAGGCTGTGGTTAACTAGTTCCCCTAAAGGCAGGCCTTGTTAAGAACAGATTAATCTGGCATATTTCAAAATGGTTCCTTTTCCCTCTGCCTGCCAGAAACACAAGGGGATTTTTCTCTGATACTTACCGTGGCTAACCAGGCCGACCTGCCTAGAGGTAAAACTCACAAAAGGAAGGAGGGGTTCCTATGACTAGGTCCCCAGGAATATTTAACCCTCAGACTCATTCACACTGAGCCTCTACTAATATGCCAATTACAGTTCAGGTTTTCCTACCTGGGCACTTGTTCCCACGGCAGTGTCTGTTCATGACTTTTCTGCTCTGGTAAGCATGACACTCTAATCCTGGAAGCAGCAGTGTGCTCTGCTTCCTTACTTCTCTTATGAATCTAAGAAGAGTTATTGATTTTTTCAGTCAGTTCAGCTTTTTACTTGTTGTTAAAATGGAGTGGCAGCTTTCAAGTTCCTCACATGCAGAACTGGAAACTGGAAGTCTCTATACTACAATTTGTAAAAATGTTTTTAGGCACAGTCTAGTCTTTGAATTGGGCCAGGAATATGTTGAAGAACAGTATAAGTAGAAGGGGAATCAAGTCGAAGAATTTCACACAAGTTTATTGTCTGGAACACATTCCTACCTAATGTATTTCCTTTACTACTACCAGTTTTTTGCACCAAAGCTCACAACAACACCCTTTGGGTTAATGTATGTTGTGTTGTGATTTAGCAATCATTGCCTCGTCTTCCTCCACCTTACTTCACCTCTTGCAGTTGTTGACTAGGAGAATATATCATAGAAATGACAAGTAAACTCAAACCCCTGCAATAAAGAAGTTTTCTAAAGGGCATTTGTCTTCTCCAGTGACCTCATCCAAGCACCCATAAATAAACATTGAATGCCTTTAAGAACTTTTGGTGAAATCTGGATTCTGCTCAAGGAATAAGGAGACAGTCAGCTTTCAGTCTTTGTTTCAGGTTCACTTGTTTACAATATTTGCTAAGGTATACTATTTTGTAGTTTGTGTCTTAATAGCTTTTCCAATTCTTTGAAAATGGCATTTTTGAGCCAGGCACAGTGGCTCATGCCTGTAATCCCCGCACTTTGGAAGGCTGAGGCGGGTGGATCACTTGAGTCCAGGAGTTTGAGACCAGCATGAGCAACATAGCAAGACCCTGTCTCGACTAAAAATACAAAAATTTAGCTGGGTGTGGTGGCATGCACCTGTAATCCCAGTTACTCAGAAGGCTGAGGCATGAGACTTGCTTGAACCCAGGAGACAGGTTGCAGTGCGTCAAGATCATCCTACTGCACTCCAGCCTGGACGACAGAACAAGACTATGTCTCAAAAAAAAAGAAAATGGCATTTTTTCTCTACATTTTCATTTTTGTCATTTTATTGTCAAAGAAGAAGAGAGTAAAAATGCCTTCTCCCCACTCCCCATCATCTTTTGCAGAAGATCCATCCCTTTATTTTAAACTTTTTTAGAGGGGTGTTGTCTCTAGTAAACATATCTTTAGATTTTTAAAAATCTGAACATTCTAATAGGTGAATTTAACTTGTTAAAATTTTGATAGCAAGTAAAATAAGTCTCAGTGTTTTAGAAACACTTATCCTTCAGTAGAATCCAGATATAAATGAAACTAATCAAAATAATCAAAGAAAAATGAAAAACAATGAGAAGGCAATATCTAATTCATGCAATGACTGCAAAATGAACAAAACTGGAAGAACAGGCCTAACTAAAGGTCCCAGGATAAGTCATATAGCAGAATCACTCTGAGAAAGGGTCAAATAGGAACAAAGATTAAGGAGTGAGTTTTGAATTTTACATAAATGTGTAAATTCAATCCTGTGTCACTGGGATGCTGTGTTCCTGTTTCCTCTCACATTGACTCTGATCAGGTCATTGTAATCAATCATGCAGCTATTGTGTCCATATTGACTTCTTCTCTATTCCAACTATTTCCATCCATAGAAGAAATCATGGACTACGGGAAGGCAAATGGTCACTTTTTCTCAAGTCAGAGATGAAGAGAGTAAATTAGGAAGCCTATTGCCTAGATTGGTCTACCTGCCCTTAACACTGCTCAAGATAGATGGGCTTCCCAAGACAAGGGACTAACACAGGGAGTCAACACATTTGTTGTGATTACTAATCTTTTAAAATTTATTCCTACCCTCTTATGTTATTTTTCCTATTTTTTCAATTTACCATACCTATTGTTGCTACTCTAACTTTTCTGCCTTTTCATTTTGGATTCATTTTCTTTTCCATGTTTTTACTCTAATGGTTTGGAAAATATCCAGCCTATTTCCCTGCTTCTTATAGTTAACCTTAAATTTTGAAGGAATACCCTTTTTTTTCTTTTCTCACACAGCATTGATAAAGGAACACAATTTCATTGGCCAAAAGTATCTCCATCAGTATCAGTATTTATAGCCTTCCCTGCTGGCTACCATCCACTTTTACCACGACACATGTTCTACCATCTGAGGGTTCAGTTCTGGATTATTAAATTGTTTGACTTAATGAATCAACTATTACTTGGACTTAACTATTTTGTTTGACTGGCATTCTTCACCACTATTTCCTGTACCCATTTCTTCCTCGTCCTTAGATTTCTTTTTTTACTATTTTATTATTTTTATTTTTGCTTCCTATGTGATAATAGATTTGTTTTGCAGGAATGAAGCCTCTAATCACTATTTAATAGGAAAGAAATGGAGAACTGGATTTACAATGTCTTCAAATCAAAGTCAGTATGAAAGCCTCCCAGATAAGAGCAGGAGATGAGGGCTGTGGGAAAAAAATAGATGTCTGTGAAACAAGAGGCTCAGGAACACTGGGAATCAACTGCTTTTTCTACTCAGAGGATGTGTCCTTGGTAATACTGTCTTTTGGTTAAGAATCAAGAGTCCTAGCACTTATATTTATTGGGTAAAATAAAAAGAATTAAGAAAGGCTGGGCACGGTGGCTCACACCTATAATCCCAGCACTTTGGGAGGCTGAGGCAGGTGGATCACCTGAGGTCAGGAGTTCAAGACCAGCCTGGCCAACATGGTGAAACCCCATCTCTAATAAAAATACACAAATTTGCTGGTCGTGGTGTTGCGCGCCTATGATCCCAGCTACTCAGGAGGCTGAGGCACAAGAATCGCTCGAACCCCGGAGGCAGAGGTTGCAGTCAGCCAAGATCATGCCACTGTACTCCAGCCTGGGTGACAGAGTAAAACCCTGTCTCAAATAAAAAAAAAAAAAAAGAATAAAAAAAGAATCAAGAGAACTTAGTATTTGCTTACACTAATGGAAACACATGGATTAAGTTATTTCTGAATGGTCGCCTCAACCCTAAATATATAAAATAATAAAAGCTTAGCAAGACTTGAGTTTTCCCACATCCATAGGACCCTGCTCTGGCTGGACATCATCTCCAGCAATGATACATCCCATTAAGAACCTGAGAGCCATGGAAAGATGCACTGAACAGATACTGTTTCGGATCTGCTCTGTGTAACCAACTCATTTGTGATAACATTTATATCCTTAGTTAGTTAAATCATAAATTTTAAAAAATCTTTGCTCAGACAAGGAAGGGAAGGAACATTTTCTACAACCCACAATCCACCTGAAATACCTCACGTGGGAAACCTTAAGGCCTTGCACATCTTTAGTTTGCCCTCCCACCTAAATGTTACTTTGGGTAGGTATAGTATTCTAATTGGTTAAAAAATCATTTTCTTTTCTATCTTTGAAAGTGTTGTTTCATTGCCTGCAAAGATTGTGCTACAATAAAAGATGTGATTACTGCTTTGTAGACAACCTCTTTTTTTCTGTCTGAAAGCTTTTGGAATTTTCTCATTATCCTTTGTCTTCTCAAATTTCACCAGAATGTATTTAGGTGTAGGCTTTTTATAATTTATTCTACTTCCAGTTGACGGATTGTTTCAATCTGAGGCCTTTTATCATTTCCAGCTCTGGGAAACTTTTATTTGACTCCTTTATTTCCTCCCTTCCATTTTCTCTATCTGAAATTCCTATTAGACAGATATTAAATTCCTGAATCTATATTCCATGTGCCCTTTTTTCTCACTGTTTCTAATTCCTTCGTCTTTTCTCTATGCTCTTAAAGACTTTCACAGCTTACTCTGGCAGCTAATTTGATCTTTGACTGTATCACTCTGATATTTAGCGCAGATGTTGAGTTCTTCATCTTAATAATTATATTTTTAATATTCAAGATCTCTGCTTCATAGTCAAGGATGTTCCATTGTCAAATCTATGAGAATATGTTTGCTTTAAAAATCGTTCTCTGCTTGCCATGTTAACTCTGAGTTCTCAGTATTAGTTCTATTTCTTGAGTTTGGTACTTCTTTTTTATGGTATTGATTTTCCTCAAGTATTTGGTGAAATTTGGTAGTCTGATCACATTTTTTTTTTTTTTTTTTTTGAGATGGAGTATCACTGTGTCACCCAGGCTGGAGTGCAGTGGCACAATCTCGGCTCACGCCAACCTCCGCCTCCCAGGTTCTAGTGATTCTCCTGCCTCAGCCTTCAAGTAGCTGGGATTATAGGCACCTGCCACCACAACCCGCTAATTTTTGTATTTTTAGTATAGACAGGGTTTCACCATGTTGGCCAGGCTGGTCTCACAGTCCTCACTTCAAGTGATCCACCCACCTCGGCCTCCCAAAGTGCTGGGATTACAGGCGTGAGTCACCATGCCTGGCCTGATAACATTTTTTTAATTAAAAGGTTTTTTTTTGTAGAGATAGGGTCTCCCTATGTTGCCCAAGCTGGTCTCAAACTCCTGGTCTCAAGCAATCTTCCCTCCTCAGCCTCTCAAAGTGTTGAGATTATAGTCATGAGCCATTGCACCCAGCCCTGAGCACTTCTGTACTTGAGAATTTCTGTCCTTCTGTTTATTTTTACTGTGACCTGATTCTGGTAAATATAGGAGGAGGGGCAGGACATGTGGCACCTATTATAGTTGTAAAAGCTTTCCATTTTTTTCTAAAGGGCAGTAGCAACTACCTGGAAAAAAATCCCAGGACCTTTAGGCCCCAGTATCCACATTTACAACATTAGTCAATAAGCCAATGCTAGTGAATTGAATGATATGTAAATTATATCTCAATAAAGTTATTTTTTTAAGCCAGTGCCACAAACTGAGATGGGAGAGGGTTTGACATGCTAAATAGCTAAGTATAGTTCCCTTAACAATCCCACTGACGATTATCCCAGGCCCCTTTTCTATTCCTTGTATATGTTGAAACTGAGCCTGGAATTTCCCACATCTAAAACACCCTTCTACTGTGACTACTGAGCTATGTTTTTCTCCAGATTTGTTTGGAGGTGGAACATATGTGCCACCTTCTTGATCTAATCTCTCCACCTACAATAAATTAAAATAAAACCTAAACTACAATATGGATAAATCTCACATATATAACATTGAGCAAAGCAAGTCAGAGGTAATAGTACACTCTATAGCACTATATTTATATTAAAGTTCAAACAGGCAAAACTAATCTATGCTGTTAGAAGTCATGATTGGGGTTATCTTTAGGGGGCTAATGAATAGAAGAGGGCACAAGAAGGTCTTTTTGGGTCTTGGTAATGTTCTGTTTCTTGCTCTGGGAGCTGGTTGCATGGGTATACTAACTTTGTGAAATTCATTCAGCCATACACTTAGAACTTGTATACCTGTGTTATACTTCAACTAAAAAGGTTTTGGTGTGCAGGGGTCTCTTATTTCAGATAAAACAGACTTTAAACCAACATGATCAAAAAGGACAAAGAAAGGCATTACATAGGCCGGGCGCAGTGGCTCATGTCTGTAATCCCAGCACTTTGGGAGGCCAAGGCAGGTAGATCACGAGGTCAGAAGATCGAGACCATCCTGGCTAACAAGGTGAAACCCTGTCTCTACTAAAAATACAAAAAAAATTAGCTGGGTGTGGTGGCAGGCGCCTGTAGTCCCAGCTACTTGGGAGGCTGAGGCAGGAGAATGGCATGAACCTGGGAGGCAGAGCTTGCAGTGAGCCCAGATTGCACCACTGCACTCCAGCCTGGGCAACAGAGTGAGACTCCATCTCAAAAAAAAAAGAAAGGCATTACATAGTGATATAAAGTGTTCAATTCAACAGGAAGACCTAACTATCCTAAATATATGTTCACCCAACACTGGAGCACCCAGATTCATAAAACAAGTTCTTAGAGACCTATAAAGACTCTTAGATAACCACACAATAACAGTGGGAGACTTCAATACTTCACTGATAGGATTAAACAAATCTTCAAAGCAGAAAACTAACAAAGATGTTTGGGACCTAAACTCAACACTTGACCAAACGGACCTAACAGAAATCCCCAGAACACTCCACCCAACAACAACAGTATATGCATTCTTCCCAGAGGCACATGGCACATACTTTAAACCCAACCACACAATCAGAGATTAAGCAATTCCCAATAAATTTTTTAAAAACCAAAATCTTAACAATTACGCTCTCAAGCTACAGCACAATAAAAATAGAAATCAATACCAAGAGCTCTCAAAAATCATATAATTACACGAAAATTAAACAATCTCCTCCTGAATGACTTTTGGGTAAACAATGAAATTAAGGCAGAAATCAAGAAATTCCTTGAAACTGATGAAAACAAAGATACAACATACTATAATATTTGGGACACAGCTAAAGCAGTGTTAAGAAGAAAGTTTATAGTGCTAAATACCCACGTCAAAAAGTTAGAAAGAGCTCATATTAACAACCCAACATCACACTTAGAGGAACTAGAAAAACAAAAGGAAACCAACCCCAAAGCTAGTAAAAGAAAATAATCATATTAGAGCTAGGCTGAACAAAACTGAGACACAAAAAGCCATAAAAACCAAAAGTTTATTCTTTGAAAGAATATGATTGATAGACCACTAACTAGAAAAATAAAGAAAAAAACAGAAGACCTAAATAAACCCAAGCAGAAATAACAAAAGGGACACCACCACCAACTCAAAGAAAAACAAAATCTCTCAGAAACTATTACAAACACTTCTGTGAACACAAACTAGAAAACCTAGAAAAAAGTTGATAAATTCCTGGAAACAGACAACCTCCCAATACTGAGCCAGGAATAAATTGGAACCCTGAACAAACCAAAAACAAGCTTCAAAACTGAATCAGGGTCTGGCACAGTGGCTAACATCTGTAATCCCAGCACTTTGGGAGGCCGAGGCAGGAGATCACCTGAAGTCAGGAGTTGGAGACTAGCCTGGCCAACATGGTAAAACCCCATTTCTACTAAAAATACAAAATTTAGCCGGGCATGGTGGCACACACCTGTAATCCTAGCTACTTGGGAGGCTGAGGCAGGAAAATCGCTGGAACCCGGGAGGTGGAGGTTGCAGTGAGCCAAGATAGCGCCATTGCACTCCAGCCTGGGTGACAGAATGAGACTCTGTTTCAAAAAAAAACCTTAATCAGTAATAAAAAACCTACCAACCATAAGAATCCCTGGACCAGATGGATTCATAGCTGAATTATACCAGACATATAAAGAAGAACTGGTACTAGTCCTACTGAAACTATTTCAAAAAAAATGACAAAGAAGCACCCCTCACTAACTCATTCTGAGGCCAGCATCATTCTGATACCAAAACCTGGTGAGACACGATGAAAAAAGACAATTCCAGGCAGATATGCCTGATGAACAGAGATTCAAAAATCCTCCACCAAATACTACCAAACCAAATCTAGCAGCACACCCAAAAAGCAAATCCATCGTGATTATGTAGGTTTTATTCCTGAGATGCAAGGTTGGTTCAACATACACAAGTGAATAAATGTTTTCATCACATGAACAGAACTAAAAAACCACAAGATCATCCCAATAGACTCAAAAAAGGCTTTTGATAAAATTCAACACCCCTTCATGTTAAATATCCTCAACAAACTAGGTATTGAAGGAACATACCTCAAAATAATTACAGCCAACTATGACTAACCTACAGCCATCATCACACTGAATGTGTAAAAGCTTGAAGCATTCCCCTTGAGAACCAGAATAAGACAAGGATGCCCACTCCCACCACTCCTATTCAACACATTACTGGAAGTC